>NC_000004.12:72671381-73921381 GCF_000001405.40 Homo sapiens
AACTGTGTGTCCCCTCAAGATCTATGCATACATCCTCTCCTGGCAACTGAACCAGTAACAAGAATGAAATCCCTAGTCCAATTTAAGATAAGGAAATAGAGTTTACATAGAAGTTGATGTTTTATCTGGCTGACATATCTTGTCATATATTAGAAAGAAAATACGCAATTACCTGAATCTTGAGGGTTCTAGATTAAGGGAGTGAAACCTTAATTTGGATAAAAGAACGTCAATTGATATGAAATAACTTTGTCAGCCGGGCGTGGTGGCTCACGCCTGTAATCCCAGCACTTTGGGAGGCTGAGGCGGGTGGATCACTAGGTCAGGAAGTTGAGACCATCCTGGCTAACACAGTGAAACCCCGTCTCTACTAAAAATACAAAAAATTAGCTGGGCGCGGTGGCGGGCGCCTGTAGTCCCAGCTACTCGGGAGGCTGAGGCAGGAGAATGGCATAAACCCAGAAGGCGGAGCTTGCAGTGAGCCGAGATAGCGCCACTGCACTCCAGCCTGGGCGACAGAGTGAGACTCCGTCTCAAAAAATAAAGAAAAGAACTCTGTCATAATATAGAATTCTTAAATATATTTTTCATTTTAATAAGTTTTGGGGTACAAGTGGTTTTTGGTTATACGGATGAGTTAAATATTGGTGAATTCTGAGATTTTAGTGCACCTGTCACCCAAGCGGTATATGTTGTACCAATATGTATTTTTGTATCGCACACTCCCCTCCTTCCCTCCCACTTCTGAGTCTCCAAATATCATTGTAACACTCTGTATGCCTCTGCATACTCATAGCTTAGCTCCCACATGTAAGTGAGAACATATGGTATTTGATTTTCCATTTCTGAATTACTTCACTTAGAATAATGGTCTTCAGCTCCAACCAAGTTGCTGCAAAGGACATGGACATTTAAGTTGGTTCCATATCTTTGCAATTGTGAATTGGACCACAATAAACATACATGTGCTTGTGTCTTTTTCATCTATGACTTATTCTCCTTTGGGTAGATACACAGTAGTTGGGTTGCTGAATTGAATGGTAGATCTACTTTTAGCTCCTTAAAAAATGTCCATACTGTTTTCCACAGATGCTGTACTAATTTGCATTCTCACCAACAATGTATAAGCATTCCCTTTTCCTCACATCCGTGCCAACATCTGTTGTTTCTTGACTTTTTAATAATGGCCATTCTTTCAGGAGTAAGGTCGTATTTCATTGTGGTTTTAATTTGCATTTCCCTGATGATTATTGATGTTGAGCATTTTTAAATATGTTTGCTGGCCATTTGTATACTTTCTTTTGAAAAATGTCTATGTATATCATTAGCCCACTTTTTGATGGGATTATTTAATTTTTTTCTTGCTGATTTATTTGAGTTCCTTGTAGATTCTGGATACTGGTCCTTTGTCAGACGCATATATTGCAAATATTTTTTCCGTTCTGTGTGTTGTCCATATACTCTGATGATTATTTCTTTTGCTTTGCAGAAGCTTTTAAATTTAATCAGGTCCCATTTATTTTTGTTTTCACTGCTTTTGTTTTTGAGGTTTTAGTCATGAATTCTTTATCTAGGACAATGTCCAGAAGACTTTTTCCAAGGTTATCCTCTAGAATTTTTATGGTTTCAGGTGTTAGATTTAAGTCTTTGATTCATCTCGAGTTGATTTTTGTATATGGTGTGAGATAGGACCCAGTTTCATTTTTTCTACAGTTTTCCCAGAACTTCAGGGCATCATTACCTCAATTTATGTTTTTGTATGCTTTATCAAAGATCAATTGATTGTAAGTATTTGGCTTTATTTTTGGGTTCTCTATTCTATTCCATTGGTCTATGCACCTACTTTTATACCAGTACCATGCTGTTTTGGTTAACTGTAGCCCTGTAGTCCAACTTGAAGTTTGGTAATGTGATGCCTCTAGATTTGTTCTTTTTGTTTAGGATTTCTTTGGCTATTTGGGCTATTTTTTGATTTCATATGAATTTTAGGACTGTTTTTTGCTAATTCTATGAAAAATGTTGTTGGTATTTTGATAGGAGTTACATTAAATCTATAGATTGCTTTGGGCAGTATATTCATTTTCACAATATTGATTCTCCAATCCATGAGCATGGGATGTGTTTCCATTTGTTTGTGTCACCTGTGATTTCTCTCAGCAGTTTTGTAGTTCTCCTTTTAGAGATCTTTCACTTCCTTGGTTAAGTATATACATAGGTATTTTATTTGTCTTGTTCCGATTTTCAAAGGGAATGCTTTCAACTTTTCCCAATTCAGTATGAGGTTGGCTGTGAGTCTGTCATATATGGCTTGTATTAATTTGAGGTAATTCCCTTCTATGACTAGTTTGTTGGAGGTTTTTATCATAAAGGGATGCTGGATTTTATTGAATGCTTTTTCTACATCTATTGAGATGATCATATGATTTTTGTTTTTAATTCTGTTTACGTGATATATCACATTTATTGACCTGTGTATGTTAAATCATCCCTGGGATGATCATGGTGTATTATCTTTTTGATGTTGTATTAGTCAGGGTTTTCTGGAGGGACAGAACTATTCCACCAGTCCAGCTGCTTCAGGATGATGGGGAACAGATGTGCTGTTGGGTTTGGTTAGCTAGTATTTTGTTGAGGGTTTTTACATCTCTGTTCATGACGGATATTGGTCTTTGTTTTCTTTTTTAGTTATGTCCTTTCCTGGTTTTGGTATCAGGGTGATATGGCTTAATAGAGTGAATTAGGGAGGAGTCCCTATGTCTCAATCTTTTGGAATAGTTTCAGTAGGATTGACACCAATTCTTTAAATGTCTGGTAGAATTCAGCTGTGAATCTGTCTGGCCCTGGGCTTTTGTTAGCATTTTAAAAATTACTAATTCAATCTCACTGCTTGTTATTGGTCTGTGCAGGTTTTCTATTTCTTACTGATTTAATCTAGGGAGATTGTATGTTTCCAGGAATTTGTTCATTTTCTCTAGGTTTTCTAGTTTGTATGCATAGAAGTGTTCATAGTAGTCTTAAATGATCTTTTGTATTTCTGTGATGTTGGTTGTAGTGTCTCTAGTTTCATTTGTAGTTGAGCTTATTTGAGTTGTCTGTCTTCTTGGTTAATCTAACTAATGGTCTGTCAATTTTGCTTATTTTTTCAAAGAACCAGCTTTTTGTTTCATTGATCTTTTGTATTTTTTTAATTTCAATTTCATTTAGTTCTGCTCTGATCTTTGTTATTTCTTTTCTTCTGCTAGCTTGGGATTAGTTGGTTCTTATTTCCCTGGTTCCTTGAGGTATGGCTTTAGGTTGCCAATTTGTAATCTTTCAGACTTTTTGAAGTAGGCATTTAGTACTATAAACTTTCCACTTAGCATTGCTTTTGCTTTATCCCAGAGGTTTTGCTAGCTTTTGTCTGTATTATCAATAATTTCAAAGAATTTTTAAATTTTCATCTTGATTTCATTGTAAACTCAAATATCATTCAAGAGCAGGCTGTTTAATTTCCATGTATTTGTATAGTTTAGGGGATTGTTTTTGTAGTTGATTTCTAGTTTTATTCTACTGTGGTCTGAGAAGATACTTGATATGATTTCAATTTTTAAAAATGTATTGAGACTTGTTTTGTGACCTATTACATGGTCTATCTTGGAGGATGTTCCATGTGCTGATGAAAAGCTTGTATAATCTGCAGTTCTTGGGTAAAATTTTCTGTAAATATCTGTTAGGTTCATTTGTTCTAGGGTCTAGTTTAAGTCCAGTGTTTCTTCATTGACATTCTGTCTCAATAGTCTACTGCTGTCAGTGGAATATTGAAGTTCCCTATTATTATTGTGTTGCTGTCTATCTCATTTCTTAGGTCTAGTAGTAATTGCTTTCTGAATCTGGTAGCTCCAGTGTTAGATGTATATACATTTAAGTTTGTAATATCTTCTTGTTGTATTGATTCTTTTATCATTATATAATGGCTTTGTCTTTTTTTTAACTGTTATTGTTTTAAAGTCTGTTTTATCTGATATGAAAACATCTACTCCTACTCATTTTTCCTTTCCATTTGCATGGAATATCTTTTTCTACTCCTTTACTTTGAGCTGATATGAATTCTTGTGAGTTAGGTGAGTCTCTTAAAGTCAGCAGATATTTGGTTTGTGATTTTTTTATCCATTCTGCCAATATGTATCTTTTAAGTAGAGCATTTACACCATTTTCATTCAATGGTAATATTGAGATGTGAGGTACTGTTCCATTAACATTCCATCATGTTCATTGTTCCCTAGATACTTTGTTTCTTCATTGTGTTATTGTTTTATAGGTCCTGTGAGTTTTAACCTTTTAAGAGATTCTATTCCAGTGTATGTCAAGCTTTGGTCTCAAGATTTAGAACTCCTTTCAGCATTTCTTTTAAGGCTGGCCTGGTATTAACAAATTCCCTCAGCATTCCTTTGTCTGAAAATGACATTATTTCTCCTTCATTTATGAAAATTACTTTTTCTGGATACAAAATTCTTGGCTGAAAGTTATTCTATTTAAGGAGGCTAAAGATAGAACCCCAATCCCTTCTGGCTTATAAGGTTTCTTTTGAGAAGTCTGCTGTTAGTCCAATGGGTTTTCCTATATAAGTTACCTGATGCTTTGCTTTCATCTCACTGTCCTTAGAATTCTTTCCTTCATGCTGACTTTAGATAGTCTGATGATTATATATTTTGCTGATGACCTTTACAATGAATCTCCCAGGAGTTATTTGAACTCTTGTATTTGGATATCTAAATCTCTAACAAGGTCAGGGATGTTGTCCTCAATTATTCCCTCAAATAAGTTTCCCAAGCTTTTTGCTTTGTCTTCTCCTTCAAGAACACCAATTATTCTTAGGTCTAGCCATTTACAAAATCCCATGTTTCTTGGAGATTTTGTTCATTTATTTTATTCTCTTTCTCTTTATTTTTGTCTGATTGAGTTAATTCAATAGCCTGTTTCTGACCTCTGAAATTCTTTGACTATTCTATTGTTGAAACTTTCCACTGCATTTTGTAATTTCCCAAGTGTGTCTTTCATTTCCAGAAGTTCTAATTGGTGTTTCCTTAAAATATCTGTTTAGAAAATATCTCATTCATATCCTGGACTGTTTTTTTATATTTATTTATGTTTGTTTTTTTCCTTTCTCTGGAATCTCCTTGAGTAGCTTAATAATCAACATTTTGAATACTTTATCTGGTATTTCAAATATTTCATCTTGGTTTGGATCCATTGCTGGGGAGCTAGTGTGATCCTTTGGAGGTGTTATAAAACCCTGTGTTTTCATATTACCAGAATTATATTTCTGGTTCCTTCTCATTTGGGTAGAAAATTTCTTCTAGTTATTCTTGAATTTATTTTTGATTTGACTATTTTTAAAAATTTTCTCCCCCTTAAGGACGTGACTTTAACTTTTATAGTTTATTGTAGCCTAATTTGGCTCTTGTTGCTTTTGGGAGTGAAGATTGTATGAATTCCTTGGTTACAGAGAGTCTGTGTATGATAGCTTTCTCAGATGCTGGTTGTATTAGCAAGGTGCTCAGTGTGTGTGCAAGTTCACTGTTTCCTATAGAGTTGGAATGGCAGAGGTTTCTTGATGCTTATCTCATGCCCCCATGGTGTGCACTTTTTTATTTGCTACTTTTTCCCCAGTATTCTATTTACTGGGTTGAATAGTTCAGGCTTAAGCCAATAGGGGAGATATCTACAAGTAAAAACTCTCTGTGGCTAAAATAGGGGGAAAATGCATTATCCAATGGTGGACAGAGGTCCCAGCCTTGACAGAGGTGGCTGAAGGAGCTCTCTATGAAACACTCTGAGGTATTATCAGAGGGAATGGCAATAGCCACCTCAGCTCCACTGCCAGTCCAGCAGGAAAGCTATCCACCTCCCAGACACACTGCTTACCCAGTATTTCAGCTATTCAGATCAGACAGGTACCTTTCTTCATTTGCAGGATTGTTGATATTCCAAGGAAAGAGGAATTGTGACTCTACCTCTCATGAAAGACTGCACCTGGAGGGTGCACCTCCTGTGGCAATGTAATCACCCTGAATTGTTCCAGAAAGGCTGTCTATGCCGAGCCTCTGTGGGAAAAACTCCAGCTGTGTCTGCAGTGGTGGATGAGGGTGAAAAGAAGTCTCCTTCTCTAAGGCCCTTCAGGAGCACGAGGGCTGCCTGATTCTTGGGGCAGAATGCAGATTTTCCCTGCGTTCAAATTCGGGAAATACAGAGAACACCATAAAGATACTCCTTGAGAAGAGCAACCCCAAGACACATAATTGTCAGATTCACCAAGGTTGAAATGAAGGAAAAAATGTTAAGGGCAGCCAGAGAGAAAGGTGGGGTTACCCACAAAGGGAAGCCCATCAGACTAACTTGCTGAACCCAGCATTGCAACTGTGCCTCCGCTGAAAGAAATTTTCCACCAGTGGAAAGATCTGGGACCCAAGGCCTGCCATCTGGGTTCTTTTGTCCCATTGGGTATTGCCTTGATATGACGCACTTCCTCTTCCCCTAGGAGTAGGAGTCCCTGAGAGCCAGACTACTGTGAATGCTGTTGCTCCTCTGGGTCTAACTACCCAAAGGGACTGCTGCACTTCAGGATGGTGCTGGGGAATGTCTTCAGGGGATCCAGAGATATGACCTGTCCTCAAGTCTCTCACCTGTGGGTACCAGCACCACCTTTGATGTGGGTGGCAGGGAAGTGACACTGACTCTGTGAGATTCCTTGGTATAGACAGTCTTAGTGTGTTGGCTTTCTCAAATGCCATTTGTAGTAGCAATGATCTGGTCATGTGGACAGACTAAGGGCCTCTTGGTTAGCCAGGTGGTACAGGCATTGGTGATAGCTAAGGTCATGCACAAATTTTCTCCTTCCTGGGTGCAGTGCTGGAGATGCTGTAACAGACTATGTTAGTTGGTCTCCAGCCAGGAGGTGGCACTTGCAAAAGCCTCCAGCTGTGGTAGTAGTGGTGGAATTTGTGCTTGCCTTATGTTACACAGGGGAGGTACTCTGGTGTCTAGGTGATAGATGAGGCCATTAGACTCCCAAAAGTTTCTGTTCTTTGTATTAAGCTACCAGGGTGGGTAGAGGGGCAATGCCAGTTTGGGGCTGGGCCTGGCAGGTCCATACTCTGAGTTTCTGTGTGAAGGGCAAGCAGCAGCCCCTGTGGAAGTAGGGGTGGGGGTGGTTCCCTGGCCCCTGGGGTAGTGTTCCAGAGAGAAGCTCCCACACACTTGGCAAGGCAGATTTCATACTGAGAGTTTTCCACTAGCATTAGTGAGCTAAGTTCCAGGCTGTCTACACTCAAAACTGTCTTTTTAAGGAAAGACTCTAAAACATCAAGGTCTCTGACATTTTATTTTTAGGTAACCAAGAATTGGGGAAAAATAATATCAAGATATTTCAAGAATGATTGGATATGTTGTCCATGAAGCTTTCAAGAAGTTCATAAAACCCCTAAATAATTCCCTGATCTGTGAGGTAAGAACTATCCTAGTGGTGAAAGCTAAGTGGAAATGCTGGAAATTGGCTCCCTCCAATAAAACTAATAAATTATTAAAATTACCATGTCCCAAGGGAAATAGTAGATGATAACTCCACCTTTGAAGATTTAAAGAAATGATGGTGGTTCCCTGTCATATCCCATTTAATTTGTGAGCCTGACCTTTAAAATTCCAGAAGGATCTTGGCAGATGAAAATGGAAGAATAAAATCTAACACAGTTACTTCAATGTTGTTGTACTAAACATGGTACCTTGATAAGGGCAAATTAACACAGCATCAGCATGTCCTATCCAGCCATCGATCTAGCAAATACATTGTATTCTATCCCTATTAGAAAAGAGGATCAGAAGTAGTTTGTGTTTCTGTGAAATGAATAAGAGCATACACCTATGGTTTTGCCCTAAGGCTATGTTAACTCTGTTACTCTTACTTTTAATATAGTCCAGAGGTCACTTCCAAGATGGCTGAATAGGAACAGCTCCTGTCTCAGCTCCCAGTAAGATTGATACAGAAGACTGGTGATTTCTGCATTTCCAACTAAGAAACCTGGTTCATCTCACTGGAACTGGATAGACAGTGTGTGCAGCCCACGGAGAGCAAGCTGAAGCAGGGTGGGGTGTCATCTCACCTGGGAAGCACAAGGGTTTGGGGGATTTCCCTTTCCCAGCCAAGGGAAGCCATGATAGACTGTACCTGGAGAAACAGTACACTCCTCACCAAAGACTGTGCTTTTCCCATGGTCTTAGCAACCAGGAGACCAAGAGATACCCTCTTGTGGCCTGGCTCGGCAGGTCCCACACTCACAGAGCCTTGTCCACTGCTAGAACAGCAGTCTGAGATCAACCTGCAATGCTGCAGCTTGATGGGGAGAGGGGCATCTGCCATTGCTGATGCTTGAGTAGCTCACAGGTAAGCAAAGCTGCTGGGAAAGTCAGACTGGGCGGAGCCCACTGCAGCTCAGCAAGGCCTACTGCCTCTCTAGATTCCACCTGTGGGGGCAGGGCATAGCAGAACAAAAGGCTGCAGACAGCTGCAAACAGACTGCCTCCTCAAGTGGGTCCATGACCCAGGTGTAGCCTTACTGGGAGACACTTCCCAGTAGGGGCCACAGGAACCTCAAACAGGTGGGTACTCCTTTGGGACAAAGCTTCCAGAGGAAGGATAAGGCAACAATATTTGCTGTTCTGCAGCCTCTGCTAGTGATACCCAGGCAAACAGGGTCTGGAATGGACCTCCAGCAAACTCCAACAGACCTGCAGCTGAAGGGCATGACTGTTAGAAGGAAAAGTAACAAACAGAAAGGAATAGCATCAACATTAACAAAAAGGATATCCACAAAAAAACTCCATCTGTAGGTCACCAACATCAAAGACCAAAGGTAGATAAAACCACAAAGATGGGGAGAAACCAGAGCAGAAAAGCTGAAAATTCCAAAAACCAGAGCACCTCTTCTCCTCCAAAGGATCACAGCTCCTTGCCAGCAAGGGAACAAAACTGGATAGAGAGTGAGTTTGAAGAGTTGACAGAAGTAGGCTTCAGAAGATCAGTAATAACAAACTTCTCTGAGCTAAAGGAGCATGTTCTAATCCATTGCAAGGAAGCTAAAAACCTTGAAAAAAGGTGAGAAGAATGGCTAACTAGAATAAACAGTGTAGAGAAGACCTTAAATGACTGGATGGAGCTGAAAACCACAGTGCGATAACTTTGGGATGCATGCACAAGCTTCAATAGTCAATTCAATCAAGTGGAAGGATATCAGTGATTGAAGATCAAATTAATGAAATAAAGTGAGAAGACAAGATTACAGAAAAAAGAGTGAAAAGAAATGAACAAAGCCTCCAAGAAACATGGGACTATGTGAAAAGACCAAATATACATTTGATTGGTGTACCTGAAAGTGACAGGGAGAATGGAACCAAGTTGGAAAACACTCTGCAGGATACTATCCAGGAGAACTTCACCAACCTAGCAAGGCAGGCCAACATTCAAATTCAGAAAATACAGAGAACACCATGAAGATACTCCTCAAGAAGAGCAACCCCAAGACACAAAATTGTCAGATTCACCAAGGTTGAAATGAAGGAAAAAATGTTAAGGGCAGCCAGAGACAAAGGTCGGGTTACCCGCAGAGGGAAGCCCATTAGACTAACAGTGGATCTCTCTGAAGAAACCCTATGAGCCAGAAGAGAGTGGGGGCCAATATTCAACATTCTAAAGAAAAGAATTTTCAACCCAGAATTTCACATCCAGCCAATCTAAGCTTCACAAGTGAAGGAGAAATAAATCCTTTACAGACAAGCAAATGCTGAGAGATTTTGTCACCACCAGGCCTGCCCTACAAGAGCTCCTGAAGGAAGCACTAAACATGGAAAGGAACCACTGGTACCGACCACTGCAAAAACATGCCAAATTATAAAGACCATTGACACTGTGAAGAAACTGCATCAATTAATGGGCAAACTAACCAGCTAACATCATAATGACAGGATCAAATTCACACATAACAATATTAACCTTAAATGTAAATGGGCTAAATGCTCCAATTTTAATTGTGTCTTTTAAGACACAGACTGTCAAATTGGATAAAGGCTCAAGACCCATTGATATGCTGTATTCAGGAGATCAATCTCATGTGCAAAGATGCACATAGGCTCAAAATAAAGGGATGCAGGAAGATCTGCCAGGCAAATGGAAAGCAAAAAACAAACAAACAAACAAACAAAAAAACCAGGGGTTGCAATCCTAGTCTCTGATAAAATAGACTTTAAACCAACAAAGATCAAAAGAGACAAAGAAGGCCATTACAGAATTGTAAAGGGATCAATTCAACAAGAAGAGCTAACTATCTTAAATATATATGCACCCAATACATGAGCACCCAGATTCATAAAGCAAGTCCTTAGAGACCTACAAAGAGACTCAGACTCCCACACAATAATAATGGGAGACTTTAACACCACACTGTCAATATTAGACAGATCAAAGAGACAGAAGGTTAAGAAGGATATCCAGGACTTGAACTCACCTCTGGACCAAATGGACCTAATAGACATCTACAGAACTCTACACCCCAAAACAACAGAATATACATTCTTCTCAGCACCACATCACACTTATTCTAAAACTGGCCAGATAATTGGAAGTAAAACATTCCTCAAATGTAAAAGAATGGAAATCATAGCAAACTGTCTCTCATACAACGGTGCAATCAAATTAGAACTCGGGATTAATAAACTCACTCAAAACCACACAACCACATGGAAACTGAACAACCTGCTCCTGAATGGCTACTGGGTAAATAATGAAATGAAGTCAAAAATAAAGATATTCTTTGAAACCAATGAGAACAAAGACACAATGTACCAGAATCTCTGGGACACATTTAAAGCAGTGTGTAGAGGGAAATTTATAGAACTAAATGCCCACAAGAGAAAGAAGGAAAGATCTAAAATTGACACCCTAACATCAAAATTATAAGAACTAGAGAAGCAGAAGCAAAAGCAAACAAATTCAAAAGCTAGCAGAAGGCAAGAAATAACTAAGATCAGAGCAGAACTGAAGGAGATAGAGACACAAAAAAACCTTAAAACATCAATGAATCTAGGAGCTGGTTTTTTGAAAAGATCAACAAAATAGATCACTAGGAAGACTAATAAAGAAGAAAAGAGAGCAGAACCAAATAGACACAATAAAAAATAATAAAGGGGATACAACCACCAATTCCACAGAAACACAAACTACCATCAGATAATACTATAAACACCCCCAAACAAATAAACTAGAAAATCTAGAAGAAATGGATAAATTCCTGGACACATACACTCTCCAAAGACTAAACCAGGAAGAAGTTGAATCTCTGAATAGACCAATAACAGGTCCTAAAATTGAGGAAATAATTAATAGCCTACCAACCAAAAAAAGTCCAGAACCAGATGGATTTACAGCCGTATTCTACCAGAGGTACAAAGAGGAGCTAGTCCCATTCCTTCTGAAACTATTCCAATCAATAGAAAAAGAGGTAATCCTCCCTAACTCATTTTATGAGGCCAGCATCATCCTGATACCAAAGCCCAGCAGAGATACAACTAAAAAAGAGAATTTTAGGCCAACATCCCTAATGAACATTGATGTGAAAATCCTCAATAAAATACTGGCAAACTGAATCCAGCAGCACATCAAAAAGCTTATCCACCATGATCAAGTTGGCTTCATCACTGGGATGCAAGGCTGGCTCAACATACACAAATCAATAAATGTAATCAATCACATAAACAGAACCAATGACAAAAACCACATGATTATCTCAATAGATGCAGAAAAGGCCTTCAACAAAATTCAACAGCCTTCATGCTAAAAACTCTCAATAAACTACGTATTGATGGAATGTATCTCAAAATAATACGAGCTATTTATGACAAATCCACAGCCAATATTATACTGAATGGGCAAAAACTGGAAGCATTCCCCTTGAAAGCTGACACAAGACAAGGATGCTCTCTCTCACCACTCCTATTCAACATAGTGTAGGAAATTCTGGCAGGACAATCAGGCAAGAGAAAGAAATAAAATGTATTCAGTTAGGAAAAGAGCAAGTCAAATTGTCCCCGTTTGCAGATGACATGATTGTATACTTAGAAAACTCCATTGTCCCAGCTCAAAATCTCCTTAAACTGATAAGCAACTTCAGCAAAGTCTTAGGATACAAAATCAAGGTGCAAAAATCACGAGCATTCCTATACACCAATAATAGACAAACAGAGAGCTAAACCATGAGTGAACTCACATTCACACTTAGTAAAAAGAGAATAAAATACCTAGGAATCCAACTTACAAGGGATGTGAAGGACCTCTTCAAGGAGAACTACAAACCACTGCTCAATGAAATAAAAGAGGACACAAACCAATGCAAGAACCCTCCATGCTCATGGATAGGAAGAATCAATATCGCGAACACGGCCATACTGCCCAAGGTAATTTATAGATTCAATGCTATCCCCATCAAACTACCAATGACTTTCTTCAAAGAATTGGAAAAAACTACTTTAAAGTTCATACGGAACCAAGAAAGAGCCATCATGGCCAAGACAATCCTGAACAAAAAGAACAAAGCTGGAGGCATCACACTACCTGACTTCAAACTATACTACAAGATGACAGTAACCAAAACAGCATGGTACTGGTACCAAAACAGATATATAGATCAACGGAACAGAACAGAGGCCTCAGAAATAACACCACACATCCACAACCATCTGATATTTGACAAACCTGACAAAAACAAGCAATGAGGAAAGGATTTCCTATTTAATAAATGGCACTGCGAAAACTGGCTAGCCATGTGTAGAAAGCTGAAACTGGATCCCTTCCTTACACCTTATACAAAAATTAATTCAAGATGGATTAAAGACTTAAATGTTGGACCTAAAACCATAAAAACCCTAGAAGAAAACCTAGGCAATACCATTCAGGACACAGGCCCCATGCCTATGCAAGGACTTCATGACTAAAACACCAAAAATTGCAACAAAAGCAAAAATAGACAAATGGCATCTAATTAAACTAAAGAGCTTCTGCACGGCAAAAGAAACTACCATCAGAGTGAACAGGCAACCTACAGAATGGGAGAAAATTGTTGCGATCTACCCATCTGACAAAGGGTAGTATCCAGAATCTACAAAGAACTCAAACAAATTTACGAGAAAAAAAAAACCCCATCAAAAAGTGGTCAATGGATATGAACAGACACTTCTCAAAAGAAGACATTTATGCAGCCAACACACACATGAAAAAATGCTCATTATCACTGGTCAGCAGAGAAATGCAAATCAAAACCACAATGAGATACCATCTCACGCCAGTTAGAATGGTGATCATTAAAAAGTCAGGAAACCGCCAGGCACGGTGGCTCACACCTGTAATCCCAGCAATTTGGGAGGCTGAGGCAGGCAGATCACGAGGTCAGGAGGTTGAGACCATCCTGGCTAATACAGTGAAACCCTGTCTCTACTAAAAATACAAAAAAATTAGCTGGGCGTGGTTGCAGTTGCCTGTAGTCCCAGCTACTCAGGAGGCTGAGGCAGGAGAATGGTGTGAACCCAGGAGGCAGAGCTTGCAGTGAGCCAAGATCGCACCACTGGACCCCAGCCTGGGTGACAGAGCGAGACTCCATCTCAAAAAAAAAAGTCAGGAAACAACAGATGCTGGAGAGGATGTGGAGAAATAGGAAGGCTTTTACACTGTTGATGGGAGTGTAAACTAGTTCAACCATTGTGGAAGATAGTGTGGTGATTCCTCAAGGATCTAGAACTAGAAATACCATTTGAATCAGCAATCCCATTACTAGGTATATACCCAAGGTTTATAAGTCATGCTACTATAATGACACATGCACAGGCATGTTATTGCAGCACTATTCACAATAGCAAAGACTTGGAACCAACCCAAATGTCCAGCAATGATAGACTGGATTAAGAAAATGTGGCACATATACACCATGGAATATTATGCAGCCATAAAAAAGGATGGGTTCATGTCCTTTGCAGGGACATGGATGAAGCTGGAAACCATCATTCTCAGCAAACTATCACAAGGACAGAAAACCAAACACCACATGTTCTCACTCATAGGTGGGAGTTGAACAATGAGAACACATGGACACAGGGCAGGGAACATCACCTGTCGGGGGGTGGAAGGATGGGGGAAGGATAGCATTAGGAGAAATACCTAATGTAAATGACGAGTTGATGGGTGCAGCAAACCAACATGGCACATGTATACTTATGTAACAAACCTGCACGTTGTGCACATGTACCCTAGAACTTAAAGTATAATAATAATAAAAAAAAAACAGTCCAAAGGGATCTACTTGTCTGGACACTCTTTAGAACATTACATTGATCCATTTTATCAGTGATGTCATGGTAATCAGACCAGATATACAAGACACATTCACTCCATGTATAGCAGGAAATAAACCCACCATATCAGTAAACTTTTGGGGTTCAGTACTCTGGAACATTCCCCCCAAGGTAGAGAACAAATTATTGTATCTCACAACTCCTACAAAAAGAAAGTAGCACAATGTTGGTAAGCTTGTTTAATTTATGGAGGCAGCTTATTCTACACTTGAGAATACTGCTCCAGCCCATTTACTGAGTGACTCAGAAGGCTACTAGCTTTCATTGAGGCCAGGTAAGGAAAGAGCTTTTTAAGTATGGGCTGGAATGTGAGCATCCCTGTTACATGGGCCAAATGGCCAGTAGACCCTATGGTACCAAAGGTACCCATTACGAAAAGAGATGCTGTGTGGAAATCATGTTGAGCCCCAATAGGAGAATCACAACATGGACACTTATGGTTCTGGAGCAACAGCATGTCATCTAGAGCAGAGAACCAGACACCATTCAAAAACAAGCTTCTGGGCCGTGGCAGAGATGTACCATCTTTCCCATTCAGCAATGATTCTTTAGTTTTCCCATGAATCAGATCCTTCTCTCATCAGCTCACTGCACACACTCACCATGGTTTATTGCCTACATTTTCATGACCTATAAAAAAACCTTTATGCCCATGCTTCTGACATTTATATTTTCTGTCTCTACTTGTCCTCTGAGATCCAGATCTAATTGCCTATTTTATTTGACAGATGACCTCAAACCCAACGTATTAACCTTAAATGTAAATGGGCTAAATGCTCCAATTAAAAGACACAGACTGGCAAATTGCATAAAGAGTCAAGACCCATCAGTGTGCTGTATTCAGCAGACCCATCTCACATGCAGAGATACATACAGGCTCAAAATAAAGGGATGGAGGAAACTCTACCAAGCAAACGGAAAACAAAAAAAAGGCAGGGGTAGCATTTAGCCCATTTACAAAGGTTAATACTGTTATGTGTGAATTTGATCCTGTCATTATGATGTTAGCTCGTTATTTTGCTCATTAGCTGATGCAGTTTCTTCTTAGCATCGATGGTCTTTACAATTTGGCATGTTTTTGCAGTGGCTGTATATGAAATTCTGGGTTGAAGCTTAGTTTGGCTGGATATGAAATTCTGGGTTGAAAATTCTTTTAAGAATGTTGCATATTGGCACCCACTCTCTTCTGGCTTGTAGAGTTTCTGCTGAGAGATCTGCTGTTAGTCTGATGGGCTTCTCTTTGTTCTTTTACATTTGCTGAGGAATGCTTTACTTCCAACTATGTGATCAATTTTGGAATAAGTGTGATGTGGTGCTGAGAAGAATGTATATTCTGTTGATTTGGGGTGGAGAGTTCTGTAGATGTCTATTAGGTCCACTTGGTGCAGAGCTGAATTCAATTCCTGGATATCCTTGTTAACTTTCTGTCTCATTGATCTGTCTAATATTGACAGTAGGGTGTTAAAGTCTCCCATTATTATCGTGTGGGAGTCTAAGTCTCCTTGTAGGTCTCTAAGGACTTGCTTTATGAATCTGGGTGCTCATGTATTGGGTGCATATAGATTTAGGATAGTTAGCTCTTCTTGTTGAATTGATCCCTTTACCATTATGTAATGGCCTTTTTTGTCTCTTTTGATCTTTGCTGGTTTAAAGTCTGTTTTATCAGAGATTAGGATTGAAACCCATCTAACAAAGGGCTAATATCCAGAATCTACAATGAACTCAAACAAATTTACAAAAAACAAACAAACAACCCCATCAAAAAGTGGGTGAAGGATATGAACAGACACTTCTCAAAAGAAGACATTTATGCAGCCAACAGACACATGAAAAAAATGCTCATCATCACTGGCCATCAGATAAATGCAAATCAAAACCACAATGAGATAACATTTCACGCCAGTTAGAATGGCAATCATTAAAAAGTCAGGAAATGAAAGGTGCTGGAGAGGGTGTGGAGAAATAGGAATACTTTTACAGTGTTGGTGGGACTGTAAACTAGTTCAGCCATTGTGGAAGATAGTGTGGCAATTCCTCAAGCATCTAGAACTAGAAATACCATTTGACCCAGCCATCCCATTACTGGGTATATACCCAAAGGATTATAAATCATGCTACTATAAAGACACATGTACACGTATGTTTACTGCGGCACTATTCACAATAGCAAAGACTTGGAACCAACCCAAATGTGCATCAGTGATAGACTGGATTAAGAAAATGTGGCACATATACACCATGGAATACTATGCAGCCATAAAAAAGGATGAGTTCATGTTCTTTGTAAGGACATGGATGAAGCTGGAAACCATCATTCTCAGTGAACTATTGCAGGGACAAAAAATCAAACACCACATGTTCTCACTCATAGGTGGGAATTGAACAACGAGAACACTCGGACACAGGAAGGGGAACATCACACACTGGGGCCTGTTGTGGGATGGGGGGAGGGGGGAGGGATAGCATAGGAGATATACCTAATGTAAATGACGAGTTAATGAGTGCAGCACACCAACATGGCACATGTATACATGTGTAACAAACCTGCATGTTGTGCACATGTACCCTAGAACTTAAAGCATAATAATAAAAAAAAGAGTAAGTTAATTACAATGTGAGTTTTTAGTACTCATTACCTTTGTTTGAAATGTGTTAATTATAAATTTATATCTTTTAATTTTTAACAATTACTATGTTTAACACAATTTTGACTTGTAAACTTCCGGAAATTTAAGAATTAGCATCTGTGAATTGTTTCAATTTAATCTTGGATCACCAGGACAGAGAGAATATTTTACCCTTTTTCCTCACTCACCATGACTACCCCTTGACACCCAGGGTAGAGGGCAAGGAATACTTCCATGATGGGAAAAATGCCTTTATGGCCCAAGGTGCTCATTCTGTTGGAATTAGCCCACATCACAAAGCCCCAGATGTCTTCCTTTCACCAAGCCATCTTTTGTGCTTCACTTCCCTCAATATATACTTTTTTGTTTCTCATGGTGCTCAAAAGTTTTGAAAACAACTTTTTAAAATTTTTGAAGGATGTATTTACTATAGAATGTGAACATACTCTGTACTGTTCAAACATGGTAGATGATGACTCTATTGAGTAAATGCCTCCAGAGCTAAAACAGAAAACTCAAAAGCCATTACAAATTATCCCAATCTTCTGCACTCTGAAGAAAGTAAGAGAAAAGAAGAGAAAAAAACATGAGAGTAACTGGGGGAAGAGCAGGCAACAAGCACCCCACCCTGGACTCTGCGCTTGATAGGCCCCTGCCCCATGGCATAGAATCATGCTCCAATCACTGAGCAAGGCGCCTACATGGGTAAAGGAGGTGGCCACCAGTGTCCACACCTCCCTTTTCCAGACTGCACTTCATACTCAAATAGCCCTGGGCCCATTCTAGGGCCTATGCAGGCCTCTTCCCCAGGTTCTTTCTCTGAAGGAGGACTGCTTCTGTGCCACTAGGCCAGATGGGTAACCAAAGGGATTGCTGGTGCCTGGTGGAGAGGGGTTAGGAGGGAGCTTTGTGCTTGTAGCCCATATGTCCAAGTGCATGTGCGCGAGGACCTTTGTGGTATGACACAGAGCCACAGTGGGAAAAGAAGGGGGCAGGCCACAGACCAGGCCTCTATTTGTAGTCTACCCAGGGCCACCAAATGTTAGAGGTAAGCCTAGGCATGAATATTTTGAGCAGAGAAAGCAGGAAGTAGAGAAGCCCTGACCTTTCTCTTCCTAGTGTGAATCTTCTCAGCATCATCTCAGAAATCACTTGACCTTCTTTCCTAACCCCATAGATAAGCAAGATTTTCTATATCTATGATCATTGAGGAGGGATGATACCACCACAAACAGCCCCACCACTCCCCCACCTAGTGCCTGACAAAGCTACTCTTCCAGAGGTCCGTATCTAAGAATTTCTCTCTTTTTAAAATCAAGTTCATTACCTGGGGCACTTTTGTTCTGTGCATGTTTGTGATTAATTAGATGTTTGTATGGGGCAATCATCGGACCTAGCAATGTCCTATGTTCTAGTTTCCCCCACACTCCTACAGAAGCCTGATTCCTTTGGAAATTCTCAATTCTGGTATATTATGATTTAGTGTCAGTGACAACAGCAGTCAGTTCTGGGGCAAATATGTACCTTGTCAGTGTGTATTGCTTTACACTGACTCTGACAGGACCCCCATGGGCATCAGCAAAACAAAACAAAGCAAAACAGAAACAAAATAAACAAACAAAAAAACCTGATTCCAGAGTCACTGCCCTCCAATAAGCCTATCTGTCACTACTTTAGAAAGACCATGATTGCCTGTTGTTGCATCACCAAACTTAGTGCTCTGCCCTCCAAGGTCACCAACCCCTTGGTAAAATAAAATAATTTACGGCATTTTATTTTTCTCTAGTCAAGTGCCATAACTTCTATCTTGTACATAAGTCAAGGAGATGAGCCCAAGAAATCTCACATTTAATCTCACATTCACTTAGAAAGCTTGCACAGACTCAGGAAGAGAACTGATACTTTAAAAAAAAAAAATCTAGAGTAACATTAAACTCTAAGCCTTTACAATCTTTTTGAGAGTAGACCAACTTCCTATGTGAAGATAGTGTTTGTGAGTGTGTGTGTGTGTGTGTGTGTATAATAGAGTATGTGAACATATTTGAGAGCAGTGACAAAGGGTAGCACGGAATTCCAGAAGAGAGAACTTTTGGAGCAAACCAGAACACAATACATTTGTATTCTTTCCTAACAAAGAGTGAATGTTCAAAAATAAAAGCAATCTTCAGATGCTGAGCTCTTAGATATCTTGTGCTACTGCTCCCATAATTGCCCTTAATATATCTGATGAACTCTATGAACCACTGGGTAACTGTCCTTTAAAAAGACATCTCTGTTGTCTAATCCTTAATGTTTGAGTTCCCAGGCTGCCTTTTCACTGGTGTCTTCCTTATAGTCAATTCCTTGAGGAACTCATTCAGCTTAATTTTAGTATTATACAGGAACAGTTGTGCTTCTCTAAATAAGTTCTTGTAAAGCATCTGCTTAAACGAGGGAATTCTCCATAGGACCTTACTGTGGCTAATCTTCCCAGTTGTAATCATCTTTGAAGGGAAGCATCTGTCATCACTCCCTGGGTGAATGCTCAGGTTTGTTTTTCTCTGCTCTCTCACATCCTTCATCTAATCTCTCACTTATTAAGATTGCAATGGTGAGGTATTTCATGACATCTTTTCCCCTGCCTCAGATAAACTCACTTAATTTAATCAATGAATAGTCAGTGTAGTTTCACTTCCTAGATTCCCATTTGTCTTGCTGACATTGCTTGTAATCATTTGTAAGCTTTTTATGTTCTTTTTCTTTTTTGTTTCAAATAGAAATTTCCAATGAAGAGTCTTTACCCTCATTCTTCTGAAATTTAGGAAATATGAATTTGCTATATCTATCTAATTTCATTATTGATGACAGCCAAGAGATAGGGCGTTGAAAACAAAATTTGTGTTTAATATTGTCACGGAATAGCTAATATGGAAATAAACCACGGTTATGAAATTCACATTTGACTGGTAGTTTATTGAATTAAGATTTGCAATCGCTGGTATCAACAGTTTGGTACTTGTTAGAGATCAGTTTTAAAGCCATTTAATATAAATATCTCATATATACTGATGACATTCCTTCAAAGGCATGAAAGAAAAAATAGGCTGTTTTTTAAAGAGGTATGTTTAAAACATACTATGTATTCTCAAAATCAAGTCGTTTGGCTTGACCATTTAAACATTCTTTTAAGTAATGCTGCATTTAAAAATAAACTAAGGTGTGTGGAGTTGAGTTCATAATCCTTTGTTCATAGCATACTGTCACTATTGGTCTACGTCTACATATGGCCTTTTTGGTCTATGTATGGCTTCTTTGTTATCCCTACACTTATCCCTACACTTATCATGTATCCCTACACTTATCATGAGACCTAGAAAATTAACAAGAAATTGTATCTCCCAATGTGATTCTCCCCCACTCTTTCCTCCTTCCACTCCCACTCCAGTTAATTATTACCCTTAATCTTTTGCATATTATTCAATTCCTTTTCTAAAAATAGTTTATTTTATTAGTATTGCTAAAAATATTGTTCATATTTTTGTTTTTAGTTATATAAAAAGTACATAATATTGTATATAATGTTCTGGAATTTACTTTTTCACTAATTTTTTTTTGTATATTACATGAACATCTGTCCACATTGTCAGTTGTAGTTGTAGCTTTTAATTTCTATGTTTTATGACTATTTTAAAACATATTTTTATTTTTATGCTATCTTTTTATAAAAAGTTTTCTGGATAAAATAAATGGATAACATACATTAGTTGCACACATTTTTACAGCATTAGAAATATTAATATTACATTCAAATAAAGCTAGCTCAAGATGATATTCAATATGAAGCTTCTACTCTGAATGGAAAGAACAAGACAAAGATCTAAGTAAGCAGTTTTGCTTCAAAACCAGAAATTAATGAAACTGAGATTTTATCACCATTCAAAATTATGAGATTAAATGTTATTTTCAAAAATGTAATTGAAAGATATTATTACCACTATAGTTTAACTTTTTACTGAACAACTTTAACCAAAATATTGTAACCAAAACCTTTTAACATAATGGGCTGAGGACAAATGTGAGATACAGGTGCCAACCAAGCCCAGCTTCCTCCTATGTCCATTTTATGAGTGGTAGGAACACTTGGCACAGGTCTTGCATGCAGATGTGAGAGTTTCTCCATTGTGTAAACAGTGAGGGGCCAACTTTCCAAATGGCACGTGGAAGTTTATATAATGCTACCTGCCTGTACACATGCCTTTGATAGTACCATCCCACAGTAATGCTGGGCTTGACCATGTGACATGCTTTGGCCAATGGGAATACAAACTTGACTAAAACAGATACTTCATTATTCTTCTTCTTATTATTGTGTTTTAAGTTTTAGGGTACATGTGCACAACGTGCAGGTTTGTTACATATGTATACATGTGCCATGTTGGTGTGCTGCACCCATCAACTCGTCATTTAGCATTAGGTATATCTCCTGATGCTATCCCTCCCCCCTCCCCCCTCCCCCCACCCCACAACAGTCCTCGGTGTGTGATGTTCCCCTTCCTGTGTCCATGTGTTCTCATTGCTCAGTTCCCACCTATGAGTGAGAACATGTGGTGTTTGTTTTTTTGTCCTTGCAATAGTTTGCTGAGAATGATGGTTTCCAGCTTCATCCATGTCCCTACAAAGGCATTGAACTCATCCTTTTTTATGGCTGCATAGTATTGCATGGTGTATATGTGCCACATTTTCTTAATCCAGTCTATCATTGATGGACATTTGGGTTGGTTCCAAGTCTTTGCTATGGTGAATAGTGCCGCAATAAACATACGTGTGCATGTGTCTTTATAGCAGCATGATTTACAACACTTTGGGTATATACCCAGTAATGGGATGGCTGGGTCAAATGGTATTTCTAGTTCTAGATCCCTGAGGAATCACCACACTGACTTCCACAATGGTTGAACTAGTTTACAGTCCCACCAACACTGTAAAATTGTTCCTATTTCTCCACATCCTCTCCAGCACCTGTTGTTTCCTGACTTTTTAACGATCGCCATTCTAACTGGTGTGAGATGTTATCTCATTGTGGTTTTGATTTACATTTCTCTGATGGCCAGTGATGATGAGCATTTTTTCATGTGTTTTTTGGCTGCATAAATGTCTTCTTTTGAGAAGCGTCTGTTCATATCCTTCGCCCACTTTTTGATGGGGTTGTTTGTTTTTTTCTTGTAAATTTGTTTGAGTTCATTGTAGATTCTGGATATTAGCCCTTTGTCAGATGAGTAGGTCGCAAAAATTTTCTCCCACTCTGTAGGTTGCCTGTTCACTCTGATGGTGGTTTCTTTTGCTGTGCAGAAGCTCTTTAGTTTAATTAGATCCCATTTGTCAATTTTGGCTTTTGTTGCCATTGCTTTTGGTATTTTAGACATGAAGTCCTTGCCCATGCCTATGTCCTGAAAGGTATTGCCTAGGTTTTCTTCTAGGGTTTTTATGGTTTTAGGTCTAACATGTAAGTCTTTAATCCATCTTGAATTAATTTTTGTGTAAGATGTAAGGAAGGGATCCAGTTTCAGCTTTCTACATATGGCTAGCCGGTTTTCCCAGCACCATTTATTAAATAGGGAATCCTTTCCCCATTGCTTGTTTTTGTCAGGTTTGTCAAAGATCAGATAGTTGTAGATATGTGGCATTATTTCTGATGGCTCTGTTCTGTTCCATTGGTCTATATCTCTGTTTTGGTACCAGTACCATGCTGTTTTGGTTACTGTAGCCTTGTAGTATAGTTTGAAGTCAGGTAGTGTGATGCCTCCAGCTTTGTTCTTTTGGCTTAGGATTGACTTGGCAATGTGGGCTCTTTTTTGGTTCCATATGAACTTTCAAGTAGTTTTTTCCAATTCTGTGAAGAAAGTCATTGGTAGCTTGATGGGGATGGCATTGAATCTATATATTACCTTGGGCAGTATGGCCAGTTTCACGATATTGATTCTTCCTACCCATGAGCACGGAATGTTCTTCCATTTGTTTGTGTCCTCTTTTATTTCATCGAGCAGTGGTTTGTAGTTCTCCTTGAAGAGGTCCTTCACATCCCTTGTAAGTTGGATTCCTAGGTATTTTATTCTCTTTGAAGCAATTGTGAATGGGAGTTCATTCATGATTTGGCTCTCTGTTTGTCTGTTATTGGTGTATAAGAATGCTTGTGATTTTTGCACATTGATTTTGTATCCTGAGACTCTGCTGAAGTTGCTTATCAGCTTAAGGAGATTTTGGGCTGAGACGATGGGGTTTTCGAGATATACAATCATGTCATCTGCAAACAGGGACAATTTGACTTCCTCTTTTCCTAATTGAATGCCCTTTATTTCCTTCTCCTGGCTGATTGCCCTGCCCAGGAGCTGGTTCTTTGAAAAGATCAACAAAATTGATAGACCGCTAGCAAGACTAATAAAGAAGAAAAGAGAGAAGAATCAAATACATGCAATAAAAAATGATAAAGGGGATATCACCACCGATCCCACAGAAATACAAACTAACATCAGAGAATACTATAAATACCTCTATGCAAATAAACTAGAAAATCTAGAAGAAATGGATAAATTCCTCGACACATACACTCTCCCAAGACTAAACTAGGAAGAAGTTGAATCTCTGAATAGACCAATAACAGGCTCTGAAATTGAGGCAATAATTAATAGCTTACCAACCAAAAAAATTTCAGGACCAGACGGATTCACAGCTGAATTCTACCAGAGGTACAAGGAGGAGCTGGTACTATTCCTTCTGAAACTATTCCAATCAATAGAAAATGAGGGAATCCTCCCTAACTCATTTTATGAGGCCATCATCATCCTGATACCAAAGCTGGGCAGAGACAAAACAAAAAAAGAGAATTTTAGACCAATATCCCCGATGAACATCAATACAAAAATCCTCAATAAAATACTGGCAAACCGAATCCAGCAACACATCAAAAAGCTTATCCACCATGGTCAAGTGGGCTTCATCCATGGGATGCAAGGCTAGTTCAACATATGCAAATCAATAAACGTAATCCAGCATATAAACAGAACCAAAGACAAAAACTAGATGATTATCTCAATAGATGCAGAAAAGGCCTTTGACAAAATTCAACAGCCCTTCATGCTAAAAACTCTCAATAAATTAGGTACTGATAGGACGTATCTCAAAATAAGAGCTATTTATGACAAACTCACAGCCAATATCATAGTGAACGGGCAAAAACTGGAAGCATTCCCTTTGAAAACTGGCACAAGACAGGGATGCCCTCTCTCACCACTCCTATTCAAACAGATACTTTTTAAAAGTACTTGCACATTTCCTTTCCCTGTCTCTGCTGTGGGAACATGCTAGGATACCTACTGGAGGGAAGTGAGAGACACATGGAGGAATCATCCCAGTCAAGGCTCTCCTAGAACAACAATAAACTCCAGCCAACCTAATAGCTAATGTCAGACCTATGAGAAAACCCAGCTGAGATCAGCCAAGCCCAGACCAGATCACCAGAGCCCAGCAACCTACCTATAATCTGATGAGAAAAAAAAAATGGTTGATGTTTTAAGCCACTACGTCTTTTTTGGGGGGAGGTGGTGTTTTTAAAAAATTTTTAACTGGCATACCACTCAAAACTGTCTGCTTGGGTTCACTAATCTGACAGTTCCTAGGCAGTAATCACTGTCCCCCAACCTCACCCCTCCTTCTTGGACAAATGGTCTAGGATAGTTTTCCAGATGTTGGGGTGAATGTCTTCCTTACTTATTTTTCCTCCTCCTACCCACAGTTTTCTGTCTGGTTTTTCTGTCATAGCTTCTTACTCTTTTTATCCCTATCTTTGAGTCAATTGTCCTCTTTGCTTTCTTAATAGATCTTGATGGCACTTTATAATCAGACCCAAAGGATTAACTACCAAAAAACTAGTTTACCCTTCCTTAAAGGCATATAAAAGCTTAATTTTCAAATGCTCCCAGAAGTGAAGATAGCACCAGGTTATGGGTAGGTTGGTAGGCTCTGCTAATCTGGGCTGGGTTTGGCTGATCCCAGGTATGTTTGCTCATAGTTCTGACATTAGCTATTATTTGGTTCTGAGATGGTAATAAGAAGGTGAGGATGGGGAAATATTGGGGCTCTTTGAGTGTTCAGATCCTTCTAATGCACCAAAAAGAGTTTGAAAAGCAAAACTGATAAGTAATAAAATTAGAACACATTAAATATTTCTATCCTCACTTCAAGTACTCTTTGCAGGTACGTGTGATCCAAATTTCTCCAGGTCTTACCAGTTTAATTTCATGTTAATACTAATGACTCATATTTTTTAAAGAACCCTATCCCCCAAGAAGTTTTGCCTGTTGATATCTGCTAATGTCCAGAGACTGTGTCACATATGTCACAGCCATTCCTTCGGTTGCATTCACTACTTGGATTCTGACCCATTCTCCCTGCTCCTGTTCATACATTGAGGTCCACTGCCTCTGCATTTACTGAAGGCTGACCTTACGTTGAAACTATTGTGGGAAACACATAGAAGACTTCCAGTGCTTGTGCCAAGACTGTTGTCCTCTCATGCTCTCGATACTGCTAAACTCAAGGTGCCATATTTGGGCAGAGGTGGAGGAAATATTCTTCTCTCTACCACTGTCACAATCTAGATACCTGTGTCTTGCTAAAGAAGCCCTCTTTGTTTTCTCAAGGTCAAGATCTTGCTTAAAGTCCCTCTTTCCATAAGTCTCAGAAATGAGTCCATGACATAGTGCCAGAAGCCAAATGTTTGCAACAGACACCTTGCTATCTTCTGCATCCCCAATTTTATCCCATTTTTTTTTTTTTGGCAGTCAGCCTTTTCCCATGATCATCAATTTATATAGACACCTCCAGACCACCCACTATATACGCTCATTAAATTGTCCTATGTTTGCATGAATCTCAGTGGTAGGTGCAACTTGGGCTCAAGGTGGGATGGGACCCCCCTCCCTGTATAATGCCTTAGGAAAGCTTTAATATACTGTAGACATAACATTAATACTATTCTTTTTATTCTCTCAGTGAATGATCAGATCATCATAAAATGGCTAGGTCTGAGTTATTTCCAATATCTCATTAAACTTTTTAGTCATCATCCCTCCGGGCTTAAACTGTGAAGGGAGAAGAGACCTCAAATAACCTCCCACATCTCTGCTCCCCAACAAACCTACCACACCTGCATAGTGTCTGGCACATGGAAGGCATATAATACCTATTTGATGAATGACGGAATGTGCAAACACTTCCCTACCCATCCACAACTTCAGTTTCAAGGATTATGAAAGCAGCCAAAGTTGAAAAAAAGAAAAAGACCAAAAAATACATGGCAAGAATGGCTAGTTCAAGATCCATTGGGCCCAGAGAATTTGGCCAGACTAAAATGCAGCAGAGTGTATGACAGTTGCTAAAGCAGGACCAGAGTGCCATTGCTCTTTCCTCTTCTCCACGTCAAGCTCTATATTCCCTTTTATACCACCAGCAAATGGCTTGAGAGAAAGTGTCTAACAAGTAATTATAACCACAGCCAGATTTGCTCTTGTTCTATTTCCAAATTGTAACTGCATTCTACTTTGTTTATTCTTTACTTTCAAAATTATCCATTTCACTATGGTATTTATAAACATATTCCTTTTAATAGCCAACGGCAACATTACCTTGAGAGAGAGAATTAGGAAACATTCTCTTTGTCAGAGCTCAAAATGATATCCTGCAGAGTGAAAGAGCACTTTTATACAATATAAATACTTAACTATTTTATTAACGTATTAGCTGAAGCCTTACAGAAAGAAAAAAATAGACACTTCCTGAGTCTCAGAGGTGATAACAAAGCTGTTCAGGCAGCTAGGCCAGGAAACATCTTTCTGTTTCCTCTGGAATAACACATCTGTCAAAGTCAGATTTACAAAAGAAAATCCATGTGACTTCTAGCCAAGAACTCTTGAAACCCAAATAATTTTGGATATTTTTATAACATATTAGGGAGCATATTCCAAATTTCTTAAGTTGAAGATCCTAGTTCAAGGCTACCTATACCTGTTTTGGACCTGTAGAATTTTGTATTTATAGACTAGGCACAGATAAATCCTCATTTTTCCTGTGTGTGTTAAAAAGCTATGTCATTCCTTCTGAGATTCTTGGCCAACTTAAATGGCCTTTTAGACTTTATGGACAAAGAACATGTGGCCCAAAGAACATGTGGGCAAGTACGTATCTCTGTGAGGTCAATTCTAAAGAGTTTGAGAAGTTGGTTTTGGGACAGTCCAAGAAACTTGCTTTGCCAGTCAAGGAATTCCTTTGCTTTCTATCAAGCACATTATCTCCTCCTAAAATTATTGTCCAATGTGTGATGCCCAAATCAAAACACTTGGCTTCTCAATCTTAGACTTCTCAGCTTCCAGAACTATAAGCCAATAAATTTCTATTCATTATAAATTACTATATGTGGTATTCTGTTATAGCAGCACAAAACAGACTAAGACACTAACCTAGACCTCTTCTTCTGCCTGAAGTTTAGAAAAAGTAAAATTGTAATTTGAAAAATTAATTAATTTTAAAATTAAATTAAAATTAAAAATTACATCATAATTCAAAATAAAAGTATTATATAAAAAACACACAGAGAGAGAAAGAGAGAGAAACATTGTCTCTACAAACAAAAAAAGCACAGCAGGAAGACATGTCAGACATCTGTACACTTGCACCACTGTATTTTGAAACAGTTTCTTAATTTCTTATAGAAACTAAGAAAATTATAGACATTATGATAAATTAAATAAGTCTGAATCAGGAAAATGCAGAAATAAGGCAATTGAAGAGATAAAAGATTTCAGAGATCTAATAGAACCCAGGAAAGAATTAGAAATAAGAGAAAAAATTATTTCAGAAACAAAAGCTAAGATAGGCAGAATATACGAATGAATAAACACAATACCTTAAGAGATAGGGTGTAATAAACACAATGGTAAATACCTTATTCTATAAGCATGAAAAACTATTCAAGCAAAATGGGCAGATATAGAAGATAGGTAAATAAAATCCAACATACATACACACACACACACACACACACACACACACACACACACACACACTAGGAATTGAAGGGGAAAAAATTGAACACAACAAATACTAAAAGTCATAAATGAAGAAGATTTTTCTGAAACAATAAAAAAAAGATTTAGAGCTATGTTGGAAATGATATACTTCATATCTGGGAATACCAACTTAAGATTATTAACACCAAAATATATTCTGCTAAAAGTACTAGACGTTTAAGAAAAGAAAAAATGTTCTTAGCTTCCAGCCAAAAAGACAAGACACCCATAAAAGTAAGAAAGTGATTATCATCATTATATTATATATATTTTTAAATTTACTTACTTTTGAGACAGGGTCTTGCTCTGTTGCCAAGGTTGGAGTGCAGTGGTGCAATCACTGCTTGCTGCAGCCTCGACTCCTTGGGCTCAAGCAGTCCTTCCACTTCCACCTCAGCCTGCCAGATGGCTAGGACTACAGGTACAAGCCAAGACAGCCAGCTAATTTTTTTTGTAGAGATGAGTTCTTGTCATATTGCCCAGCCTCAAACTCCTGGGCTCAAGCAGTCCTCCCAGTTTGGCCTCCCAAAGTGCTGGGATTACCCATCATTATGTTTCAACAGAAATTCTTTATGCTGGCAGACAATGGAGTAGTAGGTTGAGATTCTTAAGGGAAGTAAATGTGAGTAAAGCACTTTATAACAATTGAAACTGATATTCAAATATAAAGGCCAAAATCTTTTAAGAATATGCAGAAATGCAGGGAATATTATTCCCATTAATACCTCCTGAGGAATCTACTAGAGAGTAAGCTTCAGCCTAAAGGATGGTAGAAGACAGTAAATACAGTATGAAGTGGCTATGTGCTCTAACAATATAGATTTACCACAACTATGAAAAACTTGGGAGAATGGGAAAGTATATGAAAAGTAGAATGAGCTTACGGATTTTATTATAGCAAATTATTAATTACGCTAACAACATCGAGAACCAGGATTTTTGATGTGGGAGAAATAAAATTTGTATTTAAAATGAATCAAATTAGTACAAACCCTATAGCTCTGTTATGAACTGAATGTTTGTGTCCCCCTAAATTTATATATTGAAGCCCTCATCCCCAATGTGATGGTATCTGAGATGAGGCCTTTGGGAGATAATTGGGATTAGATTAGATTAGATTAGACAGTGGGGGCCTCATGGTGGGATTAATGCCGTTATAGGAAGAGGAAGACAAATAAATTCTCTCCCCAGACTTCACCCTGTTACATACTGAGGAAAGGCCATGTGAGGACATTGCAAGAAGGTGGCCAACCAGAATCTCACCCTGCTGGCACCTTGATCTCAGATTTCCAACCTCCAGAACTGTGAGAAAATAAATTTCTATTATTTAAACCATCCACTCTCTGTTATTTCATATGGCAGCCCAAGCTGACTAAGACAGCTCCAAATACAATTGGAATAATATTTGTATAAACTCATAATAATTTTATCTTTAAAAACATGTATTTCTGAGCCCTGTCTATTGATCATGGCTAGCAATGACAACTCAATAGCAAAGAGAATGCCTATTGTCCTGACAGTTGTCTCTACTATATTCCACTAAATCAACCAGGGCTTCTTGGAAAAAATGGCTGATTCTAGATCTAGGGCAGAAATACAAAACAGGAGATTAGAACATCTTGTCAATCCAGAAAATGGGGAGGCAAAAGGAGAAAAAGTCTCCTAGGATTAAATCTAAAGGATTTGAAAACCAATTTGAAGGAGCTCCCACTGGTGACAGTGGGAATAATTTGAATAGCAATAAAAATAATGGCTATAAAAATTGTACACATCAAGTAAGTTTAAAATCATGCATTCATTTTGATATTATGAAGTACCCACATTGATAACCATTGGAGGAATTTAGAAAACAAATTCAGTATTTTGAAAACAGTGAAATAAAAAGAAGCAAGCATTTATCATGTATTTCTACACAAACTAAAAGTAAATATTTAATGATGAGCATTTTCACTTTAAAGAAATATGCCAGGTCATAAGTGAAGAAGAAAAGACAGCATTATCATCCATTGGCCTCTTTTCCTCTCCCCCAACAGAAGACTTAAAGGCCAAAGGACTTTTAAAACTAATTTTTAACAAATTAGTAAAGGTCAAAGTGAGAGTAATTATTCCAAAGTAGTTCCTTAGAGTAAGAAGATGTGTCTTATAGATCAGGAGCCAAAGCACAAGTTTTCATCCCATTTATATTTTTCTGTGGTGAAAACTGTGCCATTCATTCATCAAAAGGTATTGGATGGAATTATTTGCATATGTATTAAAAAGTTGGGATATGAAGTAAAGATAAAATGGAATGCCTACTTGGAGAAATCTTCAACATTTGAAGAAGTATGTTGATATGTTTGTCTACATTTGCCTTACCTTTCACTATAGCCAAGAAACTAGGAATTTTGTTTGATTTACAAAATACAGGTTTTAGGTACTTCTATGGACTGAATATTTGTGTCCTCCCCCCAAAATTCTTAAGTGTTTATTATTAGGAGGTGGGGTGTTATTAGGTTATGTTATTTGGGAAATGATTAGGTCATGAGGATGGAACCCTGATGGGGTTAGTGTCCTTATAAAAGAGATTCCAGAGTGATTCATTGCTCCTTCAGCGATGTGAGGACACAGTGAGAAGGTGCCATCCATAAACCAGAAAATAGGACCGCACCAGACTGAATCTGTCAGCACCTTGATCTTGAATTTCCCAGCGTCCAGAACTGTGAGAAATAAATTTCTGTTGTTTAAGGTATTTTTGTTATAATAGCACAAGTGGACTAAGAGAAAAACTAATTTTTGTTGTTTTTAAATCAGAATTGAATTTATTTTGCCGTGGCTGAAACGAAAGCAACTGTATGAAAAATAGAGTAGACACTCCGTTTTAAAGGCCCATCCTCCCAGTAGGTGGAGCTATAATGCTTGTAGACTGAAATAAACAGAATCTTGACTCTGTTTCCTCTCTCTTAAATCCTGGCACAGTAATGGAACTGCTGAAGGTTAACCTAAAGATGTCTTTTTCTGATTTTTATTTGGTAAATTGTTTATCGGCCCTAACTGTGCATTAAAATTATTTAGATTGGTTTTTTTAAGTTGCAAATACTTAGGAGTATGCCTAGGAAATGGGTATTTTTTTAAAGTACTCCATTGATTCTATTTTATAGCCAGAGGAGACAACCACTGGCCCAACAGGGGAAAGAGATCATCTTCCATGGAGTAAGAATATAGAGAAGCAGTAATATGATAAAAGAAAAGCCTTTTATAACAAGCATTTATGGGTTTCAGGATTTAATCCAATAACAAAAACAATGAACAGCAAACACAATGTTTCTCATTTATAAAAATTTGGTTCTTTTTTATCTACTTTTTGGAAAATAAGAAATTTTATTTTTGTTTTTTACTGTGTAATGTCTATTTCATGTTAAGATGTGTTGAGCTTTTCAGTGATCATAAAATTTGGATAATATGTTCGTGTAGTCTCTCCACTGCTCCTCAGCCTTTTCCAATCAATTAAAGTATGCTAGAAGCAGCAAATAAATACAGTGATCTCTGGAAGCTTTCAAATACCCAGTGACAAGTGCTTTTCACTGTCTACAACAGTTACAAGTGTCATTACCAGACACAGAAATGTGATCTTACTGTAAGTGCAGAGGAGGAGCAAGGGTGGCAGCCACTTCAGAATTAGCCTCAATTTCCATTTTAATCTGTGGTTATCATGGTTATGTAGGAAGCACCCAAAATGTCATTTCCACCATGACATTGCCAGCAGACGCTTGTTTACTGTAAAACTGATAAAACTTACCTCTCTGGGCCTCTCACTTGCACAATCTTACGGCCCTAACAGGGCCCTAGAAATGTTTTTTTTTTATTATTACAAAATTGAAAAGTATAAGATATTCTCACTGCAATTGGTTAATTCCACTGACACTTTCCACTCCAGCTTTTCCTCTGTCACATTTCCCCTTTTGGTGGGTGGTGTTGGAAGAGCCACAAGCATTTTTGGGATTGGCTAAGGAAGATTTGAAGACACTTTTAGTTTGTTCTGGTGGAATTATTTACGTGGCTGGCAGTCATTTCCATGCATAGTTTAGTTAATGGTAGCAAGGTTCTATATGTTAGCAAATGGCAAAGCTAGGATTCACATCTGGCTTTGCCTACTCTATAATGTTCTTTATATTCTTGCTCTTTGCATGCTTTGTTATCCATCAGCAGACCTTTTTATGATTGTTCATCCTCAAGCTCTTGCCAGGATGTGATAGTATTTCCCTCCTCCTCTCTGACTCCAATACTTTTTTTTTTTTTTTGCCTTTTTGTCTCTCCTATCTTACCTGCACCCTGTATCTTATCCAAATTGGACTCCTCACCTTTGCTGGAACATAGCTTTGCTCATTTTCTTCCCTTGGTCATTTATACTTTACTGGTTCTTATTTTTTTTATTTGACACAAAACATTGACACTGACAATGTCATAAAACTCATATGTCACTACAAGGACAGCAATGACACATTAGTTAAGGAGTATCATAAATCTGAATAGTATTTACAGTTAATCACACACACACACACACACACACACCCTTCAAATCTTACAGCTCATATGTAAAAGAAAGATGAGAAAGGTTTTCTCAAATTTGATAGCAGTTCTAAAAATTTGCATGACATTTCCAATAACAAGTTATGAAACTGAAGGAAAATTTTTCATCAATAAAAGCCACAAATTTTTATCGACCATTCTAGAAGAAAGTTTAATTATCTTTCTATCTTTTGTATGGATGTAATTAAAAAATTGTCATCATATAAAAAGGCAGTATGAATTATTATTTTTCCTGATGTTGTAATGTTTGTGACCATGTGTCAACTTTGTAAAATTTATAATTTGTTGTAATATTGTATTCTAAATAAATATTCACTTTTGTGAAAATAATATTTTACATATTGTGTAAAATAATGTGCCCCACCCCCTTTTTTTAAGAGGACACCCTAAGTAATATAATTCTCAGGCCCCACAAAACTCAGAACTACCCCCGATTGCCAATGAAGTATTTTACTAAAAAAAAGTGTGGTGTCAAGTTAAATGTGTGCCACTGAGGGTTTGTTCTTTTATTTCACAAGCCCAAAATATCAATTACTTGCTAAGTTAATAAAAATTAGTATCTGGTAGAAAAGTCTTCTATGTTGTCTATTGTTATTTCTAAAGCCATGTATCCATATCCGCTTTTGATGTTTTCTCTCTTAAACAAAAATTACTTGCTTAGTTAATAAAAATTAGTATCTGGTAGAAAATTCTTCTATGTTGTCTATTGTTATTTCTAAAGCCATGTATCCATATCCGCTTTCGATGTTTTCTCTCTTAAACAAAAACACTATGCTGAATGTGCAGCAAGTAGGTGTGGTGTAGTTATTGCTGATGCACAGACATCATAGACATTTCAAGTAAAAGGCAGCAACCTGAGAAGTTGCAATCCACTTGAGAAGTCATGATTAATACCAACATTTTTAAATTAGTAGTTGTCTAAACAAAAATTGTATAAATGCCATGAAAATATACTTCCATTCTTACTGAAACTGCCTTTGCAAAATTATAACTGAGGAAATTATGACAGTGAAAAAAAATCAGACCTAACCGACTCCATCTTGCTTCTAACCTTTAAGCTGTGCTTGTTCATTCTTGGGCATAGGCCGAGCTAACTTTGGGAAGGAATTCAGTTCATGGTTTGACTCTGAAACAAAATTGATAACAGCCCTTTCCCAAAAAGACTCCCTTCTTGCCTGGTGACCAGTCTGCCTTTGCAGGACTAACCTATTAGCTACAAGGTTAGAAATTACAGTTTAGGGGTTATGCACCCTCTGGCTCCAAGTCTGAACCGCCCCACATTGCTTCTGGGGATAACATCACTATTGTAAAACCTAAGATTAGTGCTTGAGATATTTCGCAGACCCTGCACTGGGGGATCAGCTGACACCACCCAGACGGTTAATCTCACTCAACCAGTTCTGCCGTTTCACTCAGGAAGGGAAGACAGCAAGAAAACCTCACTTCAACCCCCTATGATTCCATCTCCAACCTGACCAATCAGCACTCCCCACTTCCCAAGCCCCTACCCACCAAATTATCTTTAAAAACTCTGATCCCCGAATGCTCGGGGAGACTGACTTGAGTAATAATAAAACTCCGGTCTCCCGCACAGCCGGCTCTGTGTGAATTACTCTTTCTCCATTGCAATTCCCCTGTCTTGATAAATCGGTTCTGTCTAGGCAGAGGGCAAGGTGAACCCACTGGGTGATTACATTACTACTCTCCCTAGACAACTGACTGACTCTTTGGATGGCTGTATACTAATAGCTAACATTATAAGAAAAAGGAAAAATCCTTACTTAAACAAAAAAATAGGACCAGGAAACAAAGGAAAGTAAAGATGAATAATTAAATATTATATATATGGGAAAACAATCTTTAAAAAATGTATGCTTTTATATAAATATATATTTATATACATTTATTACAATCTTATTGATATAAAAGGTGTTCAGCAAACCATTTAGAAATAATAGTAAAATATATGACATCACTTAAAATTTTATATAGCCAATTCATTCTCACAGAATGAGTGTTTTCTTTGATTTTTACCTAACTCCTGTTTCTGTAGCCAAACCTATGGCTGCAACTGATAAGCATGTGTAGTTTGGATATAAATGAAGTTTTCATTTATGTATGAAATGAGGAAGGCATTTGTTAGAACTTCAGTTCTTTGCCAATTATGTAATAATTTGAATACAAAGATTCATGGCCATCTTAAAAAAATAGCCAGTTAAACACCGAACTCCAGCAGATTCTGTATTTGAGAATACTATTCTTGATTATTAAAGGAAAATGTAAATTTGAGAAGTAAATGGATTTTATTTACTAGGAGCATGAAAATGTACTACAAACCTTTTCCCCCTAGTTTCCATTCTCAACCTTATTTTCTGCATCTTGGAGGCCTTCCCAGTAGATCAAATATGATACATCTCTAAATCAGGTTCTTGTGCCTCATCTTGAGCATTAAAAACAAGACAAGATTTAGAAAATAAAAATTTTAATAACAAGTACCCTGGAAGGAAGAAAGGAAGGGATTGAAGGAGAATGAGAGGGAAGAAGGAAGGAAAAAGAAAAAGATGCCAAGTGTTAGACAAGAATTCTGCGACAAGAACAGAATGCCTTAAAAAATAGTCAAGAATTGGTGACTATTTCAAAACTCTAAAGTAAACTTGGGCGTTGGAGTTGGTATCTATGACCTCATTTCAGTAGGTCAGTTCCTATGCGGAGGAGCAGAGCTGATGTCCGGATGGAAGCACCTGATTCGGTTGACAAGTTCAATCAGAGGTCCCAGGCAGTCGACCTTACGCTTCCTGTGGCCTTACAAATGCCCCACTCAAGACACCTGTCAGGCAGGCCAAACTTATTTAAAACATTTTTTAGACATGAGACATTCTCAAAGATGAGAACTAACTACTCATTTTAGCTGTCTTGATTAGACACTAATTAACCATTTTGGTTGGCAACCTTCAACTCAATTCTGCTGAACAGAGTGCTCTGAAGTAAACATTTTGTTAAAACACGTCAACAAGATAAGCCATGTCAGCAGTGACATATGCTCTATTCTATTTTCCTCTCTATCCAGGTTTTTTGTTTTTGGCTTTGTGGAGACACCAACTTGCTACTCTTGGTTCAGTGTCCTAAGTGGCAACCTAGGATCTCAGTAACATTAATGCAACTTCAAAAAATAACTCACTCCTCCAAAATCTCTTAGACTTTCAGAAGATGGTAAAATGTTCCTTCTCTGTGATGTGTAGTGGGTGTATGATGTTTTCTATATGTTTAAGAATGTGTTTCTGTGTCAACGAATATTTTAAAAGAATAAAAATTACAGTAGTTACAGTGTTTCAGCTGAAAAATTATGAGAACTGAAGAATTAAAAATTAAGGCCCAAGGTGACCCACAAAATCAGCATGGCAGAGCAAAAACTAGAATCTGAATTGAGCTTATTCCTAGCTTTGCTTTCAGAGTCTGAGGAGTCATCATATGGGATATATAATCTATGTCCCTTTAGGGAATACATTATATGGCCAAGTTTTCACCCTAGACTTTCCAGTGATATTTTAAAAAGTCATTTTCACTTTCCTCCTGGCTTCACAAAAAATCTTTATTATTATTCCAATTATTAAAAGTTGAGGCCGGGCACAGTGGCTCATGCCTACAATCCTAGCACTTTGGGAGGCAAGGCGGGTGGATTGCCTGAGCTCAGGAGTTCTGGACCAGCCTGGGCAACATTGTGAAACCGTGTCTCTACTAAAAATACAAACAATTAGCCCGGCATGGTGGTGCACGCCTGTAATCCCAGCTACTCAGGAGGCTGAGGCAGGAGAATCGCTTGAACTGGGGAGGCAGAGACAGCAGCAAGCCCAGATCATGCCACTGCCCTCCAGCCTGGATGGCAGAGTGAGACTCTGTCTCAAAAAAATAAAATAAACAAATAAAAGTTGGGCACTTTATGTTAATAATTTTTTGCATGAGATTTAGAAGTGCTAAATTGATAACCAGCAGTTTATTTCTCTAATGTTTAAAGACAGTAAATGACTAAACATTTTGCGGCCCTTGCATCCATTGGATTGCTTCCAAAAAAAAAAGACAAAGAAAAGAGAATGTAACCTGCTAAATCAACACGTCTCTGGAGGTCAGATGAGAGCTGTTGTGAGATCCTGTCTCATGAAGCAATTTAAGAGAATAGAGCAAAAGTTAGAAGGAGCCAGGCTGCAACTTTCTTATAGTCCAAGCAGCCCGGAATGGAAGACACATCCTTAGCAAATCAGGCAACAGGAAATGCCAAATCATGCGTAGATGCCTGCTGGGCTGATAAAGTCAATCCGAATATGACACCAAGAAAGAAGAGAAGAGTAACCCACTTGGTCTGAGGTTGGAGAAGACATGCTCCATATGGCTTGGGTGGTAGAAATGGAGTCATTGAATTCATAGAAGAAAGACATATCTGAAAGGCCCTCCTATTATTAGAACTACCAAAACTTATATTACACATCTAAATTTCATTCATAGGTAGTCAGAGACCCTGGAACCATGGAATCTCTGGATCTGGGTTCAGAACAGGGGAGTAATATCAAGGGAGCCTAACTGAGAATAAATGAAATGTTTTGAGTTTCTCATTTTTCCCCTTAACCCCTCTCTAGTCCCTCTTCATTCCTTTCCTTTTCTTTTGATTCTGGTGCAAAGAAGAAACAAATCAAAGTGATAGATTGTTCAAATGACCTATCAATAATAAGGTAGTATGCTTTAAAAGAGTCTGCAGTTTACAAGCCAAAGTTCTATAGAATATGAAACCAAAGGAGGAAATAAAGCTCAAATTCAAAAGTGGTTGGATGACGGAATTTGAAGCACACTGGGTAGCGGCCCCAGCTTTTATTTTATCCTATTCGACTATGGGTCCAGTGTTGCCTTAGTAGCTTAAGGCTAAAATCCTTGAGCTGACTAGACAAGTGACTCCTTTATTAGCAAGGTACCTTTCCCATTTTTGCATTACAGACATCTTGAGAATACCATGAAAGCTTCTGATCCCTAGTTCACCACAATACATATATTCATTTACACACAAAATTGGGCATGCATTCTCTGTAAAATTCAAAGACCACTGCTTATAAAGTGCTATAAACAATATTGGTGCAAAACAATTTTTAAAGCCAACATGAAACCAGGAAATAAGCAACTACAACTCAGTTGAAACAAGAGTATTAAACTATTCACACCATAAAGAAAAAGCCATCAAGTAGTACCCTAGTTGCCCTCCTGGCTGCTGGAGAAAAGTGTTAGGCATAATTTGCACTTGTGAGCCTCTTGGCCCTCAAAGAGATGGTTTGAATTGTATACCTTTAATTTCCCACAACATCTGATGATATAAAGTCCAGAAAATTAATGAGAAGAAGGGCTTGTTGCTGTTTGATGATTAGAACAAATACAGTTCGCTGTCAGCTAGCACAAGGCAACTTTGTCCCTGCAGAGTAGCCCTAGTAACAGACAAAAATACAGTGCCAAATTAGGGGGCTAAATTCCAGACTGGAGAGTAGGCGGCTCCTTCCAGAACTCCTTTTTGCCTTATTGGACATGGATGAAGGAAAGAAAGGAAAACTTCTGCCTCCTAGTTACTCTGTGGGGAAGTCTGAGATTCCCTTTACCTGAGAAGGAAAGTCAGTTGGCCAGATCACTCCCCTCTGGACAGAGTCCTCATGGCCTCACCCAACTTTTCCACTTACAGTCTTATTTTGGTTTAATTTGGAACACGAGACCAACAGTATTTTTGACCAATGATAAAATACAAGTGGGCAGTTTGGTTTTAAAATGTCAGTTCACATGAAGATTTTACAGTTGTCCTTATAAGTGAAGTAGAATTTTCCCTCAAATGACATAGGAGTTTTAAAGTGGACAGGAGAGATTGAAAAAGCATGCATGAGAGCTCTCATCATTCCTTGTCTTCTATTTTAGGACAAATATCAGAATAGATAATTCATGTGAGCAGGTGAAGTTACTCCTAGGCTTGGCGAAGCATCTGTTATTATGGTAGAAGTTTTTTTTTTTTTTTCTGAGAGAGTGAAAAAAAGCACTGTAATTTCATTTTCTGTTAATTCTTCCTTTAATACAGAAAAAATAAAATATAATTTCTTCCTTCAATACAGAAAAAAATAAAATCTAGCAGAGCCAGAATCTTTCCCTAGTACCTCCTCAATAATGAACCACTTTGAAAGTCTGATGTATTTTCTATTTGGGTGTCAGGCTATATTAGCTCAAAATCTGAATATAAGAGCAATTGTGCTAGGTCACACTCAGATGTAATCCAACTCTTATCCAGTAAAAATGGAAATTCCCTAGGTGTGCTAATAATTACAATATTTGAGGTAAATTAGCAGGAATTCTTGCATACATGGTACTAATTATCTTTTACTAGCAAACATCTTGACTGGTTTTCAAGTTTTATAATTGTATTTTCTATAGGCATAGCACTATATATTTTTTCAAAGTGTTTTAGCATACATAATTCTTGGGGTAAGCTTGTAAGCAGCTAAGGCACTTATTATCCTATTTTTCTGGTGAGTACATGGAAACCCAAGGAAGAGATATGACTTCACTTACTCAAGATTATTTAGAGACATGACAGCAACATTAGTTCTTTTGACTTACTGTTCAAGTGCAAAGCACACTTGCTGTCTCTCCTTCTTACTGTATTATGGCTGTACAGTTCTCCAGGCCTTTAGACACAGGACCAAGAGAGTATTTGGTTTCTTCTCTTCATGCTCTGGCTTCTCTTTTTAATACTTCAAAGCTCAGGAGAGATTTTTCCTAATTTCAAGCTGCACTTTCTGTTTCTCATGTGAACAAAAAATAGTTCTGCTAGATTTGACTGGTTGTACTGTAGGAAAATTCATTCTACTTGTAGAGCACAGCACATATTCTTAACACAGAACATATTAATGCCTTTGATTTCACTGACTGTCATACAATTACCAAGGTTCTAAGACAGAAATCAGAATTTACTATTTTTACCTTTTTTTTTTTAATAAACAAGGGAGCATTTTGACCACTACCATCTTTCTCTTGAACTATTGCTTCTGAACTACCTGGCATCACTCATTTTTTCTATAGTTTATTCTTCAAAAAGGTGAAGACTTTTAAAAATCTTTTAAAAACTTAATTCAACTTGTGTCATTTCCCTACCCAAAACCATCCAATGACTTTTCATTATACTTCAGGGACATCCAACTTTGTAACAAGACCCTGGAGATCCTAAATGATCAGGCTCCTGTATTGATTAACCATTGCCACAATAATGTTGCATTAAAAACAACCACAAACACAAGGACTATAGTCATTTATTCTCACAAATCTGTGAATTGGCTAAGTGGATTTGCTGTAGCCAGCCATTCCGGGGGCAGGACTGCTCAGGCTGCAGCAGTTCAGAAGACTTTCTCCCCATGCTTCTCTCCTCCTTCTCCTGGGAACAGTGGACTAGCTGTGGTAGAGTGAAACTGTGCCACACCTCTTAAAGCCCCCAGTCAGAACTGGCATCCTGTTGTCTTTGCCATTTCTTTTGCCACTGGCCAAAGAACATCAAGGGGATGATCCCAAAGTCAAGGAACAAGAAATACATTTCATGATTGATGAGATAGTGACAGTGAAAAATTCAACTTTATCTTCTAATACTTTCTTCTACTTCAGTCTCCTCTACCCAGATGGATTTTCATTGCTGTTCAAGTGTACAAGGCTTATCTCAACTCCAGAACACTCGCCCTTAACTATTTCGTCTTCCTAGAATGAGTTTCTGCCAGATATTCTGTGATTCATTCTCTCATTGCATCTAGATACCACCTATTGCCAGCCCTTCTGGGAGTTCTTCCCCAATTGGCTTATCTATCTGATGAAATAGTTCCCACACCTACCACTCAAGTGCACACCCCATCATTCTTCATCCTGTTATCCTGCTTTAATTTTCCTAGGGGAGTTATTCAAAGCATTTCCAAATAAATTGTGTTATTGTCATGTGTCTCCACCATTCTACTTCAAGTTCCTTGAGGGAATATATTTTGTCTTTATTGTTCACCAGTATACCCCCACTGCCAAGGACGGTGCCTGGTACATAGAATCAGTTGAATGAGTAAATGAGAGCCATTACTATTACAGTCGAAAATGGGCTACTCAAATGCAAGCCTATTCATCACAAGGTCTAGTCATCAAGCCTAGGGATAAGAAGTTCCCTTATAAATTTTTCTCTCCAAGAAGATGCAGATGCAGCCCAGGCCCTAGAAGAATTCTATATCCCATGGAGCCTTATTATATATTTGGCCATAGAATGATCATAGCATTTTAAATTAAGAAACCACAAATGAGGATGCCACAGAGGAACATCAGAGCATTCTGCTAAAAAGACGCCACATGCAGAAAAGCTCTCTCAGTCCTGCCAATAAAGAAGACCCCTCATCTGACTGCTAATTCTGCAGGCAGGCTAGCACTATCTTATATTTCCTCTTCACTGACAGAATCAAGAAAAAGAAATGAGATGTGAATTTTACCTGGACCCGGTAAAGGCCTCAAGCAGCACACTTTGGGGCATGATGCCAGCTCAAGTGAGGCCCAAGAAGAGCTATGTGGGCCTTCAGCGTCTCTAGTTCACACTAATGGGCCTCGCAAGACCATGTTTGGCTTAAAGGAAGCCATTAATGAACTTCAGATTTTACCTGCACAGATTTAGTTTAAAAATGTTTCCTTAAAATTTTACAGGGAGTTTAGTTCTTGTGACATTTTCAGAAATGGGAGCCAGGCTTTTGTTTGAAAACATAGTGAGATGCCTGCAGTAATAACAATAATGGCCATAGCAATAATAGAAGCAATTGGAAGGTAAAAGATATGAAACTACAGGCTCCACCAGGTTAATTTGGACATTTCTTTATAAAATTTAAGGGCTGCTAAGACACAATTATGATCAACTCTCTTGGAATGTGCTGCATATTCTCAGTGGGATTTTTTATTATTATTATTTCTTGGTGATGGAAAGGAGGGGGAAGGCAGAATGGTGCTGAAACTTTCCACCACTGCTTTCTCCTTCTCATTCAGCACAGCTTTTTAAAAACTCAATTCCAACAAAAAAAATACTCATGTCAGCATATTCTTCAAGGAAAAATAAGGTCCTGCTCTGTCTTCATGTTCACACTTGCATGTGGGAAATATCCAGCAGAACAGGTATGTGCCAAAGTCTTCATAGAAAAAAAATGGTCCTTTCCTCCCTTTCCTTCCTCTAACTTTTCTGAAACATACAACAGGAGAAACAGATGTGGAATACAGTAATGAACATACACCTTTGTCATCTAACGTTCTGAATTTTAGGTTTTCAACAGAACTTGAACTTTAAGGCTGTGCAGATATAATAGGATTTCCAGGTTTCAATAAGGTGGAGGAGGTGGTAGGGGTAGTGGGAGTTAGTACTAAAAAAGAGTGAATACCAGAAACTCATGAAAATTCTTGGACATTGAACCACTCTCATAAAATAATGCTGTGCCGAGTTATATGTAAATGAGCCAGAAACATGCAGATTAAATATCCATTAAAGACACTGGGATTTAAAAATCAAGAAGGGAAATGTTCTGAATATATTGTGCTTTAGGAAGTATTTTGGATAAAATATTTCGGAAAAAATACTTTGGGGATTTTTTGGCTAAACCTAATACCTGGCCATAGTGTTCTTCTTGCTGAGGGTTATCAGAAAGGGAAAAAGTGAACTCTATTTTCCAGATTGTGGGTGGCCTGCAAAAAAAGTCCAAAGAGAAACACTAGTATGGCCTAGAAATAACCCAAAGAATCCAAGAAATTGTCTCTTTATATCCGGAAAATAAGGCCTTTGAGAGAAGTGGCTCATTCATATTTGTATTCCAGCATTTAGCACCTGCATGAAAAGAATGAATAAAATATTGAATAAATTAGTGAGCAAATGAATGAATCAGTGAGTGAAGACAGAAGGAGACACTACTCTAAATAATTCTGTATAAAGCATGCTTTCTGCTTCACAATTTTACATTATAATGTTCAGCTAGTAACATCTCTGAGTATGTGCAGAATTTTCATGCATAAAAGGAATGAAAAGCTTATCTTATCATTAGAGTTGAGATTTAGACCATGTGCAGTGAAAAAGACTCAGACCAAGAACTCATTTTTTAATTTTTTTAAAATTGATGGAAAAAATTTTTTTATTTTTTTAAATTGATGGATAAAATTGTATGTGTTTACTATGCATAAAATATTGTTTTGAAACAGGCAGACATTGTGGAATGATGAACTAGCTGATTAACTTATGTATCGCCTCACATAGTTATCATTTTCGTGGTGAAAACACTTTACATCCACTCTGTCAGCATTTTTCAGGAATATAATATATTGTTTACTATAGTTACCATGTAGTACAATGGCTCTCTTAAACTTATTTCTCCTATCTAACTGAAAGTTTGTATCCTTTGACCAACATCTCCCCAACACCAACCCCTCAACCATTTCAGTCCCTAGTAACCATCATTCTACTCTCTACTTCTGTAAGATCAACTTTTTTGGACTCCACGCATGAGTGAGATCATGTGGTATTTGTCTTTCTGGGCCCCTTCCTTTGTTAGTCAAGGCCAAGTTTACTTATCAGCACCTTGGTTTACTTATCTATACAGCAGAGCTACAAGAGATGAACTGCCACACAATGTATCAATTCTTCCTGCATTTTAAAAATGATCATCATTACTACCACATGAGGTTTAAACTTTAAGGCTCTTGATTATTTGTTCCTATTACTCTTCAACATTTAACCTTTAGTACTAGCCAGTTAGCCTCATTAATAGGGCATAAAATTGCTGTATTAGAGTAAAAACACCCAGAAAGATCAATGATATGTACTAATCCGCAAACTCTCTTCCTCCCACAAGTTCAAAATGTTTCTGTCATCCAGAGCTCACTCCAAGTACTCTGAACTCCCACAGCACTCTACACCCGGGGCATATGGTTCAGTGCTATGTCATACTACTCGTTACTCATTATCATTTGCACTGGTCTTTTATCAGTTGCTAAAATCTAAGTTTATTCAGGGCAGGTCTTTGCCTCTTATAGTTGTCTTGTGCCCCCCACAGCACACAAGCACAAAGTAGGTGCTCGCTGAATGCTTGATGATTTAGACACATGCAGTTAAACCAAGAATGACCAAAAGATCGGAAAGGGGCTATCAGTGGATTATAGATTTCACAAAACTTTGGAAAACAAAAAGCTGATAGAAGAGTGGTAAATGATGCAGCACCTCAGAGAAGACCTTAGCTTAGAGTGATTGAAGAAAGAGTTCGGAAAAAAAAGGAAGCAACATATCCTGCAGAACCCCAGATGGGAAGCTAATGTTGGGAGTGGTAATGAGGCAATGGGCTGAAACCATGGGATTAGTTGAAAGTCTGCATATAATCATCTTAAGCCCATGCCCACAACATCACACCCCACTTCCGATGGAATGGTAATCAGATATCTCATTCTTAGACATGAAAATGAAGGTATTTTCATTCTAGAGAAAATGAGGAAGGCTAGAGGAACAAATGCTTGGTGTTCTTACATTCTGTGAGTCCCATGGCTCTCTGTGTGATCACTAATAGGTAGGAATGCCAATTGAAAATAAAATCAAACACAGAGGTCACAGTCAGTTTTTAATGGACAATTGAACTGTGAATTAACATGTTTTAAAAAAAGAATACCACAATATGAAAGACAAGATAAACAGAACAAAAATTCCCACAAGAGAAACTGAGGAGATAGGAGAATAATAATAGCAATAACAAGTAATAATATCCTACAATTTGTATCACCCAACAAATTAAATTTTATTAATCATGCTGCCATGGAAAATAAGCAATTGGAGAAAAGAGAGAGTTCTTGGAAATTAAATATGTGAGTGCCTAAAATATGCAAAAAATTGAGAAAATAAAGTTAAGGACATTTTTCAAAAAAGACAATTCTAAGAGGTCTAACATCTGACTGAATAGGAGTTACAGGAAAAAAAATCAAACCAAAACAAAACAAAGACTTGCTGGAGGAGTTAAAGAACCATAAAGCTCTGCATTGAAAGGGCAAACTGAATCTCTAGCAAAATAATTTTCAAAAATACTGACAGAAAATCACATTATAAAATTTTAGAATTCCAAACGTAAAATGAAGACTCTAAAAGCTCCCAGAGAGTAAAAGGAAGCAACTGGAAAGAAACAAGTTTCTGAATAGCTTCAGACTTCTCATCCACAACACTGGATGCTCAAAGGCGATGTAAAACTTCTACAAAATTCCTGGAAAAAATTCTAGGTTGCTCTTTCCATCTAGAGCTTATGGTTCTTTAACTATGATATCTATATTTATTACTATATCTATCCATTTATCTATATATCTAGATACGCCCTTTTCTTTAAATAGCATCCTGCTCCCAATTCTCTTGGTTTCTTTCCTGGAATATGTATTAATTAAAAGTTAGATATCCTAAGTTTGTCTCTTAAATTTTTTTCTTCTATTTTAGAGCTCTTTACCTATTTCTATATCCTAACAAACCATCAGTCATAAGTGTGGATTGAATAAAGATATTTTTAAACATGTGTGGTTGCATATGCTGCTTGCCTTTTGTGTACGCTTTGGTACTTAAGGATGTGGTAATCCTTATACCCAGGAGTACACCTTATACCCAGGAAAAGACCTATGACCCAGGTCTTTTTTTTTTTTTTTTTTTTAACAGCAAAATGTCTCTGATAAAACTCTGCTGGGAAATGTAATCATTTTATAAGAAAATCCTCTAATAAAAGGTAAAATAACAACTTTGGGAGACAAAAGTTTTATCAGGAAAGAAATGTGATCTAAGGTCACTACTTGGCACTGAGGAATCACGTATTTCTTCTTAATAATGCAAATAGTGTTCATTTATTCACCTAAAATTAAAGCATATGATTACTTTGTAAGGATTAGCAAGAAGCTGGAAGGTGGTCTAAGAGATTAAATCCTCAATATCCTATCAGGAAGCAGAGAATGCAATATGTATAGGTACATTATTTAGCAACATGAAGGGAACAAACAGAAAATAGTTTAAAATAGTTGCTTGTTGGCCTGGCACGGTGGCTCACACCTGTAATCCCAGCACTTTGGGAGGCCGAGGCGGGCGGATCACGAGGTCAGGAGATCGAGACCATCTTGGCTAACACGGTGAAACCCCGTCTCTACTAAAAATACAAAAAATTAGCCAGGTGCGGTGGAGGGCGCCTGTAGTCCCAGCTACTCGGGAGGCTGAGGCAGGAGAATGGCGTGAACCCTGGAGGCGGAGCTTACAGTGAGCGGAGATAGCGCCACTGCAGTCTGGCCTGGGTGAAAGAGAAAGACTCCGTCTCAAAAAAAAAAAAAAAAAAAAAAAATAGTTGCTTGTACAGAATCTGCAGTGGGAATGGGAAATAGTGAAAAAACTGATTTCCCTCATTTTAAGCCTTTTTTGCTCTACCTTACTTTTTAACATGTATATATATATCTGTTAATAAATATTTTAAATATATTTAAATAAATAGATTCAAAGCATGAGATGACAGATGTGTTGCAATTATAACCACCTTCAACTTGGTGATCAAACTAAATGAAGGCTAAGACATTCAACACTGAGAGAGAGCCTACTTCTTAGTCTTATTTGTCATATCTATAATTTTTCTTAGAGCAATTTACAACCAAAGAAGAAAAAGGTACAGAGAGTTCATGTTTACTCTGAGAAAGCATTGGCTTTTATACTCAATTTCTGCCTATAGTGGCATTCCAGTACAGCACAAATGAAAGAAAACTAATAACTAAAAATATTTTTAAATGTGATTTTATATATATATATATATATATATATATGAATATTATTCAGCTTTAAAAAAGAAGAAAATTCTTTTATTTGCAACAACATGAATGTACCTTGAAGACATCATGTTACACAAAATAAGCCAGGCACAGAAAGATAAATACCTGATGACCTCACTTATATATGCAATCTTAAAAAATCAAACTCATAAAAGTAGAGAGCAGAATGGTGGTTACCACGGGCTGGGGGAGTTGAAGGAGAATGGGAAGATGTTGTCAAAGGGTAAAAAGTTTCAGTAAGACAGGAGGAATTAATTCTGGAGATCTATTGTATAACATGGTGACTACAGTTAATAACAATATACTGTGTGCTTGAAAATGCTAAGAGGGTAGATTATAAATGTCTTCACCACAAAGAAAATGTGAAGTGATGGGTATGTGAATTAACTTGATTTAATCATTCCACAATGTATACATATATCAAAACATCACGTTGAACTCCATAATTTTATACAATAAAAAAAATAAGAACTCTTCAGAGTCACATTGCCAGTGTAACACTTCCAAGTGCTACTAGTAAAATTCCTCTTTTGTACGAATCAGGAAATTGCTTGAATATGGGAGGGTGAAGACTTGGTCTCTTTGAGGATTGTGATTGTGGCGTGATGACTTCTAGGAGCTCAAAAAAACCTGTATTTAATTGAGTTGAATGTGAGTAAAGGTCCTGGCAATGTTTTATTCTAGAATATAAAACAAGCAGTAGCAAGAATAGCAGACAAATCTCTCTTATTTTAAAATCTGCCTATTTCCCCTTCATTTCATCTTATTTCTTTGTGCCCTAAATATTCTTAACTTGACAATCACATATCTATTGTAAATTTTAAACACCTATTCTTTAGAAAGAAGCAGAAATATATTATTGGATTTTTGTATTTAATTTTGAAAATGTATTTTTTCTATGGCAACAAATTTTTAAATTTTACCTTAATAAATTCTCCATGTGTAGTTTCTATTAACTATGTGTGTCCACAATGCAAAATTTAGTGAGCCAAATCTCAAAATGTGCTCATGAACATTGCCTAACATACTGGTTCCTTCTGTGATGGAGAACTAATTAAAGAGTGTGTTTAAATACCTCTAAAACATTTTATTTTACATGTAGTTCAAATGCATTATCAAAAGTTAGAAAATAATAAAAATACTAAAAAAGTTTTATGTAATCTTATCTATCCACATAATATTCTTAATATTATCTATGATATTTATAACAATTATATTAATAAATTTATATTGATTCTAACATTCTGAGATTGGTTATAATCATATTAAATTAATAATATTATGTTTTGCTGCCAGATATTTATCTGTGTAAAAAACATGTAAAACGGCCGGGGGCAGTGGCTCATGCCTGTAATCCTAGCACTTTGGGAGGCCGAGGTGGGCAGATCACTTGAGGTCAGGAGTTTAAGCCTGGCCAACATGGTGAAAATTCATCTCTACTAAAAATACAAAAAAATTAGCTGGGCATGGGGGCAGGCACCTGTAATCCCAGCTACTTGGGAGGCTGAGGCAGGAGAATCTTGAACCCAGGGGGCAGAGGTTGCAGTGAGCCAAGATCTCGCCATTGCACTCCAGCCTGGGCAACAAGAGCAAAAGAAACTTCGTCAAAAAAAAAAAAAAAGTAAAACGTATATAGATAGATCTGAATAAAATATATAAATAAATTATGCTTTTCACACCAATAGAAGCATATCTTTCTGTAACCTTTTTCATGTGCCAATGTATCATTAACACAATTCATTTTCTTGCCAATCAGTATAGATCTGCATCATTTTACCAGCAGCTGCGTAGGTTCTGATATGTTGATATACATTATTCAGCCAATATCCTGATGTTGGACATATATGCTATCTACAATTTGTGACTAATACAAACATATATAAACAAAAACTAAGCCACATACATATGCATACATATTTGAGCACATATATTCTTATTTCTTTAGCGTACATTGCCTATAAGTGAAACTGTTGGGTCAAAAGATCTGCACAATTCGAAGACTTTTGATGTACATGCATCTGATTTTCCTTTGGGAAAATTGGTGCTAGTTTACATCCCACCAGCAATTAGGGAAATGCCTTTTCATTTACATATTTTACAATATCAGATATTATTATTCTTTTTATCACTGCCACTCTGGTAAAAAATATTTAACTTGCATTTCTTTGCTTATTACTGAGTTTCAACTTCTTTTTTCCCAGTGTTTATTTTGTTTCTCTTGTGAATTGCCTGTTCATCCTCATTGTGTACTATTATTAGGGTGTGAAAAACTTTTAAGAAAGTTCCAACTTTTCTGTTATAAATAACATTTTATGTTCTAATAAATCTAGATTTTGAACTAGGTTTTGGCAAGTTATGAACATTCACATGCAGAAGATTCACTATTGTTTTTCATTCACAAGGCTTGCCAATGACAAACTGTGTTTTAGTCTCATGATAAACTGTTTCTTAGTCTTGTAATAGTACAAAACTACGCTGAAATGTTATATTTTGTTTGCCATAGAAACAAGGACAGAGAGACATATCTATTAAAGATTAGGATGATGAATTACATTTCTTTTCTTATGATAATGCTGTTTTTAAGGGCTTATAATTTTAAAATAGATCATCTCAATGACCCTAAAAAGCCTTTTTTCCAATATATTTATTCAAACGCTTAACCATTTTTCCCCAATTATCAGTGTTCACTTGTTTTAAATTCTTCTCAAATAGCAACATTTGCTAAACTTTGGTGGCAAATGTTGATCCACATAGTGGTTTTTAATGTTTATTCTTCCTAAGGATAATATTTTTCTCTCCTATTCTTTCACCCTTCCCTTCTGTCATTGTATTTCTTCACTAGTTTGCTTAAATGATATTGGTGCACCATGATCACAGGAAAAGCACATTGACTTAAAAAAGTACAAGATAGCCTTGCAGTGGATTGAAAGGTGGCTTCCCCCAAAAGATGTGTTCATGTCAACTCCCTGGAACTTTAAATGTCACCTTATTTGGGGGAGAAAAAAAAAGTCTTTCCAGATGTAATTAAATTGAGGACCTTGAGATAAGCTAATCTTCCCAGATTATCTGGGCTCTAAATCCAATGAGAAATGCCCTTCTAAAAGACACAGACAAGAGCTACACACAGACGGAAGAGCAAAAGGCAGTGTGACCACATAGGCAGAGATTAGAGTGATGCAGCCAAGAAATACCAAGGAATGCTGACAGCCACTGCAAGCTGAAAAACATAAAGAATAGAATCTCCTCAAGAGCCTCTAGAAGAATTGTGGCCCTTGAGCTCAGACTTCTGGTCTCCAGAAACATGAGAGAATAAATTTCTGTTGTTTTAAGTCATCCAATTTGCAGTAATTTGTTACAGCAGCCGCAGGAAACTAATACAAGCACTAACGTTGAAAATCTCACCCGTTAAAATGGAATCTTCCTAATTCTGGAAACATAATTAGAATTACTTTAATTAATTTGATTATTTCTCTCTGGGCAATGCGTGGTATTCAATACAGTGGTAAAAGAATACATGCTGGAGTATAAAACTACCTTAATTCAAGCTCCAACTCCAGCTCTTACTACCTGGCTTACTTAGGACAATTATATTAGCTTTTCTGAGACTCGGCCTCGTCATCTAAAAAACGATGATAATAATGGTACCTACTTCATAAGGGTTGTTGTAAAGATTAAATGAGTTATATATTTAAATTGCTTAGATCTTTCTAATAACCTGGCACATACACATAACTAAGTGTTCACTGTAATAAGCATTTTTACATTTGTAAACAATTCCATATATACTGTATGGATTTTCTAGGGTCGTTATAAAAAAGTACCACAAACTGAGTGGCTTAAAAACAGAAATGTATTGTCTCACAGTTTTGAAAGGTAAAAATCTGAAATCAAGAGGTCAGCAGTTTTGTTGCTATCGAGGGCTGTGAGGGCAAGATCTGTTCCAGGCTTCTCTCATTGGCTTACAGATGGCCATCTTCTCCTGTGTCTCTTTTCATCTTCCCTCTTTGTATGTCCATCTCTGTCTGTACATTTCCCCTTTTTGTAAAGACAACAGTTACACTGCATTAGAACCCACCCTAGAGATCTCTTTTTAACTTGATTACCCTGTAAAGGTCCTATCTCCAAATGAGGTCACACTCTGTGATACTGGGGACTATGATTCCAACATGTCATTTCTGGGGCAATAAAATTCAATTGATAACATAACTCCAGAATTCCACTCCAGTATATACTCCCCTCTTTGGCTTCCCTTGCCTTATATTCTTACCAAATGGAAATGCATGGCATAATATTTAGAAATAGGAAGCTTGAACTGAAAAAATACTACATATGTTAGTGGGAGAAAGGTGAGGCAATTGTATGAAGGAGTTGGTAAATTGTGGGTCAATAAAAATGGAGTTTGCTATTCACCTTATTCGTATATGTTTACTTTTTCTTTAAAAAGTAGAATTAAAAAGAGAAGCCTCCCATAATTATTTTTCTCTTTAGAATTTCTTCAAGAAATTTTTTGAAAATGTTGTTTAATATCACCCACAAGAAGCAGTTTTAGAAACATAGCTTTTTAAGGAAAAAATTTTATAAGCAATAAAAAGCAAAACGTATATTTCATTTTTTTTCTACCTTAGCACAAAAGGCTATATTTCAGACCAATAAAAATAGCAATTTCCAACTTCCATATATAATTTGTCAGGCATATAAAGAGAGATCTCTGGGAAAGATAGATATGATAAAATGCTCTTCTGTAAAACCCAGGTTGAAAAGTACTCTTGTTCATTCCAAGAGAAGTTGGAAAATTATTCAAAGAAACATGTAGCAAAAATAATTCACCCCTATTAAGGGGTAAATTAGATACTTTAATAAGTGTTCAACCAGTACATTTTTGTCCTTTAACCTCACTCAACAGCTTGACTCCCATATATATATATATATATATAGCTAGTATTTACAAAAGCTTTGGAGACAAAGAAATGCTCTAATCTCTATTAAGGTATTTCCCTCTGTGAACAAGTGTCTTACAGTAATTCCAGCTGAAACAGCCAAAACTCCACACCTTATGACTAAACATCAATACATATATTTTTAACAAATATTTATTTTTAAATTGTCTTTGAGCTCCTACTATGTGCAAGACCTCACATTATTAAAAGGGCACAAAGTTTTTCTTTTTCCAACACATGAATAAAAAGTTTGTTTTTTAAATATTTGGTAGAGTATCCAGCCTCAATGATTTATTTAGCAAGTTAGCATAGTACAGTAATTGGCATTCTTACTGACTGATCAAAAAAGCACGGGTGAAAAATTAAAATCATCTAAGGCTCGTGAGACTGGGGCAGTAGACAGCTGCTTAACTAAAATCGTCATTCTCTAGCCTCCAGAGACCTTATGTAGGATGTCTACACAGTGGAGTCCCTCTCACTAAAAATCTTTCCTATTGAAAGCTATACTCAGTGGCCAGCACTATGAAAGTTATTTGTTTAATTATAATGTGTTATAAAATCTCCAGGGTTTATTAAAATTCATGTCTTATACAAGAAGCATTTACCACCAGGAACCGATAGGGACTCAATGAAAATAGGCACTACTAAAATAAATTTATAATTTTCTTGGCATTGGTCATTATATTTGTAGATCAGGGAATTCAAAAATGTAATGCATCTCAATTTAAAAAATATGTTGAACAAATGCCTTAATATGGGGGAAATTAAAAAATATATATTGGATAATAGTATAGTTGGTTGAACTAGCTAAACAACTATGTATAGAAAGACAGTCAATTAGAGGAATGAGGCTAGCTCTGATGTGGAAAAGAAGAAGTCTTTGATGACAGTCTACTGGATTCTCCACTAAGCCTTGTTCTTGTTAAAATCAATGTCTTTTTTGGGGAGGATGGAAATGGAGTCTTGCTCTGTCGCCCAGGCTGGAGTGCAGTAGCGCAAACTCAGCTCACTGCAACCTCCACCTCCTGGGTTCAAGCAATTCTCCTGCCTCAGCCTCCCGAGTAGCTGGGACTACAGGCACACGCCACCACGCTTCGCTAATTTTTTGTATTTTAGTAGAGATGGGGTTTCACCATGTTGCCCAGGCTGGTCTCGAACTCCTGAGCTCAGACAATCTGCCTGCCTTGGCCTCCCCAAGTGCTAGAATTACAGGCATAAGCCACGGCGCCCAGCCTAAAATCAATGTCACTGACATTATAGATAATGTGTAACTCAAATTTGAAGACAGCAAACAGTTTGAAAAGATAGCCAATAACCTGGAAAACAGGATAAAGACTCAAATATTGGAGATTTATACCTGAGTACACTAAATAAGAATAAAATATGTGTAGTTCCCTTTAAATTGTAAAGGCTGTGAACAAGATTGTTGTTATTATTGCATGAACAAATAAATGCATGCCATATTAGACTGCATCAATGAGTACTGGGTATCTTCAGAGATTTGTATTCATCCAGAATAGGTGTAGCGGATGAGTTTTTTTCAGTGGCATATGGACTTGATACTATGTCCTAAAAAACAGTTGAAGTGAGTTATACCCTGGAGAAGTAAAGATAGTACCAATCTGCCTTTATAAAATTAAAGATTTTAAATAGATGAGGCAACTGACTTTTTTCTTTGTGGACCTGAGAAGAGAATTACAAATAGACTTCAACTTGATATCAAGAAGATCTTTCTATGTGTCAAAATCTATAATTTACATGGCAGTAGTATCTATTTGTGTCTTGTTCATCTCTGTATGCCAAATGCCTAAAAAATGCCTGGTACATGAAAAGTGCTCAGTAAATATTATTGAGTGAGAATTTAGTAAGTTCCATGTCTGTAGGATCTAAAGTATAGATTAGATAATCCCCTAGCAGAACATTTGTGCACTCAGTTAATAAGGGATAGAGTGACTGTTTTCCTATTTTTATTTTTTGTTTTCTTTTTAGCAGCTGACACTTTTTTTCATAAGAATTCTTACATAAAAACCCAAGATATAAAACAGATAATATCAGAGAAACTTTCTTGAACGGAGTGTACGTTGTAGAAACCTAGACCTACAACATAGACCCAGTTCAACAAAGTTTCTCTGATTTTATCTGTTTTATATCTTAGGTTTTTATGTAAAAAAAAAAATTTATCTGTTTTATATCTTGGGTTTAACATCAGAATGTTATACAAACTTTCATTGCTGAATTCCTTCATAAGTAAAATGAAATAACATAGCTTATCGTTGATATTCCTTTTGAATCTAAAAACCCATAATGCAAATAAATATTTAAAATACAATGTATGTGAGATGTCATATTAGAAGTAAAAATGCGGAAAGTGACAGATGGTCGCTGAGTGCCTACAAGATACCAGACTTCATATTAGGTTATTTTTGTTTGATAATTTTAAGGTTTCAATTCAAGAAAGAATTACTTCTGATTAGGTTAAAAAGATGACTTCATGGAGGAGATTGAATTTGAGTTAAATCTAAAAAGGCTTCAATAAGTAAAAAAATGAAAGAGCATTATAGGCCATAAGCTTAATTTCTTTGTTTTTTTTTAATAGAACTATAATAAAGTAACTTTGTGACAAAATTCCAAAAATCTACAAAGGCATTACTTTTTATTCATTTAGAACAATTCTGAGTATCAAGAAAAAAATTGATATTAAAAACAAATCCCCCATCATTTGCAGTGGTAAAAATCAACAGCATGTGCCTCCTGATGTAATCCACCAAGAAAAACATAACATCACTTTTTCACTTCCTGCCAGAAGCACATAACCTGAGTCTAATCATGAGAAAATACTGACGAACTCAAATTGAGGGCTATTTAAAAACATAAGGAATCTGCATTATTTGAAAGTGTCAATGCCGTGAAACACAAAGAGTTAGAAACAGTTCCTGATTAAAAGAGACCAAATAAGAGATGGAGTAAGGTGGCCAAATAGAACCCTCCAGTGATCATCACCTCTGCCTCTTCAGGAACACCAAATTGAACAACTGTCCACACAAAAGGGCACCTTCATAGGAGCCAAAAATCAGGTGAGTGATCACAACACCTGGTTTTAACATCATAGCAAGGAAAAAGGCTCTGAGGAGGATGGGAAAGACAGTCTTGAATTGTTGACACCACCCCTCTCATATGCCCTGGCAGTGGCCATCTGGCACAGAGAGGATTCTGTGTGCTTGGAGGAGGGAGAGCACAGTGATTGTGGGACTTTGTGTTGGAACTCAGTTGTAGTCTTGTCACAGCAGAAAGCAACACAGGGCAGAATTCAGCCAGCACCTGCGGAGGGAGCATTTAAACCAGCCCTAGCCAGAGGGGACTGTCCATCTCAACAGGAGCCAAAAATCAGGTAAGTGATCACAGTACCTGGTTTTAACATGATAGCAAGGAAAAAGGCTCTGAAGAGGATGAACTCTGATGAGTTCTGGCTAGCCTCAATACTGTGGGCTAAAGGGCTCTGGGGTCCTAAATAAATTGAAAGGCAGTCTAGACCACAAGGACTGCAAAACTAGGCAAATCCTGGTGCTGTGCTGGGTTTGGAACCAATGGACTTGGGGTACATAAAACCTAATGAGACATCAGTTGGGTTGGCCAAGGGAGTGACTGCATCACCCCTCCCTCAACTCCAGGCAGTGCAGCTCACAACTTCAGGAGAAATTCCTTCTACCTGAAGAAAAAAGAGGGAAGTGTAAAAAGAACATTGTCTTGCAACTTGGATACCAGCTTGGCCACAGTAAAATAAAGTACCAAGCAGAGTCCTAAAGTCCCCATTCCAGGCCCTAGCTCTCAGACAACATTTCTAGACACACCCTAGGCCAGAAGGGAACCCGCTGCCTGGAATGAAAGAACCCAGTCCTGGCAGGATTCACCAGCCGCTCACTAAAGAGCCCTTGGGCTTTGAATAAACATCAGTGGTAGCCAGGCAGTGCTCATCATGGGCCTTTGGCGAGACCCAATACTGTGCTGGCTTCAGATGTGACCCAGCACATCCCCAGCTGTGGTGGCCATGGGGAAAGTTTCCTTCTGCTTGAGAAAAGGAGAGTAAAGAGTAAAGGTGACTTCGTCTTGCAGGTTAAGCACAAGCTCAGCCACAGTAAAATAAAGCACCCAGTACGTACCTAGATTTCCTGACTCCAGGCCCTAGTTATCAGACAGTGCTTTTAAACCCACCCTGGGCCAGAAGGGAACCCACTTCCCTGAAGGGAAAAACACAAGCCTGGTTGAATTCACCACTTGCTGAATAAAGAGCCCATGGGCCATCAGTGGTAACCAGGCAATAGTCACCACAGACCTTGGGCAAAACCCAGTACTATGCTTGCTGCAGGTCTGATCCAGACACCTGGAACCAATCCTGGAGTAACAGAGACATGTGACCTTTCAGAGAATTCAAAACATCTGTTTTAAGGAAGTACAATGAAATTCAAGATAATGCAGAGAAGGAATTCAGAATCTTAACAGATAAATTTAACAAAGAGGTTGAAATAATTTTAAGAAACCAAGCAGAAATTCTGAGGCTGAAAAATTCAATTGACATACTGAAGAATTCATCAGAGTCTTTTAACAGCAGAATTGATCAGGCAAAAGAAAGGGTTAGCAAGCTTCAAACAGACTACCTGAAAATACATAGTCAGAGGAGACCAAAGAAAAAAGAATAAAAAACAATGACACACAACTACAAGACCTAGAACAGAGCCTCAAAAGGGCAAATCTAAGAGTTATTGGCAATAAAGAGAAATTAGAGAGAGATATCAGGATAGAAAATTTATTAAAAGGGATAATAGCAGAGAGCTTCCCAACCTTACAGAAAGATATTAATATTCAAGTACAAGAAGGTTATAGAACACTAAGCAAGCAGATTTAATCCAAGTAAGACTACCTCAAGACATTTAATAATCAAACTTCCAAAGATCAAGGATGAAGAAAGGATCCTAAAGGTAACAAAAGAAAAGAAATAAATAACATACAATGGAGCTCCAATATGTTGGTGGCAGCTTTCTCAGTGGAAACATTACATGCTAGGAAAGAATGGGAATATATATTTAAAGTGATTAAGGAAAAAAAATGTTATCCTAGAATAGTGTATTCAGTGAAAATATTCAAATATGAAATGCAAATAAAGCCTTTCCCAGACAAACAAAAGCTAAGGGATGTCTTCAATACCAGATCTGTCCTACTAAAGGGAGTTCTTCAATCTGAAAGAAAAAGACATTAACAAGCAATAAGAAATCATGTGAAGATAAGAAAACTCACTGATAAGCAAATACCACTAATAAGTATACAGAAAAGCACAGACTGTTATAACACCCTAATTGTGGAGTGTGAACTACTCATATCTTCAGCAGAAAAACTAAAAGACAAACCAATCAAAAATAATAACTATAACAACTTTTCAACACAGACATTATATAAATATGAGATAAAAATAGAAAAAAACAAAAAGTTAACAAACAGGGGAAGGAGTGGAATGAAGTTAAGATGCAAAGTTGTTATTACTTTTCTCTTTGCTTATTTGTTAATTGTTTCTAAAATTAACACCAGTTAGTGTTAAGTTGTCATCAGTTTAAAGTAATGGGTTATTAGATGTTATTTGCAAGCCCCATGGTAACCTCAAATCAGAAAACCTACAACAGATACACAAAAAGTAAAGAGTAAGAAATTAAAACATAGCACCAGGGAAAATTACTTTCACAAAAAGGAAACCAGGAAAGTAAGAAGAAAGGAAAACAAGGCCACAAAACAAAAAGGAAACAAATAACAAAATGTTAATAGTAAGCCCTTATCAATAATAACGCTGAATGTAAATGGACTAATCGCCCCAATCTAAAAACATAAAGAATGGCAAAAGATATTTCATGCAAATGGATATAAGTAAATATAAGCAGGAGTCACTATACTTATATCACACAAAGTAGGTTGCAAGACAAAGACCATAAAAAGAGACAAAGTCATTATATAATGATAAAGGGGTCAATTCATCAGGAGAATATGACAATTATAAATATATATGTGGCTGGGCACAGTGGCTCATGCCTGTAATCCCAGCACTTTGGAAGGCTGAGGTGGGTAGATCACCTGAGGTAGGTAGATCACCTGAGGTCAGGAGTTTGAGACTAGCCTAGCTAACATGGCGAAACCCCATCTCTAACAAAAAAAGAAAAAAAATACAAAAATTAGCTGGGCATGGTGGCAGTTGCCTGTAATCCCAGCTACTCAGGAGGCTGAGGCAGGAGAATCGCTTGAACTCAGGGGGCGGAGGTTGCAGTGAGCCAAGATCGCGCCACTGCACTCCAGCCTGGGCAACATAAGACTCCGTCTCAAAAAAAATTATAATAAAAAAAAATATGCAACCAGCACCGGAGTACTCAGATATATAAAACAAACATTATTAGAACAAAAAAAAGGGATAGATTATAATATGAAAATAACTTGAGACTTCAACACCCCACTTTCTACATTGAACAAATCTTCCAGACAAAAAATCAACAAAGAAACATTGAACTCAATTTGTACTATAGACAAAATGGATTTAATAGATATTTACAGAACATTTCATCCAATGGCTACGGAATACATTTTTTTCTTCACCACATGAAACAGTCTTAAGTATATATCATACATTAGGCCACAAAACAAGTCCAAAAATTAAAAAACACATACATCATATCAAGTATCTTCTTGGATCACAATGGAATAAAACTAAAAATCAATAAAAAAAGAAACATTGAAAATCATAAAAACACATGGAAATTAAACAGCATACAACTAAATAATCAGTGGGACAATTGAGAATTTAAGAAGGAAATTGAAAGCTTTCTTGAAACAAATGAAAATGGAAACATACGATACCAAAACTTACGAAGTACAGCAAAGGCAGCACTAAGAGAAAAGGTTATAGCAATAAGTGCCTACATCAAATAAGTCGAAAAACTTCAAACAAATGACCTAGCAATGCATCTTAAAGAACTAAAAAAGCAAGTGCAAATCAAACTGAAAATTAGTAAAAGAAATGATCAGAGCAGAAATAAATGACACTGAAATGCAGAAAACAATACAAAAGATCGATGAAAAAAAGTGGGGTTTTTTGGAAAAGATAAAATCTACAAGACTGTAGCCAGACTAACTTAGAAAAAAGAATACCCACATAAAATCAAAAAAAAACTAGAGATGAAAAAGGAGATATTATAAAAGATACTGCAGAAATTCAAAGGATTATTAGAGACTACGATGAGCAACTACAGGCCAATAAACTGGAAAACCTAGAAGAAATGGATAAATTCCTATACACATACAATCTACCAAGATTGAACCATGAAGAAATCCAAAACCTGAATGGACAATTAAGAAGTACGAAATGGAAGCCATAGTAAAATCTCTCCAAGCAAGGAAAGCCTGGGACCCAGTACCTTTCCTGCTAAATTTTACCAAACACTTAAAGAAGAGGCAGTTCCAAGATGGCCGAATATGAACAGCTCCAGTCTACAGCTCCCAGTGTGAGTGACGCAGAAGACGGGTGATTTCTGCATTTCCAGCTGATGTACCGGGTTCATCTCACTGGGGCTTGTCGGACAGTGGGCACAGGACAGTGAGTGCAGTGCACCGAGGGTGAGCTGAAGCAGGGCAGGGCATGGCATCGCCTCACCCGGGAAGCACAAGGGGTCAGGGAATTCCCTTTCATAGCCAAGCAAAGCTGTGACAGACGGCACCTGGAAAATCGGGTCACTCCCACCCTAATACTGTGCTTTTCCAATGGTCTTAGCAAACGGCACACCAGGAGATTATATCCCGTGCCTGGCTCAGAGGGTCCCATGCCCACAGAGCCTCGCTCATTGCTGACACAGCAGTCTGAGATTGAACTGCAAGGCAGAAGCAAGGATGGGGGAGGGGCGCTCACCATTGCTCAGGCTTGAGTAGGTAAACAAAGCTGCCAGGAAGCTTGAACTGGGGGCAGTCCACTGCAGCTCAAGGAGGCCTGCCTGCCTCTGTAGACTCCACCACTAGGGGAAGGGCATAGCTGAACAAAAGGCAGCAGAAACCTCTGCAGATTTAAATGTCCCTGTCTGACAGCCTTGAAGACAGTAGTGGTTCTCCCAGCACAGAGTTTGAGATCTGAGAACGGACAGACTGCCTCCTCAAGTGGGTCCCTAACCCCTGAGTAGCCTATCTGGGAGGTACCCCCCAGTAGGGGCAGACTGACACCTCACACGGCTGGGTACCCCTCTGAGATAAAACCTCCAGAGGAACGATCAGGCAGCAGCATTTGCTGTTCAGCAATATTCGCTGTTCTGCAGCCTCCACTGCTGATAACCAGGCAAAAAGTGTCTGGAGTGGACCTCCAGCAAACTCCAACAGACCTGCAGCTGAGGGTCCTGACTGTTAGAAGGAAAACTAACAAACAGAAGGGACATCCACACCAAAACCCCATCTGTACGTCACCATCATCAAAGACCAAAGGCAGATAAAACCACAAAGATGGGGAAAAAACAGAACAGAAAAACTGGAAATTCTAAAAATCAGAGCACCTGTCCTCCTCCAAAGGAATGCAGCTCCTCACCAGCAACAGAACAACACTGGATGGAAAATGACTTTGATGAGTTGAGAGAAGAAGGCTTCAGATGATCAAACTTCTCCGAGCTAAAGAAGGAAGTTCGAACCCATCCCAAAGAAGTTAAAAACCTTGAAATAAGATTAGATGAATGGCTAACTAGAATAACCAATGTAGAGAAGTCCTTAAAGGACCTGATGGAGCTGAAAACCATGGCACAAGAACTACGTGACAAATGCATAAGCTTCAGTAGCCCATTCGATCAACTGGAAGAAAGGGTATCAGTGATTGAAGATAAAATGAATGAAATGAAGCAAGAAGAGAAGTTTAGAGAAAAAAGAATAAAAAGAAATGAACAAAGCCTCCAAGAAATATGGGACTACGTGAAAAGACCAAATCTACGTCTGACTGGTGTACCTGAAAGTGACAGGGAGAATGGAACCAAATTGGAAAACACTCTGCAGGATATTATCCAGGAGAACTTCCCCAACCTAGCAAAGCAGGCCAACATTCAAATTCAGGAAATACAGAGAACGCCACAAAGATACTCCTCGAGAAGAGCAACTCCAAGACACATAACTGTCAGATTCACCAAAGTTGAAATGAAGAAAAAAATGTTAAGGGCAGCCAGAGAGAAAGGTCAGGTTACCCACAAAGGGAAGTCCATCAGACTAACAGTCGATCTCTCGGCAGAAACACTACAAGCCAGAAGAGAGTGGGGGACAATATTCAACACTCTTAAATAAAAGAATTTTGAACCCAGAATTTCATATCCAGCCAAATTAAGCTTCATAAGTGAAGGAGAAATAAAATCCTTTACAGACAAGCAAATGCTGAGAGATTTTGTCACCACCAGGCCTGCCCCACAAGAGCTCCTGAAGGAAGCACTAAAAATGGAAAGGATCAACCAGTACCAGCCACTGCAAAAACATGCCAAATTGTAAAGACCATCAATGCTAGGAAGAAACTGCATCAACTAACAAGCAAAATAACCAGCTAACATCATAATGACAGGATCAAATTCACACATAACAATATTAACCTTAAATGTAAATGGGCTAAATGCTCCAATTAAAAGACACAGACTGGCAAATTGGATAAAGAGTCAAGACCCATCAGTGTGCTGTATTCAGGAAACCCATTTCATGTGCAGAGACATACACAGGCTCAAAATAGAGGGATGGAGGAAGATCTACGAAGCAAATTGAAAACAAAAAAAGGCAGGGGTTGCAGTCCGAGTCTCTGATAAAACAGACTTTAAACCAACAAAGATCAAAAGAGACAAAGAAGGCCATTACATAATGGTAAAGAGATCAATTCAACAAGAAGAGCTAACTATCCTAAATATATATGCACCCAATACAGGAGCACCCAGATTCATAAAGCAAGTCCCTAGAGACCTACAAAGAGAATTAGACTCCCACACAATAATAATGGGAGACTTTAACACCCTACTGTCAACATTAGACAGATCAATGAGACAGAAAGTTAACAAGGATATCCAGGAATTGAATTCAGCTCTGCACCAAGAGGACCTAATAGACATCTACAGAACTCTACACCCCAAATCAACAGACTATACATTCTTCTCAGCACCACACCATACCTATTCCAAAATTGACCGCATAGTTGGAGTAAAGCACTCCTCAACAAATGTAAAAGAACAGAAATTATAACAAACTGTCTCTCAGACCACAGTGCAATCAAACTAGAAATCAGTTTTAAGAAACTCACTCAAAACCACTCAACTACATGGAAAGTGAACAACCTGCTCCTGAGTGACTACTGGGTACATAACGAAATGAAGGCAGAAATAAAGATATTCTTTGAAATTGACAAGAACAAAGACACAACATACCAGAATCTCTGGGACACATATAAAGCAGCGTGTAGAGGGAAATTTATAGCATTAAATGCACACAAGAGAAAGCAGGAAAGATGTAAAATTGACACCCTAACATCACAATTAAAAGAACTAGAGAAACAAGAGCAAACATATTCAAAAGCTAGCAGAAGGCAAGAAATAACTAAGATCAGAGCAGAACTGAAGGAAATAGAGACACAAAAAAACCCTTCAAAAAATCAATGAATCCAGGAGCTGGTTTTTTGAAAAGATAAAATTGACAGACTGCTAACAAGACTAACAAAGAAGAAAAAAGAATCAAATAGAGGCAATAAAAAATGATAAAGGGGATATCACCACTGATCCCACAGAAATAAAAACTACCATCAGAGAATACTGTAAACACCTCTATGACAAAAAAAACCCTTCAAAAAATCAACGAATCCAGGAGCTGGTTTTTTGAAAAGATAAACAAAATTGATAGACTGCTAACAAGACTAACAAAGAAGAAAAAAGAATCAAATAGAGGCAATAAAAAATGATAAAGGGGATATCACCACTGATCCCACAGAAATAAAAACTACCATCAGAGAATACTGTAAACACCTCTATGCAAATAAACTAGAAAATCTAGAAGAAATGGGTAAATTCCTCGACACTTACACCCTCCCAAGACTAAACCAGGAAGAAGTGGAATCTCTCAGTAGACCAATAACAGGCTCTGATATAGAGGCAATAATTAATAGCTTACCAAACAAAAAAAGTCCAGGACCAGATGGATTCACAGCCGAATTCTACCAGATGTACAAGGAGGAGCTGGTACTGTTCCTTCTGAAACTATTCCAATCAATACAAAAAGAGGGAATCCTCCTTAACTCATTTTATGAGGCCAGCATCATCCTGATACCAAAGCCTGGCAGAGACACAACAAAAAAATAGAATTTTAGACCAATATCCCTGATGAACATCAGTGCAAAAATCCTCAATAAAATACTGGCAAACCGAATCCAGCAGCACATCAAAAAGCTTATCCACCATGATCAAGTGGGCTTCATCCCTGGGATGCAAGGCTGGTTCAACATATGCAAATCTGTAAATGTAATCCAGCATATAAACAGAACCAAAGACAAAAACCACATGATTATCTTAATAGATGCAGAAAAGGCCTTCGACAAAATTCAACAGCTCTTCAGGCTACAAACTCTCAATAAATTAGGTATTGATGGGACATATCTGAAAATAATACGAGCTATTTATGACAGACCCACAGCCAATATCATACTGAATGGGCAAAAACTGGAAGCATTCCCTTTGAAAACTGGCACAAGATATGGATGCCCTCTTTCACCACTCCTATTCAACAAAGTGTTGGAAGTTCTGGCAAGGGCAGTCAGGCAGGAGAAAGAAATAAAGGGTATTCAATTAGGAAAAGAGGAAGTCAAATTGTCCCTGTTTGCGGATGACATGATTGTATATCTGGAAAACCCCATCATCTCAGCTCAAAATCTCCTTAAGCTGATAAGCAACTTCAGCAAAGTCTCAGCATACAAAATCAATGTGCAAAAATCACAAGCATTCTTATACACCAATAACAAACAGAGAGCCAAATCATGAGTGAACTCCCATTCACAATTGCTTCAAAGAGAATAAAATACCTAGGAATCCAACTTACAAGTGATGTGAAGGACCTCTTCAAGGAGAACTACAAACCACTGCTCAAGGAAATAACACAGGACACAAACAAATGGAAGAACATTCCATGCTCATGGGTAGGAAGAATCAATATTGGGAAAATGGCCATACTGCCCAAGGTAATTTATAGATTCAATGCCATCACCTTCAAGCTACCAATGACTTTCTTCACAGAATTGGAAAAAACTACTTGAAAGTTCATATGGAACAAAGAAAGAGCCCGCATTGCCAAGTCAATCCTAAGACAAAAGAACAAAGCTGGAGGCATCATGCTATCTGACTTCAAACTATACTACAAGGCTACAGTAACCAAAACAGCATGGTACTGGTACCAAAACAGAGATATAGACCAATGGAACAGAACACAGCCCTCAGAAATAATACCATACATCTACAACCATCTGATCTTTGACAAACCTGACAAAAACAAGAAATGTGGAAAGTATTCCCTATTTAACAAACGGTGCTGGGAAAACTGGCTAACCATATGTACAAAGCTGAAACCAGATGCCTTCCTTACACCTTATACAAAAAATAATTCAAGATGGATTAAAGACTTAAATGGTAGACCTAAAACCATAAAAACCCTAGAAGAAAACCTAGGCAGTACCATTCAGGACATAGGCATGGGCAAGGACTTCATGTCTAAAACACCAAAAGCAATGGCAACAAAAGCCAAAACTGACAAATGGGATCTAATTAAACTAAAGAGCTTCTGCACAGCAAAATAAACTACCATCAGAGTGAACAGGCAACCTACAGAATGGGAGAAAATTTTTGCAATCTACTCATCTGACAAAGGGCTAATATCCAGAATCTACAAAGAACTCAAACAAATTTACAAGAAAAAAAAACCCCATCAAAAAGTGGTTGAAGGATATGAACAGACACTTCTCAAAAGAAGACATTTATGCAGCCAACAGACACATGAAAAAATGCTCATCATCACTGGCCATCACAGAAATGCAAATTAAAGCCACAATGAGATATCAGCTCACGCCAGTTAGAATGGTGATCATTAAAAAGTCAGGAAACAACAGGTGCTGGATCCCAAAGTGCTGGGATTACAGGTGTAAGCCACCGCGCCCAGCCAAAAATCAGTAGCACTTATTTTACACTGTTGGTGGGACTGTAAACTAGTTCCACCATTGTGGGAGTCAGTGTGGCGATTCCTCAGGGATCTAGAACTAGAAATACCATTTGACCCAGTAATCCCATTACTGGGTATATACCCAACGGTTTATAAATCATGCTGCTATAAATGCACATGCACATGTATGTTTATTGCAGCACTATTCACAATAGCAAAGACTTGGAACCAACACAAATGTCCATCAATGATAGACTGGATTAAGAAAATGTGGCACATATATACCATGGAATACTATGCAGCCATAAAAAAGGATGAGTTCATGTCCTTTGTAGGGACATGGATGAAGATGGAAATAATCATTATCAGCAAACAATTGCAAGGACAAAAAACCAAACACTGCACGTTCTCACTCATAGGTGGGAATTGAACAAGAGAACACTTGGACACAGGAAGGAGAACATCACACACTGGGGCCTGATGGGTGGAGGGAAGGCGGAGGGAATAGCATTAGGAGATATACCTAATGTAAATGATGAGTTAATGGGTGCAGCACACCAACATGGCACATGTATACATATGTAACAAACCTGCACGTTGCGCACATGTACCCTAGAACTTAAAGTATAATTATATATATATATATATATATATAAAAGAACTAATAAAATTCCTGCTCAAACTATTAAAGAAAACAGAAGAGAAGTGAGTATTTCCAAACTCATTCTACAAACCCAGTGTTACCCGGATACCAAAACTAGACAAAGACACATCAAAAAAGAAAGGTACAGGCTAATATCCCTTATGAAAATTAGTGTAAAAATCGTCAAGAAAATAGTAACAAACTGAATTCAACAACACATTAAAAAGTTCGTTCATCATGACCAAGTGAAATTTATCCCAGGGATACAAAGATGAGTCAATGTATGTAAACTAATCAAGGCGACACATCATATTTATAGAATTAAGGACAAAAATCATATGATTATTTCAATTGATGCTGTAAAAGCACTTGATAAATTTCAACATTCCTTTATGATAAAAACTATTTTAAAATGGCTATAGAAGGAATATACCTCAACATAAGAAAAGCCAAATATGTCAGACTCACAGCTAGTATCATACTAAATGGGGAAAAAACTGAAAGCATTTCTTCTAAGATGTGGAATGAGACAAGGATGCCCACTTTTAATGCTGTTATTCAACCTAATGGTGGAAGTCCTAACTAGAGCAATCAGACAAGAGAAAGAAATAAAGGGCATTCAACTTAAAAAGAAGGAAGTCACATTATCTTCATTTGCAGATGATATAATTTTATATTTGAACAAAACTAGACTACACACACTCAAAAAAAAACTATTAGAACTGATAAGTTAATTCCGTTAATTGCAGGATTAACAAAACCAACATACAAAAATCAGTAGCATTTCTTTTTTTGTTTGTTTTGTTTTGTTTTGTTTTGTTTTGTTTTATTTTTGAGACGGAGTCTCGCTCTTGCCCAGGTTGGAGTGCAGTGGCGTGATCTCAGCTCACTGAAAGCTCCGCCTCCCAGGTTCACACCATTCTCCTGTCTCAACCTTCCCAGTAGCTGGGACTACAGGCGCCCGCCACCACGCCTGGCTAATTTTTTGTATTTTTAGTAGAGACTGGGTTTCACCAGGTGAGATGGGGTTTCACCACGTTAGCCAGGATGGTCTGGATCTCCTGACCTCGTGATCCACCCGCCTCGGCCTCCCAAAGTACTGGGATTACAGGTGTAAGCCACTGCGCCCAGCCAAAAATCAGTAGCATTTCTATATGTCAACAGTAAATACCTGAAAATGAAGTCAAGAAAGTAATCCCATTTACAATAGCTGCAAGTAAAATACCTAGGAATTTACTTCACCAGGGAAGTGAAATATCTCTGCAATGAAAACCATAAAACATTTACCCAAGAAATTGAAGAGGAGAAAGCCAAGATGCCTGACTATGCATAGCCAAGAAGAGCTTCTCCCACCAACAGAGACCAGACCATTGAGTAGATTGGCACACTCACTCAGAATATCTTCAGAAACAAGGCCTTGAGAGTGGACAGCAGGAGGACACCGATCCCAGGCAGAAAGGGGAGGAAGCTGGGAACTCTGCACAGAGCTGCCAAGGACCAAGACTTGTTCCTGGCCCCAAGCAGCTCCTAGGGAAGTAGTGAGTGAAATAGGCATGCAGTGGCCCACTCTAACCATGGACCTTTGGGATCCTAGCTGTGGGAAACCCCATGACTCCCACAAACATTTGAGCTGGCAAGAACTTCCCAGAGAGTTGGCAGAGACAGAATTCCAGCCTGTATAGAGTCCACAGTGTTTGGCACAGGAACAGCTGCAATGGAGCATGGTAATGGGCACCCATCCCCCCAGCCCTTTGTAGCTACTGGACCTGGACAGAGCTGTGCTCTCTTGCCCATGAAACTGGACCAGTCTGATTTGAGTACCCCTCTGTCTACCAGCCTCTCCCAGGGTCCCTGTCTGGCCATATCCACTTACAGCACAGCATCAGCTGCCCAGCCAAAGTGCTTGCCAGTGGCCATCACCATAGTTCTCTCACTGGCAGACCCTGATACCTGTTGTAGAACTTCTGCAGACAGAATCCTGCCAGTGTTCAGTACTATTTTAAGAAAAAATTAAACCAAACTTCTGGAAATGAAAAATTCACTACAGGAATTTCAGAATGCAACTGGAAGCAGTAAAAAGAAGAGATCACACTGACGAAAGATTCTCAGAGCTCAAAGACTGCTCCTTCGGATAAACACAAGTAGACAAACATTTAAAAAAAAGGAATTTTTAAAATGAACAAAACTTCTGAGAAATATGAGATTATGTAAAGAGACCAAATTTATGACTAATAGTTTTTTTGAAATTTATTTAGTCATAAATTTGGTCATAAATTTCACTGTTCCTGAATGTGATAGAGAGAAAGCAAGCAACTTGGAAAACATATTTGAAGTTATTGTCCACTAAAATTTCCCCAACCTCGCTAGAGATAATGACATGCAAATTCAGGAAATTCCAAAGACCCTATGAGATGCTATACAAGACAACCATCCCCAAGACACAGTCATCAGATTCTCCAAAGTCAATGGAAAGAAAAAGATTTTAAAGGCAATCAAAGAGAAGGGGCAGGTCACATACAAAGGGAACCCTTTCAGACTAACTGTGGGCCTTTCAGCAGAAACCTTACAAACCAGAAGAGATTGGGGGCCTACATTTAGCATCTTTAAAAAGTATTTATAGACCTCTTGGGTGTCAAAGGTGTAACTTTCTATAAGAAAATTTGGAAGAAAATGCTATGCTAGAAACAGAACTGAATTATTCTGCATAATGAAGCAAACAAATTTTAGTTTTCTCAAACAAACTGAGGATAGGACTCAAGAATAAACAGAAGACATGTAAGTAAGCAATAGGGAAGGAAAAAAACAAGAAGTTGTAAATTTGAGCTTAAGGTAATAGCAAGCAGTAAATCTCTTGAGAGGAGACACAGTCAATACAATTTTGGGATGGCAATGTTTACTATTAAACTTTGAGTTATTTTTAAATACCATATGGGACTATAATTGTCCTCATTACCCCAAATATTTAATAAAAATTGACTATATACAACAATCTTTTATTTGAAATACTTGAAATAAAATAATAATGGGGATCATAGCCTATGTATAACAAAGCAGAATGAGAATTGGACAGCAACTACAGGAAAATAAATCCAGAGAAGAGACAGAGAAGTCAATGAAATTGTAAATTTACAGAAAAAGGTGATCAAAACAGTAAAACTTGTAAAATCATTGGGTTGTTGGGTGGAGAATAATTCTGAGTTTCTCAGAATATCCCTGTATATATAGGAGATTCAACCATTCATTTTAAATATCCATACAAAAGGGCAAGGTAAACCAAGAGGGCTATAGAACTGAAGGACATAAGATTGCACATTTTGTTTACATATGAATAAATATATATTAAACAATATGATCATTAAAATTTTTTTCTTCTAAAATCACTTGTTAATATGACCCCATAATGGAATTTTTAAGAATTCATCTGCAGTAGCCAGCCTCCAAGATTTCCCCCCAATGATTCTCATGTCCTCAAGTTCATGTCCATCCTTGACTGGACCCCTCTCATATTGAATAAGGTGTAACAAAGATGTTACTGAAAAAATTATGAAGCATGACTTTTAAGGTTAGCCTATGTCATAAAAGACTGCAGCATCTGCCTTGCTTTCTGTTTGGTTACTTGCCCTATGTAAGCCACTCTTCATGTTGTGAAGACACTTAGATAGCCATGGAGAGTCCAGTAGGTAAGGGATTAAGGCCTTCCTTCTGTCAGTGAAAGTGAGCCACATTGGAAGCAGATCCTCCAGCCCAATTCAAGCCTTCAGATGACTGCAGCTCTAGCTGACATCTTGACTATAATTCTCAAGACACCTTGAACCAGAACCACCCGCCCAGCTAAGCTCCTCTCAAATTCCTGACCCACAAAAACTGTGCGATAAATGTTCATGACTATTTTAATACACTAAATGTTGGGGTAATTTGTGTAGCAAAAGATAACTCACATACTCTTCTGAAGCAGTAATCGGAGAAGTTCTCAAATAGTCATATGCAAGTATGTTCCACACAGCACCATTTATAGTAGCAAAAATTACAACAACTTAAGTATCCAAATAGGAAGTATCTTAAAAATAAATATTTATAGAAATATTATAATTAAAGCTAAAATTTACTGGATCATTTCTGTCTTTGGGGAATCGTGCTAGAAGAAAAGACTTTAGCCATTAAAAATAATATTTGTGAAGAACATTTAACAAAACAGAAATATGGTCATAATATAATAATGAGTGAAATAAAGCAACAAGCTATGACATATATACAGTATAATTAAGTTTTTATAGATATATCTTTATTCATCTATAAAATATAATTACATATGTTTATATATTTACAAAATGGAGGTTTAAAACACATGTGCATATGCAAAAGAAACACACTGGCAACCAATGTAACAAACACTGACAGTAATAATCCCTGGTTGGTATAAGGTTGATATTTAGTATTTAAATTATATTCTTTTATTTTTCTATAATTTTCTGAAATTCCAACAAAAAGATGTTACTTTTATCCTCTCAGTTATTAAAAGAGTAACTTCAAACTTGCTAGAGCACAAATGTGTAAACAAAAAGTGGTTTGAGACTGTGCACTCATAGAATTGGGTTTCTGAAAAAATCTAGTTCAACACTCTCATTTTGCAGATGAGAGAATTGTGACACAATTAGGGTTGAGTGATTCCCCTGAAATTTGTCTAGATTGGTAATGGCAGAACCTGAAGGAAAACTGGTTTCCTGGTTCTTGTTCTAATATTCTCTTTATCATTCTATATTACTGCCAAGAAAACAATGACAAAGGTACCATATTCCTCAAAAAGGAGTAGGGTAAACATGAAAAAATCTGACACAATAAAAATAATGGCTGATCAACTCCACCTATTTATGCTGCCATGCAGAGCATTACACTTGTAGCCAAATACAATATAGACAGTGATAATTTCTTTGAAAGGGTATACATGCAGAAGGAAAGAGCCTCTCATACAAAGGAAAAAAAGCAAAAACTGACAGTTTTCTTACAACAGAGGCTAATAATTTGGAATTTATTTGTGTTTGGGGGGAAATGGAAAGTTTGGAAAAAGTTATAAAAACCATAAAAACTGTCTCCAAACATTTAGATGATTCTACATCTGTATGTACTCTTGCTCGAGTAAAGTTATCCAGAAACAAGCACACAACAACAAACAAACAAACAAAAACAGAAAAAAACCCACATTTACTTCCATCTATTTGTCATCTCTTACATAACAATATGTTTAATTATCAGAAATAACAGAATTTCTGCCTGAAAACTTTTCAGAGCACTGATATATCATAAAACTTCCATGTAATTAAAGAATTTCCAAGGAGATTGTCAATCTTTGTACTATGATTAAGTGTGGGATACATGGTGCTTTTAAGGAAATACGAAGCAACATGTAATAACTTGAGAAACCTCAAATGGACCCATTGGATCATCAGAAAGAAGGAAACCTGTTGCTCGGCTACTTAATTCTACACATCAAACAAGATTATGGCATCGCCTAGATGTTGAACAAAACAAAATGAATCTACTGCTAAGAAGAGTATTTCCTCACCCAGGAGCGATAAATGAGGAGACTGTTGATTCAAATGATGATCAAGATGATTCTAGAGACTGTTGAATGAAGTATATGAGCAATCCAAGTGGAAAAGAGAAACTTGGTTGGCATATCACCTGCTTGGAAAGTTCCTGGTTAGAAAAAGAAACTGAGGAAATTCTCTTACCATTAGGCAAGGATTTCATGGGTGGCATGACCCCACTGGATCTCACCCTTTCTAGCCCCCAAATTAATCCAGAAAAGGGAAATGACTTCACAGGTCTTTGAGCACATGCCCATTTAGCAAATAAAATGGGCCCTCTTTCTGGTAAATCTCTGTGTGTGTGCAGTTTTTGCGTATAGGTAGGTGTATTTACATTATTAAAACTCATTAAAAAACTTATTTGACTTCTATTAACATTTTTCTACAAGTGCAAATATATATGTGTTTAAAGAAATAAAATAAACATTTTCAAAATATGTTTACACTGCCTGACATTCTCTGATCAGTTGTGGAATTAAACAACTGCACATTTGCCTCAGATGTCTAAAATACCTTTCAAGTGGGTGGAGGAGCCCTTGACTAGGAAAAAGAGGGCCTCAGATACCTGAGGCTGTCCTTATAAACATGCAAAAGACTCAGTTGTGCCTATAGGAGCCAGAGATAAGGCCCAGCCTGCCCTGCTCTGGAGCTTCCACCAGGACCCTTTTAGTTTGACAGAGGTCTGGTATCCAACATTAACCATAATCTGAGCTGGTTTCTGAGCCCCGACTTGGGTGAGCTCAGTCAGAACAGACAGACTCCAAATTATTCTGTTTCATCTTGGCCCAACAAAGATGTGAAGTGTATAAAGTTTAGAAATCTCCTCTTAATGTCTTCTTGGAGAAGATTTTTACCCTGTATAAAATGGTTGAGGTGTGGTCTTGCTTTGAGGTAGAAGTGAAATCTTCCATATCATCAACCTCTAAGGTTTGGAACATTGCCAAGTCAATTTCCTCTTTGAATGGTTCTAATTGTTTTAGTCATGCTTTCCAAACTGTGGGAAATAAATTTACCACCCAGTTTCGAAAATGCTGTTTGGAGATTTTTTTTGTTTGCTTGTTTGTTTGTTTGTTTGTTTTGAGATGGAGTTTCATTCTTCTTGCCCAGGCTGGAGAGCAGTGGCACAATCTCGGCTCACTACAACCTCCGCCTCCCGGGTTCAAGGGATTCTCCTGCCTCAGCCTCCTGAGTAGCTGGGATTACAGGCACCCATCACCAAGCCCGGCTAATTTTTTGTATTTTTAGTAGAGATGGGGTTTCACCATGTTGGCCAGGCTGGTCTTGAACTCCTGACCTCAGGTGGTCCACCCGCCTCGGCCTCCCAAAGTGCTGGGATTACAGGCATGAGCTACCACGCCCGGCCCAGGATTGTCTTTTTCATTTACCATTATCCAGCCTCAGTACGTAAATATTTTTTATGTAAACCTACATTACCTCCTCCTCTGTCAATAATTTCTCTGGGATTTAACACTGAATCTCCATCACTTCAATTCTGAGTTTAAACTGGTTTCTATTGTTTTCATTATCTTCCATCAGTTTACTATGATTTCCCTAATTTAATTTCCTGAACTTCAACTTGCTTAGGAAAGAATATCTAATATTACTTGTCCCTGAGTCATTTTATTTGGAGAATAATGATACCAGTTCTTCCAAATTTCCAAGATCTTCAGGAGAGCCAAATAAGAATATGTATAACTAATTAGATTATAAAACTGAATTGTGATGGAAAGCTGTGATGTTATATTGTCAGCCAGGTATAGTGGCTCACACCTGTAAGCCTAGCATTTTGAGAGGCCGAAGCAGGAGGATCCAAAAGTTCAAGACCAGCCTGGGTAACATAGTGAGACCCTGTCTCTACAAAGAACAAACCAAATTATCTGGGCATGGGGGTGCACACCTGTAGTTCTAGCAACTCAGGAGGCTGAGGCTGGAGGATCACTTGAGCCCAGGAGGTCAAGGCTGCAGTGATCCATGATTGCACAACACTGCAGCCTAGGTGACCAAGTGAGACACTGCCTCAAAAAAAAAAAAAAAAAGTTGAGATATTATTCTATTGTTTATATTCTGTCTGTACTGGCTAGGAAAAGCCAGCTTCCCATGTGGTCTGAACTCCATTCCTTTTCTTCTCACTGTTTCCACTAATTGGAATTTCCTCCTTTTCTAAATGTTCTGATTATCTGCCAGGCATCCTGGCTCAACAAAGCCTTCCTTGTTCCAACATTTAATACTTATGTGGCTTTGCCAACTGACTTGGGCAAGAAATATTTACTGAGGGTATCCTAGAATAGGTATATGGTTTAGAGAGAGAAACTGACTTGCACAGCATAAGACAGTAAATAGCAGAACTACAGTAGAACTCACCTCTTCTGTCTTAGAGACCAGTCACCATCTGTTGCCCTATCCTGCTTCTCCAGGGTTATATCAAAGAATTCAAAGAATATTGCCAACCTCAACACAGGCCTACTCTGTTTGTTAGTTTATATGTAAAATGTGTTTAGAGTTTTCTATTAGAATTTTTGTGGGGATACTACAATATTTTCCATCAATGAAAAGAAAGCCTCAGACACGAGGCTGTATGAATAGGAAGCAAGTATTTTTTGTATTTTAATAATCTACACTAAATATTTAAATGTTATTTTAATTCTGCTTACATTTGTAAACTTTTTTATATATTTAATATCTTTTCTGATTATAAAATTAATGTCTGTCTTCACGTGATTTCATGCTTGCATTTTAGATTATTTTATTAGGATCAATAATTTATATATTACCTGATACTTCTGTGAATGGGAATACTTGTTTCACCACATGCTTAATAGAAGGAAACACTACCATTTTTGCCAATTCTTTACCTATTTTCATATTTCTCACCCCCACTTCTGTATAAAGAAACAGTTGTTATATTTTTTAGATCAATTGCCCAATGCTCTATCTGGATAAGATCATTTCATTTGGAGAATTAACTTTTTATCCAGTTGAGGAAAGCTTTATTCTATTTTTTTTTAATTTACTTTAAGTTCTGGGATATATGTGCAGAAGGTTCAGGTTTGTTACATGGGTATACATGTGCCATGGCAGTTTGCTGCACCTATCAACCCATCATCTAGGTTTTAAGCCGCACATGTATTAGGTATTTGTCCTAATGCTCTCTCTCCCCTTTCCCCTGACCTGCCAACAGGCCCCAGTGTGTGATATTCCTCTCCCTGTGTCCATGTGTTCTCATTGTTCAACTTGAACTTATGAGTAAGAACATGCGGTGTTTAGTTTTCTGTTCCTGTGTTAGTTTGCTGAGAATGATGGTTTCCAGCTTCATCCATGAACCTGCAAAGGACATAAATTCAATCTTTTTTATGTCTGCATTGTATTCCATGGTGTATATGTGCCACAACTTCTTTATCCTGTCTATCACTGATGGACATTTGGGTTGGTTCCAAGTCTTTGCTATTGTGAATAGTGCTGCAATAAACATATGTGTGTATGTCTCTTTATAGTAGAATGACTTATAATCCTTTGGGTATATACCCAGTAATGGGATTGCTGGGTCAAATGGTATTTCTGGTTCTAGATCCTTGAGGAATTGCCACACTGTCTTCCACAATGGTTGAACTAATTTATACTCCCACCAGCAGTGTAAAAGTGTTCCTGTTTCTTCACATCCTCTCCAGCATCTGTTGTTTGCTGACTTTTTAATGATCGCCATTCTAACTGGCATGAGATGGTATCTCATTGTGGCTTGGATTTGCATTTCTCTAATGACCAGTGACAATGAACTTTTTTTCATATTTTTCTTGGCCGCATAAATGTCTTCTTTTGAGAAGTGTCTGTTCATATCCTTTGCTCACTTTTTGGTGGAGTTGTTTTTTTCTTGTAAATTTATTTAAGTCCCTCATAGATTCTGGATATTGGACCTTTGTCAAATGGGTAGATTGCAAAATTTTTCTGCCATTCTGTAGGTTTCCTGTTAACTCTGATGATAGCTTCCTTTGCTGTGCAGAAGCTCTTTAGTTTAATTTGATCCCATTCACCCATTTTGGCTTTTGTTGCTATTGCTTTTGGTGTTTTAGTCATGACATCTTTGTCCATGCCTATGTCCTGAGTGATATTGCCTAGGTTTCCTTCTAGAGTTTTCATGGTTTTAGAGTTTACGTTTAAATTTTTAATCCATCTTGAGTTCATTTTTGTATAAGGTGTAAGGAAGGGGTCCAGTTTCTCTTTTCTGCATATGGCTAGCCAGTTTTCCCAGCACCATTTATTAAATAGGGAATCCTTTCCCCATTGATTGTTTTTGTCAGGTTTGTCAAAAATCAGATGGTTGTAGATGTGTGGTGTTATTTCTGAGGCCTCTGTTCTGTTCCATTGGTCTATTTATCTCTTCTGGTACCAGTACCATGCTGTTTTGGTTACTGTAGCCTTGTAGTATACAAACATATCTCAAAATAATAAGAGCTATTTATGACAAACCCATAGCCAATATCATATTGAATGGGCAAAAGCTGGAAGCATTCCCTTTGAAAACCGGCACAAGACAAGGATGCCCTCTCTCACCACTCCTATTCAACATAGTATTGGAAATTCCAGTCAGGCAATCAGACAAGAGAAAGAAGTAAAGAGTATTCATATAGGAAAAGCGGAAGTCAAATTGTCTCTGTTTGCAGACAACATGATTGTATGTTTAGAAAACCCCATCATGTCAGCCCAAAATCTCCTTAAGCTGATAAGCAACTTCAGCAAAGTCTCAGTATACAAAATCAATGTGCAAAAATCACAAGCATTCCTATACACTGACAGCAGAGAAGCAGAGAGCCAAATCATGAGTGAACTCCCATTCACAATTGCTACAAAGAAAAAAATACCTAGGTATGGCTGGGCGCGGTGGCTCACACCTGTAATCCCAGCACTTTGGGAGGCCAAGGTGGGCGGATCAGGAGGTCAGGAGATTGAGACCATCTTGGCTGACACGGTGAAACCCCGTCTCTACTAAAAACACAAAAAATTAGCTGGGCATGGTAATGGGTGCCTGTAGTCCCAGCTACTTGGGAGGGTGAGGCAGGAGAATGGCATGAACCTGGGAGGTGGAGCTTGCAGTGAGCCGAGGTCACGCCACTGCAGTCCCACCTGGGCGAAAGAGCGAGGCTCCGTCTCAAAAAAAAAAAGACACGAAAAGAAAATACCTAGGAATACAACTTACAAGGGACATGAAGGACCTCTTCAAGGAGAACTACAAACCACTGCTGAAGGAAATAAGAGAGGACACAAACAAATGGAAAAACATTCCATGCTCATGGATAGGAAGAATCAATCTCATGAAAATGGCCATACTGCCCAAAGTAATTTGTAGATTCAATGCTATTCCCATCAAGCACCATTCATTTTCTTCACAGACCTAGAAAAAACTACTTTAAATTTCATATGGAACCAAGAAAGAACGTGTAGAGCCAAGACAATCAATCCTAAGCAAAAAGAACAAAGCTGGAGGCATCATGCTACCTAACTTCAAACTATACTATTCTATTTTATTTTTATGTTTTTTTAATGCTCAATTTGTTCTGCTTTTTTCCCTTTAAACACCTGTCATCTGTGAGTTGGCCCTTCATTCACTCTCCTTCAGATCTAAATATTGTCAGGTCTTTGTACTTAGCACTGTGTAATAGTAAACAGACATGCTTTGGAGTCTGACAAATTTGAGTTTGGGTTCTGCTCTGTCCCTGACTGGCTGTTTGCCTGGGCATGCTTGGTGACCTTGCCAAGTCTCAGTTTCTTCCTCTGTAATGTGTTTTGTGTTCAGTAAGGTCTTATTAACCATAGACATTGTTGCTGTCTTTTCTCAGCATTCTGCAAGGGTGCTTTAAGTTAGTCTTCTATCTCAGTGATTCTGTTTTCTGTAATGTGAATGTGGTTCTTTAGATGTTCTTTTGATACTTTAATTCCATGATTATTTAGTGGATTCACTGGTTTCTTACCCCTCTTAATCTACAACCCAACTTACTGTTTTTTCAAGGAATATTATGCATTCAAAAAGACAGTGTTTCCTTGATTTTTGTATTTAAAACACAAAACAGAAACTTTTACAAGTTTCTTCTCTTCACTGTGGCAAATCTTTTCAAAAGTATGTTTTTTCTCAGCTCTGTTAAGGCACTATAGCTGTTTTATATGGCAGAATATTTCCTTGTGTCCTCTGTTGATTGTTTCCCATCCCTTGATGAAAACTTGGGCATGTCTTATTACTTTTCAGCTGGCTCTTGGAGAATGGACAGTGATGCAGTCATTTTAAATAAAAAACATAGCCTTAACTCAGAAATTAAAAACGTTCTGCCAGGAAGTTAATCAGAACTAGGTTTCTAATACACTTCATGTTAGAAACTTGCAGTAGAAATGGAGAGAAATGATGGTTTCTCTACCCTTCTGTACTCAATCTCCATCTTGCCTAGCTTGCTAACCATTTCTGGAAACTTTCAGGGTAAAATAGGGAAAAGAAGAAGTTTTAAGAAATAAATAAAGGGTTTTTTGAACAGATATTCTCATACGCTGCCTTCAGGCTCCCTAGGACTGGCAGATATTTAAAGCTTTTTTCAGTGGAGATTTGGCAGCTTCCATCACTCAGGTTCCCTCTCCTGCAGTTCTCTTGACCTGGGTAGATGTATGTCTATTTTGGGTGATCCCTTGAAATGCATTCTTCAGCCCCTAGGATTTCAGGGCTCACCTGGAACTTCTCACAACTAGGGACCTACTCTTTTCCAGGTAGCCATATTGGACAGGACCTAAGATTATATCATCCTTGCTATCTTTTCTGTCTGACCTACATCTGCTCCACAGCAGAGTCTACTCATTTCTTTGTACTGACAAAGAGGACACAGGATGTTTTAGTTTGCTCAGACATAAGTCTGGCACCAGTCTTCTGTGAATACCTTCAGCAAGATGCTACAAGCAAGGTGTCTTGTAGCATCTCTCTGATAGGGACAGGTGGCAGAGAAATTCTGGGAGGGAAGGTCCCTGGCAAGAGCCCCATCCTCAAACTGAAAAGCCTAATACCATGGCCCAAATTGAGCACTCACATCCCTGTTTTCCTGCTCTAATGCTGTCTTTTCCAAAACTACCCATGGCCACCCCAACCCCCATCCTGTGCCCATAAAAACCCCAGGCTCAGCTGGCAGAGAAGAAGAGAAGACAAGAAGCAGCTGGACACTGGAGACTACTGTGGCACAAGCTTTCCCCTTGCACCTGCTTTCTGCCTCTGGACCAAAACTGAATGCTTCCCCTGTGGCTCTGCATGGCATGGCATGCCCCTCTTTCTCAGGAAATATAATAAAAATCTTCTTCAACAGCACTGGCCTCTCTGTGTCATCACTCAGTAATACCTCTAAAAATTAAATCCCAGGTATAATTTCAATATAATTGTAATGTCACATACAGAGATCTGTTCATAGTCACTTTGATGTCTGACATGTCTCAGTTTTTTCTTGGTTGAAACTTCAATTTTATCTTCTTATTAATTCACAGTTGAGCTTTTGATAGAATGTGGAGTAAGTCTAAAGTTTTACATATGCCCTCAAACTATCCTCAATGTGTGTTTATTCATTCAGAAGCCATTCAATTGACATTATGCATGCCAGTCAGTATAGTGGATGATGGCCATATGAAAATTCCTGCCACTTGAAAGTTTAATGTCTGCTCAAACCAGATGCAGCTGATCACATAGAATCAGTGCCCTGGAGTATATCATCACTTTAATCTAGAGTCAGGAACCTGCCATATGACTGTCAACCCTATGTTTGTTAGTTAACCAGCAAAAGAACACATATTCAATTGGTATCTAAAGTTGTAAGGAAACCAAAGCCATCATTGGTGTCATGGCCCTGTGGCCTTTTCATGGAGGTATTTACAAAAACACCACCTCAAAGGGATATTAACCAAGACCCAGCACAACAGTCTGAAATCAAGCTGCCATCTCACAGGGGGAGCTAGGAAAGAGGGGGGACTAAGGTGACATTTAAAGAACATGCAGGCCAGTGATGGCTAGTGAGAAAGAGATTTGCAGGAGATGATGGAGAGCTGGAAGAATGTTCTGAGTGGAAACGCAGGTGAACATAGAGCATAGCTAATTGGCCTAACAGTTTTGTTTCTCTGAGAGTTCAATGATTCATGAATGTTCAATTTCCCTCTTCATATAAGTGAAGCCTAAAAGTTGATTTGGGTCTAGATAGCAAGCTTCCCAGGTAGTTGGTGAAGATTTGCAGGGACAGAGCCCCTTGCCAGCAATGGTGGTAAGTGAAGCCAAATGAAGTTATTAAATTCAAAATAAAATTTAAAGAGAATCCAAGTAAGAACAAAGATTTATAATCTGAAATCTTATCTTACATAGATCTATTGTGACCAAACAGGTCTATATAAGAGAAGAGAAGTCATGATAAAAAGTCAAATGGTGCAGGGAGTTGACCAAGATGGCTGAATAGAAGCAGCTGTGGTCTATAGCACTCATGGAGAGGAATAAAAGGGGTGAGTGAATACAGCACCTTCAACTGAAATATCTAGATTCTCACACTGGGACTCATTAGGCCAACAACTTGAGCCATGGAGAATGAAGAAAAGCAGAGGAGGACAATGGCCCATCTGGGAGCAACATGGAGCCAAGGGAACCCTAACCCCCAGTGAAGGGAAGCAGTGAGTGACCCCACCGGGGAAACCATGCTTCTCCCATGGATCTTTGAAAACCATGGATCAGGAGATCCTCTTGTAAACCCATGCCACCAGCACCTTGGGTCTGACACACAGAGCTGCATGGAGTCTTGGCAGAGCAGCTGCTCCGGCACACACAGAGCCCCAGGATCTTCACATACCCTGGATCTGGGATTCCCAACAAACATGTCTGCAACTCAGTCAAGGCAAGAGGTCTGTACATACTCCTAGGAAGGGGGCTGAATCCAGGTACCCAAGAAGCATTCTGTGGGCCCCACTTCCATGGCATCTCACAAGGTAAGACCCACCGGACTGGAATTCCAGCCAGTCAACAGCAACAGAGTAGAGTCTGCCTGAGATGGGATGGAACCCCTTGGGGGAGGTTTATCCACCATCTCTGCCATCCAGTCAACTCAGCTGTTCCAACCTGCTGGCTTTGGAGAGTCCAAATGGTCCAGATGAGGAAGGGTCCCCCCCAACACAGCACAGTCATTTTGCCACATCATGGCCAGACTGCTTCTCTAAGTGGGAACCCCATCCATTCCTCCTTACCCAATACAAGTCCTCCTTACTTACCCCTCCCTGCTGGAGGTTCAGCCACCTCAGTGAGTTTTCTACAAATGGAGCTCTGATCTCTCCCTGGGATGGACCCCCTGTGGGGAGGGTCAGGTCATCATCTCTGCTGTTTGGTTGATTCAGTTGTTACAGTTTGGCAGCTTTGGAGAGTCCAAAGAGTTCAGACAAAAAAGCATTCCCCCAGTACAGCACAGCTGCTTTGCCAGATTGTGGCCAGGCTTCTTTAAGCAGGACCTCAATCCACTTCTCCTTATTGGCAAGATCTCCCAGCTGGGGCCTCGAGCTTCCTCTGCCCATGTTCTACAGCCAACACAGTTCTAATTTCCCTCTGGGATGGAATGCTGGGGGCAAGGGGGCAGGGGTGAAAATTGGGCAGGCCAACACCTTGACTGTTTGGGTTTCTCAGTTAGTCTAGCCTGTGAGCCCTGGAGAGCTCAGCACAGCACACCTGCTCTACCAAAAAGCAGCCAAACTGCTTATTTAAGTGGGACACTGATCCTGTTCCTCCTAAGTGAGACCCCCCAATAGGGGTCTCCAGCCAACTCCTACAGGTGTGTTTGGGCTGGCAACAGGTCAATACGCCCCTGAGACAGAGGTTCTAGAGGAAGGAGCAGGCTACCATTTTTGCTGTTTCACAGGCTTCACTGGTGATACCTCCAGGTATGGGAAAAACTGAGGCAACTAGGGTCTGGAATGGACCTCCAGAAAACCACAATGGCTCTACAGAGGAATGCCCTGACTGTTAAAAGAAAAACAAACAAAGAGAAAACAACAATGACAAAAGAGACCCCACAAAAACCCCATTTGAAAGTCAGCAACCTTAAGATCAAAGGTAGATAAGCCCAAACAATGAGAAAGAATCAACACAAAAACACTGAAAACTCAAAAAAGCACAGTTCGCCTTCTCTTCCAAGTGGCCATAACACATCTCCAGCAAGGGCTCAGAGCTGGGCTGAGGATGAGATAGCTAAAATGACAGAAGAAGGCTTCAGAAGATGCATAATAACAAACTTCACTGAGCTAAAGGAGCATGTTGTAACCCAATGCAAAGAAGCTAAGAATCATGATAAAACAATACAGGAGCTGACAGCCAAAATAGCCAGTTAAGAGAGGAACATAACTGACCTGAGATGAGGAACACACTACAAAAACTTGAAAATGCAATCACAGGTATTAATAGCAGAATAGACCAAGCAGTGGAAAGAATCTCAGAGCTTGAAGATTATCTTTCTGAAATAAGACAGTCAGACAAGAATACAGAAAAAAGAATGAAAAGGAATGAAGAAAACCTGTAAGAAATATGGGATTATGCAAAGAGATCAAAACTATGATGGACTGGGGTACCTGAAAGAGATGAGCAGAATAGAGACAAGTTGAAAAACATACTTAAAGACATCATCCAGCAGAACTTCTCCAACCTAGCAAGAGATGCCAACGTTCAAATCCAGGAAAAGCAGAGAACCCCAGTAAGATACTCCATAAGAAGATGAACCCCATGACACATAATCATCAGATTCCCCAAGGTCAAAATGAAAGAAAATTTGTTAAGGGCAGCCAGAGAGAAAGTCCAGATCACCTACAAAGAGAAGCCCATCAAACTAACAGCAGACCTCTCAGCAGAAACCCTACAAGCCAGAAGAGATTGAAGGCCAATATTCAACATTCTTAAAGAAAAGAATTTCTAAATCAGATTTCATATCCAGCCAAACTAAGCTGCATAAGTAAAGGAGAAATAAGATCTTTTTCAGACAAGTAAGTGCTGAAGGAATTCATCACCACCAGACCTGCCTTGTAACAGCTCCTGAAGGAAGCATTAAATGTGGAAGGAAAAACTATTACCAGCCACTACAAAAACACACTGAAGTACACAGACCAGTGATACTATGAAGCAACCACATAAACAAGTCTGCAGAATAACCAGCTAGCATAATGATGACAGGATCAAATTCACACATAACAATACTAACCTTAAATATAAATGGGCTAAACAACCCAATTAAAAGACATAGAATGGCAAGCTGGATAAAGAACCAAGACCCATCAGTATGCTGTCTTCAAGATACTCATCTCACATGCAAAGACACACATAGACTCAAAATAAGGGATTGAGGAGAATTTACCAAGCAGATGAAAAAAAGAAAAAAGCATGGGTTGCAGCTCTAGTTTCTGACAAAACAGCCTTTAAACCAACAGAGATGAAAAAAGATAAAGAAGTGCATTGTGGTAAAGGATTCAATTCAACAAGAAGAGCTAATTATTTTAAATATATATGCACCCAATACAGGAGCACCCAGATTTATAAAGCAAGCTCTTAGAAACCTTTGTAGAGGCTTAGACTTCGACACAATAATAGTGGGAGACTGTAAAACCCCATTGACAATATTAGACAGATCATCGAGACAGAAAATTAATAAAGATATTGTTGAATTGAACTCAGCTCTGGATCAAGTGGACCTGATAAGTATATACAAAACTCTCCACCCCAAAACAACAGAATATACATTCTCCTCATCACCCAACAGCACTTACTCTAAAATTGATCACATAATCAGAAGTAAAACACTCCTCAGCCAATGCAAAAGGACTGAAATAATACAAAACAGTCTCTCAGACCACAGGACAATCAATTTAGAACTCAAGTTTAAGAAATTCACTCAAAAACACACAAGTTCATGGAAATTGAACAACCTGCTCCTGAATGACTCTTGGGTAAAGAATGAAATTAATGCAGAAATCAAGAAGTTCTTTGAAACTAATGAGAACAAAGATACAATGTACCAAATATTTTGGATGCAGCTAAAGTAGTTTCAAGAGGGAAACTTATAGCACTAAATGTCCACATCAAAAAGCTAGAAGGATCTCCGATCAACAACCTACCATCACAACTGAAAGAACTAGAGAACCAAGAGCAAACAAAACCCAAAGGTAGCAGAAGACAAGAAATAACCAAGATTAGGGTGGAACTGAAAGAGATAGAGACACAAAAAAACCTTCAAAAATTAATGAATCCAGGAGCTGTTTTTAGGGTAAAATTAATAAAAATAGAAAGTAAATTAATAAATGAAGAAAAGAGAGAAGAATCAAATAAACACAATCAGAAATGATAAGGGGAATATCACCACTGACCTCACAGAAATACAAACAACCACCAGAGAATCCTATGAACACCTCTGTGCACATAAACTAGAAAATCCAGAAGGAATGAATATATACCTAGAAACACACAACCTCCCAAGACTGAACCAGGAATAAATTGAATCCCTGAGTAAACCAATAATGAGTTTTGAAATTGAGGCAGTAATAAATAGCCTACCAACAACAAAAAAAAAAAGCCCAGGACCAGATGGATTCACAGCTGGATTCTACCAGAGGTACAAAGAAGAGCTGGTACCATTTTTACTGAAACTATTCCAGAAAATTGGAAAACAGGGACTCCTCCCTAGCTCATTCTATGAGCACAGCAACATCTACATACCAAAACCTGGCAGAGATGCAACAAGAAAGGAAAACTTCAGGCCAATATCCTTGATGAACAGCAATGCAAAAACCCTCAATTAAATACTGGCAAACCAAATCCAGCAACACATCAAAAAGCTTATCCCTCATGATCAGGTAGGTTTCATCTCTGTAATGCAAAGTTGGTTCAACATATGCAAATCAATAAATGTGATTCATCACATGACGAGAACTAAAGACAAAAACTACATGATTATCTTAGTAGATGCAGAAAAGGCCTTCAACATCAACATCTCTTCATGTTAAAAACTCTCAATAAACTAGGTATTGAAGGAATATACCTCAAAATAATAAGGCCCATATATGACAAACACACAGCCAATATCACACTGAATGAGCAAAAGCTGGAAGCATCCCCCTTAAAAAGAGGCAGAAGACAAGGATGCCCTCTCTCACCATTCCTATTCAACATAATATTGGAAGTTCTGGCCAAGGCAATGAGGCAAGAAAAGAAATAAAGAGTATTCAAATAGGGAGACAGGAAGTCAAAGTATCTTTGTTTACCAATGACATAATCTTATATCTAGAAAACCACATTATCTCAGCCCAAAAGCTTCTTAACCTGATAAACAACTTTAGCAAAGTCTTAGGATACAAAATCAATGTGCAAAAATTGCTAGCATTCCTATACATGAACAAGCCAAGCCAAGAGCCAAATCATGAATGAACTCTTATTCACAGTTATCACAAAAAAGAATAAAATACCTAGGAGTACGGATAACAAGGAAAGTGAAAGACCTCTTCAAGGATAACTACAAACCACTGCTCAAAGAAATCAGAGATGACACAAACTAATGGAATAACATTCAATGCTCATGGAGTGGAAGAATCAATATTGTGAAAATGGCCATATTGCCCACAGCAATTTATAGATTCAATGCTATTCCCACTAAACTACCATTGACATCTTTCACAGAAGTAGAAAAAAATTTTAAAATTCATATGGAACCAACAAACAGCACAAATAGCCAAGGCAATCCTAAGCAAAAAGAACAAAGCTAGAGGAATCATGCTACCTGATGTCAAATCCTACTGTAGGCTACTACAAGCCTACAGTAACCAAAATGGCATGGTACTGGTACAAGAATAATGAGAGAGAATAGAGAATCCAGATAAGACCACACACCTATGACCATCTGATCTTTAACAAACCTGACAAAAACAAGCAATGGGGAAAGGATTCCCTATTTAAGAATAGTCAGTTCTGGGAGAACTGACTAGCCATATGCAGAAATTGAAACTGGACCCCTTCCTTACACCATATACAAAAATCAACTCAAGATGGCTTAAAGACTCAAATGTAAAACCCAAAACTATAAAAAACCCAGAAGAGGCCGGGCGTGGTGGCTCACGCCTGTAATCCCAGCACTTTGGGAGGCTGAGGTGGGCAGATCACGATGTCAGGAGATCGAGACCACAGTGAAACCCCGTCTCTACTAAAAATACAAAAAATTAGCCAGGTGCAGTGGTGGGCGCCTGTAGTCCCACCTACTCGGGAGGCTGAGGCAGGAGAATGGTGTGAACCCGGGAGGCGGAGCTTGCAGTGAGCCGAGATTGTGCCACTGCACTCCAGCCTGGGAGACAGAGCGAGACTCTGTCTCGAATAAAAAAAAAAAAAAAAAAAAAACCCAGAAGAAAATCTAGGCAATACCATTCAGGACATAGGCATAGGCAAAGATTTCATGACAAAGATGCCAAAACCAATTGCAACAAATGCAAAAATTGACAATTGGGATCTAATTAAACTAAAGAGCTTCTACACAGCAAAACAAACTATTATCAGAGTGAACAGACAACCTACAGAACGGGAGAAAAATTTTTCAATCTATCTATCTGACAAAGTTCTAACTTCCAGCATCTACAAGGTACTTAAATTTACAAGAAAAAAAAACCATTAAAAAGTACATAAAGGACATGAACAGACAATTCTCAAAAGAAGACATACATGCAGCCAACAAACATGAAAGAAATCTCAACATCACTGATCATTAGAGAAATGCAAATCAAAACCACAATGAGATGCTCTCTCACACCAATCAGAATGGCTATTATTAAAAAGTAAAAAACAAAACAAAACACGCTGGTGAGGTTGTGGAGAAAAATGAATGCATATACACTATTGGTATGAGTGTAAATTAGTTTTACTATTGTGGAAGACATTGTATTGATTCCTCAAAGTTCTAAAGACAGAAATAGCTTTTGACCCAGCAATCCCATTCCTTGGTATATACCCAAGAGAATATAAATCATTCTATTATAAAGATACATGCAGGTGTATGTTCACTGCAACAGTATTCACAATAGCAAAGGCATGGAACCAACTTAAATGTCCTTCAGTAACAGGCTAGATAAAGAAAATGTAGTACATATACACTATGGAATACTATGCAGCCATAAAAAGGAATGAGATCATATCATTTGCAGGGACATGGATGGAGCTGGAATCCATCATCCTCAGCAAACTAACACAGGAACAGAAAACCAAATACCACATGTTCTCACTGATAGGTAGAATCTGAATGATGAGAACACATGAACATATGGTGGGGGACAACACACACTGGGGCCTATCAGAGGGTGGGGAGGTGGGAGCAGGAAGTAAAGGTGATGGGATGATCTGTGCAGCAAACCACCATGGCACATGTTTACCTATGTAACAAACCTGCACATCCTACACATGTACCCTTAAACTTAAAATAAAAGTTGGAGAAAAGAAGCCAAATGTTTCACAGAACAAGAGGAGGTTGAAGCAGACAAACCTGAAGGAAATCTCCACCTGAGAACGAAGATAGCCAAGGCAGATCCTCATGTAAAATTAAAAGCTAGGATTGTGAGTGATGAAGGGGTTAGAAGGAAGCAGATTCTTCCTTTCCATAATTAAGGCAAGGAAATGAAATGACTTCTCCCCTTTTTCAACTTTCACCCTCCTGTAGGCTAACTTTTCCTAATTTTTCCCCTTTAATTTTGTCTTTTCTTTTGTTTTTTAAACCTAGATTTACCTGTATGAAATTTATTCATGGAAAATGAATATATGCTGTCACATAAGCCAAGAGAGTGTCTCAGATCTTATAATCCACTGAAGACAGTTCATAGACAATCCCTTGAAACAAAGTAAGTATAGTTGAGAAATACTGAAGGGCTGATTTCACTATTTATAACATTCCAATTCTCATAGCAATAAAATTGGATGAAGAAAGTTCTACTCCTCCACTACAGTATGAAAGTTATACCTCTTTGGTCAAAAGATGGCTATGCAGTATTCACATTCAGAATAAATTTTGTATTCCAGACACAGGACTGGAGTGGTTTCTAATTTAAAATTAGATGTTGAAGAAAATAAATCTGGATGCTATAAAAAATTTTACCTGTATCAGGCTAAAAAGGATTTTTTAAACAATTGTCAGGCCAATATCTCATATTGCCAAACCCATAAACTGCTTCAAGAAACAGATGGAATTTATATCACAGACTCTCAAACCTCATGGGGAGGGATCTTTGAGTCCAATTAACCCCTTGGCAATAGTTAATCTGGAGTGATATGCTCAAAGCATCCAAAAATATTTTGTCTAGACTTGCCCACTGCAGAATTTTCTATAGTACATTCTCTGGGCAGGACAGCACGGATTCAAGCAGTGGGCAGGGACTGGTGATATCTTCTCAGAATGTAGGCTTTCTTTTCTCATATTCTCAAGGATATATCCATAACAACTTTACAAGACAGGTATTCCACCTCAGTTGGAGCTGCCATTCAGGCTTGCTAAGATTCCTAATGCAAGTGCCAAACCTCAAATTAAAAGAAAATACAAAAACATTTCAGTATGTGCTGAGCTACTACTGACAATATCCAAAGATGGCAAAAACTGAAGAATTAGAGTAGAGTGTTTCATATAAAACGTTGCCTGCAATTTTTGTAGATATTTCCAACCAATTTCAGAAGGAACTGAGAGTTTAAAAATAATCCAACTTCTTTATCATTTTATTAGATTTTGAATATTATCTTCTTCTAAAGTGGTTAAGCCAGGTCAGTTACAAAGCAATGCATTTAATCGAGTTGATTCTTGTGGCTATAGTTTGCATGCAAGTGTACTGTTGGAGCAAAGAGTCTCAGTCTTCTTCCCTGTGGACTGCAATAACAAATGCCCATTCTTCTGTAGCTGAAATTGCTTGGGTATGGTCCTTTGAGGAGGCAGAGAACAGGAATGGACAGGCATCTCTCAAAGGTCCACTAGAAGCTTCCAGTCCCTAACCCCAAGACCTTGTTTGTCTACCAATAGAAGCACTTCATGTATCAATGACATTGGGAAGTGAAGACAAGATAAGAAAAGAGAGAAATTAAGTAAGCAAGTAAAAAAATTTTCTTTTTTTGAAAAAAAAAAAAGATAAATGAAGTAGAAGGGCAAGTAACAAATTAAAAGTGAGGAGTGTTCCAAGAAGTTGATTTAGCAAAGTGTGTTGATCTTAGACTAGAAAGGAACCAAAAGACAAGTTGAAAGAAAAAGCTTGATTGAAAAAGTCTCAAAGGAAATACATGAAAATCTTATTTATGCTGTTGGGTGTGTGTGTGTGCATGTGTGTGTGCTTTCCAGTGCTTCTATTACCGTTACTAAAGTATTCTTCAATAGTTCCTGACAATGTTTTATGTTCATCGCTTTGACAAACCTCTTTGATCTCCTCCTTTGCCTATGAAAGAATTCCCTTGAAAGATTGTCAGTCAAGGTTGGATATGCTGATTTATTATTGCTGTTATTAAAAGTAATCACTGACATTTGTAAGTAGTTATACAAGTGCCTAAGTACCTTCACACGTATATCTTCTAGTAGTCATGACAACATTGTACTTCAAATTATCAACACCATTAACCCATTTTATAAATGAGAAAAATGTCACTAAAAAAGGCTAAGGGATTTACCCACCATCATTTACTCCAATTCACTTGCACTGACTTGGCACTCATGCTCTTTCTCCCATACTATGTTACTGCTTAATAGACAAAGCAAGTTTTTGTAAATAGGTGATATATGAAGTAGGGGGCACTTGCTTTACTCAATTAAAATGTCTTTCTTCCAAAGATGCTTCTGTGGTTTGATGCTGTGGTTTTAACCCCCAAAGCAACAGTGTTGAGAGGTGGGACCTTCAAGAGGTGATTACATCATGAGGGCTTTGCCCTCATGAAGGGATTAATGCTATTATCGAGAGAGTGGGTTTCTGATAAAAGGATGAGTTTGGCCCCCTCTCTCTCCCTCTCTCACCTTCTCTCAACCTCTCTCACACATGCATGCTCTTTTGCCCTTCCACTTGCTCCCATGAGATGATGCAGCTAGAATGCCCTTGTCAGATGCAAACCCATCAACCTTGGGCTTCCCAGCCTCCAGAACTATAAGAAATAAATCTCTGTTCTTTATAAATTAGCCAGTCTCGGGTATTCTGTTATAGCAGCACAAAATGGACTAAGAAAAATAATTACTATAAGTCTGTAAATAGTGTGGGAGGGAACTTGTTACAAGATTAATTAAGTAAACAAAATTAAGACAAATAAATAAACATACTCTGATCTCAACCTTGTCTTAAAAACTTGATTGAAAGCAGTCTGGAAAGAATTTCATGTAAGTGTTAACAGTGGTAAGTGAGTGTTGATGGTACAGCATAGCAACTAAAAGTTAGACTCTGAAATTACACTGCCTACATTTGAATCTTAGGCTTGCCACCTATTAGCCAAGTGACTGTAGGCAAATATTTTAACTGTGCTTCTGGTCCTTATCTCTTTAATTAAGGCCATGATGGGATCTATCTCAATTCTCATGACGATTTCTCATATTGAAATCGTCATGAGAGTTAAAAGACTTAATATGAGTAAAGCCTTAGAACAGTTCTTGTTGTAATACATAGTAAGCACCATACAGGTGTTAGTTATTGATTATTTCTATTGATTATGTGTGATCTTAATTTTTATATGTTTTGAAATTTCAAATGTTTAGCATATGTATGTTGATATCCCCCAAAAAACCTATGAAAAGAATAAAAAGTGGCCAGTAACAATTTCCATAGCTGACTTAACTGAAAGTTCTGTCCCTTTAAGATTCAGAGCTTCTTTGTAACACTCTCCATTTTTTAGTTCCTTGGAAATTTGTCTTACTGACAGGTAGGTGCCTTGTTTGTTGAAGGAAAGCTAAGCGACTTATAGCTATCCCAAAGTCTCCCTGATGAAACCAGAGCAGATGTTTGAGCAAGTATTCAAGGTATCAAAGATTCCTTAAAGGGACAAACTTCATCTTGAAATCATCAAGCAAAAGAAACAAACAGCAATTTCCAGGTAACTTTGTGCAAATTAGATGACAGGTAAATTAATCAAGTTTTCCTGACACTGAGTCTTCATTTACACAACCCTTAACAACTTGCTTTGGGCTATTAGTCTCACCATAAATATGTGCCGCAGCAAATGCAAAAGCATTTACTCTGAAAGTTAACAAAACTAGGTTCACGAGAAACATGGCACACACCAGACAACTGGGAACAAATACAGAAAGCGGGACTTCTTCCAACCAGATGCTTCTCAAAATATGTGGCAAACGTTTTAAAGAGTCCTGTAAGAATTTCAAGAACCATTCTTCTAGATTAAGAAAAGCACAGAAGGAATACAGACAAAGAGCAGATGGTGTGCACAAGCTGTCTAAGATTTTGAAAGGGGAGATATTACAATTTGATAAAGCAGTGGCAGTTTATGTACATTTGAGGCAGCACCAGCCATATGTATTATATTTCTATAGACCGTCCTCCTCCCACCACACCCTGGAGACTTCATTACTCAAAGCAAAATTTCTAATTGTGGTGAGCTAGAGACACTGAATATAATCTTATTACAAAGGTTCTTAAATCATCAATAACTAGGAATTGTGTAATTTGTTTGTAATTAGCAATATGTAGTGAGCTCTTAAATTCTATTTGGCTTCTTTATAGGACTTTTAAACTGTTTTTTACTACAGGTGAAAATACAACAGCATTCTTTGTGTTCATATGCAGAACCAGGCTTCATGACTATGCACTACCCAGTTGTCACTCTGCCAAATAGCATGGGGATACAAAGAAGTTGGTACTCACCTTGAAAGGACAACATGAAGCCTTATTGAAGCCAAAATCTCAGTGTTCTGGAGCCATTTACCTCTACCACCATATCTGGTAATTAAACACGAGGAGGGTACCAACATTTAAAGCATGGCCTTTGTGGCTGTGTCAGGAAACAGTTTTCCTGAAGAACTCCTCAATGAGACAAGAATTACAGAGTGTAATTAGAAATCGTTTGCCATTAAATATAGTTTCAATTGGAATGTCATTTAAAGGTTTGAGAAAAAATTCTAGCTCTTGTGTGTCGTTTTGAATTTTCTCCCTGTTGATTACTTTCTGCTTAGAAAATATATTAAGTATAATTAGAGTGAAAGAGAAAGAAAAATCACTGATTATTTCTGTATCTGTGAGCAACCTATAGGGAGATTAAAAGAACGTCATTGTAGTATACCTAAGTCCGCAGTCTAAATGAACATTTTTAAACTTGTTCTGCCGTGGTGCTAAAAGTAAGAATAGGCCAACACTGAAAAAAAAATTAAGTATACATTCTCCAAATTTGTCATGATTTCCATCCATTAGGTTCTTGCAGATTGTTGGGGTCTCTTTTCACTCCTGTAGCAGTTACAGATCCACAGCCAACCTCTCTTTCTAAGACATATATTAAAGTCTTCACCATTTGATGAGGACTTTTCACTGCTAAGATTAACCTGATGGACAAATTACAGTATCTCTCCTGCCAAAATGATGTTTTCCTAATACAAATGCAACTTTGTGACCGACTATGTTTCATTTTCTCCCTTGCTTCAAATCCTGCTACCTACCGGGGAGAATTTTCACTTCTGACAGCAAAAATAAATCTCTGCATGAAGACAGGTAGGAAAATACAGCTTTCATGTCAGAGGGCTCAGATTTTCTATTTCACATTCAAGAAATGATACCTCTTTGAGGTGTTTGGTTGTATTCTGAAAGCAGAGTACTACACACAAACATTGATTCTTTTTCACTATTTCAAAAAAAAATTGTCTTCATTGAGCTAAAACCAATTTCAGTCTCAGTTGTCTTATGTACACAGAGACTTCACGTGAACAGTGATGCCACCTTATCGAGTGGACTCTGCTACCCATTCTAGAGCCTATCTCTGCTTCCTTTTACTTGCTGCCTCTGTTTCCTGCCTACCTGCCCCCTTTCATCTCTTGCATTTGGTTTCACTCTACTTAAAGTGCTCTTTGATATTGACAACAACCATTCTCTTGGCAAAAAATATTGATGTTTTCATGTCTTCACAACCTTGAATTCTGTTGCACTCAGAGCTGTCTCGGTCTCTTCCTCTTTCTCTGACTGCTCTGTTTCTCTCTTCTTAGATACACTGACTCAACATTCAGCCCTTCTTGTTTCTGAAGGTTCTGTCCTCTGCCCTTCATACTTTTCTTTTCTTTTTTATCTTTCTTTTTTTTTTTTTTTTTTGAGACAGTTTCGTTCTTGTTGCCCAAGCTGGAATGCAATGGTGTGATCTCGGCTCACTGCAACCTCCGCCTCCCAGGTTCAAATGATTCTCCTGCCTCAGCCTCCTGAGTAGCTGGGATTACAGGCACATGCCACCACGCCAGGCTAATTTTTTGTATTTTTATTAGAAACGGGGTTTCACCATGTTAGCCAGGCTGGTCTCAAACTCCTGACCTCAGGTGATCCGCCAGCCTTGGCCTCCCAAAATGCTGGGATTATTAGCATGAGCCATCGTGCCCAGTCCATACTTGTCACTCATACTGTTTCAGTCATTGAGTTTATAAACTCCATTGCTTCAACTCTCTCCTCTGAGAAGGTAATCCCCAAGCCTCCATCTCCAATTCTTATTTTCCATGTGCTCCTCCTGTTTACAAATGGCCACAGGCATTTCCATTTGAATGACTCGCCATAATGTCAAATTCTGTATTTAACCTATTGGAAATTGACATCCTCATCTTTTCTCCAGATTAGCTCTCCTTTCTCAGTAATCCAGCTCTATCCTTGATTTCACCGTTAGTTCAGTTTGCCAAATCACAAAACTTAGTATCATTTCTTCTCATTAGTCACAGAATATAAACTTCAACAGAATGCAGACTTTGTTTTGTTTGCTGATGAAGGTCCAGGTCCTAGAAGAGAGCCTAGCTCAAAGTAGGTTCTTAATAAATACTTACTGAAGGAACAAATTGTGAGTATTCAATGATAGAATACACATAAAGTGATTGCTATTATATTAGCTGAAGTTCTCAATAAATGTTACCTATCACATATTATTATTTCTATGATTCCTATTTTCAGTAGTAATTGCAGCATTAAAAAGATGACCCTAAGCACCTCATTTTCTTGCATTTATTTATAATTTTTTGATATTTTATTTTTCTCCTTAATTTTAGAGTGCAGAAACTTTGGTTTGTTGTAGTCCTTTGGCCACAAGGCCTCCAGCATTTACAACCATGCAAAGGAAGATCGCTAAAGAACAGTCTTCCCTGGTTTTGCAGAGGGGGAGGCAAAGTATAAGAGAGACAGAAATCTGGGAGTGAAAGGATCACTCATCTTGTTTATATGTTGGTTTTGTAGGCACTAAGTTTGAGGCACAAAGTTTTCGTAGTCCTTTGAACAATAATAAATGACAAATGATCTGAAGAGAATATTAAAACATTTTCAATTTGAATCTTCAAAAAAGTAGATGGAAGGTGTTCTCGTTGAATTTGGACCACAGGTGACACACAAAAAAATTCAAAATGTTAAATTATTTTATCTCTTTGTAAGATTATTATAATTTGATAAGCATTCTTATTTAACATTATCAGAAGAACAAAAACATAACAGCAAACAAATATAATTTAATTATTTTGCTCCTGGTGTGTTTTGCCATGTTAAAATGAGCTTTGGGGGTTTTGATTTGAGAACCTGCCTCTATTTATGTTTTCTTTCACTATTCTGTTACTTTATGTTGTTTCATTAACACAATTTATATTCTTGCTTGTTTTCCGTATTTTGTTAATTTTTACGTATATGTAATTATTCATTTTTAGAAACTCTTATTTTGGCAAAGCTAGAAGGTATTCATGCGTTGGAGTACAATGTTAATATATCTCCGATTTGTTACGTAGACTCTTGCTTTTAATTCTTTAACTCTCATCAGTCTCCAAATTATACAAAAAAAACACAGAATCTTGACCTAGAATGGGAAAATACTAGTTTGATTTCTAGCTCTGGTTCTTTCTAGCTGTCTGAGGTTGGCATGATTCCTTATAGTATCAATGAGCTTTAGGGTGGTATTAAGAAGACCCACACCCAAGCCAGACATCCTGAATTTAAGCACTGCCCCAGTATCTTCATTCACAAAATGGGGATGATACCAATGCCCACCACATGGGTTAGTGGCATGAAGTGACTTAATAAATATAAAGCATTTAGAATATTCTCTGGGCATGTAGTAAGCAATGTTGTGAGAATAAAAGGGAATTGAGGGAGCTACTATTTGTAAACTCAATATGTGCTCGACCATCTTTCATTTATAAGAACTCATGTAATCATCACAACAATCTTATGAGGTGATGAGAGGTGAGAGTGTGCTGGCAGTCCTCACAGCCCTCGCTCACTCTTGGCACCTCCTCTGCCTGGGCTCCCACTTTGGCGGCACTTCAGGAACCCTTCAGCCTGCCGCTGCACTGTGGGAGCCCCTTTCTGGGCTGGCCAAGGCTGGAGCCGGCTCCCTCAGCTTGCCAGGAAATGTGGAGGGAGAGGCGCGGGCGGGAACCGGGGCTGCCCCCGGTGCTTGCAGGCCAGCAGGAGTTCCGTGTGGGCGTGGGCTCGGCTGACCCTGCACTGGGAGCAGCGGGTGGGCCCCACCCGCCCCTGGCAGTGAGGGGCTTAGCACCTGGGCCAGCAGCTGCTGTGCTCAATTTCTCCCCGGTCCTTAGCTGCCTTCCTGCAGGGCAGGGCTCAGGACCTGCAGCCCGCCATGCCTGAGCCTCCCCCCACTCAGTGGGCTCCTGTGCCGCCCGGAGCCTCCCCAATGAACGCGGCTTCCTGCTCCAGGGCGCCCAGTCCCATCGACCACCCAAGGGCTGAGGAGTGCGATGGAAGGGTGTGGGACTGGCAGGCACCTCCACCTGCAGACCCCCTGCGGGATCCACTGGGTGAAGCCAGCTGGGCTCCTGAGTCTGGTGGGGACGTAGAGAACCTTTATGTCTAGCTCAGGGATTGTAAATACACCAATTGGCACTCCATATCTAGCTCAAGGTTTGTAAACATACCAATCAGCATCCTGTGTCTAGCTCAGGGTTTGTGAATGCACCAATCAACACTCTGTATCTAGCTACTCTGGTGGGGCCTTGGAGAACATTTATGTCTAGCTCAGGGATTGTAAACACACCAATCAGCGCCCTGTCAAAACAGACCACTTGGCTCTACCAATCAGCAGGATGTGGGTGGGGCCGGATAAGAGAATAAAAGCAGGCTGCCCAAGCTAGCAGTGGCAACCTGCTGGGGTCCGCTTCCACACCGTGAAAGCTTTGTTCTTTCTTTCTTTGCAATAAATCTTGCTGCTGCTCACTCTTTGGGTCCACTCTGCCTTTATGAGCTGTAACACTCACCAGGAAGGTCTGCAGCTTCACTCCTGAAGCCAGCGAGACCACGAACCCACCAGAAGAAACGAACAACTCCAGACGCGCCACCTTAAGAGCTGTAACACTCACCGCCAAGGTCTGCAGCTTCATTCCTCAGCCAGCCAGACCACGAACCCACCAGAAGGAAGAATCTCCAAACACATCCGAATATCAGAAGGAAGAAACTCTGGACACGCCGCCTTTAAGAACTGTAACACTCACCGCGAGGGTCCGCGGCTTTCTCGAAGTTAGTGAGACCAAGAACCCACCAATTCTGGACACAGTGAGGTAGGTTCCTATTTTACAAGTGAGAAAAATGAAGTTCAGAGAACTGAAGTAACTTGAATAAAGTCACAGAGCTAATACGTTGTTGAGCCTATTTTCAAAACCATGAGACATAATGAAGATGGACCTAGTACATGAGGTCTTCATAAGTGTTTTATACCTTACCTTATTAAGCTCCAACAGCTATAGGAAAAATATAGTATGTTGCAGTCGTGCTTAAGATTGTCTTGCCAAGTTCTATGCTGGGGCATTTTTTTCTATGTCTCAGTAGGTCCTTAGAAATGTATCAGTGGCTCAATAATCACCTTCAAATGTTGGTCTATATGACTAATGGATTTAAGGGTAAGGTTAATTTTTTGCCTTCTTCTTTGCACCTAAATCATGAGTGAAATACAGATAGCATAATATTAATTAACAGCTTTAGCAGTGTCTGGCTTTGAACCTGGTTCTGCCACTTTCCATCTGTGTGACCTTAGGCAAGTTGCTTCAATAACTTTCTCATCCTCAATTTCTTCATTTGGAAAATGGAGATGTTAATGGTGTTGCCCTCATAAACTTGTTATAAGCATTAACTGATTATAATGCATTCAAATCCCTTAGCATAGTCATGCAGATTATCATGAAATAAATATGAAAAGGGAAAAAGGGTCGTTTATTTCTATGATAGTTTTCTAATTCATTTTCCCATAGGAACAGTCACAGTTCTAAAACCACTGGACTAATTAATTTCCCAGCAGTTGAATCATCATTCTACTATGGGTCTGGAAGTAAATATGCATTAACACTGACTGTCTGGTGAACTAACCTCTGAATTTAAACATCATATATTAGCTTTCTATATTTTATAGGGAGCTCCATGGTTCATATATCTATCATTCACCATTCTCCATAGGATCCATTTTCTTCCTCAGTGGTTTTTCTTAAGCAAGCATGGATTTACTTCATCCATGCCTTTCTCACCCCTGTCATGCTTAAGAGTTACATTCTAACATCTCCTACATCATTCTCCTCATTTAAATACAAAGGCATCTGACCTAATACTCCCGAACCATCTCAAGAGTATGACTCATACAGAGAAATTCCTACTATTTCAGCATCTCACCCCTGTTGGATGACCGAACTAACCTTATGGCAAATTCAGCTTTAGTGAATGATATTTCTTAGGGTTGTTTTGTCCACAAAGACTCCTACTGCCAGAAATACGAAAATGGAAAATATGAGCTTTGCCTAGTAGTCCATCACCATCAGTTTCACAACAGTGACAAAACATTCTTTTCTCAAAAAGCATCAGCCACTTCCTCAGAGGATTACCTGGTGGAATCTCCCCCCATGCCCACCCAACCTTCACTAACTGACTCCATGGCACAAAGGGTAGGCTGGTATGAATCCACCCACCCTCTTCCATGCTCACCGACAGCTGAACAAGCCCCACACTTCTCCCTCCAAATAACTGGCAATGCCAGCAGAGACTTGGAACAGCAGGCAGACAAAGAAAAACAATTTAATTTCTCTCTGACTGGCTGCGGCTTTCCAAATGTGACAGCTTTTCTAACCAAATGGCTTGTATTCTAGTCAGTTAGACTGAGGAAGAAACAGGGTGAACAGTGACACCAAATGGTTAGATATACTAAGAAAGAGTGTTTATATCCTGTGCCACATCAGAAATGACTGAGGTGGCTTACATAGATAAGTAATAGTCAATAAAATAACAAATTAAAAGTAGGTAGTAAATTAGGAAACAAAATACTTTGAGACCTAAAAATGTCTACAGAATAGTAGATTTAAAAAAAAAAAAAGCTAATTTGAGCCACTAATTCACTTTCTAGCAGTGCAGAGGAAAAAAAGGAAATCTGTTCAGTTTCAAAGGAGAAGTACAATTCTTCCTCAAGCTACAATGACAGAAATTTCTAATAACAGGCTTTTAAGTATCTATTAAAAACTAGAGACCTTGGAAATGTACTTCATCCTTGCTTTTTTTCTTTGTGTGTATTTTCATTTATGTTATCTTTTCCAAATCTAATTTTCTAAACTTTTAGTTTAGATTTTTATTTGATACCACTGGATCATACTTAATTACAATCTTTATTCAGTCTCTGCTCAATTAAAAGCAGCCAAGTAGAACAGCTGTTTCTAAGAATATGTATTTTTTAAGTTATCAGTGGAAAGTCCAGTGAGCAAGAAGAAAGACAATGCAGAAATTTCCGTTTGATAGGATTAGTTGTTCATGATGATGTTCAGAACATCTCTAGTCCAACCAATTTATCAAACTATTAAGTTGCACTTAAAGCTTATAGTACTTTGGGAGGCTGAGGTGGGCAGATCACCTGAGGTCAGGAGTTCGAGACCAGCCTGGCCAACATGGTGAAACCTTGTCTCTATTAAAAATACAAAAATTAGCTGGTGTAGTGGTGGGCACCTGTAGTCCCAGCTACTCGGGAGGCTGAGGCAGGAGAATCGCTTGAACCCAGGAGGCGGAGGTTGCAGTGAGCTGAGACTGTGCCATTGTACTCCAGCCTGGGCAACAAGAGCAAAACTCTGTCTCAAAGAGCAAAAAAAAGCTTATATAACTTGTTCGATAATGTTTAATATGGATTTACTGAGAAAATGGTAGGCTGTAGAGCATGTTACAGAGAACAGAATTAAGTGATATGAACAGTGAACAAGCTACAAAAATAAAGAAAAATGGTATCTAAGGAATATATAGAAGCTCAAATTGAAGAATAAGAAATGAGAATGATAAGCATGCATGGGGGAAAAGAAGAAATTATCTAAATCATAAGAAGCAAAATGTATGGCAAAAACAGATTATTGATGACTTTAAATGAAGGGAATGGAGAACAAGATGAAAGAGACAGATAGGAGATGTGAAGAAAATAAAACATTGAGTCAGAAAGAGAGGAAATCTAAGAATGATTTTAAAATAACAGCTGGCAATTTTAGCTTACTCAAAGGTTAAAGTGCCAGAAAGTAAAGAAATGTGGAAAGAAACACGTAGTTGGCTCGTAATGGGCTCTTAAAAAACACGTTAGATTTTGGTTGCTGCTGAGACAGAAAGAGATAGGGGAATGAAAATAAGAAGAGAATTTGTAGATGAAAGAGAATGGATCAATGAATTTCTTTTCTATTTCATATTCTTCCCATCACAAGATATAAAGGGATAGTCAGAGAATTACCGGGATGATTGACATGTCAGAAAATAAGAACTCTGAGAAAAGATTAAATAAAAGCCAGTCTTTCCCCCACAAAATAATAGGTGAATGGTAATAATGTTTTCCACAAGTTGAGCTGCTAGCCATTCCTGCTGCATCCAATTGAGCTCATTGTTAAACTCTCTATACACCTTTTGATCATAAGGAAAAACTGAGAATCCTGAAAGCTCCTTCTTCCTCCCCTTTGTTCACATCTCTATCATATTGGATATTAATTTGTACTGACTTCTTTGACATGTGTATTTCCCCTACTAGACTACGAACTCTCCAGGACCAGGGACCAGAGTCATTCTGTATATTCATGCCTAATATCCAAGATCTCTCTCTGTATATTTATAGTCTACCATTTTTCCAGGAAGGGTTTAATGTGTCACCTGATTTTTGTTGAGAGAATCTGCTCTGCCAGTCTTCACTCTTTCCATTTCTCATAGTCATTTATTCAATTTCAATTTCTTGATCCAAAAATGTAGTCATTATTCTTGATTCTTCTCCTTCTCTACTTTTCCCTAATTCAGTCCATCACCAAATCCCATCAGTCTTCTTTTCAGTATGAATCTTGCATCATCACCTCTCATCACTTCACCATCACTTCCCATCCTGGGCTATGGAAACAGCTTTCCAAGTAGTCTCCCTGCATTCCCTTTTGCCCTTCTGTGTTTATTCTTTGCAGATCAGCCAAAGAAATCTTTCAAAGTCTAATTCCAATCATATCATTTGCCTAATTAAAAACTGATGTCTTCCCATTGCTCTCAGAACATTCCCCACAACCTGGCTTCCTTTCTTGCCATCCTCTCATCTCTCCCTTGCTCAATGGACTCAGTCTGCAGTGGCCTTCTTGTTGTGCCTTGAAAAAGTCAAATTTATCCCTGTCACTTACCCTTGCTCTACTGCCTGGAATGCTCTTCACCCATATCCTTGAATAACTAACACTGTCTAATCATTCATTCTCTTCTCAAATGTTACTTTCCTAAGATGCATTTCCAGACCATCTTTTCTAAATGAGCATACATAGATTACCTCACTCTGTTTTATTTTCTTCACAACACTTGTTACTCTCTGAAATTTTATGCTTATGTATTTTCTATTTCCTATGCAGAAATATAAACTCTCATAAATGCAAATATTTTGTCTATTCACCACTGTAGCTCTACATCTCCAGGATCCTAAACACATAGAAGATGCTTAATAAATAAATGCCAAATGGGCAAATAGATATGTTTGCACAATCAGGTCTTAGGTTCAGGGATAAACACTTTCCATTCATTATCTGACACTGATGTTAGTTGTATGTCTTGGTTTCTTATTAAATAAAATTATTATAATTTTTATAAAAATGATATTAAAATAAATTTAGGCCAGGCATGGTGGCCCACGCTTATAATCCCAGCACTTTGGGAGGCCGAGGTGGGCGGATCACCTGAAGTCAGGAGTTCGAGACCAGCCTGGCCAACATGGTGAAACTCCGTCTCTACTAAAAATACAAAATTAGCCGGGCATGGTGGCACATGCCTGTAATCCCAGCTGCTTGGGAGGCTGAGGCAAGAGAATTGCTTGAACTTGGGAGATGGAGGTTGCAGTGAGCTGAGATCATGCCATTGCACTCCAGCCTGGGTGACAAGAGCAAAACGCCATCTCAAAAAATAAATAAATAAAATAAAATAAAATAAATTTTAAAATGTTAAGGACTGTTACTTTTCAGGAAATGGTTCTATGCTAATGAAATGAATCAAAAGTGTTTGGAGATGAAAAGAATTCTAATATGCCATCCAGTCAAATCTCACGCCTATTTCTCAGTTTCCTCTATGCTCAGACCCTGTTTAACACTTTAGAACAAGGGTACCCACTGCCTCACAAGGCACCATATCTTGCTGTTAGAAAGCTAGCGTTATCACACTGAACTGAAATATGCTAAGATGCCTGCAGAAACCAGGTGAATAACAGTTCCATGAAGTCTGCCAGGAGCAGTGAGGATTGTGGCAAATGAACAAGCTCTTGCCTGGACTAAAAGAATACCTGCTGTTCCACAACTGATCGTTGTCATTTCACATCAGGAAGCAGGCCCCATGTTGCCCAAGTGTTCTCAGTTTTTGAAAGAAGATTGAAAAATGGATTTTTATGTGAAATGTCTCCATGTTTAAAACCCTATCTGGCTACCTTAAAACCTGACGACTGTTGGTTGATAAATTTCTAGTCTAAAGCAATACAGAAGAAAACTTCTCCATCTTCTACAAGAAAGTCCAGGATTTAAAAATATTTAGGATATTGCCCTAATTCTTTATTCTTAATCTAAATGTCCTTGGCTATTTTCAACATTATTTTTATCATGCCATGATTATGTTATAAAATCAAATAAGCAGTTGACTTTAAAGTATCTACTGGATTAACCCAAATGTTCAGGTTATAGCTGAGTTAAAAACAAACAAACAAAAAACACAAAACCAAAAGCTATAGGAATGATTTTAAGTCAAACAACACTGTGGTAAAATCTTTTCTTCTGGTGTTTCATCTTGTGGCATCTTGTCCAGACCACATTTCAATCCTACCATTTTATGTACCATTAAGATCACTAGTTTCAAAAACTTCACACAGCACATCATGTACTTGAAGGAATGACCCTCAGTGAACCACATGTGACATGACAAGTTTTAGTGTAGCAAAATTCAGACCACTGTTTTAACACAAATATTGTGGCTCACCTATGTATTCAGAGCAGCATCCCTGTATGACCCCAAAATTAAACTTACACTGTATTTATTGTAAGACATAAAATAGTCTGCTGCAATACAAATCTTTTTCTTATTTCAGTTCTACCTCATGTAACTTTTTCAGAACATTATTTTTGTGTATGAATTAATAACATGATTTAAATTGGGGAAGACAATAATTAATAGAAAATAACTATCACAAAGTAAAATATTTGGAATTATAAAACTTTCAAAAATGTTTTCAACAATAAACCATACATTTATAGCTTTTTCTAAAGCATGATATGCAATCATTTCTTAAAATTTTTATATATTGTCATGGAACCAAATTACTTTATGACTGCATTATATTGATTTGTTTCTGTTCCTACTTTTGTCATATATACTGCTGATTCTTTTTTTGTGATGCTGATTCTAATTTTTCTTGGTATCTCAGAGCCACGATCTGGTCTTGACCCTCTTATCATATCTTGTAAAAGAGCCTCCCTTCTTTAAGTTAATCATCTTCTTGTCTTCCTAACCTTCAAAATGGGAATTATACTTCTCAGCTATAATTAGAATTATGATATGTTTGTAAGCTTTGTCATTCAAAGGTGTGTTCTTAAGAATAGAACTCATTATTATACTATTAAAATTTATCAATAAATCTGCCCATTCACTGAGCTGTCTTCTTTATGGTACTGCTCAAAGGATCCTCCTAGTTACATCACAGGATTGAGCTCTCTCATATTAGAGCAACTGGGAACAGTACACTTCTTAAGATGGTTCAGTAAGGCCTGGGCATCCCTTGCATTTTCAGGACATATGCTCAGCTTTTCTCACTCTTAAATGTAGGGAGTTCTATGTGTCAATGGAGTTTCATTAGAATTTTATAAACTCAGTATTAAAAATGACATTTTTGTAGGTCAGAAAGTGATTGAATATCAGCAATTTCATATGGTTTAACACATTAATTCAATATATAATATTAGGTTTCCGTTCTTTATAGGTGCTGGATATTAGACCTTTGTCACATGCACAGTTTACAAATATTTTCTCCCATTCTATAGGTTGTCTGTTTACTCTGTTGATAGTTTCTTTTGATGTGCAGAAGTTCTTAAGTCAAATTAGATCCCACTTGTCAGTTTTTGCTTTTGTTGCAATTGCTTTGTCACAAAATCTTTGCCCACTCCCATGTCCAGGATAGTACTGCCTAGGTTGTCTTCTGGGGTTTTTATACTTTGGGGTTTTATATTTAAGTCCTTAATCCATCTTGAGTTGATTTTTGTATGTGGTACAAGGTAGGGGTCCAGCTTCAGTCTTTTGCATATGGCTAGCTAGTTATCCCAACACAATTTATTGTATAAGGATTCTTTTCCCCATTGCTTGCTTTTGTCAGCTTTGCCAAAGATCAGGTGGTCATAGGTGTGCAGTCTTATTTCTGGGCTCTCTATTCCATCTCATTGGTCTATGTGTCTGTTTTTGTACCAGTACCATGATGTTTTGGTTACTGTAGCCCTGTAGTGTAGTGTGAAGTTGGGTAGTGTAATGCCTCTGGCTTTGTTCTTTTTGCTTAGGATTGTCTTGGCTATTTGGGCTCTTATTAATTCCGTATGAATTTTAAAAGTTTTTTCTAGTTCCATGAAGAAAGTCATTGGTAGTTTTGGGTCAGCCACTGCAAAGACACTGGGTGCAACAGAGGAGGTATGGCCAGGGCTGTGTGCTTGACAGAGCCAAGGATGGTGGGAACAGATGAGGGCCCACCTCCTATTGAGTTGGTGGGGCAAGAGCCCCACACTCCCAGGCACAGCTATATCCATCCAGCCACAGCTCTGGATCTGGGCATCCCTGTGCTCTCGGAAACCCAGGAGTCCCCCCCTTCCCCCTACAGGCTCAGAATTGCCCACTTCCACTCCCTGGCCTCTCCCTGCTCCCAGTGCCCACTCTGATTTCAAAGCAAAGTTGAAGCCGAGCCCAGGTACTGTTGTGACCTGGTCAAGTGTGAACATATTCAAGGTGGCACTGACATGCCAGCTCCCCTGCCACCTTGGCCCCCTCTGAAACTTTGGGCACTGAGCCCTCAGGAAGGGAGGCTAGGGAGGTAGCTAAGGGTAGCTCAGCACAGGCCTGCAGATGCCCCTAGGCATGAACAGCCTGGGCACCGTGGATCGCATGTTGATGACAGCAGGAGGCAGACAGACTCTTAAGCAGAAAGGGACAGGTTCCCGGTGAAAACCCACCTTCAAGTCAGGGACCACCTGAAGCCTGCCAGCTGGGCCACCAGTTCCAGGTGGAGTTCATGGCCCAGAGTGAGAATTTAGGGTGCTTTTTCTGGGCCCACCCATGGCCATCCATGGCTGCCCATGGACCAATCAGAACATACTTTCTCCCTTCTGAGTCCATAAAATCTTGGACTCAGCCAGACTCAAACAGACATCAGGACTACCACCTATGGAAAGGAGCCACCCACGTTGGGTCTCCTCATTTCTTCAGGACAACCTGCTTTTGAAAAAGAGCTACCCACAATGGGTCTCCTCTCCTACCCTCTATGGGTCTCCTCTCCACTGAGATCTGGACACTCATCGGGACAACCCGCCAGAAAGAAGCTATTCACTATGGGTCTTCTCTTCACTGAGAGCTGGACACTCATCAGGTTGACCTGCCTGCAGAAAGGAACTACCCACTTTGGGTCTCCTGAGAGCTGTTCTGTTGCTCAGTGAAGCTCTTCTTGTTCAGTGAAGCTCCGGTTGTCCGTGTACCTAATTCTTCCTAGACACAGGAGAAAAATTTGGGACCTGCCAAATGACAGGACTAAAGATGTGCTGCTGGATTCTGTTTGCAAGTATTTTGTTGATGACTTTTGCATTGATGTTCATCAAGGATATTGGCCTGAAGTTTTCTTTTTCTGTTGTGTCTCTGCCAGGTTTTGGTATCAGGAGTATGCTGGCCTCATAGAATGAGTTGGGGAGGAGTTCCTCCTTCTCAATTTTTTGTAATAGTTTCTGTAAAAATGGTACCAGCTCTTCTTTGTACATCTGGTAGAATTCGGCTGTGAATCCAACAACCCATTAAAAAGTCAGTAAAGGACATGAACAGACACTTTTCAAAAGAAGACATACAGGTAGTCAACAAGCATATGAAAAAAAGCTCAGTATCACTGATTATTAGAGAAGTGCAAATCAAAACTCCAATGTGATACTATTTCACACCGGTGGGAATAGCTATTATTAAAAAGTCAAAAAATAACAGCTGCTGGTGAGGTTGCAGAGAAAAGGGAACACTTATACACTTGATAGGAGTATAAATTAGTTCAACCATTGTGGAAAACAGTATAGCAATTCCTCAAAGAACTAAAAGCAGAACTACCATTTGACCCAGTAATCCCATTACCGGGTATGTATCCAGATGAATATAAATCATTCTACCATAAAGACACATGCATGCAAATGTTCACTGCAGCAAACCACTCACAATAGCAAAGACATGGGATCAACCTAAATGCTCATCAATGACATATTGGATAAAGGAAATGTGATACATATACACCATGGAATACTATGCAGCCATAAAAAAGAGCAAGATTATGTCTTTTGCAGGAAGATAGATGGTGCTGGAAGATGTAATCCTTAGCAAACCAAGGAACAGAAAAGCAAATACTACATGTTCTCACTTATAAATGTGAGCTAAGTGATAAGAACTTATGAACACAAAGAAGGAAACAACAGATGATGGGGATGAATTGAGAGTAGAGGGTGGGAGGAGGGAGGTGAGCAGAAAAAAAAAGGAAAAATAATAATATTAATTTTGAGAATAAAAGAAGGATGAGATTACAAATCAGGACTGGTGTATTATTAGCAGAATGAAATTTCTGAAACTTGATTATCTATTTCTACACTTTTCACTAAATTATTTCCTAAATAAGATATAAAATTAGAGAATTAGGTGTGATAATATTGTGTTATTTTCTATTAATGGAAAATGAAATTGTTCACATATTGAAAGATTATAAACAAACCTCAAAATATTATTACAGACCTGACAACAAAGAGAGAGAGAAAGATGGAGGAAACAAGGGAGAGAAGTAAGGGTGGGAGGGAAGAAAGGGAGGATAGAAAAGAAATTATAGTTTCATAAACAAGATGTGAATACAAAATAGTTCTAATATATGTGAATTAAGTTTAAATGTAACAAAAACATGGGCAATTTAACACATTTTTTAAATGTCATAAATGTTTTTATTGAGTGTGATACAAATAAATCTATAACTAAGAAATGTATACATTTAAAGTTGACTACATCTTTGCAGTTTTGACATTGTTTCTTGAATAGAGGTAGTGTGTATCACCACTGAAAGATAAGATCTTATCTTTCACTATCTTTCATAGTGATTGGGAAAACCAATCACTGTGAGTCATAGCTAATGTTCATATATTGTATTGTTCAGAGTTCTTCAGAGAAACAGAATCAATAAGGTGTATAGAAAGAAAAAAAGAAAGAGAGAGAGACAGAGAGCTAGAGAGACTCATTTTAAAGAAATGGCTCAAGCTTAAAATCTGCAAGACGTGAACAGACTGCAGATCCAGGGAAGAGTTGACGTTGCAGTCTTGATCATGAAGACAGTCTGAAGGCAGAATTTCTTCTTCTCGAGGAATCTCAGTCTTTCTTCTCCTAAGGCCTTCAACTGATAAGATGGGGCCATTCCATATTGTGGAGAGTAATCTGCTTTATTCAAAGTCTGCTGATTTAAATAGTAATCACAGCAACAACATTCCTTTACAATAACGTCTAGCCTAGTGTTTCACCAAACAATAGGGTACCGTAGCTTAGCTAAGTTGACATATAAAATTAACCTCACACACATTATACTTGAAAGAAGACCTAGGCTTACGTTGTTCCTCTTCTACAAAATTGGCTCACCATTTATGATTAGTTATAAACACCTAGCAACAACTTCTGTAATTGTTGGCAATGTGGCACCTAAATAACTAAATGAAAAATATAGTTCCAAGCTGATACCAGCATTTGTAATGGAGCTTACTCTTTCCTTCCTGTACAAGTTTGGCATCAAGTAACAGCCAGTATTTGTGGCCTCCACAAATTTAAGACCTGTAGTAAGGAAGATTTTAATACTCCCCCAATTCCTGTTCTTTGTAGGTTATATTAACCCTCCAAGAGTGGAGAAATTTGTTTCCTCTTCTCCTCCAAACGTTAAATGTATGTATTAAAAATTTTCCTCCATCATAAAGTCATTCTAGTTTAAGCATCTTGATTCAGGTGCTTCAGTGACTATTAGCAACTTACTGTCTTTGAATTGCCCACCCGACTGTGCTTTGTGCACTTAGCTCATCATCACAATGTGTACTTATGTATATCTTTTAATTTTCTGTTTACTTGTATTTCTAAGCATTTTAACCCTGGGTATGAGTTTTACTCTTTAAAGTTATGTATTATGCCTTCTACATTCTTTTTGAACTCCCATATTTCCTAAAGAATATTTAAAATTATAATTTTTTATCTTTAAAACAATATGAGGCAGAATATTATTTATGAAATTACAGGTGAATTCTAGGATAATCCTAGAACTATTCTAATACAGTATTTAATAACTGCTTTTTAAAATGGTGGCTGAGACAAGTTATGAAAAAAAGTCCCAACAATTCCAGTGGTACATTGTACTTCATTGCTTTCATATGTTAACTAGATGAGCACTTTTGCCTTCTTTAAAATGAAAATGAGTAATTAGGATTTAAACCCTTAAATTAAAAATGGATTTGAATGTTCACAATTGCTTATCAACCTGGAGATGTCTCAACTACTTCCATAACCACATAAAAACTGGAAAAATAACCCCTGAAACATGAATCATCTAACTAAATTGTGTTTGGTATATCTTAGTATAAAGCTACCCAAAGATAACCTTCATTTTATTTTATTTTGATTATGGAAAAATCCTTTATGTTTTACATGTCAAGAAAATGGTATGCAAAACAGTGTTTTAGTTTTGGTGCTCACCATAAATTATCCCCAGAATGAGAAGCAACAAGTCAGCATTTAAGTTCTAACACAAAGACATAAAGGTCTAACACCATCAAAGAACACCTGCAAAAATTCTAAGAGGTAGATGCCTTTTCTTTTTTGATAACCTTCATTTTAAATGTTATCTGCAGCCCATCTGGTCTCTAACATATGGAATACCCAAGACCTCAATGGAATGTCTCCTTCCCTATGGCAAGTAGGACCATATGCAAAATCCTCCACTGACAGGCTAAGAAATATAAAAAGAAAAAAAACTTTTTGGTGCCTTTCCATCGGCAAACAAAACATCGTAAAAAAAGAAAAGACACTGCAAAAGTTATTACAGCTTTCAGATTTAAACAATAAAAAAATCCTAACCACTGAGCATACAATGTGAATTATTACAGCCTATGACTAATCACCACAGAATAATTCCACTGGTGCCTGATGGGGGAATATCCTTAATTACAGAAGATATATGTTGTAAGCTTATCAGCACTTTAAACCACTAAATTTGATTAACGTCAGCAATGTTAGCATATGAAGGATTGTTCTGCAAGATGAAAAAAGTTTGTCCTTTGTTTATTTGGTGGTTTATAGTAGATTGTGAAATAAAGTTAAAGGAAGCAAAGCATAAAATACACGGCATGAGACCTAGACCTTTGCTATGCAGAAGATACGCATGCATTGTGCTGGTGGCAAAGAGTAATCATGGATGTGCGGATCATCTAAAGAACTTCCAAAGCAGCAGAATGAATGTTTTCTACCCATCACCACTCACCCACTGTGGTCAAAACCAGAAGCTATTGAAAAGGTGCATAGAAGAGAAAGTATACTCATATGGTTTGGATCTGTGTCCCCGCCCAAATCTCATGTTCAATTATAATCCCCAATGTTGGAGGTGGGGTCTGGTGGAAGGTCATTTGATCATGGGGGGTGGATCCTTCTTGAATGGTTTAGCATCAGCTCCTTGGTGCTACTCTCATGATATAGTTTTCATGAGATCTGGTTATTTAAAAGGGTGTAGCCCCTCCCCACTCTCTCTCTCTTGCTCCTATTGCAGCCATGGATATGTGTGCTCCCCTTTCACCTTCCACCATAATTGTATGTTTCCTGAGGCCTCCCCAGAAGCAGAAGCCACTATGCTTCCTGTGCAGCCTGCAGAACCGTGAGCCAATTAAACCGTTTTTCTTTATAAATTGCCCAGTCTCAGGTATGTCTTTACAGCAGCACAAGAACGAACTAAAACCCAATGGAGGAGAGCAAGAGACAGTGCCATTCCCAAGAAGTTGTCACATAAAGGAAATGGCAGATGGCTTTCTAGTACTGGTTCTGCCTCTTACCACCTTTGTGATTTTTGAGCAAATCATTTTAATTCTCCTGTCCTCAATTTCTTCATATCTATAATTAAGGAACTGGAATTAATGATACCTCAAAGAATCTGTGAGTCTCTAGCATCCCACAGAAGCTGAGAATGAAGAGGAAATCTTAACACAGTGTTGGCAATTTTGCGGGAGCTGAGATAACATCACCTGGCTGACATCACATGGACCAGCACCAATTCTCAGGTAACTTGGAGACAAAGCTAGATACCAGATAGAAGAGAGAGTTAACATGTTATTTAGGAATTAGGCTGCCTCTAAAAAGAGCTTCTGGTAGGAATTAGATTGTATAATTAATTTGTGGCTGAATTAAGTTGCTATTCTAAGTTACTGATTAAAAAAAAACTTCACATGCTTTATTTAGATTGTAAGCAGGGGCTTCTCAGAGGTCTAGAGGGGTTCAAACCATTTTTAATTTTTGAGGTTTCTCAAGTTTAAAAATAAATACCAAAACAAGGTTCAAAAACTCTGACATATTTTAAGTGCTCATGGTAGACAAAATAGCATCTTTAACATTGAAAAACACAATGCAATATAATTGTGTTATTCACAAGATAATGATAAGTTTCTAGAGAAAAGTTTACTATCACCTTAGACAATGTTGTCTAGCAAAAGGGCATAAGTATAAGACTGTCTGGTACACACCTTCTTTATTCATTTTCATTCAAATTATATGCATTTAAATGCACATCTTATTTAATGATAACAGCAAAAGCTGAAACCTGAGGTCCTCTTTGCATGCCCTTTGCTAGGCCCCTGTAACTTGAGGCTTTGTTCACATAGGCTATACACGAACCTGTCCTCTGGTGCTCGTACAGGTAGAACCAATTTAACTCTAACCTCCTATACGACCACTGCTCAGAAATGAATTCTTGGAGTAAAGTGAACAGTAGACAAGAACTTTGTTGTGATCTACTGAAAGGGCTGATTTTTCTCCTAGAATATAAAGGCTTCTGCTATTAAACAACTACATAATCCAAAATGACCTGGGTAGTGCCCCTTAGGGAACTTACAAATTTAGGTGCAGCTTTATCTTTGATAACTTAATTTCAAAATGCACTCCAAAATAGTTCAATAAATTGCTCTTGTGGTTCAAAGACTTTAGAATAATCACTTCACACATTTGTACATCTGCCATCCTTGTTTTTCTATAGCGGATGAAGAACTGTTCTTTCTGAGAGCAAGTAGTTTGTGATATTTGTTTGTAGTTGAAAACAATTCAATGACATTGCAAATATAGAGAACCACCTTGTAAGTTTTAACTGTAAAACAAACACCCCCATTTATCTAATAATTGTATCAAGTGATATAAACTTCGGAGGAAAAAGAAGGGAAAAATACTGTTTCAAACTACTCAGGATTAAAATTTCACCTATCACAAGACTTGTCCACTTTCTAAAAAATACGGTTTTAAAGTAATGCTAATATCCACAATATTTCATAAATATAGTCAACTCGTATCTTACCCAAGTGTAGATATGAAAATTAGCTTGTAAGGTGAAACTTGATTATGGAGAAAATTACCCTTTGAAATTCCTTAGGTCAACTGTGAGAATCCATGGCTTTATGTATACAATTCTACATAATATTTTTAAAAATTAACATTTAAGATAGTGACGCTGAGCTTGCAAGAAACAAAAGTACGTATGCCAATGTGTGAACACTGAAACCGTTATGCCTTTAAGGAGAAATAGATGGAGGATTCTAAAAGCCTTTCATGCTTGCCTTCAGGGTTTACTCCATTATATTTAATATTAAGCTTCTCTAGTTGTAACACACATTAGTAGATTTGGTTGTTGTAAAAAATTCATAAGACATCCTTTTTTTTTTCTTTCATTTTACAAAGTATGGAAGGCCCACTGTCTGATACCACCTAACCCATGGCCTGCTACATAGTAGTTGTATTAGTCCATTTTCACGCTGCTGATAAAGACATACCCGAGAGTGGGCAATTTACAAAAGAAAAAGGTTTAATTGGACTTAACAGTTCCACGTGGCTGAGGAAGCCTCATAATCATGGTGGAAGGCAAACAGGAGCAAGTTACATCTTACGTGGATGGTGGCAGGCAAAGAGAGGTTGTGCAGGAAAACTCCACCTTATAAAGCCATCAAATCTCGTGAGAATTATTCCCTATCATGAGAACAGCATGGGAAAGACCCGCCCCCATGATTCAATTATCTCCCACCGGGTCCCTTCCACAACATGTGGGAATTATGGGAGTACAATTCAAAACGAGATTTGGGTGAGGACCCAGAACTAAACCATATCAATAGTGTTATTAGAAATGGGGTCTTGATCCAGACCCCAGGAGAGAGTTCTTGGATCTCACACAGGAAGAAATTCAAGCCAAGTTGCAAAGTGCACTGAAAGAGACAGTTTATTGAAGCTGCTTTGTTACAGAGTAGGGCACCCTCAGAAAAGCAAAAGGAGGAATTTAACATCTTCAAGATTTTCTTAAATAGGGGTATTGTCTACGTAAAGGCTAAATTAAGCTGCTTGCCTTCAGGGTTTACTCCCTTAAAGTAACAGGATGACAAAATTTATTATTCTATTGTCTTAAATAAAACTATCCCGACATTTTAGTGTATGAGTACATCAAAGCATAACTGTTGCTATCTTGAAAGCATATATTGTTATTGGTATTGGGACATCTGGATTCTCTGTTGTTGTGGGAGTGTGTCCTTTCTTGTAGGTATCTTTAGGCTGTTTCCTCAACTATAAACATCTTAGGACCATTGGTTGTGACTGGCAAGGGATGTGCCTTGTTAGTCTCAAGATGGAGCTGAACTTAAAATGATGTTACTGTGGCTCTTCTAGGCTCCTGCTTTCCTAACAGTAGGTACTCAGTAAATGCCAACTGTTCATTGAGAAGTTGCAGAGAACATGGTCCCAGTCCCTTGTCTTCACAAGCTGGAATGTCTCACCATTGCACTACTGAGCAGCTATCGCTCTTATGCCCACAGGTGCAATAGACAATGAGACTGACAAGAGATTGATGGGTGCTTTGAAGCAGATGCAAATGCACCTGCAGCAAATGCAGAGCCCAGGCAGGTAGCGTAACTGAGGCAAGTGGCTCAGGTGGGGACTTATGTAAACTAAAGAGGCCACATCTGCCTAAGAGGAGCAAGTGCTGTGCACTGAGCTGCAGCAGAAGATTGTCTTGTGAAGAGCTGTTTCCTCTCTGTCCCGCTTCCACCCCAAAGAGCAAATCCTACTTTTTACATAGAATGTCCCTATGTAGTTTTGTCTGAACTAAATAACAAAAACAATTGTCCCCAGCCTTGCTTCTCACAATCATAGTCACCACTGAGACTTTATTGCAGGGTCCTAGGCAGAGCACACAGTCAAGAGTTGTTCTCGGAAACCTTTTATGTGGAGGCCAGGAGACTGAGAGAATGGTGGTACCAGATAGACTCTCAAAAACCAGAGTGACAATTAATGCAGCAATAGGAAAACATGTTTATTATATGCAGAACCCAAGGAAGTCTATCAGTTTGTTTCCTGTGGGGAGATTTTACTGATGTCTGAAAAGATTCAAAGCCAAGACACATCTACTAAAATGGAAACTGAACTGACAAGAACACCTACCTGGAGGATGAAATTACAAGAGCTGCTAATCTTGTGTTTCTGGGCACTGGCAAACCAGTGGCTGAGACTGATGGAACACTCTCTCTTTGTCTCATTATTTCTCACTGAAAAATTTTATGAAAGTATGTTAGGTACAAAAAGGAAGACGAATAAGAGTGTAGAAATGTTTCCCTTCTCCAAAAGCATCCGGACCCACATCTACTCTTGAAACTAGCAAAACCAAAAGGTGTTTGCTTTGTTATTGAGATGTTCTTGCAGCCCCCAAATTGACAAGCTATGTTTCACAACTTCCTTTTTACAGTATACAGTACTTACCGTACTTGTTGATATAGAGGAGACAGAAAATATCCTAAAGAAGAGCTCATGGTAACATCTAAAAAGGCCTCCCCTTCTTTTCTCTTCCTATTTTTATTAGTTTTTATACTTGCTCCTCACTCCAACTAGTCTTGTCTCAGCTTGCCAACTTTGCAGACTAGGAATGCTTTTGGAAAGCCTAATTTGGAATGTTTCCTTGACTCAGGTGGGGTATACAGAGTTTGGCCAGCTCTCATCCAGAGCAAGAGCTGCCCAAATGAACCCCAAGGAATGCCTCTCAGCACGCTATCTGCAGTGGCGCGCCCAGGAGAAACACTATCCCGAGTGCTAACCTTTGAGGCACAGCCTTTTATTCTCCCCAGTGGAACTTTTTCCACTGAATTGTTCCTTGTGAGTTTTATGGAGGACCATGTTTTGGATACAAAAATCAGTAAATTTTACAGTGAGTAAGGGATTTTTCTTTCTCTGTATCAGATATGCTTAATTATTTTATCTTTTAAATAGAATCCTTTCTCCCACAAAAATGGACTATATGTACCAGCCATCAAATTATCAGTTTATGTAGCTCATAATGACATGACACTATGGAGGTTTATAAGAAATTAGTAAAACAATGTGAAGCTATTGAGTTTAAAGTATTTTTAAAAATTCTAAATTGTCTGCCTTTGCTGCATTGATCAGAAAAAAAAAATGGCAGTTATAATAAGTTACCCCACCAATGTTTTAAAGAGTATCTTGTAACTAATATTTAAATAAATTCAGTTACATTTGCCTGCCATTATTAACTCCATGTAAATCAAATAGAGTAGCACTGTCCATTAGACTCTAAGATGATGAAAATGATCGATGCTTTTCCTGTTTAATATGATAGTCACCAGCCTCAGGTGGTTTTGAGTAGTCAAAATGTGGCTAATATGACTGATAAACTGGATATTTAATTTTACTTAATTTTAATAACTTTAAATTTAAATTATTTAGCCATAGGTAGTTAGTGGCTATCATTTGGGGCAATGCAGGCTACAGACTTACTACTCAAAATGCAGCCACCTACAGGAAGCATCATCTTCACCTGGAAACTTGTTAGAAATGCAGCTTTCTGGTCCCACCTCAGGACTACTAAATCACAATCTGCATTTTAATAAGCCCTCCAACAAGGTGTGTGTGCATTAAAATTTGAGATCTAGAAGGGTAGTATCTCAACACTGGCTGCACTGGTAATATTCAGTTAAACTTAAGAGTACCTAAGAGCCTTTCAGGGGGTTAATGTGTTCAAAATATTTTCAAAATTAAAAGCCACTGCCTTTTTCATCGTTTCAGCATTTGCATTGATAGTATGAAAGCAATAGAGGATAAAACCTTTGGTACTTTAGCATGAATCAAGACACTGGTACCAAACTACAGAAGTAGTCACTAATTTATTTACTGCCACACACTTGCAGGAAAAAAGAGGGGAGTGCAGTTACACTTTAAAATGTCCTTGATGATACAGCAAAATGCACTTATTTTCTTAAGCCTTGACCACTGAAAACAAGTTTTTAATATTCTGTGGTTTAAAAAAAAAAAAGTACGTATAAAGCATTACCACTGCAAATGGAATTAAGATTTTAGAAATACAGTATTTGCCTGTAGAATCTTGGCATCTTCCTACTGCTGCAAGACTTTTCTTTGAGATTGATGGTAATATTAACAACTGCATTTAAAAGGCCTAAATAATTCAGGAAATCAATATTTTTAAATGACTAATGTATGAGCAAAAGATCCATTCAAAAAGTAGGATCAGATAATAAATTTTAATGTAACAGAGTGCATGTTTATTGATATAGTGTCAGATTTCCACATTGTATATAACCTTTAAGAAACTGCCATTTGTGAAGTTCTGATGTAGTAGCAAAAAAAAAAAAAAAAAAAACCCACAATCATCTGAAAATCTTAAAATACTCCTCTTTTCCAACTATGAGCCTGAATTTTCTTTGCATGGTTCAACCTAAACAATATAGCAGAATACAGAAGCAGGTATCTTCTATCAAGCTGGACATTAAAGAAATGTGCAAAAAAAGAAAACCAATGCTATTCTTTAACTAATTTTTTTGTCTTGGAAATAATAGTCACTTTTCATTAAAAATATCACGTATATTAATACATTATGCACTTACTGTTATTTTAAAGGAAATTCTATTTTTAAAAAAATTTTCAATTTCGAGTACGATAAAAGTTGATAGATACACCCCCATAGACAAAAGCTGTAAGGAATTCTAAGATAACAAGTATGAGTGCTGCTGGCTTACAGGATGCCTTGATAAGAAAGAAGAGAAACAAAGCTGAGAATCACTATTCCCTCCACCCAAAAGCTGGGTATTGGCTGCTCCCAATGACTCAGAAGAAAAAAAAAACCACTATGCATTCTTAGAAGAGAAAATGTGGAGTATCCTCAGACAGAATTATCCTGAGGGGATAGTTCTCAGACAGAAGGAGCAAAGAGATAATAGGAAATAGAAGCGTTCATGGAGCCAGGTGATGTTGAAAAGGAAGGCAGTAGTTTGCTTGTAAATTCTTTCTGTATCTGCCAGATTGTCGGAGAATTCCTCTAAAACTCAAAAAATGCTTGTCAGGAGTGGGTTTCTTGTGGAAATTGGTCATCTAGAATGAAGCAAACAGAAATGTGCACCGGTAGAGGGTGGTAGGGGAAATCCTCGCTGATATTTGAGGAACATATGAAGATCCATTTCTAAAGAATACTAGATATACAACTAATATTGTATAGTTACCAAAGGAGCATGCCCTCCAAATCGCTCACTCTCACACTCCATCATAAATATTTACATTCTAAAGAATAGTGGAAATACAACTCATATTGTGTAGTTACCAGTGGAACATGCCAATTGCTCACTCAATCATGTGTATTTATTTTCAAGGTTGTGTTTAGTAATTTAGGGAATAGATTAGTGTACAGTAATTTTCTGTGGTTAGATTTTTAGCTGTCACTAATGATGTGTGATTAGTTTGTTGGAAGAAGCACCCACTGAGGAGCCTTGCTGGGCAGTCTCACCTCATCCTACAGGGGGTAAGAGGGGACGTTACCTTGTAAGGATCAAGGATTCACAACCCCTCTTGTCACCTACCAGCTATTACACCCTTAACGCTCTGTGTGGTTCCTGCCCCCCAGTTAGACTAATTAAAAATTATTAACAGGTAGACAAATTATTTGACTGCAATGTGTAGGTATCTCAGAGTGCAAACATTGAAAAATTGGTAATTTACAGGTGCACGATATTATTGCAAGCGCTTTAGTGAAGATTAAAATCCTTGAGTTTTGTCATTCTCTTGCTCTAAAAACTTCCTACTCTTCTCACCTGCCTGTTCCCCCACCCTTAGTGTTGAATTTTCATTGGTTAGAAAGTTAAGCAGCAAAAAAAAAAAAGGACAGACCTTTAAAAAGCTTCAAAAAATCACTTGGAGAATACAGGTAACATCAGATGCTGAAAAGAAACAACACTAGCAAGGATTTGAAACTCTGAAGAAAAGACAAAGTTAATTTCTAAAAAAATTGGAAAAGAACTTGCATAGTATTTTGAAAATCCACATTTCCATAGGGAGGAAAAGAATTAAAATTCTGAGCTCAGTTATCTATTTGCCTCTCAGAGTAGCATGTTTACCATTATGCCAAATTATATAGCATAAAAAGTGACAGGTTTTGTTATTCTTACAGCCCAGAACTTCTAGTCTTGTCAGAAAATATAGATAGATAGATAGATAGATAGATAGATAGATAGATAGATAGATAGATAGATAGAGAGATAGATGTGCTCTTGTCCCCTCCCACCTCCAGAATCCTTGCTGCTAGTCCAGCCCTAATGTGTACCACAATTCTAACAAGGATTCTTGAGAAAATATCTGAATTCACTGGTGCACTACAGGATGGAGTGTGCTATAATGTTACATCAGAAGCCAGAACAATCGGAAGTTGAACTTTTGAGCAGCTAGTTGTACAACTGGAAAACCTATTTTTTTCTACTCTGATTTGATTGTTTTCAGTTTGTTAATTCATCTGATTGCAAGCAGCTAAGTTTCACACCTTCCCATAAAGCAAAAAGCAAGTATTTTCTTGCCCCTCAAATACTTCAGATTTCTTTTAAAAAAAATTCTAATTTGAAGAAAATAAATGTGTTACATTTTCCTCATCACATAAGAAGAATGACAGTGCTGGAATTCACATTGCTAGATTATTTTAAAATATTTACCAAAGAGTAATTTGCCATCATATCTATTTCATGTGTTTATTTTTGTATTCATAATTAAGTATACCATAGGGTTAAAGGAGAGCAGGTACTATGTCCACCACCACTCCCCATACAATATGATGACCCTGTACTCACCCAGTATTCCAAAAAAGTCATCCTATTTCCCAGAGAGAATTAAAAATTCAGAGACAAATTATAGATTTGGAAAACTAGTTGTGCACAATATCTCAAGAGATTAATTTTGCAACATGATAAAAATCTACAAATAAAAAGGGCAAGTAACAATATGAAAAAATAAGCAAACCCTATGAATTAAGAATGTACAAAATAATATATAAAGAAGGCAAATAAGAAAACAAAAATATGCTCCAGCCCACCGGACCAAAAAAAAATTCAAATTAAAATAACAATGTGATATAATTTGCCACCTATCAGATTGGTAACAATTAAAAAGAGTGATGGTATTCTAGTCTACTGAGAACACAGAACATTATCATCATTTGCCACAACATTTTGCAAAAATATCTGGCAAAATCTAATGATTATTAAAACATACACACATTTGACTCATTTAGCCCTCTTTTGGCACCTGCCATGACAACCCATAGAAAAATTCCATATATATGCACTTTATTTTAGTACTTTGTAGCAAAACACACAGATACACACACACACACACACACACACACACACCCTGAAAACAATCTGAAAGTCCACCAACAGTGGAAAGTTTGATTACGTTACAACACATTATATTGGGGAATAATATGTAGCCACGAAAAAGATTGGATTAAATCTTTGTGATTGTAAAACTGGATTGTTGTCTATGATGTATTATTAAATAAAAATACAAGTTGCAAAGTAATAGATGAGGTACTATTATCCCTTTTAAAAACAAGAAAACAGCTTTTTTGTGAATATAGTTTTATCTGTGTTTGTCTTAGAGAAAGATGTAAAAAGAAATTCACACTAATTTATTAACAATGGTTACCGTAGTAGAGGGTAGGAGTGGACAAGAGATGAATTGTGTTATTTAATTTTCTATATACCTATTATTTTTAAAGCTCATAATATTTTGAGCTTCCTATTTATTCAACTGGGTGGTCTTCTATACTAAAGGGTCCTTGCTTGTTCTTCTTTGTAAGCCCACACATGGTATATGTTAAGAAATGTGAAGGAAGATACCTTTGGCTCTCTTTGACCCTTCTGAGGGAAGAAAAAAGAAAAACTTGTAAACAGAGAAGCAACAATATTTCAATTGTGGCATATGATTCAGAACATGAAAGTGGTAACCAGAACATTCTGTTTTCTCCCCAGTTCAAGAGAAGTTGATTGCAGCATCGATGTTCCAAAAGCAATTAGCAGATTTGTACTGGTAACCAAGGTTTTTCTAATTTTGTGGTAGTCAGTTCCAGCTTCAATCAACAAAAGGATACTGGAAATTTCCCACTCTCCTTTTTGTTGCCAACCTCTTCAGCATCATCTAAACATAGTGACCCTCTGGTACCCTATCCTCCAACAACTAAATTCCTTTGTAGCTCTTGAAACATGCCTTGATTGTCCCAGTTCTGGACTTTCATGCATATGTTCCCCATATTTGAAACTCTCCTCTCCTCCCCTTTCCCACATCACTCATTCCTCATTCAGGCCTCAGGATAAAAAATCACCTTCTCTAGTAAGCTCTCTTAGGCAAAATTTAGTAATTATGAGCCTCTGCTGCATGCTCTCCTAACACCCTACTCTGACCTTCTCATGCCATAGTATTCACCATAAATGCTATTTTAATTATTAGTTGCTTAGCTACCAAATTCAGCTCCCTGAGGGCAAGAACCAAGTCTGTATCATTCTATGTTGTAGCCCCAGTATCTGGAACGTGTGAGGCACACTGTAGTAATAATAATATTGGTTTAGTGCTTACATTGTGTCAGTCTGTGGGCTAAAGACTTCATACACATTGTCTCATTTAATCTACTGATAACCCCTAACGCTATACTATTCTATCTCTTTATGAATATGTATATTTGTCAGATGCTATCTATAATAATAATCTCTGGTCTCTGTTTTTCCTCTAAAATATCCTATGCTCTGACCGCATCAAAACCCAGTCTTTTTTTCTGAGATACAGTTCCTTGTGCTAACACAACAAATAAACAAAAAAAAATTATGTAAAATCCATGTGATGGGACATGCATTTTCATGGGGCATACAATAAGAAACAATGCCTTAAGCCCAAATGGTGGAAATTTGTGTATTCCACCTGGACTAATAAGATGACATTTTTAGGAAGGAGATTTTAAATAATGGCTTCATAGATCACATCTTTTGGAGACCATCTACATTGCCTATTTGGAAGGACAGTACTGGGTTTGAGGCACCTTTGTCAGTGAGTAGGCCTGCTCCAGGACTTGGAGGTATCACTTCATATCTGTATATCTTCTAACAATAGCAAGTAAGAAAGGAACTATATTCATTCATGTTTTGGTGGTATTGATTCCAATTAGGCGTTTATTTAAAAAAAAAAAACCCAAACAATAGAAACTCTGTCTGCATCTGCCCCAGTAACACATGAACTACAGAAGGTTTTGGAGTCTGCTGTAAAGTACTAAACCACCCACACTCCAGTGAGATGGGGTTGGGCGTGAAACTGACTTCCCAGGTGCTGGGGATGGAGAGTTCTTCTCCTTGACACTCAAGCTCTCAGGAGTCCCCTTGAGATCAGACCACCAAAAATGCTGAGTCACACGTGAACATGTGAAAAAGTTCTATGGTATTGGTTCCCTATGTGGCAGGAATGGCAGCCAAGCCCCCCAGGCAGAGATACTTGGCTTTCCTCCTGAGTAGTCAAGGCTAGTAAGCCAACAAAGTAGCTGAAGAATGAGGACAGGCAATTCCAAATATGTGGCCAAAAATTCTTCCTTTGACAATTTAAAAGAAGAACTTCACAATGCTGGTCTGGAGGTATTTGGAGCAAAGGAGGTAAAATCTGAATGGTGGATGGATTAATGAAAGTGGGAAAGAAATAGAGGGTATATAGGGGAAAATGGCAGATAGAAGGCAGGACTAACTTGCAGCTCCCACTCCAATGGAAAGAGCAGCATATGGTGATGCACATCATCAACTTTTGCTCCAGGAACTACAATAGAAACATCTCAGGAAAGCTGAGAGAATCCACAGACCCTTTGAAGGAGGTAGATTGCTGCTGCAGGCTCCATGGGACAGCCAAGGAACTGTGAGTCTGTTTGCTTTCTTAGCTAGGAGGCTTGTAGCCTAGGATAAATTCTCACCCCTGCTCACTGGCTACCTGGAAATAAACTCAGTGCTGTTGTTGGGGGCACTGTGGAAGTGAAACCAGCCTTTTCGGCTGTGGGCTGCATGGGAGCTGGGTGAGGCCTGTGGCTGCCAGATTTCCTCTACTTCCCTGGTAACCTATGTGACACAGCAGAGGCAGCCATAATCCCCCCTGGGAACGTAACTCCATTGGCTTGGGAACTACGCCACCATCTCCCACAGACACAGTAACTGCAGCAAGCCCTGCCCAAGGAGAGTCTGAGCTCAGACACACCTAACTCTGCTCCCACCTGATGGTCTTTCTCTACTTGCCCTGGTAGCTGAAGACAAAGGACACAATCTATCAAAACTTATGAGGTAGAGCAAAGACAGTGCTAAGAGGAACGTTCATAACATTAAATACCTACATCGAAATGTCTGAAAGAGCACAAATAGACAACCTAAGGTCACATCTCAAGCAGCTAGAGAAACAAGAACAAACCAAACCCAAACACAGCAGAAGAAAAGAAAAAACTAAGATCAGAGTAGAACTAAATGAAATTGAAACAAAAACAAGACAAAAGATAAATTAAACAAAAAGGTGGTTCTTTGAAAAGATAAATAAAATTGACAGGCCATTAGTGAGATTAACTAAGAAAAGAAGACAGAAGATACAAATAAGTTCAATTAGAAACACAAAGGGAGATATTACGATCAATACCATAGAAATACAAAATATCATTCAAGGCTACTATGAACACTTTCACATGCACAAACTAGAACTCCTACAGTAGATGGATAGATTCCTGGAAATATGCAACCTTCCTAGATTAAACCAGGAAGATATAGAATCTCTGAACAGACCAATAATAAGCAGCAAGATTGAAATGGTAATTAAAAGGTTACCCCCCAGAAAAGTCCAGGACTAGATGAATTCACAGCTGAATTTTATTAGACATTCAAAGAAAAATTGATACCATTCCTATTGACAGGATTCCAAAAGATAGAGAAACAGGGAATCCTCCCTAAATCATTCTATGAAACCAGTATTACCCTAATACTGAAACCAGAAAAAAACATAACAAAAACAGAAAATTTCAGGCCAATATCTCTGATGCGCATAGATGCAAAAATCTTCAACAAAATACTAGCTAACTGAATCCAACAGCTTATCAAAAAGATAATCCACAATGACCAAGTGGGTTTCATACCATGGATGCAGAGAGGGTTTAACATCCACAAGTCAATAAATGTGACATACAACATAAACAGATTTAAAAACAAAAATCACATGATCATCACAATAAATGCAGAAAAATCAGGTGGAAAAATCCAGCATCCCTTTATGATTAAAATCCTCATCAGAATCAGCATAGAAGGGACATACCTTAGGGTAATAAAAGCCATCTACGACAAACTCACATCCAACATTATACTGAATGGGGAAAAATTGAAAGCATTCCCCCTGATAAGTGGTACAAGACAAGGATGCCCACTTTCACCACCTCTATTCCACATAATACTAGAAGTTCTAGCCAGAGCAGACAACAGAGAGAAATAAAAGGCATCCAAACTGGTAAGCAGGAAGTCAAACTGTCACTGTTTGCTGATGGCATGATTGTATACCTAGAAAACCCTAACGACTCATCCAAAAAGCTCCTAGAACTGGTAAATGAATTCAGCAAAGTTTCAGGATACAAAATTAATGTACATAAATCAGTAGCCCCGCTATACACCAACAGCAATGAAGCTGAGAATCAAATCAATAACTCAATCCCTTTTACTGCAAAAGAAATAAAATACTCAGGAAATACATAACCAAGGAGGGAAAAGAGCTCTACAAGGAAAGCTACAATACACTGCTGGAAGAAATCATAGACAACATAAAAAAATGGAAACATATCCTATGTCATGGATGAGTAAAATCAATATTGTGAAAATGACCATACTGCAAAAAGCAATCTACAAAATTCCATGCAATTCCCATCAAAATACCACCATCCTTCTTCACAGAACTAGAAAAAAAAATTGTTTAAAACCAATAAAGCGCCCACATAGACAAAGCAAGACTAAGTAAAAAGAACAGATCTGAAAGCATCACATTACCCAACTTCAAACCATATAATAAGGCCATAGTCACCAAAACAGCATGGTACTTGTATGAAAATACACACATAGACCAATGAAACAGAATAGAGAACCCAGAAATAAAGTCAAATACTTACAGTAAATGGATCTTTGACAAAGCAAACAAAAATATAAAGTGGGGGAAAGGACATCCTCTGCAACAGATGGTGCTGGGATAACTGGCAAGCCACATGTAGAAGAATGAAACTGGATCCTCATCTCTCACCTTATACAAAAATCAATTCAAGATGGATCAAAGACTTAAGTCTAAGACCTGAAACAGTAAAAATTCTCGAAGATAACATTGGAAAAACCTTTCTAGACACTGGCTTAGGCAAAAACTTCCATGACCAAGTACCCAAAAGTAAATACAACAGAAATGAAGATAAATAGATGGAACTTAATTAAACTAAAAAGCTTCTGCACAGCAAAAGAAATAATCAGCAGAGTAAACAGGCAAGTCACAGAGTGAGAGAAAATCTACACAAACTATACATCCAACAGAGGACTAATACCCAGAATCTACAAGAAACTCAAACAAATTAGCAAGATAAAAACAACCAATCCCATCAAAAAGTAGGCCAAGGCAATGAAGAGACAGTTCTCAAAAGAAGATATAAAAATGGCCAACAAATGAAAAAATGCTCAACATCACTAATTACCAGGGAAATGCAGAGCAAAACCACAATGCAATACCACCTTACTCTTGCAAGAATGGCCATAATCAAAAATTCAAAAAATAATAGATGTTGGCAAAAATGTGGTCAAAAAGGAACACTTTTACATTGTTGGTGGTAATGTAAACTAGTACAACCACTATGGAAAACAGTGTGGAGATTCCTTAAAGAACTGAAAGTAGACCTACCATTTGATCCAGTAATCCCATTACTGAGTATCTACTCCAAGGAAAAGAAGTCATTATACAAAAAAGATACTTGCATACCCATGTTTATAGCAACACAATTTGCAATTGCAAAAATATGCGACCACCCCAAATGCCCATCAATCAATGAGTAGATAAAGAAAATGTAGTATATATATCCCATGGAATACTACTCAATAAAACCAAACAAAATAATGGCATTTGGAGCAACCTGGATGAAACTGGAGAGCATCATTCTAAGTGAAGTAACTCAGGAAGGATCCAAACATCGTATATCCTCACTCGTAAGTGGGAGCTAAGCTATGTGGGTGCAAAGGCATAAGAATGACACAATGGACTTGGGAAAGGATGGAGTTGGGTGAGGGATAAAAGACTACACATTGGCTACAGCATACATTGCTCAGGTGATGGGTGCACCAAAATCTCAAAAATCACCACTAAAGGACTTATTCATGTAACCAAACACCACCTGTTTCCCAAAAACCTATTAAAATAAAATAAAATAAATAAATAATTTTTTTAAAAAAAGAGGGAGAGAAATAGACACTGTCAAAAGAGTATGGAATAGCTAAGTAAGATGGGCTAACTTGGTACCTCCATCCTGCCATTTAGTGGTAACAGGTCCCTCTGGCACAGGAGTCCCTGGTACTGGTTGGTGGTCTGAGGGTTGGGGACCCCCACACTAGAGGTTCCATGGCCTGTTAGGAACCTGGCCAGACAGCAGGAAGTGAGAAACAGACCAGCAAGCATTACCACCTGAGCTCTGCCTCCTGTCAGATCAGTGGCAACATTAGATTCTCATAGAAGCATGAACCCTGTTGTGAACTGCACATGAGAGGGATCTAGGTTATACACTCCTTGTGAGATTCTAATGCCTCCTGATGATCTAAAGTGGAACAGTTTCATCCCCAGACCTTCCCACCCCAGCCCACTCTCTATCCATGGAAGAACTGTCTTCCAAGAAACTGATCCCTGGTGCCAAAAAGGTTGTGGAGACCATTGCTGTAGCAGGTTATTCAACTACTCTACATCTGACTTCTATTCATTTCACAGAAGGCTTTCCTACTCATTACATCATTTACTTCTGAGGGAGAGCTGTGAGACAAATAGCTTTCTCTCTGTTTTACAGATGAGGAAACTGAGGCCCAAACAGATTAAATGATTTGCACATAGTCAAATAGCTCTGAAAGGAGAGAGCTAGGACATATTCCATATTCCATATGGTGGTGTACGCATAGTGTATTAAGAAATTCAGGGTGGTGATTGGCTCTTCCACTCACCCCAGGACAGATAAACTAAATATAGAAAAATCTTCACATGGCAACTAAAGGATGCACACGCCCATTTCCTTCATATGAAAAACAAATTTAAATAACAACAATAAAAATAAAACAACAATGGTCAAAAACCTGGAAACAGATGGTGGAGCCATCACCTCAGTGATATTATGATAGCCCACAGCAAGGAAAACATAAAGTTTAGGAGCTAAGAGTAACCTTAGATAACTACTAACTCAACTACGTTCACTTTATAGTTGAAGGAAATACTGGCAAAATTCCAAGTGGCTTTGCCTGGTTCCAGAGTGAGATAGAATGAGTTAGTGTGAGAACCAAAGTGTCTCCTCTGCTTGTTCTAGTTTGAGCAGTTTTTATTTATTTATTTATTTTTGACAGGGTCTTGCTCTGTCAGCCAGGCTGGAATGTAGTGGTGCAATCTTGACTCACTATAGCCTCGGCTCCAGCAGTTCTTCTGCCTCAGCCTCCCGAGTAGCTGGGACCACAGGTTTGCACCACCACATCTGGTTATTTTATCATTATTATTATTATTATTTGTAGAGACAAGGTCTCATTATGTTGCCCATGCTGGTCTTGAACTCCTGAGCCCAAGTAATCCTCCTGCCTTGGCCTTCTAAAATGCTGGGATTAGAGGTGTGAGCCACTGAGGCTGGTAGAGCTTCTTGACAACAGGAATCAATTATTTGTATTTAAATACTTCTGGAGGAAGGAGCAAGGGAGAATAAGAGAGAGAAGTAAGAGAGGAAGGAACTAAAACCAATTTCTCACAATTTTTATTCTTGTATCTTTTTTATGACATAATAAATAAGACTATGTATTAGTCTGTTTTCACATTGCTATAAAGAATGGCCTGACACTGGTTGATCTATAAAGGACAGAGGTCCATTTGGCTCACAGTTCAGCATGGCTGGGGAGGCCCCAGGAAACTTACAATCATGACAGAAGGCAAAGGAGAAGCAACACACTTTCTTCAAAGGTGACAGGAATGAGAATGAACACAGGAAGAACTTACCAAACACTTATAAAACCATCATATCTCATGAGAACTCACTCATATCAAGAGAAAAGCATGAGGGAACTATCCCCATGATTCAACCACCTCCACCTGGTCTCTCCCTTGACATGTGGGGATTATGGGAATTATGGGGATTACAATTCAAGATGATATTTGGGTGGGGATGCAAAGCCTAACCATATCATTCTGCCTCTGGCCCCTCCCAAATCCCATGTCCCTTTCACATTTAAAAACCAATCATTCCTTCAATTCCCTGAAGTCTGAATTTTTTCTAGCATTAACCCAAAGCCCAAGTCCAAAGTCTCATCTGAAACAAGGCAAGTCCCTTCTGCCTATAGGCCTGTAAAATCAAAGCAAATTAGTTACTTCCTAGATACAGAGGGGGTGCAAGCATTGGGTAAATACTCCCATTCTCCAAATGGGAGAAATTGGACTACAGGCCCCATGCAAGTCTGATATCCAGCAAGACAGTCATTAAATCTTAAAACTCTGAAATGATCTCCTTTGACTCCATTTCTTGCATCTAGGTTACACTGATGCCAGAGGTGGGTTCCTATGGCCTAGGGCAGCTCCGCCCCTGTGGCTTTGCAGGGTACAACCCCCTTAGCTGCTTTCATGGGCTGGCATTGACTCTCTGTGGTTTTTCCAGGTGCACAATGCAAGCTGTCAGTGAATCCACCATTCTGGGGTCTAGAGGGTGATGGCCCTCCTCCCACAGTTCCACTAGGCAGTTTCCCAGTGGGGGCTCTGTATGGGGGCTCCCAGCCACATTTTTTTCTGGACTTCCCTAGCAGAGGTTCTCCATGAAGGCTACACCCTTGCAGCAAACCTCTGCCTGGACATCCAGGCCTTTTGATACATCCTCTGATATGTAGGCAGAGGTTCTAAAACCTCAGTTCTTGACTTTTGTGCACCCACAGGCCCAACACCACTTGGAAGCCACCAAGGCTTTGGGCTTACACCCTCTGAAGCAACAGCCTGAGCTGTAGGTTGGCCCCTCCTAGCCATTTCTGGGATGCAGGGCACCAAGTCCTGAGACTACACAAAGCAGCAAAGCCCTGAACCTGGCCCAGGAAACCATTTCTTTCTCCTAGGTCTCCATTCCTGTGATGGGAGGGTCTACCATGAAGACCCTGATATGCCCTGGAGACATTTTCCTCATTTCCTCAGTGATTAACATTTGATTTCTTGTTACTTATGCAAATTTCTGCAGCTGGCTTGAAATTCCCCTCAGAAAATGGGCTTTTTATTTCTATCACATTCTCAAGCTGCAAATTTTCTAAAGTTTTATGATCGGCTTCCTTTTAAACATAAGATACAATTCCAAATAATCCCTTTGTGAATGCATAAAACTGGATGCTTTTTTTGGTTGGTAGGCTATTAATTATTGCCTCAATTTCAGAGCCTGTTATTGGTCTATTCAGGGATTCAACTTCTTCCTGGTTTAGTCTTGGAAGGGTGTATGTGTCCAGGAATTTATCCATTTCTTCTAGATTTTCTAGTTTATTTGCATAGAGGTGTTTATAGTATTCTCTGATGATAGTTTGTATTTCTGTGGGATCGGGGTGATATCCCCTTTATCATTTCTTATTGTGTCTATTTGATTCTTTTCTCTTTTCTTCTTTATTAGTCTTGCTAGTGATCTATCAATTTTGTTGATCTTTTCAAAAAACCAGCTACTGGATTCATTGATTTTTTGGAGAGTATTTTGTCTCTCTATCTCCTTCAGTTCTGCTCTGATCTTAGTTATTTCTTGCCTGCTGCTAGCTTTTGAATGTGTTTACTCTCGCTTCTCTAGTTCTTTTAATTGTGGTGTTAGGATGTTGATTTTAGATCTTTCCTGCTTTCTCTTGTGGGCATTTAGTGCAATAAATTTCCCTCTACACACTGCTTTAAATGTGTACCAGAGATTCTGGTATGCTGTGTCGTTGTTCTCATTGGTTTAAAAGAATGTCTTTATTTCTGCCTTCATATCCTTATTTACCCACTAGTCACTCAGGAGCAGGTTGTTCAGTTTCCATGTAGTTGAGCGGTTTTGAGTGAATTTCTTAATCCTGAGTTCTAATTTGATTACACTGTGGTCTGAGAGACAGTTTGTTACAATTCCTGTTATTTTACATTTGCTGAGGAGTGCTTTACTTCCAACTATGTGGTCAATTTTGGAATAAGTGCGATGCGGTGCTGAGAAGAATGTATATTCTGTTGATCTGGGGTGGAAAGTTCTGTAGATGTCTATTAGGTCCACTTGGTGCAAAGCTGAGTTCAAGTCCTGAATATCCTTGTTAATTCTCTGTTTCATTGATCTGTCTCATGTTGAGAGTAGGGTGTTAAAGTTTCCCATTATTATTAGGTGGGAGTATAAGTCTCTTTGTAGGTCTCTAAGGACTTGCTTTATGAATCTGGGTGCTCCTGTATTGGGTGCATATATATTTAGGATAGTTAGCTTTTTTTGTTGAATTGATCCCTTTACCATTATGGAATGGCCATCTTTGTCTCGTTTGATCTTTGCTGGTTTAAAGTCTGTTTTATCAGAGATTAGGATTGAAACCCCTGCTTGTTTTGTTTTCCATTTGCTTCATAGATCTTCCTCCATCCCTTTTTTTTGAGTCTATGTGTGTCTCTAAATCCAGGTCCAGATGGATTCACTGCCGAATTCTACCAGAGGTACAAAGAGGAGCTAGGGCCATTCCTTCTGAAACTATTCCAATCACTAGAAAAAGAGGGAATCCTCCCTAACTCATTTTATGAGGCAGCATCATCCTGATACGAAAGCCTGGCAGAGACACAACAAAAAAGAGAATTTCAGACCAATATCCCTGATGAACATCAATGCAAAAATCCTCAATAAAATACCAACTAACAGAATCCAGCAGCACATCAAAAAGCTTATCCACATTGATCAAGTTGGCTTCATCCCTGGGATGCAAAGCTGGTTCAACATCTGCGAATCAATAAATGTAATCCGTCATATAAACAGAACCAAAGGCAAAAACCACATGATTATCTCAGTAGATGCAGAAAAGGCTTTCGATAAAATTCGACAGCCCTTCATGCTAAAAACTGACAATAAACTGGGTATTGATGGGACGTATCTCAAAATAATATGAGCTATTTATGACAAACTGACAGCCAGTATCATACTGAATGGGCAAAAACTGGAAGCATTCCCTTTGAAAACTGGCACAAGACAGGGATGCCCTCTCTCATCACTCCTATTCAACATAGTGTTGGAAGTCCTGGCCAGGGCAATCAGGCAGGACAAAGAAATTAAGGGTATTCAATTAGGAAAAGAGGAAGTCAAATTGTTCCTGTTTGCAGATGACATGATTTTATATTTAGAAAACCCCATTGTCTCAGCCCAAAATCTCCTTAAGCTGATAAGCAACTTCAGCAAAGTCTCAGCATACAAAATCAATGTGCAAAAATCACAAGCATTCTTATACACCAATAACAGACAAACAGAGAGCCAAATCATGAGTGAACTCCCATTCACAATTGCTTCAAAGAGAATAAAATACCTAGGAATCCAACTTACAAGGGATATGAAGGACCTCTTCAAGGAGAATTATGAACCACTGCTCAATGAAATAAAGGAGGACACAAACAAATGCAAGAACATTCCATGCTCATGGATAGCAAGAATCAATATCGTGAAAATGGCCATACTGCCCAAGGTAATTTATAGATTCAATGCTATCCCCATCAAGCTACCAATGACTTTCTTCACAGAATTGGAAAAAACTTCTTTAAAGTTCATATGGAACAAAAAAAGAGCTCACATTGCCAAGACAATCGTAAGCAAAAAGAACAAAGCTGCAGGTATCACACTACCTGACTTTAAACTATAGTACAAGGCTAAAGTAACCAAAACAGCATGGTACCAAAACAGAGATACAGATCAACGGAGCAGAACAGAGCCCTCAGAAATAATACCACACATCTACAACTATCTGATCTTTGACAAACCTGACAAAAACAAGAAATGCAGGAAGGATTCCCTATTTAACAAATGGTACTGGGAAAACTGGCTAGCCATATGTAGAAAGCTGAAACTGGATCCCTTCCTTACATCTTATACAAAAATTAATTCAAGATGGATGAAAGACTTAAATCTTAGACCTAAAACCATAAAAACCCTAGAAGAAAACCTAGGCAATACCATTCAGGACATAGGCATGGGCAAGGACTTCATGTCTAAAACACCAAAAGCAGTGGCAACAAAAGCCAAAGTAGACAAATGGGATCCAATTAAACTAAAGAGCTTCTGCACAGCAAAAGAAACTACCATCAGAGTGAACAGGCAACCTACAGAATGGGAGAAAATTTTTGCAATCTACCCACCTGACAAAGGACTAATATCCAGAATCTACAAAGAACTTAAACAAATTTACAAGAAAAAATCAAATAACCCCATCAAAAAGTGGGTGAAGGATATAAACAGACACTTCTCAAAAGAAGACATTTATGCAGCCAACAGACACATGAAAAAATGCTCATCATCACTGGCCTCAGAGAAATGCAAATCAAAACCACAATGAGATACCATCTCATGCCAGTTAGAATGGTGATCATTAAAAAGTCAGGAAACAACAGGTGCTGGAGAGGATGTGGAGAAATAGGAACACTTCTACACTGTTGGTGGGAGTGTAAACTAGTTCAACAATTGTGGAAGACAGTGTGGTGATACCTCAAGGATCTAGAACTAGAAATACCATTTGACCCAACCATCCCATTACTGGGTATATACCCAGAGGATTATAAATCATGCTACTATAAAGACACGTGCACGTGTATGTTTATTGCGGCACTATTCACAATAGCAAAGACTGGGAACCAACCCAAATGTCCATCAATGATAGACTGGATTAAGAAAATGTGGCACATATACACCATGGAATACTATGGAACCATAAAAAAGGATGAATTTATGTCCTTTGTAGGAACATGGATGAAGCTGGAAACCATCATTCTGAGTAAACTGTCGCAAGAACAGAAAACAAAACACCTCATGTTCTCACTCATAGGTGGGAAATGAACAATGAGAACACCTGGACACAGGGTGAGGAACACAACACCGGGGCCTGTCATGAGGTGGGGTTGGGGGAGGGATAGCATTAGGAGAAATACCTAACGTAAATGACGAGTTAATGGGTGCAGCACACCAACATGGCACATGTATGCATATGTAAAAAACCTGCACATTTGTACATGTACCCTAGAACTTAAAGCATAATAAAAAAGAAAAAAAAACTAAATGCTTTTAAGAGCACTCACATCATTTCTTGAACACTTTGCTGCTTAGAAATTTCTCCCACTCATACCCTAAATAATCTCTTTCAAGTTCAAAGTTCCACAGATCTCTAGGGCAGGGACAAAATGCCTCCTGTCTCTACTAAAGCATAGCAAGAGTAACCTTTATTCCAGTTCCCAACAAGTTCCTCATCTTCATCTGAGACCACCTCAACCTGGATTTCATTGCTCATATCACCATCAGCATTTTGGCCAAAGCCATTCAGCAAGTCTCTAGAAAATTCCAGACCTTCCCACATCTTCCTGTCTTCTTCTGAGCCCTCCAAAGTGTTCCAGCCTCTGTCTGTTACCCAGTTCAAAAGTCACTTCCACATTTTCAGGTATTCTTATAGCAGTACCCCAGTCTCTATGGTACCAATTTACTGAATTAATTCATTTTCCCACTGCTATAAAGAACTGCCCGAGCCTGGATAATTTATAAAGGAACGAGGTTTAATTGACTCACAGTTTCACATGGCTGGGGAGGCCCCAGGAAATTTCAATTATGGTGGAAGGCAAAGGGGAAGCAAGGCACCTTCTTCATAAGGTGGCAGGAAGAAGAATGAACATACAGGAGGAACTACCAAACACTTATAAAACCATCAGATCTTATAAAACTCACTCACTATCATGAGAACAACATGGCGGAAACTGCCCCCATGATTCAACCACCTCCACCTGGTCTCTCCCTTGAGATGTGGGGATTATAGGGATTATGAGGATTATAATTCAAGATGATATTTGGGTGGGCACACAAAACCTAACCATATCAGACCATAATCAGAGTGAACTGAAACACTTTTGCAAAGATGGGATTTCAATTTTAAGATGTATTATCCAAGCTGTGGCCAAGCTTTCTTCTAACACTTAAACTTGAGAATATTTACAATTATGTTTATTACAATGTAATTACAATGGGAAAAATTTGAAAACAATTCATTTACCCAAAAGTAAGGAATCAGCTATATGAATTATAATCTCTTTTATGAAAAAATATACAATTATTTAAATCATGTTCTATAAAAATATTTAGAGACAAAGGTAATTGTCTACAATACAGCATTAATGAAAAATGGAATATAAAAATTGGCTACATAGAGTGTAATTCCAATTTTGTATTTAAAAGTAGAGATGAAGAGAATAAGCCAAAATATTAGTGGTGGTAATAACTCGTGACAATGAGTTATTACGACTGACAAGAAATACTACAAGTGTTTTAAATTTTCTTCTTTATACTACTCTGTATTTTCTAGATTTTTCTAAAATGTACATTTATTGATTCTATTTATAATCTCACAAAGAATAAATTATAAATTTACACTATTGTATGATATTATCCAGTGTTGTCAAGAACATGTAGAAACGGACATATGCTGTGTTAAGAGCACATAGTACTACTAAAATTGCATTTTAGAAGTACAGTTTCACAGTATGACACAAAATTTGGCTATCACTCTCCTAGAAAGTTATCCTAAGAATATTTAAGAGAAGTTTGCAAGAATTCAGAACATTTGGATCTAAGAAAATAATAAGATGCATAGATTACATGTTTCATAACAAATCCCAGCAGTCTGGTCAGTAACTCACAATTAAATATCTTAATATTTCTCTAACAAATATATAAAGTGTAAAACTGAGCAGGATAAATAAAGACTATAAACAGCCTCCTATGAGTTCTAGACAGGTGGTGACACAAAATGAATTTTCACCAAACACTGGAAAATATATGTGGTTTACATACCTTTTTAATTGTCAGAATGATAGAAAAGAGAATGCAGACCTCTGCATCAAGAGATGTTCAGGAGAGCATCATTTATTATTCAATTAAATGTATATTAATAATGGATTAGCTAGGAGTAGTGGCTCATGCCTGTAAACCTAGCACTTTGGGAGGCTGAGGCAGGAGAATAGATTGAGTCCAGGAGTTTGAGACAAGCCTGGGCATCATGGCAAAACCTTGTCTCCACAGAAAAATACAAAAATTAGCTGAATGTGGTGACACACACTTGTAGTCCCAGCTACTTGAGAGGCTGAGGTGGGAGGATCACTTGAGCCTGGGAGGTGGAGGTTGCAGTGAGCCAAGATTGTGCCACTGCACTCCAGCCTGGGTGGCAGAGTGAGACTTTGTTTCTAAAAATAATAATAATAATGGATTAGTTTAAAAGAAACTATGGTAATAGTAATACAATTGAATAATATTCATAAATTGAAAGGATATCAATTAGTATTCATTTAAATAGAATGAACTTCATAACATATTACTGAGTGAAAAAGTAAGTTGCAAAATGACATTATCAAGAATTTCTGTTTCTTGAATAATAAAGTAGACATACTTTCCCCGTTCCTTTTACAAAGTACAACTAAGAACCTTGTACATGACAAATGAAAGAAATGTAAGAACTCTGAAAGATGAGAAGAAGTCAGGCTGGTTGGGGACATCAGGACCCCAAAAATGATCCAGACTTTGACAATTGATCATTCAGCAATAAGGAATCCACCCCAATCAAGGAGTCACCAGAGACCACCGGGTAGCTACAATTCCTACTCCTGTTCATCAGGCAGAAGAGGACTACCATCTATTGGGTATGAACAGAGGCCAAGTGGGGACCTGAACTTCTATTTCCATATGTGTGAAGTCATAAAGAGGTGGCAGCACCCTTCTCCTGCCACAGTACTATCCAAAAAAGTCAATTAAAACAGAAGGTTACAATTAGATGCCGTGCCTCACAACATAATATGGAAATATCTAGGTTTCAGTAGAAAATCACTCATCATATGAAGAACCAGAAAATCTCAACCTGAATGAAAGGACAATTAATAGATGCCAACACCAGGATGGCACGGGAGTTACAAATGTCTGACAAAGTTCCAAAAGGAGAGAAGAAAAAAGGTAGGGCTGAAATAGTACTTGAAGAAATAATGACTGGAAATTCCCAAAGTTAGCCAGAAATGTAAACCTAGAGATTTAAGAAGCTGAGTGAATCTCAAACAGGACAAACTCAAGAAAATCCACACCAAGGCACATCTGAAAACTAAACACAAAGAAAAAAATCTTCAAAGCAGCGAGAGAGAAATAACTGCTTACTATAGGAAAAAAAGAAAAAAACAGAATGACAGCAGATTTCTCATCAGACACCATGAAGAACAGAAGGAAGCAGCATAATACTTCTCACAAGCTGAGAGAAAAGAACTGGCAAACGAATCACACCCAGGAAAAATATGCATCAGAAATGAAGAGGAAATCAATACATCATCAAATGAAGGGAAAGTAAGAGCATTTGTCCCTACCAGACCTATCCTAAAAGAATGGCTAAAGGAAGTGCTCTAAACATAAAGGAAATGCTAAAGAAGAAACCTTGGAACATCAGGAAAGAAGAACACAGTAAACAAAAATGTGAGCGAATACAACAAGCTTTGTTTCTTCTTGACTGAAGCAAAAATTATAACACCAGTTGATATGTTTCTAAACATATGTAGAGGAAATATTTAATGCAGTTATATTATAAATGAAAGAAGAGAAAGGAACATAAATGGACATAACTAATGGACATTTACTACACTTTATTGAAGCTCATAAAATAAAAACACCAGTAGGCTGTGCTTTTATATATGATATAATACTTAGAGCAGCCATTAAAAAGCTATACAAAGAGAAACACTCAGAAACACTATGGATAAATCAAAGTAGAATCGAATAAAACCTTTCAGTATCACACAGAAGACAGAATAAATAAAAACAAAACAAAACAAAAAAACAGAAAGAACACACAGAAAACAAAAAATGGCAGAATTAAGGCCTGACAGATTAATAATTACATTAATATCAAAGGTCTAAATATATCAACTAAAAGGCATTGACTGAATTAAATGTTCTTTATAAGAAACTCACTTCAAATATAATGATATAGGCAGGTTTAAAGTAAAAGGATAGAAAAAGATATTTTATGCAAACATCCATCAAAGTAAAGCAAGAGTGGCTATATCAGTATTAAACAAAGTAGACTTCAGAGAAAAAAGATTCCCAGAGCCAAAGGGCATTATATAATAATAAAAGGGTAAATCCATGAAGATGACATAACAATCTTAAGTGTCAATGCACCAAATAGCACAGTTGCAAAGTATGTGAAGCAAAAGCTGATAGAAAAAGGAAGCATAGATAAATCCACAATTATATTTGGAAACCTTAACATTACACTATCAACAACTGGTAGAACAACTATACAAAAAGGCCAGGCATGGTGGCTCTGCCTGTAATTCCAGCAGTTTGGGAAGCCGAGGCTGGAGGATCACTTGAGCTCAGGAATTTGAGACCAGCCTGAACAACAAGGTGAAACACTGTCTGTACAAAAAATACAAAAATTAGCTGGGTGTAGTGGCGCAGGCCTGTAATCCCAGCTACTCAGGAGTCTGTGGTGGGAGGATTGCTGAAGCCCTTGGGGTTGAGGCTGCAGAGAAACATGGTCATGCCACCATATTCTGGCCTGGGTGACAGAGCAAGATCCTGTCTCAAAAACAAACAAACAAAACTATAGAGAAAATCAGCAAGGATATAGAGGAACTCAACAACACCATAAAACCATCAAAATATAATTGGCATTTAAAAAACAGAATATACATTATTTACAAAAGCCCATGCATAGAACATATACCAAAACAAACTATAACCTGAGAGATAAAACAAACCCCCAACAATTTAAAAGTATTGAAATAATACACAATGTATTGTCTGACCACAAGGGAAACAAGCTACAAATCAATAAAAGAAAGATAAGAGTAAAACCTCCAAATATTTGAAAACTAACACATGTCTAAATAAACCATGGAAATACATTCATTAGTTTGCTCCTTTCTGCCTATGGATGCTGCCAAGGGAGAATCATTAAAGTCTCTCTTCCCACTGCCATGATGTCTAAGTCAGCATCTCCCAAAGAGCCTGAACAGGTGCAGAGAGCTTTCAAACAACCGATGAGAGTCTGAGCAGCCATTCAGAAAAATGGGGAATGCTCATGGACTGTGTGGTAATGAGAGACCAAAACACCAAGTGCTCCAGGGGCTTTGGGTTTGTCACATGGAGGAGGTGGATGCAGCCATGGATGCAAGGCTACATAAAGTGGATGAGAGTTGTAAAACCAAAGAGAGCTGTCTCAAGAGAAGATTCTCAAAGACCAGGTGCCTACTTAACTGTGAAAAAGATATTTGTTGGTGGCATTAAAGAAGACACTGAAGAACATCACCTAAGAGATTATTTTGAACAGTATGGGAAAATTGAAGTGATTGAAATCATGACTGACCAAGGCAGTGGCAAGAAAAGGGGCTTTGCCTTTGTAACCTTTGACAACCATGACTCCGTGGATAAGACTGTCATTCAGAAATAGCACACTGTGAATGGCCACAACTGTGAAACTAGGAAAGCCCTGTCAAAGCAAGAGATGGCTAGTGCTTCCTCCAGCCAGAGGTTGAAGTGGATCTGGAAACTTTGGTGGTGGTCGTGGGGTGGTTATGGTGGGAATGACAACTTTGTTCATGGAGGAAACGTCAGTGGTCATGATGGCTTTGGTGGCAGCCATGGTGGTGGTGGATATGGTGGCTGTGGGGATGGCTATAATGGATTTGGTAATGATGGAAGCAATTTTGGAGGTGGTGGAAGCAACAACAATTTTGGCAATTACAACAATCTGTCTTCAGATTTTGGACCCACAAAGGGAGGAAACTTTGGAGGCAGAAGCTCTGGCCCCTAACGTGGGGGAGGCCAATACTTTGCCAAACCACGAAACCAAGGTGGCTATGGTAGTTCTGGTAGCAGCACTAGCTATAGCAGTGGCAGATTTCAATTCCTGCCAGGAAAGAAAATTTCACAGGAGAGGAGAGCCAGAGAAGTGACGGGGAAGCTACAGGTCACAGCAGATTTGTGAACTCAGCCAAGCACAGTGGTGGCAGAGCCTAGCTGCTACAAAGAAGACATCTTTTAGACAATACTCATGAGTCTGGGGAAAACTTGAGGATTGTATTTATGACTAATTGTACAACAGATTATTTTAGTTTCTGTTTTGTGGAAAGTGTAAAGCATTCCAACAAAGAGTTTTAAGGTACATATATATGTTTTTGCACCCATGCCATTGATTGCTAAATGTAATAGTCTGATAATGCTTAATAAATGTGTCTTCTTAAATAAATAAATAATATTTATAATAACATTTAAAGAATTAACACCAACTGGGGAAAACCTCTTCCAGCAATAGAAAAGGAGGAACCACTTTCCAATTCATTTTATGAAGCTAATATTGCCTTGATACCAAAATAAGAAGAAGACATTTTTTAAAAACAAAAAGAAAACTGCAGACCAATATTTATCATCAGTATAGAGGCAAAAATCCTTATCAAAATGTTAGCAAAGAGAAGTAAGCAATATATAAAATGATTAAACACCATATTCAAATGAAGTTTATTTCAGAAATGCAAGGCTGGTTAAGTGGTTGAGAATCAATCAATATAATCCACCATATTAGCAGACTGAAGAAGAAAAATCACATCAATTAATTCATAAGATGAATTTAACAAAGTTTAACACCAATTTATAATTTTTTAACTGTTATAAAAACAGAAATACAGGGCAATTTCCTAAACTTGATTTTTTAAAATCTACAAAACTCTATAGCTAACATGATATTTAATGGTGAAAAACTGAATTATTTACCTCTAGACCAAGAGCAAGATAAGGATTTCTGCTCTCAGCACTCCTATTCAGTATAGTGCTGGAAGTTCTAGTCAGTGCACTAAAACAAGAAAAATAAATAAACAGCATGTAAATTGGAGGGGAGACATAATGTAAAATAGTACAGTCACTCTGGAAAATGGTTTGACAGTTTTTAAAAAAACTGAACTTGCAAATACCGTAAGACCTAGCAACTGCATTCCTTGGTATTTACCCTAGAGAAATTGAGATTTATGCTTATAAAAACATCTGTAAACAAATGTTTGTGGCAAAATTATTAGCACCAGCCAAGAACTGGAAACAACCCAGTCCTTCAAGGAGTGACTCATTAAAGAAACTGTGGTACATCCATGTCATTGAATATCAATGAACAATAAAAAGGAATGAACTGTTGATACATGTAGGAACAAGCTGGACAAATCTCTAGAGAATTATTCCCAGTGAAAAAGTGAACCACAAAGGTTACACTCTGTATCTTTTCATTCATGTAACATTCTTGAAATGACAAAATTATAGAAATGGCAAACATATTAGAGTTATCAGGAGGGGAGTGAGGTGGGAGGGAAGTGGGTCTGTAAAAGAGCAGCATGAGGGATGTCTGTGGAGACGGAAATGTTCTATAGCTTGACTATCAATGTCGGTATCATAGTTGTGATTTTACAAGATTTTGCCTTTGAGATAAACAAGGAGAAGTGTATATGCAGTCTCTCTGTAGTATTTTTCCCAATCACATATGTATCTACAATTATATCCCCCCAAAATTAATTAAAAATGATTTTTAAATGCAGTCATATACTTTTATTTATGGAAAATTAAATACATCTGTATACCCATATGTGTAATCAGGTGGTCCAGATATATGCTCACCAAGCTGTTGACAGTAATTTTCCTTGGGTGTAGTATTTCAGGAGATTTTGCTATTTGTTTTTTTAAACTTTTAAATGTTATATGAGTAATGTGCATAATGCATAAATATATTCTTATTGTAAAATAATATAAGTAGAAATTAAAAGCAAAATATTCTGCCAGATAAAATCTCCTCCCAAGGATAATAATTATTAGCATTTTGGCTTATATCCTTCCAGTCCCAATTCTGTAATTGCATACAATTTTGTATTGTGTATATGTGAATATATACATCTTTTCAGAATCACTTACAATAAATAGAATTATAGCCAACCTTTGTAACTTCTTTATTCAAAAATATGACTTGATAATATTTCTATGTCTGCAAATACTTATAACTACTTAATTTTTTAACCAGAGCATGGTTGTTCATAATTAACCTAATTCATTCCTATAGGATTGGATTATTTTCTATTTTTGACTGTTATAAATAATGCCACATAAGCATTCTTGCTAATTGTTTTGCAGATAGAGAAATACTTCTGTAGAATAGATGGTTAGAGATGAAATTTCTAGGGCAAAGGGGTTATTCATTTCAAAACTTGAAAGAAGCTACCAAATTGTCCACTAAAAAAGTAGACAAAAATATATACCTTCCAACTGTGTATGTATTTGTTTCAAAACATACTAACACATAACACTATCAATCCAATTTTTATTTTAATTTTAAAATTTTTAATCAAGAATATTCAAAGATAAACTACATTAAGATATTTTTTCATACCCAATAAGACAAAAAAATTATTGGCTTCATTTTACTTTTCTCCTACCCTACTCAAACCACCCTGCCCTCTGCCAGCATCCATGTTAGAATCACCTGTAGTTTTAACTTTCAGATTGTTATTATTTTTTAACATATTCATCAATTATTTAGACTTAACAATTAGTTTTGCCAGCATCTTTGCTCTGTGGTGTTACTTGTGTCCTTTGCCATTTGCTTTTACTAGGATTCTCTCAAATAGGGAGGGGCAGTGAGTGGAATTGTCTTTGATACATCCAAAACTATTCTTAGCTTTCACTCTTGAATTCTACTTTGGCTGGGAATAGAATTCTAAGTTTATAATAATTTCATCTCATAATTCTGAAGACATTATTCCCTTGTTTACTGTACTCAGTATTGCTTTAAAAAGTTTAATAGCAATCTGATTTTCATTTATTTGCATGTAAACTGTTGTTTATCTCTGCAAGCTTTTGGACATTTCTCTTTATCCTTGGAGATCTGAAATTTCACTGATGTCTAGCTGTGGCTCTCTTTTTATACCTCCTATTTAATACCACATGGTCTTTGAAACCTGGAGACTTACTGATTTCTTGAGCTCTAGTAAATGTTCTTTTCTCATTTAATTGATCATTTTCTCCCATTTGTTGTCTCCTTACATCCCCAGGGCATTACTATTTTGTAGCTATGGGTATTCAGGAACTGCATTTTATTTATTTTAACTTTTTTTTCTCATACTTTCTGTAGTAGGCAGAATAAAGCCCAGCCCTTGCCCCCAAGGATAGTCACATACCACTATCCAGAGACTGTAAATATGTTAACTTTACACAACAAAAGATATTTTGCAGGCATCACTAAGTTAAGGATCTTGAAATGGGAAGATTATCCAGGATTATCTGGGTAGACCCAATGTAATCAAAAGGATTCTTATGAGAAGGCAGTAGGATATCAGGGTCAAAGGAGATGTGACAACAGAGGCAGAGATCAGAGAGAAAAGGGAGAAAAAGACTGGAAGATGCTTCATTGATGGATTCGAAGATAGAGGAAAGGGCCACAAGCCAAGGAATGCAGCTGGCCTCCAGAAGCTGGAAAAGGCAAGAAAACAGATTCTCTTCTAGAGTCTCCACAAGGAACAGAGCCCTGCCAACACCTTGACTTTAAGATTCTGACCTCTAAAACTGTAAGATAATAAATTTGGGTTGTTTTAAGCCAGTAAATTTGTGGTAATTTGTTACAGCAGCAATAAGAAACTAATATAATTTCAAATTAACCCCTTATAATTTTGCATTGCTTCCTATGTGAACGACTCTCTTCATCTTTCAGTATACTGATTTGATTTTCAGCTCTGTCCTTTCAGCTATTCAGCCTATCAATTGAAATGTCTTGTATTGGTTATGATGGTTACTTGCAAAAACTCCAACTACACTTTCCTCCCTTTAAAGAACTGTTTTTTGTTTTTGTTTTCATTTTTGTTTTGAGACAGGGTCTCACTCTGCGGCCTAGGCTGGAGTACAGTGGCATGATATCACAGCTCACTGCAGCCCCAATCTCCCTGGCTCAAGCAATCCTCCCACCTCAGTCTCCTGAGTAGCTGGGACTGCAGGCACATGCCACCATGCCTGGCTAATTTTTCTTTTTTCTTTCTTTCTTTCTTTTTTTTTTTTTTTGTAGAGATAGGGTCTCACTATATTCAGGCTGATTGTTTGTCTTTTAGGAATGCAATATCCATTCAAATCTGAGAATATCAGTTATCCCTATTATAAATTTTTTTTCCATTATCTTCACTTCCTGAACATTAGCCCTTCTGTTTTTGAGTTTGGCAGCTCTTTCCTTAAACACATGGTGATTCTTGACTGCTTGCTTAGTTGTATTTGAGAATCTTATTCATTTGAATGATAGCCCTGGTAACTCTAGCCTGTTTCTGGTGATTGTAGGAGAAAAGCAATAAAAACAAAATTTGCAGAATGGCTACAGCTTACCATTCAAGTCTAGAAAATCCTTTCTATAGATCATCAAATGCTAACAAAAAAGACCAGTGCAGCATGAGTACTGACAATCAAAACAGATGCTAGCCAATATGCCATTGTTGCTGAGAAATCATGAGTTGCCTGACTCCTTCCTCTTTGGGAAGTTATACTTACACATATAACTTTGGGCAAATGCTAGAATGAATGTTTGTTTCCCTTTTTATTAGTTTTTTAGTGGTGTGTGTGGTGTGTGTGTGTGTGTATGTGTGTGTGTGTCTGCTTGTGCCTTTGGGTCTTCCTCTCCTGTTCTTATAGGCATCTGGAGGTATTTTAGCATTTGCTTCTGTTGGGTGTCCTATTCTAAACCTATAGGTGTGAGTAAAGATATCTAAATTCAAGCTCTTAGCTTATGAAATTTTATTTGCTGCATCCTGCCCAAAATAGTATATGTAAGTATTTCATTGCATTAAAAAACATTTATATAACCCAGAAGCTTACGTTTTCATTAAAAAACAGGCACATATACATCATGGAATACTATGCAGCCATAAAAAATGATGAGTTTATGTCCTTTGTAGGGACATGGATGAAGCTGGAAACCATCATTCTCAGCAAACTATCGCAAGGACAAAAAACCAAACACTGCATGTTCTCACTCATAGGTGGGAATTGAACAATGAGAACACATGGACACGGGAAGGGGAACATCACACTTCAGGGCCTGTTGTGGGGTGGGGGGAGGGGGGAGGGATAGCATTAGGAGTTATACCTAATGTTAAATGGCGAGTTAATGGGTGCAGCATATAATAAAAAAAGAAAAGAAAATTAAATTGAACCAGACTTTGATAAAAACAAAAACAAACAAACAAAAATTTATATAACACAGAAGTTTGTCCTGAAGATTTACCATTGTTCCCAATTTCAAAAGAAAATCCCTAGCAGCTCAAGAAGTACTTCTCTGGCCCAACAGATTCAAGGAGAAACAGAAGAGTGAAAGAGGCCCTTGACAAAACATATGTGAGAGAAATATATTCAGACGTATTCCACAGAGTCACTTTTAAAAACAGTCTGATGTCAACTTTAAATGTAAAGACGTCACTAATAAGTTCTAAAATAAAAAAAAATCTTTTGTTCTACAATAATACAGAAGGAATGTATCACTAATACGTATCATTAAATCACAGTATCTGATTTGAGGCAAGTCCCAAAAGTCCAGAATCACAGAACTGGAGGGAACATTAAAGTCAACCAATTTGAGACTATCCTTTTACAAATGAAGAAACTAAATCCATTAGAGTTTAAATGATTTTCCAAAGTTGCAAAGTCTTTGTCTACAGAACCAGAATGGATACTCCTAAACCACTGTGCTTCTCTATGATAAACTGTTTAGTTATCTTTAGTCTTGCATCACTTAGATATTTGGGGACACCACCAAAGCAATTTTTTTACTTATAGTGAATTATCTAATTAGCTACTGTATTCTAAAGACACACAGAAGTCACTGGTTTGTTACACATTCTATCTTCCAAAATTAATGACCAGACTTTCTAACCTATTTTAGTAAGTTATAAAAATAAAGCATTATTTTATAGTAAATACAGTATAATTACAACTTCTTTCAAAACTGGTTCTCTTCAAAATAAAATCTTAAAGCAATAAGAAGAAAATGAACTTTCCAATGTGGGCTGCAGTATTTTACAGCTAGAAAAAACTTCAGTCTTCATGCAGCAGAGAAGAAAAATGAGGACTGCAGAGGCTGCAGTCCAATCCTTTTGTGCTAATGAGCTGGGTGACCTTGACGGAGCCATGGAGCTGCACTAGGTTTGCCTTCTCTGAAATTTGTTGTCAGATTTCATTTGTATTATTACCTAATTTCCTCCATGATTAAGAACATTTCTTTTAGATTACAGATGTGATATTTTTGGCTCAACTAGATACACTTATAAAATTAGAAGGATATTATTATCTTTTTAAGCAAAAAAACAAACAAAAGATTGTATGATGAGATGTATAAAATTGGTTTACAAATTCATGCTACCATCATTCTCAATCCCAGAGCCCAGTGGAATGTCCTCAAATAATCACCTCACATCAGTGTGGGCTTAGATGGCTTCAGAATCTTAAGATCCACAGCCAATATATGTTGAAGAGACACATCTTTACAACTGGTATTTTTCCAAACGGGGATTAAAATTTTCACTGAGAATTGCTGCACACACCACCCAGGGTGTTACCAGATTTTCCTGAATTGCCAAATGGAAATGGTCCCAATTTAGTACTTAAGTATCATTTCAACTTTACACCAAATACTTTAAAATTTTTATTTCACATTGCTTGCTAGCTATATTTTCATAGACTATTAGAAATAATTTATTCTACATAATGTGTCCTTTTTCCATTTGGCAAACATTTCTCTCCTTTCTTTTATTTTCAATTGATGTGACTGATTTTTATTTTCAATTTGCATGACTTGTGTTGCTTTCAACTTAAACAGCTCATATATAACCATTGCTATTACCTGGGGTACAATTACAAGTGTCAAAGCTGCAGCTGGCTTCCTCCTCTTCCTTTCATTTTGGGAAAAAAAATCACTGAGTAATCCAGTGGCTTCTGCCAAGACCTATGGAACAAGAATTATGTGTTACATGCAAATTCAAGCATGCCTTACAATTTTGTAAAATGAAAACTTAGAATACTACTAGTTAGTAAGTTTATTCCACTATCTATATATGTAATGATGCTTTGATTAGAATATATAATGATTTAATCAGTAATCATGCATACCTACTGGTGCAAGACTTCAAAAGGAAGCCTTTTCAGTAAGCCCATGTGGAAACTTAAGGATGTGATGTCAATTATTTTAAAACACTATGTAGTGGCAAGTTTCTATTATTAGGCATTTTAAAATATTCAACTTTTAATAAGTCATACATGCTAGTGCTAATCTTTATAATATCTTATATATTTAGAAACTTTAAGATTTAAAAAGTTCCAAGTTATTTACATGTGTTATATTGCTTGAGCCACAAAACAACCCAAGTGAGGTACGTAGTGGTGATGTCTACACAGATGTTATATATGAGGTAATATATGACCACTGTCTAGAACACAGCATTTTCAATAAATGCTGGCCCAGAATGGGGGTTCAATAAACACTGTCTCCTGTCGTCTAAAATGCTGGCAAGTGACAGAATTGGGCCTGGAAATCAAATCTTCTGGTTCCCAATCTAATATTTTCCATGCTGCATGACACTAACTCTACAGGTAAAAGTTCAACTGAGATAATGAAGCATCAACTAGCCATAGTCTCCTACCTGCAAGGGCAAGAGAAGGTTGCAATTAGCTCTCAGAAGGACAACTCTGTCATGTCCTAGAGCTTTACATGGAAAAGGAAGAAAATTCTATTATCTTCCTTGAATTAGTTGCACAGGCAGCTTCCAGCCTGGTATAGTAGTTAATAGCACAAAATGAACTCCCTCATAACAAACACCCAGGTAACTTGTGGCTCCTTTTTTTCCATTATGGAAATTTTCAAATATCAAAAAAAGCAGAGATGTATAATATAAAGAGCCTTCGTGAACCATCACCCAGCTTCAACAATTGCCAACATTTTACCTATCCATTTTTTTTCAGACATGCAGCTTTATGATGTCTCAAGACTGTTGGCTGCATAGTTTCCATGAGGTCAAAAACAGTGCTGCCCTGGGAAGGCTGGAGAGGGAGAAATTGCAGCTCTCACACCTCTTATTTCCTTCCCCACCTCCAAATCAGAGGATAAATTTACCACCGGTCCCAAGAAGCCAAGAACTAAAGAACACATAGAATTTGAAAGGTGACCTAATATCTCTACTAATTATGGTTTGGGTTATTGATTTGCTGATCCCAAATATGATATAACTTGAAAGTGTCTTCCTCTTAAATATGAATAATTGGCTTGTGAATTCTGCCATTTCTGAATTCCCATACCAGTCTCCTTATACACGGTTCATGTTACTTCTAGTATTCTGCCTTAAATTACATTGATTTCTGAATGTGTCCTTACCTTCCCGTAGCTTAATGGAAATTTTATATTCCTTTTCACAACTGGAAAGTAAACTTTTACTAAATAAGTGCTTATGGAATAGTTATTGAATTTATTATAATTGAATTCCAAAGCTTAATCTATATATTCTGAAAGTTTTAAATATTTTTCCTGAATTGAGGCAAAATATAATTGGATACAACAGAGAAAAAAGTAACTTGAGTAATCAAACAACTAAAAAACTGTAATTCCACAATTATTGACTCAGGCAAAATCAAATGTCTGCCTCAAATTCCTAATATATGAATAAACTCAGCACTGAAAATACATGTGTTTTCTTAACCTTGCTAAACTTTATATTCTTATCATAAAATGATGCTGCATAAATGACAAATACTGAAATATAAAGTGAAAGTGGCTTTTGGCACACAATCCATGGTCATCTTATTATGGCCATGCCCAGTGCTTGGGGGATGCTTCCATCCAGCATGTGGAGTCCCTTTCAACAACACTTTCACTGGTTCTTAAAATACTTCTGGGAAAGGAAAGGCACACTGCCTCTGGTTTTAGAAACCAGAAAAGTGAGTCATTGAGACAAAGTTCCTGCCTGGTTTATAGAGGAAATCAGTGGACACTTGAGGGTCTGAACTGTCAACTTCTGGATCATTCGTACAGTAAGTTAACAAATTTTATTAAATACACACTATGTTCTAGACCCAGCCCTAGGCCTTAGGAATATAAAGATGAATAACCCATAAGGAACTTGCAATGTAGTGAAAGGAAACAAACTTGTAGAGTAAGTGCAAAGAAGTGTTAGTATAAAGGTATAAAGGTTTCTAGAAGCCATTAATGCAAAAATTGCAATTACTTTTCCGCCAACCTAATATTGTAGACATTATAATAAAAATATGTACTGATTTTACAGGGAACCCAAAAGTAAGATTAAGCTGTTCTCCTGAGGTACAGCAGAGAAAGTGCCTCATCAATCGACTCTTGGAAAATGACTGGAATATTGGCCACAGAATCAAGGACAAGTAATCTCAACCCCAGTAGTTGTCAATGTCCCCCTTTCAGCCCTATTAGCACTGGGAAGTCAGTCCTCCCACTTCTGCTGCTGCTTTCTATCTCCTCCATCTGCTTTCAGAATTGGAAGCTGTGGCTTGGATAAGGAGCACAATTGCAGACTGCCATCAAGGCAGTCAGCACACATCAGCCCAGTTTCTAAATGTCTATCTCTTTCTTGTTTCTCTGGGCCCTTCAGCTCAGAAAGGAACATCAGCCAACTTTTAAGTTCTCATTCAAAGGCAAGACTGTCGCTGACACCGCTATAGACAGAAGTCCTTGGAAGTAGATCCTGCTGCTGTCAGAGAGAGAAGTGGAGACCTTGGGGGTGATAGATCACACAGATTGCTTGAAACCAACCATCTTACTAATATCACAAGGAGCTGAGGTTTGCCTCTCAAAGGACAGAGATCATTGAGATAGTTACCAAAATAATTACAAAAAATAATAGCTACTCATTTGTTGTCCCTGCTATGTGCTAGTTGCTTTATACATGTTGTCTCTAAGCCTCACAACAGCCCTGTAAGGTATTTGATATTTCTTGAATTTTATAACTGATGTTCAGGAAAGTAAAGTCACTCACAGATCCAATCAGTGGAAGAATGAGAACTGCGTTCATCTCTTTCTGACTCTAAAACTCAATCTCTTTCCATGACACCGTTCCAGTAAAACAAACAAAGTATAATATAATGATACAGAATTTCACATAGCACACAGAAATTCATCTCATTAAATATGATATGTTTTACATGTACTTTGAACTTTTTAACTCCATTCAACAATTTTAAGCAGCTACTGTGAGGGAATTTTAAGTGTTTAGGGAAACAAAACTGAATAAAACAATTTCCACTCTCAGGAAACTAGATTAAAATCCAGTGGAAGGGAAAAGGCAAGGATACAAACAACTCAAAAATAAATCAAAATACTACTTTGATACGAAAATAAATACTACTAGAAAGGTATAAAGGTTTCTAGATGTTCAAATGCAGAAATTTCACAGATCAGAGTATGATAATAATGTGTATCAAGTACTTACTATATTCCAGCTGCTGATTTAAGTACATTGTATTTTGTAGCTCATTTAATTCTACCTGGTCTGAATTACTATTCTCATAATCTTCATTTCAAAGATGAGGAAAATAAGGCCTGGAGAACTAAAATATCTGCTCCAAGGATACTCATCAGCTAAGAAGCTAAGTTGGAATATGAATCTATGGTAGTATGCTCTCAAAGCCTATGTGCTTACCTGCCCTGCCATGCTGCCCTGATTGGAAGAACCTCCCAGAGTTGGGATGTCTATTCAAAACCTGTGTCAAAGAAGGGATGAATTTCTGCCTTTCTGAGAGGTGGCAAAGACAGGAATTCTTTGCTATGGTTTCATTTCTTTATCACAATAACACTATATCAAAATTGGAATGTAGGTCTATTTTCTTGCTTTGCAGAGAAAAAAACTCTGGCACTGGAAGATTGAGTGGCTCACTAAAGATCATTCAGTTAGTTAATGTCACACAAAGAAATCAGTCTAAGCCTCCCAATTTCATCCTAACTATCCTTTGTATCTGATAGCTCCCTATGTCTCCAGCAGTCCCTGCCCAGTCAACAACTCATTAAACACCACTTGCCCTGAAATGATTAAGGATTTTCTATTTCAAAATACACTTAATTATAAACTAGAAATTTTCCTCTTAACCAATCCATAATGTAAGTGAGAGAAAAACCAGTGCTTTGCATCCTTAAAACATAATTCTTTCACTAGCATCAAGACTGTTATCCTGTCCCTTTTCAGTCTTTTCTTCACCAGATTAAATGATTGCAATTATTTTATGCTTTTCTCCCCAACTCTAGTTCTGGAGAGCTTAATTCTTTTGACTGCTTTCTTCTGAAGTCTTCCCAAGGCCCCCATATCGGACTAAAATTATAGGCCCCTAAAGAAAATTATAATAAAGGTCTGACTAATGTTGATTCTAGGATTAACAAGCTTTTTTTCAAACTATTTTCTTGTTGAAAAAATTTGGTAACTTGCCTTAATATAAATATATATATATATAAATGTATATATTGTTGATTCATGTTTAGTATCTCATCAGTTACAAGCCTTTTTCTTCCATTTTTAAGCCCAGCCTATGTTTGCTAATCGGCTAATTATATGTAATTTTTATTTTTATTTTTGTCATCCAGATTATAGTGCAGTTTCTCATTCATAGCTCACTTCAGCCTCAAACTCCTGTGTTCAGGTAATCCTCCTACCTCCGCCTGTCTAGTAGCCAGGACTACAACTGTGCACCAAAACACCTGGCTAATTTTTCTAATGTTTTATAGAGACGGGGTCTCACCATTTTGCTCAGGCTGGTCTTGAACTCTTGGGCTCAAACAATCCTCCCATCTTTGCCTCCCAAAATGCTGGGATTACAGGCATGAGCCACTGCTTCCAGCCTGTTTCTTGTTTTTAACAAAAATTGTCCAGGGACCCAGTGGCCCATGCTGTCAGTGAATTTAGCACATGGGCATAGCATATACTCAGCCATCAATCAAATGACTGATGAGCTATTAAATGTATCTGCCTATCAATCACATTGACATAACTACTCACATAAGTCTAACACATTGTGCATGTTTACAGATGTATGGGCTTCTGTCAAATGCACAAATAGTGTTGAGAAAATAAAAAACACTAATAGTTTTAACAAGTAGTGGTTAAGGAAGTAAATGTCATCAAGACTGGATTGAAAATACCTTTGTTAATAAATATGAACACATCTGAAAAGCTCTGCAAAGCTTCGTATTAAGTATGATGGATAAATTCATGCTCACTCGTGAAACTCCACTAAAATGATAGTAAAGTATTACAACAAAAATACAAAAATGCACAAGGACCAAAAGAATGGAAGAGGAATCTATAGCAAAAGCCAGAAAAAGATAAACAAGTGGTGAATGCCTTAATAGACCCAAGAAAGTAGATAGATCCAAGAAGGAAACCATGGCCCCCAGAGGGCTCAGGACTTTGTGGCATCCAGATACCTCTGGATGAGAAGGTAGAGGTATAACTAAAAGCAGAAATATTTGCTGAAAATATAAGAAACAATTAAATCACCAGATACTCTTCACAACTCTCTTCCACATAAGACTGAGGGGTTTTCCTCTGGAAAGTTTTATCTGGCTGAGGCACACCAGGCAGGGGGCATGCTAGTTGTTGGCAGTGAGAATTACACTATCCAGATAAGAGTCCAGTTTCTCTGAGGAAATTGCCTGCCCATAAGAAAAAGCCTAAAAATACTTACATTGGAGATTCTCCATTAAAATGTTCCAGCTAGGTCACCTGACAATGGAACCCAGATCAACAAGCCCTATCCACTTACAAAAAGCTTTCAGTCAGCACTTCAATACTTCACACAACAGCCAACAGACTTGACCAAGAGCCAAAATTCATGAGACATTTGAGGAAGGTCTCTAATGTGAAAGACAGAAGCCAAACAAACAGGAATAAGTGATAGAGGAATACAGACGCTGAACTAATCAAATATCATTAATATCCTCAGAGAGCTAAAAGAAGAATTGACATTCATAAAATATCATGATGATTCTTTTAATTCAGAAAATAGAAATGAATCCTTCGAAATCAAGAATATGATAACAAATGAAAAACTCAGGAGTTGAAGAGTAAGTCAGAGGAAAGTTTTCAGAAAGTAAATCAAAAAGACAAAAGAAAATACAAAATAAAAATAAGAATCAATGACAAGTAGAAAAGATTCAATATTCAAATAAGAGACAAGGAGAAGAATAAAAACAACAGGCCAGGTGTGGTGGCTCATGCCTGTAATCCCAGCAATTTGGGAGGCTGAGGCGGGCGGATCACCTGAGGTTGGCAGTTTGAGACCAGCCTGACCAATGTGGAGAAACCCTGTCTCTACTAAAAATACAAAATTAGCCAGGTGTGGTGGCACATGCCTGTAATCCCAGCTACTCGGGAGGCTGAGGCAGGAGAATCACTTGAACCCAGGAGGCGGAGGTTGCAGTGAGCACTCCATCCTGGGCAATAAGAGCCAAACTCTGTCTCAAAAAAATAAAAAGAAGAAAAATTTTAATGAAATAATTCAAGAAAATTTCCCAGAAAGATGCTAAACTGAACCTAATAAGTTCTTAGTATAATGGATGAAAAGAAACCCATATCATTCCATATTTTTATTAAAGTATCAGCGAGGAGACACTTAGAATTCTAACAAGTCAAAACCACCCAAAATACTTAGATAACTCTTTTTAAATTAATAAATTAAATTATTAACTATATTAAATGAATTTCTATTTCAATACTTTAAAAAAATTCACATACTTATTTAAAGCTTAAAATCACAAAGTTATCAGGTTCTCTTAAACACAGCAAACACTTTAACTGACAAATACAGATTATCCTGAACTTAATGCAAAAGTACTAATGTTATAGGCTTGACTTATTTCATCATGTGTATTCTTAATCCAAAGTTATTGTAAAGTCAAATCACCTAATCAATTTAGGGAGAGAGTATACATTTCTGACACAGGCTGAAAGATTATAGACTTTGATATTCTATGAAACAGAGAAATAATGATTCCAGGATGACTATACACAAGATCATCTATGTTCCTAATTTCTTCCAGTGTTGATTGGATTCAATGAACCTCATTATTCTCTAATTGGATTCTGGATTATTTCATTGCTTTGTCCAAGTTTGATATCTCATCAAATCAGATTCTACATTCATTACCAGTTTGTACATTCATCTAGATATTATTATCATACTATAAGAAACACTCTGTAGTCATTCTTATGGGAGAAAAAAAGCATAGTACCAATTCATTTTAGTTTATGAACAAGATTCAGGTCCTGGCTCTGTCAGTTTCTAGCTCTATGACATGGGCAATTTACTCAATCTCTCTGAATCTCAGTTTGCTCTCCAATAAAATGGGAAAGAAATGACATAACTAAATGCACTTCACAGAATTTGATTACCATTTCAGAAGCTATTTTTTAAAAGGTAGAAACAGTTCGTATCCCACAAGAAAAGCAGAAAGAAAACAAAAGTATAAGTTTTCTTCTCATGAGTCTTTATTTATGGAAAGGACACATGGAAAAAAAGTCATTATATTATGAGCAAAATAAGATAGAAACTGTAAAATATGACAATGATTTTTAAAACACATTCCAGAATATCTAAACCCAAATTCTTATCATAGTCTTTTAAGTATCTTTGTAATATTATTATTTTCATTACATTTTGGCTCACCCATTTCAGAATCCGTAATACAGTCTTGTCACGATCCACAGTGCCAAGGGTAAACATGATTTTAAAAATAGTCATGTCATATAAATACAAAGTTATTGATTATTAGCTGTCCATTAATTGGAGACTGATTTAAACACTGGGATGATAAGCTGTGAAAAAAAAAGGACATGGAAACTATATATTGACATGAAATTATTTCCATGAGTTTTCTTATTAAAAGAAAGTTGATAAATTGTGCATGAACATATCATTAGTGTTGAAAAATACAAGAGAGGTAAACGCACATATGTAATTGCTTGTATTTACTTAAAATATTCCTGAGAGGTTACCCAAGAAAGAAAAATTTTGGTTGCTCCTGGGTCAGAGGATCATGTGAATGTACTACCATTACAAAAAATTAAACAAATGAAAATTTTTACAAGTGAAGTGTGAAGGGTGAAATGAAAAATCAAACTAGATAAAATGTATAAATGAGACTGTAAATAAGTGGGAGTGATGTATTCCAAAACAAAAACAAATTAATTTTTCATGGAGCAATTACAAAATTATTATTATTATTTTTTTTTTTTGGGAGATGGAGGATTCTTGCTCTTTTGCCCAGGCTGGAGTGCAATGGTGCGATGTCTGCTCACTGCAAACTCCATCTCCCGGGTTCAAGTGATTCTCTCGCCTCAGCCTCCAAAGTAGCTGGAATTACAGTTGCCTGCCACATTGCCCAGCTAATTTCTGTATTTTAGTAAAGATGGGGTTTCACCATTTTGGCGAGGCTGGTCACAAACTCCTGACCTCAATGATCCGCCTGCCTTGGCCTCCCAAAGTGCTGAGATTACAGGCTGTGAGTTACCGCACCCAGCCTAAAATTCTTATGCAGAGAAGATTGGACTTCTTTCTTTGATAAACAACACATATTTTTAAGTGCACATTCTATGATTTTTAACGTATTATTATACTTTAAGGTCTGGGATACATATGCAGAACGTGCAGGTTTGTTACGAATGTATACACGTGCCATGGTAGTTTGCTGCACCCATCAACCCATCATCTACATTAGGAATTTCTCCTACTGCTATCCCTCCCCTAGACCCTACCCCCCAACAGGACCGGGTGTGTGATGCTCCCCTCCTTGTGTCCATGTGTTCTCAATGTTCAACTCCCACTTATGAGTGAGAACATGTGGTGTTTGGTTTTCTGTTCCTGTGTTAGTTCGCTAAGAATTGTGGTTTCCACCTTCATCCATGTCTCTGGATGAAGAATTCATCATTTTTATGGCTGCATAGTATTCCATGGTATATATGTGCCACATTTTCTTAATCCAGTCTATCATTGATAGGCATTTGGGTTGGTTCCAAGTCCTTCCTTTTGTGACTATTGCTGCAATAAACATACATGTGCATGTGTCTTTATAGTAGAATGATTTATAATCCTCTGGGTATATACCCAGTAATGGAATTGCTGGATCAAATGGTATTTCTGGTTCTAGATCCTTGAGGAATCACCACACTGTCTTCCACAATGCTTGAACTAATTTATACTCCCACCAACAGCGTAAAAACATTCCTATTTCTCCACATCCTCTCCAGCATCTGTTGTCTCCTGATTTTTTAATGATTGCCATTCTAACTGGTGTGAGATGGTATGTCATTGTGGTTTTGATTTGCATTTCTCTAATGACCAGTGATGATGAGCTTTTCTGCATGTTTATTGGCCACATAAATGTCTTCTTTTGAGAAGTGTCTGGTCATATCCTTTGCCCACTTCTTGATGGGATTGTTTTTTTCTTGTAAGTTTGTTTAAGTTCTGTGTAGATTCTGGATATTAGCCCTTTGTCAGATGGATAGATTGCAAAAATTTTCTCCCATTCTGTAGCTTGCGTATTCACTCTGATGATAGTTTCTTTTGCTGTGCAGAAGCTCTTTAGTTTAATTAGATCCCATTTCTCAATTTTGGCTTTTGTTGCCATTGCTTTTGATGTTTTAGTCATGAAGTCTGCTTGTTCCGAATGGTATTGCCTAGGTTTTTTTTCTAGGGTTTTTATGGTGTAAGAAACTCATTCAAAACCAGACGACTACATGGAAACTGAACAATCTGCTCCTTAATGACTACTGGGTACATAACAAAATTAAGGCTGAAATAAATAAGTTATTTGAAACCAGTGAAAACAAAGACACAACGTACCAAAATCTCTGGGACACAGCTAAAGCAATGTGTAGAGGGAAATTTATAGCACTACATGCCCACAAAAGAAAGCAGGAAAGATCTAAAATAGACACTCTAGCATCACAATTAAAAGAACTAGAGAAGCAAGTGCAAACAAATTCAAAAGCTAGCAGAACACAAGAAATAACTAAGTTCAGAGCAGAACTGAGGGAGATAGAGACACAAAAAACCCTTCAAACTATCAATGAATCCAGGAGCTGGTTTTGAAAAAAATAACAAAATAGATAGCCCACTAGCCAGACTAATAAAGAAGAAAAGAAAGAAGAATCAAATAGACACAATAAAAAATGATACAGGGGATATCACCACTCATCCCACAGAAATACAAACTACCATCAGAGAATACTATAAACCCCTCTATGCAAATAAACTAGAAAACCTAGAAGAAATGGACAAATTCCTGGACACATACACCCTCCAAAGGCTAAACCAGGAAGGAGCTGAATCCCTGAATAGACCAATAACAAGTTCTGAAATTGAGGCAGTAATTAATAGCCTATGAACCAAAAAAGAAAAAAAAAAAAAAAAAAAAAAAAAAAAAAAGCTCAGGACCAGATGGATTCACAGCCAAAGTCTACCAGAGGTACAAAGAGGAGCTGATACCATTCCTTCTGAAATTATTTCAAACAACAGAAAAAGAAGGACTCTTCCCTAACTCATTTTATGAGGCCAGCGTCATCCTGATATCAAAATCTGGCAGAGACACAACAAAAAAAGAAAATTTCAAGCCAATATCCCTGATAAACATCGATGTGAAAATCCTCAATAAAATACTGTCTAACTGAATCCAGCAGCACATCAAAAACCTTATCCATCACAATCAAGTTGGCTTCATCTCTAGGATGCAAGGCTGCTTCAGCATACACAAATCAATAAACGTAACTGACCACATAAACAGAACCAATGACAAAAACTCCATGATTATCTCAATAGATGCAGAAAAGGCCCTCAATAAAATTCAACATCCCTTCATGCTAAAAACTCAATAAACTAGGTATTGATGGAACAGATCTCAAAATAATAAGCTATTTATAACAAACCCACAGCCAATATCATACTGAATAGACAAACTCTGGAAGCATTCCCTTTGAAAACTGGCACAAGACAAGGATGCCCTCTCTCACCACTCCTATTCAACATAGTATTGGAAGTTCTGGCCAGGGCAATCAGGCAAGAGAATGAAATGAAGCGTATTCAAATAGGAAGAGCGCAAGTCAAACTGTCTCTGTTTGCAGATGACATGATTGTGTATTTAGAAAACCCCATCATCTCAGCCCCACATCTCCTTAAGCTGATAAGCAACTTCAGCAAATCTCAAGATACGAAATCAATGTGCAAAAATCACAAGCATTCATATACACCAATAACAGACAAACAGAGAGCCAAATCATGAGTGAACTCCCATTCACAATTGCTACAAAGAGAATAAAATACCTAGGAATACAAACCACTGGTCAAGGGAATAAGAGAGGACACAAACAAATGGAAAAACATTCCATGCTCATGGATAGGAAGAATCAATATCATGAAAGTGGCCATACTACCTAAAGTAATTTATAGATTCAATACTATCCCCATCAAGCTACCATTGAGTTTCTTCACAGAATTAGAAAAATCTACTTTAAATTTCACACGGAACCAAAAAAGACTCCGTATAGCAAAGACAATCCTAAGCAAAAAGAAGAAAGCTGGAGGCATCATGCTATCTGACTTCAAACTATTCTACAAGGCTACAGTAACCAAAATGCATGGTACTGGTACCAAAACAGATATATAGACCAATGGAACAGAACAGAGGCCTCAGACGTAATGTCACACATCTGCAACCATCTGATCTTTGACAAACTTGACAAAATCAAGCAATGAGGAAAGGATTTCGTGTTTAATAAATAGTGTTGGGAAAACTGGCTAGCCATATGCAAAACACTGAAACTGGACCCCTTCCTTACACTTTATACAAAAATTAACTCAAGATAGATTAAAGACTTAAACATAAAATCTCGGATTTTGTAATGCAATATTCTCATTACCTTAGTCATATTTTACATGTACTAATGTATAAGAATATATCTAATAAAAAAGCATTTTACTTTCTCGTAATATTGTGAATTTCATTACAAATGCATAGAAACATATATTCTCAAAGTAGAAAGTATAGTATTCTTAATATCAGAATTAATTTGCTTTTAAAATTCACTCTGCCTTATTATGAATATTGAAAAAAATTTTGGTAAATAAATTAGAATTCCTTCAAAATTATTGCTGCACTTAACATTATAGAACACCTTTATCACCTTAGTGTTGTGTGTGTGTGTGTGTGTGTGTGTTTCAAAATCTATGTAGTGATTATCAGAGCTTTCTTTTCCTCTTCACCTATAGTCATCTGTGTTTTTGATGTATGTGTCTAACATTTAGAGATATATATATTCTCAAACATGCAAACACGCACACCGATACTTAAAGTATCGTTATTGAGAGCAAGAAAATAAAGTGTGTTATTAGTCTTGTTTAATATTAGAATCTATTATTGTCTTTGAAACAAAATACACAAAGCATTAGTAAAGACAAAAGTTCAAGAATGGTAAATCACTCTTACTTTCAGAACTGAATGCCCTTTCAAATAGTTAACTGCAAAAAGCATAAAACTATGAAACACATAAAAATGGTATGTAACAAATAGTAAAGCATAATGGAAGTTTAACTGTTAAAAGAATAAAATCTGCTAAATGAATAATAGGAGTAGCCAAGCCGGCTATGATTTCATGCTTTTCCATTGTAAAATGTAGGAATCCATTCACATATAATAATTCCAGAGGGAAAGTTCCACAATTTTAAGATATTTGTGGAGTAACAAGTGAACTTCACTAAGATCCTCTCCATTTTAAATACAAACAAAACCTGCTGATTCTGCACATTCCTGAGAAGAGTAAAGATTAAACCTCTCAAGAATTAGAAATGTTATTTGCTTTCCAGAGTGAACTGCTCTATGCCCATACAAAAGATGCCCATGTAAGAAAGCACAAAATAAGCCTTGATTATTATGAAAGGGCACATATTGTATAATAAGAATCAGTCTGCTAACTTGCAGGATGACTGGTGAGCTACATCACATGCTTCTCTAGTTTTCCATATTGCATGCACTCTCTCAACAAGACAGAATTGGTATATTTTGCAAAAGTTTGTTCCTTTCTTTTCCAGTCTAACAAAAATGAAACTCAACTTATAACCCACTGTGGAAACTCACTTAACTTCCCCTTCCTCTCTTAACTTCTATTCCCTATAACAGGTTGATTACGCCATTAACCTTAATTCTTCACCTTCCCTATTATGTAATTTTGTAGTTCCTCACGGTAAAGCAGAGTATATTTCCATGCCCAGTGTGACTTACTTTGGCCAAGAGAATGAGATAGAAGTTATGGTAAGCCTAGAACTCAAGAAGACATGCATATTTCCAATTTCTCTCTTGTATCTCTTCTATCATCATGAGAACATGCTAGGCCCAGCTGCTGGACATGGCAGGAGGATAATAAGAGATACATGGACCACAGCTACCTCCAGCCAAATGCAGTCATAAAAATGACCTGAGCCAAGACCAACAAAACTGTCTGGCTGAGTTCAGCCTAGATAAGTTGACTTGAAGATTCATGAAAAATAATAACATATAAACTACTGAGTTTTAGCATAGCTCATTATACAGCAATATGTAACTAATATATTCTCCCAATACTTTGCCATTTTGCCCCTCTATTTGAATGCCCCACCTCATCATTTTGCAAGTTTATAAACCATGGGAGTGTGTCGACAGTTGAAGTATTTATTCAAACCAGAAGTTCCAGGTTTACTTTAGGTGTTAAGACCTCTTGTACTCTCTAAAGAACTCTTTGAAAAGCACATGACAAGGAGTAATCCAATTTCTTCTTACTCAACTCTCTCTTTAATCAAGTAAATTCATCTCAGTAACATCAAGTTATTCAAGGGGAAATGACCATGTATTATGTATTAAATGTTTTATATATTCTTAATTCATAAGGCTATATCCTCAGTCTTTGCTAAAATCTTCTACAGTTCAATTTGTAGGTAGATGGACTACCTTGGGAGAAGTCAAGTAAATATACTTTACAATAGACTTATAGCGGTAATGCACCCAGAAAGACTGGCCAATCACTGAGAATGGGATTGCCAAAAAGTGAAAAGATGAAAACTGAAGGAAAAAAGTGAAAAAAATATGAAAGGCAGAAAAAAAAATAAAACTGAAAACTTATAGTGACCAAGAAAAAAACACAGAAGACTCAAATTACTAAAATCAGAAATGAAATAGGGGACATCATTACTAATTTTATAGAAACAAAGACTGTAATGAAATAGTATAAAATTATATGCCAATAAATTAGATAATAGAGGAAATGAATAAATTCCTAGAAATATACAAGCTACTAAACACCCTAAGGAAGAAAGAGAAAGACCTGAATAGGCCTATAACAAATAAAGAAATTTAATTAGTAATTTTTTAAAAAACTTCTCACAAAGACAAGCTTAACCCTGATGACTTTACTGATGAATTCTACCAGACATTTAAAGAAGAATTAACACTAATTCTTCATTAAGTCATCTAAAAATTAGAAGAGGAGGAAGTAATTCTCAACTCATCCTGTAAGGCCAATAGTAACTGAGACAAATTCAGATGAAGACGTCAAAAGAAAAGAAAACTACAGATGAATACATATCATTAATATAGATGCAGAAATTTTCAACAAATTACCAAGAAACTGAATCTTGCAACATATTTACCGTGACCAAGTAGAATTTCTCTCAGGAATGCAAGGGATTTTTTAACATCCAGAAATCAATCAATACATAATATATATGAGTAAAATCAAAACATAATATATATGAGTAAAAAACAAAGATTGCATCATCATCTCCATAAATGCAGAATAAGCATTTGACAAAGTCTAATAGGGTTTAATGATTAAAAATAAATAAAACTCAATAAAGAAATAGAACTTTCTCAGCCTGAGAAAAAGGATCTGTAAAAAACCCAGAGTGAACACAGCCAAGGCAGAATTAAGAGGGATTTTCATAGCACTAAATGCCCACTCCAAAATGTTAGAAAGATTTCAAATTAACAATCTAAGATCACGACTGAATTAGAGAGGCAAGAACAAATCAACCCCAAAGCTAACAGAAGACAAGAAATAATCAAACTCAGAGCTGAACTGAAGGGCATTGAGACATGAAAAACTATTCAAAAGATCAATGAATCCAGACATTGCTTTTTTGAAAAAAATAATAAGATAAAAAACCCTTCGAAAAATCAATGAATCCAGGAGGTGAATTTTTGAAAAGATCAACAAAATAGATAGAACACTAGCCAGACTAATAAAAAAAGAAGAATAAAATAGATGCAATAAAAAATGATAAAGGAGATATCACCACTGATCCCACAGAAATACAAATTAGCATCAGAAAATACTATAAACACCTCTATGCAAATAAACTAGAAAATCTAGAAGAAATGGACAAATTCATGGGCACATAGGCTAAACCAGAAAGAAGTCAAATCCCTGAATAGACCAATAACAAGTTCTAAAATTGAGGCAGTAATTAATAGCCTACCAAGCAAAAAAAAGTCCAGGACCAGACAGATTCACAGCCGAAGTCTACCAGAGGTAGAAAGAGGAGCTGGTACCATTCCATCTGAAACTATTTCAAACAACAGAATAAGAGGAAATCCTCCCTAACTCATTTTATGAGGCCACTGTCATCCTGATATCAAAACGTGGCAGAGACACAACCAAAAGGGAAAATTTCAGGCCAATATCCCTGATGAACATCGATGCAAAAAATCCTTAATAAAATACTGGCAAGCCGAATCCAGTAGCACATCAAAAAGCTTATGCACCATGATCAAGTTGGCTTCATCCTTGGGATGCAAAGCTGGTTCAACACATGCAAATCAATAAACGTAATCCAAAGAGAACTGATGACAAAAACCACATGATTATCTCGATAGATGCAGAAAACGCCTTCAACAAAATTCAACACCCTTCATGCTAAAAACTCAATAAACTAGGTATTGATGGAACATATCTCAAAATAATAAGAGCTATTTATGACAAACCCACAGCCAATGTCATCCTGACTGGGCAAAAACTAAAAGCATTTCCTTTGAAAACCAGCATAAGACGAGGATGCCCTCTCTCACCACTCCTATTCAACATAATGTTCAAAGTTCTGGCCAGGGCAATCAGGAAAGAGAAAGAAATAAAGGGTATTCGATGAGGAAAAGAGGAAGTCAAATTGTCTCTGTTTGCAGATCACATGATTGTATATTTAGAAAACCCCATCGTCTCAGCCCAAAATCTCATTAAGCTGATAAGCAACTTCAGCAAATCTCAGGATACAAAATCAATGTGCAAAAATCACAAGCATTCCTATACACCAATAACAGAAAAACAGCCAAATCATGAGTGAACTCCCATTCACAATTGCTACAAAGAGAATAAAATATCTAGGAATTCAACTTACAATGGATGTGAAGGACCTCTTCAAGGAGAACTACAAACCACTGCTCAAAGAAATAAGAGAGGACAGAAACAAATGGAAAAACATTCCATGTTCATGGATAGGAAGGATCAATATCATGAAAGTGGTCATACTGCCCAAAGAATTTGTACATTCAATGCTAATCCTCATCAAGCTACCATTGACTTTCTTCACAGAATAGGGAAAAACTACTTTAAATTTCATATGGAATCAAAAAGGAGCCCACATAGTCAAGACAATCCTAAGGAAAAAGAACAAAGCTGGAGGCATCAAGCTATCTGACTCCAAACAATACTACAAGGCTGCAGTAACCAAAACAGCATGGTACTGATACCAAAACAGATATATAGACCAATGGAACAATGGAACAGAACAGAGGCCTCAGAAATAACAACACACATCTACAACCATCTGATTTTTGACAAACGTGACAAAAGCAATGGGGAAAGGATTCCCTATTAAATAAATGGTGTTCGGAAAACTGGCTAGCCATATGCAGAACACTGAAACTGGACCCCTTCCTTACACCTTATACAAAAATTAACTCAAGATGGACTAAAGACTTAAACATAAGACCTAAAACCATAAAAACCCTAGAAAAAAACCTAGGCAATACCATTCAGGACATAGGCATGGGCAAAGACTTCATGACTAAAACACCAAAAGCAATGGCAAAAAAAGCCAAAATTGACAAATGGGATCTAATTAAACTAAAGAGCTTCTGCACAGCAAAAGAAACTACCATCAGAGTGAAAAGGCAACCTACAGAATGGGAGAAATTTTTTGCAATCTATCCATCTGACAAAGGGCTAATATCCAGAATCTACAAAGAACTCACACAAATTTACAAGAAAAAAACAAACAACCCCATCAAAAAGTGGGAAAATGATATGAACAGACACTTCTCAAAAGAAGACATTTATGCAGCCAACAAACATATGAAAAAAAAGCTCATCATCACTGGTCATTAGAGAAATGCAAATTAAAACCACAATGACATACCATCTCATGCCAATTAGAATGGCGATCATTAAAAAGTCAGGAAACAACAAATGCTGGAGAGGTTGTGGAGAAATAGGAATGCTTTTACACTGTTGGTGGGAGTGTAAATTAGTTCAAGCATTGTGGAAGACAGTGTGGTGATTCCTCAAGGATCTAGAACCGGAAATACCATTTGACACAATAATCCCATTACTAGGTATATACCCAAAGGATTATAAATCATTCTACTATAAAGACACACACACATGTATGTTTATTGGGGCACTGTTTGCAATACCAAAGACTTAGAACCAACTCAAACGCCCATCAATGATAGACTGGATAAAGAAAATGTGGCACATATACACCATGGAATACTATGCAGCCATAAAAAATGATTAATTCTTCATCCAGAGACATGGATGAAGGTGGAAACCATCATTCTCAGCAAAGTAACACAGGAACAGAAAACCAAACACTGCATGTTCTCACCCATAAGTGGAAGTTGAACAGTGAGAACACATGGATGCTGGGAGGGGAACATCACACACCAGGTCCTGTTTGGGGGTAGGGTCTTTGTCATGAAATTGTTGCCCACTCCTATGTCCAGGATGGTATTGCTTAGGTTATCTTCTGAGTTTTTCTAATTTTGAGTTTTATATTTAAGTCTTTAATCCATCTTGAGTTTATTTTTATATGATATAGGAAAGGGGTCTAGATTTAAGCTTCTGCATATAGCTAGCCAGTTATCCCAGCAAGATTTATCTCATAGGGAATCTTTCCCCCATTTCTTACTTTTCTCAGCATTATTGAAGACTAGATAGTTATAGATGTGCAGCCTTATTTCTGGGCTCTCTATTCTGTTCCATTGGTCTATGTGCCTGTTTTTGTACCAGTATCATGCTGTTTTGGTTACTGTAGCCTTGTAGTATAGTTTGAAGTTGGGTAACATGATGCCTCCAACTTTGTTCATTTTGCTTGGGATTGCATTGGCTATTGAGGTTCCTTTTTGATTCCATATGAATTTTAAAATAGTTTTTTTCCTTGTTCTTTGAATGTCATTGGTAGCTTGTTAGGAATAGCATTGAATCTGTAAATTGCTTTGGGCAGTATAGCCATTTTAATAATATTGATTCTTCCTGCTCATGAGCATGGGAAGTTTTATCATTTGTTTATGTCTTCTCTGATTTCTTTGAGCAGTGTTTTGTAATTCTCATTGTAAGGATCTTTAATCTCCCTTGTTAGCTGTATTCCTCTATTCCTAGGTATTCTATTCTTTTTGTGGCAATTGTGAATGAGATTGCCTTTCTGATTTGGTTCTCGGTTTGACTGTTATTGGTGTATGAAAATGCTAGTGATTTTTGTACATGGATTTTGCATTCTACAACTTTGCTGAAGCAAAAGTTGACAAGTGGAATCAAATTAAACTTAAGAGTTTCTGCATGGTGAAAGAAACTATCAACAGTGTAAACAGACAAACTACAGAAGGGAAGAACATGTTTGCAAACTATGCATCTGACAAAGGTCTAATATCCAGCATCTATAAGGAACTTAAACAGATTGACAAGAGAAAAACAACCCCATTAAAATGTGGGCAAAGTACGTGAACAGACATTTCTGAGAAGAAGACATACATGTGGCCAACACATATATGAAAAAAATCTCAATATTATTGATCATTAGAGAAATGCAAATCGGAACCACAATGAAATGTCATCTCACACCAGTCAGAATGGCTATTATTAAAAAGTCAAAAAATAGAAGATGCTGGTAAGGTTACAAAGAAAAGGGAACACTTATACAATGTTGGTAGGAGTGTAAATTAGTTCGACCATTGGAAAGCAGTATGGCGATTCCTCAAAGAGCTAAAAGCAGAACTACCACTCAACTCAGTAATCTCCTCAGTGGGTATATACCCAGAGAAATACAAACCATTCTACCATTAAGACTCATCCATGCAAATGTTCACTGCTGCACTATTCACAATAGCAAAGACATGGGATCAACCTAATTACACATCAATGACAGGTTGGATAAAGAAAATGTGGTACATATAAACCATGGAATACTATGCAGCCATACAAAAGAACAAGATCATGTCATTTGAGGGAACATGGGTGGAACTGGAGGCTATTATCCTTAGCAAACTAATGAAGAAACAGAAAACCAAATATCACATGTTCTCACTTATAAGTGTAAGCTAAATGATGAGAACATATTAATGCAAAGAAGGAAACAACAGACACTTGGGCCTACTTGAGGGTGGAGGTTGGGAGGAGGGAGAGAAGCAAAACAGGTAACTATTGGGTACTGGGCTTAATATCTGAGTGATGAAATAATCTGTACAACAAACTCCTATGATGTGAGTTACCCCTATGTAACAAACCTTTATATGTACCCCAGAACCTAAAACAGAAGTTAAAAAAAGTATAAAAACAAAACCCAGAGCTAACATCATACTAAGTGGTAAAAGACAATGTTTTCACCCTATGTTCAGCAAGACAAGGATGTCTGTTCTTACCACTTCTAGTCACCATTCTACAAGAGGTTCTAATCAGGGCAATTCAGCAAGACAAATAAATAAAATACATCCATATTTGAAATGAAGAAGTAGCATAGCTTCTATACATCATATACAATGAAGACATGATCTTATGTATGAATCCTAATGAATTTATCAAAAAAATAGAACTAATTAACAAGTTCAGCAAGGTTGGAGGGTACAGGATTAATATACAGAAATCAACTGGATTTCTTTTTTTTTTAATTATACATTAAGTTATAGGGTACATGTGCGCAACATGCAGGTTTGTTACATATGCATACAAGTGACATGTTGGTGTGCTGCACATATCAACTCGTCATTTACATTAGGTATATCCCCCAATGCTATCCCTCCCCCATCCCCCAAACCCATGACAGGCCCCAGTGTGTGATGCTCCACTTCCTGCAGCCAAGTGTTCTCACTGTTCAATTCCCACCTGTGAATGAGAACATGCAGTGTTTGGTTTTTTGTCCCTACAATAGTTTGCTGAGAATGATGGTTTCCAGCTTCATCCATGTCCCTACAAAGGACATGAACTCATCATTTTTTTATGGCCGCATAGTATTCCATGGTGTATGTGTGCCACAGTTTCTTAATCCAGTCTATCATTGATGGACATTTGGGTTGGTTCCAAGTCTTTGCTATTGTGAATAGTGTCACAATAAACATACGTGTGCATGTGTCTTTATAGCAGCATGATTTATGATTCTTTGGGTAGATACCCAGTAATGGGATGGTTGGATCAAATGGTATTTCTAGTTCTAGATCCTTGAGGAATCACCACACTGTTTTCCACAATTGTTGAACTAGTTTACCATCCCACCAACAGTGTAAAAGTGTTCCTATTTCTCCACATCCTTTCCAGCACCTGTTGTTTCCTGACTTTTTAATGATTGCCATTCTAACTGATGTGAGTTGGTATCTCATTGTGGTTTTGATTTGCATTTCTCTGATGGCCAGTGATGATGAGCATTTTGTCATGTGTCTTTTGGATGCATAAATGTCTTCTTTTGAGAAGTGTTTGTTCATATCCTTTGCCCACTTTTTGATGGGGTTGTTTTTTTCTTGTAAATTTGTTTGAGTTCTTTGTAGATTCTGGATATTAGCCCTTTGTCAGATGGATAGATTGCAAAAAATTTCTCCCATTCTGTAGGTTGCCTTTTCACTCTGATGGTAGTTTCTTTTGCTGTGCAGAAGCTCTTTAGTTTAATTACATCTCATTTGTCAATTTTGGCTTTTTTTGCCATTGCTTTTGGTGTTTTAGACATGAAGTCCTTACCCATGCCTATGTCCTGAATGGTATGCCTAGGTTTTCTTCTAGGGTTTTTATGGTTTTAGGTCTAAATTTAAGTCTTTAATCCGTCTTGAATTAATTTTTGTATACAGTGTAAGGAGGGATCCAGTTTCAGCTTTCTACGTATGGCTAGCCAGTTTTCCCAGCACCATTTATTAAATAGGGAATCCTTTCCCCATTTCTGGTTTTCATCAGGTTTGTTAAAGATCAGATAGTTGAAGATGTGTGGTATTATTTCTGAGGGCTCTGTTCTGTTCCATTGGTCTATATCTCTGTTTTGGTACCACTACCATGCTGTTTTATTTACTGTAGCCTTGTAGTATAGTTTGAAGTCAGGTAGCGTTATGCCTCCAGCTTTGTTCTTTTTGCTTAGGATTGTCTTGGAAATGCAGGCTCTTTTTTGGTTCCATATGAACTTTAAAGAAGTTTTTTCCAGTTCTCTGAAGAAAGTCATTGGAAGCATGATGAAGAAAGTCATTGGCAGCATGATGGGGATGGCATTGAATCTATAAATTACCTTGGGCAGTATGGCCATTTTCCCGATATTAATTCTTCCTACCCATGAGCCTGGAATGTTATTCCATTTGTGTGTGTCCTCTTTTATTTCATTGAGCAGTGGTTTGTAGTTCTCCTTAGAGAGTTCCTTCATATCCCTTGTAAGTTGGATTCCTAAGTATTTTATTCTCTTTGACGCGATTGTGAATGGGAGTCCACTCATGATTTGGCTCTCTGTTTGCCTGTTATTGGTGTATGAGAATGCTTGTGAGTTTTGCACATTGATTTTGTATCCTGAGACTTTGCTGAAGTTGCTTATCATCTTAAGTAGATTTTGGGCTGAGACGATGGGGTTTTCTAAATATACAATCTTGTCATCTGCAAACAGGGACAATTTGACTTCCTCTTTTCTTAATTGAATACCCTTTATTTCTTTCTCCTGCCTGATTGCCCTGGCCAGAACTTTGAACATTATGTTCAATAGGAGTGGTGAGAGAGGGCATCCCTGTCTTGTGCCAGTTTTCAAAGGGAATGCTTCCATTTTTCACCCATTCAGTAAGATATTGGCTGTGGGTTTGTCATAAATAGCTCTTATTATTTTGAGATACATCCCATCAGTACCTAATTTATTGATTATTATTTGCATAGAGAGTTTTAGCATGAAGAGCTGTTGAATGTTGTCAAAGGCCTTTTCTGCATCTATTGAGATAATCATGTGGTTTTTGTCTTTGGTTCTGTTTATATGCTGCATTACATTTATTAATTTTTATATGTTGAACCAGCCTTGCATCCCAGGGATGAAGCCCACTTGATCATGGTGGATAAGCTTTTTGATGAGCTGCTGGATTCAGTTTGCCAGTATTTTATTGAGGATTTTTGCACTGATGTTCGTCAGGGATCATGGTCTAAAATTCTCTTTTTTTGTTGTGCCTCTGCCAGGCTTTGGTATCAGGATGATGCTGGCCTCATAAAATGAGTTAGGAAGGATTCCTTCTTTTTCTATTGATTGTGATATTTTCAGAAGGAATGGTACCAGCTCCTCCTTATAACTCTGGTAGAATTCGGCTATGAATCCATCTGGTCTTGGACTTTTTCTTGTTGGTAGTTATTAATTATTGCCTCAATTTCAGAGCCTACTATTGGTCTATTCAGGGATTCACCTTCTTCCTGGTTTAGTCTTGGGAGTGTATATGTGTCCAGGAATTTATCCATTTCTTCTAGATTTCCGAGTTTATTTGCATAGAGGTGTTTATACTATTCTCTGATGGTAGTTTGTATTTCTGTGGGATTGGTGGTGACATCCCTTTTATCATTTTTTATTTCATCTATTTGATTCTTCTCTCCTTTCTTCTTTATTAGTCTTGCTAGTGGTCTATCAATTTTGTTGATCTTTTCAAAAAATCAGCTCCTGGATTCATTAATTTTTGAAGGGTTTTTTATGTCTCTGTCTCCTTCAGTTCTGCTCTGATCTTAGTTACTTCTTGCCTTCTCCTGTCTTTTGAACGTGTTTGCTCTTGCTCCTCTAGTTCTTTTAATTGTAATGTTAGGGTGTCAATTTTAGATCTTTCCTGCTTTCTCTTGTGGGCATTTAGTGCTATAAATTTCTCTCTACACATTGCTTTAAATATGTCCCAGAGATTCTGGTATGTTGTGTCTTTGTTCACCTTGATTTCAAAGAACATCTTTATTTCTGCTTTCATTTCATTATGTACCCAGTAGTCATTCAGGAGCAGGTTGTTCAGTTTCCATGTAGTTGAGTGGTTTTGAGTGAGTTTCTTAATCCTGAGTTCTAGTTTGATTGCACTGTGGTCTGAGAGACAGTTTGTTATGATTTCTGTTCTTTTACACTTGTTGAGGAGTGCTTTACTTCCAACTGTGTTGTCAATTTTGGAATAAGTGTGATGTGGTGCTGAGAAGAATGTATATTCTGTAGATTTGGGGTGGAGAGTTCTGTAGATGTCTATTAGGTATGCTTGGTGCAGAGCTGAATTCAATTCCTGGATATCCTTGTTAACTTTCTGTCTATTGATCTGTCTAATGTTGACAGTGGGGTGTTAAAGTCTCCCATTATTATTGTGTGGGAGTCTAAGTCTCTTTGTAGGTCTCTAAGGACTTGTTTTATGAATCTGGGTGCTCCTGTATTGGGTGCATATATATTTAGAATAGTTAGTTTTTCTTGTTGAATTGATCCCTTTACCATTATGTAGTGGCCTTCTTTGTCTCTTTTGATCTTTGTTGGTTTAAAGTCTGTTTTATCAGACTACGATTGCAACCCCTGCTTTTTTTTGTTTTCCATTTGCTTGGTAGATCTTCCTCCATCCCTTTATTTTGAGCCTATGTGTGTCTCTTCACGTGAGATGTGTCTCCTGAATACAGCACACTGATGGGTCTTGACTCTTTATCCAATTTGCCAGTCTGTGTCTTTTAATTGGAGCATTTAGCCCATTTACATTTAAGGTTATTATTGTTATGTGTGAATTTGATCCTGTCATTATGATCTTAGCTGATTATTTTGCTCATTAGTTGATGCAGTTTCTTCATAGCATCAGTGGTCTTTACAATTTGGCATGTTTTTGCAGTGGCTGGTAGCCGTTGTTCCTTTCCATGTTTAGTGCTTCCTTCAGGAGCTCTTGTAAGGTAGGCCTGGTGGTGACAAAATCTCTCAGCATTTGCATGTCTGTAAAGTATTTTATTTCTCCTTCACTTATGAAGCTTGGTTTGGCTGGATATGAAATTCTGGGTTGAAAATTCTTTTCTTTAAGGATATTAATATTGGCCTCCATTCTCTTCTGGCTTGTAAAGTTTTTGCCAAAAGATCCACTGTTAGTCTGATAGGCTTCCCCTTGTGGCTAACCCGACCTTTCTCTCTGGCTGCCCTTAACATTTTTTCCTTCATTTCAACTTTGGTGAGTCTGACAATTATGTGTCTTAGAGTTGCTCTTCTTGAGGAGTATCTTTGTGGTGTTCTCTGTATTTCCTGAATTTGAATATTGGCCTGCCTTGCTAGGTTGGGGAAATTCTCCTGGATAATATCCTGCAGAGTGTTTTCCTACTTGGTTCCATTCTCCCTGTCACTTTCAGGTACACCAATCAGACGTAGATTTGGTCTTTTCACATAGTCCCATATTTCTTGGAGGCTTTGTTTGTTTTTTTTTTACTCTTTTTTCTCTAAACTTCTTGCTTCATTTCATTCATTTTATCTTCAATCACTGATACCCTTTCTTCCAGTTGATCAAAACTGAAGCTTGTGCATTCCTCACATAGTTCTTGTGCCATGGTTTTCAGCTCCACCAGGTCACTTAAGGACTTCTCTATGCTGGTTATTCTAGTTAGCCATTTGTCTAATCTTTTTTCAAGGATTTTAGCTTCTTTGTGTTGGGTTCAAACTTCCTCCTTTAGGTTGGAGAAGTTTGATCATCTGAAGCCTTCTTCTCTCAATTCATCAAAGTCATTCTCTGTCCAGCTTTATTCCATTGCTGGCAAGGAGCTGCATTCCTTTGGAGGGGGAGAGCTGCTCAGATTCTTAGAATTTTCATCTTTTCTGCTCTGTTTTATCCCCATTTTTGTGGTTTTTATCTACCTTTTGTCTTTGATGATGCTAACGTACAGATGGGGTTTTCACATGGATGTCCTTTCTGTTTGTTAGTTTTCCTTCTAACAGTCAGGACCCTCAGCTGCAGGTCTGTTGGAGTTTGCTGGAGGTCTCCTCCAGACCCTGTTTGCCTGGGTATCAGCAGCAGAGGCTGCAGAACAGCGAATATTGCTGAACAGCAAATTTTGTTGCCTGATCGTTCCTCTGGAAGCTTTGTCTCAGAGAGGTACCCAGCCATGCGAGGTGTCAGTCTGCCCTTACTGGGGGGTGCCTCCCAGTTAGGCTACTCAGGGGTCAGGGACCCACTCGAGGAGGCAGTCTGTCCCTTCTCAGATCTCAAACTCCATGCTACGAGAACCACTACTCTCTTCAAAGCTGTCGGACAGGAACATTTAAGTCTGCAGAGGTTTCTGCTGCCTTTTGTTCAGCTCTGCCCTGCCCCCAGAGGTGGAGTCTACAGAGGCAGGCAGGCCTCCTTGAGCTGCAGTAGACTGCACCCAGTTCAAGCTTCTTGGACACTTTGTTTACCTCTTCAAGCCTCAGCAATGGTGGGCACCCCTCCCCCAACCTCGCTGCCACCTTGCAGTTTGATCTCAGACTGCTGTGCTAGCAATGAGTGAGGCTCTGTAGGCATGGGACCCTCCGAGCCAAACATGGGATATAATCTCCTGGTGTGCCATTTGCTAAGACTTTGGAAAAGTGCAGTATTAGTGTGGGAATGACCCAATTTTCCAGGTGCCATCTGTCACAGCTTCCCTTGGCTAGGAAAGGGAATTCCTTGACCCCTTGTGCTTCCCAGGTGAGGTGATGCCTATCCCTGCTTTGGCTCACATTCAGTGGGCTGTACCCACTGTCCTGCATCCACTGTCTGACAAGCTCCAATGAGATGATCCCGGTACCTCAGTTGGAAATGCAGAAATCACCCATCTTCTGCGTCACTCACACTGGGAGCTGTAGACTGGAGCTGTTCCTATTTGGCCATCTTGGAACCGCCAATCAAACTGGATTTCTAAACAGTAGCAATGAACAACCCAGAAGTGAAATTAAGAAAATAATTCCATTTATAATGGCATCATAGGAAAAAAAATCTAAGGAATATGTTTAACAAGATAAGTGTAAAACTTATGCTCTGAAAACTATAAAATACTGCTGATAGATATTAATGGAAATGTAAATAAGTGGAAAGACAGCCCACATTCATGTATTAGAAGACTTAACATTGTTAAAACACCAATATTCACCAAACTGATCTACAGATTCAATGTAATTTCTGCCAAATTTCTACTTGGCTTTTTTTGCAGAAATTGACAAGCTGATCCTAAAATTTATATGGAAATTTAAGGTTCCTAGAATAGCTGGGGAAAAAAAAAAAAAAAAAAAAAAAAAACCTTGAATTTATTTGAAGGGCACATACTTAATGTCAAAATGTACTACAAAGCTATAATAATAAACAGATGTAGTCCAAAATAAGGTTAGACATATAGACAGATATAGTGCCAAAATAAGGTTAGACCAAGGGAATACACTGAAAGTCCAGAAATAAGACATTACATTTATAGTCCATTGATTTTCAACAAGGGTAAAGACAACTCAATGAAGAAAAATATTTTCTTCAACAAATCATGCTAGAGAAAAATATATCCACATGCAAAAAAAAAAAAAGTTGAACCTCTTCCTAACACCATACATAAAAATTCACTCAAAATTTTCATAGACATAAATGTAAGAGCTAAAACTATAAAACTCTTAGAAGACAATTTACAAGTAAATTTTCATAAGTCTGCATTACTACAGGTAGTGGGCTGGCTTTCTGGGCTGTTTGCTGCAGGTTGTGAGTCAGAGTTCTATTTTTATACATAGTCTGGCATTGTCATTTGTATTTCAGACTCTCAAAATCAAACACTAGCTATGGAATTTCCAGGAATTTACTCAATCTTTCTTTGCTCCATTACCTTCATGTATAAAATTTGGTTAGTAGAAGCCTCTACTACATAGGATAATAATTTATAGCCCATACAAATATTTTCTGAACTGACCTGGAAAAAATAGATCCAGTAGTGCTAATGTATCAACCATGTATGAGAAAGATAATATACTTCTATGCTGAAGATATACAGAAAGAGAAGATAAAGGTGCTTACTTAGCACAGTACCTGGCACAAGGGAGGCAGACAATTGTTAGGTGTTTATCTGTTTCCTCGGTTTTTCTTTCTAGGATTCTTCTTGTCACTCCATTTTAATAGTGTGATGGTAAGTGATAGTAGACCATTATCCACGGTAAGAAACATTATAATTCCTTATGACTGCAAGGAGACACTTTTTCCCTAATAGTACACATAGATTTCCAAAAAAAAAAAAAAACCCTGTATAATATTCCTGCTAGCTCCCTGAGTTCAAGCAACAGAATTGGTTTCCTCATTCACTCAATCACATCCTTTAGGCTCTTTAGGCTTCCATCCCTTTTGTAGAAGACTATTAGAAATAAGGGCCAGGCACTGTGATTCACACCCATAATCTCAGCTCTTTGAGAGGCCAAGGCAGGAGGATCACTTGAGCTCAGGAGTTGGGAGGTTGCAGTGAGCTAGGATCAAGCCACTTCATCCCAGCCTAAATGACAGGAGTCCCGAAAAAAAAAAAAAAGAAAAAGAAAAGAAGAAGGAAGAAAAAAAATAAAGCTATCAATGTTACACGCAAGTGTTATATATGCAATTAAATAGTTTAGCATTGAGGAAGAAGTCATTTTTCTGTTCTGTCTACTAAAGAATGCACGAAAACAATTGGATTGGAAGGATGCCTTCTCCATTACAAATCCCATTTGGTACAACTTAGCCATCAACCCTCTTTTTAAGGACAATGTTGTTTATGGAGCATGAGCTGAGGTGTTGTGAATGATTTCTTGGTTTCTCTCTTCTCCAAATTAGCACATGAACCCCATGCCCATAAGATGGTAACAGTTAAAATATGAACAAACACAACAATAGTAAGGCCTGGAAAGAAGTCTTTACACCACCCCAGGAGAGCATGTGGTGTACATTCCAAGTCTGTGACATCCTGTAAGGGACCAGCCCACTCTTACCCCCAAGATATGGCTCAATTTTACACAGAAACCACTTTATTTTTGTATCCCAGATGCTTTCCTATAATCTGGCCAGCAGCTATAAATCTACCAGTTATATAAAAGTAATTCTGGGACATTCAGGGAAATAGGAGTTGTACCCCTTGCCTGTGTATTAGGGTGGCTTCCTAATACAAGAGGAAAAAAATCAATAAACTAAGACCCAAAGATTCTAATAAGTTACATGTGGTTAGCATTCCAGTAAAAGTCATAGAAGTATAATAAAAAAAATAATTCTATAAAAGTTTATTATTTTTAATACTTTCTATTACTAGTATGAATTTTCAGGAGACTGGCTAGCCTTTACAGAATACACTTGTGGCATACAAAACCTTTTTATTTTTTATTCATTTATTTATTCATTTAGTAACCATTTGTAAACGTTAATAGGTAAAATATACAGCATTTAAAATTGCCTCTGAAGTTTTACAGTGGACTGATTACCAATGCACAAAATATGGAACATTGCAGTCTTTTCTAGGACAGTCATTTCTAATCCACTTTTAATTAAGGGATTTAGCAGACAAACAAGCTAGTTAACATTTCTCAGAGGTTGCTTTCACATTACTAGCACAACTGGAAGTATATTTTTCTGGGAAAGTTCAGAGAAGTTTTGAAAGGCCTAGAAATTGTTATAGTTATCTAAGCCAAAATGTCTTTGAGCTGAAAATGTCTATCTGTGTAGTGGAATATAGCTTGAAATCATTAAAGTTGGAGGTGACTGGAGCTAGCCTAGCCTTGGACAAGCATTTTACATAAGAAAAACCGTGTTTTCCCAAAGTCATTTTATTTTCCTACTATGCATATACTAACTTCATTTTTTTCTGGCCTTGTTAGAAATTCACCTATTCATAGAATTTCATTTGAGGAGATATACCATTTTAATTGCTTCGCAAGATAACCATCATGGTAATTCACTTTGTAAGCACATATATACAACATCAACTATCACCTCAGCTTAATTGGTTGAGTATTGATAACTGGTATAAACAAGGACTCATCAATAATTTGCTAATGGTTAAATTCACTCATGGCCCAATTAAGACAAAGAGCAATGCATAATACACATTCTCAAGAATACAGTAATAATAACTAACGTTTATTCAAGGCTTGCACTACATGCCAGGCATTTTGAATGTTGTTTTTATACAGTGTATAATTTAATCCTCACAATAACCATATGATTCTATTGCAGTTCTTATCCTTGTTTTACATGAAGAAACTAAGGCACAGAGAGGTTAAAGGACTTGCAACATCACACCAGAGTCAGAGTGTTTGAACCTAAGCATCCAATCGTAGCACCCTTTATTATTTAACATTCAATACTCTCATTCTATGGGAGTTATGATAGCCTCTCATTGTTTTATTTGCATCACTTCTAATTTATAGGAGGACCCTGTTGATGTGCAAAGACTGAATGTCTAAATTCCTGAGTTTAGCCAGGGGCTTGTTTACTGCAGTCAGTACCAGGTACAATGTATAACCAAGTGTTACTTCTTTAGCTCACCATAGAGTACAACCACCTGATTGCATATCTTTGAAACTAAATATAGGAGCTATAAGCATAGTTAACTCAGCCTCCTTATAAAACCAAAAGAATTAAAACAAAAATATATTTTATAAGGTAATTTGTTTTTTTTCCACTTAAACCAATCAAGGAAAGAAGTTTTTTTCCCACTAAAATCAAAAATGACTTGTAGTATGATGGTTGAGAGTCTGGAGTGTCTGAGCTCAAGCCTCAGCAACTCCACTGGGTATTGGGCAAGGTACTCAAAAATCTCTGTACTTCAGTTTCCTCATCTGGAAATTAGGAGTTACACATTGGGGGTTAAAGTAGTTGTAAGAATTTAGTTAATAACACAGAGTTCTTCCTAGAATGTCTCATCTGATCCTGATTCCTGAAGCACGTTATATGACAGGTCTTGTAAAATGCTTTGATTCCCATTTTTCTTTCTCTTTTTTAGGTGTTCATCACAGGTGTAGAAATAATGGCTGCTTTAATAGAGAGAAAAGCAATAATTGCCAGAATGTATCATTTGTTAAATAAAAAGTGCCATGAATTATTGAGAGTGAATTTCAACTGTAGCTTACAGAAACGGGAATTATGGAGTCTCCTTACAATCAATCAAGGTCAAGAAAAATGTTCTTAGAGATATAGAGGATGGAAAGGTTAAAAAAATATTTTTATAGATTGCTGGCAAGATGGCCGAATAGGAACAGATCTGGTCTGCAGCTCCCAGCAAGATCGATGCAGAAGGTGGGTGATTTCTGTGTTTCTAACTGAGGTGTCCAGTTCATCTCATTGGGACTTGTTGGACAGTGGGTGAGGCCCACGGAGGGGCATGACCTCCCCAGGGAAGTGCAAGGGGTCAGGGAATTTTCTCCCCTACCCAAGGGAAGCCATAAGGGGCTGAGCCTGAGGAACCATGCACACTCCAGCCCAGATACTGCACTCGTCCCATGGCCTTTGCAACCCAAAACCAGGAAATTCCTTCTGGTACCTACCCCACCAGGGACCTGGGTTTCAAGCACAAAACTGGGCGGCTGTTTGGTCAGACACTGAACTAGCCACAGTTTTTTTTTTCCATACCCCAGTGGCACCTGGAACACCAGTGAGACAGAACCATTCACTCTCCTGGAAAGGGGTGCTGAAGCCAGTGAGCCAAGTGGTCTGTCGGCAGGTCCCACCCCCGTGGAGCCCAGCAAACTAAGATCCACTGGCTTGAAATTCTTGCTGCCAGCACAGTAGCAGTCTGAGATCGACCTGGGATGCTCGAGCTTGGTGGGGGGAGGGGCATCACCATTGCTGAGGCTTGACTAGGCGGTTTTAGGCTCACAGTGTAAACAAAGCAATGAGGAAGTTCGAACTGGGTGGAGCCACTGCAGCGCAGCAAGGCTGCTGTGGCAAGACTACCAGATTTCTCCTCTGTGGGCAGGGCATCTCTGAAAAACAGGCAGCAGCCCCAGTCAGGGACTTATAGATAAAACTCGCATATCCCTGGGACAGAGCACCTGGGGGAAGGGGCGGCTGGGGGTGCAGCTTCAGCAGACTTAAAAGTGCCTGCCTGACAGCTCTGAAGAGAGCAGCAGACCTCCCAGCACAGTGTTCAAGCTCTGCTAAGGGTTCTTGATCCTGATGTATCCAGACTGGGAGACACCTCCCAGTAGGGGCTGACAGACAGCTCATACAGGACAGCTCTGGCTGACATCTGGCGGGTGCCTCTCTGGGACTAAGCTTCCAGAGGAAAGAACAGGCAGCAATCTTTGCTGTTCTGCAGCCTCTGCGGGTGATACCCAGGCAGACAGGGTGAGGAGTGGACCTCCAGCAAACTCTAGCCAACCTGCAGCAGAAGGGCTTGACTGTTAGAAGGAAAATAAACAGAAAGGAATAGCACATCCACTCAAAGACCCCAACCAAAGGCCACAAACATCAAAGACCGAAGGTAAATAAATCCACAAAGATGTTGAGAAACCAGCACAAAAACACTGAAAATTCCAAAAACCAGAAGACCTCTTCTCCTCCAAAGGATCACAACTGCTTGCCAGCAAGGGAACAAAACTGGATGGAGAATGAGCTGGATTGACAGAAGTAGGCTTCAGAAAGTGAGTAATAACAAACTCCTCCGAGCTAAAAGAGCATGTTCCAAACCAATGGAATGAAGCTAAGAACCTTGAAAAACGGTTAGATGAGTTGCTAACTAAAATAACCAGTGTAGAGAAGAACATAAATGACCTGATGGAGCAGAAAAACAGCAGGAGAACTTTGTCAGGAATACACAAGTATCAATAGCTGAATTGATCAAGCAGAAGAAAAGATATCAGTAATTGAAGACCAACTTAATGAAATAAAGTGTAAAGACAAGGTTAGAGGGGTTCTGGTTCCAAGATGACCAAATAGAAACAGCTCAAGCTTACGGCTCCCAGCATGAGCGAAGCAGAAGATGGGTGATTTCTGCATTTCCAACTGAGGTACCGGGTTCATCTCACTGGGGCTTGTTGGACAGTGGGTACAGCCCATGGAGTGTGAGCTGAAGCAGGGAGGGGCATTGTCTCACCCGGGAAGCACAAGAGGTCGGGGAATTCCCTTTCCTAGCCAAGGGAAGCCGTGACAGATGCTACCTGGAAAATCGGGATGCTCCCACCCCAATACTGCACATTTCCAACGGTCCTAGCAAACGGCACACCAGGAGATTATATTCTGTGCATGACTCTGAGGGTCCCACACCCACAGAGACTCACTCACTGCTAGCACAGCAGTCTGAGATCGAACTGCAAGGCTGCAGCAAGGCTAGGGGAGGGGTGTCCACCATTGCTGAGGCTTGAGTTGGTAAACAAACTGGCCAGGAAGCTTGAACTGGGTGGAGCCCACCACAGCTCCACGAGGCCTGTCTGCCTCTGTAGACTCCACCTCTGGGGGCAGGGCATAGTTTAGAGAAAAAAGAGTAAAAGGAAACAAACAAAGCCTCCAAGAAATATGGGACTATGTGAAAAGACAAAATCTACATCTCATTGGTGTACCTGAAAGTGACGGGGAGAATGGAACCAAGCAGGAAAACCCTCTTAAGGATATTATCCAGGAGAACTTCCCCAACATAACAAGGCAGGCCAACATTCAAACTCAGGAAATACAGAGAATGCCACAAAGATATTCCTCAAGAAGAGCAACTCCAAGAAACATAATTGTCAGATTCACCAAAGTTGAAATGAAGAAAAATATTAAGGGCAGCCAGAGAGAAAGGTCAGGTTATCCACAAAGGTAAGCCCATAAGACTAACAGTGGATCTCTCTGCAGAAACTCTACAAGCCAGAAGAGAGTGGGGGCCAATATTCAACATTCTTAAAGAAAATAATTTTCAACCCAGAATTTCATATCCAGCCAAACTAAGCTTCACAAGTGAAGGAGAAATAAAATCCTTTACAGAAAAACAGATGCTGAGAGATTTTATCAACACCAGGCTGGCCTTAGAAGACCTCCTGAAGGCAGCACTAAACATGGAAAGGAAAAACCGGTACCAGCCACTGCAAAAACATGCCAAATTTTAAAGACCATTGATGCTAGGAAGAAAAGGCATCAACTAATGAGCAAAATAACCAGCTAACATCATAATGACAGGATCAAATTCACACATAACAATATTAACCTTAAATGTAAATGGGCTAAATGCTCCAATTAAAAGATACAGACTGGCAAATTGGATAAATAGGCAAGACCCATTAGTGTGCTGTATTCAGGAGACCCATCTCATGTGCAAAGACATACATAGGCTCAAAATAAAGGGATGGAGGAAGACCTAACAAGCAAATGGAAAACAAAAACAAAAAGCAGGGGTTGCAATCCTAGTATCTAATAAAACAGACTTGAAACCAACAAAGATCAAAAGAGACAAAGAAGGCCATTACATAATGGTAAAGGGATGAATTTAACAAGAAGAACTAACTATTCGAAATATATATGCATCCAATACAGGAGGACCTAGATTCATAAAGCAAGTCCTTAGAGACCTACAAAGAGACTTAGACTCCCACACAATAATAATGGAGACTTTAACACCCCACTGTCAACATTAGACAGATCAACGAGACAGAAAGTTAACAAGGATATCCAGGAATTGAACTCAGCTCTGCACCAAGCAGACCTAATAGACATCTACAGAACTCTCCACCCCATATCAACAGAATATATATTCTTCTTAGCACCACATTTCACTTATTCCAAAATTGATGACGTAGTTGGAAGTAAAGCACTCCTCAGCAAATGTAAAAGAACAGAAATTATAATAAACTCGCCCTCAGACCACACTGCAATCAAACTAGAACTCAGATTAAGAAATTCACCCAAAACCACCCAACTACATGGAAACTGAACAACCTGCTCCTGAATGACTACTACATATGTAACGAAATGAAGGCAGAAATAAAGATGTCTTTGAAACCAATGAGAACAAAGACACAACATACCAGAATCTCTGGGACACATTTAAAGCAGTGTGTACAGGGAAATTTGTAGCACTAAATGCCCACAAGAGAAAGCAGGAAAGATCCAAAATTGACACCCTAACCTTACAATTAAAAGAACTAGAGAAGCAAGAGCAAACACCTTCAAAAAATAGGAGAAGGCAAGAAATAACTAAGATCAGAGCAGAACTGAAGGAAATAGAGACACAAAAAACCCTTCAAAAAATCCATGAATCCAGGAGCTGGTTTTTTGAGAAGATCAACAAAATTGATAGACCACTAGCAAGAGTAATAAAGAAGAAAAGAAAGAAGAATCAAATAGACACAATAAAGAATGATACAGGGGATACCACCAGCAATGCCACAGAAATACAAACTACCATCAGAAATACTATAAACACCTCTAGGCAAATAAACTAGAAAATCTAGAAGAAATGTATACATTCCTGGACACATAGGCCCTCCCAAGACTAAACCAGGAACAAGTTGAATCCCTGAATAGACCAATAACAGACTCTGAAATTGAGGCAATAACAGCCTACCAACAAAAAAAGTGCAGGACCAGATGGACTAACAGCCAAACTCTACCTGAGGTACAAAAAGGAAATGGTACCATTCCTTCTGAAACAATTCCAATCAATAGAAAAAGAGGGAATTCTCCCTAACTCAGTTTATGAGGCCGGCATCATCCTGATACCAAAGCCTGACAGAGACACAACAAAAAAAGAGAATTTTAGACCAATATCCCTGATGAACATCGATGAAAAAACCTCAATAAAATACTGGCAAACCAAATCCAGCAGCATATCAAAAAACTTATCCACCAAGATCAAGTTGGCTTCATGCCTGGGATACTAGGCTGGTTCAACATATGCAAATTAATAAATATAATCCATCACATAAACAGAACCAAAGACAAAAACCACATGATTGTCTCAGTAGATGCAGAAAAGGCCTTCAACAAAATTCAATACCCCTTCATGCTAAAAACTCACAATAAACTAGGTATTGATGGAATGTATCTCAAAATAATAAGAGCTATTTCTGACAAATGCATGGCCAATATCATACTGAATGGGCAAAAATTGAAAGCATTCCCTTTGAAAACTGGCACAAGACAGGGATGTCCTCTCTCTATACTCCTTTTCAACATAGATTTGGAATTTCTGGCCAGGGAAATCAGGCTAGATAAAGAAAAAAAGAGTATTCAATTAGTAAAAGAGGAAGTCAAATTGCCCGTTTGCAGATGACGTGATTGTATATTTAGAAAACCCCATCATCTCAACCCAAAATCTCCTTAAGCTGATAAACAACTTCAGCAAAGTCTCAGGATACATAATCAATGTGCAAAAATCACAAGCATTCTTTTACACCAATAACAGACAAACAGAGAGCCAAATCATGAGTAAACGCCCATTTCCAATTGCTATAAAGAGAATAAAATACCTAGGAATCCAACTTACAAGGGATGTGAAGGATCTGTTCACAGAGAACTACAAACCACTGCTCAATGAAACAAAAGAGGACACAAACAAGTGGAAGAACATTCCATGCTCATGGATTGGAAGAATCAAAATGTATAGATTCAGTGCCATCCCCATCCAGCTACCAATGACTTTTTTCATAGAATTGGAAAAAACTACTTTAAAGTTCATATGGAACCAAAAAAGAGCCCTCATTGCCATGACAATCCTAAGCCAAAAGAACAAAGCTGGAGGCATCACGCTACCTGATTTCAAACTATACTACAAGGCTACAGTAACCAAAACAGCATGGTACTGGTACCATTACAGAGACATAGACCAATGGTACAGAACAGAGCACTCAGAAATAATACCACACATCTACAACCATCTGATCTTTGACAAACCTGACAAAAACAAGAAATGTGGAATTGATTCCCTATTTAATAAATGGTGCTAGGAAAACTGGCTAACCATATGTAGAAAACTGAAACTGGATCCCTTCGTTACACCTTATACAAAAATTAATTCAAGATGGATGAAAGACTTACATGTTAGTCCTAAAACCATAAAAACCCTAGAAGAAAACCTAGGCAATACCATTCAGGACATAGGCATGGGCAAGGACTTCATGTCTAAAACACCAAAAGCAATGGCAACAAAAGCCAAAATTGACAAATGGGATCTAATTAAACTAAAGAGCTTCTGCACAGCAAAAGAAACTACCATCAGAGTGAACAGGCAACCTACAGAATGGGAGAAAATTTTTGCAATCTACTCATCTGACAAAGGGTTAATATCTAGAATCTACAAAGAACTCAAATTTACAAGAAAAAAACAAACAACCCTATCAAAAAGTAGGTGAAGGATATGAACAGACACTTTTCAGAAGAAGACATTTATGCAGCCAACAAACATGAAAAAATGCTCATCATCACTGGTCATCACAGAAATGCAAATCAAAACCACAATGAGATACCATCTCACACCAGTTTGAATGGTGATCATTAAGAAGTCAGGAAACAACAGGTGCTGGAGAAGATGTGGAGAAATAGGAATGCTTTTACACTGTTGGTGGGACTGTAAACTAGTTCAACCATTGTGGAAGACAGTGTGGCAATTCCTTAAGGATCTAGAACTATAAATACCATTTGACTCAGCCGTCCAATTACTGGGTATATACCCAAAGGATTATAAATCATGCTACTATAAAGACACATGCACATATATGTTTATTGCAACACTATTCACAATAGCAAAGACTTGGAACCAACTCAAATGTCCATCAGTGATAGACTGGATTAAGAAAATGTGGCACGTATACACCATGCAATACTATGCAGCCCTAAAAAGGATGAGTTCATGTCCTTTGTAGGGACATGGATGAAGCTGGAAACCATCATTCTGAGCAAAGTATCACAAGGAGAGAATAACAAACACCGCATGTTCTCACTCACGGGTGGGAATTGAACAATGAGAACACTTGGACACAGGGTGGGGAACATCACACACCGGGTCCTGTGGTGGGGTGGTTGTATGAGGGAGAGATAGCATTAGGAGAAATATCTAATGTAAATGACGAGTTAATGAATGCAGTAAACCAGCACAGCACATGTATACCTATTTAACAAACGTGCACATTGTGCACATGTACCCTAGAACTTAAAGTATAATTAAAAAAAATGAAAAAAAGAAGAAAAAAAGGAAAAAAAAAGAACAAGCTCTCTATTCTAATTTCAGTCCATTTCATTGATATTCTCTTGCCAGAAGTAATGAAAATAATTCATTTTGAGAGTGTTTTCCTAGTAGGAAATAGACTACTTTTTAAATTTGTTTACATTTCTATTTGTAGCACCTCACATAATGATTGAGACCATAGACAAAAAAATAAAAATAAAAAAAGGAGAAGTTGCAATCCTAATCTCTGATAAAAGAGACTTTAAACCAGCAAAGATCAAAAGAGACAAGGGCTTTACATAATGGTAAAGGGAAAAATGCAGCAAGAAGAGTTAACTATCCTAAATATATATGCACTCAATACAGGAGCACCCAGATTCATAAAGCAAGTCCTTAGAGACCTACGAAGAGACTTAGACTCCCACACGTTAATAATGGGAGACTTTAATACCCAACTGTCAATATTAGACAGATCAATGAGACAGAACGTGAACAAGGATATCCAGGACCTGAACTCAGATCTGCAACAAACAGACCCAATAGACATCTATGGAAATCTCCACCCCAAATCAACAGAACATACATTCTTCTCAGTACCACATCACACTCATTCTAAAATTGACCACGTAATTGGAAGTAAAGCACTCCTCAGCAAATGTAAAAGAATGGAAATCAGAACAAACTGTCTCTCAGAACACAGTGCAATCAAATTAGAACTCAGAATTAAGAAGCTCACTCAAAACTGCACAACTACATAGAAACTGAACAACCTGCTCCTGAGTGACTACTGGGTAAATAACAAAATGAAGGCAGAAATAAAGATGTTTTTTGAAACCAATGAGAATGAAGACACAATGTACCAGAATCTCTTGGATACATTTAAAGCCGTGTGTGGAGTGAAATTGATAGCACTAAATATCCACAAGAGAAAGCAGGAAAGATCTAAAATTGACACCCTAACATCACAATTAAAAGAACAAGAGAAGCAACAGCAAACAAATTCAAAATGTAGGAGAAAACCAGAAATAACTAAGATCAGAGCAGAACTGAAGGAGATACAGACACAAAAAAACCCTTCAAAAAATCAATGAATCTGGGAGCTAGTTTTTTTTAAAAGATCAGCAAAATATATAGAATGCTACCCAGACTAATAACGAAGAAAATAGAGAAGGATGAAATAGACACAACAAAAAATGATACAGGGGATATCACCACTCATCCCATAGAAATACAAACTACCATCAGAGAATACTATAAACACCTTTATGCAAATAAACTAGAAATCTTAGAAGAAATGGATAAATTCCTGGACACATACACCCTTCAAAGGCTAAACCAGAAGAAGTTGAATCCCTGAATAGACCAATAACAAGTTCTGAAAATGAGGTAGTAATTAATAGCCTACCAAGCAAAAAAAGTCCAGGACCAGTTGGATTCACAGCCAAAGTCTACCAGAGGTACCAAGAGGAGCTGGTACCATTTCTTCTGAAACTATTCCAAACAATAGAAAAATAGGGGATCCTCCCTAACTCATTTTATGAGGCCAGCATCATTCTGATGTCAAAACCTGGCCGAGACACAACAGAAAAGGAAAATTTCAGGCCAATATCCCTGATACAGATCGATGAGAAAATCCTCAATAAAATACTGGCAAACCAAATCCAGCAGCACATCAAAAAGCTTATGCATCATGATCAAGTCGGCTTCTACCCAGGTATGTAAGGCTCGTTCAATATATGCTAATCAATAAACGTAATCCATCACATAAACAGAACCAATGACAAAAACTACACGATTATTTCAATAGATGCAGAAAAAGTTTCAACAAAATTCAACACCCCTTCATGCTAAAAACTCTCAATAATCTAGGTATCGATGGAACGTATCTCAAAATAGTAAGAGCTATATATGACAAACCCACAGCCAATATCATACTAAATGGGCAAAAACTGGAAGGATTCCATTTGAAAACTGGCACAAGACAGGGATGCCCTCTCTCACCACTCCTATTCAACATAGTATTGGAAGTTCTGGCCAGGGCAATCAGGCAAGAGAAAGAAATAAAGGGTATTCAAATAGGAAGGGAGGAAGTCAAATTGTCCCTGTTTGCAGATGACATGATTGTATATTTAGAAAACCCTATTGTCTCAGCCCAAATCTCCTGATGCTGATAAGCAACTTCAGCAAATCTCAGGATACAAAATCAATATTAAAAAATCACAAGCATTCCTATACACCAATAACAGACAAACAGAGAGCCATATCATGAGTGAACTCCCATTCACAATTGCTACAAAGAGTATAAAATACCTAGGAATACAACTTACAAGAGATGTGAAGGACCTCTTCAAGGAGAACTACAAACCACTGCTCAAGGAAATAAGAGAGGACACAAACAAATGGAAAAGCATTCCTGCACATGAATAGGAAGAGTCAATATCATGAAAATGGCCATACTGCCCAAAGTAATGTATAGATTCTATACTATCCCCATCAAGCTACCACTAACTTTCTTCACAGAATTGGATTAAACTACTTTAAAGTTCATATGGAACCAAAAAAGAGCTTACATAGCCAAGACAATCCTAAGCAAAAAGAACAAAGCTGGAGGCATCATGCTACCTGACTTCAAACTATACTATAAGGCTACAGTAACCAAAATAGCATGGTACTGGTACCAAAACAGATATATAGACCAGTGGAACAAAAGAGGGGCCTCAGAAACAATACCACACATCTATAACCATCTGATCTTTGACAAATCTGACAAAAACAAGCAATGTGGAAAGGATTGCCTGTTTAATAAATGGTATTGGGAAAACTGGCTAGCCATATGCAGAAAACTGAAACTGGATCCCTACTTACACCTTATGCAAAAATCACCTCAAGATAGATTAAGGACTTAAATGTTAAGACCTAAAAACCATAAAAATCCTAGAAGAAAACCTGCGCAATACCATTCAGGATAGGCATGGGCCAATACTTTATGTCTAAAACACCAAAAGCAATGGCAACCGAAGCCAAGATTGACAAATGGGATCTAATTAAACTAAAGAGCTTCTGCACAGTAAAAGAAACTATCATCAGAGTGAACAGGCAACCTACAGAATGGAAGAAAAATTGCAATCTATCCATCTGGCAAAGGGCTAATATCCAGAATCTACAAAGAACCTATACAAATTTACAAGAAGAAAACAACCCCATCAAAAAGTGGGCAAAGGATAGGAACAGATACTTCTCAAAAGAAGATATTTATGTGGCCAACAAACATATGAAATAAAGCTCATCATCACTGGTTATTAGAGAATTGCAAATCAAAACCACAATGAGATAGCATCTCATGCCAGTTAGAATGGCTATCATTAAAAAGTCAGGAAACAACAGATGCTGGCGAGAATGTGGAGAAATAGGAATGCTTTTACACTGTTGGTGGGAGTGTCAATTAGTTCAATTATTCTGGAAGGCAGTGTGGCCATTCCTCAAGGATCTAGAACTAGAAATACATTTTGACCCAGCAATCCCATTACTGGTATAAACCCAAACAATTATAAATCATTCTACTATAAAGACACATGCACACGTATGTTTATTGCAGCACTATTCACAATAGCAAAGACTTGGAACCAATTCAAATGCCCATCAGTGATATACTGGATAAAGAAAATGTGGCACATATACACCATGGGATACTATTCATCCATATAAAAGATGAGTTCATTTCCTTTGCAGGGACATGGATGGAGCTGGAAACCATCATTCTCAGCAAATGATTTCAAGAACAGAAAACCAAACACCACAGGTTTTCACTCATAAGCGGAAGTTGAACAAGGAGAACAAATGGACTCAGGGAGGGAAATATCACACAATGGGGCCTGCTGCGGGGTGGGGGGATAGGGGAGGGATAGCATTAGGATAAATATCTAATGTAGCTGACTGGTTGATGGGTGCAGCAAACCACCATAGCACATGTATACCTGTGTAAAAAAAACTGCACATTCTGCAGATTTATCCCAGAACTTAAATTATGATAAAAAATAAATAAATAAGTAAATAAATAAAATTTTTGTAGAAATTTGCATTGCTCATATTACCAATGTAGTGTACCAGCATCTTTCCTAGAGTAGAATCAACCCATGAATACTCTGACATACTATGTTCCCATCTCAACTGACTCATTTAGAGCAAAGAAAAAGTTAACATGCAAGTGTGTACTTGATCTCACCGTCAAAAATATTAATTATAGTATGTTATAATAGCATTAAATAGTAAGCTCATCCAATGACTTACATATTTGCATGGAAGATTTCAATTTCAATAGGAAAAAGGAAAGAAATCTCAGAAATGGGAGAGATATTTATCATAAAAACAATTTAAACGACAAGAGCAACAAATTCACTGTACAAAGAAAGCCAGCACTACATTCCAGCTTCTTCTGTTCCCTGGGTTGCTAGTCTACTCAAGACAGATGGAGGCTAGTAGCCACACAAGTCTCCAGTGTGGTCTGTTGAGTACAAGGGCACTCATTTACCTCAGTTCCCCTACCATAAAGAATTCAGCAATCATTTGTGGTAATGGGGCCAAGCATACTGTTGGCTTGACCACAGACTCTTCTAATATCCCTTGCCCCTTCACTCTTGGCTCAACCAGTCCTTGTTCTTGGCCAAATCAGAAGTTTTGGTCTGGCTGCTCACACTCAGTATATATTCCTTGAAAAAGGAGAGAAAAATCAAATAAAGATATGGTCAAACCAAGATTATGCTAGTCATGGTGTCCTAGATCAATAATATATATACAACGAAAGGAATATTTGAACCTTGATGTAATTTTAAATTAGAACTTGATTAAAAAAAGACATGGAAAAATAAGAATCCTAATGATTAAATGTGAATTATCTTTAGCTCACTTGACTTTGCAATGTTTCCCTCGATAAGAACAATTCTTCCCTGTCTTTTGCTCTGGAGACCTCACTCCACTGGGAAGGAAATCTGCAATTCCATGCTTATAAATTAAACACTTGTTACTTATCTAGCCCAAAACAATGCTCCCACAGGCTAAAGAATTACACAACCCCTGAGCACATTTCTTTTACCTAAGTTCCCCTTCCATCTGGCAAACTCCCTATTTAAGACACGGCCAAAATGTTCCACTTTTTCCTTCTCATCCTGAGGCAGCTGATTCCTACATGCCTCTGTTAACACTCACATCAGATTGTCCTGTGGCTTCTAGTTTATATGTCTCTTTCTCTCATTATATAATTAGTGTCTCAAAGTCAGGGACTGTATCTTAGTAATCCATGTAACCCTGTTGCTTGGACATATATATAATTACTCAATAACTACGGTTGAATGAATGAATGAATGAATGAATAAAGAAATCAGTAAATGGTTATGTCTCTATGTCAATGTTCTAATGGGTTTCTTGGGGAAAGAGAGAAAGAGACGTTGTACAACTTAGTATAGCATCTAGCAACTGAGTGAAATATAGACGGGATTTAGGTCAGGCACTGGAAAAATCAAGCTAAGTCCTAACAATTGCAAATATTTTTCCAACCATCGAGAGAGTAAAAGAGACACTCAGATGGGTTGTCTGTTCTTATTGCTCATCTATAAAGCATGCATGAATGTAGAAGGGGAAAACCCTGAGTACCACAAGTTGAGTGGTGTTGCAAATGAATGACGTGTACGTTCTGTAAACACTAACCCACTACTGATAATGTTACTTGACACACTAATGCAGTGCCCCACATGAATTTCTCCTTCTATGCTAAGTTTTCAATCAGAAAATAGACATATGACAAGAAGAGGAAAATATGAGTTAATAGAGTATTCTCTATCTCCCCACATGGCTTGGATCATTCTCTGCACACAGGAGGATCTCATGGAATATTGATTCATCCTCTGGGTACTTTCCTGCCTTCCAGGCCTAAACTGCATAAAATGCTCATTGTCCCTTTTTACCCAATGCAAGATGTGTCTCCCCCTTGCTACCTGTCAACAAAAGAATCTCACTCATGGAAGGGTATTACCAATATGGAGGAAGCAGCTAAAGTTCTACACCTGAATGGATGGGCTCAGGCTTGAAGAAAGAAAAAAAAAGCCTATAAGCAAAGAGGTTAAAACTTAATTCAGTTTCTCAGTCTTGGAGATGGGGCCCAATCAGAACCCTCTCCTACACAACAGAGACTCATCTGAGAATACTAAAAGAGATCTTAGAAGTTTTATCAGACTCTCTACTCAGAAGCACAAATCTTCCAGATTTCAGAACACTCCTCCCAAATTAACCTTCGTATTCACACAAAATACAAGGGCCCATTAGCACCAATGTTCTGAGGCCTGATGAGATCCTATTTTCATTAGAAATTCTAGCACAAGGGTAATTAGAGAAGTGTGGCATAATTTTATTAAAAATTTTAAAAACATCATCTTTATTGTATTTCTAATATATATTCAACTTTAGAGAATGTGTATTTCCTAAGCTTAAGAAATATTCTCACAAAGTATCTGTTTTCTAAGCCTAAAAAATATTTATAGCAATAAGTTCAAGAGATCTATTGTACACATTGACTATGGTTAATAATAATATATTGTATTCTAGCCAGGCATGGTGTCTCACACCTGTAATCCCAGCCGTTTGGGAGACAGAGGCAAGTGGATTGCCTGAGGCCAGAAGTTTGAGACTAGTCTAGCCAACCATCTCTACTAATAATGCAAAAATTGTCCAGGCATGGTGTTGCGCACCTTTAGTCCCAGCTACTCGGGAGGCTGAAGTGGGATAATCACTTGAACCTGGGTGGCAGAGGTTGCAGCGAGCTGAGATCATGCCACTGCACTCCAGCCTGGGTGACAGAACAAGATTCTGTCTCAAAAAATATATATTAGTTTTACTTATACTTTTTATATATTTTGAGAATACTATATATATACACACACATATAGTATTATAGCACAAATCTTTCAGATTTCAGAATACTCCCCCCATACTAACCTTAAGATTCACACAGATTCAGAATACTATATATAATACTCTCGAAAATTTCTGAGAGTATTAAGTTTTCTCATCAAAAAAATGATAAGCATGTGAAATAATAAAAATGTTCATTAGCTCAATTCAGCCTTTCTGCATGTATATATTTCAATACAACATGTTGTGGATGATAAGTAATATAATTTTTATTTTTCAATTTTTTAAAATAATATAGAATCAACTCAATGTCTTTTTTTGTAAAAAAGTTTATCATTTCAGAATAAAAATCTGGAATGAGAATTACTTAAGTATGAAAGCTCTAAAGGAGCAATCATTAAGGCTTAGGTATAAATACACAGGTAGAAAGGGTCATCATCATCATCATCATCAGGAGTGTATGAAGAATTGATGAGTTATTCTTTGTGGAACAAAGATGGGAATTAATCATATATTTGGAGTATATCTGCATATCAGGCTAGATAATCTGCAAAGCTGAAAATATATTTCTCACATACTTTCAGAAAGGTCTTCCAGGAAGGAGTGATTTATCTGATCAGTAAAACAGAAGAAGGAGTCTGCATAAGTGTAGCCCAGGGTTCAGTCCTTGTTCACCTTCAGACTACACAGCCTGTAGAATAAGTGCATATTCTTAATTCTCTCACAGGAAGCTACTGAGCCAGGCTGTGCCCTGCAAGGGGAGGTCCAAGGGATTCCTTCTTCACAACCTATAAGTAGGTGAAAAAGTTCATCCTGTTCTATCAGAAGGACAATTGTGTTCTCAGGCAGCATCTTCTAATCCAGCTTTAGTATGACATTGCTGGTATGTTGATCTCCATCTGCCTGCTGTGTCTACTGTTCCATTGGCTCAGAAAAAACACACTGGAAACAGACATGATTATCACTCTCCAAACCCCAACAACCACCAATGTTTAAGAAAGAAGATGTGGGGAAAAAATGGTCTACAAAGTAGTGTAATGAAAACCAAGGGAGTAGAGTTTCAAGGAGGGGCTGGTTAGCCATTAAGCACTATTGCAGCAAAAATGACAGATGTTCAGTTTCTGTGCAAGGAAATGTGTAGAGTCAGATCAAATTCCATTCTGTGCAAGGGAATGTGTAGAGTCAGATCAAATTCCATTCTGTGCAAGGGAATGTGTAGAGTCAGTTTTGGTGTTAGCTAACCAGCATCCAGCTACTAGATTCACCCAGCTAACCAGCATCCAGCTACTAGATTCCAGTCAAGAAAGAGAATGCAAAAGCAAGTGCTCTGAGTAAGATGACATAAGGAGTATAAGATAGGTCCTGATTATAATCATGTTGGGGGTGGTCTACAGAACCGACACCTGGCCACTTTTTATTTAGCCAGTCCAAGCAAGTGTGTTCCTGCAATTGCTAACTAACACAAAAACAGTGGTGGACTCAGATCCTCAGCTGTGCTTAGAATAGCAGGGAAAGTGAAGGCTGTTGCTAATGCCAGAGTGCACACTGACCAGTGTCACAAGAGGAGATGAGAGTATATAGGAATGTGGCTTTCAAATCAAAATTGTATAGAGGAATCATATGGCTCTAAGTAACTCTTTATGTTGAGAAACAGGGCCCTTCCCTGGTTATAAAACTCATTACTTATCATAGAAATGATTAGGATTGATGGGACCTTCCCAGGAGTTCATAAATGGCTAATGTGAAGCTTTGGTGTGTATGTATTTATGTAGGATAAATTTGAAGTAGCCTCACTGATTACAAAAGAATTAAAGCCAAAAAACAAAAGAAACTTTCTCCTTTCCAGCGTTCTGGGAAGAGATTACACTAAGTTTGCTGCTAAGGAACAGTACTTCCAGAAGGTACAGTTGTGTGGCAGTCAATCAGGAGAGTAGCCACTTACGGAGAAAAAGCTTAAGGGAATACAAAGAAGAGCAAATAGGAGAACAAAGCTGACAGAGGAGACTACATTTTCATCACTGAACAAAGGAAACACAATTTCAAGTATGGTTGAACCAGTGAGTGCTTGAGATTCCAATGTGAGCTAACCCTAGGGTCAAGTTTGATAAAGTCACAGTGGCATCAACCCCATGGCACCTGAGAAAGGGCAAGCAGCAACTAAGTGCTGGATGGATGTGCAGCCTTTGTGTAAGCTCCAAGACCAGTAGATCTAAATCCATTTGGACAATAAATCAAGCGTTGGGCTTTTGTTGGAGGGAAAATGACATAAATCTTTGCCATCTAGATGAATTGAACCTAGAAGCTTCTTAGAAAAAAAATCCCTTAGTTCAGAAATAGAGCAAATGTTTTAAACTTTTGAAGACATCTGAACAAAAGTGGCATTTTGTTAGCAATTCCGATTCTAAATTCCCAATAACAGTAGAAAACAAAACTAACTTTAATTAGGTGCTTGAACCTATAATGCTTATTGTTTGATAGATTGGGCAAAAACTAGGTAGAACAATATCTATAAATCTAAAGTATCTTAATAGTATAAGTGATAATGTTGAATTAAAAATTATCAGATTCAATATTTTTATCCTGTAAACATTATCCTTCTTTGCTGCCATAGCATATTTATAACTATCAGGTAGTTGGCCAAAAAAATTACCTAACTAAATTCAAAAGAGTAAAAATTACACAGACCTTATTATTTGATCACATTATTAAAAAAATAAATAAACAGAACTAAAAATGAATAAAGCCTAAAGTATGTAACAAAGGTTTAAGAAACAAGCTTCCAAACACTTGAAATAAAACTGAAAACAATGCAGTGATTCCAAAGAAAACACTTATAAATCTCACAAAACATTAGGATCTATATGCTGAAAACCATAAAACACTAATGAAAGGAAGATCTTCATCATGGATTAGATGTTTTAGTACACAATACATTAACACATAACAAAGATGTCAGTTCTCCTTTAACTGATCTATAGGTTCAATGCAATTTCTATGAAAAATTTACCTTAATGTTTCTATGAAAAGACAAATAAGAATAGGCTAAGAATATTGAAAATGAAGAATAAAGTGGGAGAAATCACACTGCCTGATTTCAAGGCCTACTATATACCTACATTAATTAAAACAATTAGCTAGGACAATTAAGAGGTGGAAAACGATAAGAGGTCATAAGAGTGTTAGCCAGCATGCCTCAAGCAGAAGCCATAAAGGGCTTTCATGATTTGGCTTTGCCCCTACTGCCCTCGCTATTAAAAAAAATTATTTTTTTTCTAGGGAGACAATAGTCCCAGAATGAGGGATGTAGAATGGAGACGAAGCCACACTACAGCAGGCAGCAGAGCTTCCTTGGCTGACCTGCAAACCTGTGAATGAAAAAACAAATGTGTGATGTTGAGCTATAGAGATTTGGGGGATTGTTTGTTATGCAGTATTGCAGTGGGAATCTGGCTAATTTAGAGAGTAGCCAGGGACAAGACCATATAAACTCTGGCCACAAATGTTGGATTTTATCCTAAATTAGGTCTGAAGCCATTAGAAGGTTTTGAGCAAAGGAATGATATGATACAACTTACATTATAAAAGCATGATTCTGGTACTGGGTGGAGAATAAAGCATGGGATGCCAAAAGTGGGAGCACAGAACACACCTTAAATTTAAATGACTTAAATTGACTAATTTAAGTCAGTCAAAATATGTTAGTACAAATAGATAGTGGTGGAGATAGAAAAGGATAAATTCTGGGAACAGTTTGAAGCATGGAGGCAGCAGAATTTGGTAACAGATTGCATGTAGATGGTCAAAGAAAAAAGTCATCAGCTTAGATGGCCCAGACCACAGGAGAAGCAGGAGTGTGGCAAAATCAACAATTTAGTTTTGGACATTTTATTTCTTCTAGAATAATGTCCAAAAACTATGAAATTTAGTTTTGAAATGAGCATCAGCCAATACCAATAAAAGAAATAATAAAACATTGTTTTAAGAATCACAGTTCTACCAAGCTGAATGAAACCCATGAAAGATCATTATCGACTTTGATATTAGCTAATTTAAAGAAATTTAGAAGAGGCAGGAGGTATTTAAACCCCTCTAAATGTAAAAGTTATTTATAGGGATTTATTTAATTTAGATGACCCTAAATAAGTGCATGTTGTTATCATTACAATAAAAGAAACACATTTCCAGTAAACATCACTTATTTATATAGTTCTAGTCAAAAGAGTTGTGAAGATATATTTGGATTTCATCCTAGACAGAAAGAGGCAGGCACAGCTGTATGCAATTGTGCTTATCAAGAAGGTTCCCACTTTCTCATTCTAGGATGCAGAATTCTAGAACTGCCTTTCTTTAAATAAAACATTTAAAAGAAAATCATGAATGTTAGAAAGGCAATATTTTGTCTAACATTACAAAGCATCTGATATGGTTTGGCTTTGTCCCCATCTAAATCTCATCTTGAACTATAGTTCCCACAACCCCATGTCTCATGGGAGGGACCCAGTGGAAGGTAATTGAATCATAGGGGCAGTTACCCCCATGCTGCTGTTCTGATGATAGTGAGTGAGTTCTCATGAGATCTGATGATTTTATAAGGGGTTTTTCTTCCTTTTGCTTGACACTTCTCTCTCTTGCCACCATATGAAGAAAGATACATTTGCTTTCTCTTTCACCATGATTGTAAGTTCCTGAGGCCTCCCTAGACATGTGGAACTGTGAGTCAATTAAACTTCTTTCCTTTATGAATTACCCAGTCTCAAGAAGCCTTTTTATAGCAGTGTAAAAACAGACTAATACACTGAATTGTACTAGGAGTGGGGTGCTGCTATAAGGATACCCAAAAATGTGGAAGCGACTTTGGAACTGGGTAATAGGCTGAGTTTGGAATAGTTTGGAGGGCTCATAAAAGACAGAAAAATGTGGGAAACTTTGGAACTTCCTGGAGACTTGTTGAATGGCTTTGACCAAAATGCTGATAGAGATATGGACAATGATGTCCAGGCTGAGGTGGACTCTCAGAGAGAGATGAGGAACTTCTTGGGAACTGGAATAAGGTCATTTCTTGCTATCTTTCAGCAAAGAGACTGGCAACATTTGACCCTGCCCTAGAGATCTGTGGAACTTTGAACAGATGAAATAAATTTCTAAGCAGCAAAACATTTAAGAGGAAGTAGAGCATAAAAGTTTAGAAAATGTGTTGCCTGACAATGCAGTAGAAAAAAAAAACAATTTTCTGAGTAGACAGTCAAGCCTGCTGCATAAATTTGCATGAGTAATAATGAGACAAATGTTAATCACCAAGACAAGACAATGGAAAAAATGTCTCCAGTGCATGTCAGAGACCTTCAGAGCAGCCCCTCTCATCACAGGCCTGGAAGCCAAAAAAGGGAAAATGATTTTGTGGGCTGGGCCCAGTGCCCCCCTTCTCTATGCAGCCTCTGGACATGATGCCCTGCATCCCAGCTGCTCTAGCTCTAGCCATGGCTGAAAGGGGTCAACATACAGCTCAAGCAGTTGCCTTAGAGGATACAAGCCCCAAGCCTTGGCTGCTTCCAGGTGGTGTTGGGCCTGTGGGTGCACAGAAGTCAAGAATTGAGGTTTAGGAACCTCCACCTAGATTTCAGAGGATATATGGAAACACCTGGATACCCAGGCAGAAGTTTGCTGGAGGGGTGGAACTCTCATGGAGAACTTCTGCTAGGGCAGTGGGGAAAGAAAATGTGGGGTTGGAGCCCTCACACAGAGTCCCCACTGGGGCACTGCTTAGTAGAGCTGTGAGAAGAGGGCCACCATCCTCCAGACCCCAGAATGGTAGAACCACTGACAGCTTGCACCATGCATCTGGAAAAGCTGTAGGTACTCAATGTCAGCCTGTAAAAGCAGCCAGGATGGGGGCTCTACTCTGCGAAGCCACAAGGCAGAGCTGCCCAAGGCCAAAGAAACCCACCTGTTCCATCAGCATGATGTGGATATGAGACATGGAGTCAAAAGAGATCATTTTTTAACCTTAAGGTTTAATGACTGCCCTATTGGATTTTGGACTTGCCTTGGGCCTGTAGCCCCTTTGTTTGGGCCAATTTCTCTCTTTTAGAATGGGTGTATTTACCCAATGCTGTAATTCCATTGTATCTGGGAAGTAACTAACTTGCTTTTGATTTTAAGGCTCACAGGCAGAAGGGACTTGCCTTGTCTCAGATGAGACTTTGGACTTGAACTTTTGGGTTAATGCTCAAATGAGTTAAGATATTGGACGACTATTAGGAAGGCATAATTATGTTTTGAAATGTGAGGACATGAAATTTTTTCAGGGACCGGGGTGGAATGATATGGCTTGGTTATGTTCACACTCAAATCTCATCTTGAATTGTACTTCCCATAATACCCATGTTTCATGGGAGGGACCCAGTGGGAGGTAATTGAATCATGGGGACAGTTACCCCTATACTGCTATTTTCATGATAGTGAGTAATAGTATAAAAACATCAGATCATGAGATCTGAGATCTGATGGTTTTATAATGAGTGATAGTATAAAACCATCAGATCATGAGATCTGATGGTATGATAAGGGGCTTCTCCCCCTCTTGCTCAGCACCTCTTCTGTCTCCTCCCATCATGTGAAGAAAGATGTGTTTGCTTCCCCTTCTGCCATGATTGTAAGTTTCCAGAGACCTCCGCAGCCATGTGGAACTGTGAGTCAATTGAACCTCTTTCCAGGAGATTCCCAGGCAAGATGGTCAAATAGGAACAGCTCTGATCTGCAGCTCCCAGTGACACCAATGCAGAAGGCTGGTGATTTCTGCATTTCCAACTCAGATACCTGGTTCATCTCACTGGGACTGGTGAGACAGTGGATGCAGCACAAGGAGGGTGGGCAGAAGCAGGGTAGGGTGTCACCTCACCCAGGAAGCACAAGGGGTCAGAATACATCCTCCCATAGCTAAGGGAAGCTGTGAGGGGTGGTGCTGTCTGGCCCACATACTAGGCTTGTCCCACGGTCTTCACAACCCGCAGACCAGGAGATTCCCTTGGGTGCCTACACCACCAGGGCCCTGGATTTCAAGCACAAAACTGGGCAGCTGTTGGGGCAGACACTGAGCCAGCTGCAGGAGTTTTATTTCATGCCCCAGTGGCACCTGGAATGCCAGCGAGAAAGAACCATTCACTCCCCTAAAAAGGGGGCTGAAGCCAGGGAGCCAAGTGGTCTTGCTCAGTGGATCCCACCCCCACGAAGACCAACAAGCTAAGATCCACTGGCTTGACATCCTCGCTGCTAGCACAGCAGTGTGAAGTCAACCTGGGACACTTGAGTATGGTGGGGGAGGGGCATCCATCATTACTGAGGCTTGAGTAGGCAGTTTTCCCTTCAACATGTAAACAAAGCTGCCAGTAAGTTCAGAATGGGCGAAGCCCACTGCAGTGCAGCAAAGCTGCTGTAGCCAGACTGCCTCTCTAGATTCCTCCTCTATCAGGGGAGCCAGCCCCCAATATTTCAACGTAGGTTCTTTCTATTTTCCCTAAGTGTCAGCCAGTCTGAGAAATAAAGAGAAAAAATACAAAGAAAGGAATTTTACAGCTGGGCCGCCAGGGGTGACATCACATATTGGTAGGTCTGTGATGCCCCCTGAGCTGTAAAACCAACAAGTTTTTATTAGGGATTTCAAAAGGGGAGGGGGTGTATGAACAGGGAGTAGGTCACAAAGATCACATGTTTCTGAGGCCAATAAAAGATCACAAGGCAAAAGGCAAAATTAGAATTACTGATGAGGGTCTATGTTCGGCTGTGCATGTATTGTCTTGATAAACATCTTAACAGAAAACAGGGTTTGAGAGCAGAGAACTGGTCTGACCTCAAATTCACCAAGGTGGGATTTTTTCCCCACCCTAATAAGCCTGAGGGTACTGCAGGAGACCAGGGCGTATTTCAGTCCTTATTTCAACCACATAAGACAGACACTCCCAGAGCGGCCGTTTATAGACTGCCCCCCAGGAATGCCATTCTTTTCCTAGGGTCTTAATGTTTAATATTCCTTTCTAGGAGAAAAATGTAGTGATATCTCTCCTACTTGCATGTCTGTTTATAGGCTCTCTGCAAGAAGAAAAATGTGGCTCTATTCTGCCTGACCCCACAGGCAGTCAAACCTTATGGTTGTCTCCCCTTGTTCCCTAAAATCACTGTTATTCTGTTCTTTTTCAAGATGCACTGATTTCATATTGTTCAAACACATGTTTTACAATCAATTTGTACAATAGTGGTCCTGAGGTGATGTACATCCTCAGCTTATGAAGATAGCAGGATTAAGAGATTAAAGTAAGACAGGTGTAAGAAATTATAAGAGTATTATTAGGGAATTGATAATTGTCCATATTAAAATGAAATCTTCACAATTTATGTTCAGAGATTGCAGTAAAGACAGGCATAAGAAATTATAAAAGTATCAATTTTGGGAACTGATAAATGTCCATGAAATCTTCACAATTTATGTTCCTCTGCCGCTGCTCCAGCCAGTCCCTCCATTCGGGGTCCCTGACTTCCCACAACTCCTCTCTGGGCAGGGCATCTCTGAAAGAAAAGCAGTAGGCCCAGACAGGGGCTTATAGATCAAACTCCTATCTCCCTAGGAGAGAGCACCTTGGGAAAGGGACAACTGTGGGTGCAGCTTCAGCAGACTTAAATGTTCCTGCCTGCCTGCTCTGAAGAGAGCAGCAGATCTCCCACCACAGTGCTCGGGCTCTGCTAAGGGACAGACTGCCTCCTCAAGTGAGTCCCTGACCCCTGTGCTTCCTGATGGGGAGACACCTCCCAGCAGGTGTTGACAGACACCTCACAGAGGAGAGCTCCAGCTGGCATCTGGCAGGTGCCACTCTGGGATGAAGCTTTCAGAGGAAGGAACAGGCAGCAATTTTTGCTGTTCTGAAGCCTTCACTGGTGATATGTAGGCAAACAGGGTCTGGAGTGGACCTCTAGCAAACTCCAGAAGACCAGAAGAAGAGGGGCCTGACTGTTAGAAGGAAAACTAACAAACAGAAAGCAATAGCATCAACATCAACAAAAAGGACAATCACACAAAAACACCATCCAAAGGTCACCAACATCAAAAAGCAAAGGTAGATAAATCCATGAAGATGAGGAAAAACCAGTGCAAAAATGCAGAAAATTCCAAAAACCAGAATGCCTCTTCTCCTCCAAAGAATCACAACTCCTTGCCAGCAAGAGAACAAAACTGGATGGAGAATGAGTTTGATGAATTGACAGAAATAGGCTTCAGGATGTGGCTAATAACAAACTCCTCTGAACTAAAGGAGCATGTTCTAACCCAAAGCAAGGAAGCTAAGAACCTTGAAAAAAGGTTACAGGAACTGCTAACTAGAATAACAAGTTTAAAGAAGGACATAAATGACCTGATGGAGCTGAAAAACACAGCATGAGAATTTAGTGAAGCATACACAAGTATCAATAGATGAATTGATCAAGCAGAAGAATGGATATCAGAGATTGAAGATCAACTTAATGAAATAAGCATGAAGACAAAATTGGAGAAAAAAGAATAAAAAGGAATGAACAAATCCTCCAAGAAATAAGGGACTATGTGAAAATACCAGACCTATGTTTGATTGGTGTACCTGAAAGAGACGTGGAGAATGTAACCAACTTGGAAAACACTCTTCAGGATACTATCCAGGAGAACTTCCCCAACCTAGCAAGGCAGGCCAACATTCAAATTCAGGAAACACAGAGGACACCACAAAGATACTCCTCAAGAAGAGCAACCCCAGGACACATAATCATCAGATTCATCAAGGTTGAAATGAAGGGAAAAAAATGTTAAGGGCAGCTAGACAGGAAGGCTGGGTTACCGACAAAGGGAAGCCCATCAGACTAACAGCAGATCTCTCTGCAGACACCCTACAAGCCAGAAGAGAGTGGGGGCCAATATTCGACATTCTTAAAGAATTTTCAATACAAAATTTCATATCCAGCCAAACTAAGCTTCATAAGTGAAGGAGAAATAAAATCCTTTACAGACAAGCAAATAATGAGGGCTTCCCTTACAAGAGCTCCTGGAGGAAGCACTAAATATGGAAAGGAAAAACTGCTACCAGCCACTGCAAAAACATACCAAAATGTAAAGACCATTGACACTATGAAGAAACTGCATCAACTAATGGGCAAAATAACCAGCTAGCATCATAATGACAGGATCAAATTCACACATAACAATATTAACCTTAAATGTAAATGGGCTAAATGCCCCTGTTAAAAGACACAGACTAGCAAATAGGATAGACTCAAGATCCATCAGGGTGCTGTATTCAGGAGACCCATCTTACGAGCAAATACACACATGGGCTCAAAATAAAGGGATGGAGGAAGATTTACCCAGCAAATGGAAAGCAAAAAAACAAAAACAAAAACAAAAACAAAAACCCAGGGGTTGCAATCCTAGTCTCTGATAAAACAGACATTAAACCAACAAAGATAAAAAAAGACAAAGAAGGGCATTACATAATAGTAACGGGATCGATACAACAAAAAGAGCTAACTATCCTAAATATATATGCACTTCAGGAGCACCTAGATTCATAAAGCAAGTTCTTAGAGACCTACAAAGAGAGTCAGACTACCACACAATAATAGTGGGAGATGTTAATACCCCACTGTCAATATTAGATGGATCAACAAGACAGAAAATTAACAAGGATATTCAGGACTTGAACTCTGCTCTGGACCAAGCAGACCTAATAGACATCTACAGAACTCTCCACCCCAAATCAACAGAATATACATTCTTCTCAGCACCAGTTCACACTTACTCTTAAAATCGACCACATAATTGGAAGTAAAACACTCCTTAGCAAATACAAAAGAATGGAAGTCATAACAAACAGTCTCTCAGACCACAGTGCAATCAAATTAGAACTCAGGATTAAGAAACACATTCAAAACTGCACAACTACATGGAAACTGAACAACCTGCTCCTGAATGACTACTGGGTAAATAACAAAATTAAGACAGAAATAAATAAGTTCTTTGAAACTGATGAAAACAAAGACACAATGTACCATACTCTCTGGGGCACAGCAAAAGCAGTGTGCAGAGGGAAATCTATAGCACTAAATTCCAACAGGAGAAAGTGGGAAAGATCTAAAATCAATACCTTAACATCACAATTAAAAGAATTAGAGAAGCAAGAGCAAACAAATTCAAAAGCTAGCAGGGACAAGAAATAACTAAGATCAGAGCAGAACTGAAGGAGATAGAGACATGAAAAATCCTTGAAAACTTCAATGATTCCAGGAGCTGGTTTTTTGAAGATTAACAAAATAGAATTCTAGCCAGACTAATAAAGAAGGAAACAGAGAAGAATCAAATAAACACAATAAAAATGATAAAAGGGATATCACCACTGATCCCAAGGAATACAAACTACCATCAGAGAATGGTACCATAAACACCTCTATGCAAATAAACTAAAAAATCTAGAAGAAATGGATAAATTCCTGGACACATACTCCCTCTCAAGATTAAAACAGGAAGAAGTCGAATCTCTGAAAAGGCCAATAATAAGTTCTGAAATTGAGGCAGTAATTAATAGCCTACCAACCAAGAAACACTGAGGCCAGACAGATTCACAGCTGAATTCTACCAGAGGTACAAAGAGGAGCTGGTATGGTATCAATCCTTCTAAAACTATTCCAAACAATAGAAAAAGAGGGACTCTTCCCTAACTCATTTTATGAGGCCAGCATCATCAGGATACCAAAACCTGGCAGAGAAACAAGAAAAAAAAATTTCAGGCCAATATCCCTGATGAACATTGATGCGAAAATTCTCAATAAAATGGCAAACCAAATTCAGCAACACATTAAAAAGCTTATCCACCACGATCAAGTTGGCTTCATCCCTGGAATGCAAGCCTGCTTCAACATATGCAAATCAATAAAAATAATCCAAAACATAAACAGAACCAGTAACAAAAATCACAATTTTATCTCAATAGATGCAGAAAAGGCCTTTGACAAAATTCAACACCCCTTCATGCTAAAAACACTCAATAAACTAGGTATCTCAAAATAATAAGAGCTATTTATGACAAACCCACAACCAATATCATACTGAATGGGCAAAAACTGGAAGCATTCCCTTCAAAAACTGGCTCAAGACAAGGATGCCCTCTCTCACACTCCTATTCAACATAGTATTGGAAGTTCTGGCCAGGGCAATCAGGCAAGAGAAAGAAACAAAGGTATTCAAATAGGAAGAGAGGAAGTCAAATTGTCTCTGCAGATAACATGATTGTATATTTAGAAAACCCCAGCACCTCAGCCCAAAAACTCCTTAAGCAGATATGCAACTTCAGCAAAGTTTCAGGGTGCAAAATCAATGTAGGAAAATTACAAGCATTCCTTTACACCAATAAAAGATAAACAGAGAGCCAAATAATAAGTGAACTCTCATTCACAATTGCTACAAAGAGAATAAAATACCTAGGAATACAACTTACAAGGGATGTGAAGGACCTCTTCAGGAAGAACTACAAACCACTGCTCAAGGAAATAAGAGAGGACACCAACAAATGGAAAAATAGTCCATGCTCATGGATAGGAAGGATCAATATCGTGTAAATGGCCATACTGCCCAAAGTAATGCATCGATTCAATGCTATCCCCATCAAACTATCATTGACTTTCTTCACAGAATTTTAAAAAACTACTTTAAGTTTCATATAGAACCAAAAAAGAGCTTGTATAGTCAAGACAATCCTAAGCAAACACAACAAAGCTGGAGGCATCATGCTACCTGATCTCAAACTATACAAGACTACAGTAACCAAAACACATGGTACTGATACCAAAACAGATATATAGACCAATGGACCAAAATAGAGGCCTCAGAAATACCACCACACATCTACAACCATCTATCTTTGACAAAGCTGACAAAAACAAGCAATGGGGAAAAGTTCCCTATTTAACAGATGGTGTTGGGAAAAGTGGCTAGCCCTATGCAGAAAACTGAAACTGGACCCCTTCCTTACACCTTATACAAAAATTAACTCAAGATGGATTAAAGATTTAAACATAAGATGTAAAACCATAAAAATTCCAGAAGAAAACCTAGGCAATACCATTCAGGACATAGGTATGGGCAAAGACTTCATGACTAAAGCACCAAAAGCAATTGCAACAAAAGCCAAAATTGACAAATGGGGTCTAATTAAACTAAAGACCTTCTGCACAGCCAAATAATCTATCAGTGTGAAATACAGAATGACAACATACAGAATGGGAGAAAATTTTTGTAATCTATCCATCTGACCAAAGGCTAATATCCAGAATCTTCTAGGAACTTATACAAATTTACAAGAAAAAAACAAACAACCCCATCAAAAAGTGGACGAAAGATATGAACAGATACTTTTCAAAAGAAAACATTTATGCGGCCAACAAACATATGAAAAAAAGCTCATCATCACTGGTCATTAGAGAAATGCAAATCAAAACCACAATGAGATACCATCTCATGCCAGTTAGAATGGTGATCATTAAAAAGTCAGGAAACAGCAGATGCTGGAGAGGATGTGGAGAAATAGGAGTGCTTTTACGCTGTTGGTGGGAGTGAAATTAGTTTAATTATTGTGGAAGACAGTGTGGGGATTCCTCAAGGATCTAGAACTAGAAATACCATTTGACCCAGCAATCCCATTACTGGGTATATACCCAAAGGATTATAAATCATTCTACTACAAAGACACATGCACACGTATGTTTATTGTGGCACTATTCACAATACCAAAGACTAGGAACCAACTCACATGTCCAACAATGATAGACTGGATAAAGAAAATGTGGCACATATCCACCATGGAATACTATACAGCCATAAAAAAAGGATGAGTTAATTTCCTTTGCAGGGACATGGATTAAGCTGGAAACCGTCATTCTCAGCAAACTAACACAGGAACAGAAAACCAAACACCACATGTTCTCACTTATAAGTGGGAGTTGGACAATGAGAACACATGGACACAGGGAGGGGAACATCACACACCAGGGCCTGTCATGGGGTGGGGGCAAGGGGTGGGATAGCATTAGGAGAAATACCTAATGTAGATGATGGGTTGATGGGTGCAGCAAATCACCATGGCACATGTATACCTTTGTAACAAACCTGATTTTTCAGCACATGTATCCCAGAACTTAAAGTGTAAAAAACAAACAAACAAAAAAATCAAGAAAACTCTTTCCTAATAAATTACCCAGTCCCTGGCAGTTCTTCATAGCAGCGTGAGAACAAAGTGATACAGCATGTATTGCCAACAGTGAGAATGTATTTGTAATCAACCATGATTTCTGGAAGTTTAAACTCATTATCCCAAAACAGTGTGGGAGTCCAGTGCCTCAACAACAGCTCATTAACAAGGAAGACTATTTTGGGGGGGAAATTGTGATGGTACAAATGTTTAATCTGTGGTCCATGAAACAGCCTCACCAAAAATAAAAATATTTCTTACCTTGCTGTTACTTTGAAAATTATTTTGTGAAAAAAATATTTAAGTAAAATTATAATGTTTATTCCAAATACATATAGGGTAGCTGAGTATTCTGATATACATGACAAGATAATGATTTTGCAGAGAGGTTAGGAACTCAGTTTAGGAGCCAGACTACCTAGATTAGAATATGACCTCACTATATATATGATTTTGACAAAGTACCTAATCTCTGTGCCTCAATTTCCTCATCTGTAAAATGGAAATAAAAATAGTATCTAACCCAAAGTGTTGAATCTAACACAGAGTAAGAACCCACAAAATATTAGACGTTATTGTTATAATTATCATGATGATGATGATGATGATCATTAAGCCTGACTAAAAATAGGGTGGAAGAGAGGGAGAAAATGAGGGAAGGAAATGAGGTTTATATATCCTTTGGTTTATGTTCAGCATCTAACTTGATGAAACATAGAAGTTTGGTGATCCTATTCCTATGTGCCAAGGTTCTTGCCGGCAGAGGTACTTAGCAAAAGAAGCTAACAGTTGTCCATTATGTTCATCCTGAAGATATATAAGACTTAGTGAATTTTCATTACAAAAATGAGGCTGTTTTACAGAAATATTAATTTGACCCCAACACCCAAAGCTTGTCTTGAAGCAACCTACAAGGCTACTGATATATTGACAGGTTAATTGACCAATTTACATTCACAGCAGGATTAGAGAAACTGTTGACATATGTGCCATACAAATTGTTGAGCTGATTTGTGGACCAAAGAACTGAAATCAAAAGTATGTCACCGTAAAATCCTGTTATCCAATCACTGACATTTCTCTTAATGTCTTGAATTGAACCATGGTGGAAAAATCATTTCCCTTCAGCACTCAACCAGATAAAACTATTTACATCTTCAAGGGCAAATGAGCTCTTGTAGGAATTCCTATCTTCTGAGCCCATTTTAGAAACACTAAGAGCTGTCAACATTGTTACTTTGCCAAGCAAAACTTCAACTAAAAGAAAATTCTGGTATTTTGTGCAAAATAGAGCACCTGTGATGCTTGGCAATACATCTAGTTTTGTTGTTTTGATGAAAAATGAAGCAACCCATGACACTGGAATGCATTGCTGTACGAATTGGCTTGCATTGGTAGCAAGGACTTGGCCAACAACACTGAAAGAAGTGTTTTCTGCTGCTATGAAAGTTGTCAACTTCATCAGAGCTGGATACTTGGATCAACATCTTTTTAAGAAATTTTGTCAAAAAGTGGAATAAGAGTAAAATTTTATTCTAGTATGTGGACCCTTACTGGCATTCCAGAGAACAAGTCAATGCATTTGCGTAAATTTCAGAGGAAAAGAAGAAAAAAAATACACTCGGAACAATTTGAAAGAGAGATACTCATTCATTGCTTCATTTAACTTGGCAAGTATTTTTGGCCGTGTGTGTGAGGTAAATCTTCTGATCCAAAGCCTTGCTCCTGAAAAATCATGAGCAGATTTTTCTACAAAGATGCCAACAGAAGTGCTTCACGGCATGATGTTAAAACTGACAAATCATTGTCGATTTCTCAGCAGGCAGTCTTTAGAGAGCCAGAAGCACTGTAGACCTCTTCTGAGGATTTCTTCAGCTTCTTAGACCTTGAAATGAGCATTTTAAATTCATTCCTTGATGACATGGCATTAGTAGTGCAAATTTTATTAAAGATGACCCCACTGCCTTGAGAACTAAGGAAATGAAGTGACCCAAATTCAATGTAAGAAGACTTATTCAGTCCTCATGCTCTAACATCTGCTCACTCTGACTGGGCAAAACAAATTTTAGTAGATTTGATTCTGTTTGTTTTCATATATATCTGTAAGTTAGAACTTTCAGAAATTTTGCCTTAAAAAAAGCAAATATTCATAATCAACTTGAGTTCAAAGATGACTTAAATGTTTCTATGTCAAAGTCCACTCCACTAAACCAAACAACAAACAGTCTTATTTTGGAAAGAAACTACTGAAAAGAAAGAAAATTACTTTTTCATTTTATTTGCACAATTTGGATTTGTTTTTATTTTTTTCCACTCAGAAGTCACCAGTTTTTTCATGATAACCCCGTCCAAAGAATGCATATGAACACATATTCCTAAAAAGCCACTGAATATCTTTTGGGCTTGTTTTTCTACACAGACCAAAATAATATTTACCAAAAAAAGTTATGTCGTTTTAGATTCTATGCAAAAGAAAGTTGAGAACCAAAGTAAACTAGGCTTCACAGAGAGAAAATTGATAAATTGCCTTAATCTACTGTTCCTGAGATACAGTATGATAGTCTGAGACTAGTCAACTTGCATCTAAGTTGATTAATCATCGGATCTTCCTTGAATACCAAGTTTACAAAGATGCACTGAGCATGAGGTAGTCTTGAACACTTCGGACGTGTTGCAGGTTCAGAAATAAGTCCTGATTGTGTAATAATTTTTAAAGCCTTCTTTATTAATTTAAAGGGGATGTTTTAGATACAGTGCTGGAAAACACATAGGTTTGAACTCATTGCATACAGAGATAATGTGTATGTTCCTAGGGTATATATGACTACCCCTGAAAATGTCTATATCTGAATATTATGAGGAAAGCAACTTCATCTTCCTCCATTCAGATGAGAGGTGACAGCGTGCTGGCAGCCCTCACAGCCCTCGCTCGCTCTCGGCGACTCCTTGGCCTTGGCACCCACTCTGGCAGTGTTTAAGGAGCCCTTCAGCTCGCCACTGTGCTGTGGGAACCCCTTTCTGGGCTGGCCAAGGCCGAAGCCAGCTCCCTCAGCTTGCGGGGAGGTGTGGAGGGAGAAATGCAGGCGGGAACCGGGGCTGCGCTCCGTGCTTGCGGGCCAGTGCTAGTTCCGGGTGGGCATGGGCTCTGTGGTCCACACTCGGAGTGGCCCAACAGCCCCGCTGGCCTGGGCAGTAAGGAGCTTAGCACCTTGGCTAGGAGCTGCTGTGCTCGACTTCTCACCAGGCCTTAGCTGCCTCCCAGCGGGGCAGGGCTCTGGACCTGCAGGCCACCATGCCTGAGTCTCTGCCCACCCCTCCCCCTTCCCCCTCTCCCATCCCGCCAACCCCACCCACCGCCTGCCCCATCAACCACCCAAGGGCTCCACAACACCCAGTCCCATTGACCACCCCAGGGCTGACAAGTGCAGGTGCAGGGCACAGGACTGGCAGACAGCTCCACCTATGGCCCCAGTATGGGATCCACTGGGTGAAGCCAACTGGGCTCCTTAGTCTGGTGGGGACTTGGAGAACCTTTATGTCTAGCTAAGGGATTGTAAATACACCAATAGGCACTCTGTATCTAGCTCAAGGTTTGTAAACACACCAATCAGCACCCTGTGTCTAGCTCAGAGTTTGTGAATGCACCAATGGGGACACTCTGTATCTAGCTACTCTGGTGGGGACTTGGAGAACCTTTGTGTGACACTCTGTATCTAGCTAATCTAGTGGGGATGTGGAGAAATTTTGTGTCTAGCTCAGGGATTGTAAACACACCAATCAGCACCCAGTCAAAAAGGACCAATCAGCTCTCTGTAAAACAGACCAATGGGCTCTCTGTAAAATGGACCAATCAGCAGGATTTGGGTGGGGCCAGATAAGAGAATAAAAGCAGGCTGCCAGAGCCAGCAGTGGCAACCCTCTTGGGTTCCCTTCGACACTGTGGAAGCTTTGTTCTTTTGCTCTTTACAATAAATCTTCTTGCTGCTCACTCTTTGGGTCCACACTACCTTTATGAGCTGTAACACTCACTGCGAAGGTCTGCAGCTTCACTCCTGAAGCCAGCAAGACCATGAATGCATCAGGAGGAATGAACAACTCCAGATGTGCGCTTTAAGAGCTGTAACACTCACCGCAAAGGTCTGCAGCTTCAATCCTGAGCCAGCGAGACCACGAACCCACCAGAAAGAAGAAACTCCAAACACATCCGAACATCAGAAGGAACAAGCTCCGGACATGCTGCCTTAAAGAACTGTAACACTCACTGCGAGGGTCCGTGGCTTCATTCTTAAAGTCAGTGAGACCAAGAACTCAGCAATTCCAGACACACAGACACAGTTCTTTCAATAGTGACAACAAAGATTGCAAACTTATCTGCATGCAAAAAGCTTATATTATGGTTGGAGACCCACATATAGCTGACAGGTCTTGCATGATTATCTAGGACTAATAATCTACTAATTTCAAAATAACAATAGTGATAATGCTACCTGTAGAAATGGAGCAGCACAATACAGAACATCATAGCAAAGAAAGGAAATCACATTATTTGGGAAATTTGTATTATTGTTTTTATCAAAAATACCAAGCCACAAATCAAACAACACATTAGAATAAAATTGGGATCTATTCTCCTTAAACTTAGGTTTATTATTTATTATTCCTGTAATTCATCACTTAAGGTAATAAGGTATTACTACAAAATGAGATTCAAATTTATCAGTACAGATTTTTCTTTTTTTAATTTATGTCTTTTTATACTTTAAGTTGTAGGGTACATGTGCACAACTTGCAGGTTTGTTACATATGTATACATGTGACATATTGGTGGGCTGCACCCATTAACTCGTCATTTACATTAGGTATATCTCCTAATGCTATCCCTCCCCCCTCTCCCCACCCCACAACAGGCCCTGGTGTGTGATGTTCCCCTTCCTGTGTCCAGGTGTTCTCATTGTTCCATTCCCACCTATGAGTGAGAACATGGGATGTTTGGTTTTTTGTCGTTGCAATAGTTTGCTAAGAGTGATGGTTTCCAGCTTCATCCACGTCCCTACAAAGGAAGTGAACTCATCATTTTTTATGGCTGCATAGTATTCCACAGTGTATATGAGCCATGTTTTCTTTATCCAGTCCATCATTGTTGGACATTTGGGTTGGTTCCAAGTCTTTGCTATTGTGAATAGTGCTGCAATGAACATACGTGTGCATGTGTCTTTACAGCAGCATGATTTATACTCCTTTGGGTATACACACAGTAATGGGATGGCTGGGTCAAATGGTATTTCCGGTTCTAGACCCTTGAGGAATCACCACAGTCTTCCACAATGGTTGAACTAGTTTACACTCCCACCAACAGTGTAAAAGTGTTCCTATTTCTCCCCATCCCTTCTAGCACCTGTTGTTTCCTGACTTTCTAATCATCGCTATTCTAACTGGTGTGAGATGGTATCTCATTGTGGTTTTCATTTGCATTTCTCTGATGGCCAGTGATGACGAGCATTTTTTCATGTGTCTGTTGGCTGCATAAATGTCTTCTTTTGAGAAATGCCTGTTCATATCCATCGCCCACTTTTTGATGAGATTCTTTGTTTTTTCTTGTAAATTTGTTTGAGTTCTTTGTAGATTCTGGATATTAGCCCTTTGTCAGATGAGTAGATTGCAAAAATTTTCTCCCATTCTGTAGGTTGCCTGTTCACTCTGATGGTAGTTTCTTTTGCTGTGCAGAAGCTCTTTAGTTTACTTAGATCCCATTTGTCAATTTTGGCTTTTGTTGCCATTGCTTTTGGTGTTTTAGACATGAAGTTCTTGCCCATGCCTATGTCCTGAATGGTATTGCCTAGGCTTTCTTCTAGGGATTTTATGGTTTTAGGTCTACCATTTAAGTCTTTAATCCATCTTGAATTAATTTTTGTACAAGGTGTAAGGAAGGGAACCAGTTTCAGCTTTCTACTTATGGCTAGGCAGTTTGCCCAGCACCATTTGTTAAATAGGGAATCCTTTCCCCATTACTTCTTTTTGTCAGGTTTGTCAAAGATCAGATGGTTGTAGATGTGTAGTATTGTTTCTGAGGGCTCTGTTCTGTTCCATTGGTCTGTATCTCTGTTTTGGTATCAGTACCATGCTGTTTTGGATACTGTAGCCTTGTAGTATAGTTTGAAGCCAGATAGTGTGATGCCTCCAGCTTTGTTCTTCTGGCTTAGGATTGTCTTGTCAATGCAGGCTCTTTTTTGGTTCCATACGAACTTTAAAGTAGTTTTTTCCAATTCTGTGAAGAAAGTCATTGGTAGCTAGATGGGGATGGCATTGAATCTGCAAAATACCTTGGGGAGTATGGCCATTTTCACAATATTGATTCTCCTATCCATGAGCATGGAATATTCTTCCATTTGTTTGTGGTCTCTTTTATTTCATTGAGCAGTGGTTTGTAGTTCTCCTTGAAGAGGTCCTTCACATCCCTTGTAAGTTGGATTCCTAGGTATTTTATTCTCTTTGAAGCAATTGTGAATGAGAGTTCACTCATTATTTGGCTCTCTGTTTGCCTGTTATTGGTGTATAATAATTCTTGTGATTTTTGCACATTGATTTTGTATCCTGAGACTTTGCTGAAGTTGCTTATCAGCTTAAGGAGATTTTGGGCTGAGATGATGGGGTTTTCTAAATATACACTCATGTCATCTGCAAACAGGGACATTTTGGCTTCCTCTTTTACTAATTGAATACCCTTTATTTTTTAATCCTGCCTGATTGCCCTGGCCAGAACTTCCAACACTGTGTTGAATAGGAGTGGTGAGAGAGGGCATCCCTGTCTTGTGCCAGTTTTCAAAGAGAATGCTTCCAGTTTTTGCCCATTCAGTATGATATTGGCTGTGGGTTTGTCATAAATATCTCTTGTTATTTTGAGATATGTCCCATCAATACCTAATTTATTGAGAGTTTTTAGCATGTAGGGTTGTTGAATTTTGTTGAAGGCCTTTTCTGCATCTATTGAGATAATCATACAGTTTTTGTCATTGGTTCTGTTTATATGCTGGATTACATTTATTGATTTGCATATGTTGAACCAGCCTTGCATCCCAGGGATGAAGCCCACTTGATCATGGTGGATAAGCTTTTTGATGTGCTGCTGGATTAAGTTTGCCAGTATTTTATTGAGGATTTTTGCATCGATGTTCATCAGGGATATTGGTCTAAAATTCTCTTTTTTGTCTCTGCCCAGCTTTGGTATCAGGATGATGCTGGCCTCATAAAATGAGTTAGGGAGGATTCCCTCTTTTTCTATTGATTGGAATAGTTTCAGAAAGAATGGTATCAGATCCTCCTTGTACCTCTGGTAGAATTTGGCTATGAATCCATCTGGTCCTGGACTTGTTTTAGTTGGTAGGCTATTAATTATTGCCTCAATTTCAGAGCCTGTTATTGGTCTATTCAGGGATTCAACTTTTCTTGGTTTAGACTTGTGAGAGTGTATGTGTCCAGGAATTCATCCATTTCTTCTAGATTTTCTAGTTTATTTGCATAGAAGTATTTATAGTATTCTCTGATGGTAGTTTGTATTTCTGTGTGATCAGTGGTGATATCCCCTTTATCATTTTTTATTTCATCTATTTGATTCTTCTCTCTTTTCTTCTTTATTAGTCTTGCTAGTGGTCTATCAATTTTGTTGATCTTCTCAAAAAACCAGCTCCTGGATTCATGGATTTTTTGAAGGGTTTTTTGTGTCTCTATTTCCTTCAGTTCTGCTCTGATCTTAGTTATTTCTTTCCTTCTCTTATTTTTTGAAGGTGTTTGCTCTTGCTTCTCTAGTTCTTTTAATTGTAATGTTAGGGTGTCAATTTTGGATCTTTCCTGCTTTCTCTTGTGGGCATTTAGTGCTACAAATTTCCCTCTACACACTGCTTTAAATGTGTCCCAGAGATTCTGGTATGTTTCTTTCTTCTCATTGGTTTCAAAGAACATCTTTATTTCTGCCTTCATTTCGTTACATATGTAGTAGTCATTCAGGAGCAGGTTGTTCAGTTTTCATGTAGTGGAGCAGTTTTGAATGTGTTTGTTAATCCTGAGTTCTAATTTCATTGCACTGTGGTCTGAGAGACAGTTTGTTATAATTTCTGTTCTTTTACATTTGTTAAGGAGTGCTTTACTTCCAACTATGTTGTCAATTTGTAATAAGTGTGATGTGGTGCTGAGAAGAATGTATATTCTGTTGATTTGGGGTGGAGAGTTCTGTAGATGTCTATTAGGTCCACTTGATTCAATTCCTGGATATCCTTTTAAACTTTCTGTCTCATTCATCTGTCTAATGTTGACAGTGTGGTGTTAAAGTCTCCCGCTATTATTGTGTGGAAATCTAAGTCTCTTTCTAGGTCTCTAATGACTTGCTTTATGAATCTGGGTGCTCCTGTATTGGGTGCATATATATTTAGGATAGTTAGCTCTCTTGTTGAATTGATCCCTTTACCATTATGTAATGGCCTTCTTTGTCTCTTTTGATCTTTGTTGGTTTAAAGTCTGTTTTATCAGAGACTAGAACTGCAACCTCTATTATTTTTTTTATTTCCATTTGCTTGGTAGATCTTCCTCCATCCCATTATTTTGAGTCTATCTGTGTCTCTGCATATGAGATGGGTCTCCTGAATACAGCACACTGATGGGTCTTGACTCTTTATCCAATTTGCCAGTCTGTGTCTTTTAATTGGAGCATTTAGCCCATTTACGTTTAAGGTTAATATTATTATGTGTGAATTTGATCCTGTCATTATGATGTTAGCTGGTTCTTTTGCTCATTAGTTGATGCAGTTTCTTCCTAGCATTGATGGTCTTTACAATTTGGCATGTTTTTGCAGTGGCTGGTACCAGTTGTTCCTTTCCATGTTTAGTGCTTCCTTCAGGAGGTCTCGCAGGGCAGGCCTGGTGGTGACAAAATCTCTCAGCATTTGCTTGTCTGTAAAGGATTTTATTTCTCCTTCACTTATGAAGCTTTGTTTGGTTAGATATAAAATTCTGGGTTGCAAATTCTTTTCTTTAAAAATGTTGAATATTGGCCCCCACTCTCTTCTTGCTTGTAGAGTTTCTGCTGAGAGATTCGCTGTTAGTCTGATGGGCCTCCCTTTGTGGGTAACCCAACCTTTCTCTCTGGCTGCCGCTAACATTTTTTCCTTCATTTCAACATTGGTGTATCTGATAATTATGTGTCTTGGAGTTGCTCTTCTCAAGGAGTATCTTTGCGGTGGGTTCTCTGAATTTCCTGAATTTGAATGTTGACCTGCCTTGCTAGGTTGGGGAAGTTCTCCTGGATAATATCCTGCAGAGTGTTTTCCAACTTGGTTCCATTCTCCCTGTCACTTTCAGGTAAACCAATGATGCGTAGATTTGGTCTTTTCACATAGTCCCATATTTCTTGGAGGCTTTGTTTGTTTCTTTTTACTCTTTTTTCTCTAAACTTCTCTTCTCACTTCATTTCATTCATTTGATCTTCAATCACTGATACCCTTTCTTCCAGTTGATTGAATCAGGTACTGAAGCTTGTGTATGCATCACGTAGTTCTTGTGCCATGGTTTTCAGCTCCATCAGGTCATTTAAGGACTTCTCTACACTAGTTATTCTAGTTAGCCATTCCTCTAATCTTTTTTCAAGGTTTTTAGCTTCTTTGTGATGGGTTCGAACACCTCCTTTAGCTCAGAGAAGTTTGATCATCTGACTCCTTCTTCTCTCAACTCATCATTCAGCTTTGTTCCATTGCTGGCAAGGAGCTGCATTCCTTTGGAGGGGGAGAGACGGTCTGATTTTTAGAATTTTCAGCTTTTCTGCTCTGCTTTTTCCCCATTTTGTGGTTTTATCTACCTTTGGTCTTTGATGATGGTGATGTACAGATGGGGTTTTGGTGTGGATGTCCTTTCTGTTTGTTAGTTTTCCTTCTAACAGTCAGGACCCTCAGCTGCAGGTCTATTGGAGTTTGCTGGAGGTCTCCTCCTGACCCTGTTTGCCTGGGTATCAGCAGCAGAGGCTGCAGAACAGTGAATACTGCTGAAAAGCAAATGTTGCTGCCTGATCATTCCTTTGAAAGCTTCATCTCAGAGGGGTACCCGGCCATGTGAGGTGTCAGTCTGCCCCTACTGGGGGGCACATCCCAGTTAGGCTACTCGGGGGTCAAGGACCCATTTGAGGAGGCAGTCTGACCATTCTCAGATATCAAACTCCATGCTGGGAGAACCACTACTCTCTTCAAAGCTGTCAGACAGGGACATTTAAGTCTGCAGAGGTTTCTGCTGCCTTTTGTTCGGCTTTGCCCTGCCCCTAGAGGTGGAGTCTACAGAGGCAGGCAGGCCTCCTTGAGCTGAGGTGTGCGCCACCCAGCTCGAGCTTCCCAGCCACTTTGTTTACCTACTCAAGCCTCAACAATGGTGGGCAACCCTCCCCCAGCCTCGCTGCAGCCTTGCAGTTTGATCTCAGACTGCTGTGCTAGCAATGAGCGATGCTCCATGGGTGTGGGACCCTCCAAGCCAGGCATGGGATATAATCTCCTGGTGTGCCGTTTGCTAAGACCATTGGAAAAGCACAGTATTAGGGTGGGAGCATCCCGATTTTCCAGGTACTTTCTGTCATGGCTTCCCTTGGCTAGGAAAGGGAATTCCCTGACCCCTTGTGCTTTCCAGGTGAGGTGATGCCCTGCCCTGCTTCAGCTTACAGTCCATGGGCTGCATCCACTATCCAACAAGCCCCAGTGAGATGAACCCGGTACCTCAGTTGGCAATGCAGAAATCACCCGTCTTCTGCATCACTCACGCTGGGAGCTATAGACTGGAGCTGTTCCTATTCAGCCATCTTGGAACCACCAGATTTTTCAAATAAGCACGAGTAATAGTATTTACAAAAGAATAGTTTGAAAACACTCATGACTTAATTTCTAGTGAAATAAATGCCAATAATAAAGAGAACAAATGCCACAGAATTTCTGGAGATGATGTATTATCAAGCTTTGTGATTGATAATCTATATACTTTTGAAGAAGAGCATGTTCTAGGTTTTGAAGATTATAAAACCTTTATTGTTTGCTGTTTGTTACATAGTGTGATCTTCTTGAACACAGATTTCCATTAGAATTCTTCTATTTTCCTGTTTGAACTGCTTACTAGTACTCAATAAAATAGCTTAATTGCCATGGTCCAAATTCTGTGTCCTCCTAAAATTCATATGTTGAAATATAATCCCTAATATTAGTATTAGGAGGTGGGGTCTTTCAGAGTTAATGGGATTAGTACCCTTCTGAAAGAGATGCTGAAGCTCTAGCTCACTCCTTCTACCAGGTGAGGATACAACTATGAACCAGAAAGGGGGCTCTTACCACACACCAAATCTGCTGATATCTCGATCTTGGACTTTTCAGCCTCCAGAACTGTGAGAAATAAATTTTTATTGTTTATAAGCTACCCAGTTTATAGTAGTTTGTTTTAGCAGGCCAAATTGACTAAACATTAATATATCTTGGAATATTTGCTTTTTGTATATGCGTGTGAATGACATTGTAATTCCTTCAAAATTATTTTTTTGCTTTATGTATTAAACCAGTTATTTCATCAAATGACTTATTTTCATATACTTTTGCTACTTGTATAGAAATTCATGTAAACATATTTTACTTTGCTATTTAATTTGTACCAATGTTTACTGATATATTTTCTCACCTGCATGTTCTATGTAGACTTTTCCACATTTCTTTTATCTAGTGGATAGCTTTTCCGTCAACAAAATTAATTAAAATACAGTGCCAATATGTGCTCTATGTTTAGTAAAGGACTCAATTTACCAGTAAATTTGTTACATTTTTTGCCTGTTATGTATCACTATGAATATATTTCTCTTAGTTATTTAATTTTATATATTTATATAATTTATTGAAAATTGCCATATACTCAGAATTCATGACTTCCCACTGGATTTTGGTATACTGTACAATGTAGTTCATAACCAATAGGCCACACCAAAAGAACATAGAAGCCAGTATGAAGGGCTCCTCTTAGCCAAAGATGGAACAATCAGAGCATCAAAAATTTTTTGAATGCAGTGGACTGAAACATATCAACTGTGTAGAAACGCATATAAAAGAGAGAAAGCATTTCCTCTCACTCCCTAGATCAAAAACCTATTGGTTACCATTGAAAGTAACTAGAAAACCAACTCCTCCTTCTAAAGATTCGTTTTTAAAATAAAATATTAAGCATCAATTTTGCCAGTATCTGATTTTCCTATATTTCCGGGTAGCTAAATAGACCTAAATGATAAGATAATTCCAACTAATAAATGTACAAGGAATGGTGGCATTAGAAAAATCAACATTTTGGAATTCCAAATGAAACATTTGAGCCAGAAAAACAGTGTCAGTAGATGACACCATTAGATGAAAGTATTCATGAGGAATTTTACAACAGAGGCATCAGGTTGTCACCACCTGAACACACTGATCAATCTTAGCATCATAAAAGTGGGGCCAGATGTTGTATGCTTCCTGCTGTGATACAGCATGAAGCAGCCAGTTCTACCTTTGAAGTATTCTTACCAAAAAAGTTGAACACATATCTATTAAAGCCTCCAGAGCTTACTTCCAGTCAAATGTAATGCATTTAACGTATATGAAGCAAATATGGCAAAATATTGGTAATTATTGAATCTGGGTGAAATGTAGAGTGTGATTCAATAAACTATTCTTTCTAGTTTTGTGTATGTTTGAAAACTGCATAATTAAAAATAACACTCACACATAATTAGGATGCATCTTATATTCCTGTATATCTTAAATTCCAAAAATACTGCCCCTTTGTGGTATGAAGAGGTTATGCAGATGTTAAAACATTTTAAGAGATGTGGCTTATGCTAAGGATGTCACCCTCATTTTAATCATAATCATCACAAACTGACAGACAAACTAAGGCTAAGAAAGGTGTTAATTAATTTACTTAAGATCACAGACAAGAATATGGCAAAGATGAAATTCATGTTCAGCACTTACACCACAAAGATTATATTTTTAACTCTAAACAAGGGGTAGTAGGTGTTCCATTCCCCACAACCCAATATTCCCCACAAACCAAGAGTTTATGGCAAGTTTGTTTAACATATATTATGATGAACTGATCCATAGTTTCAAGAAAGAAAACCACGTAATCTCAGCATCTGAATCCCACCCTAATGTTTAGAGAATTCTCCTTATTCTCCATATGAGTTTTGGAGGCAGGAAAAACCTACCTGCCACTATTGTAATTAAAAACGCAGGTATTTACTTTCCCAATCTCCTCTGAGCTTGCATCTGAACTATGCCCTACATTCTAGCAGATAACACGCTTGCCCCAGATGTTGAATTGAGTGCAGAATACACCAAAGAAGAGAGGAACACGAAGAATTTTTCAGCAGTGGTTTTTGCAGCAAGATTGAGTGTCCTGGGCTCCAAGTGACTGAATATCCAATGTTCAATGCCAGTGGCATTCACTGTGTGAACTGCAGCAGAGGCTCATAGAGGACAGATTTGCAAGATGGTATTTGATTATGCTGTCTGCATAGCCTCCACACTGGTTCTCCAAACCTCTTGGTGATTATGTGACTTACCCAATACCCATTTAATAAATTCCTTTTCTGCCCAAACAGACAGAATAAATTCCTTGCAACTAAACACATTAGCTGATTTACCAGTTAAGAATCAATTTAGATCCTAAAGTCAAACAAAGCATACATCAAAATAAATGCCAAGTGAATTAATATATTGTTTTTAAATGATATGTTTAAAATTAAGAAAACTTAGATGAATATCTGATCTCTGAATAGAGAAGGTCTTTGTGGATTTAAAGTAAATAGTTTTTTACATGGACCAGTAATTCTATAACTTAAAGACTAATATGATAATATGTTTAAAGAAATATTTGCAACATTTTTGGCACAGTTTTACTATTTTATAGGTGTATAATGTTTTACAGGTTAATAAACCACTAATCAGTAAAATGGCAAAGAATGTGAATACAAAATTTACAAAAAGGAAAATATGAGCCAATATACATCTGGGAAACCAGTGCAGGCTCAACAATGAAAAAAAGCCCACAAGTAATCCAGAATTCTCATTTATTTATTTAATAAATACCACGTATTTTCTAAGTGCCATTTCAGGTAATAATAGTACATCAATGAACAAAGGTAAGCCAATGATTTTGATCTGCTCTTATCTCAAACCTCTTCTAGATTTGTCATTAGTTCTCATAATAGCCAGTTATATTTTTCACTTTTTTTTTCTCTTCCCTGAAATCTGGTGAAAAGAGTTCACAATCAGGAAAGTACTTAAAATGCAGAGTATGAGAAATGAGTAATTATGCATAATAATTCACAAAGTGGACAAACATATGGGAATAGTCAAGTGAAATTTATCAAACTAATGAGTAAGTGAGCAATGGTCAGGAAATGAAAAAATTAGTTACTCCTAAATATAAATAAAAAAATAAGTCATTTTCTAGGAAAAATGAGACAGGCATGCTATTTTGATAAATGTCCGTGACTTACTCAGGCTCTAAAATTATTCAGAGGAAATTGTGGTATGAGACAAAAACTCAAATATTCCTCTCCACAGCCTTACAAACTCGGCATTTGATCCCATGTATCACCTCCAAAGGGGAAATTTATACTGTAAATAAAATTGCTCCTTGATCATTGGTTTTCATTTCTAAAACTACAAATTTATTTTTAACTTGGTGTGATGGATCAACCACTTAGGAAAGGTCAACTTTGTCTTCATGACTGTGAGATGTTATGTATGGGGGTAGATTTTCAGAAAGCTACAGGGCATAGGTGATACATAGTTCATTGCACCACTCTACGATTCCTGGGATGCCTGTGATGTTCACTCCATCCAAGCATTTGTTTTTAAGAGTTTGTGATATTCTGGGCTCATCTTTAAAAAGTAATAATTAGATGAAAAGAGTAATTAAAATGTGTTGAATTATAGAGAATTAAATATTAAAGTGTGTGGGGGAGATTGGGGATATGTTTAGTCAAAGGATACAAAATTTCAGTCAGGAGGAATAAGTTCAAGAGATCTACTGTACAGCATGGTGACTATAGTTAATAACAATGTGTTGTATTCTTGAGAATTACCAGGAGTAGATGTTAAGTGTCTAACCACAAAAAAAGTGTGTGAGGTAATGGATATGTTAAATAGTTCAATTTAGCTATTTCAAAATATGTGTGTGTATCATATTGTATACCACAAATATATACAATTTTTATTTTTCAATTTAAAAAATAAAAACATAGCTTAAAAGATAAATTATATGGCCCTTGTCCTCAAAGAACTTAGAGTCTACTAAGAAAGATAGATAATTCGACATATTCTTTTTTTTTTTTTTTTTTTTTTGAGACGGAGTCTCGCTCTGTCGCCCAAGCTGGAGTGCAGTGGCGCAAACTCCGCTCACTGCAAGCTCCGCCTCCCAGGTTCACGCCATTCTCCTGCCTCAGCCTCCAGAGTAGCTGGGACCATGGGCGCCTGCCACTACGCCCAGCTATTTTTTTGTATTTTTAGTAGAGACGAAGGGGTTTCACCATGTTAGCCAGGATGGTCTCGGTCTTCTGACCTCATGATCCACCCGCCTCGGCCTCCCAAAGTGCTGGGATTACAGGCGTGAGCCACCGCGCCCGGCCAATTCAACATATTCTTAAAATAACTGTACTACCACTTATAAGGGACATCAGTATAAGCTGATTGAATAGGTGGAATGGTTTGTCTGTATGGCTAAGATAATCAGAGTTTATTTCTTACATAAACCATTTAAAAGTGCATCATAACTTACTTAATGAGTTAGCCCTAATTCTTTACATGAACAATCTAATTTGTAATGGAGTTAGAGTGCTAACTATTAAATGTGAGATTGAGAAATAAAGATCAGGTTTTGAATGTACATATTATATACATATTTAAATATTTTTGAGAAGATAATAAAAATATTTATCTAAATCTTCAAAAAAATTAGCAATTATCTAGTGCAAATCTCTACCCACTGGAGCCATTGACACTTTCTCCCCCAAATACCAACTTATTTTAATTTAAGTTGGATTTAGGTTTAGCATCATCACCTTCCATAGGAAGCCTGAGCATAAACTTGGTTTAAAGCAGTAAAGATTGCATGATTCTATGGGTGTTCCCTTTGCTCACACAATAGAGAAAAATGTCAAAATATTTTGAATTTGAAAAAGTGTATTAATTCTAAAACCACATGAATTTCCATCTAAAGTAAATAATTTTTATTGACATTTTCAAGATTAAAAAACATTAAAATAGAATTCTAAAATATTTAAATGACATGTTCATAAATTAATGTTAGACTATTATATAGGTTTTTAATTAAACTTTAAGTTCTATGATACATGTGCAGAATGTGCAGGTTTGTTACATGGGTATCCATGTGCCATGGTGGTTTGCTGCACCCATCAACCCGTCATCTAAGTTTTAAGCCCTGCATGCATTAGGCACTTGTCCCAGTGCTCTCCCTCCCCTTGCCCCCCACCCCCTGACAGGCCCCAGTGTGTGATGTTCCCCTCCCTGTGTCCATGTGCTCTCACTGTTCAACTCCCACTTATGAGTGAGAACATGTGGTGTTTTGTTTTCTGTTCCTATGTTAGTTTGCTGAGAATGATGGTTTCCAGCTTCATCCATGTCCCTGCAAAGGACATGAACTCATCCTTTTTTTTTTTAATGGCTGCATAGAATTCCATGGTTTATATGTGCTACATTTTCTTTATCCAGTCTATCATTGATGGACATTTGGGTTGGTTCCAAGCCTTTACTATTGTGAATAGCACTGCAATAAACATACATGTGCATGTGTCTTTATAGTAGAATTATTTATAATCCTTTGGGTATATACCCAGTAATGGTATTGCTGGGTCAAATTGTATTTCTAGTTCTAGATCCTTGAGGAATCGTCACACTGTCTTCCACAATGGTTGAACTAATTTACAATCCCACCAGCAATGTAAAAGCGTTCCCATTTCCTCACATCTTCTCTAGCATCTGTTGTTTCCTGACTTTTTAATGAACAACGTTCAACTGGCATGAGATGGTATCTCATTGTGGTTTTGATTTGCATTTCTCTAATGACCAGTGATGATGAGTTTTTTTCATATGTTTTGGCCGCATAAATGTCTTCTTTTGAGATGTGTCTGTTCATATCCTTTGCCCACTTTTTGGTGGGGTTTATTATATAGTTTATATAGTTTTCTATTGCTGCATAACAGAATATCACAAATTTATCAGCTTAAAACATCCATCTATTATTTCACAGATCTGTAGATCAGAATTCCACGTGGTCTCCCAAGATCAAAATCATGGTATCAGCCTGGTTGGTGAAAAATCAACTTCTCAGCTGTGCCAGGGCTGCAGTAACAAAGTTCCACAGACCAGGTGTTTTAAACAACAGAAATGTATTTTCTCAGTTATGGAGGCCAGAAATCCATCTTGATTGGATATTCCATGGGGTTAGCAGAAGAAAAACCAGGCTCTGTGTTCTGTATTCTATATAAAATTTTACCAATGCCCCAAACTATTCCACAATATCTGAAGACAGTTTTAAATTTACAATGCCAGTAGAGCTACTGGCTAAACTTAAATACAACAGCTTAACAGGAAATAACTTATTCAAAGATGGCTCTTAAGACATTCATAAAATACCTAGTCAAATTTGTTTCCCTAATTGACTAACTTATTTCCTGTTACTTGCTTAGGTGTTTATATAAGAGTAACTTTCCTTCATACTGATTGAGCCCATGTATAGCCATACAACATTTGATCTAAAATTAACACCTAACCTCAAAACAATTATCATTCTAATGAGAGAGGGAGACAGGTGGAGGGCTTATGGAGGGGAAAAATGCATTAAACCTATGTTTAAATGTCATATGGCTCACTCACAAACTTTGCTGGGTCCTTTATCATCCCTTGCCCAGATTATTGCAATAGCCTTCTTTCTGGTCTCTCTTACCCCAGTATTAGAATGTTCTGTCTTCCTCAAATGCATCCTCTGCATTGCTGCCAGAGTGATCTTACCAAAATACTCTGCATTATCTACAAGTTAAAATCCAAGCTCCTTAGTATGGCCTATGTCATCTACAAGTCACTAATGGCCCCCCGGACCATTTTTCCAGGTCCATCTCTTATCATTCCACATTGCTACTAATGCTCCAGACAAGTCATCTGCTAGTGAGTGTTTCTGCAAACACATTTGTTACCACCTTATTCTCAAGATGTAATTGATAGTTATCTAAAATGTGTTGAATGAATGAATAAATCATACTCTGTCACGCCTCTGTACATTTCTGTACATTGCTACTGAACAAAAATTCCTTCTCCATCCCATATTGTTTCTCTCTGAATTCCAACTACACTTCCAAATCCTGCTCAGGTGTCACTCTTGGCCAGAATCTTTCCCTGATCACCACCTCCCTCCTACAATACACTTAATCACACTCTCATTAATCCCACCTTGTGTATCCTTGTGAATTCTTAAGCATATATGTCACAATTTAATCATCTATTTTTTGGATTTTTTTCATGATCCACAGACTGCCTGCATCAACATCACTTGGCAAAGTCTTAGGTATGCAAATTTTTAGTCCCCTCTTTAGACCTGTTGAATCAGAAACTCTGGGAGTGGGGCCCAGCAATCCATGGTGTAACAAGTTCTCCAGGTGATTCTGATAAAAGCTAAAATTAGAAAACCCACTCTCCTGGGAACTTCCCTTACTCATCTTAAATATCCTAAATCACTGGCACAAAGTAGATAATAAACAAATGTTTACTGAGCTGAACTTTAGCCTCTAAGCCTTTAATTCAATAAAACCACCACTGGTCTTCTGGAAGACTTCCCCAGATAAGATTCTAAGGAAATGTTTAAAACAACACCAAAAAAGACTGAGACTGAAAGACATCTGTTGACCCTGGGCTAGTTTATTTTGGCAATGAAAATGGTAAAAATACATATATACATGTAGAGCTGTGAAGAATTTTCTAAATAATCTTTATAACAATGTTTACAGAATATGTCCAAAAAACCATAAGACCTATGCCAAAATTTAGTAGCAATTTATTTTTCCCTTCAAAAAATTATCTCAAACCATAAATTTAAGTTATGTGAAAGTTATGAAGTTACTGGCAGGAAATATCATCTCATTGAAAATTGGGAGAATTTTGTTGTTGTTGTTATTGAGTTTCCCTTTACTGCAAGAATTTATTTGGCTATAAATCTAGAGCATCTTGGGAATTAATAGGTGTGGTCCCTTGGCCCTTTATCTCCAAAAAGCATCCTATTCTATCAAGAATTATACTATTAAATGGAAGGCATTAGTCCTCCTCTGGCTGAAATCACCATTGCCCGTTTATCTGACTTTGTGTTCTTTCAAAAGAGCCTACAGGAATTAGAGGCAATCAAAAATATATCCTGGAGGCAGCAAATGCACTCAATCCAGCCCCTGGGAGTACATCAATCAGATAACAGTAAACAAGAACCTGGTGTTCTTGGCCACTACTTCTGGCACTTTCTTTGCTTAAGATTAGTAGTACATATATCCAGAACACTCTGAGCAGCTCACTATTGATAACATTCTCATTGTATAAATCAATACTTTTAATATACTTCCCTATGAAAGAAAAGATCAGTTCAGGAGAAGAAAGATCTTTCACAGCTATGATGGGTCCCCTCCTCTGTTTGTAACAAATGCTCTCTTACCAGTTCACCAAAACTCCCACCCCTTTTTGAGAAAAGCTACTCCTTATTCCAGGAAAGTTAAAAATCAACTCAGAAGTACCTGAGGTTGAAGTAGAGTCTCTGAGCTGACAAGCGGGATGTTCAGAGGCTCTACATTCTCTCTCCTCTGCCCTTTTACCCATCAACTATAAAAGTGTGGTTATGCAAATTTTCAGCTACAGAGAAGGGGCAAGGGAATTTTGATAAGAGAAAAGTTAGAGCAACATAAATCCTTGTCTAAAGCACCTAAATCCTTAGAAGTGATCTAAGAAATAAAGCATTACTCCCCGTACTCAAAGGAAAAAAATTTCAGAAACTTCTGTATTATCTGCTATGTACCTTCTACACAGAAATAAAAACACAAAGGTTTCTGCTTATCTATTTAAATTGCTAAAATTCCTGAATACCCTATTGTGAACATCAGAGTTCATGCCAGTTAAGCCAACAGAAAGACTTGCATACTGGATAGCTGTTTGGAAGAGCTGAAAAACCCAGAAATTAGCAACAGAAGAAGGCTGTAACCACCTCTAGGCCCAAAGAGACCAAAAAAAAAAAAAAAAAAAAAAGAGGGTGCTGAGGGAGGGCTGGAACAGTGATAGATGGCCAGTCCTGCAAAAGCTATCACTATGACTAGACATACTCACTGCGAGAAGGGGCTCTCCCCAATCCAGAGAAAAAGAGAGGGGTAGCTATATCCAGGCTTCTTGTCCTCCAATTTCCAATCTTCCATGTCTAAACCCAGAAAGCTTTTTCAAGACATCTCAAAAAATGAAATGGGCAAAGGATAGTCAGAAACTGAGAGCAAATAGGCAAATGACCAGCTCACCCACCATCCTAGTTGTTGTTTTTAATGTTCTTTGAGACATTAAAATGCTATATGATACATACAGCTGTAATTGTTTAACTTTTAAAGATTAATGAATGAATAGTAGAAGTTCCTATAAACTATTCCTATATTAAAAACAAAAGCTGTTTTAAAATTACTCCCAGAGTATAGCCATGAGAAAATATAACTAGCATTAAAAAAAATTATATAACATTATAAATGCATCTCACATATTATAGCAATTATGCTTCTCTGAAAGGAAATCGTCAAATTCTATGATAGCCTGTGAGAATAGGCTTCTTATGAAAGCATGAGCAGAAAATTTACATGGAAAACTATGGTTATAAGGTTATAATGGTTACATTCTAGAACGTAGAGAGGACTGACAAGGATTTCAGCAAAATCACCTTATTTTTAAAATACTAATAATTATGATGATAAAAGTAATTAAAATATGTTGAATTAAAACATGTTAAATACTAAGTCAAATGCTAACTTACTAGGTATCATCTAGTACAAACCTCCATCCACTGCAGTTATTGCCTATTTCTCCCTCAAATACTAAATTATTTTAATTCAACCGATATTGCATGCTTCACACCCACAAAGAGTATGTATTAGGAGTTACTGAAGCTAAAAGAGTACATTAAGAATTGGTATCATTTGTTGAACACTTACCATGTGCAAGGTACTGTGTTAAACTCATCAGATGTCTGTCTTAGTCCATCTGTTTTGTGCTGCTATAACAAATACTGGAGACTAATTTATAAATAACAGAAATTAATTTTCTCACAGCTCTGGAGACTGGGAAATCTAAGATAACGGTGCCAACAGATTTGGTTATCTGGTTAGGGCTGCTCTCTGCTTCCAAGATGGTGTCATGTTGCTGATTCGTGCAGAGGAGAGGAGCACTGTCTTCACATGACAGAATGTAGAAAGGCAAGAAAGCCAAACACTGCATGAAGCCTCTTTCGTAAAGGCCTTAATCCCTTTTAGGAGGGAGGAGCCCTCACGGCTTAATCATCTCTTAAAGGGCTTACCTCTTAATGCTATCACATTGGCCATTAAGTTTCAACACCTGAATTTTAGACGGGACACATTAAAACCATAACATTACTTAGCTACAATTTTTCCTCCACAAACCCCCATGAGGTGAGTACTGTCAATATCTCCATTTTACAGATAAAGACATTGAGACATGGGGACATTAAATAACTTGCACAAAGTCACACATCTAATAATACAAAGGCAGATTTTTAGTCTAGCAGACTCTGTGCCTTGCCATGAAAATACACTGTTTCTCTTAGTGATAAGATCAAAACCTAATACTGAAGAGGAAGTAAGTAGCAATGACAATGACCAAAAATTGATTAAAATTAATTCTACCAGAAAAGGTACAGAGTGTTGTAGAAACAGGTTCATGATAGGTCTGTCCAGGTCAGGTTGATCCATCAAAATTCATTCAGCCCCTACTATGTCCCAGGGCTGTGCTAGGCTCTAGGGATATAGAGGAGACATGGTACCTGCTAAGAAGGAGCACAAGGCTAGTAGAGAAGAGATCCGTGTATACAATAATTACAATAAGATGCACTATGTAAGTCATATACAAATACAAAAGCATTTGTATTTGTGCCAGGCATAAAAGTCCAGATGCTTGTCCACTTATGATGGGATTATGTCCTGAAAGTCAAAAAATCATAAGTCAAACTGTTGTTAAGTCAGCAACCATCTGTAGACATCATTTTAAAATAAGCATTATGAATAAGGGTAATAATACATTATAGATATTTTACTGATAACTTCCTGGGAAATTTTCTAAGAATTACAAATTCTAATTTTTAAAATGCCTTCTTGATAGATGTTTTTATTTCTGTATTACCCAACACTGCATTCCATTGCAAACTTAGAGAGTTTTAGAATCAAATGGAGGTCGAGATGTCATCTCCATTTTCCTGCACTCCTATCCCAACTCTGTCCTAACATACCAGACAGATGAGAAAATCCTCTACTTTTGTAGGCAGCCAGAGAAGGGATTGCACAACCTCACTTAGTAGCCCATTCCAAAGTTTAACAGCCTATTGGTTCAGCCAGCTCTCTTTTCCATGTTATCTTAAGGGCCAGTATTTTGTTCTTTCTAGAGAAATAAAGTCTAGGCTCTTGGACATCATGTAATTTTTGTTTGTTTGTTTTGATCTAAGGAGGCTGAAATATCCTTAGCAACTGTTAAGCTTTGCTCAGATCCTTTGATCACGAGACATCCTAACCCCTTGCTGCAATCGCTTTCACATGCACAATATGGCCTAATAGCCTTAAATCAACGCATTAAAAAAAATATATAGTACCGACAAAGTTTCAGGACTTACACAAGGAATTTTCTCATAGAGCATTCCACTTAATTCCTACAATCCAATGAGTAAAAATTATAATATATTTTAACTGGAGGAGGTCCTTCTATTCTATGCATATTATCTTTCTCCATAGAATAGCAATAATTTCTCTTTATGAAAAGGATTAATGCATTATTTTTAGACTACTCTATTTCCCCCAAAGATAGAAATGCCAAAAAGATTTGTGCTTCACTCTGAAAAATCATACGTTGTGACCCTGGTGATAAGGAAAATAACTTAACATTATCTATTACCAAATTTAGAAATTCTTCCTGGAGCTCATTTTCCCATGTGAGCACCTGGCAAGCACACTTTATTCTCCCTCCTCCATCAGAATAGCCAATCTGTCTTTTTGCTGTTGGAGGCAAAAATGAACTCCACATTTTCTAGTTGGTTCTTGAATAGGATCTTACAAAGTATTGATATGGTTTTGATAACTGGAGGAACACCAGGGTTTTTGGTTTTGCACTGATTTAGATAAAACAACACGGACACATGTGGAGTGGTTTTAAGGAGCGGAGAGTTTAATAGGCAAGACAGAAGAAAGAGGCTTTGCCCTACAGAAAGAGAGGGAGGGGGCTTTTTGTTTGTTTTCTGAGACCGAGTCTCGCTCTGTCGCACAGGCTGGAGTGCAGTAGTGTGATCCCGGGTCACTGCAACCTCCGCCTCCCAGGTTGAAGCGATTCTCCAGCCTCAGCCTCCCGAGTAGCTGGGACTACAGGCATGCACCACCACACCCAGCTAATTGTTTTGTATTTTTAGTAGAGACGGGGTTTCACCTTGTTAGCCAGGCTGGTGTGGAACTCCTGACCTCAGGCAATCCACCAGTGTCTGCCTCCCAAGGTGCTGGAATTTCAGGCGTGAGCCACCGCACCTGGCCAGGAAGGGGGCTTTAAGCCCAGAGAGGATACCCTGAGTATGGTGGAAAACAGCCGGTTATATGAGGAGGCTGGAGGAGGTGGTGTTTGATTTGCATAGGGCCTAGGGGATTGGTTTGACCAGGTGTATTATTTATGTAGCCCATGAAAATACTGGCCCTTTTACCCTAGCTTTCAATATGCAAATGAAGGGCGCCATGATGTTTTACACACGTGGGGATATGTGGGGGCAGCCATGTTGCCAGGCACATGTTGAGGCAAGGAGAGGGCAGGAATTGCTATGTTTGGGTGGGTCCTTTTTTTTTTTTTTTTGAGAGGGAGTCTCCCTCTGTTGCCCAGGCTGGAGTGCAGTGGCGCATCTCGGCTCACTGCAAGCTCCGCCTCCCAGGTTCACGCTATTCTCCTGCCTCAGTCTCCCCAGTAGCTGGGACTACAGGCGCCGGCCATCACGCCTGGCTAATTTTTTGTATTTTTTTTTCTTTTTAAGTAGAGACGGGATTTCACCGTGTTAGCCAGGATGGTCTCGATCTTCTGACCCTGTGATCCGCCCGCCTCGGCCTCCCAAAGTGCTGGGATTACAGGTGTGAGCCACCGTGCTCCGCCGGGTGGATCCTATTTTTAATGGCCTGTATTTGCATATTAAAGCTTGCCTGCCTTTCTGTAAGAGCCAGGGCTTTCCTGCTAGACAAGAAACGTTTCTGGAGCTGCTTTAAAAGAAACAAAAACTGGCCAGGCGCGGTGGCTCACGCCTGTAATCCCAGCACTTTGGGAGGCCGAGGCGGGTGGATCACCAGGTCAGGAGATCGAGACCATCCTGGCTAACACGGTGAAACCCCATCTCTACTAAAAACATAAAAAAATTAGCCGGGCGTGGTGGCGGGCTCCTGTAGTCCCAGCTACTCTGGAGGCTGAGGCGGGAGAATGGCATCAACCCAGGAGGCGGAGCTTGCAGTGAGCCGAGATCACGCCATTGCACTCCAGCCTGGGCGACAGAGCCAGACTCCGTCTCAAAAAAAAAAAAAAAGAAAAGAAAGACTTCCCAAGGGTACTTTTTCCTCTTTATTTGCCTGAAATAATTTTTTAATAACTCATATAACAGTATGCACCATAATTTATTTCTCAATGGTTTATATAATATTCTGTAAATATATTTTAACATCTTTGAATTTTTTAAATAAAGTCAGGCTTTTCTGACACTGTCACTTCAACTTGCCTAATTTAAACATGAATATGACTTTACAAATTAGGCTTTGGCAAATATATTCTATAAATTGGGCTAAATCTGCAAACATCAAAGTTTCTGAGAAAAGTATATTTAAAGCAATGTGAAAAGATAAAAGGAAAAATATCGAAAAAATGTTATACTGTAGGCCCCCCTTATCCAGTTTCACTTTCTGCAGTGGGTTATCTTTGGTCAACAATGGTCCAAAGAATTAAATGGAAAATTCCAGGAATATCGTAAGTTTTGCACTGCATGCCATTCTGAGCAGTGTGATGAAATCCCGCATTGTCTCATTCCATCCTGCCTGGGATGCGAATTCTTTCTCTGTCTAGGGTAACCATGCTGGCTTCTCTACCTGTTAGTTAGTCACAGTAGCTGTTACAAACCAAAAAGTATCTGAGACATCTGAGACAGGTCTCAAGCAATTTCGAAAGTTTATTTTGCCAAGGTTAAGGACACCCACCTCAGAGGCAGGTCTGTGCCTTTGTCGGAAGATGATTTTGAGGGCTTCAATATTTAAAGGGGAAAGGGCAGATACTGGGGAAAGAGAAAGAAATTTTCAAAAGGTGTGGGTAGATAAGAGACAAACGGTTGCAATTTTTTTTGTCTTTGGCCTTTCACCAAGTACACAATTTACATGTGAGGAGGGTAGAGGAACTCTATCTCGGTGAATCTGCATTTTTACATCAGAGGATATGCAATCAGATATGCATTTGTCTCAGGTGAGCAGAAGGATGACTTAGAGTTCTGCCCTTCTGATCTGTGAAGATAAACTATTAATTTACATTGTCAAGGTAAGATTCAACCGAATGGTTTTAAGGTAAATACCTTGGGGCCCAAAACAAATTTCCTAGTGGGCAAATTGTGAAGGGAGTATGCAGCTTTTTAAAAATCTTTGCAACTATCTTATTCAGGAATAAAATGGGAGGCACGTGTGCCTGATGCAGTTCTCAGCTTGACTTTTCCCTTTGGCTTAGTGATTTTGGGGTCCCGAGACTTATTTTCCTTCCACACCATATTGGTTATTAGATCAGCTTTCAAGATACTGCAGTGCTTACGTTCAAGTAACCTTTATTTTACTTAATAATGGCCCCAGAGCACAAGACTAGTTAGTAATGCTGGCAATTGAATATGCCAAGAGAAGCCATTAAGTGCTTCCTTTCCTTCAAGTAAAAAGGTGAAAGTTCTTGACTTAAGGAAAGAAAATAAATTGTATGGTAAGGTTGCTAAGATCTACTGTGAAAACACATCTATCTATGAAACTGTGAAGAAGGAAAAAGATATCTGTGTTAGTTTTGCTGTCATACCTCAGACTGCGAAAGTTTTGGCCACAGTGCAGGATGAGTACTTAGCTAAGATTGAAAAGACACGAACATAAATGTGTTCCAATTGATGGCAATCATCTTCCATACTATCTGAGGTTTCAGGCATCCATTGGGGGTCTTGGAACATATTGCTTGTGGATAAGGGGGGATACTGTATTAAAAAAATAATATTCTAATTTTCTCGCTTTATATATATTGCATATATTGGGTTAAGAAAGCTGCTTCTAAATTTAAAAGTAGCTCTCTAAATATCACTAATAGTTATTTGTTAAATGTTGATAAAGCCCTTTGCATATGATTCCTGGAAACAGAAAATAAATGATTCTAATGACTGAATAACAAATCCTTTTGGAAGTCAAGTGACTTTTTTGTTCTTTGCTTTTAACTAAAATTGAATGAACTCCTAATTAAGATGTAAGCTGATAAATTATTAAAAATAATTTTCCTTGATAGATTTTGGATGCGTATTATTTATTGCTGAGTGACAAATTTCCCCAAAGCTTAGTGGCTTAAAACAGCACACTTACATCAGCTCACAGTTCTTTTGAGATCCAAGCATGGTTCAGCTAGCTCCTCCAGTTGAAGAGAATCTCAAGAGATTACAATCAAGGAGTCAGCAGTGCTGTAGTCATCTTCAGGCTTCGTGGGAGCAGACTCCCACGCAGAATCCTGTTGGAAGGATCTATTTCTCTTCAGGCTGTTGGCCTGAGGGCCTCTGTTCCCTGCTGGCTGCCTTTAGTTCCTTGCCATATGTGCAGCTCATAACATGGCAGCTGGCTCCATGAGAGGAGCAAGCAAGCAGTGTGAGAGTGCCAGACAGAAGTCACAGTCTGTAATAACATGACCCTCATCCCTTTTGTTATATTCTACTCCTTAGAAGCAAGTCACTAAGTCCAGCCCACACTCAAGAGGAAGGGAACTCACAGGGTGTGAATGCTAGGAGGCAGGGAGTCATTGGGATGGTCTTAAAAGCTGCCTACCACGGGTTATTCCTGTTGGTTTTAACAAAAAGAATCCTAATATCAGTGCTGCATGTGGAAACTTGAAGAATAAAACAAGAGAGAAAAAAAAATTTTTAATACTCCTAATAAGTTTATTGTGGAATTTTAATGATATTAAGATGGCATGACCACTAAATGGAGGAATACTAAAATTCTATCCTAGATATCCTTTCCTGAGGTTCCAAATGAAATTTTAAGCATATGGGACAATAACAACAACAAAAAGCAATGTAAAACTTTATTCTGAACTGAGCTTGAACAGAAAACTCCTACACACAACACACACATGCATACATGCACATACACAAAATTAAGCATAAGTCTGTGGTTTTGTCTCATAATTATTCCTTATTCAAAACTCTAACATCACCAGGAACTGGCCACATAGATAAAAAGGAACTGAAGAAATACATGTCGAAGAATAAAAACACACACAAGTGGGTCCAAATCCAGCAAGAAAGGATCTGAGTCTGACAAATAGCGTGTTAAGAAGACATTTGAAAGACAAGGCCCAATCAATGTAAACTAAGGCCTAACTTGTAAATGGGATAATTTAGCTACTTATTGCCTTTGATAAAAGCAAAACAGAATCTCCTTCTTGTCATCTTCAAATCATGTATGCACCATTCTCAAATTCAGAATAATGAACATAAAAACTCATTATCCAGACGTCATTTATTCTATAAATTTACGTCATCAAAATCAGCTAAAAGCCAGAAAGTTAAAAAAAAAATACTGAGTTAATATCCAAAGTCCCAGATGAACACCTAGCAAATGTACTTTCTTATCCTTTCTCCATCAGAGGCTAATCTATTTTTTGGAGTCTTGGGGGAGTTTTGGTTTTGGTTTGGTTTGGTTTTTTGCTATTTCAGGCAAAAATTGCTAAGGAAAGACTCTTAGGTTATTTTAAAACTATTTATTCTGAGCATCCAGAAGCCTATAAAATAAGATGGTGGGAATAAGTAAAAACCTTTATAGGGCTCTTAAGAATGAACAGAAATAGGAAATTAACAATCCATAATATACATGGAAATATTTAATGCAGGAAAACCTCAATCATCTCTGAGGTCATTACCCTTGTTTATCATGGCATAATAATTGATGTACTCATTGAACAAATATTTATTGAGAGCCTACCTTGTGTTAGTCTTGGGCACAAAGAATACAGCAGAGAAGAAAACAAGTTCTTACTCTGGAGTTGTATTCTACTGCAGAGAAACATAAAATAGACAGAAAATACAGACTATATCAGAAAGCGGTAAGTATGAGTATGTGTAAGGAAGTTCAATAAATAATACCTCTCTTCACTGTTCTGGTCCCAACCAAACAGAAAAATAAGACAAAAGATTAAGACTGATAGTAGGTCAAGATACCATCTTTATTACTGAAGAGGCCAATTTCAAAGACGTGGCTGGCAAGCAGCTAAGCTCATAATTTCAAATTCAAAAATTGGATAAACTTTGTCATCCAATCATAGGCAAGCCTAGACAAGGGAGGGTATCCCCTTGTGAGGTACTACCGAAGTTAAGACTCTTGGAATGCAGAACCAGGAGGCTGACTGCTCAATAGGAAGCTCTCTCCAAAAGAGAAATAGAAGGATCTGAATGTAGAGATTCCCCACAATTAGATACAAGCTCCATTCTCTTACGTAATTTCAGAGAAAATTTTTAAATTCAAATATTTAATCTCATTTCAATTTAACATCCAGAAGTATTTAAAGTCAATGGGATCAAATACTTTTGCTCGTGTAAGGTAAAGGTCAAGAAAATTCAGATCCAAAACTTAGTCTAAAGTTTCTTATTCTGCTCCAAAGGAATTCTTAATGCCTGAGTGAATTTGGGGGACCATTAATTAGCTTCAGTGTATGCTGTCTCTTAAGGGAAGAGAGTAGTTGCCTCATGGTTGCAGAAACATAATGCCAAGCCTTTGATGTACCTCCCTTGTTACAGGGTCCAAAAAGTTAACTGGACACGTAAGTATATCACAGCACCAGCCAACACCCACTAACTTAGAAAATCAACAAATCTTTACCCCAACAAAACTACTGTCCCATAAAAAATTATGTCTCTTTAACCAAATACTTAGTGTCACAGAGACTCAATGTCAATCTAAAAAAAATAAGGCTAGATAGTTTTACCAGAATGTCAGTCAGTCTAAACTTGGTGTCCAAAGTGCAAGACCTACAGCCTTACCCTCAGTTGAAAGCAATCTTCCAGTGAGAGGTTGATTTTGGCATTAAACATTCAGGATACAGGGGAGATCAGGGATACATTAAACATATAGGATACAGGGAATCCACCTATGGATTCTGTCTTTTCTTTCCAAAAATGGCATTGAGAAATTGCTGTCTTCTTACAAGGGCAAAATTTTGCATTGGTGTGAACTCTAGTCATCAGTTGTTTGTCAAGGAGCCTTATTTTTCCTCTGTGCATATCTAATTTCCACTTCCCTTTTGAGCCTCTTGTTATAGCACCCATTAGTAAAGGGGGCATGGGCTCTCTCTAGGGTCATCATGTTCACTCTCTCTTGTAATCAGACATTTTTTGTTCTAGGCCACAACAGTTGTTTCCTCTACTGTTGGCAAAGAAATTGCTTAGACCTAAAAAGCCCTGCCTCCTATAGAGGATTTCTCCCTCATACAAAACAACTGATCAAGAACCCAGTTGAGACCACAAGGTGAGAGAGAACTCTTAATCCTATGGAATAACTCTTAACCTATGGAAAGAACACACAAATCCAAACTTAACCTTTTACAGTATCTTCCTTGAGAATCCTGAGCAGAATTTGGGACCATGAATGCAGTACTGCCTACCAAGCCTGGCACTAACAAAAAAAAAGGAAATACTAAGCCCCCTGTAGTGTTCAGTAGCACACATAGGACTTAGTCACCTTGTTGCTTAAAGGCAGAGAGTATGTTCCCTTCCCAAATGTCCAGAACAACTGTATTTGGAAGGACACCTCACCCTTTCCTCAGATCTTCACCTCAGCAGCATCTGCGGCAAAGCTGTACCTGTGTGGTGACGGCAGCTTCACCTGAGGCCCCGTGGATCTGCTGAGGTCCTAGGCTTGCCAAGGCCTGTACTTTCAGAAGGCCTATGCTTCCTGCACCTTTGCTTGCTGCTTTTGCCAAGACCACCCATGCAGACAGCATGTGCCAAGACTTATGAGACCTCTGTGCCCTTGCTAGGCCCAGAACCTGCCACCTGGACTCTGTAGAAGGACAGTGGACTATGGAAACAGCTGTCAGTGATGCAGTCATTCACCAAGGACAAAATACCGCATGGCCTAAGGCTTAAAGCCTCTTTCCCAGGCTGCAGAAGTTAAAAACTGTCCAAGTATAACCCTCTACAAACAGCTAAGATCAGTATACCCTCCCCATATAATAAAATCCCAAACCAAAAGCTGTGCCCTAAACACAGAAGAATCCGCCATTATTATTGTACTTCCCTCAACTTCCAGTCCTTTCTTTATTTCTCAAAGAATCAAGCATTAGGGTGTCAGGGGGTCTTATAAATATCACTGATTTTCCATTTCTTCCAGATGAAGTCCTGAACAAATTAAAATATACGAGTGGCAACACATACAGAGCCCAAAATATCACCTGTATTATTGATAAAGACTAACTAAGAGAGTCTGGCTACAAAGGGCAAAAACTCATTGAACCTCAGATTGAGGCAAATTTATGCATGCAGCAGTACACTACTAAAACCAGAGCAGCCTCCACTAAAAAACACCTCTAGAGAAAAAAATGAGGACTGAGCCAGAAATAGCCAGCATGTTCTTATCAAATTTACCAACCAGATAAGTCATCCCCATCCTCTGGGGTGGAGTAAACAAAGCCAAGAATTTATCCTAATTGCATTCCCTCCGCATTAAAGGAAACATCTAGATACAGAAAATAGCTATAATAAGGTAATGGTAAATGGAACAGAGAAAAATAAAACCATGTAAAGTTGATAGGGAATGGGCATGTTTCAAGGTGATACTTGAAACAGAGACCCAAGTGAGGGAGCAAGGCTTGCAGTATCTGCGAGAAGGGTGTTCTAGGCAGAGAGAACAGATGGTGCAAAGGTCCTAAAGAATATCCATACTTGTTATGTTAGAGCCATGGTTCTCAACTGGACAATTTTGCCCCGTGGAGGACGCTTGGCAATATCTGGACACATTTTTGATTGTCACAACTCAGGGATGTACTGAGAGGTCAAGGATGCTACCAAGCATTCTAAAATGCACAGGACAACCCCTCCACAACAAAGCATACGCCAATAGTGCCACTAATAAGAAAGCCTGTGTTAGAAGCACACAGAAGAAGCCAGTGATGAAACAGAGTTAAGCAGTGGAAGAAATATTGAAGATGAACTCAGAGGGGAAGTGGAGGCCAACCTCATGTGAGACCTTGCAGACCATGGTAAAAACTTTGGATTTTACTCTGAAGGAGCTGTGAAGCCATTGGAGAATTTTGACAAGAGATGTGACCTAATCTGATCACATTTTAAAAAGATTCTTTATTATTATTATTATTATACTTTAAGTTTTAGGGTACATATGCACAACGTGCAGGTTTGTTACATATGTATACACGTGCCATGTTGGTGTGCTGCACCCACCAACTCGTCATTTAGCATTACGTGTATCTCCTAATGCTATCCCTCCCCCCTACCCCCACCCCACAACAGTCCCTGGTGTGTAATGTTCCCCTTCCTGGTCCATGTGTTCTCATTGTTCAATTCCCACCTATGAGTGAGAACATGCAGTGTTTGGTTTTTTGTCCTTGCGATAGTTTGCTGAGAATGATGGTTTCCAGCTTCATCCATGTCCCTACAAAGGACATGAACTCATCATTTTTTATGGCTGCATAGTATTCCATGGTGCATATGTGCCACATTTTCTTAATCCAGTCTCTCACTGTTGGACATTTGGGTTGGTTCCAAGTCTTTGCTATTGTGAATAGTGCCGCAATAAACATACGTGTGCATGTGTCTTTAGAGCAGCATGATTTATAATCCTTTCGGTATATACCCAGTAATGGGATGGCTGGGTCAAATGGTATTTCTAGTTCTAGATCCCTGAGGAATTGCCACACTGACTTCCACAATGGTTGAACTAGTTTACAGTCCCACCAACAGTGTAAAAGTGTTCCTATTTCTCCACATCCTCCCCAGCACCTGTTGTTTCCTGACTTTTTAATGATCACCATTCTAACTCGTGTGAGATGGTATCTCATTGTGGTTTTGATTTGCATTTCTCTGATGGCCAGTGTTGATGAGCATTTTCTCATGTGTTTTTTGGCTGCATAAATGTCTTCTTTTGAGAAGTGTCTGTTCATATCCTTCACCCACTTTTTGATGGTGTTTTTTTTTCTTGTAAATTTGTTTGAGTTTATTGTAGATTCTGGATATTAGCCCTTTCTCAGATGAGTAGGTTGCACAAATTTTCTCCCATTCTGTAGGTTGCCTGTTCACTCTGATGGTAGTTTCTTTTGCTGTGCAGAAGCTCTTTAGTTTAATTAGATCAATTTGTCAATTTTGGCTTTTGTTGCCATTGCTTTTGGTCTTTTACACATGAAGTCCTTGCCCATGCCTATGTCCTGAATGGTAATGCCTAGGTTTTCTTCTAGGGTTTTTATGGTTTTAGGTCTAACATGTAAGTCTTTAATCCATCTTGAATTAATTTTTGTATAAGCTGAAAGGAAGGGATCCAGTTTCAGCTTTCTACATATGGCTAGCCAGTTTTCCCAGCACCATTTATTAAATAGGGAATCCTTTCCCCATTGCTTGTTTTCCTCAGGTTTGTCAAAGATCAGATAGTTGTAGCTATGTGGCATTATTTCTGAGGGCTCTGTTCTGTTCCATTGGTCTATATCTCTGTTTTGGTACCAGTACCATGCTGTTTTGGTGACTGTAGCCTTGTAGTATAGTTTGAAGTCAGGTAGTGTGATGCCTCCAGCTTTGTTCTTTTGGCTTAGGATTGACTTGGCAATGCGGGCTCTTTTTTGGTTCCATATGAACTTTCAAGTAGTTTTTTCCAATTCTGTGAAGAAAGTCATTGGTAGCTTGATGGGGATGGCATTGAATCTATAAATTACCTTGGGCAGTATGGCCATTTTCACAATATCGATTCTTCCTACCCATGAGCATGGAAGGTTCTTCCATTTCTTTGTATCCTCTTTTATTTCATTGAGCAGTGGTTTGTAGTTCTCCTTGAAGAGGTCCTTCACATCCCTTGTAAGTTGGATTCCTAGGTAATTTATTATCTTTGAAGGAATTGTGAATGGGAGTTCACTCATGATATGGCTCTCTGTTTGTCTGTTATTGGTGTATAAGAATGCTTGTGATTTTTGCACATTGATTTTGTATCCTGAGACTTTGCTGAAGTTGCTTATCAGCTTAAGGAGATTTGGGGCTGAGACGATGGGGTTTTCTAGATATACAATCATGTCATCTGCAAACAGGGACAATTTGACTTCCTCTTTTCCTAACTGAATGTCCTTTATTTCCTTCTCCTGCCTGATTGCCCTGGCCAGAACTTCCAACACTATGTTGAATAGGAGTGGTGAGAGAGGGCATCCCTGTCTTGTGCCAGTTTTCAAAGGGAATGCTTCCAGTTTTTGTCCATTCAGTATGATATTGGCTGTGGGTTTGTCATAGATAGCTCTTATTATTTTGAGATACGTCCCATCAATACCTAACTTGAGAATTTTTAGCATGAAGGGCTGTTGAATTTTGTCAAAGGCCTTTTCTGCATCTATTGAGATAATCATGTGGTTTTTGCCTTTGGTTCTGTTTATATGCTGGATTAAGTTTATTGATTTTCGTATGTTGAACCAGCCATGAATTCCAAGGATGAAGCCCACATGATCATGGTGGATAAGCTTTTTGATGTGTTGCTGGATTCGGTTTGCCAGTATTTTATTGAGGATTTTTGCATCAATGTTCATCAAGGATATTGGTCTAAAATTCTCTTTTTTTGTGTGTAGGAGCTGGTACCGTTCCTTCTGAAACTATTCCAATCAATAGAAAAAGAGGGAATCCTCCCTAACTCATTTTATGAGGCCAGCATCATCCTGATACCAAAGCCTGGCAGAGACACAACAATAAAAAGATTCTTATAACCACCATGTAGAGAATGGGTTCTTGGGAGGCAAGGAGAAGCTATTGAACTTCAGGTGAGAAATGATGGTGTTAGTGGTGGAGGGGGTGAGAAGTGATCAATTCTGAGTATAGTTTGAAGGTAGAATGAAAAGAATTTATGAATGCCTTGTATATGTGGGGTAAAGAGAGGAGTCAAAGATGACTCCAAATTTTTTAGCCTGAGCAACTTGAAGAATGGGAATGTCATTTACCGAAATAAAAATAACTGTAGGAGGAAGAGGGTTTAGGGGAGAAATTAGATGTCCATTCATAGATATCAAGCTCTAGATGCTCGTTAGGCATCCAAGTGGAAGAGACAAGTGTATAATTAGGTATGAGAGAAATTAGAAGGTTCTGGATGGTGATAAACTGTAAAACTAGATGAGATCACGTGAGAACCACATGTGGCAAGAAAAGACTGGATTTGAGTTTAAAACTTGTAGAAATGAGAAGGTCAGCCTTCTCTGTAGGAGTAAAACAGACAGTAGTGTTTTGGAAGCCAAATAATATTTATCAAGACTGAGTCATTGATAAAAATGTGGAATATTATTCAATGTGCTCTTTTGAAGTTCTGATAATAGGTTAAGTAAAATACATAATACATTTTAACAGGATATTTATTAAAATATATTTTATCAGTTATATTACTTATTGTGAAAATTCATATATGGTGAATACTAGAGTCAATCTCCAAAAAGCACTAAAGTCTAATGAAGACATTCAGTACAAAAGCCCCTGTTTTCATTTGATTTTCGGCTTATGTTGTTATTATGTTTTCTTTTTTAGCATGTTATGTTTCCTTTAAGATGCATGTTTTTAACATTTTTGACAACTCTAAAATCAGAAATTGTCTCACAATTGAGGTGATAAGAAGCATTGTGTATTAGTTTAATTGACTGTGATTTTCTTTTAGCAGGTAAAAAAATAATGATGTATCAGAAATCAGAGGCATCTTAAATTTCATTAACTATGTTGATAACTCATTAGGAATATAACTAAGGTTCTGCTCTCCACATACTAAACTGTGCAATGAAGGAATCAACTCGACTTTGGCCTACTCTCTGTTTTATTAGGCATGCAACCACCACCCCCTACAGGTAGGAGGATTCTCACCACTCTGGCTAGAATTTGCAGGTGCAGAGCTGGGAGGGATGTTATCAACAACTCCTCACATTCTCCATTCAGTTTCCTCAGGTTGCTTTAGCAGCCCAGAAGAAAGTCACAGATAGGAAATGAGGCAGATCAACAGTTTTCCCATTTAAAAAGAGTATCAGGGAACAACTCTCCATCGTCACCCTTTCCCTGCTTCATAACTGTACAAAGTCAGTTTTTTGGTATAAAACTAATAGGCCATCATTTTAGTTCAGGCCAGGCCAGCACCACCCCTCATCAGGAATACCTAATTGCTTTCCAACTGGCCATTCCCCTTTCACACCCTTACTAACCCCAGATGCAATCCATTGGCAAATCCTGTAAATGTCTCCAGAATCCCATGACTTCTCGCTTTCATGCCACCGTCCTCTTCTGCAATAATCCCCACTACCTGCTCTCTTCCTTGGACCTCACTTCCCTTTAGTCAATTCTCAACCCAGAACCAGAGTGGTTCTTTTTAAATGGCAGATGATGTGACTCTTCTGCTCCGAACCCTCTAAAAGCATTCTTTGTCCTCAGAGGAAAAAAAAAAAGCCATTGTAGTCATTACAATGGCCTACAAGCCTTTACATCAGAGGTCAGTAAATTATAACCTGTTTTTCTGAGGGAAGAAAAGTCTTATTTGGAACACAGCCACATCCATTCATTTATGCATTGTCTATAGTTCCTGTCATGATATGATGATAGTCATGCATTGATTATTCATTTAATATTAGTATTAGCATGCAATAAGATATAGCATTTAGTCAATAATGATTTCAAGAGAAGAACTGCTTATGAGGACATAAATCTGAATGGGAGAAGACCTAGATTTCTCCAGAGCTGTGCGTAATGAGGACAGTCACAAATTAGGGGAGTAGATGGGAAGTGGGCACTCCTGAGCTCTGCAAGTGTGAGCAAGAATAGTGGTTGAGCCATTTGGAGAAGGCACAATAGGTGAGTTAATGAGAAGATAAATGTAGCTGAGAAAATGAGAGAGGTTTTCAGCAGCTGCCTTGAATACAGTGAAACTTGGGAAGATGATGGAACAAATGATTAAAAGTATTCTAGTGAGTATTTCTAGGAAGCTTCTTATATGTTAGGCATTATAAAATCTTTGGGCCAGCTTCATTAAGGAAACTACACCAAAAGCCCTACATGCTCAGAAAACTATAATACTTCCATACCAGCAACATCTTTAGTGGCTCACAGAGGGCAAAGGTTGTATTTTCTTCATCTTTGTATTCCTGCAGCTAGAATAGCCCCTGGCAAATAGTAGGTTTTCATTAGCTATCTGTTGAAGCCGGGGGTAGTGACATATGCTGGTAATCCCAGCACTTTGAGAAGCTGAGGCTGGAGGAACACTTGAGCCCAGGAGTTACAGACCATCCTGGGCAGGACAATGGGACCCCATCTCTACAATTTTTTAAAAAAAATTAGTTTGGTATGGTGGCATACACCTGTAGTCCCAACTACTCAGGAGGCTGAGGCAGGGGGTCCCTTGATCCTAGAAGTTTGAAAGAGCAGTGAGCGATGATCATGTCCCTGCACTCCAGCCTGAGTGACAAAGCAAACTTCTAATAAATAAATAAATAAATAAATATCTGTTGAATTAATTCTAAGACTTAAAAAACTGTTTTAATCTATCTTCTTATCAGAGTCGAGGTGTGGTAGTTAGAGTAACACCAAGGAGAGCCTAAACTGCTTTTTATTGGTCACCGTTTGGGATAGAGGTGCACAAAACTATCGTTTAAATTATAAATGTTACCTAGAAGTGATAACAAATGGAACAATAATGAGTCACTGACACTACCACCAAAATAAAATTTTTAGTTTCATTCTTAGTGTTTGAAAGAGGTTCAGGAGAAAGTGACGCAGGAAAAGTCATTATAATGAAGGATAAAACCACTGCGTAATGGGGAATGAAGAGAGAAGCTTGACAAAAGAAGACAATAGAAGCCTATGAAAATGACCAATTCATTATTTTAGCCATTGACTTTATTATTTCTTGCTCCATATAATTAACATCATGGCTAAAAACAAGGCAGAAATTCTTTTAGGAATAAAATTGTCACAAGCCCTGCCTTTCCCTTCCCCATAAGGTTGATCTAACTCCATTAACTGTCAGTCTTTGATGTAAAGTATCTTACCTGACCTTCCTTCTTAGCCCCTACTGAGAATCCAAAGTAATCTAAGAGCTGTGCATTCCATTGGCAATTGGCATCTTGTAGTTGCCAATTTGGAGAAAATAATAATCTCCCCTATACTTCACCTTTGTGGATGTATTTTCCTTATTGTTTGAGAGGAACATAATACAACAGTAAGCAGATCAACTGGAACCCTTCAATCTGTAAATAAAAGGGCATTGTAAGCTACATGTTACACAGAACTCATTTGCCCAGAAATCTGATTTTATTGTTAGGAATTGGCAGCCCATCCCCAAACATGCACTTTTAATTTTTCCTGAAAAGACCACTATTTTTGTACTGATACTTCCCCACAAGTAGCATCTGATGTATTGCTATTGTCTTTGGTTAAATTAAAAGTGATGCTATCCAATTTCAAGAGCTTCACATAAATAATACCTTATGAGAAAGAAAATCTGTAAGGAATAAATTCTGGATTCAGGTACTGGAATCTTTGGTAAAAGCTTGGACTTGTGGTGAAACTGGCAATGAATTATGAATACTATTTGGCTTTTGGCTATGAGAAGGATAGAAAATCAATCCCAGAATTTCCAAGTATTACAAGCATACCTGAGATGGGTGGTAATATGGTTTGGCTGTGTCCCCACCCAAATCTCAACTTGAATTGTATCTCCCAGAATTTCCACGTGTTGTGGGAGGAACCCACAGGGAGATAATTGAATCATGGGGCCCCGTCTTTCCTGTGCTATTCTCATGATAGTGAGTAAGTCTCACGAGATCTGATGGGTTTATCAGATCTAATGGGTTTCTGCTTTTGCTTCTTCCTCATTTTCTCTTGCTGCTTTCGTGTAAGAAGTGCCTTTCACCTCCCACCATGATCCTGAGGCCTCCCTAGCCATGTGGAACTGTAAGTCCAATGAAACCTCTTTTTCTTCCCAGTCTCAGGTATGTCTTTATCAGCAGTGTGAAAACACAGTAATACAGTAAATTGGTACCAGTAGAGTGGGGTGTTGCTGAAAAGATACCTGAAAATGTGGAAGCAACTTTGGAAAGGGGTAACAGGCAGAGGTTGGAGCAGTTTGGAGGGCTCAGAAGAAGACAGGAAAATGTGGGCAAGTTTGGAACTTCCTAGAGATTTGTTGGACTTTGCCCAAAATGCTGATAGCAATATGGAACTTGTTGGGAACTGGAGTAAAGGTGACCCTTGTTATGTTTTAGCAAAGAGACTGGTGGCATTTTGCTCCTGCCCTAGAGATTTGTGGAACTTTGAACTTGAGAAAGATAATTTAGGGTATCTGGTGGCAGAAGAAATCTCTAAGGAGCAAAGCACTCAAGAGGCGATTTGGGTGCTGTTAAAGGCATTCGGTTTTATAAGGGAAGCAGAGCATAAGTGTTTGGAAAATTTGCAGCCTGACTATATAATAGAAAAGAAAAACCCATTTTCTGGGGAGAAGAATTCAAGTTGGCTGCAGAAATTTACATACGTAGCAAGGAACCTAATGTTAATCTCCAAAACCATGGAGAAAATGTCTCCAGGCCATGTCAGAGACCTTCAGCGCCCCTCCCCTCACAAACCCAGATGGCCAGGAAGAAAAGGTGGTTTCGTGGGCTGGGTCCAGGGTCCCTGTGCTGTGTGCAACCTGGGACTTGGTGCCCTGTGTCCCAGCCACTCCACCCGTGGCTGAAACGGGCCAACGTACAGCTTGGGCTGTGGCTTCAGAGGGTGGAAGCCCCAAGCCATAGCAGTTTCCATGTGGTGTTGAGCCTGTGGGTGCACAGAAGTCAAGAAGTAAGGTTTAGGAACCTCCACCTGATTCAGAAGAGGTATGGAAATGCCTGGATGCCCAGGCAAAGGTTTGCTGCAGCAGGGGGTGGGAAACCTCTGCTAGGGCAGTGCCAAAAGGAAATGTGGGGTTGGAGCCCCTAGAGTCCCTAGTGGGGCAATGCCTAGGGGAGCTGTGAGAAAAGCGCCACCATCCTTCAGACCCCAGAATGGTAGATCTACCTACAGCTTGCATAGTGTGCCTGGAAATGCCACAGACACTCAATGCCAGCCCATAAAAGCAGCTAGGAGGGAGGCTGTACCCTGCAAAGCGACAGGGGTGGGGCTGCCCAAGACCATGGGAACTCACCCCTTGCATCAGCGTGACCTGGATGTGAGATCTGGAGTCAAAGGAGATCATTTTGGAGCTTTAAAATTTGACTGCCCCACTGGATTTCGGACTTACATGGGCCTGTAACCCCTTTGTTCTGACCAATTTCTCCCATTTGGAATGGCTGTATTTATCCAATATGTGTAACCCCATGGTAGCTAGGAAGTAACTAGCTTGCTTTTGATTTTACAGGCTCATAGGCAGAGGTAACTTGCCTTGTCTCAGATGAGACTTCGGACTGTGGACTTTTGGGTTAATGTTGAAATGAGTTAAGACTTTGAGGGACTGTTGGGAAGGCATGATTGGTTTTGAAATGTAAGGACATGAGATTTGGAGGGGCCAGGGGCAGAATAATATGGTTGGGCTGTGTCCCCACCCAAATCTCAACTTGAATTGTATCTCATAGAATTCCCATGTGCTGTGGGAGGCACCCAGGAGGAGATAATTGAATCATGGGGGCCATTCTTTCCTGTGCTATTCTCATGATAGTGAATAAGGCTCATGAGATCTGATGGGTTTATCAGGGGTTTCCACTTTTGCTTCTTCCTCGTTTTCTCTTGCTGCTACCACGTAAGAAGTGCCTTTTTCTTCCTGCCATGATTCTGAGGCCTGCCCAGCCATGTGGAAATTTAAGTCCAATTAAAACTCTTTTTCTTCCCAGTCTCGGGTATTTATCAGCAGTGTGAAAACGGACTAATACAGGTGGAAAAGCCCAGGCATGTACAGGCTGGTAGATCAAGAGCTGGGCTTAGTGTCCACAAAACCAATTTCACTAATGCCATTGTCTGCCTACTTATCAAGGCACTTGCCCAACCTCTCTGAAAGGCAAAATAACAGAACTCATTGTAAACATGCAACATGCCCCATTTGAGAACGCAATAAACCTATACATTCTTTCACTCAGATTATTAAAATGCATCTTTTTTTTCTTCTCTAACTCTAATCTTTCATGAGGTTCAGTGCAAGTGAACTTTTTCCAAGATTTTAGAGGAAAAAATCTTTCCCATTAAACCCAGACCATTTTGCACACAGAAGAAAGGGTGAAGTTGGAAGCACTCACCTCTTGGGTCTCACTTTTTGCTTAATTTGGTTTTATGGCTGCCAAGGGAATAATAAAGTCTGTACTACAAATGTTTGTTTTCCACAGGGCTGTATTGTTAGGTGAATGGTCATACCTGTATTAACTAATGATTAAAAGACAAAGACAAAATCCTCAATGATATTATTGTTAATGTTCAGCTCCAGAAAATACATCAAAAATATAAACTGTAATTCTCAGAAGTGGGATGTCTTTATCAAAAATGCAGTTTTTCACTTTTTATATACATGTAGAATCCATTTAAGCTTGACTTACATTTATTTCTTCTATTCATCAACATACTTTATAATAATTTCAGGGGCCATATATGGCTTTTAATTCTCCAAAAAGTATATTAGCATAAAAAGTAGGTTATTTTGGAGGGCCTTGCATTCTTGATTCATACTTTAGTTTAGTTTACTTTTTATTTTTCCATATCTCCATACTTAATTCAACTTTAGTGTGTCTTTCCTAGGACACCATATGAAATGCTTTTCTTCACCTTACTACTTTTGGAATGTGTTAGAATGACAATACTCATTCCTAATGCTATTGACATTTAAGCTGTTCCCTCAATTTGGCATTTTTTTTTTTTCTCTAAGGACCAAATTCTGGCTTTCTGGGCACCTACACTCACAGTGAAGGAAAATGGAAGGGACCTCACAAGGACACTGGCCAGGGTGACCTTCCTGTTTGTTAATCTTAGGAAGTCATGTAAACACACTTTCCACCATTTTGCAGAATTCTCACTGCCATTTCTGTTGAGATATTTATTTTCCTTCTGAACCTTCCAGAGGAGCTGCTGAATTTTTGCCTTTTCTACAAAATATAAAATGTTTCCTGTCTACCTGTCTATGCCACAATGGCACCGAGAGGGTTTAACATGCACAGGTTTCCCCTACATAATTGTTCCTTGCTCTGATCTTGTCCATCCTCTAAGAAGATTCTCTCAATTACCTGCTCCTACTCCCAACCAGGCTTTACAATCAAGAAATAATCCAACCTATTCAGATTCTCCTAATAATTCCATTTATATGCACACGTTCTGTTTTTATTTTTTCAAGGCAAAGAGAGTGTCTCTTTTTAATTTGACCCGCAAGTTAGAGATTCCATCATGCTGCTAATGCCTGATAAAATGAATCTGATTGAGTGATTAATGTGACTGTATTATTTTCCAGTCAGTTTTCTTATGTTAAATGAAATGCTTTAAAAATATCGCTCAAATAAAGAGGATATGATACCGGGAGTCGTGGCTCACGCACGTAATCCCAGAACCTCAGTACTTTGGGACACTGAGGCCGACAGATCACTCAAGGCCGGGAGTTTGAGACCAGCCTGGCCAACATGGCAAAACGCCGTTTCTACTAAAAATACAATAATTAGCTGAGAGTGGTGGCACACAACTGTAATCCCAGCTACTCGGGTGGTTGAGGCAAGAGAATCACTTGAACCCAGGGGATGGAGGTTGCAGTAAGCCAATATTGTGTCACCGTACTCCAGTCTGGATGACAGAGTAAGACTCTGTCTCAAAAAAAAAAAAAAAAAAGATATGAATAACAAACAATAGCCTGGAAGCCATTATTTTGAGAGAGAAAAGAATTTAGAAAGAGCCACTAAGAGCCATAATCAAGGGTTCTTACTCTAATTTTACATGAGAATAATAATTATTGTTTATGTGTGTTTATTAATAATACCAAAAATCTTCTATTTCCCCACTAAAACTAAATTATAGAATCTGTAGGAATTCCATCTAATAAAAAGCATCCGAATGGTAATATATCACATAATACTGAAATTGAACAAATGAGGGAAGGCACCACTGTCAGCTCCTCTAAGCTGTAGAATCCCATGCTTCTCTCAGGCTCACGGTTATTCCTAACACTCACCCCATGCTTCTACGCATCAGAAAGTCTCACAAGCACCTTACCTGTATCAGCTCATTTATCTTAAGAACAATCTTATAAAATAAACACTAGTATTTTCACTTCTATTTTACAGGTGAGGCAAAAGAGACACAGAGAAGTTAAGCAGTTCATATAAAGTCACACACGTGATTGACTTAGAGATGGGACTTAAACCCAGGGAGTATGGTTGCAGAGCCTTGATCTTAACCATGGCGTATATTACCTCTCTAACTCATGTGTCCAACATGGTACCTGAAGTCTAACATGTAATCCAAAGTTAGGCTGACATTGTCAATCTGTATATTAAGTAGCAGCAGCATTTTATTTCTTTCTTTTTAGATGAAGAATAATTATAAATCAAAATTCAGTATTTTCTTTCTGTACCTCTATGCAGAAGTGTTTTTTCTTGGGCATCTACACCCTTTTTAGAGCCCTTTGGCTAAGATATCAGGCTCATCTTCACCTCTACAACACTCTCACTGCCTTTCAGATGTCCTGAATTCCCTTTATGGAAACTCTGAAGCCTTTCAATTCGCTCCTTGATTTTTACTGTCCATATAGCCCTTCCAGCATTTATGCATTTCCTTTAAGGTCATCCAAGTTGGAGGGGTATGAGAGGGGAGGTGAAACTAACTAATGCTTCCTGTATGCCACACATTTTGCATATTCTAGCTCATGAAATTAATAAGCATTTCTCCAATAAAAAAGGCCTCTATAAATTAGGCAAAATATATATCTGATCTCCTGCTCATATTTTCAATAATCAGTAATTCCTTAACTGTACTTTGTTCCTGGTTTTAAGATTTTGCATTCTTCTCTAGAAAAACTTAGTGAATTTCACCTACTAACTCCTTGGTTTGCCATCAACACTGCTTCTCAGACCTCAAATGGTTAGAAATAACTTCAGAGTCTCTGCTCACCTCACAATGATCCCATTTCTTTTAAGACCTGCCTACCATGCCACATCCCCCAACACACACACTCAGGATTGGGAACCCTGAAACTACACCTGTACTTAAGATTTTGCACTGATGGCCACAGGTGCTTGATTCAAGGGCAAACACCTGGTCCTACACAAGCTAATCATATTTTCCTTAGTGTCTTAGTCTGTTTGGAATGTCATAAATACCATAAATTGGGTGGCTTATAAACAACAGAAATGTATTTCTCACAGTTCAGAAAATGGGGAAGCCCAAGATCAAGGCACTGGCAGATTCAGTGTCTTGTTAGAACCCACTTTTTCATAGATGGCACCTTTTCAGTGTGTCCTCATGGTAGAAAAGCCACATAACCTCCCTTGGGCCTCTTTTTGTAAGGGCACTAATCTCATTTATGAGGGCTCTGCCTTCATGTCCTAATCTCATCCCAAAAGAACTCCCTCTTAATGCCATCCCCCTGGAGGTTAGAAGTTCAACTTATGAATTTTGGGTACACACAAATATTCAAACCAAAGCACTTAGGAATTTGGAATACAGACTCAGAGATAGCTGATTAGCTTCTGCCATATGACCAAGACCAAGAGCCTGCTGACTTGAGAAGTAAAGGTGTTATAGACTGAATTATGAACCCTCAAAATTTACATGTTGAAACTCTAACCCCCTAGTGTGACTGTCTTTGGAAATGGGTTCTTTTGGGCAATAATTAAGGCTAAGCGAAGTTGTTAGAGTGACAACCTAATCTCAGGGCTGGTGTTCTTTTAAGGAGAGGAAGAGACTTCTCTTTTTCTCTCTCCACATGCACACAGAGAAGAGGCCACATGAGGACACAATGAAAAGGCAGCCTTCTATAAGCCAGGAAGAGAGAACTCACCAGAAACCAACCCTGATGGCACCTTGACCTTAGGCTTTTCAACCTCAAGAACTGTGAGAAAAAAATTTCTGTTGTTTATACCATGTAGTCTGTGGCATTCTGTCATGGGAGCTCAAGCAGAATTATATAGTGGGTAGCCTTCTACTTCCATGTGCACAAAGAAGCGGATAATTCCTGTGGGTAGAAAAGCAGAAATGGTGAGAAAATCAAAGATCAGAGAAAGATCATTGCCTGGGGTAGAGATTAATTTCATAAATTCCTTTTCTGATAGGCCATAGGCCCAGATGCTCTTGGGTTCTATGAGACACCCAAATATCTTTCCAATAAATTGTTTTTCATTATGTTTTTGATTTTTAAAACTACCTCGGCTGGGTGCAGTGGCTCATGTCTGTAATCCCGGGACTTTGAGAGGCCAAGGCAAGTAGATCATGAGATCAGGAGTTCAAGACCAGCCTGGCCAACATGATGAAACCCTATCGCTACTAAAAATACAAAATTTCACTGGGCATGGTGGTGTGTGACTGTAATCCCAGCTACTCAGGAGGCTGAGGCAGGAGAATCACTTGAACCCGGGAAGTGGAGGGGTTGCAGTGAGCCAATTGAGCCAAGGTTGCACCACTGCACTCCAGCCTGGGCAACAGAGGGAGACTCTGTCACAAAACAAAAAGCAAAAAACAAAATACAACAACAACAACAACAACAAAACTATCTCAAATTGGTTTTCTTGTTTATTAAAAACAAATGTTATACTGTTTCCCATCTACCCCCCAGGGACTATTTACATCAATTCAGGGCCCAACAAAACTATTTCTGTACGAGCTGAGAAAAATACACTATTCAGTAAAAATTCTACCCAATATGTGCTGACATGTTATAATTACCTCGATCCATTAGCACAATCACAGTGACTGTCAGTATACAGAAGATGACACTCAGTTGCCCTCAAAGTTGCCAGGATACGCAGCAGCTCAAGGAGGAAAGAATATTTAAGTAAGAGAAAAATTAGTGTGGCTGAATGTAGTGATGAAGATGGAAAATGCCAGATAGAGAGTCAGAATAATTTAAGGCTCTTTTTAGCAACTCAGGACTATATATTAATGCCGTAATCAATGAGAATCCAGCATAGACTGAGTTATGTTTAGTAGCCCCCAAATCCTAGTGACTTAAGGAAAGAAAAGTTTATTTCTCATTCATGCTATATGTCTATTGTGAATTGACAAGGAATTGATAAGGACTGTTCTATACAGAGTCACTCAAACCCAGGCTAAAGGAAACTCCACTGTCATAGTTTCATCATCTGGAATGTGCAAACTAAAGTCCCCACTGCAGAGGAAAGTCTGTTGGTCAATACTGTGGTTTAAATGTTTGTTCTCTCCAAAACTCATGTTGAAATTTATTTGCTATTGTAACAGAACTAAGAGGTGAGAACTTTGAGAGGTGATTAGGCCATGACAGCTTCACTTTTATGGGTGGATTTAATGCCTTAATAAGAGGGTTCCGGAGAGTGGGTTCTCTCTCTTGCCCTTCTGTCCTCTGCCATGGGATGACATAACAAGAAGGCCCTTGCAAAATGCTGGCTCCTTAATTTTGGACTTCCTAGGCTCCAGATATGTAAGAAATAAATTTCTGTTCTTCTTAAATTACCCAGTGTGTGGCATTCTGTTGTAGCAGCACAACACAGACTATGACAGTGAGTCAGACTCCAGTTTTTCACTTTGTGCATTAATATTTTATACTTTTCATCATAGAGATATTTCACTACTTTGGTTAAGTTAATTCCTAGGTATTTTGTTTTATTTGTAGCTATTGTAAATGGGATTACTCTCTTGATTTCTTTTTCAGATTGTTTGCCATTGGCATATAGAAATGCTACTGATTTTTGTATGTTCATTTTGTATTCAGCAACTTTACTGAATTATTTATCAGTTTTAATAGTTTTTTGGTGGAGTCTTTAGGTTTTTTCCAAACATAAGATTATATCATGTGCAAGTGAGGATAATTTTACTTCTTCATCTTGCGTTTGGAAGCCTTTTATTTCCTTCTCTTATCTGACTCCTCTAGCTACAGCATCTGGTACTATGTTGAATAACAGTGGTAACAGTGGGCATCCTTGTCATGTTCCAAATCTTAGCAGAAAGGCTTACAGTTTTTCCCCAATCAGTATAATACTGGCTGTGGGTCTGTCATATATGGCTTTTATTATGTGGAGGTATGTTCCTTTTATAGCCAGTTTTATGAGGATTTTTATCATAAAGAAATGCTAAATTTTACCAAATGCTTCTTCAGAATTAATTGAAATGATCATATCGTTTTTGCACTCCATCCTGTTGATATGAAGTATCACATTGATTGATTTGTGTATATCAAACCATTCTTGCATCCCTCGGATAAATCCTACTTGGTCATAATGAGTGCTCTTTTCAATGTGTTGTTGAATTCAGTTTGCTAGTATTTTGTTGAGGAGTTTTGCATCAATATTAATCAGAGATATTGGCCTGTACTTTGTTTTTGATATGTCTTTGTCTGGTTTAGTTATCAGGGTAATAATAGTCATGTAAAATTAGTTTGGAATTATTCCCTCCTCCTTCCTTTTTTGGAATCATTTGAGTAGAATAGGTATATGTTCTTTAAATGTTTGGTAGAATCCAGCAATGAAGCTATCGGGACCTGGGCTTTTCTTTGCCAGATTTTCATTATAGCTTTGCTCTCATTACTTGTTATTTCTCTGTTCAGGTTTTGGATTTCTTAATGGTTCAATCTTAGTAGGTTACATGTCTAGGAATTTATCCACTTCTTCTAGGTTTTCCAATTTACTGGCATATAGTTGCTCATAGTAGGCAGTAACGATCCTTTCTATTTCTGTGATAAAGTTTGTGATGTCTCCTTTTTCACTCTGATTTTATTCATTTGAGGATTCTCTCTTTTATTCTTAGTCTGTCTAAAGGTTTGTCAATTTTTTGTCTTTAAAAAAACAAACTTTACATTTTATTGATCTTTTGTATTTTTATTTCAATTTCATTTATTTCTGCTCTTATCTTTATTTCTTTTCTTCTAGTAATTTTGAGTTCTGTTTGCTCCTGCTTTTCTAGTTAAGATGCATTATTAGATAATTTATTTGAAGTTTTCCTTTTTTTAATGTAGGGGCTTATAGCTATAAACTTCCCTCTTAGTATTGTTTTCACTGTTTCGCATGGGTTTGGGTGTGTTGTGTTTCCATTATCATTTGTTCCAAAAACTTTTTCAGTTTTCTTCTTAATTTCTTCATTGACCCACTGGTCATTCAGGAGCATATTGTTTAATTTCCATATATTTGTATAGCTTCAAAAATTCCTCTTCTTATTGATTTCCAGTTTTATTCCACTGTTCTCAGAGAAGATGCTAGATATTATTTCAATTTTTAAAAATGTTCAAAGACTTGTTTTGTGACTTAACATATGATCTATCTTTGAGAATGATCTATGTGCTGAGGAGAAGAATGTGTATTCTGCAGCCTTTGGATGAAATATTCTCCAAACATCTATTTGGTCCATTTGGTCTACAGTGCAGATTATGTCTGATGTTTCTTTGTTGATTTTCTGTCTGGAAGATCTGTCCAATTCTGAAAGTGGAGGAGTGAAGTCTCCAGCTGTTATTGTATTGGCTTCTATCTCTTTAGTTCTAATATTATTGGCTTTATATATATCAGTGCTTCAATATTGGGTGCATATATATTTTAAATTGTTATATCCTCTTGATGAATTAACCTCTTCATTATATATAATAACCTTGTTTGTCTCTTCTGATAGTTTTTATCTTGAAATCTATTTTGTCAGATATAAGTATAGCTACTCCTGCTCTTTTTCAGTTTCCATTGGCATGGAATATCTTTTTCCATCCCTTTATTTTCAGTCTTTATGTGTCTTTATAGGTGAAGTGTGTTTCTTGTAGGCAACAGTTCATTGGGTCTTGTTTTTTTTAATCCTTTCAGCTACTTTATGTCTTTTAATTTGAGAGTTTATTCCATTTACAATGTTATTATTGATAAGTAAGGACTTACTCCTGCCATTTCGTTGTTTGTTTTCTGGTTGTTTTGTGGTCTTCTCTTCCTTCTTTCCTTCCTTTCTGTCTTTATTTTAGTGAAGGTGATTTTCTCTAGTAGCATGGTTGAATTTCTCACTTTTTATTTTTTGTGCATCTACTGTATTTTTTTTATTTGAGGTTACCATGAGGCTTGAAAACAATACATTATAACCCACTATTTTAAGATAATAAAAATGTAATACCGTTTGCATAACAAGCAAAAAGACAACGAATAAAAACTCTATACTTTAACTTCATTCCCCCACTTTTTAACTTTTTTGTTTTTCTATATATATTATTACACTACTTCTTGAAAAGTTGTAGTTATTATTTTTGATTGGTTCATCATTTAGTCTTTCTAGTTAGGACACAAGTAGTTTACAACATCACAGTTGCAGTGTTGTAGTATTCTGTGTTTTTCTGTGTACTTACTATTACCAATAAGTTTTTTACCTTCAGGTGATTACTTATTGCCCATTAACATCCTTTTCTTTCTGATTGAAGTACTCCCTTTGTCATTTCTTGTTGGCTAGATCTAGTATTGATGAAATCCCTCAGCTTCTGTTTGTCTGGGAAAGTCTTTATTTCTCCTTCACGTTTGAAGGATATTTTCATCAGACATACTATTGCACAGTAAAAGGGTTTTCCTTCAATGCTTTAAATATGCCACTTTCTTACATGCCACTTTCACCTGGACTGTAAAATTTCCACTGAAAACTCTGCTACCAGACATATTGAATTTCCATTGTATGTTACTTACTTCTTTTCTCTTGTTGCTTTTAGGATCCTTTCTTTAGCCATGATCTTTGGGAGTTTGATCAACAAATGCCTTGAAGTAGTCTTCTTTGGGTTAAATCTGCTTGGTGTTATATAACCTTCTTGTACTTAGATATTGATATTTTTCCCTAGGTTTGGGAAGTTCTTTGTTATTATCCCTTTAAATGAACTTTCTATCCCTATCTCTTTACCTACCTTGTCTTTAAGTCCAATAAGTCATATATTTGCCCTTTTGAGGCCAATTTCTAAATCTTGTAGTTGTGCTTCATTATTTGTTTTTTTTTCTTTTGTCTCATCTGACTGTTTATTTTTCAAATAGCCTTTCTTCAAGTTCATAAATTATTCCGTCTGCTTAATCAATTCTGCTATTAAAAGATTCTAATGCATTTTTCATCATGTGAATTGTGTTCTTCAACTCCAGAATTTCTTATTATTTTTAATTATTTTAATCTTTTTGTTAAATTTATATGATAGAATTCTGAATTTCTCTCCTGGGTTGTCTTGAATTTCTTTAAATTTCCTCAAAACAGCAATTCTGTATTCTCAGTCTGAAAGGTCATATATCTCTGTTTCTCCAGGATTAGTCCCTAGTGCCTTATTTAGTTCATTTGTTCAGCTTATATTTTCCTGGGAGGTCTTGATGCTTGTGGATGTTTGTTAGTGTCTGGGCACTTAAGAGTTAGGTATGGGCCAGGCACAGTGGCTCATGCCTGTAATTCCAGCACTTTGGGAGGCCAAGGCGGGTGGATCATCTGAGGTCAGGAGTTTTAGACCAGCCTGATCAATATGGTGAAACTCTGTCTCCACTAAAAATACAAAATTAGCTGGGCCTGGTGTCGCATGCCTGTAATCCCAGCTACTTTGGAGGCTGAGGCAGGAGAATCGCTTGAACCTGGGATGCAGAGGTTGCAGTGAGCTGAGGTCGCACCATTGTACTCCAGCCTGGGCAACAACAGCAAAACTCCATCTCAAAAAAAAAACAAAAGCGTTAGGTATGGACAGTGGTCTTCACTGCCTGGGCTTATTTGTACCCATCCTTCTTGGGAAAAATGTCTATGTATTTGAAGGGGCTTGAGTATTATGATCTAAGCTGTATCTACATTAATGGAGACCCCAATCCCCACAACAGTGTGGTTCTGGCAGACTCTAGGAGGTACTGACTTGATGATCTTAGAAAGAACTGGAAGAATTCTCCGGATTACCAGGCAAGTCCCTTGTTCTCTTCCCTTTTTTCCAAACAAATGGACTGTCTCTCTGTTATGAGCCACTTGGAGCTGGGATTGCGGTGACACAAGCACTCCTGTGACCACCACCCCTAGGACTGTGCTGGATCAGATTTAAAGTCAACACATCACTGGGTCTTGCCCAAAGCTTGCTGTAATGATTACCTGGCCTATGTTTGCTCAAGGTCCTAGGGCTTTACAATCAGCAGGTGGTAAAGCCAGCCAGACTAGTGTCCTTCCCTTCAGGATGGTTCATTCCCTCAGGTTCTGGGTAGGTCCAGATATGCCATGTAGGAGCCAGAGACTGAAGTCAAAAACCTTATAAATCTACTTGGTGTTCTATTCACTGCAGCTAAGCTGGCACTTAAACCACTCTTCCCTCCCCTTTACACAGGCACCTCTCCCCATGGCCAGCACCAGTTAAGGCCCATGGGGAATACTTTCAAGCTACTGTCAATGTTCAAAGACCCACGGGATCTTCAGTCAGCATATGATAAAGGTTGCCAGGCCTGGGACTCACCTTCATGGCAGTGGGCTCCCCTCTGGCCCAGGGCAGGTCTAGAAATGCCATCCAAGAGCCAAAGCCTGGAATTGGGGATCCCAAGGGCCCACTTGGGGCTCTACCCCACTGTGGCTGAGTTGGTATATAAGGTGCAAGACAAAGTCCCCTTAACTTTTCCCTTATCTTTTATCAAGCTTAAGGAGTTTCTCACCATAGCCACTGTTACCGGGGTGTCCTTGCTCACAGAGCTCCCAAGATGGCAGCGGGCCACTTCCAAGATGGTGGTGGGCCATTTCCAAGATGGTGGTAAGCCTCGTGTTCTCTGACCTGGGGTTCTTGGCCTCACGGATTCCAAGGAATGGAATCTTCGGCCATGCAGTAAGTGTTATAGCTCTATTAGAAGCCGTGGATCATGGAAGAGAACCGTGGAACCCAGTGACTAGTGTTCAGCTTGATTAGGATGAACCTGGGCACTTAGCCATGCAGGAACAATGGCAAGTCTTTAGCCCGATCGGGAGTGGCAATGGGTATCTCACTGGATCAGGAGCACAGTGGACAATGGCAAGTCTTTAGCCAGATCAGGAGTGGCAATGGGTATCTCACTGGATCAGGAGCACAGCGGACACCCTGCCGGATCCAGAGGGATGGAAGTCAGCAGCGGGTCTGCGTTGGCGGCAAACAGCAGTGGTGGACGGCGAGCAAAAGCTCAGCTAGAGCCGTAACAAATACAGACCAGAAGAGAGTGCAGTTACGAGATATAATAGAGTGAAAACAGAGCTCCCATACAAAGGGAGGGGACCCAAAGAGGGTAGCCCTTGCCGGCTGGAATGCCTGGGTTTATATCCCGATCATTGTCCCTCCCGCTGTGCTCTCAGGCAATAGATGATTGGCTATTTCTTTACCTCCTGTTTTTGCTAATTAGCATTTTAGTGAGCTCTCCTTCTTACCTCATTGGTCAGGTGTGATCTAAGTTGCAAGCCCTGTGTTTAAAGGTGGATGCAGTCACCTTTCCAGCTAGGCTTAGGGATTCTTAGTCGGCCTAGAAAATCCAGCTAGTCCTGTCTCTCAGTCCCCCGTCTCAACAGGAAAACCCAAGTGCTATTGGGGAGATTGGTTAATGACTGCTCTAACTGCTTCCTGCTGAATTCAGGTGTAGTAGGGGTTGTGCACTGAGATTTCCTCAGGAGGGGTGCCTTCAATGTCATTAACATGGGAGCATGCACTAGCAGGCTGGTCCAGGGGTCCACAGTAGATTTTAGTCATGGATTGTATCTGGGGCTCCATTTGAAGAGCCATTTGTAGCTTTACAGCTTCAATTCTGGAAGAGACAAACTTAAAAAGGAGGTTAAAGATACAGGGTCCAAAGAGGAGTAACAGTATTATAGTCGCTAGAGGTCCTAAGAAGGGGAGAATCCAGGGCATCCATTGGCTGAGGAGGTCCCAGGGTCTGGTGTTTTGAAGCTCCTCTGCTCTATGTTGTATTCGATCTTGAATTTCTTTAACTTTTTCGGTGACGATTCCAGATTGATTAACGTAATAACAGCATTCTTCCACTAAAAATAAACAGATTCCCCCTCTTTCGGCAGTTAGCAAGTCTAAAGCTCTTCGATTTTGAAGGACTACTGCTGCTAAGGAGTTAAGTTGATCTTGCAAGGTGACCAGGGAGTCGGTGACCCATTCCATGTCACCATTTAATTCTTGAGATAGTTTGTAGTAGAACTGAGTAGAGGTTTTGATACCACCAATGCCAGTACCTAGTCCACCTAGCACTCCTGCTCCGATAACAAAAGGAAGAATGAGCACCCTTTTGTTGCAGAGCTTAGGTACAACATGACTGTATAAATCATGTTCAGTGTAGATGGTCAAAGGGGGCACAAAGAATGAGAGGAAGCACATAGATTCTGAAGAGCCATTCAAACAATGATAAGCTGAGGTACCACAGACAAAAAATATTTCTGAGGGTAGACAGACTATTTGTGTGGGAGGAGTTACCCACCTGATGCATTGAGAGTTGGTTGTGTCTACAGTATTGCTAAATTTTACACAGGTGAGGTGTGAGGTATGGGTTATTTCCAGATTGGAAGCAAAAGGTCCTACTAAAATGGAAGTGGTGTTTATTTCTGTGCTGAAGTTGTTCCATTGTTCAGGTACAGGGATTGAAATGCATGGCCTGAAGTGCAGGGGGAGGCACATCCAACAGTTAGTAGGGTTTTGGGCCAAGACCTCATGGAGCCCAGTGAGGGTGGTATTAAGTAGGCTCACCAGGCAAGTATGGGTATGAAGGGTTTCATGTAGTTTTGAGAGATCTTGTCCTTTGTAGGGGCTAGGGGTGCCAGGTACCTTGGTCAGTTGAGGGATTACTTCCTTTACATGTTTTTCTGTTACCTGATCTTGAACTCCACCCCCATCAGACATACTGGTGTGGGTGAAGTAAGTCCAATAGACAGCAGCTGCAAGTCCTCCAGGACAACTAGGATTAATCACTTTCCCTGTCCAATAGTGAGTATTTGCATTCATGCAAAGAGTGGCAGAGTTATAGCAGTTGCGGGGCATATGGGTGTGGGCATATGGGTGGGGTTTCCCTTAGATAAACTCCTATATGATGGGTCATCAATATCTCTGGGAAGCCGCATTCTCCATAGAAACTCTTGGTAAGGGGAACTACTGGCTGTACAGTGGCATGGAGGGGGTACAGTGAGAGTGAAAGGGGGTAAGAGGACAGTAAAGAGAAAAATATGATAAGGGAGGGCCATGGGGATTTAGATTTCAGTTACTTTCCTCACAGTTGTCTGACAGCCACAAGTCTCCTTTAGCAGTGAGTATGCTGTTCACATCATGAGATGTCCCCACAATAAGATCCCTTCCCTGTATTATTATAACTGCTTTAGATACTAAGACTGCTACTGCCGCCACTACCCATAAACAATGAGGCCAACCCTTTGCCACTACATCAATTTCCTTAGATACGCCACGGGGTGCAAGCTCATCCCTCGGACCCATGTAAGGACTCTTAGAGCGATTCCTGTTTTTTCTGTGACATATAAAGAAAAGTCTTGCCCCATTGGCAAGCTTAACACTGGGGCTTGGGTTAGGGCCTTCTTTAGGGCCTGGAAAGCCTCTTCTGCTTCAGGTATCCATCTTACTAAATGGGTATTGGCTTTCTGAGTTTCCTTAATTAATGTATATAATGGTCTGGCTATTTTGCCGTACCTGGGAATCCATATTCAGCAGAAACCTGTTATGCCAAGGAACCCTCTTAGTTGCTTTAGGGTTTGGGGATGAGGATAAGCCAGTATAGGCTGGATACATTCCTCACTGAGGGCCCTGGTGCCTTTGGATAATTTTAACCCTAAGTATTTAACCTGCTGTAAGCAGAGCCGAGCCTTTGGTTTGGCAACCTTGTAGCCACAGGTAGCTAGGAAATTTAAGAGCGCTTGGGTGGCTTGATGGCACAAGGCTTCTGAATGGGTGGCTAAAAGTAAATCACCCATGTACTGAAGAACAAGAGGGTCCAGGTATAAGAATTGGCTCAAGTCTTGGGCTAATGCCTGGCCAAATAGATGGGGGCTATACCTGAACCCTTGGGGTAAAATAGTCTAGGTGAGTTGAGAAGTTAGGTTTGAAGATCTTCAAAGGCAAACAAGAATTGAGAGTCAGGATGTACAGGGATGCAGAAAAAGGCATCCTTAAGGTCCAGAACTGTGAACCACTCTGCTTCCTCTGGTATTTGGGAAAGCAGAGTATAAGGGTTAGGTACAGCTGGGTATAGAGGGACAACGGTCTCATTGATAATCCTGAGATCTTGCACTAACCTCCACTGTCTGTTGGGTTTCTGTACTCCTAAAATTGGAGTATTGCAGGGGCTACTGCATGGTTTTACTAGGCCTTGGGCTTTTATGTCCTTAACAATCTTTTGGAGCCCTTGTTGGGCCTTGGGTCTAAGGGGGTACTGCTTTTGGTAGGGAAAGGAGGTCGAATCCTTTAGTTTAACTTGAACAAGATGGGCATTCTTTGCTTGTCCATATTGTCCTTCTGTTGCCCAGACTTCAGGATTAATTTCTTCCTCAAGCAGGGGACAACAAATGGGTGTTCCTTCTCCTATGTTCAGGTGTATAATGGCCCCTGCTTTTGCTAGAATGTCTCTCCCTAACAAGGGAGTGGGGCTTTCAGGCATAATTAGAAAAGCATGTGGAAAGAGTAAAGTTCTCCAGTCACAAGTCAGTGGCTGGGAGAAGTATCTAGTGACTGGCTGTCCTAGGACCGCTCGGATAGTGACAGATCTAGAGGACAGTTGTCCGGGACAGGAGAGTAAGACTGAGAAGGCCACTCCAGTGTCCAGGAGACAGTTAACCTCCTGGCCCTCAATGGTCAAGCGTACCCGGGGCTCTGTGAGGGTGATGGCATGGGCTGGCGCTTGCCCCAGGCACCCTCAGTCCTGCTGCGGGAAAATCTGGTTAGTGGCTTCTGACTCAGAGGACCTTCATCCCCTGGGGCAGTGGGCCTTCCAGTGATTCCCTTGACATAAGGGGCATGGATGAGGGGGGCAGCTTATTTCTACTTGGACAATCTTTTTTAAAGTGTCCTTGTAGACCACACTGGAAGCAAGCCCTATTAGGCATTCAATTTGCCCAGCTTTTCCCTTTTCCAGAGCCTCCAAAGTCCACTTGCCTGAGGGCCATGACTAAAGCGGTGGCCTTTTCTTTATCCTGTTTGTCCCGTTCTGCCTGCTCCGCCTGATCTCTATTATAAAAAACTGAGGTTGCCAAGTTCAATAGGGTTTCTAAGTTTTGCTCTGGGCCTAAGGCAGACTTTTGAAGCTTTTTTCTAATGTCTGCAGCTGAATGAGTGATAAACTTATCCTTTAACATTAGTTGGTCTTCAATAGAGTCAGGTGACAGGGAGGTATGCTTCCTCATTGCCTCCCTTAGTCTCTCCAGAAAGGCAGTAGGATTTTCTCCCTTTCCCTGTGTTATAGTGGACATCATTGAATAATTCACAGGCTTATTCCTAGTTTTCCTTAGTCCTTCTAGCACACAAGTTAGTAAATGTCTGCGGCACCAATCTCCATGTTCTGATTCTGCGTCCCAATGAGGGTCTACACTGGGAACTGCCTGCTGGCCTGTGGGGAATCGTTCTCTTTCCTCTGTTGTCATCCTATCATTGACCTGACTGAGATACCAGAGATCACCAAACTCTTGGGCTGCAGTTATGGCGGCACCTCTTTCATTTGGGGTTAGTGTGTGATTTAGCAGTAACATTATATCTCTCCCTGTCAGATCAAAGGATTGTCCTAACCCTTGTAAAACATCAATATAGCCATCAGGGTTATCTGAGAATTTACCTAGGTCTATTTTAATTTGCTTTAAGTCTGAGAGAGAAAAAGGTACATGCACTCTGGATGGGCCGAATTCTCCTCCTCCCACTGGAGGAGGGGGCATAATAGGGGAATATTGGCACTCTTTAGTTCATTGTTTACCCCTTTGTCTATCTCCTTTTGGACTATTTGGGTGGAAGGGTGGGTCTTTATTAGTAGGGGAAGGAGTCAGGGGACACCGCGGTAGGGAAGTAGACTCTGAGGGCTTCCTGTAGGGCATCAATCACACTTTTTACATAATTGCTAGTTGTCTCTTAATGGAAAGAAAATTTGTACATATGGCACTTCACTCCATTTGCCTTATTTTCTACAAAAGAGGTTGAGCTGTAAGATGGTATTATAATTTATACTTCCCTCAGGAGGCCAGGTTTCTCCCCCTTGAAGAGGATATCATGGCCAGGCAGTACTGCAGAAGAATATAAGTCGTTTCTTTCTTAGCGTCTGAGGGTCAAATTGGTCCCAATTCTCCAGAATATATCTTAGGGGCATTTTTGCATTGGCGGGGGGCACATTTCCCATCTGAAAAAAGAATATAGGGATGCCAGCATGGGGATGCTAGTCATTTTCCGATGAGCATTAGTCCTAGAGTGTCCTCTAAGGGCCTAATGCTTATTCTTTTCCAGGGTGCGTAACCACCCATGGACCTTTGCTTATTGGATTAGTTATGCTCAGCGATGTAGCAGTCCTGCACCCCTTTTCCCACTTTTCTTGACCACAAAAAAGGGGCCTGGGCTGCTGGATTCTAGTGGTACTTTACCAGCATGCCCAACATTGCCTTTGTTCTCAGAAGTGAGTTCCTTTCCAGGGTGTGTAACCACCCATGGACCTCTGCTTATTGGATTAGTTACGCTCACTGATGTAGCAGCCCTGCACCTGTTTTCCCGCCTTTCTTGACCACAAAGAAAGGGGTCCGAGCTGCTGGATTCTAGTGGTCCTCTACCAGCATCCCCATCATTGCCTTTGTGCTCAGGGGTGAGTCCTAGAGCTGGCCTGGGTTCCTGAGTATTTCATAACAACCCAGCTGCCCCATCAAGATGCACTCCCATAAAAGCAGTTCTTATGCAAATTCATTTCACAGAGGGTGTAGGTAAAGTTTTGAGTCAGGATTGAGATAGTTTTTTTTATTCTGTAAGTACTTTAAGGCTTGGCTGAGGGCAAACAGCTTGCACGTTTGAGGAGACCAATCATTAGGCAATTTTTCAAACTCTACTTTCACAAGAGTCTCCGTATCAACTATTGAATACCCATTGTGGTTTTTTCCTCAATCACCTGGGAGGAATCATCTATAGTCCTGTCCTGAAGGGAGTTCCTCCTAGGTCTGGTCCGACCTTTGTATGGTAATTAAGATTTAAATCCCCTGTTAGGAAATTTGCTGGGTTAAGGGAATTATCAGTGGTTAGTGTTAAATTACCTTTGTTTTTTTTTTTAACAGAATAGCCCCATACTTTAAGATTTTTGAGTTAGTAAGCTACCTTTTTGCTTTTTTGACTTAGAATAATTCTGAACTGGTGAGGTGTGCCTTTCCCCAGACAGCCTCACACCTGAGTCTTAAGTCCAGCAGCCATGCTAATCATTTTTAACCAGCCGACAGGTGCCCAGTATTTTCCTCCAATTCTAAGGAAGGATGGGACAGAATAGCAAGCGAAAGTGATCCAATATTACTCACCACTTTGGAGGTCCCTTTGTGGTCACCAAAATGTTACCAGGGTGTCCTTGCTCAAAGAGCTCCAAAGATGGCCACGGGCTGCTTCCAAGATGGTGGCAAGCCTTGTTTTCTCTGCCCTAGGGTTCTTGGCCTCACAGATTCCAAGGAATGGAATCTTGGGCCATACAGTAAGTATTATAGCTCTATTAGAAGCCGTGGGTTACAGAAGAGAACCGTGGAACCCAGTGACTAGTGTTCAGCTCAATTAGGACGAACCCAGGCACTTAGCCATGCAGGAACAATGGCAAGCCTGTAGCCCAATCGGGAGTGGCAATGGGTGCCTCACTGGATCAGGAGCACAGTGGACACCCTGCCAGATCCGGAGGGATGGAAGTCAGCAGCGAGTCTGCGATGGTGGCAAACAGCAGTGGCGGACAGCGAGCAAAAGCTCAGCTAGAGCCGTAACAAATACAGACCAGAAAAGAGTGCAGTTGCAAGATTTAATAGAGTGAAAACAGAGCTCCCATACAAAGGGAGGGGACCCAAAGGGGGTAGCCCTTGCCGGCTGGAATGCCTGGGTTTATATCCCGATCATTGTCCCTCCCGCTGTGCTCTCAGGCAATAGATGATTGGCTATTTCTTTACCTCCTGTTTTTGCCTAATTAGCATTTTAGTGAACTACCTTTCCTACCTCATTGGTCAGGTGTGTGCTGAGTGGCAAGCCCCATGTTTAAAGGTGGATGCAGTCACCTTCCCAGCTAGGCTTAGGGATTCTTAGTCAGCCTAGGAAATCCAGCTAGTCCTGTCTCTCACCACCACAGCTGGGAATGTGCTGAGTCTCACCAGAAGTCAATATGTCTCAGAGTCTCACTCAAGGCCCATGGCATAGTAACTGGATATCACTGCTGGTTATTCAGTGCTTAAGGTTTCTTTAGTCAGCAGGTAACAGATCCTGCCAGGACTAGGTCCTTTCCTTCAAGGTAGCAGTTTCCCTTCTGGCCCAGGGCGTATCTAGAAATGTTATCCAGGAGCAAGGGCCTGGAATGGAGGCCTCACAACCCTGTCTAGTGTCCTATCTTACTGTGTCTGTGCTTGTATCCAAGATGCAATAAAAAGCCCTCTTTACTCTTCCCTCTTCTTTCCTCAACCACAAGGAAGTACTCACTTTTGTTGTGAGCTGTGCTGTCTGGGGTTGCAGGAGGGGTGGCACAATCACTCCCTTAAGCCACCCCAGCTGGTGTCTCCCTAGGTTGCATGCTCCCCAAGTCTGAGCCCAGTACAGCACTAGAACTTGCCTAGAAATTGCAATCCTTGTGGCCTAGACTGCCTTTCATGTTTGTTTAGAACCCCAGAGCACTTTGGCACACTGTAGCAAGGCTTGCTGCAACTCAAGTTCCAACTGCTGGGATCAGTAATTCCCTGTCATCTAGGGCTCATCTAAATGCTCTCTCCATGGTCATTGGCTGAGTTCAGCCTTGTTTTGCTTTCCGCTGTGACAGGGCAGCACCGAGTTCAAAGCAAAGTTCCACAATCGCTGTGCTCTCCTTCCCCTAAATACACAGATTCTCTCTCTGTTCCAAGCAACTACTACCAGAGGATGGGGGAGGGGTAGCATCAGCAATTCATAACTATCTTTTCTAACCTCTTCGGTGCCTCTTTCAGCAATATGAAGTTAAAAAAAGGTACTGTGGTTGCTCACCTGATATTTGGTTCCGATGAAGGTGTTTTTTTGTGTAGATAGTTGTTAAATTTGGTGTTTCTCTGGAGGGGGTACATTGGTGGAGACCTTCATTCAGCCATCTTTCTCTTCTCTCTTCACATAGGTATATATTTATGAGAACTCATCAACTGTAAACTTAAAATGTGTAAATTATATTGAATATAAATGTACTCAATAAAGTATTTTTGTAAACAGATAGTAGGAACTTACAGAATATCTAGGAGGATTGGAGAAACAGTTTATGACACTACACATTTAAGAACAAGGATTTGCATTTGAAAGGGGCATTCAAAACCAGAGGTAAATTCTAAGGCTGAGTTCATTAAATACAAGTCATCCTTCCTTCCCATCACCTACCAACACACACATACACACACAACAGTCCTGATTGTGGACTCAGTTCCCTGGTGGGAGAATAGGGCCTAAAAAGAGGCACACCTAGACAATCAAAAATCCCCAAAAGTGACAAAAGTGATGCATTTCTGGGAAGTGAGGATAAATACTGAGGTTGCTGTTTCCGCTCTCCATGGCAGTTAGCACCTCAGCCTCATAATCCCAAAATTACTAAGGAACCAGTGAAAATATATGAAGCATATCACTGATGTGTGAATTGCGTTTTGAAGGAATGAGGGAGAAGGAGCAATGTCCACACCAAGTGTGATGGTTAATTTTGTGTGTCAACTTGACTGAGCAATAAGATGTCCAGATATGTGGTTAATTATTACTGCTATGTCTGTGAGAGTGTTTCTGGAAGAGATTAGAATATGAGTTAGTCAACTGAGTAAAACAGAAGGTTTTTTCCAACAGGGGTGGGCATCATCTAATCCACTGAGGGTCCAAATAGAACGAAAACTGTTAAAAAAAAAAAAAGGGGGGGTGAATTCTCTTTCTGCCTGACTGCTTGAGCTGAGACATCAGTCTTTTCCTTGAACTTGGACTTACACCATCAGAACTGATTCTTAGGCCTTCAGATTTGGACTAGAATTTATACCATTGGCTTTCATGGGTCTCTAGCTTGCAGATGGCTAGATTACCTCCATAATCATGAGTCAATTCCTTATAATAAATCTCATAATATCAAAACCTACTGGTTATATTTCTCTGGAGAGCCCTGACTAATACAGCAGTGTAGAGAGAACAGCGGCTATGAGAACAGGGATAGAGAAGAAACAGTAGCTATAGTTAAGATTGGGAGCAAGGTGTACTAAAACCTTGGAGCAGGGATACCAAGTGCAAGATGTGGGGAAACAAGAACCTTTCTTGGGAATGCACATTAAATATCGGAAAGGCACTGGGTTTCCTACTTTATCTGATGGGAGTATAGGGGCTTATTTTATTGTTATGGAAGTGATGACTTCAAATATGCAGAAAATTAGGTGACACTAAGTAGTTTATTCATACATTATCTAATTTTATCTTCACAACACTCTTATGAGGGAAGGTATTACTTTTCTCACTTTATACACAAGGAAACTGAGACTCACAAAGTTTGAGTAAGTATCAGAAGAAAATAGTATTGAAAGACATGGTCAAGGATTGGTGACATTGGCTCAATGCCAGAACCTCAGCTGCCACATACGGGTCCCTTGAGGGGCCCACAGTGAGTAAAATTGACAGGTATGTAAGTAACTATAAGTAACATCAGCATAGACATAGGAGCTGCATTAAAGAGAGACTAACAAATGAAAGGAGGGAAAATGCCTAATTTTGCTAGACCAATCATAGAGGATGAAATTATCATCTTCTTTTTTCTTTTGCCTGTGTTGAGCACCTAATAATTGTTCTGCTCATAAAGAAACATTAACTCCTAAGCATATACTTTATTTATAGTTAGCAATAGCTTTCTTATTATTAAATAAGCATTAAACATTAAAATAAATACTACTTCTAGTAGAACACTTAATGCAAATTATGTAATAAATGCAGACCCATTCTTTCTACAGCATTTAGTTAGCATCCACTTTAAGGTATTATCTAGATAGAATAGATGAACATGATAAGACATGTTTCTTACTCGAAGTAAACTTAAAGGTCATCATATGTCAACTCTCATAATTTTCCTGGAAGCTATAATCATTCTGAAACTTACACATTGTCCTCTGAGCTTTAAGTTAATTTTACATCAAGGTCTGGAATTTTATTTTCAATTCTGTTCTGGGCACTTTTGCTTAGGCAATCATTTCTGTAATTGTCTTTTTTTTTTTTAGCCTGCTGCTGAAGCCATTTCTCACGGATTTCAACTCCACTAAGTTATTTTAGCTCTAAATTGATTTACATGAGGGAAAGTTAAGAAATTAGCATCAAGGAAAAAAAACAATTAGCACCTATGATAGGCCAAGCACTGGGCATTATAAAAATAAAGAAGTAGTTTCCTCTCAAGGAAATTATAATCTAGCAGTGGCAATCAAAATGAAGCAAATGACCATAATATTGTGCAACATATGCTATACTGGAAATAAATGATATTCTATAGGAAAAGGATGAATGTGCAATTAATTTTGTTAGAGAGTTACAAACTACAAAAAAAGATTTTTTTTCAAATTTCAATTATTTTATTGCTTATGTTACTTTATACACCCAGTGCCTAGCATATTGCTGGTACTCAAAAAATATTTTCTGGTAAAAATGTACCCAGGATGATTTTCATGTGTTCCTTTATTCCTTAGTTTGACTGGGGGAAAAAATAGTTTTTATAAATATCATTTGAAGAATAACCTTCCAAATTATTTCTGTGCTTATAAATATGAATGTGTATGTATAATATAAATAGGTATGCATAAATAAAAGCAAGAGAAGCTGTCATTTAAAAGTTGTGAGCTTATTCTAAATCTTTGAGTGAGATGATCTATAACCTTGGACAGATCTTTATCCATACAGAATCATCCATACAGAATCATATCACATTTTAGTCATGTGATATATGATAGAATATAAAAGTAAAAAGTTTCTAGGCTTGGCAAAGTAATGCTATCTGGTATGCATAATTCATGTATACCAGAGAAAAGGTGCTTAAATTCACATTAGGAGAGTGAGAGCTTTCCTGGATGAAAGAGATTGAGAGACCTCCTTATCCCTCATCTTTTTGGATTCAATGCAAATAGAATATCTCTGCAGCGCTGAAGAGATCCCAGCTAAGGCCAGCTATCTGTAAAGTACATCAAGGGCTCTGAAGAAGTCATTCAAGTTGACAGAAAAGTTGGTCATGAACTGGTGGCCTTGGCTCAATGCCAGGACCTCAGTTGTAATGAGAGAGGTTAGGTGTCAGCATATCACGGGACTGGAATTAGCATCCCTATTCCCAATCACCCTATCACTCTAATTTGGGTGAACTTTAAGGAGGTGATCATATAATTTATCATATAAAACAAGACATTTTTGAGAGTGAAAGACAGCACTATTAACTTTTGCTTTGGGAATAATGGCTACGTATATGAATGTCTATCAGAGAAATTTAACATTGGGACCCAGAATAATATGGATGTGTCCCATTTTAGCTGCTTATAGCATTGGGGGTAGAGGTGATGAATTTTCCTCTCAGCATTGTGAAGAATCAGTGCAGTTTAGTCAATGGCTTGTATGAATGGCAATAGAAGATAGAGCCTCAGTCAAGCCCAGACATTCCTAGAACAAATCAGAGAGAATGGGACTTCAAAACAAGTGGAGACAGCAGCTGTTTAAGTGGTGGATTTATTTGCAATGCCATGTTTCAGATACCTCATGTTTAGTGGCTGACTTAAAACCAACATACCCTTGTCCAGAGCATTTAGTTTCCTACAGTGGTGGTACAGTCCTCTGGCCTCTAGGAATCAAACTCACTCTCATCATCATTCTGAAGGTTTCAGGCCTTAATGTCACTCCTCATAGATCATCTCTCTGTTATTTTCATATAAATTAATTGTCCCCACTACACTGTCAGAATGTAGAGGATAGTTAAAACCATGGAGCAGCCAGGCATGGTGGTGCACACCTGTAGTCCCAGCTACTTGGGAGGCTGAGGCAGGAGGACTGCTTGAGTCCAAGAGGTCAAGGCTACAGTGAGCTATGAAGGTGCCACTGCACTCCAGCCTGGGTGACAGAGCAAGACCCTGTCTCTAGAAAAAAACAAAACAAAACAAAAACCATGGAGTAAATGATATTGCCTAGAGAATATTGTAAAGTATAATATAAAAGACAGGGAAGCTCTAGAAAACACAAATATGTAAAGGGCTATATAGGAGGAGAGAAGTTAAAGATTGGTGGCTAAAATTGTAATAACTAACATTTTTGAGTGACAGCTCTGAGACAGGAATTCTATGAAGTGTTTTTATAGTATTATTTTATATACTTATTAAATGTTTATTTACATAGGTAAAATGCTACATTCTGTTCATTTGGTTGTTAGAAACAAGACAGGTACATGAGCTATCATAGGGTTTGTATTATCTGGGAAGAAGATATTAAATGACTATTTATACATGAATTTTGATAATTAAAAACTGTTCATACAATTTGACCTTGAACATCCTTTGGGACCTTGAAAAGTTTGTTTTGCAGATGGCTGTTGGAAAAAAAAAAAAAAAAAGCATATAGGCCACACTAGCTGAAATCTCTGAAACTGCCCCTTCCCATCTGTCCCTCTAGGCACACAGCCTATTTCACTTAATTTACACATAACGACTTTCTAATTGTTGACTTAAGCGCCTTGCATAAGAGGTTTCCTTAGAAACTGCTTCAGAAACAGTTTAATGTTACAAAAAAATTCTAAACTTAGAACAGAAAATTGAGTGAAAATTAAAAGAAAATAAATTGGTGTCATTGTTAAAAGAAATGGTATAATTGGACCTATCAACAGTCACCAGCATGCACGCCTGAGCCCCCACCTAAAATTGCTGAGAATTTCTTCTCCTATGTATTCAAAAGGCTTCTCAAAAGAAATAAAGATTTCCAAGATTTTTTTTTCTCTTTTTCTCATTTGGAAATATTTGCTTCAAAAAAAAAATGAACGAAAGAAAGAAGAAAGAAAAAAGAGAGGGAAGGAAGGAATGAAGCAAGGAAGGAGGGAGGGAGGGAGGGAGGGAGGAAGGAAGGAAGGGAGGGAGGGAAGGGAAGGGAAGTCTGCTGCCCAAAGCAGAAACTCAGAGGATTCATACATCCATTTCAAATCTGTTGAATACCTTTTACCCACCAACCACTAGGCTGCAACAACGAAACCACTAGATCTCAAAAAGCCCTCTCACTGCAGACTTTGAATTTTTCCCTTCCTTCTAAAAGAGTATTCAGAGCACTGTAGCAAAAACAAGTTAATGTAGCATACACTTAGATCATATGACCTTGGGTAAGCTACATGAACTCACCGGTCAAGATTTCTTCAATAATAAAACAGAGATTAAAATGGTACCTATCTCAGGGATTTGAAGATCATATAAGATAATGCATTGGGTATTCAATGACAGTATTTATGCGTTTCTTTAAACTAAAACATGTATTGAACTCCTACTACGTATCAGGGGCTAGGAATGTTGTAAGATGAAGATGATACAGGAATGTTGTAAGGCTAAGAATGTTGTAAGAAGAAAGACGAAGATGATACAGATGGTGATCTCTTTTTTCTTTTTTAGTCTGTGCTAGCATGGTTGGTGTCTTTTAGAGCTCACAGTTTTGTCCTCATAAATGACTCTGCCATTTGCATTTATACGGACAAATTTATTGTTTGGTAAAGGATGTATTTAAAAGAGTAACAAAATTTGAAATACAAATAATAGATATATACTGATTGGGCTTAATAGAAAAATGAACTGAGAGTTTTTTTCTAAATGCTGGAACTCCATCTTTATATTTAAAAATAAAAATGGGGGGCCGGGCGCAGTGGCTCACACCTGTAATCCCAGCACTATTTGAGGCCGAGGCAGGCCGATCACGAAGTCATGAGATCGAGACCATCCTGGTTAATGCGGTGAAACCCCGTCTCTACTAAAAATATAAAAAATTAGCCGGGTGTAGTGTTGGGCGCCTGTAGTCCCAGCTACTCGGGAGGCTGAGGCAGGAGAATGGCGTGAACCCGGGAGGCAGAGCTTGCGGTGAGCCGAGATTGCGCCACTGCACTCCAGCCTGGGCGACAGAGCGAGACTCCGTCTCAAAATAAATAAATAAATAAATAATAAAAAAAATAAAAATGGGATTATGCTTGAGGGTTCATGCCTCTAATCCTAGCACTTTGGGAGGCTGAGATGGGAAGATTGAGACTAAGAGTTCAACACCAGCCTGGGCAACACAGGGAGACCCCAACTGTTAAAAAAATTAATTAATTAATTAACAGGGCATGGTGGCACATACCTGTAGTCCTAGCTACTTGGGGGGAACACTCGAAGTCCAGGAGTTCAAGGATGTGAGGAGCTCTGATCCCACCACTGCACTCCAGCCTGGGCAAAAAAGTAAGACCTATATAGTTAAGTAATATTTTAAAAAATACATATCACAATTCCTTCAATTCTTTGTCTAGAGGAAGAATTCAAAATACAGAGCATTTTCTGGCTAACACTGGAAAGAGAATTTTGAGACCTTGTCTGTTTTTTCCTTTGTAATCCTCAGCTTCAGCCCCTCCACACTTTAAACCTTTAACTGGAAACCTTTCAAAACTGATAAAGTATGCTGTTAACATTCATGAAATGAAAACAGTAAAACAGTTCTCAAGTGAAGGCAACGTGCCCCACCGACAAGGATTTCACTATAATATAATTAGAAATAGTAATTCTTTCTTTCTCCATTGTAGACAGGAAATCACTAGCATAACAAGTAGTGGCTTCAGATTTACTTAAAGATAACACGTGAATGAGTTATCCAAAAAGAGTTTGTCTCCCTTAATGATTAACACATTTTATGACAGTCCTTCAAATGATGGAGAAATACTTCCCAACATCATATTGCCTTCTGTAGTTCCTGCACATAAAATATCCCTTTCCCTGATGCAGAATTTCTTTCACCCTTTTTTTCTTTGCTCCTTTGCCAACTGTATTTTTATAGATGTTCTCCATCACATTTAACTTTCAATGTGAGTGCTGCTGTCTGAGGAAGCAAAGAAAAGAAACTCTAAGATGAATATAATTTGAATGTGTGAAGGGAGAACTCTTGGAAGAAGAAAAGAACGTTCTTAACTGGTATACGTAAGTGTACGACTCTGTATTCTATATGATTGAGTATACAAATATATAAAATATAATGTTCAGTTTTACGTGGATAACAAATAGTAAGCTCAAGTACTTATTTGATATAGATTTTAAACTAAGAAAAACCATTCTACACTTTTTAAATGTCAGAAGAAATGAATTGTTAATAAGCTAAAGACAAAATCACAAGGTTTAAAAAAAATGGCTCAGATATTCACAAGCCCTCTTATCTGTCTCTCATCTCATTCTCATTGGCCGGGCGCAGTGGCTCACGCCTGTAATCCCAGCACTATGGGAGACCGAGGAGGGCAGATCATGAAGTCAGGAAATCGAGACCATCCTGGCTAACATGGTGAAACCCCATCTCTACTAAAAATACAAAAAATTAGCCTGGTGAGGTGGCGGATGCCTGTAGTCCCAGCTACTGGGGAGGTTGAGGTAGGAGAATGGCGTGAACCCGGGAGGCGGAGCTTGCAGTGAGCCAAGATCGCGCCACTGCACTCCAACCTGGGTGAAAGAGAGAGATTCCATCTCAAAAAAAAAAAAATAAAATAAAATAGCTCAGATATTCACAAGCCCTCTCATCTGTCTCTTCTAGTTTCGTATACACTGTTAGTGTTACATAAAATCTATTGTGTTATAATGTGATCCTGTGTTCCTAAAATTTAGTTATCCAAATTCATGCAGTAAAAACAATTGTTTCAGTGGAGGAAAAAGAGATTGGGGGCAAGAGAGTTGCAAACTCAACAATAAATTTAGTTTTCCTGCAAGACTTTCAGTAATAAAATTGGCTTCTTAATGAGTTTAAGTACATAGCTATAAATGAAACTTATAGTTCTTGATAATGACTCAAGAAAGAGATCTTGCTTTCATATTATTGCACTAAGATTAACACATTATTTCTGAGTTTTATAATGTTTTTTATTCATTTTTATGAAGAACAAACATCAACAACAGATATGCTACTGCAAGCCAAGAATTATTTTACCCCTATATTCTGGATGCCAGTTTTTCATTATGATTTCTTGCATTACAGCCATGTGTTCTATGTAATATAAGTCATATTCTTTTATTAATCATTACTTTTTAAGTAAGGAAAAATGGCATTTTTTTCTCAAAATGAGTATTAGCAAAAGAGTTAAAATATAAAAACCATAAACTCACTGATAAGGTCTCTCCTTCCTCCACAATGACCACAAGATTTAAGAATATGGAAGGTACCTATATGCGAGGACATTTTAAGTGCTGCTCCTGCTTGGGACTGGGAACAGAGCATATGATAACTATTCTCTTTCTCAAGGGGTAATCTATAAATCATTATCAGTAGACATCTAAAAAGGTATTATGATACATGTAATTTGCTCTAAAATAGTTCAGCAAAGACAATGTAGTATTTAAATTAATACGCCAGTGAGTTTAAGTTTCCACTCTAATGTAAGAAATTACTCTATAAAGGAGTAAGGATACTTACTCCAAGGATAGTTAGCAGGTATTATTTCAGAAAGGTCACACTCCGAGGGGGGCACTGCAGGCATTTTGATTAGCCTTATCTCTTCCGTCAACAGCTCAGACTTCACTAACCAGCACAGGAAGTATCAGAAATGGCTTTTATTAGCAACTTCACTGGTTTGTTATTTAGCAAGATAGATTTCAGAAATAGGCTCGAGGTATTCAGGACATGAATTAGCTAAAATATTTTCATGATTTTTCCTAAACATACTTGAACAGAGTCTACGAATCTTGGAAGCTTCTGTCCTGCACCCTTATAGGTAATGATCAGGCTTGATCCTTAAAAGTCCTCCTTTGAGCTCTTGGATTAGGAGGAATTTCAGTTGCCTTGTTCTTACTTCTGTATTGATATATATGGTTCCTCAAAAAAAAAAAAAATCATTCTTGTAATGAAGTGGCCAAAGCATCTAAAAAGACAGAAGACTGGGACTTCATCAAGCTTACCTAACAAAGTATATAAACAGCTGTGTCTCTATTTGCCAAAATATCTGAATGTATGGCATTTTTGGTTTAAGAACTACTTTCATTATGACCAAGTAGCCAGGTCATAGGAGAGTAACTTAGAACAAAAAGTTCCAACAAAAAGTGCTATAGGTGATTTAAGACTGGTCATATGTAATCTCAAAGTTTATGTCCTAGTCCCAAGCTAAGTTTCTATATGGTACTGAATAATATCTTATTAAAAGAGAAATTATATTTATTCTTTTAATTCTGCTGAGGGCAGCTTAGAAGGAGTAAGGGATGAGTGAGCTTGGGAAAAATAGATGGCATATAGTTAACTGCTGCAGTAGTTCTTGGACTAAAAAATTTTGAAAACTACGGCTCCAGAGGAATTTTCTGGTTCTTCTGCCTCCTTTGGATGACAATATTCCCAGAATAATAATTTATCCCACGGATAAGGCAAAAGAATGGTGAACAGAGAAGCACAGAAAAACAACTTGAGGAGACAGATGACAAATTCATCAGGTGAAGGATGATTTTTTAAATTTGAGCCTGAATTTTCAATATCTCTTAGTTTCCAAATCATCTATACTCTAATGCTTATAAGAAATGGGAACATCATGTAATTGAGTGAAATTAACTGGATGTAATCCTGGTGGATTGGAAAGCACATACCTTATCTAAAACAAGAAAAGCTTCCCAGTTCCTGTCAATAGCAGCCAGGTTGAAGCATGGGTCAGATCTTCCCATTTTTCTAGAGAATTCCAAAATACATATTAAATAGGAAATCTCCTAAACGTTGCAGGTTTACTATTAATACTGCTGCAGGAAAGGATTAACTCAGCAGGTCTGGGTTGTCCACATCCTACCCATTCCAATGAAAGGTTGCCTGGTTCCTGGAATGTAATCTCTAAAGCCTTGGAATATTTTGTTCAACAAGAGTATTTTGTTTACATAAGGGTCTTGGACCACACCAGACAGTCTATACTAAAATGTAATTAGTGTTGGGGCTTTGGACCATGTGGTATCTGCTTGAGCTCTAGAAGAGCTGGCGACAAATGTCAGGCACACAGCCAGTCACCCATAGTTTTGTGATCAACCAACAAAAACACTGCATGTCAAAAATCAGGTGAGCTGCCCTGGTTAGCAATATTCCCTGTATGTTATCATACTTTGTTGTTGGCAGAGGACAAGTAGAAGAAGCTTGTGCCTGATGTTCCCTGAACTTTACCCTATGAACTTTTTCCATTGTTGATTCTAATCTGTATCCTTTTGCTGTAATAAGCCATAATCATGAATAAAATAGCTTTTCTCTATTCTGTGAGTCCTCTACCTAATCATTAAACCTAAGTGTGGTCATAGGGAACCCCAAATAGAAACACTAATGTTTAAGATACCAGATAGAACCAACTACATGGGGCATATTTGGGTGCAGATCATCAGTTTGGAACTTCCGATCTCTAATTCTAGCTCCCTGTGCCGAGGTCAGTGTTAGAAATAAGCAAATGCCAATGTTGAAGCAGAACACTGATGCAGAGTAGGCACAGGGGAGTTTTTGATTGACTTTAGGGGAAAGTTTAGGGAAAAAATTCTGGGGAATTTAAACTGGGTTGAACTCACTGGAAATTAACATTTGTCTTCTTCGGGTAGACACTGAAAGGATATCAGGGTTTTTGTAGCCTTAAATTTAATACAGAGACCAAAGTTATATATTTAATTCTAAAATTTGCCTCTAATTCTTCTTTTGTGTGTTGATTCATAAAAATATGTGATGTTACTATTCATGTCACTGCTGCTTAGTTACTTCTTTCTGGGCCTTAAAAAAGATGTGAATAATAGTAATCCTAAGATTCCACAATAGCAACTTAAGCAAAAACTGGAAATAACAACATAAAAATAGTGAGAAATCAACTTAGTTAGCTCAATTTAACAAATGTTTCTTGAGCATTTAATGTCATTCCAAAACCTGTGTGAGGTTCCAGAGAGACACAAATAAATAAGACACAGTCTTTGTCTTAACAAAACTTGGAGAATCAGGAGGGAAGAAAATGTTCCATAGAGAAAGCAATGCTAGTTCAACTATAAAACACTGTAGAGTAGTCCTCCCCTTATTTGCAGTTTTGAATTCCATGGCTTCAGTTACTTGTGGCCAACTGTAGTCTGAAAATATTAAATGGAAATTTCCAAAAACAAACAATTCATAAGTTTCAAATTGCATGCCATCCTGCGTATCATGATGAAATCCCATGCCATCCCTCTCCAACCTGCCTGGGTTGAATCTGGACATGAATCACCCATTTGTCCAGTATACTGTCTACTCTACTTACTGGTTACTCACAGTAGCCATCTTGATGATCAATCAGATCGACTGCTGTAGTATCACAGTGCTTGTGTTCAAGTAACCCTTATTTTATTTAATAGTGACTCCAAAGTGCAAAAGTAGTGATGCTGGCATATTGTTATTGTTGTGGCTTTTGTCGTTGGGCAAGTGGGAGGGAATGACACCCAAAGGCTTTTTCTCTCCTGTTGCTTGGTGAGAGGGAAGTAATGGTGCCCAGCAGCTTCTTCGTTCCTGTACTTCAGTGAGCAAACGAGAGGGTTACAGCTCTTTTATTCCCACTGGCTGCAGCTTGGTGAGCTGGTCAGGATCATCACAGCTCTATCCCTTTCACAGTTCGGCAATCAGGAGGGAGGGTTACAGCTCTTTCATTCGTGCCACCAGCAGCTCTGTAAGCATTACAGCTCTTTTGTTCCCACCACCTGTAGCTCAGTGAGTTCTGGGATCTTCTCCCATGACCAAGAGGAATAAAGTATGCAGGCACTGGAGAGTGAGTAAGGCAGGGAAGAATTTTATCAAGTGACAGAAGGAAAGCTCACAGCTGCCAGAGGGGACCCTGAAAGTGGGTAGCCATCTGTGAGGCTGAGTCTGGGGTTTTTATGGGCTTAGAATGGGGAAGTGCATGTGAATTGGTCAATGAGTAGTCTTGGAAAAGGCACCATTCAACTGGTTAAAAGGCATCATCCAGAAAGAACCAATTGAGAGAGAGTGGATAAGACGGGCATAGAAGTTCTCACTCTGGTTGTGGACTCTACCCTGAACTGGCAGCTGAGTTTTCAGGCTTTAAACTCTCCCTGGTTTGAAGATTGGGTTTTGCCCAGGGACTCATCCCTGCCTACCTAGGAATTTGTCTGTCTCCTGTTGCTATCATTATGATTGTTCTATTGTATTGTTAGTTATTGCTGATAATCTCTCACTGTGCCTAATTTATAAATTAAGCTTTATCAAAAGTATGTATGTATAGGAAAAACATATACAGAATTCAGTACTAGTTGAGGTTTCAGGCATTCACTGGGGGTTATAGCTAAGGGAAGATTACTGTATTCACATTTTTAAAATCTGTTCCTTTCTCCTTTATCCTCTGGAAATGGGTAAATGTTTTTTTCACCTATCTCAAAGTCAACTAGAACAATCTCAAAGATTATTTTGAGCTTATCATTCTCATTTCTAAAGTAACCTAAATCAGGTTGGTTTGCAGACTGTGGCATCTTTCTCAAAAGCTGGTGAATGTTTTGAGCTGGCCCTTGACTGCCTTCTGAAAGATGGAGGCAGCACTATTGCTCATCAGATTGTTGTCTTCACTGCTCACCCTGACTCCTTTTTCCTAGTTTTTAGTTATTTTGTTACTCTCATGTCCAGAACTTTATATCACACCTTTTCAGTCTTAAAAAATATTATTGAAAGTCTCATCCATCATCTCTTTTCCAGGAGATAAAGTATCAGTCTCTTCCTGAGGCTGCAAAGTAGATAAATCAGTTATAACTTTGGCCCAACATAAGAAGCAGTTCTTAGGAAAGGTATCAGGTTGGAAGAATACAAATGAGCTGTTAGGAGGACTTGAGAAACTGTTGTTGCTGCTTAGGGAATTTGGCAGTACAGTGTCATTATAAGCAAATATGTTATGCATGTCATTCCATAGTGAAACAGTTTTTGTAAAAGGCACAGTAGCATCTGGATATCTCTAAAATTCTTAAGGTACAGAAAACAGAATAATTAAATAAGCAATAAGATGTCATCCTGTGGGGGAGGAACTTATATAAGAGAAACTACAGCATTACACATACTATCTCTATTCCATGACATACATTACTAAATTATGTAAATTTCATTTGGACCTCAGAGGAAAGGGAATCTTTACTATTCATTATACTTATCAGTAAAATAGAACATCTGCTTAATTTTCCTGTTGTTCTGTAAAATGAATTTATCTTGCCCTTTCCTTTTACATTAAGGACAATTACCAAATGAACAAATGTATAAAAGTTACATAAAAACAATCTACTAGAAGTATGTTAATTTATTGCTTATAAAATACCATAATATAAAAAAAGTTGCTGAAGACAATAGCAACAAATGAACAAGATGGAAGGAATAACAGGGAAACAGAATACCCAGCATTTGTTCAAAAGGGAGACATTTTTTTCAACCAATTTAACTTAAAAATCGGAAGCCATTTTAACCTCCAAAATAGCTTTAACCTCCAAAAATAGCATGTTTTACTTCTTCTCCAAACAAAACTTTGATGTTCTAATTCTGTTATCTTCTGTAAAATAAAATCCACTCAACATTTTATCTTATAGTACCTCTGCATTGTCTATTGGCAAAAGAGTAACCATCTAAGTACAATGTTCTATTTTTTTCTTCAGAGTCTATGATGGTTAATTTTATGTGTCAATTTGGCTAGGCCATGGTGCCCATATATTTGGTCACACATTATTCTTGATGTTTCTGTGAAGGTATTTTTTGGATAAAATTAACATTTAAATCAGAAGATTTTGAGTAAAGCAAATTACCCTCCAAAATGTGGGTGGGTCTTATCCAATCAGTTGAAGCTCTTAACAGAACAAAGGCATACCTCCCCTGAGCAAGAAGGAATCTGCAGCAGACTGTATTTGGATTTGAACTTCAACCGCTTCCTGGATCTCCAGCCTGCCAGCTTACCCTGTAGATTTTGGATTTACCAAGCCTTCACTGGTTCTGCTTCTCTGGAGAATCCTAATATATATTAGGATAATATAATACATAATATATAAATAATATATTAGTTATAACTTGTATTTAATATATAAATACTATAATATATTAATAATTATTATGTGTAATATATAAATAATATTCATAATTTAAATTTAATAACAATTTAAAAATCAGTTTATAGTACATTAATAACACAAATTATATATAATTCAGATAACAAGGAGTAAATATGTAATTATATATATTTATATACTTCTTGTTATCTGAATATATTCAGTTAGTAAATTCAGAAAGGAGAATACAAGTAGTGAAGAGAACCTATATTTGAACCAGGATAAATCTTAGAAATCATCTAATCCCCTGGTGTTTATTTTGTAAAAGCTATGCAGCTATTTTTTGAAATGAAAAATGATACAGAAGCCCATTGTATAAAACAGATAAAAGAACTACACTAATTAAAACAGGAATAGGCATACAAAAGCTCCCCGTTTTTGACTCTTGACTTCTTATTACTGGAGCAAATCTGGAACTTCCAGGGAGGATCTAGAGTTCTACAGCATGCAAACACTCCCTTGAATTGCAGATGTTAAAAGATAAATCCTGAAAGCAAAGGGAAAAGATCTGCCCAAGGTCCCAGTACAAGGTATTGGAAATTTGAAGACTGAGCTCAGTTCTCCTACTTTTCATATAATACAATATTCTTTTTGCTATTTCCCATTGTCCCTCAAGCTTTGTAAACTTTACAATGTTTTCTAATTAAGAAACTGTGAAATTAGGTAAATCTAGAAGTTGTATCTACATTGTTTAAGAAATGCTATATTTCCAAAGATGGGAATAATAAGATGATTTATTTGCATTTGTAAAAGTTGAGAAGTGCATAAACCATGAGTGAGGACAAAGCTGAAGATACTAAGAAATTGACATGACAAAAATATAAATAATTAAATATATTATTTAAATCTAAAAGGTTACAGTAATAAAGTATGAGAAAATTTAGTAACCAGGCAAACTGCTATAAAAGGCACATCACATTTTTCTGTGTTAATTACAAGTCTGCAGTGAAAAAGCCCCATGTTAACTTAGTTCAAAGCCACTTTCTACTTGAGTTAACACTTAATCAGGGTCTCAGTGAGGAAGAAGAGTCAGCAAATTAAAGAGTATGATCTATATGCACTCCTAATGTGCAAAGTATATACTTCTATAGAGTGTATACCACATTATGGTCTACTAATGCCCTCTAAGTACATTGTTTTCCTTGTTTATTTTAGCTTAGATCTTTGTTACTTTACTATAAACTAGCTTGTAAATTGTTATTAAATTTAAATTATAAAATTGTCATTAGTCAAAAGTATAAAAAATGTAAAAATCAAGTCTCATTAGTACTTTCACAAGCTGATGTATTAGTTCCTTTTTTTTCTTTACAACTTTCTTTTTTTAATTTTCAATTTTTTTATTTCAATATGTTTTTCAGGAACAGATGGTGTTTGATTACATGAAAAACTTATTTTGGCGATTTCTGAGATTTTGGTGCACCCATCACCCAAGCAGTGTACACTGTACCCAATGTGTAGTCTTTTATCCCTCACCACCCCCACACTTTTCTCCAAGTCCCCAAAGTCCAATGTATCTTTCTTATGCTTTTGCATCCTCATAGCTTGGTTCCCATATACGAGTGAGAACATACAATGTTTGGCTTTCCACTCCTGAGTTACTTCACTTGGAATAATAGTCTTCAATTCCATCCAAGTTGCTGTGAATGCCATTATTTCATTCCTTTTTATGGCTGAGTAGTATTCCATGGTGTGTGTGTGTGTGTGTGTGTGTGTGTATATACACATATATATATATCACATTTTGTGTGTGTGTGTATATATATGTATCACATTTTATGTGTGTGTGTGTGTGTGTGTATATATATATATATATATATATATATATATATATATATATATATATCACATTCTCTTTATCCACTCATTGATTGATGGGCATCTGGGCTGCTTCCATATTTTTACAATTGCAAATTTTGCTGCTATAAACGTGCGTGCAAGTATCTTTTCATATAATGATGACTTCTTTTCCTCTGGGTAGATACCTAGTAATGGGACTGCTGGATCAAACAGCAGATCTGCTTTTAGTTCTTTAGGGAATCTCCACACTGTTTTCCATTGTGGTTGTACTAGTTTACATTCCCACCAACAGTGTAAAAGTGTTCCCTTTTTACCGTATCTATGCCAACATCTATTATTTTTTGATTTTTTGACTATGGCCATTCTTGCAGGGATGAGGTGGTATCACATTGTGGTTTTAATTTGCATTTTCCTGATACTTAGTGATGTTGAGCATTTTTCCATATGTCAAGCAGACGTATTAGTTTTTCTATTGATACATAACAAATTACCACAAATTCAGCAGTATAAAATAATAACCATTTATTAGTTCACAGTTCTATATGTCAGAGGTCTGGGTGAAGTCAGCTGGAATCTCTGTGTTAGGGTCTCACAGCCCCAAAATCAAGGTGTCAGCCATGCTGGGCTCCTATCTGGAGGGTCTGGGAGAATTGACTTCCAAGCTCATTCAGATTGTTGGGAGAGTTTAGTTCTTTGCATTTGTAGAACTGAGGTCTTCATTTCTTTGCTGGCTGTTGGCCAGACATGCTCTAAGCAACTGGAGGCCACTCACCAGTTCTTGCATGTGTCTTTAAAGCCATGAGTGGTGCATCAAATCCTTCTTGTGCTTTGAATCTATCTAACTTTCTCATCTGCCACCAGCCAGAGAAAGCTCTCCACTTTTAAAGAACTCATGTAACTATATTAGGCCTCCTCTGAAAATCCCCCTTTTGATTAATTCTAAGCTTACTGATTAGTAACCTTACTTACATCTGCAAAATGCCTTTGCCATCTAAGATAACATAATCATGGGCATGATATCCCATCACAATCACAGTTTCTTGTCTTGAGGATTAGGGCAAGAGCAGTTGGGCCATCTTTAGATTTCGGCCCATCACAGTTGACATCTGCAATTAAAACAACTATTTTCCACTCTCCCCCAATAGAAAAAGGGCTCTTTTGGAACACTCAGTTCCACATCCCCAAATTCCAATGCCTGTCATTTCCCTCTCCTACCACATGAGGCTTCTAGAATGAATTCAGTCTTCCCTACACTTTTCACTTAGGTTTTGCTGAAATATTTTAGCATTTATTTAAATATTTATAATAATGTGTTTCCTGTGTTTCAGCAATTCTTACATTCTGTTGCTGATGTGCAGACATTTTGCAGTCATTCATGAAGATTCAATTATTGTCTATCTTATCCACTGCAGTATCCCCATTGTCAACAACTAAGTTTGGCATATATTAGGCATTCAATAAATATTTGTTGATTGAATGAATTAATATGTATGTATGGCAAGGCTCATTGTTTATTTTTTTTCTATTCACTCTATCTTTTCTTTGGCTTGAGTTCTTATTTTTGGTTCAGTTATATTTTATCTCGACTGTCTCAAGTATTTTTCTCAGAGGGGTTACATGGATGACTCACACTTTGAGTTGTTACCTATACTTGACTATCTTTATTCAGGTGACTAATATCCTGGCTGGATATGGAACTCTTGAGTTGCTATCCTTTTTCTCTGATGTCATTCTATCATCTTTTAGTTTCTTATGTTTAGAGATGGTTATTCCAGTGGCATTATGATTCATTTTTTCTCAGTAGATAATGCAATCTCTCTTCTGGAAGGTTATAACAAGTTTTTATTTATCTATTCGATTTTAAGAATTTTACCTACAAATAACTGGATGACTATCTTTTCTCAGCCGTCTAGCCTGGACCCCTGTGAATACTTTGAATATGCAGACTCATGACTAGGTTCAGCCTGAGAAATGTTTCCCTGGAATTTGTTTATCTATTGCTTCTACTGTATCTGCTCTCTTTTCTCCTCACTTATTGCCCAGATATTTAATTTCCTGGATTTACCCTTCAATCTTTTATCCTTTCTCTTATAATTTCCATATAGCTTTTGGCTCTATGTTTGACATTATTTCTTGCACTTGGTCTTTGGGACTACTAACTTGGGTCTCAAAAGGGACCATTACTTCATGTGCGGAATATATTAATTTTTAAGTCATGTTTTTAGTTTTTTTTGTTGTTTTGTTTTGTTTTGTTTTGTTTTGAGACGGAGTCTCGCTCTTTTGCCCAGGCTGGAGTGCAGTGGCACGATCTCGGCTCACTTCAACCTCCACCTCAGCCTCCTGAGTAGCTGGGATTACAGGCACATGCCACCACACCCGGCTAATTTTTGTATTTTTAGTAGAGACAGGGTTTCACCATATTGGTTAGGCTGGTCTTGTACTCCTGACCTCGTAATCCGCCTGCCTCACCCTCCCAAAGTGCTGGGATTACAGGCGTGAGCCAATGCACTGGGACTCAAGTCATGTTTTTACGACAGGAAGTATTTTCTGTGCAGCCCTTTGGTCTCCCTAAGTACACAATTTAATTGAAGTTTTCATCTGTCTCTTCCCCAGTACTTCTGTTTCTTTATTACCATGGCACATTTTCTGATGGCTTAACTGTTTCTTCTCTTGGGGGTAGCTGGACACTCTTAGGTGAGCTGTTGTCTTTCTTTGTAGCTTATTTGGGACTTAGATTTTATTGATGAGATAGAATAAAGGACACTGGAGGCAAATGGTTGTTAGGATATGGGACCTGTGATGAAAAGGTGGGGTACCAGGCACTGCAAAATATTTCTGCAATCTCCTACCCTGAATGACAAGGCAGAGGCAAATTAGCCAATCCACTGTCTCCTGGTCTCTGGACACTTAGTAAGGAGGGACCTAGCACACTCACCTGGAATCAAGGTGGGCATATCTTCAAGATTTTCCCAGGATTAATTGCCCCAGGTTTTCACTCCATAATCCAAGGAAGCCCCACACCAGTTATCACCAAAAGGATCCCACAGTGCGTAAGGCCTCAACCACACCCCAGGGCCCACAGACTCCAGAGATACCTAGCTTAAGAGAGTCTAGTCGCTTCAAATTGAAGTAGAAGAAAGGGAGTTGTATTCTGATCACCACATTCCTAGAATTACCTAAACTTATTTAACCACAGAACATTCTCATTGAATGACACCTATTACCATCCTAATAGCCAATATTCAGAATTAAAAGTTTGAAGAACACACTTTGGAAAATGCAGATAAACACATCGTGTTAGGGAGCATCATTAATGCAAATTGACTTGTCAGGTTAAAATTTTTTCACAGTGGCTTTGGTCATGGTCAATATTTCAAAAGCAGTGCTTTTGATAAACCAAGAAAGAAAATCATTAAAAAAGGAAATAAAAGTAAAATAAATGTCTCTAAGTTCACACAATGTTATCTGCATATTTTGAAAACAATTTCACTATTTGGTGGGAAGTCAAATGAAGCCATACACAAATTTAATACTCAAATGAGGGGAAAAAAGTTGGCATCAGGGCATTTGCTGCTTGCCAAGCTGAAAGAATGTTATTGAAGATCCCTTACATAAATGTTCCTTGACCTTTGAGTGAACCAACAGGTCTTAAAAGTTGCATTTGCCAAAGCAAGTTCCCATAGCAAATAAAGTTTTCAGATGAGTGCATCAGATTTTTTTCCCTCTTCGGCCTAAAGAGGAATTACCATCAGCCATCACCAGGAAGAGCAAGTTAACTTTTCAGGTTGTTTCTCAGAGACCATTTAAAGTCTGTGCTATAGAGTAGGCATGGCTCCAGTTCCAGAAGGAAGACTTGGGTCAAGTAGCTCACAGGCAAATGACTTAAATGCTTCTTATAAGATACTACCTGAAACAATCTCTGCTTAAAACATCCGATCTCCATATTGTCGGATCTTCCTATAACTCTGGGATGGCAGCTTTTAGTAGCAGCTAAAGATGTAAGTATTTTAAAATCTATTACAGAAATGTTTTATTTGAAAATTTAAAATGTTTTTATGCTGACTATATTAGATTTCTGTTATAAATAAGATTAGTAGCCTAGAAGAAGATTAATAATTGATTATTCTGGAATTTATAGAGCTTTTACATTAACACTTTGGTCACATGTTTAAAAGGTTTCATCTCATTTCCCAGATTGCCTCTACTCCCTCCCTGTTCTACTCCAGTGTGGCATAAAAATGCAAGCTGCTTAAAATTCTCAAAAGCATTTGTATGTCTGGAGTTTCATTGTTTATTTATCAAAGGATAATACCAATTATACTTTTCACTTATCTGGATTTAAGAATGGTGTTTATAGAAAAAATTAAAAAGTAATACCAACTATGCCCAACTTTCCCCCTAAGTGTTAACAGTTAATTTAATGACAAACTTTTCCATTCAAGTAATTAGGTCCTGAAGACAAATATTAAACTTCAAAACAAATAAATAGTTCAAATATACTGGGAGCATAGCAGGAAAGCTAGGATTTTAGTTATTTAAGGCTATCGCAAAAGGGAAGTTTGAAGTGCTATGGAATTATAGTGATGCTGTATGGAGGTTCCAAGAGGAAATAATGAATAACAGGCTGAAACCCATTCACTCTAAGGAACCATCATTGCCATTGCTGTGGCTTAAGCAACTTTTTATTCTCTCTTCCTCTGTTGGATCATTTAGTAGTGGCTAAGAATAAATTTGATTGAAACAAAAGCAAAAACAAAAACTTCCCATATTTAAAATACCTTCTGTAGATTTCACCAAAAAACAAAGGACTTTCAACATGATGACTGCTCCTTGTGGTTTCTTCTAAATTCTGTTGTTCCTGAATAAGCAGAACTCAGCAAGTGGGCCTCTCCCTCCACTGGCCTCCACATATTGCCACCCCCAACCCAAGCAGTATGACCACAGCAGTTTCTGTTCACTCCACATTTGCTTCTTCCAAAAGAAAAGTAGTATACTTTAGTGGTTAAGGAGCTTTGGAATCAGGCAAACGTGAGCGCCAAACCTTAACATTTTCTAGGCAGCCTCTAAGTTTTCATGTTCTCATCAATAAAAGAGCCTAACAATAGTCCTACCTCACAGGCTTAATGTGAGGGTTAAATGGGACCATGTTTGTAAAGGGTTTCACATAGTGTATAAGACATAATAATGACTCATGAATGGTAGTTGAAAATGTGCACCCTCACTTATGAGTCTCTTTTCTTCTTCCTTTTCTCCTTCCCCTGGAGACACTTAGAAAAGAAAGCACGACCAGGCGCAGTGGCTCACACCTGTAATCCCAGCACTTTGGGAGGCCGAGGCAGGCAACTCACCTGAGGTCAGGAGTTTGAAACCAGGCTAGCCAACATGGTGAAACCCCTTCTCTACTAAAGATACAAAACTTAGCTGGGTGTAGTGGTGGGCGCCTGTAGTCTTGGCTACTCGGGAGGCTGAAGCAGGAGGATCACTTGAACCAGGGAGGTGGAGGCTGTGGTGAGCCAAGATTGTACCACTGCACTCCAGCCTGGGAGACAGACAGAGTGAGTCTCAAAAAAAAAAAAAAAAAAAAAAGAATAAAGAAAAAAAAGAAAAAGAAAGAAAAGAAAGAAAGAAAGCGAGGCACTGCACTTCCTTTTTCTGACGCATCAAGCTCTTGTCCTTCTTCTCATCTGTTCTACAGTTTTGGAGGCAAGAGTTCTTACAGTCAGGCTCTGACCTCTTTCTCAGCTTTATCTTCTGCCTCTTCTCCACCCCAAATGAACTTCCTTCCAACTGTCCAACCAAACACTCCAAATATTTTCAAACCTCTATGCAAGTTGTTTTCCCTGCCTAGAGTGCTCTCCTCACCCTATTTCCAACAAAGTCATGCTCATCCTTTAGCACAAATATCACTTATTTTGTGAATTTGAAATATACCTCTATCAGCCTTCTGAGCTCCTCTCTTGTCTGTATTCCCACAGCACTTTGCACTCAACTTTATTAAGTTACAGATCACCTTGGAGTTTGATAATGAATGAATTGCTGTTTTTCTTTACTAGAAGAATATGAGTCTTTACAAGACAAGATCTATTGCTTATATCCCCAGAGTTTAGCCCAGTGCCTGGCACTTAGCATTCAATGATATGTTGATACTTAAAATGGACATTCAACTTTCTTATTTCCCCATAAATTCTATCTTTCCCGGTGGCCTCAAATCTCCTGTAATCTCCACTGTGATGTGTATTGCCCTTAAAACATGAAAGATAGGCCAGGTGCAGTGGCTCACACCTGTAATCCCAGCACTTTGGAAGGCTGAGGCAGGCAGATCACAAGGTCAGGAGATCGAGACCATCCTGGCTAACACGGTGAAACCCCATCTCTACTAAAAATACAAAAAATTAGCTGGGCGTGGTGGTGGGCACCTGTAATCCCAGCTACTCGGGAGGCTGAGGCAGGAGATTGGCATGAACCCGGGAGACAGAGCTTGAAGTGAGCCGAGATTGTGCCACTGCACTCCAGCCTGGGCAACAGAGCGAGACTCCTTCTCAAAAACAAAGCAAAACAAAACATGAAAGCTAGATACTGACACCCTGTCTCAGTTTGGCTCCCCCAAAAGCAGATTCTGCAACAAGGATTTTTAATGCAAGCAATTTATTTGGAAGGTAATCCCCAAAACAAGGGAGGGTGTGTGGTTGGGGGGTAGTGAGAAAAGAAAGGGCAGCCAATGAAGGGTTAGTTGCCATGTGGGTGACTGGGTCTGATTCCTGTGGGAAAACATTATAAAAGAGAATTTCCTCATTCAAGGGATTAAACAGCTAACAAATTTATCCTCAATTTCCAGATAGTTATTAGTGGTAGCTGCTCCTGGAGAATGTTCATTCCCCAGCTCTTCCACCTGCATGTACAGAGTAGCTACACTTGGCTTTGGAGAAAATATCAAAGAGATACAGACTTGGCCTTTCTCCAGCCTTCACTTCAAGAGAGGAATGGGCAACATACACCTCAGGTGTTGGCTCCCTATTGGAAACCATGATGTAGCCCAATCAGCAGCCAGGCTCTGATTTCAACTTGCTGCAGAGTGACAAACATGGAATTTGAATAGCAAAAATTCCCTTCCCAGAGAGAGCAAGCCAGCACTGACAGAGTAAAAAGGATTTTTGGAATAGCTGCTCCTTATTTATACTTTACTTCTAGGATTGTGGGCTAGAAATATACATAAATGGATCATCTGAAGAAAAATATCATTTACATGCAGGGGTGATCCTGTCACAGTCCCAGTGGTCTCAAGGCAGGAAGGGAAAAATCTACTTTTTTGATGATCTACTCCAATATTTAAATGTCCTTGACTTCAAACAACAAAAATAACTTATATTTGTTGGACATTTACTGTGCATCAGAGTGCAAAGCTGAGCTCATTTAATCCTCCCAACCACCTCATGAGGTAATTACTTCTATTATCTGTATTCTTCATATGAGAAAACTGAAGGTCAGATGAATGAAGAAATCTGCCCGAAGTTATCTACTGCTATTAAGTGTTTGGAGCTATTAAGGATACTGTAACCTGTCTTTTTGAATCCAATATGCACAACCTTAACTTACATTTATTAAGTTCATTTTTGCATGCCCTCAATAAAGAGAAAGACCCAGTTACTCAGTGTTGTCCACATAATTCTTCAAATACCCTTTTCTTGAAGCTATCCATTTCTTTATCTATTTCTCTTATATCTTTCTTTCTTTTTTTTCTTTTTTTTTTTTTTGAGATGGAGTTTCGCTCTTGTTGCCCAGACTGGAGTGCAATGGTATGATCTCAGCTCACTGCAACCTCTGCCTCCCAGGCTCAAGTGATTCTCCTGCCTCAGCCTCCTGAGTAGCTGGGATTACAGGCATGTGCCACCACGCCCAGCTAATTTTTGTATTTTTAGTAGAGACAGGGTTTCTCCATGTTGGTCAGGTTGGTCTTGAACTCCTGACTTCAGGTGATCCGCCCACCTCGGTCTCCCAAAGTGCTGGGATTACAGGTGTGAGCCACCACACCCAGCCTATTTCTCATATATCTTTCTTGTTGCCCTGTCTTTACTCGTGTATGCTTCTCTCTGCCAACTTCTTAATTTTGTATATTCCTCAATAAAATATGTCAAAGTTCTATGTATACAAACTTCATCTAGTTCCTGGCAAGTCCATAAATCACAAATCTATTGTTCAAAAATTATCCATAAGCATAAGCATTTATTTTTAAATATTGAATCAAGCTAGCCAAATAAAATTATTATTAAATTTATTCCCTGCTTAAAAATTACAGCATGTGCAACATCAAGCAATTCTGAAGCAGAGAAAAGTCATTATAATCCTCCAAATAATGAAGTGTTGCTTTAGGTGATGAATGTATTCTGATTATGCTCATAAAACAGGCTAACAAAGAAAATTCATTCTTCAACCATTATGTCCAAGAAAAACTATGTCTTAAAGTTGACTTATGTTTACAAATGTGTGGTGGGTTCTTTCAGCACAGCATATTTCCCCAGCTCCTTAAACTGGCAACGTTTTTAATTTCACTTTGCTTCTTTGCCATTTGATCTAGGGCATCTGACATACACAGTGTGGCAAATTTCAACTTTTCTTAAAGTTTAACATTATTGTCACTCTGTAGGTCTTAAATGTCAGCTGTTTCCAAAAATGTAACTGTACACTAATCAAAATCATTGTTTTTGATATGACATTTTAACTCCCTAAAGTATAACCACAATGTGAGTTCAACAGGTGAGAGAGTAAAAGTATGGGGCATATGTTTATGGTACTTAACACTCATTCTTATGTGGCCCTGAATAAGATAAGAGATGCAACTACTCACTTGCCTCCTCATGACTTCAGTGACTCTTGGTGCATTTGTTGGCTTTGTCTGTTCTCCCCTCTAGATCCACCTTCTCCATCTTGCTCTGTGCCTTTAGGGGCTGACCTATGTGGACTCTATCAGTGGGATCTCTTGCCCTCTGCCTTTAAGTTGGTTTTGTGCAGTGAAGAGCACTGATTCCATCTTTAGGTAAATTTGTAGTATCATTTTACAGCGATTTATTCATTCATTCATATAATAAATATCTATTGAGTGCTGACTATGTGACTGACACATTCTGTGCTTGTCATTGGAGATGCAGTGGTAGCTAGATAAATGTAGATTTTAGGTCTAACGGTCCTAACATTTTCCCTTATAAATCCCATGTTGAAAGTATTTGCCATTTTTTTTTGAGATGATGATTTACAGACATTTAGCATGCCTCAGTCAATCGGAAATAGCAAAATAGTGTGTAAAGATCAACTCTGTTAGCTTTAATTCAAGAGGGAAAACAGGAATCCACTGGAATAGAGAAGCATGCCCCAGATCCTGCAGAGGAGAAGACGGGCAAGCAGTCCCATTGATGGCATTCTACTGATAAAAATCAGTACAGTACATTGCCTGAAGCAAGAGACAGCTTCTCCCAGTAAACAAGGATCAAGTATATACCCAACTGTGTAGGCTGCAGCCAGCTCTTATCCATAAGCACCATCCGCTGACTGGAGATTAAACTGCACAGCACAATAGAAAATCTGCTGACAGAAGTACACAGCACTGGACTAAGTTTCCTGACACCTCTGCATTCTGGCCCCACAGGAGGCAGTGAGCCTACTCACATGGCCAGTACATCACTACTACAACCAGCATGTGGGAAAGCCACCAAAAATGCTATCTACAATCAAGGAACTTATACATACTGTTCACTGAAAGAACCTAGAACCAAAGCCAAAGGACTCTACACAACATACATTATAGACACCTCCTCAAGGGGAGGAAAACCTCATCCAAATGAAAGCAAATTCAAAACATAAGAAAGAGAGATAGCTTACCCAGACGACAATAAACCAGAAAAACATACTGGTTTATTAAAATTCATACTCAACCTGAAAGTATGAATAGACAGATAGAAAACCACCCCCAAAGGATCACACTCATGCTCTAGCAATGGATCCTAACTAATACGAAATATTTGAAATACTAAATAATTTTAAATTAGTGATTTTAAAAAAGCTCTATTATATTCAAGAAAAAGTTGAAAACCAACACAAAGAAAACAAAAAAATTCAGGATATGAAAGGAGACATATCATTTTTCAAAAACCAAACAGAACTTCTGGAAATGAAAAATTCATTGAAAGAAATGCAAAATATAGCTGAAATCTATAACAGTAGACTAGGCTAAGTGTAAGAAAGATTTTCAAAGTTGGAAAACAGGTATTTCAAATTAACCCAGTCAGATAAAAATAAATTAAGAAAAACTTTTTAATGAACAAAGGCTTTGCAAAATATGAGGTTACATAAAGTGTCCAAACCTGTGAGTTATACTTGTTCCAATGGAAGAAGATGAAAAAGTGAAAAGTACAGAAATCTTATTTGAGGAAATAAATCAGGAAAACTTCCTTGGTCTTGAGAGGGATTTAGACATCAAGGTACAAGAAGCTCAGAGAACTCCTGAAAGATACATTGCCAGACAACCTCACCAAAGCATTTAGTCATCAGACTATCCAAATTCAATGTAAAAGAAAAAATCCTAAGTGTCAAGAGAGAATTGTCTAATTACCCACAAAGGAAATCCCATCAGACTAACGGTGGACTTCTCAGAAAAAACCTTCAGGTCAGAAAAGATTGCGAGTCTATTTTTAGCCTCCTTAAAGAAAAAGAAAATGTCAGTCAAGAATTTTGTATTCTGCCAAACTAAGGTTCATAAATAAAGGTGAAGTAAAATCTTTCCCAAACAAATGCTAAGGGAATTCATCACCACTAGACCAGTCCTACAAGAAATGCTCACAGGAGTTCTAAAATGGAAAGAAAAGGACAATACTCACCATTATAAGAGGACACATAGGTACAGAGTTCACAGATCCTATAAAACAATTACATAATTGAAACTCTAAGGCAACCAGCTAATAACACTATGACAGGAACAAAACCTCACATATTAATATTAACCTTGAATCTAAGTGGCCTACATGCTCTACTTAAAAGATATAGAGCGGCAAATTGGGCGGGGTGGGGGGACAGTGTGAGGAACAAGACCCAACCAACTGCTACTACAAGAGACCCACCTACTAGCTAAAGGCAGCTATAGACTCAAAGTAAAGAAGTGGAAAAATATATATTATGAAAATGGAAAACAAAAGCAAGCAGGAGTAGCCATCCTTATATAAGATGAAACAAACTTTAAGCCAACAACAATAAAAAAAGACAAAGAGGGTCATTATATAATAACAAAGGGTTAAATACACAAAGAAGATGTAACTATTCTAAATATATGTGCACCCAACACCGGAACACCCAGATTCATAAAACAAATACTACTAGACCTAAGAAAACAGATTGATAGCAATACAATAAGTGGGGACTTTAACACCTCACTGACATCACTAAATAGATACTGGGATAGAAACTCAACAAAGAAACTCTGGATTTAAACTGGACTATAGAAAAAACAAACGTAATAGACATTTATAGAACATTCATTCTATCCAACAACCACAGAATATACGTTCTTCTCATCCATGCATGGAACATTCTCCAATTGACCATACACTTAGCCATAAAGCAAGACTCGAAAGAGTCAAAAAAATTGAGGTCATATCAAGTATTTTCTCAGACCACACTGAATAAAATTGGATATCAATACCAAGCAGAACTCTCAAAACTAAACAAGACATGGAAACTCAACAACTTGCTCCTGAATGACCGTTGGACAAATAACAAAATTGAGGCAGAAATCAAAAAATGTTTCAAAACAAATGAAAATAGAGACAAACACAACATACCAAAACCTCTGTGATACAGCAAAAGCAGTGCTAAGACAAATGTTAATAACATTAAATGCCTACATCAAAAAGATAGATCTCAAATTAACAACCTAATGTCACACCTCAAGGAACTAGGAAAACAAGAATAAGCCAAAGGCAAAACTAGCAGAAAAAAAGAATTAACAAAGATCAGAGCAGAACTAAATGAGACTGACAACAAGAAAATAATACAAAAGGTCAAAAAAACAAAACATTAGTTATGTGAAAGATAAACGAGATTGATAGACCACAAGGTAGATTAACAAAAAAAAAAAGAAGATTCAAATAAGTACAATCAGAAATTATAAAGGTAACATTACAACTGATATCACAGAGATAAGATCAGAGGCTACTATGAGCACCTCTATGTGCACAAACTAGAAAACCTAAAGGAAATGGATAAATTCCTGGAAAACTACAATCTCCCAAGATTGAACCAGAAAGAAACAGAAATCCTGAACATACCAATAACACTTAATGAAATCAAATCAGTAACAAAAAAACTTCCAAAAACAAAAATAAAGAGCCAGAACTAGACAAATTCACAGCCAAATTTCACCAGACATAACAAAGAAGAGCTGGTACTAGTCTCACTGAAACTATTCCAAAAAACTCTAGCAGGAGGGATTCTTTCCTAACTCATTCTACAAAACTAGTATCATCCTGATACCAAAATCTTGCAAAGACACAACAACAAAAGAAAACTACAGGCCAATATCCCTGATGAACATAGACACAAAAATCCTCAATGAAATACTAGCAAACTGAATCCACAAGCACATCAAAAAGTTAAGTTGCCACAATCAAGTGGGCTTTATTCCTAGAATGCAAGGATGGTTGAACATATGCAAATCAATAAACATGATTCAGTACATAAACGGAACTAAAAACTAAAACCATATGATCATCTCAGTAGATGCAGAAGAAGCATTAGATAAAAATCAAACATCCCTTCTTGATGGAAATTCTCAACAAATTAGGCATTGAAGGAACATACCTCAAAATAATGAGTCGTATGACAAACCCACTACCAACATCATGCTGAATGAGGAAAAGCTGAAAGCATTCCCCCTAAGAACTAGAACAAGACAAGGATGTTCACCCTCACCACTCCTATTCAACTGGAATAGTACTGGAAGTCCTAGAAGAGCAATCATGCAAGAGAAAGAAATAAAAGATATCCAAATTGGAAAAGAGGAAGTCAAATTATTTCTGTTCACCAATGACATGATTATATACCTGGAAACGCTTAAATACTCTTCCAAAAGACTCTTAAACTTGATAAACAAGTAAAATTTCAGGATAGGCTGGGCACAGTGGCTCATGCCTGTAATCCCAGCACTTTAGGAGGCCAAGGCGGGTAGATCAAGAGGTCAGGAGATCGAGACCATCCTGGATAACACAGTGAAACCCCGTCTCTACTAAAAATACAAAAAATTAGCCGGGCGTGGTGGTGGGCACCTGTAGTCCCAGCTACTCAGGAGGCTGAGGCAGGAGAATGGCATGAACCTGGGAGGTAGAGCTTGCAGTGAGCTGAGATTGTGCCACTGCACTCCAGCCTGGGCAACAGAGCGAGACTCCATCTCAAAATTAAAAAAAAAAAACAATTTCAGGATAAAAGATCAACATACAAAAATCAGTAGCATTTCTGTATACCCATAACATGTAAACTGAGAACCAAATCAAGATCTCAATCCCATTTACAATAGCCAAAAATAAAATGCCTAAGAATGTATTTAGCCAAGGAGATGAAAGATCCCTATAAGGAGAACTACAAAATGCGGATGAAAGAAAGCATAGATGACACAAACAAATGGAAAACATTCTATGATCATGGACTGGAAGAATCAGTATTGTTAAAATGACCATACAGCCCAAAACAATCTATATATTGAATGTAATTTCTATCAAATTACCAACTTTATTTTTCCCATAATTAGAAAAAAATAATTCTAAAGTTCATATGGACTTAGGATAGCCAAAGCAATCCTAAGCAAAAAGAACAAATCTGGAGAAAAAAATGCCACATTGCCTGACTTCAAATTATACTGCAAGGCTATAGTAACAAAAACAGCCTGGTACTGATACAAAAATAGACACATAGATCAATGTAACAGAATAGGGAACCCAGAAATAAAGACACATACCTACAACCAACTATCTTCAATAAAGTCTACAAAAGTAAATAATGGGGAAAGGACATCCTATTCAATAAGCGGTGCTGGGAAAATTGGCAATTCATATGCAGAAAAACAAAACTGGACCCCATCTCTCACCATATACAAAAATTAACTCAAGGTGGATTACAGACTTAAATGTAAGACCTGAAACTATAAAAATCCTGGAAGAAAACCTAGGAAATCCTCTTCTGGACGTTGGCCTAGGCAAAGAATTTATGTTGAAGATGCCCAAAGCAAATGCAACAAAATCAAAAATAGACAAATGGAATTTAATTTTTAAAAAATCTGCACAGCAAAAGATAGTCAAATGGGAATTAAGTATACAAAAAAAAAAGAAAGAAAGAAAAAGAAAAACCTCTGCTCAGCAAAAGAAATCATCAAGAGTAAACAACCTACCAAATGGGAAAAAATAAAATGCAAATTATACCTCTGACAAAGACCAATATCCAGAATCTACAAAGGAGTCAAACAAAGAAAAAAACAACCCCATTAAGGAGTGGGCAAAGGACATGATCAGGCATTTCTCAAAAGAAGAAATACAAGTGGTCAAAAAACATAGGAAATATTGCTTGACATCACTAGTCATCAAAGAAATGCAAATTAAAACCACAATGAGATCTCTTTACACAAATTAGAATAGCTATTATTAAAAAGTCAAAAAGGAACCATTGATATGGTTTGGCTGTGCCCCTACCCAAATCTCATCTTGAATTCCCACGTGTTGTGAGAGGGAACCAGTGGGAGGTAATTGAATCATGGGGCCAGGTCTTTCTCATGCTGTTCTCATGATAGCGAATAAGTCTCACGAGATCTGATGGTTTTAACAAGAGGAGTTCCCCTGCACATACTCTCTCTTTTTGCCTGCTGTCATCCATGTAAGATGTGACTTGCTCTCCTTGCCTTCAGCCATGATTGTGAGGCCTCCCCAGCCATGTGGAACTGTAAGTCCAATAGACGTCTTTCTTCAGTAAATTACCCAGTCTCAGGTATGTCTTTATCAGCAGCATGAAAATGGCCAAATACACCATCCTTTTCTTGGGATTGCACTACTTTCCAATCAGTGCATAGTGAGGGCAGTACTACTAATGCGTACACAACACACCTGCATCAACTAGAGCTTTGCTTTACCTTGGTGCAATTTTTGGAAAAATGAAAACCTGCTAAAAATAAGAAAAGTAATCAATTTTGTATCTTTTAAAAAATGTAATGATAATAATAATAAAAGTCAGAAAAAAGAAAAGGGAAAACTTATACACTCTTGGTGACAATGTAAATTAGTTCAACCTCTATGGAAAACAGTATGGAGATTTATTAAAGAACTAAAAATAGAACTAACATTTGATCCAGCAATCCCACTACTGAGCATCTACCCAAAGGAAAAAAAAATCGTTACGTAAAAAAGACACCTGTATTTGTATGTTCATCACGGCACTATTCACAATAGCAAAGTCATGGAACTAACCTAAGTGTACATCAACAGTTGACTGGATAAAGAAAATGTGGTACATATACACCATGTAATACCAGACATACAAAGAAGAGCTGGTACTAGTCTCACTGAAACTATTCCAAAAAGTCTAGCAGGAACAATTTTTTTCTAAGTCATTCTATAAAACTAGTACCATCCAGCCATAAAAAAGAATGAACTCATGTCATTGGCAGCAACATAGATGGGGGTGGAGGCCATTATCCTAAGTGAACTAACTTAGAACCAGAAAATAAAACACCACATGTTCTCACTTATAAGTGGAAGCTAAGCAGTGGGTACACATGGACATAAAGATGGAAATAATAAACACTGGGGATTCCAAAAGGGGTGGGGGCGGTGAGAGAAAGGGCAAGGGCTGAAAAATTACCTATTGGGTACAATGTTTCACGATTTGGATAATAGGTACACTCGAAGCCCAATCCCCATGATTATGCAATATACCTATGCAATAAACATGCACATGTGCGTCCTGAATCTAATATAAAATAATTTATTTTTGAAAAAGGAAGTATTTGTCTATGGACTATATTTATTAAGTAATTTTCCATTAAAAAAATTAGTCAAAGATCATCAAGAGATTAATGGATTTTTTAAATGTGATATATGCATACAATGGAATATTATCCGTAAAAAGAAATGACATACTGATACATGCTATAATGTGGATGAGCCCTGAAAATATTATTCCATGTGAAAAAAAAGCCAGACATAAAAGGTCACATATTGCATGAGTCTATCTTCATGAAATATCCATAATAGGTAAATTCATAAAGACAGAAAGCAGAATGGTATTTGCCAGAGGCTAATGGGAGCAGGAAATTGAGAGTGACTGCTAAATGGGAATGGGGTTTCATTTCAGGTGATGAAAAGGTTTTGTAACTAGATACGGAAAGTGATTGTACAACGTTGTGAATGCACTGTCAATGAATTGAATGCTATAAAATGATTAATTTTATTTTATGTGAATTTCACCTCAATAGAAAGAATTAAAGATAAATATACTGGCCAATCAGCATTCTATCACCAAAGATAATCAGAGGTTACTATATTAAGATGAGTTTATTCTAGCTAAAAGCAAAATTTTAAAAGATGCTTGTCTGTAAACCAATCTTTTGTCCTCATTAACCAGACAGCTTTCTTTGTTGTTGTTGTTTCATTTTGGTTTGCTTTTGGTTTTGGTTTTCTTTTTGAGACAGAGTCCTGCTCTGTCACCTAGGCTGGAGCACAGTGGCACAAACATGACTCACTGCAGCTTCGACCTCATGGGCTCAAGCAGTCCTCCTGCCTCAGCCTCCTGAGTAGCTGGGACCATGGACATGAGCCACCACACCTGACTGATTTCTTTTTTTGTAATTTTTGTGGAGATGGGGTCTTGCCATGTTTCCCAGGCTGGTCTTGAACTCCTGGACTCAAGCAATTCTCCCATCAAGGCCCCCCAAAGTGCTGGGATTATATGAGCCACTGTCTCTATCCCAGACAGCTTTCTAATTACTGGTTCTATATCCAAATTATGTTTAAACTAAGAAATGAAGTAGCCTTGAGAAGTTACACAAGCATTCCACGCATTATACCATGTTCAATTATAAATTTATATATTAACTTTTGGGTTTATATAATAAAAATACTAATGATAAGAAGAAGAACCACAAAAGTAACATTAGCATAAACAATAACTGTAACATCTAATGTTTACTGAGCTGTTAGTATTGCCAGGAATTGGGCTAAGTGCTTGAAAAGCATCATTTCATTTAAGCTTCACAGTTCCCTATGAGGTACTATTACTATCCTAATTTTTCAGATAATGACACTGAGACTCACAGAGTTCAGATAACTTGACCAAGGTCAAGATCTAGTAAAATGGAAAACCAGAACTTCACCAGACTGTCTCCAGCCACGTGTGTGGTTAATTTCTCTGCTAAATTGCTACACATAAAGCTTTTATTGGTCTGCCACGCTTTGTTTAGTCTTCCTGATGCTGGACAAATTCAAGCACTAACAAAACTAAGTTTCTAGGCCAAAAAGTGAGGGCCAGACCATTTTCTGTGACAGCCCAGGGTCTTAAATAAGCCCTGACTTGGTATGTTGACAAGCTGATATACCCAGACAGTGTTTCTATCTAGTTGTTCTTTAATGTTAAATTTATGAATCTTTAAAATATTAGGAATAACATGCCCAAACTAGGAAATCTATTAAAAAAATGACCTCTTAATAAATATTCTTTCATTCAATAACTTATTTAATGAATCACTAAAATATCTGAGTATATCTGTAAATAGGTTTTTCCATTTTAGACACATAAAAGTATGTTTATAAAGACATATTCAATGTTGGCAATAAAGGCAACAGCAATTTGGGACCTGTAGATTTGTATCACCCCAGACAATTCTTCTGATCCACTTTGCCCTACAAGTAGCATGCTGGTGACAATAACAAGGTTGTATTATACTCACAGCATTGGTTCTACATGTATCTTATTTTTAAAAGTAGTTGTAAAATAAAGCTTCCATTTATTTGATCCTTCTGAGAAATAGGTCAGTATTTTTGTCAAATATTAGTCCATTGAAACTTCTATATTACAGTACAAATGACTCTTCATCTGAAATTCACAAAGGAAAATATTGATTACCCAAATTGCTTATGGGAGTAGGAATCCTGATTAAGTATTCTGGATTATAAGAAAACCTTTTACATTTATTTAATGATTTAGTCACTCCTTAAGAAGTATTTGTGTTGACTTTAATGAATTAGTAAATATAGCAAAGAAAAATGATGATCTCTGAGACCTGAGAATTTTGTCAATTCCTAAAATGCATTCTTAATATTCTCACCGTAATTAACACAAAGTAGACACTCAAAAAATGAATTGTGGCTGGGCGCAGTGGCTCACCCCTGTAATCCCAGCACTTTGGGAGGCCAAGGCAGGCGGATCACAAGGTCAAGAGATCGATACCATCCTGGCCAACATGGTGAAACCCCATCTCTACTAAAAAATACAAAACTTAGCTGGGCATTGTGGCACCCACCTGTAATCCCAGCTACTCGGGAGGCTGAGGCAGGAGAATCACTTGAACCCAGGAGGCGGAGGTTGCAGTGAGCCGAGATTGGGCCACTGCACTCCAGCCTGACGACAGAGCAAGACTCATCTTTAAAAAAAAAATGAATTATTTTTTCTCCAGAAATATCAATTTCAGTCTTGGAAATTTGGAAGCCCAAAGTGACTAGATAGTTGAAGGTTTTGTGGTCCATTGCATCCTTGCATTAAAGTCCCATTACTAAAAAAATCACAAGATACTAACAAAAGAGTAGTACTAAATAATATATACAAGTTTCTTCTGATCAACCAATGTTTAATGATTATTTAATTTGAACACAATCAACCCATATTTTATTGTATAGACAAAATGGGGCATTAGAAATAGCATGGCCTTTGGAATCCAAATCATGTTTAAATCAGGATTCATTGATGTTAAAATTACCATTTAATAGGATATCAGGGAATACTAGACAATTTATGAAGATCTTCACTGAGCCCAAGTCTTCCATATTGAAAATGGGTGTAATAATTCCTTTTTGACAGGTTCTTACAAGGAAAGGATCTAGTACATGACCTGTCACACAGCTGGATCTCAAGAATGTTTGTTCCAATCCTGAAACAGGCAAAAATGTTGAGAGTCAAGAAAGAGAGAAAGGAAAGAGGTCTTAAAATGGTAACAGCTATTATTACTTGAGTACTAATATTGATCTTTCTGTTCATTTTATAAGTGACACTTCAAATCAGGTCATACTTTCCAAGTCTAGCAAATAGAATTCAGAAAGGGAATATCGTCTCTGTTATTCTGTCTATTGCCATAAGAATCCAGGAAAATCAGAGAGAAATCAAAACATGACTAAGAAATGTGACATCTTATAAACTTTTTTGACCTACTTTGTCAGAATTTTCATAGGTTTACCTTTGGTTTCAGCTAAAACATCCTTATTTTGTCTAAGTAGGCCATCCCAATTCTTCCTAACTGTAAATTCAGCTCATGCTCTCAGAATAGGATCCTTTCCCCCTAAGGCCTTTGCTTTCCATTTAATACCCTCTGATACTTTTCTCCAAAATCCCTATAACAAATATTAACTTACATGCAAGGAAAGCAAGCAGAGTTTCAAAATAGGCCAGGGGTGGCATTCTTAAAAATAACTCTGAGGAACAACATTTGTATCCAATAAAAACATGAGCAGAATTGAAAATACTTATGGTGTGGGACTTGTACATTTATCTGCTCTTTGAAAAGGTAAAATAAACTGAAAAATTCCATAAAAATCCAAACCAAAAGTCACCTGCCATCACCACCACTCTGCCCTTTCCAATAAACACTTATTGGCAGAAGCAGGAGGGAAGTCTATGTTTCTTGCCTCTTGAAGTGACAAGCACATTCTTTCCTCATTCACCAAGCTGCTTTTCTCCCTCCAAAGCTCCAGCTGTTCTCAAAACCCAGACATTGTTCCCTTCACTGGCTGGCCTCTAGCTCTAACTCTCAGCCAAGACTGCTTCTCCCTGAAACCTCTCAGGGACACTAACAGCCAGGACTTGGAAGGCTGTGCCTACTTAAAGAAAGTTGAGTTTTTGGCAGGGAGAGAAAGAGGGAGAGAAAGGGGGAGAGAGATGAATGGGAAACACTTTGTGTCAGCACAAAAACTCAAACAATCGTGTTTGGACAATGCCTGGTGCTCTGAGGCTGCCAAGTGATGGTTGATGAATCTCATAGTGGTTTTCAGATTTTGAGGCTGTGGGATCTTTTCTCATTGTTGTACACAGTCTGGGACCCCCAAGTTCTACTGTGGAAAATATGAAATACTTACAAGATAAATATGCCAATTATGACTACAATTTCTTTCTGTTATCATATGAATATGAACACCCATAGGACCATGAGATATTTGGAGAGGCGGGGGCGTGGATTTTTAAACCCTTTCATGTATATAAATAAGCTCCCCAAAGGACAATGTGAATTAATTCTTCCTCAAAGATTATAAGAAGTGGCTTATTTATGTTTCTCCAAATTAATATTCTTCCTTCATTGGTCGTAAGTGTGATGGTGATGGGAGAAAAGGAATAAAAGGCACATTTGTTCACTTCCAAGTCCAATGAAATCAACACTCAGAAGAAAAGGCAAATACCTGCAACTTTTTAGAAATTCTGGTTTTTAGAAAATGTTAAAGCTGTCCTATACTCAAACTATCCTGACCTGGCTAGTAACCAAGAATCATTTTTTTAACTTTACACAAAGCTGTTAATCACTGTCTACAGCACTTCTTGAAATTACAACACATTGACTTGTCATGACATTCAGAAGAGATGTTAGCCAAAGACTCACCAGTTGAACTAGTTAGAATATAGATTTGTTAATGTGTGAAAAGGACCTAAAAACAGAGGAAAGACTAGTTTCTTTCTCACTCTCATAACGGTATGACTGCGCACCATGCAGAGCCAAGAATTCTGGCTGTTTCTATCTGTTTCACCATCCCAAGGACATCTCTGTCATCTGCATGGTCTAAGATGATCTTCATTTCAGCCAAGAGAAGTAGAAAAAAGGAAAAAAAAAAGGGAGAGTTCACCACTTCCTTGTAAGAAAATTTGCACGTATCATTCCCACCTACATTCCACCAACCATAACAAGGTCATGTGGCCATAGTCTGAAAAAATATTCTTTATTTTGGGCATCCATGTGCCAGCTAAATATCAAGAAATCTATTGATTTAGCATAAGAATTGGCAAGCTATATCCATGAGCCAAATCTGGTTTTAAGTGAGCTGCAAGCTAAGAATAGTTTTTACATTTTTAAGTGGTTAAAAGAAAATCAAAAGAATAATAATATTTTGTGATGTGAAAATTATGTGAAACTCAAATTTCAGTGTCCATAAATACAGTAGTACCCACTCATCCACAGTTTCTGCTTCCATGGTTTCAGTTACCCTACGTTCAACCGTGCTGGGAAAATATTAAATAAAAAATTCCAGAAGTAAGCAATTTGTGAGTTTTATATTGTGTGCTGTACTGAGTAGTAGGATGAAATCTTGTGCTGCCCTGCTTCATCCTGCCCAGGATGTGAATCATCCCTTTGTCCAGTGTATCTGCACTGTAGATGCTACATTACTCATTAGTCACTTAGTAGCCATCTCAGTTATCAGATCAACTGGCCATTTTGTGGTATCCCAGTGCTTTTGTTCAAGTAATCCTTATTTTACTTAGTAATGGCCCCAAAGCACAAGAGTAGTGATACCGGCAATTCAGATGTGCCAAAGATCAGCTGTAAAGTGCTTCCTTTACATGAAAAGGTAAAAGCTCTGGACTCAGGAAAGAAAACAAATTGTATGCTGACGGTGCTAAGATCTACAGTAAGAATGGGCCTTCTATTGATGAAATTGTGAAGAGTATATTGTTATAATTATTCTATTTTTAGTTATTGTTCATCTTTTACTGTGTCTAATTTATAAATTAAATCTTATCATAGGTATGTATAGGATAAAAATATAGTGTTTATAGGGTTAATACTATCTATGGTTTCAGACACGCTTGGGGCTCTTGGAATGTCTCCCCTTCAGATCAGAGGGACTACCGTAAATTTTTATTAGAAGGGAGCCATGGTCCATTTACATGTTGTCTATGGCTGCTTTTGTGCTACAATGGCAGAGTTGAATAGTTGTGACAGACATCATATGGCCCACAAAGCCTAAAATGTTTATTATTTGGCCCTTTATTTAAAACATTTTTCCGACTTCACTTTGGAGGAAAGAATAAATCAGGTATTGCTGGACAACTAGCTAACTCAGCCATACCAAAGTGGTAAAATTGATTGGAAAAGGGGGTGGGCTTTGAAAGGGGTTGCAAATGAGCTGTATTTGTTTAAAAGCCTTTAATATAGTAGCATTGTTTATCCATTTATGCATTGAAAATTACCCCAAAACTTAGTGGTTTAAAACAATAAAAGTGTATTATTCAGTTTCTGTGAGTCAAGAATTCAAGAGTGGCTTATTTGGGTGGCCCTGGCTCAGATTCTCTCATAAAGTTGCAGTTAGGATGTTGGCATGGGATAAAGTCTCATGTGAAGGGTTGACTGGGGCTGGAGAAGCAACTTCCAGATTGATCATTCACGTGGAAGCTAGCAGGAGGCATCAGGTGCTTGCCACATGGGCTTGTCCTGCATGGCTGCTAGCTTCTTCCACAGTGAATTACGAGACAGAGAGACAGAGTAAGCAGTAAGCCACAGTGCCTTTTATATCATCTTCAAAGTCTCATGTTGTCACTTTCATTATATTATTTTCATTAGAAGAAATTCATTAAGCCTACTCCAGCCCACACTCAAGGTAAGGAGAATTATCTTCCACCTACTGAAGGGAAGAATGTCAAATAATTTGGGGGCATTTAAAAATCATCACAACAGTATTTGAGATTGTTTTAAAAAGCAGATAATTTGTCTTCAGATAATGCTACAGACATGAGGCTAGTGATTATGAAATAAGCCTAAGTTATTTGACCAGGAGAAAAGGATAGAGGCTTATGTTAGAGATGGCAATCAGGTTTTAGCTCTCTCACCTACCACAATTAATTGGTAGTAGTTGCTTAGAGTACTATGTTGATAAGGATTCTGATTAGTAGCTATCAAATACACATATTTTCTATCAGAGTAAAAAAACAAAAGTTCAAATAATGAGAATTTGGAGAAAAAGCAATTTATGAAGCATGTCAAAGTCTCCAGAAAGCTTATAAAACCATGGCTCTTGGGCAGCTTGTCCAGGATGTTTCTCTGGAGTCCTGGTTTCCCAGGAGAGATTCCCTTTCTCCTTCCCTCCCTTCCTTCCATCAAACCATCCTTCCTTCAACAAGCACTTATTGAGTACCTATGTTTTAGACATAGGTATTCTCAGCTGGGTGCAGTGGCTCACGTTTGTAATCTCAGTGCTTTGGGAGGCCAACGTGGGAGGATTCCTTGAGGCCAGGAGTCTGAGAATAGCTTGGGCAATATGATGAGACCCCATCTCTAAAAATAAATAAATAAATTTAAATTTAAAATAAGTCATAGGTACTCTGGCTGCCAGAGATAGAATAAGAAACTAGATAAATATCTCCCTCTCATGGTAAAATACAAATTTCTGTCTTCTGTAAAATGTCTGAAATTTTATTTTCCTTTTAAGAAGCCATACATATTATTTCTGATTACCATCTCATTACACTAGATATTTTAGATTAACATTAAATAATAGTGGTGATAATTCTTGCTTCCAATCCCTCTATTGCAGGGTTTACCAGAATATGCATCATGTAACAGCATTTCCACTGGGTGTTAATAGACCTCATTTGAATAGAAGGGTTTCATGATCATATAAGGCTGGGAATGCTGAATTTTAAAATGTTAAACAGATTTGTCTACTGTAGGCAACTTTAATGTGCCCATGGTCCAAAAAGATGGTGTAACATGCTATACTCCCCAAAGTTATTTGAGTTTAAAATGTTGTGTGTTTTTGTTTTGCTTTTACAAAACGCTTGTTCAGGTGGTCTGGAAAATCCTGCAGGAGGAAATCTAAAGTCATTAAGTTTCTTTATTTCCCTTTCAGTCACATCAGCTCTCTTTTGTTTCCCTAAGATTGTAGAGTTCATTGAAACACATAAATGTCCATTTCTACAACAATATACAAATCCTAGCTAGAAAGGAAATAGTGGTAATTACTCTCATGTAGTAATTATTTAATGTCTGGGTATTTTAAAACCAAACAAGTATTTAAAAACACATAACATCATTATAAATTCATTACAAATATATAGGATGTTTGCACATACATACAATTATATAAAGAAATGTGTGTATGTGTGTGGTGTGTCTCTGTCTGTGTGTGTGTGGGGTGTGTGTGTGTGTGTGTGTGTGTGTGTGTGTAACACTTTGGAGTCAAAACAACTCTCCAGTTACCTAGAAATATATATTTATTAAACGTGCACAATTGTCAGACAACTTATTAGTCATTAAATACAATAATGAGAAAGAGAGAATGCATTACAAATGTTAATTCATTCATATAATTAATAGCTCAAAGGATTGTAGGGAGAAAATCACTAAGCACATCATTACCATAATGGCTAGCTCATAAATAAAGTACAGAATTCAAAATGAGGACATGTCAAGGGCTCTGCACCATTTAGGATTTATGTGTACTGTATGTAACAGATATCTGATGACAGCGGCTTAACCAAACAGCCTCGCATAATTTGCCTTCCATAAAAAGGAAGTGCAGAGAAAAGCTGTGCAGTGGGGTCATGGTGTCAGCAGTGGCGCACGATCTATTTCCTTGTCACTCTATCATTCTTATTATGGGACTTAACCTCTCATCTTAGCTGTGGGACGGTCTCAAGTGGACTATTACATTCAACCTCACTATCTTTTTTTCAAGCAAGAACAAGAAGGAAGAAAGCGTAAAGGAGTAGAATCTGGCAGGATTTTTTTTTTTCTCAATTATTTTATCAGCTGAAAATGTCATGTAGTTACTCCTAACTGCAAGCAAGTCTGGTCTGGAGAAGTACTTCAGCTGGGCCCATGGATGCACTGAGAAGAATTCGGTCTCTCAAACAAGAAAAAGTGAATACATATTTGGTAGATGACTCGCCCTGTCTTTTCCAGACTCTTACCTAGTCCTTGAGGGTCAGAGAAGGTTAAAGCTAACAATAATAATATTTCATAAGTAGATATATTTGTTTCTTTCTAACTCATCTCCTATTTATTATACTTCTAACTTAAAAATACCCTTACAATTTAATTTAGCAATTTACTTTTGTCATAAACACAAGTTTTCATGGAATTCCTACTATTTCCTTTAAATAACAATGAAATGACTGTGTAAATAATTTCCATTAAATGTTTGAAATGTTCAACTTCACTGTGTTAAGAAATGGTGGCTTGCTTCTGTTTGTATTTAAACTGTTCTTGCCAGCAAAAACAATTGTTCATATTGGCAGAAGTAGAACATTTGCCAGCATGAAAAAGTGCTGTATAGCACTTTTTTTTTGTATAGCATTTAACATACCATAACACATATTTTCTTTTCCTCACAAATCTGGTTTAAAACCTTAATTTTTTTACATAGCTGTGGCCTCAATACTTCAGAATTTTAACTTTTTTTCAACCTTGTAGAATATAAAAGTACGTGTGTAAGCATATAATGCCAAGAAAAGTTTTCTTAAAGTTATTGCATTTCTACTTGAAATTCTGGCTCCATTTTGCATAGAACATGGTGAATGCCTTCTTATCTAGAAGACAGAAATATATTAGTACAGTCACTAATCTCTCTATTAACACCTTAAATATCTCTTTGATTCTTCTTGACATCCAAAGAGCACTTTTCACTCCTTTTAAAATTTTTTTAGAGAAATCTAATTTCATGTTATCAACTTTCCAATATTCATCTTCTACAAATGGCTGGTAGAATAGGTATTGGGTAACTTTCATTTTTAACAAATTTATATGTCTATGAAAATCAAGATGGTTGTTTCTAGAAACCATATTCCACCCCCCTAAATTTAATGCATTAAAGTACCATTTATGAAGAATCAAGTTCAAATTATCCACAAAAGTGCATGCCTCTCAATGTTCAACCATGGGGAAATGACTTACTATACATATGGTGAATTATGTCACCCTGTAAAATGATAATGATAAAGACCATTTAACAACATGTAAAAATGTTTATAATTTATGAACCGGATTGCAAGTTTAGAAAAATTAAATCACTAAACAGACCAAAACTAGGAGGTAATATGCAATAATAAAGTAATTATGGTAGAAAGTCTATATATATATTTTTCAGTTCCTTACATTTTTCTATACAGCCTGATTTTTCTTTAATGTGCATGTGTTATTTTGATAATTATGAAGAAAGTGGTAAAAACAACTTAAACAATAAATAAAATCTTATTTCTAGCATCTTCCTTTTCTGTACTTTTTAACGTTTTTTGGTGGGGGGGCTTTTTTGGAAATGCTCAGCAGTCTCCTCTGTACCCCTCTGCCACTTCCCTTAAAAAGGGAGCCCCTCGGCTGGGTGCGGTGGCTCACCCCTGCAATCCCAGCACTTTGGGAGGCCGAGGTGGGCAGATCATGAGATCAAGAGATCAGTACCATCCTGGCCAACATGGTGAAACCTCATCTGTACTAAAAATACAAAAGTTAGCTGCGCATGGTGGTATATGCCTGTAGTCCCAGCTACTCGGGAGGCTGGGGCAGGAGAGTCACTGGAACCCAGAGGTGGAGGTTGGAGTGAGCACAAATAGGGCCACTGCACTCCAGCCTGGGTGACAGAGTGAGACTCCATCTCAGAAAAAAAAAAAAAAGGGAGCCTCTTTTGGCACACCCCTTCAGAGACTTACCCCACTTTTACAATCCTTCAAATTCCTATGTGTCCCATTTTCACTGGCCCTACCCACTGGCTAGGTGCCTTTTAACTATCTGTTTCCACTTGGATATTTTAACAACCTACCTGAAGTTTAGTTTCCCAACTGTAAATAGTGATAATACCTCTTCATATAGTCATTATGAGGATTAAGGAAAGTAATAGATATAAAGCACTCAAATTAAGGTGCCCACCACAGTTGCCACCATTACACAATACCAGTAGCAATATCAATAACAGTACTAATAATACCCAAATACATATATGTGTATTTTAACAAAGTTTTGGTCAAAAGAGACTTCAAGCAACAGAAAAGACCTGTGGAAAAGTTACTTCAACCAGAGCACATGGTAAGAAACGTTAAAAAAGCAAATGAGATTCAGAGTCTAAGGGATTACACTCAATTCCCCAGCTGGCGAATGGAAGAACAGAGACAGGAACCCCAATGTCCGGGCTCTGAGTGTATTGCTCTCTACATTTGAACATCCTCATCAGTGCTCAGCACTTGCCTGGATGGCTAGTACAGCTGTCTGCCAAGAAGATGTCCTTGTGTTTTTCCTCATTGCTGTACATACAGCCTTCAGACAATTCCATAGCTCCATGGACATTTGACCACCCACAACTCAAGAACAACTTTCCTTTTGCCATTGGCTCTTAGCACACATAAATTGCTAATCCTTTCTTAAACTGCTAGGTGAACCTCAAATTCTCATGGGACTCAAATTTCTTCCAGAGGGCTCATTAGGTAAAGGGAGATTCCAAGGAACTCTTTCCTGATTGTTCCTCACTGGAACAGTTCAGTGTGAAAAATAATGACCACTCCTAAGTTCATGTACCTAATTGCCTCTGTCTATCCTGTGGCCTTCAATTAAAGTAAGATCACCATCCGGTTTTTTCCAACTTTTTGTAGCAAGATTGAGAAGGGATGGGGTGGGTTTTATTGGACACTGAGAGGAAGGTTCCTGTAACAGCCACATAAAGAGGTAATGTGGGAAAGCCAAAGTAAGCAGACGGATTTAAAACCAGCTGGAACACCACCAGGAAAGAGGTTAACACCCTAAGCTTTCCATGAACTTTTCTACTGCGAGTCCTAAGCCAGAGGATCCTTCATCATCAGAAATGATTGGAAACCTGGTTTCAAACTCCCTGGAAAGATGAGACAAGAAATGCATAACAGGGAAGGATTTACTTAGGTTAATTGATTAATTAATGACCACACTTCAACGGCTCAAGCTTACTTTGTGGGTGTAAATGTATGAGTAATACTCAAAACCACAAACCTAGGAGCAATAAAAGAGCTTGGGTTGAAAGTTCTACTTTCAGAATTATCCTGATTTTCCTCTGGGCAACTAGGGAGACGAAAATAAAGAAACCAACAGGAAAACTCATAAATCTGTGACTCTGGAAGGAGAGGGTCACATTCTACTTGGAGAGAAGACGCTTTACCCAGGTCCAGTAGGAATTACTTTCTGTGATGTGTTGGGAAGTGAATCCAGAGCAGAAAGGTCCTTTTCAATTTGTATCTGGACTCGTCTACCTCGCCATTTTGTTCACCCACACATTACCACTGCCTTTACCCCAGGTGAGCTCCACACACCAAGTCACCTTTGAAATAGAATTACACTTCTGATGGACCTACCTCCTAAATAGCTCTCCAACCAGGGATGAGTACCTGGGGACCCAGTAGAACCCTCAATTTGTATTGACTCAGAACCCAAAAGAAAACAGAGAAGAACATGTGAAATTATCAAGGTTTTTGGTCAATTCTCTGGCTATGAGTTAGTAATTTCTTTCCACCAGATTTCTGGCTTCTCCTTGTTATGGTTGAATTGTATTAACCATTACCCAAATTCATATGTTGAAGTTCTAACCCCCAGTACCTCAGAACGTGACCTTATTTGGAAATAGAGATGTTGCAGGTATAACCGGTTAAGATGAGGATATACTGAAGTAGGGTGGGCCCCTCATCCAGTATGACTGGTGCTCTTATAAAAGAGGGACATTTGGACACAGACACTCACTGAGGAAAAATGATGTGAAGACACACAAGAGTCATGTGATGACAAACGCAGAGATTAAGAGTGGTGCGAGCCAGGGAATACCAAGGATTGCCAGCAAATGCCAGAAGCTAAAGTGGTAAGCAAGGATTCGCCCCTACAGACTCAAGAGGGAGCCCTGCTGACACCTCAATTTCAGACTTTCACACTCTAGAACTGTGAAACAATAAATTTCTATTGTTTTAAGCAACCCAGTTTGTGGTACTTTGTTATAAAAGTGCTATTTTAAGAGGCCGGGTGCAGTAGCTCACACCTGTAATCCCAGCACTTTGGGAGGTGGAGGCAGGTGGATCACAAGGTCAGGAGATCGAGACCATCCTGGCTAACATGGTGAAACCCTGTCTCTACTAAAAATACAAAAAAAATTAGCTGGGCGTGGTGGCAGGCGCCTGTAGTCCCAGCTACTTGGGAGGCTGAGGCAGGAGAATGGTGTGAACCCAGGAGGTGGAGCTTGCAGTGAGCCAAGATCCCGCCACTGCACTCCAGCCTAGGCGACAGAACGAGACTCTGTCTCAAAAAAAAAAAGAAAAAGTGCTATAAAAGTAACACAGTGATCTATCACTGAAATTTCTGTAATGATCTATCAAACGGACATATTTGTTAAACAAATATGAAACTAGCTCACTTTGAAAAATATTTGTTACCCACTTTAGAGTTTCACTTTCTCAATTTCTGAGAGAAATTTCAACAATGAATTTGCCAAAATTTATCAAATAACTATTTACTTTTTACTCTAATTACAGTCTCCTTGTTTAGGAACTAAAGTTAGATAAAACTAGGGCAAAATCAACCCTACATATCGGAAATTAAACATTTTAGCTTCCTCCTCCCCACTGATTATGTAAAGAGATAGTTTTTTAAGAGTAAGATCATGACTCTCATATAAAGTTATAACTCTCATATAATGTTAACACATGTTGATATGGTTAGGCTTTGTGTCCCCACCCAAGTCTCATCTTGAATTATAATCCCCATAATCCTCATAATCTCCTCTTGTCAAGGGAGAGACTAGGTGGAAGTAATTGGATCATGGGGGCAGTTTCCCCCATGCTGTTCTCATGATAGTGAGTTCTCACAAGATCTGATGGTTTTATAAGTGTTCGGTAGTTCCTTCTGTGTTCATTCTCCCTCCTGCTCCCTTGTGAAGAAGGTACCTTGCTTCCCCTTCACCTTCCACTGTAATTGTAAGTTTCCTGAGGCATCCTCAGCCATGTGGAACTGTGAGTCAATTAAACCTCTTTCCTTTACAAATTACCCAGTCCGAGGCAGTACATTACAGCAGTATGAGAACAAATTAATACACATGTCAAAATTATATTTAACTGATTTATTAATGAGGGAATCAATAATATACAAAAGTAACTGCTTCAAAAGAGAATTCAAATAGATACAGAAGTAATCAGGTATACTAAAATGAATTTTCTAATCGATGCATAAGGTGAGATCAGTTGTACCTTTTTTTTTTGAAACAGGGCCTCATTCCATCACTTAGGCTGGAGTGCAGTGGCATAATCATGGCTCACTGCAGCCTTGACTTTCTTGAGCTCAGATGATTCACCCGCCTCAGCCTCTCAAGTGGTTGGGACTACAGTTGCGTGCCACCAAGTTTGGGTAATTTTTTGTATTTTTTGTAGAAACACGGTTTTGCCATGTTACACAGGCTGTTCTCAAACTCCTGGGCTCAAGAGAACTGCCCACCTCAGCCTCCCAGAGTGTTGGGATTACAGGCGTGAGCCATTTCACTGCATTTCTAGGAACAGGAACTACCATCAATTTTCTACAACTAAGCATTATAAAGTAGCTCAAAGGCAATGAAGGTGCAAATTTTCATAGGATCAGGTAAACTAGAAGGATGCATTAAACATCTAGCATCCCACTGAAAAGATTTTCACTAATCTCTTCTCACCCATTTCAATCTCTTTCACAAGTTTTCCTGGAATATTTCTTCCCTATGATCATAATAATCTCATATTGTTGTGATCATAAAATAAGACTCATCAACTTTGGTCTAGTTATTTATATAAGTGCTGTAAGAGTGTTGATTATATTCCAACAGCAGCATCTATAGATTTGGCTACATTATTCTCTTCTTGAGGTCCCCAAAATTTAGTGAGGTTGCTGACCTGAGAAGAAGTGATGTTCCTTACCATCTGAAAACCTGGAACTTTGGGAGCCAGATACAAGGCCAGTTTTTGGGAAGGAGAGTGGAGGTACGTTTTGGTGGTGAAAGTAAAGTCAACCTTTCTACCTTAAATCATGTATGACTGGTCATACATGATTAACTGAGAATAGAATCATTCATTCTCCAATACAATACTGCAGATAAAGCCTTGGCTACACAATCGATTTGCCTAACTCTATCTTGGTTTTGAAAAAAAAAAAAAAAGGCGGATTCTTACTAAACCTATGCAAATAATTATATTGTCATAAAAAGTTAGGAGACTCAGTAAGAGTGTCTGATTTGAGTTCAAAATAGGCAAAGAACATAGACAAATAAAAGCTCAATTGAATTCTCTACTGTCTCTCACTCAATAGCGAATAGATTTCTATCATCTATTTACAGATATTGACAAATAATTAGACCAAAAAATCAAATTCCCAATCACTGTTGCCACTAGAAAAAGGAATAAATTATTGGCCCTGCTCAAATCAAAACCAAAAACAGAGGCCGGGCGCAGTGGCTCACGCCTGTAATCCCAGCACTTTGGGAGGCCGAGGCAGGTGGATCACGAGGTCAGGAGATCGAGACCAACCTGGCTAACATGGTGAAACCCCGTCTCTACTAAAAATACAAAAAATTAGCCAGGTGTGGCGGCAGGCACCTGTAGTCCCAGCTACTCAGGAGACTGAGGCAGGAGAATCGCTTGAACCCAGGAGGCAGAGCTTGCAGTGAGCCGAGATGGCACCAGTGCACTCTGGCCTAGGCAACAGAGCAAGACTCCATCTCAAAAAACAAAAAAACAAAAACAACACAAAATCAGCGGGGAAAAAAAAAAACCTACAAAAACAGAGTCTCTAAAATTCACTCTATAAGCCAAGAAGAGAGCTTGATCTGCCCACACCTGGGCTTCATCTGCTCATGAGGCTTACTTCTCCAGCAGTGCTATCAACCTGGCTTTTTCAGGTGGATCTAGGTGGTATCTCAGTGAGACCCATGAAATTATAAAGGGATAATTTCTTAAGACTAAAATTATGACCCTCATTTACATTTCAATGAATATGTGTCAAAGCTTTTTTGCTTTTTTGCTTTTTTTTGAGACGGAGTTTCACTCTTGTTGCCTAGGCTGGAGTGCAATGGCTCTTGGCTCACCACAACCTCTGCCTCCCAGGTTCAAGCGATTCTCCTGCCTCAGCCTCCTGAGTAGCTGGGATTACAGGCATGTGCTGCCATGCCCAGCTAATGTCTGTATTTTCAATAGAGACGGGGTTTCACCATGTTGGCCAGGCTGGTCTCGAACTTTTGACCTCAGATGATCTGCCTGCCCTTGGCCTCCCAAAGTGCTGGGATTACAGGCGTGAGCCCCCATGCCTGGACGTGTCAAAGGTTTTTATTTATTTATTAGTGAAAGAACTAGTAAGAGATTAAAAAATTGTTCAAAGAAGAATTCACAGAATAAACACATAGTCAATCAGGAATGCTGAAATAAATTTGCTAATAGGTGCAATAGTGTGCTTGCCTCCTCCATAAGACAGAACCAATTTTACCATCACTGGACAAAATCTGTTTGCATTTCTATGAGCAGAAATCATTTGCACTACCATCAGTTTTTTACAACATTAAGAGTTGTAAAACAGTTCAGAAACAATGAAAGGTGCAGTTCTCTATAGATTCAAATGACCCCAAAAGATGTGTTAGCCATTGAAAACTATTCTACTGAGCTGGGAGGTTGAGAGATGCTTGGAGTCATGGTACCAGTAAGGATCCTAGCAGTGGTCAGATGCCAAAGACCCACGGCTAGTCTCCCACCCTAGTGCTGATCTTCCTTATCCTTCTATTCCTACCGAAGGGAGATTCCTGTTCTGAGTAAGAAATCCATAAATTTATGACCTAACATTCTTACTGCCTCCTGCCCTTTAGCTTCCAGGACATCAAGGAGATGGGGGCCAGAAGTAAAGAGTTCTGGGAATGAAACTAAAAGATCCTTTAGTTTATACATGAGACAGGAGAAAACTAAGTGTGGGATTGTATAGATGGAGAACAGGGACGATAAAGGCAAAGCTAAAGGGTGAGTTGAGGCTTACTTGATTGTGTGTATTTGAGAAGTGAGAAGAAGGGTAGATAGGGGACAAGAGAGATGGAAGGGGGAAGACAGAGAGAGTCTCAGTCATCATTCTACTGTCAGGCTTGACAGTCAACAGAGATTCTAAAGTCCTTACCACAGTGAGTGTCTGGCATAGTCAGAACTTAGTTCGTAAGACACAGACATGGCCACAGACTTGTAAGGATGCATGGGATAGACGGGGAAAAATTATATGAACTTAAGGGGAAAATTAACTACTCAAAAAAAGATTTTCAAATTTGTGGGTGAACCTGTTGACATAGCTTCATAATTGTCAAACTTTGAGACTTAAAATGTAGAGCCAGAGAGTTATCAGAAGTTGTCAGAAAGAGCTACCTCTTTGCTTCCTTTTCTTTTTCTTATTTTATTTGCACTTAAAAATAATGCTGCAGTGAATAGATCTGTATACATAAACGTTTCCACGTATTATATAACTTTCTTGTAAAGAATTCCTGAAAGTAGAATAACAATGACAAACACTGAAACACAATACTGTTATGTAAATATAACCATCTAAATTTCCACCAAGCAGTGCAGGAGGTCATATTAACTCTTTGAAATGAATGACCTACATGACAATAAAAAGCTAGGGTGTGAACTGATTTAGGAACCACTCATGTTCCTTCCCAAAAACTGCACTGTACTAGCTTCTTGTCCACTATGTCTCCATTTTGGAGTTCCTGGAAGTGACAAATGTGAGCACTGGAGCTAGAGGAAGCTTTGGCCTGAAATATACCAAGAGCTCAGTAAAGCAGAAGTAGCTAGCTCAAGCAGACCAGAAGTTCTAATTTGAACTGTTCTATTTCTTTGATTAATCAAGAATAGAAAACAGCTATCTTATAATAAATTCTTTTTGTTGGTAGACGTTACCGCTGAAAAGCATAATAGGGAGAAATAACTAGAGGAAGATTTGGTGACGAAAGAAGGTGGAGAAAATTACTTTAAATCAATGTTAAATCATGCTAACTAGTCAAACAAAAAATAACCAAACAAAAAAAAATCGTGTTAAATCATGATGCATGCATTTTGATGGAAAAGAAGGGCGGCTTTAGCCAAGAATTGAAAAGTGAAAGATAGCATCTGTCAGCAGATAAGAAAAATTGTGGGCACAGGGGGAATTACCAGCCTCCACTGGAGCCCTGAAATCACCTGAGTGTAGCTGACTCAAGTTTCTCAGCTTGTTAGAACTATTAAGTCACAGAACCTGCTTTTATCCCACAAGGACCTGTTTACTGGGTTGTGAGTGAGCCCATTACACACGAATACCATGGCCTACTGATTCTTGTTTCCTTGGAAAAGTGTGCTTCCTGCTTTGAACCGTCCTGTACCTTGGCTCCATTAGGTTTCCATCTGCTTAGGTCAAGCGTGAATCATACACTTAATAGGTGCAATGAAAATGCATATGGCAATGTGGCAAGGTAGTGCCTCAAACTTTATACTCAGATATACAGGGGGGAAATAAAACTTTTATTTTAAAGCTGATCTAACTCTTATGCCAATTAAAGACATCTCCATATCTTCCTATTTCTTTCAGGTTAATTTTTTTTTTTAGTAAGTTCTCAGTCCTCTTAGAATACTTCCCCTTCACCTTTCTCCTCTCTAAAATATTGTCTGCTGATATGAGGGAAATCATGATTTTAAGTAAGATTGATAAAGTTTCTCACCTGTAGGCTTCTATGCATCTCCTCGTAGCTGGGTCTTTGAAGTTGTGAAGTCAGGTTTAGCCCCTGGGCATTTGTGATGACATCCATTGACATGTGGCTGGTCACTCCTGGCCCTATGGGAGCATCATGCAGACATCCACTGCTGAAGTCAGTGGGCCCAGCCATTGGCTTGTTTTTAGGAAGTCCCCACACATTGCTGCCTCATTGCGCTGAGCCCATGTCTCTAGTTCTCACTGTCTTCACATCTCCTGCACTGTGGAATCAGGCACACCTCAGGTTCATTTCTCCATCCTCCACCTGTGTTTCTTTCCCTCACACCATGTTAGATGTGGCTTAAGCCAAAAGCAACAATGTGCATAAAGACCTGCACATATAACCCATAGCTATCTGGATGGCTTTATGGACTTCTCTCAAGACTCAAACCCAGGAGAGAGGATAACAATGTTACAGGTACCTGACCAGCCTGTCCTACCTTCTCCTGTCTTAAACATTTCATGCTTTTGTCAGTTCTAACACACACATTATTTCACATTTTAACATTACTTAACAGATCTTTCACTGACTTGTACAAGAATTTCTCTTGGATAAACATCAAAGAATATGCTAGACCATAGGGCATAACAACAGTGAACATACCACTTCACACACCACAGGACAATATTAAAGTACCTATCACCACATGTCCTGACCAACATTTCCTATGCACATTTGTAACAGTTGCTGTCCCAATAGCCTTAACATGGCATCTCACTGTAGCTTTAATTTAATTTCTCTGGTTACAGCATTTGAGCTCTCTTTATGAACTTATTAACCATTCAGATGTTCCTCTTTAAATTGCTTTCTCATATCTTCAGCCAATTTTTTCATTAGTTTTCTAGTCTTTTTCTTATTAATGTTGCAATTGATGCCTTTCTATATATTAGTCCATTTTGAGTTTCAGGCACTGTAGCATCTTTCTATCTTTTTGTATTTTCATTCATCTTTTAACTTTGTGTATGGTGTCTATTGAAAAGAAATTCTTCATTTTAATATGGTCAAACTGAACAATATTTTTCCTTATTATGTATTTTTGTTTCTTATATAAAAGGCCTTTTACCAACACTCAGGCACAGAACTATTTTATTCAATTACCTTCATAATTTTTAGCTTGCAGAAATATCTTTAATTCATACCGAATTGCCTCTATACGGTCTAAAGTAGGGAACTGAGCTTATTTTTCTTCATGAGCAAGAATTTTCCTAATATCGCTAAAATCATTACTTTGTTCACTATTTTTAATGTGTTACTTTATTTTTTAGCTATTTTTTAAAGTTTTCCATATATACAGGTCAATTTCTGAGCTTTTTATTCTATTCCATTGATCTATTTGTCCACTCCTTAACCAATATATTTTTTAACCATATTATCGTTGAGTGTCTTAATATCTGGTATGGTAAATGCTCTCCTTTCTCTTTGTTTTCTAATATGGCTTAGCTATCCATGGACTTTTATTTTTTCAAGCATATTTTAGAGAGAGTTTTTTAAATTCTTTTAAAAATATTGATAACATTTTGACCAGAATTGTATTGAGTTTGTAGATTCCTTTGAGGTAAATTGACTTCTTTGCTACATTAAATCAGTCTGTTTATTTAAAATCTCTTGGGCTGAGAGCGGTAGCTCATGCCTATAATCCCAGCACTTTGGGAGACCAAGTTGGGTGGATCACCCAAGGTCAGGCATTCAAGATCAGCTGGCCAACATGGTGAGACCCTGTCTCTACTAAAAATACAAAAATTAGCTGGGCATGGTGGCGGGTGCCTGTAATCCCAGCTACTCGGAAGACTGAGGCAAGAGAATCTCTTGAACCCGGGAGGCAGAGGTTGCAGTGAGCCGAGATCGCACCATTGACTCCAACCTGGGCAACAAGAGCGAAACTCCGTCTCAAAAAAAAATCTTTTCTATTTTTAATTGAGTTTTTAAAATTTCTCCAGAAAGAGACTGGCTTTCTTTGTAAGGTGGATTTCTAGAAACTTATTCATTTGGAGTAATATTATAAATAGCATATTATTTCTATTATATTTTCTAGTTAATAATTGCTGATATGGGAAGATACTATTGATTTTTATAAGTCGTCCTGTACCCAAAACTTTGCTAATCTCTTTTACTTCTAATAGTTTTCTCTTAATCTATTGGAATTTATATGATCATTTCATCTCTGAACTAATATTGTATAACACTAACACAGCACTATGTTCATTGACATTTTAGTGGGCATGAAAGAACACTGTATATTCTCCCTTTTCCTTCAAGCTATATATGCAGAATCACTCAATTGACAGAAAATTTTTTTCATTAAAATTAAAAAGAGCCTGTAGCCAAAATGTGAAAATTTCTCTACAATTCTCCTTTCCTGTTCTGTTGTTTGGTTTGTTTTCTTTTATCTTCTTTATTTTCAGATTTTGAATTTTCTTGAATTTCATATATTCTGTTTCTATAACTTTAGTTGTTACCCTTGCAATTTCCACACGGACAGTTTGACTTAAAATTGGAAACAATTTATCTATCTTCTTCCTGAATAATAAATAATAAAAAGTCTTCAAAATCTTTTACTCCAATCACTCCTCTCCTATTTTACATGTTATAATGGGCTAGTATTTGATTTCCATTTTGTGTTTTCATCCAATTTAATCAGAATTATTTTTATTTTATATAGTGTTAATTATGTATTTCCACGTTCATCACTTTCTTTTGTCACACTGCTTCTTCCATCTCATTCCCTTCTACATTCAATGCTTTTATTCCTAAAGTACATCCTCGTGTAATTTTTTCAGTGAGAATGTCTAACTATTAAATTATTTCAAGAATGTCTTTCTTATTTCTTCTGACCTCTAGTGTTGCCATTGAGAAGTCTTTTGTCAAGTTCATCTAAGTACCTACTTTCACAGGCAATATTCTTTCTTCGTTGTTCTTTTTTCCATTTTTCTTTAATTGCTGTCATATGATGCTTTGCAATTTGGTTGTGATGTTTCCGGGTATGGATTTATTTATCTGTTTTGTCCTCCTTAGTTCTCACTTATCACTAAGTTCAACTTTAAGCTGATGATTATTAACTTGCTCTTCAGAAGTCCAACATATGAGGAGCTAGCCTAAGGAATGTACTATCAAGACATTCCAATCTGGAATACTGTACATTTAAACCTCATTAGCTTACCACACTACAAATTACATGAGTTGAGTTACATGTTGGTGTCATGACTTTAGCTTTCATCAGGGTTCAACATAAGCCATATACATAATATTTCTATGTAGCCTATAAATCATAGTTTAAAGCATTATATTAGAAAACTGAGAGGTCAACAGTTCCAAATTTCTCTACCTCCACCCCAAGTATTAATCATTCTCTCCTTCCACCCTGGCTCTGAGAAACAAGTGTCTCTTTTCCTCTCCAAGGCTCACTCATCTTTTCTTCCACTATCTCTCACACTTGGCTCAGTAATTATACCTTTACTCTGAGGTCATGTATGACTTTTCCACTCCACCCACTCTTTCCTTACAGTTAAAAAAATTCACATTTCACACTTTCTAAAAAATAAAAACTTTCCCTCATCCCTGCCTGTCTCTCAAGCTAATTACCTCTCTTTCTCACTCTCACAGCCAAAATTCCTGAAGGAGGGAGAGGTTGTGTCCCCTATACCACCTACCCAGCCCCACATGCCCATTTCATCCTAGCCCTGCTGCAATTTGGCTTCTTCTCCCATCACTTCATGCAACTACTCCAGGCAAGATTACTAATGACTTCCTGACCTCCAAAGCCTAAGGAGTCTTTTCAGGACAAATCCTGTTTTGGTGCTCCAAAGCTTTGGACATCTTTTCCTAATTTGTTATCGACCCTTAGAATTCTTCTATGGTTTTTCAGATTGCTCCCTGGATTGCTTTATCATACTATACTTACTATTCCTCTGCCCCGCTTTAAATGAGGGAGGCCTATGGGTATTCCTGTTCCTCTTCTCATACCCACTTCCCTGGCTTTTTAGCTCATACTTATAAGTTGAAGACTCTTGAAATATTTATCTCTAACCCTTGCCTCTCTCTTGAGCTCCAAATCCAATTTCTCACAGCTTCAATCGACATCTTCAACAGGATGCCCAATCACATCTCAGATTCAATGTCTCCAAATAGAAGTTTGTTTCTTTTTCTTTCAAATTTTTTTCTTATATTCCCTATTCTGATGTGCAATTGTCATTCACTGTCCAAATTTAAACAGAGCAATTCTCTAGTCCAACATTGTCAAATAGAACTTCCAGTGATGACGGAAATCCAGTATGGTAGTACAAGCCACCTGTGGCTATGGAGCACTTGAAATGGAGCTAGTGTGAATGGAGAACTGAATTTTTAATATATTTAATGTTAACTAATTTAAATTTAAATAGCCACATATGGCTATTCTGTTGGAGAGCATAGCTATAGTCTTTCCTCTCACCTAAATTATTTTTGCCACCATGTCCCATGGTTTCTATCTTCTAAATTTATTTGGGAAATATCCTTTTGAAAGCACTCATTCTTTTCTATTGCCACTGTACCACTTGCAAATGTCAATCTGTTTATTTACTTTCCCTGCCCTAAGCATCTTCATTAATCTCATTTTATATTTTGTACAAGATGATATCTAAATGTCTATTCATGGCCTATAAGGCCTTTCATTATGTGGTCTACTTTCCTCCCCAGCTACTCCCAGTGCCCTCTGTGACCACCACGTTCAGCTCTTCACCCTTCTCCTATATGCCCAGTAACACCTCCTAGCTCTTGAACATTCTGTACTTCTGCCTACAATATCACTCCTCTTTATCTTTTCCATGAATTTCCACTCATATTAAAGGGCCAAATCAGATGCCAGCTCCTCATTAATGTCATTCCTGATCATCCATGGAAATCTTGTTCCTGCTTTCTTTGCATTTTTATAACATTTAACAGATCCTCTATCATAGCACTTAGCACTGTGTCCTATGTTTGCTTGTATATCTGCCTCACTCTTCTGCAGAGCAAAAACAATATCCTATGTAACCTTCTCACTCCTATCTGTGAATAAATGAATGATCATAAAATTCACAATTCCTCCTATAATTAAGAGTCAAAGATGCTTCACCTGAAAAACCTGAGTGCTGCCTTTATTTAGATAGCTAAAGTTATAAACCTATTTTTTTCTTATTGTGTCTGAGAGCCTTTCATTATCAGATGCATGATAATAGAGCTTTCTTTATTTTTCTATAATTTAATTTAGGTAGATCACATAACACCCCTAGCTCTATTATTTATTATCTTTGCAACATAATCCCTCTAAGTCTCAACTTTCCCATCTGAAAAATGGGAGTAATGATTGAATGGAGAGGACTAATGGTGGAAAAGGAAAGAAAAAACAGAAAGAGAGAGAAAGGGAGGAAGGCATAAAGGAAGGGAGGCAGGAAAAGGGACAGAAAGGGAGCGAGGAAACATACTGTAAACTCTCAGGTGGAGATACACTTTTCCAGGCCTCCCTTATTGCTCACAAGAATATACCGATGCCAATGGTACCACTGATTTGGAGTGAGGTTTTCCCAGATCTGAGAAGAATTGTTTTTTTTCATTCTCTCTGTGAAGAATTGCAGGTCAATTCCTAGGCAACACTGGGTGTCATCAGAGCTAGGTCTGAGGCATTCCTAAAAATCAATTGCCCAGTCCATTTGGGATAGTTTTGATAGTTTGCAAATAGTTTTGATTCTGAATTTGATCTGAAGATCATAATTACACATTCATTTATCTACAATAGTTTTCTATGCCTGCTACAGTTTCATGAGGACTCAGTGAGCTCTTAATGTGATAATCCTTTTAAAGCGTTTTGCCCATAGTAAAGGCTCAATACATGATAGCTATGAATATTATTTATAGTATTCCATAATCCTGCATGTTCTGAAACTGCAATATTTTTGAATGCTGAACCATAACTTTCTTCTGCTCAAGTGCTAAAAAGTTCACAGTAACTAATGGCTGATATTTGTGTATATGCAGCACTTATCGTTACCGTATTTTTATTTGTGTGTGTATTTGACTGATGTCTGTCTCCCCCTCTAGGCTATATCTCCATGAAAGCAAGTGCTCTGTCAGTTCTTGGTTACCATTGTATGCCCAGCACTTAACAAAGTGCCTAGTACACCAGGAGCACTCAATAAATATTTGCTGAAATAATTTGTTCACTTATTTGAAAAACATTTCAGAGACTGTGCTAGACATTAGAGATACCAAAGCATTTCAATGAAAGTTTTCTGCCTCAATGAATGTTAGTTGAAAAATCCTTATAAGGAGGGTATCAAACCAGTCAGGATAGAGGGGATAGCTACGAAATGCTTTCCAGAGAAGGTGACAGTTAAGCTAATCTTGAAATAGGCAAGAAAAAGAGAAAGAATAGTCTAGAAAGAGCAAGTACACACACACATAAAAATGATAAAGAAAGGAAAGTCTTTCTGTTTAACTGGAAAAGGGTCTGTGAGAAAGAGAATAACAAGAAACAAGGTGAAAAAGTAAAGAGACATGGGAACATGTATTGTGAGCCATATTAAAGATTTTGCATTTAATTATGAAGGCAATCTGGAGACATTGAAGGATTTGACACACAGAAAGAGAATAACCTGAAAAACAAATGAGGTGGACTAGATCTCTAAAGTGTCTCCAATTTTAGCAGTTTGTGATTCAGAAATGTTGAAAGCTAAATTGAATACTCAAATACAGGTTATGTGTGTCTGTGTGTGTGTGTGTGTGGAGAGAGAGAGAGAGTAGTTAGATTAAACTGCTATAACAAACAGACTCAAAATGTAATGACAAAAAAGGTTCATGATGCTCTCATATGCAGCCCAGGTCTGATGTTCATGATTGCCTTTTATGGAGGAGAGAAAGGATCAGCTCCTCAAAGTCCCTCGAGGCTAACAGAGCTCTGCCATAATCAACATGTGGCTTCCAAGATCATTTTGGTTTTCATGTCACCATTCCATCCTTTGTGAATGGATTATAGCATATGACTCAGATCTGGAAATATCACACATCACTTCCATTCATTAGGATGCAGTCACATGACCACATCTATCTGCAAGGAAGTCTAGGAACGGTAGGCTAGCTGCTTGCTAAAGCACCCTCTGCCACACTATTTTAATTTAGACTAAGGCACTCTCTGCCACACTATTTTAATTTAGAATTTGGGGTATGTTTGTACTCTGTTTCTCCTAAGTGGTTTTATAATTTTTTTTCTGTTTTAATCCTCTTAGTGTTTGTAGATTTCATTATAAGAGGTCTCAAATCCATTTTTAAAGCAAGTAGAGTGCAAACCACAAATAAAGCAACAATCATAAATTTGACTAATGTCAACAAAAGTTTATAGTATTTTATAGTTCACAAAGCATTTTCACACTCTTTAGTTTGTTTTTTTAAAGCAACCCTTTGATGTAAGCAGGAAACTGTAGTTACTAACAATTTTGAAATATACATGTTATTTGGAGAGGTAAGTAATTTACGTGAAGTTGCCTAATTACACTCATTCTAACAGTTATTTAAATGTAGAGAACATTTAAGTGTCTTTCAAATCCCTCTTAAAATGCAGAAGGATTTTTTCAAGTCTCATAAAGAACAGTTTCTCCTTATTTTAAAATAAAGGACATATTCATTAGGAGCAGATATATTCTGACACCTTGTTAAAGGGGTTAAGGTGGTATATTCGTTTCCTAGGGCTGCCATAACAAAGTCCCAAAAACTGAATGGCTTCAATAACAGGAATTTATTGTCTCATGGTTCTGGAGGCTAGAAGTTTGAGACCAAGTTGTCAGCAGGCCATGCCCTTCTGAAGGCACTAGGGGAGGATCTGTTCCAAGCCTCTCTTCTAGCTTCTGGAAGTTCTTTGGCTTGTGGCAGTATAAATAACTTCAATCTTCACAGAACTGTGAGACAATATATTTCTAATTTTCTCATCTTTGGCTTGGATTTAGTCAATGAGACAAAGGCCTACATATTAGGGAATTAACACCCTGCAAGGAAATGAAGACAGCTTTCCTATGCCCAAGAAGGACTTGGAAAATGCGGCAGTAGAAAGAAGCCAACAAAAAAATTCCAAATGCTCTGGCCATGTTAGGTTTGCCCTTCAAAACATTTTACCAGCATTTGGCATGCTGCCCCCGACCAGCCCTTCCCTGGAAAGGAACAGTGTGTGAGCCCCCCACATCTATGTAAGTTTCCCACTTGTCTCCACTGAGCAACATTCTTCCCATGAGGTCATGTTCAGCCCCCATCTTTATTCCAGATGACTTTTCAATTCTTTTGGTACCTAGCTTTTATATATTTCAACTGTGGACATATAAAACCCAAACCAAGCACAAGATAGGGTACAGAGAGCCCAGCTGTTCTATAGAAAAACATCTTTCAGTACTTTCTCCCTTTTCACCAGCCCCACCCAACTTCCCCACCCTGTGTTTTTCTAAAACCCCAAAGAAGAAAGGAGGACAGAGAGTAAAATGTTTTTACTGTTCACCAGTGAACTGGGAAGGTGTTGCTTCTGTGAAAACTCATGCCCCGGTACCTGGCACACTGAACACTCTGCTGCTTCATTTGTCTGACTGCCTTGTTCACACTTGCCAAGCCAACATCTGTGGATTGCATGACTTTTTAATTAGAGGAGATGGAGAGTGTGCGTTTAAAAAAAAAAAGAAAAAAAGAAACATCTGATAGGACTTGCACCTCAAACTTCTACCCACCTTTCTCTTCCACACCACTCCAGGATTTTTTTCCCCCAAATTAACCTGAGAGATGGAACCACCTCTGGTCCAGCTTGAGGCAAATTTGGCAGCTTTAGAGGTTGAATGGTGACAACTTACTAACAATCTGCTTTTCTCTGCAAATTGCTAAGGCAGTGGCATTTCTTGGCCAATTCAAAAATCAGGTGATTTCCAAAAAAACTACAGCACATTTTTGTCTAGAGTTCTCATCCAAGAGCCAAAGCAAGGTGCTGCCAGAGGCTGCTGGTCCTGACTCTACTGCTGAAATGCAGTCTTACCAGGAGGTTGGCATTCCTGAGCTATTTCTTCTAGAAAGGGATAGAAGTTAAGGCAAAAATTTGGAGGATTACAGGATAAAAGGCAGAGGAAAAGGATAAGAAGAGAAGGTAAATGTCTACTAAGATGTGGTACTTACATGAATGTGGTCATAAGAAAGGCCAAATTAGGCAGCAATTTTATAGAGTTATCACACCCAGATGTGAATAGGCTGCATTCAATATCAATCCGCAAAGAGGAACTCTGCTTATATTGTCTCCTTCTTGTAAACACCAGGGTCTCAGTTGCAAATGTCTGTTAGGCCCACCTGAATCAGCTTCTCTTTGTTACACTTCCTAAAAGGATTTTCTTAAATGCAAGCACAAATATGTCACTCCCACTGCTTAAAACGCTACAGTGGAAACTCCCACTGCTTAAAATACTCCTGCTCTTAAAGTTCAAGCTCTCACCCACCATGGCTTTAAAAACCTTGCTTCTAGGGCCTTTGCCTAATTCTACAGCTTCTCCTTCCCAAATGCATTCTATGCTCCATCCATGCCCAGTTCCTTGTAGTTCTTTTAATGCATCCTGTTTGTCTGCTGTCCTAATTCTTGCCTTCCACCCCACCCTTAGCTCTCTTCAGGCTGCTTGAGACTATCATCCCCTCCTCCTTCTCTTCCTCCCTTTTTTTGTCTTATGGTCAGTTGGCTAACTCCCACTTACCCTACAGGCCTTAATGTCAATTTCAGTTACTCTGGAAAGCCTTATCTGCCTTATTTGCCTTGCAAATCTGTGTTAAACACCCTTCCCATGAGCTTTCCCAGAACCTTGTGTTTTCCCTTTGATCAGGTGCAACCTTCTGTATTATAACTTCCTGGTCACTCATCTCTCTCCTATTCTTACACCCGCCCACCCTAACTCGGGACTACTGACTCCAACAACAAGCAGCAGGCCAATCTTGCGCACTAGGACCCTAGCACCACACAGTGTCCTGAACATATAGGTGATCAGTAAATATTTGTTGATGTGATCAGTCATTTATTCAATTAAAATATCCCATGCTCCAATAGTGGAGATAGAAAAGTCTTTGGTTCATGTCTTTGGTTCCCAATCTTTCTATGTAACCCTTGATCATTATATTTCAGCTGCAGCCATTTTATAAAAAGAAACAGTGGGATAAAAGATGAACATCACCAACAAAACCACTTTCTGGCTGAGCGCGGTGGCTCACACCTGTAATTCCAGCACTTCAGGAGGCCAAGGTGGGCAGATCATTTGAGGTCAGGGGTTTGAGACCAGCCTGGCCAACATGGTGAAACCCTGTCTCTAGTAAAAATACCAAAAAAAGTTAGCCAGGAATAATGGCGCATGCCGGTAGTCTCAACTACTGGGGAGGCTGAGGCACAAGAATCGCTCAAACCTGGGAGATGGAAGTTATAGTGAGCCGAGATCGCACCACTGCACTTCAGCCTGGGCGACACAGTGAGACTCGTCTCAAAAACAATAGCAACAACAACAAAACCCCACTTTCTTTCCTTCCACAGTTGTTAAAAGACTCAGAGTGTTTCAATTTTTTTTTTAATTTTTGTAGAGACAGGGTCTCGCTATGTTGCCTAGATGGTCACAAACTCTGGCCTCAAGAGAAACTCTCACCTTGGCCTCCCAAATTGCTGGAAGTACAGGTGTGAGCCACCACACCCAGCCACTCAGACTTTCTTTTTTTTTTTTGAGACGGAGTTTTGCTCTTGTTGCCAAGGCTGGGGTGCAATGGTGCTTGGCTCACCACAACCTCTGCCTCCCAGGTTCAAGCAATTCTCCTGCCTCAGCCTCCCAAGTAGCTGGGATTACAGACGCCCGCCACCACGCCCAGCTAATTTTTTGTATTTTTAATAGAGATGGGTTTTCACCATGTTAGCCAGGATGGTCTCAATCTCCTGACCTTGTAATCTGCCTGCCTCGGCCTCCCAAAGTGCTAGGATTACAGGCATGAGCCACTGTGCCTGGCCTCCACTCAGACTTTTTAAACAAGCTATATAAGCTCAATCCTTGTTTTAGACTCTTCTCAAGCTCAGATTTTCACTGATTATCAGTTCATACTTGGCTGAGACTAGGATTCCTGAATCCTCAACCTCCTTCCATAATTACAGCCACCCCCAGAGACTCAAGACCAACTTATCCATTACAGGGTCTAGTGTCCAAAATATGTTTAGAAGTTCAGAAAATGTTTTTATTTCTTTTAAGATCAAAGAGAAAAATATTTTAGGTCCTAAAAATTTAAAAATAATATAAATATATTTGTCCTTACACCAACACGTCATAAAATATAATTTTTAATACTTTTTATAGAGGAAGAGGGTCAATAAAGTCAATAGTACCTAAGGCCCATTAAAATCATGATTTAGCCCTACTGAGTGCCTGAAAAGTGATTTGGGCACAGACAACAAGGAAAAGGAGCAGAATTGTCTCATTACCCTGGAGTCTCAATGGAGCCCTTGGTGAGAGAGCTGAACCATGTGAGCAATTCAAGTAGTGCTTTTGTCCCTCTTGTCTAAGGGACTGTATCACGACCAGACCGAAACTTCTCTCACTCTTTTTTCTCAGGTGTTTATGGTGACTGTCAGCAACCCACTTCACCTCACCATCTACCAAATAAAATTGCTTCTATTACTAGTAACTAACAACAAGTTTCATACTCTAATCCCTCACCTCTTTACATGCAAACAGCAGCATATTAAATGATATTTCTCAGATGGGCCCATTGCTCCAAGTCAGATGCATGGCCCTTCACAAAGTTCACACCCATGGTCTCAAGTGAACAGGGCAAACTGGGCAACAACCTCTTCAGACCTAGGGAAAGACCCAAAAATCACCCTCCTAACCTAACTGGAAAACACAGAACACTCCCTTATAGCAGGTGAGTGTCACACAATCCATTCACAGAATAGAAGTGGGTAAATCCATGCTTGCTTATATTTCCAAACATGTTTAGAGCCATCATGTACGAGCAGAATGCATTCTGGGGCAAAGGGGAAAATGGAAAAGTTCAGAAATCCATCTAGAAGAAATAGGATCCGGTAAGTTACAAAATGAAAAATGTTCGAACATCACATCACTGTAAGATTGGTTACTAAAACCTGCTCTCTGTAAATGTGCATCCAAGCTGATATTTGGTCCAACTGGGTCACAAGCAAAGGCAGACAGTGAGAATTTGAAATCCTTTGAACACATGGAATCCACAAATGAAGAATTGTTTGTTGAGATAAAAATTTGAACTTGCTCATGATTATAGACTACTAATAACACAATTATAAATATAACCAAAATATCCAAAAGCAAAGGAGCATACGAACAAAGGAAAACAGAGACAAAGACCATGTCCCTACTATGGTCAAAAACCTGCAGTAGTTTCTCATTTCCCTCAGAGTGAAAGCCAAGTTCTTTGCCATGTCCCGCACTGTGCCCACAGTCTGGCCCACTTCACAGCTCTGAGCTCATCTCTCCTGGCACAGCTCCAACCACACTCACCTCCTTGCTGTTCCTCAAATATGTCAAGCATGCCCTGCCTCAGGGCCTTTGCAAGGAGTGTTCCTGCTGCCTGGAATTCTCTTCCCCAAGGTACCCACTGGGCTACTCCCTCATCTCCTTCAAGTCTTCGCTCCAATGTCACCTTCTCAGGTGGCCCTCTCCCTAACCATTATTGACTTATTACACTATCTCCTTGTGCAACAACAAAGGTCAAGACCACAGACTTTTTCCAGTTGGCTCATAGATGGTTCCCAAGCACCTAGGATAGGGCCTGATACATAGGACATAATGAATAACTATTTGTTGAATGACCAAAACAAGACTAAAAACAATAATTTAGCTATATAAAAAGACCAAGGTGAGTAATCCTGGAATAATTCAAGAAATTTTGATGGGATTTAATAATTTACAAAAATTAAGTACATCTGATTAGCATTTCAACAGGAGAAAGGTGATTTCTCAAACTAATATTTTAAGAAAACTTCAGCAAGCGATAGTATACAGTCATCCCCACAGTATCTATGGGGGACTGGTTCCAGGATGCCCCATGGATACCAGAATCCATGATGCACAAATCCCTTATATAAAATGGTGTGCTATTTGCATATAACATACACACATCCTCCTGTATATTTTAAATTATTTCTAGATTACTTATAATATCTAATACAATGTGAAAGTTATGTAAATAGTTGTTCCATTGCATTGTTTAGGGTAAAATGACAAGAAAAAGTCTGTATATGTTCAGTACAGACACGACTATTTATTTATTTTTTCTAAATATTTTCTCTCTGCAGTTGGTTGAATCCATACATGCAGAACCCACAGATATGGAAAGCCAAATGTGTATCCAGGAGTATTATCTGTATGGGCCATTGAATACATAGAACTTAATGTGACTTAAAACATTATATTATAAATTAATTTAGCATCTAAATGTATGTTAAATTATAAGCGGACTCTTATTTTTTAAATAAACAAATAATCATGATTCTGCTATAATGTTTTCTTTTACTTGTCTGATTTTCACTCAGGGACTCACTAGCTATACAGTTAGTGAAAAAGTATCACCCAGAACCTGACATTTTCTCTTCAACATGCCCAGCTTTAAGGACAGTCTCCTTTCTGCCACGGATCAATTCAGGAAGTACAAAGTCACAGGATTTAGGTGAGAAGAAGGAACATAAGCTTGAGAGAAGGCTGATTTTGCAGAGCTAAAAAGTTGCAACTTTTAAATTTTTTGGCATCTATTTAACCATATCACTACATGAAGTGTATTTGGTATACTATAATTAAATGTTGAGTCCTTGTTGTGTTTGGGAGAAGTCATCCAACAATTTCTAGAAAAGCAGACTGATGCTTAAAAGCCTTCAGCCACAAGAAACAATTTTTTTTTTTTTTTTGAGACAGAGTTTCACTGTTGTTGCTGAGGCTGGAGTGAAATGGTGCAATCTCAGCTCACTGCAACCTCTGTCTCCTGGGTTCAAGTGATTCTCCTGCCTCAGCCTCCCCAGTGGCTGGGATTACAGGCATGTACCACCATGCCTGGCTAATTTTGTATTTTTAGTACAGACAGGGTTTCACCATGTTGGTCAGGCTGGTCTCAAACTCCTGACCTCAGGAGATCCGCCCTCCTCAGCCTCCCAAAGTGCTGGGATTACAGGCGTGAGCCACCGCGCCTGGCCGAAACAACTTTCTTATTACTTTGCTTCACCACAAAAAGAATTCCCAAAACACTGCTTCACAAGAAGTAGTTCTCTTCTCTGCCTAGACAAAATAAAACTATCATTAGGCAGATTTAAACTGCAGCATATATAGAAGAGAAAGGGCTGCCCAAATCCAACAAAAGCTACCCAAAGTGGTTATTCATCTCTCTCCCATGTGTGTAAGCTTCACGAAGGAAAGAACTGTATCTGTCTTATCACTGCATCTCATGATTTACATATGGTTGGCTTTCATTAAATAGTTGTTGAATGAATGAATGGTTCAAAAAAAGGAACCAATCACTGCTCTCTGGGTTCAAGATGGGAAATAACTACAAACTAAACACTGAGCACCTTCTCATAATTCTAAAATATACATTTACAATTTCTGTCCTTTTTTGATTCATTATTAAATCTCATTAATATTTCTTGTATTTTTCTGAATTGCTTACTTTTGTCTTTTGGAATAACTTAATTCTTTTATCTTTTTCATTCATTCAACAAATATTTATTCATCCTGAGCCAAACTCCCTCCTACAGAGAATAATGAAAGAACAAATGCCTTAAAAACAGACTTGCAGATCTAAATACCTATTCCACCAATCTCCAGTGAAGTGGCTTCAAGCAACCTGCCTAGCTTCTCCTAGCCTCAGCAACTATAAATGAAATCATTGAAGTACACAGTTTGAGGACTAATTGAGATCATGAATATATACCATAGGTATTTCATAAGTTTTCATTGTACTCCCTGCTTCCATTACTTATTTAAATGGAGAAATTTAATATCTGATGAGCAAATTCAATTCAAGCTCCCAGAAATCAGAAAATGTCAGCCTGAGAGAACTCTTCTAATGGCAGAGACCATGCTATGTGTCATGTTGATCCCAATTCATTTTCCTCTGGGAACACAGGAAGACTACATTTCTCAGTTCTCGTAGTCAGTGGGTCATGGAGCTTAGTTCTGGCCACCGGAATGTCGGAGACGTGACATTTGCCACTTCCAGGCCTGGTCTGCAACTGAAGCCCAGATGCAGGGAATTTAATGGAGGAATCCAAACCCCAATAAGATGGTAGAGGCGTGGAATGGAAGGAGTCTAGGGCCCTAAATTTCTGCATGGAGTGGATAGACCCTTCCGCTTTCACTAACCTGCAACAAATTGTGATATATAAACTGTACAATTTGGGACTTGTTTGGTTATGTTTTCTTTCTACAGCAGTTAGCCTACCTTGAATAATTCATCCCACAAACCCACACCCTAGCCCTAAAACTGAAAACCTAGAAACAGATTAATATTATACTTTATCGGTTCTGTCACTAAAGTTTTTGAGAGCTAAGACTGGTTCTTAACTTCTTGGTACCCAAGTCAGCACTTAATACAATGCCCTAAATAAATGAGCTGCATATTAGCTCTATGTGTATTGAATATTGCCACAAGAAAGGATTAAATATACCTACATAATTATATTTACACAAAGATATATTTTAAACAAAGTCCACCATCTATACACTATCTATTTTAATTTAAAAATAAACCTTATTTTCTGAAATCATTCCAGTTTAGGAAACAACTAAGATGAGATGAACATTCAAATGGCAATAAGAATATGACAACTGTTTTCCCAGTCACTTGTGAGAGAAGGTCTAGCGTGGGGAGGAGGAAGTTACAGGGCGTCAGTAAGAATCACAGTGGTGTTTTGACACTGAATCCTGAACTTCAAAATCCATAACACTTCTCTGTCTCACTGAGTCCTGGAGGATCATTTCTCCCTGGATTATGTTTTCCAACCAATTCTGTTATTGCCACTGTCATTTCTATTCTTCCTTCCAGCAGTCATGCTTCTACCATTGCTGGCCAACTTGTTAAGCAATTCTCATATTTCACTTTTGTTGGTGGTCTCTTTCCAGCAAACAAGCATCCATTCCCCAAGTGTATAGAAGTATTTGCTTGAGCACTAAATAATTGTTTATTTCAATTTTTATGGTTCTTTCCCTGATGAAACTTGAGACACATTTACGCATAGCTATGTTAGAGAATATTTGTTACTGATGCCCTCAACAACATTTCTCTCCAATAGCAATCAAACGATATCCAAGCTCTGGGACCTGTAAGCTATCTCCAGCTAAGGCTCCTACATATGGGTCATATTTCTGCCAGAAACCAGTAGTCAATATTTGTCTCCCTTTATTGTTTAATTGCTTGAACCCCAGTGGCCTCGGCGCCTGCCGTTAATTTTTTATGTAAATTTTGTTAAGTATAGCATATATTCAGAAAGGTACACACAACACAAGTGTCCAGTGTGGTTAATTAGTTGACTAGTTAGTTACCTAGTTAGTTTTCTTTCTCCAGAAGTCTTGGAGACTCCTTTGCAGAAAGAAGTCCTGCTAACAGTCCCTGATATCCTAACATCTTTGATGTGAGCAGGAAGATTCTCTAGGCTCCTCTACTCCCTCTCACACATATTCCCACAAACTTTTACTACATAAATAATGAATTAGAGGTAGCATTGCTAATCTATGTCATGGAGACACTTTGAAAGTTTGCTGTTTAGTTTGTATGTATTGATTTTGGTTAAGTAGCATTTCTTATTTACACAAAAGCATCTCAGGAATAGAATACATATTGGCACGATGCACAATACTCTAAAGAAGAGAAATCTGCATGGATCGCTAGAGTCATGTTTGTAATGGACTTCAGTCAACTAAAGAAAAGGGGCAAGGGGAACTGGCCACACATCAGACCAAGAAATCCTTTCATGTTTCTATCCACATATTTACCCCATGCTGTGCTCCTTCTCACCACTGCCTCCAAATAACAAGAGGGAAAGATGCTGAATCCACAGCCAGATGTAAATTTCCACACAGTCAAATCTTCTCTGCCTTCTTAAGCATGTCCATATTTAAACACTATAAAAACATAAGAATTATTCCAAAAGGTGGTATTCCAATGTTTTGAAGAAGACAGTTGTGCCTATAGGTAATTCACAGGAAAGTGGGTGGTGATGGGGAAAAGAAAAAGCATTCTTAGAATGAGCCCTCTACCCTACAATACACAAACAATCATCTCTCTTTTTTTTAAATCTTCAAATTCTGGATTTAATTAAAATATCAGCCTTTTATTTTCTGAAACTATCTATGAAGTTGGCTTATCCTAGCTGTAATCTTACAACTGTCTATCTTCAGACAGAGCTATAATTCCTATTTAAGGAATGCTGTGGAAATTTTTAAATCTCATTCACAATCAAACAATATTTCCTCTTTAATTTTTTCTTTCTCTAGCCAACATATTTCCAAAATTAATAGGAACAAAACAAGAAAGTCTGAAACAGGCATTATTTTGTAGATTGCTAGATATTTTTTCCCAGAATGTCATTCCCTGAGCCTTTTCTCCCTTTAAAATGCTATCATTAATTTATTTGCTCCCATGTATGTAACTACATTTAAAAACAAATTATAAAGCTCAATTCTTCACATCTATGCTCTCTCCACACTACCACATCATCACTACCATGGTAGCTTTGCAGAGAACAGGCCTGCCAGGATTTTTAACACATTTATACCACTGCTGGAATGTCTGAAAGTACGGATCATATGAGCATCTGGGGCTCCAAATGTGCGTCGCTCCTCAATATGAAGATGAATCTTTTGGAGCTATGTGTATATCCCTAACAGATTTATTTCACTGCTCTTAGATGAAGGTAAGTGGATCCTCTTCCCCCACATATCTAATTGTTTTTATAAATTTTCCTGCAAAAAAAGAACTATCTTCTAGCCTAAGTGATTCCATTTCACCATTATTTGGGTCTAATAATACAAACATGAAAGACAGACCTGGAGTGATCTAACAAAAGACCAGATTTTAGGAAAGAACAGCAGCACCCTCTGAGCAAGCAGGAAATCTGAATTTATAAGCAAGTATCAACACTCTTAAAACATGCTGCTGAATTTAATTCTAATCTTTTATACATTCACATATAGATTTTAAGTTATGATTATTTAAAAGTTTTACAGAGCAGAGGATTTTTGGAACAGTGAAACTCTTCTGTGGGACACAATAATGGTATGTACATGTCATTATACATTTGTCAAAATTCACAGGATGTACAACACCAAGCATGAACGCTAATGTAAGTTACAGACTTTGGGTGTGCTATAGACTGACTATTTATGTCCCCCCAAAATTCATGTGTTGAAATCCTCACTCCTAAGGTGATAGTATTAAAAGGTGGGGCCTTTGAAAGTCGATTAGGTCATGAGGGTGGAGCTCTCGTGATTGGGATTAGTGCCTTTATAAAAGAGATACTAGGGAACTCCATCACCCCTTTCGCTATGCGAGGACACAGCAAGAAGGCAATCATCCATAGATGGTCAGGTAAGGGTCCTCACCAGACAGTAAATCTGCCAGTGCCTTGATCTTGGAGTTCCCAGCCTCCACAACAATGAGAAATAAAATTCTGTTGTTTATAAACCACTAAGTCTATGGTATTCTAACAGCCAGAAACAGATGAAGACAGAGTGATAATTAATGCATCAATGTAGCTTCATTGCTTGTAACAAAGGTACTACTCTGATGCCAGCTCTTGATAATGGGGAAGGCTGTGGGTATGTGGGGGAAGCAGTATGACTATTTTTTTTAAGTTTGATATCTGGATATTTTTTCACTTTAACATTAAATCATATGGAATGGATACATAACAGGAATGTGGCTTCTCCGGGCTCTCAATCTTCTCTAGTTGGCTGGGGGATCCTATTGTAACTGCATTCATCATCAATACAATCTTGAGCAAATCACTATTTCTGAAAGTCTCATTTTAAAGGGCTTTTTATTCTTTTCTTACATAATTCCTGCACAAACACCTCTCCTTCTCATTGCATGCCACTTCATTTTCTCTTTGTGGCATCTTGCCTATCAGAGATAAAATCAGCTTTTCTAAAGCCTGCCTTTATTTTTACCAGCATTTTAAAGTCTGTATTAAAAAAAGGAATTACAGACTTAGATAACACTGGTTCCCTTCTCCCCAGTCTTCTCCCACCACCCACCACGCAGTCAGTTCTACAAGCTCCTATCAGAGACAGAATTGTAAAGAGTCCATATTCAATCAAGCGATTTCTTGGCTGGCACACCCACCTGCCTTTCAGGCCATGAACACCTGTCTCAGTCTCAGTCTGACCTCCTTGCCATTTCCCCAGTGGATCATGACACTTTCCCATTTCCATCGCCTTGCCTTTGTCTCTCCTCCTTCCATGCCTTTTAACCCTTTTTACCTGGAAAAAAATGTTTACAACCCCTTACATTTCAACTTAGCTTTTCAGTGCAACTCTCCTTAACACTCCCTCCCCCAAGATAATATCAATTAACACAATCCTTCTTCTGGTTTATATCACTTGCATTATTGCTTATTATATTATACTATGATTAGTTATCCATGCAGCTGTCTTTCCAGTGGACTATAAGAAACTTGGGGCACAACTGACCATAGTCATTTTTGTAGGTCCAAACTTCTACTTGAGGGGCTGGCATTGAGTAGAAGGCTAGGCTTATTTTATGAAAGTATTCACATAATCAATATCTATGAGTAATTTATCTGACCAAAGAGAAGAGCCAAGATTCTCTAATCTCACCCATGAAAGGAGCAAATAAAGATTTTTCCTTATTTCTGTCTGGTTGGCTAGAATACATATTTTATTTGTATTACAGTCTTTCAAGTATATAATATGACCTTTTCTTTCCTCATCAATTTAGTTTAGAATAGCACAGTTTTTTCCCTTGTATATGAAGGTCTGAAGAATTGGATATATCTTTGGAGTTAAAGGTTGGCCCTGTCTGAAAATGGCAATGTAAACTTGAACAATGATTATTCCCAAAATTTCATCCATCTATTCAGTCACTCAAACATTTTATATCTTCCATATGGAACAAATAAAGTTCTTCTTTTTATCCATTAATTTTACACCAGATATAGAGAACAGGACTATTTAGATCAAGCTCACAAGTAGAGTACAAAATGCCTCCGAAAATCCAAAATTTTATGAAAATTTTAACATTAGCCAGATCTAAATCTCATGAGTTCCACAAGAATCAGCCCCTGCAGCACTCACTAAATAATGCTTTCCTCCAGCAGCCTGAAGCCAAAACCAGACTAATGGTTTTTAGGAAGGAGTAGTAATTTCAGAAGATGGGAAAATATGAGGAAATATGATGATCTACTGAATGTTATCCTCCATTGCTGCCACCAACACTATTCACCCCCCATTCACCCACTGTCACACACACAAACACATGCCTTCATATAACTCTCCTGAGCAAGGCTGCCGTCAGAGGCATGTATCAGTAGTTACAGTAGTTTTCCAGCCTTGCTTATATACTACAGAAACCAGGTTAAATGGGGGCAGCCAGGTTCCAAAAATTTTCCTGACTTACAGAAACTTTTGTTTCCAGAAACCCATGTGGAAAAGACATCAGGTTGAAACATGTCAGAGTTTGATGGGAAACCCATTGAGCTGGCAGCCACTGGACCTGAATTCTCATGCTGGTTCTGCCATGGTGAACTTTAGCACATCTCTTTTTATTTCTAGATCTCAGTTCACTCATCTACCATAGAACATAATTTCCAAGATTGTGTTTATTTGCACTGGGGTACACACACTTCTCAAGGTACATGCACATGTGCTAGGTGCAAAATAAGTAAGAATATAACTTGGAGTTTTCCAAAGTTACAAGATTTTTAAAGAAAAAACAGTAGACATCAAAGACATAGTATGCTCATTCTGGGTGGAACTTTCTCTGTGCCCCCAAACATCTGGTGAATATGCTCTTTTTCCTCTGCTGTTAGAAGTCCTTTCGTCAAAATGATGGCAAAATACTGATAAATGCTTTCCAAAGTCCTTTCTATATATTTTCATCCTATGATTCTCTGAATTAAATGGCAAACAGCCAGTTTGCCAGTTTGATTTAAACCATGGTTGTAATTTACTACTTAAACACAATGCTTTGCATGTAAAGAAGTTAAAATTCCAAAGTAATATCACAATCCAAACTCAAATGTCCTGTCTTGGTGGTGAGGGAAAATAGAGATATAAGAGAGAAAATTCTTGCAAGAGTGCACCTGATTCTTCACAGGTGAGAAAGAAAAGCAGAAGTGAGAAGAAAAGATAATATGTTGAACTAGCCTGAAAATGTGGCTGGGACAAAATGGAAATCCCCCAGAGAGAAGAAGCAGAGAAGGTGTTCCCGTGAGGGGAAAGGAATCACCTTCTCCCCGCAAGAGTGTTCAAAAACTACATTCTAGTAAATATAGCCTAGGTAGTTCGATTACTTTGGTTCTGGAAGTCTGAGAAATAAAAGCTATGAAGAGTAAAATAAATTTTTCATAGAGAGCTTCTCCAAATTATGCTTCTCTCCTTGTCCATGTTTCATATGCACAGATTACTATAATCATAAATCTTGGTATAAGCCACTCAGTCTTCATTTCATTACTTTGTGGAGAATATGATGCTTTTTGAATACCGTGACTCACCATAATACATCCGGCTGATTCCAATATGTCTTTCAAAACCAAGAATGTAAATCCCCACAGAAAAATACAGTATGTTTAGGTCTTTTATCTTGGCAACCTCCATCAGCCAAGAAGAGTATGTCCCATTGTCCCATTGTCATTCGTCAGGATGCTTAGACTTTTATAAAGTGGGAGTTTTCAGAAGAAACATATCTAAATTAAGACCCACAAAATGAAGACGCATTTTTAGGGAGACATATATATGGGAAATATTTTCTTACATTTTAATTTCTGCTAACATTTTGATAATGGGGTTTGTGTCATAAATACTAAACAAGGAACCAGTTTAAAGACTGCACTCATATGAGGGAACACTATTGTAGTCAAAGCCTTCCTTATAGGCAGAACTGAAATTCAGCTGCATGACACGTGACAACACAGTCATTTGTATATATTAAGAAAAATGAATGAGAAGAATAGTGCACTGAATAGATTACCCATGATTTATGAAAAGAAGGAACCATTATCTGCTATCAAATTTACAAACTTAGCATATTCCATGTGCCTCATTGTTTCACCTATTTATTAAAATGAAGATGAGAAAGGAAAAACGGAAGACAACAATTTTCTTTATGGCAGAGATGGATGTTGTAAAAGGGCTGGTAAAATAATTAGAACAGATACATTCACAACAAACTACAAACTTCTATTTTGTGCACATAGTTCTAGTGCACCTGGAGAAGAAAGCATTCCAAAGCCTTGGCTGTAGTGTTTTCTAAGGAGAACAATAAAGTTCTGAAACCTTCACTGGGCTCTCCAAACAATTCAGGGTGTTGCCTTTGATCTTCCAAGCCCCAATATCATTTGGGTTCAGGTTTCCATAGAAACTGCCTTTATGTACCACCATGCCTGTTTCAGCTGTCCAAAGAACAGCTGCCAAGAGGCCTTAGGTGTGAATACCAAAGGCTGTAAGCAACACATTTTCCATGGAGAAATTCCATCTTTGGAATTCACTTTTTCAGTTGGTTTCACCAAGTGCAGTATATTGGCCTTCAGGCCATAGAATAAAGCCCAATTACCTGGTACTTATGGGACTATTTGCTGGTAAAATAAACATCAAGTCACAATCTTATTAAGATGGAATAAGTAGCATGGCCTAAATTCTCAAAATTCTCTGACTTCCTTCTGAATTGCTCCAAGCATGCCAATGTGTGTTGAAACTATAATTAAGTCTTCCCGCTTCTCTGTGAAAAAAATTCAAGTCTGCCTAAATAATAAAGATTATTTTGCAGATGCAGGGTGTTTTATAACAATTGGCAGTGCATTTAAAAATAAATAAATAAAGCTCTCAGAATTAGAACATTTATTTGTGTTGCAAATCTAGAGAGCTCAGGTAGAAACACAGAAAATTCCACCAAATGAACTGGTTTATGGAGATACCAAGGGAATGATCAACCTCTTTCTCCAACGCATGGGAGCACAGTTTGCAGTTCAGTCTGAGAATAGCCCACCATCTTCAACAAATAGATATTTTGCCATGACAAAGGGAAGTATTAAGTATCTAAATCTCAATCAAAGAGAAAATCTCATCCTTTCTCAACAATAGGGCTTTAAAAGTGTTCTTTGGTTGCAACCTTGTACCAGTAAATGAATAAATAAATAAATAAATAAACACAACCTCTGAGAAAAAAATGTAATTAAAAAAAAACCAAGCTTATTCATCAAAGCTCAAACAGTACTATATTTAGGCATTCCTGTAGAAAGCACAATGAGCTAACAAGAGAGGCAGCTGACTATTCTGCAGAAAATGGGCTAAGCCTCAAAAAGTATCACAGAAAAAAATAAAACATTCATTTAACATTTTTTCACATTCACTTACAAAGTACAATTTATTCTCACATCTCTCTCAAATTTTTCTGCACTGCTCATACCCAAAGCCTACCCCATCCCAGTAAATGGCACTGAAATTCATTCAATTGATTACACTTAAATCCTAGGAATCATCTTTTTTTTACTCCACACCTCACATCCAATCAATCAGTACATCCTATCAACCTTACTTCCAAACTATATTCCAAACCCAGCTGCTCCACACCATCTCCTCCCTATGCAGCCAACCCAAGCCACCATCATATCTGGTCTGGAGTATTTTATAATATTCTCATTGGTAGTCTCCCTGCCTCAAATCTTACTCCCTGATGATCAAAAATCTACTCTCCAAAAAACAAATCAATTGATTTTTTTCAAGTCTAAATCAGATCCCAACATGTCATACTAAAAACCCTTCATTGTCTTTCCTTTGCAATAAAAAAAAAAGTCCGAAACTACTTGTCAGGGCCTCCTGACTCTAGGTGTTCTGTCCCCCTCTCTGTTCTCATATCCCTCCCTGTTCTTTTTTCTGTTCCTTGTGTAAAATTGGTCATCTTCACACTTCTGTTCTTTTTCTTGGATATATACAAGTTGTCTCATTAAGGTAACAATTCAAATGTCGTCTCCTCAAAGAGGCATTCCATATGCACTCTAGCTAAAGTAGTGCTCATCTCAACATTCCTCACTAGCACTTCTTCATAGCAGAACTGGCATAAGATTCAGATCAGAAAACAGAAAAGATAAGATCAGAAAACAGAAAAGATAGGTCAATTGAGAATACCCAGGGAAAGAAACAGAAAGAAAAACTAATGAAGAAAATGAACAGAGCTGGACACCTGTAGGAAACAATCAGGATACCTGAATACACATAATCAGAGTCCCAAAAGGAAAGAAGAAAGAGAAAGGTGTAAAAAAATTGTTAAGAAATAATGACCAATAACTTCTCAAATTTCGTTTTTAAAAAACATTCATCTACACATCCAAGAAGCCCAATGAATTCCAAGTTGGATAAACTCAGAAAGCAGGTACATTGTTCACTGCTGCATTTGCAGATCCTAAAACAGTGCCTGACACATAGAAGACCTTCAATAAATATTTGTCAAATCAACAAACAAATTAATCTTCATTTCACAAAATAGAAACCTGAAGCACAAAAAACAGAGTAATTTGCCCAAAGCCAAACAGCTAGTAAGTGATGGAATCTGGTTCTAAATCCAGGAAGTCCAGCTACATGCAACAGAGCCCTCAATCTTAATCCCACACTAGTCTACATCACGTACCAGCCCTAGTGGTACTAAAGTGTTTGAATCTGCATCTTCTGTGTGAAACCCATATTGCATAATTAAACACCTCCTGCTGTTTTTTCTGCTTTCATATGAAGGACATGACGTTTCTGAAACATCACTCCTCAGATCTTCAAAGACAGTGAAGTATAGTGAAAAGAAATGGCCTCTAGTGTTACACAGACCTTGATTTAGATCCCTAATTGGGCTGTATATGAGCACTGTCACCTTAGATGAGTAATTTAATGCGCCTGCCAATTTTCACATCTTGTTAGGCATAGACAGTTATAATATTTGTACAACACACTGGGTCAAAGTAGCACTTGGTCAAAGGTAACTGGCTTGGGAATCCAACAGCCCCAAGCCCATCCCACCCATCGCCAGGGCTAAGAACATCTGAGTAGTCCTACAATCTATTTGCAAACACAACTCTCAGCACGCTCTAACTTACCCAGCTTTATTATCTTTAAAAATGGGGCTTTGGTTCATAAAACAGGATAAATGATGTCTACTTCATAGAGTACTTGTGAAATATAAATGAAACATCATAGACAAAATGTTTACTAGTCTCTATTACCATGCTAGGTGCTCAGTTAATGGCAGTCATGATCATCATGGTATTAATATCAGTGGTAGCATTTGTTCACAATTTCCATGGGATCTCTATAACCAAGGAGCAGCCTGGGCCAGATTCACCATGCGTGTCCATTTCTCTGCTTCTGATAACAATGAAATATTCTTGCAGATTACTTTTCGTTTACTACTGATGGCCGTGGCAAGCCATCTGGAGCAGCCATTGTGACAGGAGCAGCAGTGGTAGCAGTGGGTCCCCTGTGCCTTATATACCCTGTGCCCCATATCCCTGAGGCAGCTGACTGTGCCACCCCCAATCTCACACAGCCAGGCATGACCTGGCCCCAGGCCCAGATTCACTGCTGCTCCAGACCCTGGCCCCACATCACCACTCTCGCCCATTGCCATTGCAGGTAGGGCATGGAGAGAAGTGAACAGTCCCCTGAGCCCTCCCCTGGAAGCTCCCAGGAGCCCACCACCCTGGGGGCTGCTGCAGTGGGGTGAGGTCAAGTCACCTACCAGCTAGGGAGCAGCATGGTCAGGCACAAAGTGGTGGGCAGAGAGGGGCCTCGAGACAAAGCTGGACCCGTGGTGGTACTGCACCTGCACAAGGAACATGGCAGCTGGCCCAGGGCACAGAGCTGGGGCCATGCTTCAGGGGTCAGGCCAGGAAATGGGCGCCACACCCACTTCAAGGACCTGGCCAGCAGACCAGCCACCATGCCCACCCCAACAACAGTGCCAGGTTCCTGCACCTAGGGAGGATGCTGTATGTGGGGTAGCCCAGGGCCACATGCCTAGGGTCTGCCCCACATCACAGTGACTGCAGAGCCTGACCCTCCTGATGGCCAAGACTGGGGCCCACAATCCACTCCTGGAGTCTCTCCCCAGGCAGGGCCAGGAGCCAAGGGAGGGAGAGCCCTGGGCCACCCCTGAGCACCTGGCCATGGGAAGAACTCACAGCAATGTCTCCCCTGCCCCAGATGATGGCCAGGGTGCAGGGAGAACCTGGAGCCCCTGCCCCAAACTGCAAGGAGGTGTGGGCAGGGCTGCATGCTCCACAAAGCCAGTGGGAGCCAGGGACAAATGGGAGTCCCACCCCTTCTGAGTTGGCAGGGCAAGAACTCCCTGGGTGCAGCTGTGGCCACCCTGCCAAGGCTGTGGATCCATGTATCTTTGCACTCTTGGGAGCCCACAAAGGCAGCCCTGTCTCCTGTGGGCTCAAGGGTGCCTGCTGCTGCTGCCTGGCTTCTCCCTGCTGTTGGCTCCTGCTCCAATCTTGGAACAAGATCAGGGCCGAGCCCAGGTGCTGTCACAGCCCAACGGCAGCGGGGGAACACACTCAGAGCAATGTTGACATGCCAGCCTCCTGCCACCTCTTGGCCCCTCCGGATTTGGGGTGCTGACAAGTAAGGGAGGGAGGTTGAGGAGGGGCTGAGGATAGTCAGGTGCTGGCCTGCAGGCACGCCCTGGCACAAACAGCCTGGGTTCCATGAGCTGTGGGAGGAGGCAGACAGGGTTCTGGGTGGAGGGGACCAGTCTGGTGAAGCCCCACCTTCAAGCTGGGGAGGGCCTGAAGCCTGGGGGCCCAGCCACCAGTCCCCTGGACTAGAGGGGGAACTTGTGGTGCTTTTCCCTGGGCCCACCTATGGCCACCCATGGAACAATCAGCACAACTTCCTCCACTCTGAGGCCCATAAAAACCCCAGACTCAGCCAGGCTTGAGGAAAGAGACAATGGGGAGACCAGATGCAGAAAGGAGCTGCCCATCCCAGGGTCTCCCCTCTGCTGAGAGCTCAGGAGACAGAGGGATGACCAACTGCAGAGAGGAACTACCCTCTCTGCTAAGAGCTGAACACTCATCTGGACACCCTGACTACAGAGTGAAGCTGCCCACTGCAGGTCTCCTCTGAGCTGTTCTACTGCTCAATAAAGCTCCTCTTTGTCTTGCTTACCCTTCACTTCTCTGTGTACTTCATTCTTCCTGGTTGCAGGACAAGAACTTGGGGCCCACTGAATGGTGAGACTAAAAGAGCTGTAACACGAACAGGGCTGAAACATGCCCCTTGCTTGCCATGTTGCAGGCAAAGAGAAGAAGAGGAAAGCTGCAGCCCTTTGGAGAGCCCAGACCTGGGAGTTCCCCCAAGTCAGGGCTGTGACTCCCTTTTTGGGGCCCTGCATTTCCTGGTATCTCCAAGCTTCCAGGCACCATCACATACCCTGGTGCCAGCTGGGGAAGCAACTTATGCTGCACCTGGTCCAGCCACAGCCTCACAGAGAGCTAGCGCCCATGCCAGCACCTGGAGTGGCCCACCCAATGGCAGCAGCTGGTGTGTCTCTGCACAGTGGCCATACCCCACATTCACTCACACACCCCTCGCCACTCCACACCTGATTCACAGTCTCCCTTGGAGCCATGGAATCCAGGGAGGTAGCGTGAGCTAAGTGCAGCCTGCCAGGCCAAGTGGGTGGAACGAGCCCAGTGGGCCCTAGCAAAACTTGGGCAAAGGTGCTACCAGCCACAGAGGTTTCCAGCCAGAAAAGTGATCCCATAAGACTACGTTTGACTGCTTGTTCACTCAGTGACAAGACATAGTACTGTGCACTGTGGGAGATTCAAGAAAAGCATAATGATAGACTTGGAATAGAATGAGACTACTACACTGTTGACTTGTTTCCCTCAATACCCTGAATATTTTCAAAAACTTTCACTAAGTGAACACTCAGTCAATTTTTGGATACCGCCATTGATGGGGTGGCCACCATGTAAAGAATCCCATTCAAGCTTGGGACAAAATTTATTAAAAATTCTTCCTTATTTTGAGTCCAAATCCGACCTCCTTAAGTTTCTACCCACTGGCCTTTTCACAATTTGGTGCCATATTGATGAAAAAGATAACACTTTAAAACTCACACATACTTGGGATTGTTTGGAGACCTGCAGGCTGGACAGACCCATCAGGGTGTTATTTATAGGAGGAACTAGAGAGCTGCCTGGAAAAGAAGTCATTATTTCTAAAGAAGAGCAAGCTATGTCACAAGCAGCAGACAGAAGCCATCATCTATAAACAGCTGATGATGTCAACTACCTACTTTTCTATAATAACTTAATTTGTGACTAAAAATCTACCCTTTCACACATCACATATTTGTTTGTAGATGATGAGAGTCAGGCAAATGAGTAGAGCCCAGCGTCAATCTCTTAAGTAGTCTTTCAATCCTGCCTCTATGGTCGCATTTTTAAGCCCCAGGGATAGGAAGAACCTTACAATGAAAAATAAGAAATGGAAATTTTTCTGAAATTAGATAATTACTACATACATGTTTATGCTAATGAATTTCAAAATCTCAATGAAATAAAACATTAACAAGAAAATATCGATAATCAAAACTGACTCAAGAAAAATATCAAACATGAAAAGTTTGATAAAATTGAAAGAAATTGAAAGTTATCAACTAATTTTCTCAAATAAAAGATTTAGAACCAGACAGTTTTACTGGGAAGCAATTCAGTTCATTTTATGAAGTTAGCATAACCAAAAATAGCAAAAGTGACCAAAAAGTGTCCAAAATACAAAAGCTGTAAATCAACCTTACTAATGTAAATTTGAAAGGACAAAATAAAATAAGAATAGAGCAAATTAAGCAGCCGACTGAAGCAAACATTTCCATAATCAAGTAGGATTGATTTCAGGAGTGCAATAATTGCTTAATACTATAAATAAGTCAAAGGACAAAAACCATATAATTATCTCAAAAGATACTAAAATGAATTTGAAAATTAATAATCTATTCATTAGGAAAAAGTAAATAACTTTCAAAAACCAGAACTAGAGAAAATTCTTTTAGTATGCAAGTAAATAAATATTCTAAAATAATGACATTACATGTAAATCTTTAGAGTGATTTCCATAAGCAAAAAATAAGTGAAGATATCCAAAATCATTCTTGATCTGATAGAGCTATGCAAATGGAGAGGACAAATTGTCATTATATTGGAAGACAATATTGGAATATTCCAATATTATATTGGAAACAATTAAAATTGTTTACTCAAAAGTCGTAAAGATTTAATTGAAAATCTCTTCAATTTTAGTATTCAAATGTAAGATACATAAACATCCACACTTTCTTCTATATCATAAAATATGTTAGAAAATACAATAGAATAGATATTCCATTAACAATAACATTACACATATATAGAATTCCTAGAAATATACAGAATTCCTAGAAATAACCCAAAAACAAAATGTGAAGGACCTATATAAAAAAAAACACACTTTTTTTTTTTTTCCCTGAGACAGAGTTTCACTCTTTTTGCCCAGGCTGAAGTGCAACAGCACGGTCTCAGCTCACTGCAACATCTGCCTCCCGGGTTCAAGCAATTCTCCTGCCTCAGCCTCCCAAGTAGCTGGGATTACAGGCACATGCTACCATGCCTGGCTAATTTTTGTACTTTCAGTAGAGACTGGGTTTTGCCATGTCTCGAAACCAACCTGGTCTCAAACTCCTGACCTCAGGTGATCCTCCCACTTTAGGCCCCCAAAGTGCTGGTATTACAGGCGTGAGCCACCATGCCCGGCTACAAGACACTTTTTTTTTTTTTTACTATAAAATGTAAAGAAGAAGGAGAAAAAGGTATAAAATGTAAAGAAGAAGGAGAAAGGGAGTAAAAGAGAACAAAACATGTTCAGAGACACATATTTTCTTCATTTTTTCCCAAATTAATTCATAAAATTTTCACAACTTTCATCAAAATACCTGACTAAAATCCAAATTATTTTTCAGGACCTACAGAATCCAGCATTGTCTGGCCCCCAGCTGCCGACTACATCTCTGCCCTCATCACCTACTCACCCCCTACTGCCTCCAACCACAGGGCCTTCCCACTCTTCCTCCAGAACACCAGGCTCTCTACCACATTAAGACTTCTGTACCTGTGTTCCCTCCACCTGTAGCTATTCCTTCCCACCCACTCTGCTACTTTATTCAAAGGCCACCTCTTCAAAGAAACATTATTGGACATCATTAGTATCATACTCCTCATTTTCTTTCTGTACCCTACTTTTTCTCTTTGTCACACCTATCACTACCTGACATTGCACTGTATATCCATTCCTGTTTTTGTCTCTTGTCTGTCTCTTCAAAGAGAATGTGGACCCCATGAGAGCAATGACCACCTGCCTTGTACACAGTGACATCTCATTCACTCCCCAGCACCTGGAATAATGAATGTCTGGCACACAGAAGGACTCCACCAATATTGGTTTAATGATGTAATGAAAAATCCCAACTAGATAAAATTATTCCAAGTTTATTTTGGAATTAGAAAAGATAATAAAATATTTTTAATGCAGTAATAAAGTTGTCTTGCTTCACCAAATATTAACATTTATTTCGAAATCACAGTAATTAAGTCAATTTTATACTGGTCTAGGGGCAGGCAGAATAATAAAACAATATAGACAAGCCCAAAATAACCATAGTTCATAGAATAACCTAGTATATAAATAGCCAACATCATAAAACAATGGAGAAAGTCGAGCATTAGTTAACAAAGGATGTAAGATAAACTGACAAACTTTTGGGAGAAAAAAAAAGCTATTGTATTTATTTTTTAATTATTTATTTTATTTATTTATGTATGTATTTATTTTTGAATCGGAGTCTTGCTCTGTTGCCCAGGCTGGAGTGCAGTGGCTCAATCTTGGCTCACTGCAAGCTCTGCCTCCTGGGTTCATGCCATTCTCCTGCCTCAGCCTCCCGAGTAGCTGGGACTACAGGCACCCGCCACAATGCCTGGCTAACTTTTTTTGTATTTTTAGTAGAGACGGGGTTTCGCCGTGTTAGCCAGGATGGTCTCGATCTCCTGACCTTGTGATCTGCCTGCCTTGGCCTCCCAAAGTGCTGGGATTACAAGCGTGAGCCACCTCACCCAGCTGAAGCTATTTTATAAAGTATATTAAACTTTACAGGTCCCTAAAATAGTTTTTGGATAAAACAATTAAACAGGAAAATATATATAAATATTTTGCTGCTACTTGAATATGAATGATAGTGCTAGAAAATAACAAAGAAAAACATGAAAAGATTTGAGTGCATAAAAGTTTTAAGTTTGTACATAGCTAAAATATTATAACCAAAATTGAAAAACTACACAATGAAGAAAAAGATCTTGGCACACATATAACAAAAGGCCATTATGTTGATCATATAAAGGAAGATTATAAATAAATATAAAAAGCATTGAAATTAACAGAAACACAAAACCCAACAAACATACTAAAATGTTCAGTCTTAATGGTAATTACAAAAGTGTAAATTAAAACAATGCATCTATCATTTCAAAATTATAAATGCTAAAACTTTTGTTAACAAAGATATGGTGGAATAGCTTCTCATAAGTTGCTGTAAAAAAAAAGTCATGTTTAATAAAAGCCAGTAATTCTACTCCTAGAAATTATTCCTAAAGAAATAATCAAATGTAGGCTGACATTTATATCCAAGATTTCTCATCATAGCATTTCATATAACAACAAAAATGTATTTTAAAAAAACAAATTATCCAGTAATATGGTGAAATAATTTATGGTGCATTCACATAATGGATGATTATGTGGGTATTAAAGATCTTTTTCAATGAATATTTAATGATATATGCTAGCATTTATTATATATATAAAGTTTGAGAATATGAAGGGGTCGAGGAGGAGGAGGGAAGAATTCCAAATTATATACATAGTTATTATAGGATATTACAGCTGAACGGGGGCTCAGATTCTATAGGTAAAAGAATTGTCACCTTTTTCAACAAAGTAGTTGCATTTAGAGCTTAGGTCTATTTGGTGGAGCTGAGTAGTACCATCTGCTTATATAAATGTATACACAGTAAATGGTGCCTCCTGATAAGAAATGAAATGGCCCATAATTTTGAGAATCTAAAGATTTAAAAATCTGTCTGATTCACTAGTGTGGGAGAGGGTGGATATATCCAAGCCAAAGCAGACATAAACAAAAACGTTATGTCCCACAAGGAAACCCAAATAAGAAAGACTAGGCTGCCGATCACCAGAACTGAGATCCAGGGCCTTAGGCATTGAAGGGAATGCAGGTTTCAGGATCAGCATACATCTAATGCTGGAACCTGTTTTATCTCAGCTCCTCACACCCAGGCCCTGTGACACCATGAAGTAAAGTTCTGTGCAGCTCTTAGCATTGTTCCTGGCATGTAGTACTCAATGAATATTTTCCCTGAATGAAAGAAAAAATGAGGGAGTCAATGAGTAAATACATGAATCAAAAGTTGTCTACATGGACCAGACAATGTTGCTGTGGACACTTCAACTAAGCATCATGCTGAGAAATATCTCCTTCAAACCTCAAATTGCAGATCCATAGATATTTTTACCAGGAGCAAGGACAACAGCAAGCAGGGTATTAGGAACTTCCCTAACAGCTGTGACATCATAGTGAAGAAAGTGCCCAGGGGTAACTGAGTCCAAGGCTGAACTCTCCTGGGAGTTAAGAGATGCAGCCTGTGACCCTCAGGGCTACATTCAAGTTTGAGAAGGCAGCCAGAGGAGAGCAACAAGAATTAGTTGAGGTATGAGTGTAGGTGTTCAGGATACTTGGAACAAAGAAACCAGGGAAAAGCCTGCACTGTGTGCTTCTTTGTCAGATTGGTACCCAAGCCATTTTGATTTGGATGTTTAACAGAAAGAGTTTGTATTTTGCAGACACAGGCTTTTACCAAATAAATTATTTAAATTACACAATAACATGCTGTTTGGTAAAAGCAAAACATCTTGTGTAGACACATGCACAAAATCTCAGGCTTGTGCCTAAGATCAAGTGTACACACATGCACATAGGCATACACATGTACACGTATACTTACACCACAACAGGCACAGAGAAACATTTTTGTATTATAAAATTTCTCATTGAGGGCTTTGAAATGATTTTGTAAATCAGAAAATATTTAAAACATAGTTTGTAAGGTGGAAAAGATAAATAAAAGGTGCACAACAGTAAAATTCCTACTTTTCTAAATTCTGTAAGATTTTATGACCACAAGTTCATATTGCATGGTGTCATGCTATAGAACACAGCACAAGAGAGGATTAATAATTCTCCTTTTTGGATCACCTTTGCGGTGCAGAGGCCTGAGGAGTGAGGTCGAAGAGGCTACCTCTGCAGAAGGCGCTGGGGAGGAACCAGATTGATGGGCAGCCCTGGTGGTGGTGACAGCACTGGCAGGAGCCAGCTGTCCAGCAGGAGCCCCACCTGCCTCACTGCTGGGGCAAAGGGAAGCACTGACCCATCCTGACAGCCACGCAGACTGATGGACCAGCGCATGGAAGAAAACCAAGGCGGACTCACAGAATTAGTTTGAAAAAACCTGGGGGACCTGTAGTTCTCACAAATTGAGTGAGGAAAGAACCTGAAAATATGTTTTATTATTGTCATCGAGACCCCAGTTTCAACCCTAGACTATTGTGGCCTGGGGAGAAAGTTTTCAATTGATTGTCCTCCCTGGAGCTTTTACGGTTGTGAAAGAAATAAAGAAACACTTGAAAAGTGAATGGTGTTAAGTCGTACAGGACTAAGTGGGGTATAGGGAATTGACACTAAAATTCCCTATGTAAGAGGGAATTCCCTATGTAAGAGTTTAGAAGAAAATTATCTGAAAACCAAGGGGCCAGAAAATTTTCATTAATGGGAAAGAAATTCACAATACACTAGAACTGAATAAAATGAGAGAACTGGAGATGGGAGGCAGGGAGCATTCTAGTGGCATATTTATCCTACAGCATCATCTTCATGGAAGGTTCTAGAAAAGTTATCCTAAAAGGAAATGGTCACGGTTACTAGCAAGTTCAATCAATCCTTCGTACATAATATATGGTTAAACATCATACAAGAATTATTTATTTTCCATGTAATCTTATAAAAGCATTCAAAGTCGAGATACATTAAAGAACAAAATATCTGCCTAGTGTACCCATTATTCTGGGAAAGAAAAAATGGAAAAAGAGAAAAGGTATAATTACAAAAAACCGGTGGTGCTGTATTTTTACTGCATTTGGAACCACCACAATCTGACAGTGTTGATTGCCCCCTGGTGGTGATATTAGTGAAGATTGGTTTCTTGGGGAATTTTAACTATTTTTTTCATGGGAAATGGTTCCAAAAGAAGAAATGTTATCATTGGCTTGAATTCTTCTACACTACCCCTACATTGATCGGCCAGCAAATGTAGCTCTTTTCCATTTCTTCCCCTCCACTAATACTTGCTTGGTGCTTCCAAAAAGCCCCTCCTTTCACCACAGCTATGGTAAAATGAACTCAGGAGAATTTGTAGATATAGGCAATAATATGGTTAATTCCAGATGGTAAGAAAATGCTATTACATATTTCTAAGGAAAATACTAAACATCATGAAAATCATATGATGTTAGTTGTGGGCTAAAAAAAACAAACAAAACATCAAGAAAATCAGTGGTATGGAAAGCAGGCATATGGACCTCACTCGTCACTGTGAGACTTAGGCAAAAAAACTAATTTTCCTTGAGGCTGCTTCTGAGTTGTAGTGAAGATTAAATAAGTATGCAAAACATCGAGCATAATTTCTGCCATGGAGCAGTAAACATTATTCTTTTCCTTGAATAACTACTGGTACATTTCTAAATAAGGTTCAGAAACAAAATAGATTTTTCAGAAAATTAAAATGCCATACTGATGGAGAATTGAAAATTTCATTATGGAATAATCTATTTTCTGCCTATTGCATTCTGCCTCTTAGTTTTTGTGTGTATCCTTCACTAGCAACAACTGAAAAGAGAGAAGAAACTAGAACTATCATAGTTTCTACCTATCGAACCCAATAAGAACTCAGTTCTCTGCTCCTTGCTTGTGGGACACCAGCAAACTAAGAGAGTTCATTTGTCCTTGGTGAGATGAACAATATAGAGTTTTACCTAAAGTGAAGTTACTAAATTAAAAGATTATCATCGATTCTGAGATTAAATATTTCTTACCTATTTGGTGCTCAAATATTCCTTTGTTTGAGACAGAGTTACACTCTTGTTGCCCAGGCTGGAGTGCAATGGCAGGTGACCTCGGCTCACTGCAACCTCCGCCTCTGAGGTTCAAGAGATTTTCCTGCCTCAGCCTTCCAAGTAGCTGGGATTGCAGGTGCCCACCACCCTGCCCAGCTAATTTTTTGTGTTTTTAGTAGAGACGGGGTTTCATCATGTTGGCCAGGCTGGTCTTGAACTCCTGACCTCAGGTGATCCACCTGCCTCGGCCTCCCAAAGTGCTGGGATTACAGGTGTGAGCTACCGCACCCGGCCAAATATTCCTTTTTATGAAGCACTGGTGGTGTGACTGATGGTTTGGATTTGAAGGGTGGCTTGAATGTCTCACCATGTAAAAAACATCACCAACCTTAAACTGACCCACAGATTTTTAGTCTATGAAATTACTGAAGAGCTACTGAAACTTACTGAGAGAGGAGAGCTGAGCAGGTTGGAATCCAGAGACAGGTTGACCAGGGCCTCACTGCAGGCTCTGTTAATTACAGACCGTGTGATTTATGTGTGCTTTGCTTAGTGACTCTTAATTCAAGATGTAATTAGACTCTTTGTGATTGAAATGTTATTGATCATGAAAACCACAGATCTCAAAATTCCTGTACTTGCTGATCTCTCAAGGTCCTTCCAGCACTGCTTTTTAGCCTAATACAAGGACATGCACCTTGGTTCCAACCCCACATGATGCCAACTTGGAAAAAAACACTTGAGTGATCAAATTAAACTTGACAAACTAAAAACAGTAGAGATTCTTTATACTCTTGAGCTAAAAGGTAGAGGGACAGACTTGCTATGTATAGGCATCCAGAGAAAGATATTAGAATTCTAACAGAATGACTTCTGTGTCTGCTTATTACACAAATATTATATGCTGATATGTACATGAAACAGTTGTTTCATCACTTCTAAAAACATAAACTGCTAGTCATAAGTTTTAAAAATGCTAAATTTCCCCCTGAGGTTTTACCCTCTTGTGTCAATTTTCTGAATTATCTGCCCAAGGAGGGAGAAAACAAAGGAAATTGAAAAAAAATGAGAAATGAATAAGTACAGACCCCCAAATTCACTATTTTGGTCTTTAACACTGCCTCTCTCATAGAAATTGGGAAGTTAAAATCATATACCAAAAAAAAAAAAAAAAAAAAGAAAAAAAAAATCAGGCTATTCTCTACAGTGTCCTACCGCTGCCTCTCCATATGTAGGTCACAGGCACCACCTAGAGGCATTAATCATCTCTAACTCTCATTTCAGGGAACTCATATAAGTCAGTTCAAAATCCAGTTGAGTTCTCTCTCTAGTCACAGACTTGAAAATTAGTTAATCAAATAAAGTACTCCCATCTCTCAGCTTCCAGGGCAACAGAGCAAGACCAAATGAAAAGGAGACATGCAAATATACATATTCTGTCAAATAATTAGACTTATCTGTCTCACTATCTCATTTGTTAACACCTTTGTGATTCCACTTGCTGCCTATACAGCAAGAAAGACGCATAACATTAAGGTATAGTTCTACTTTGGAGAGTCAGTAGATAAACTAGAACTACAAAAATCCCAGGTAAGCCTTAACTAAAAAGATAACATTCCATTTTGACAATGAAAATATGTCTGCAGGCTGAGCGTGGTGGCTCACGTCTATAATCTCAGCACTTTGGGAGGCCAAGGTGGGTGGATCACTTCAGGCCAGTGGTTCAACACCAGCCTGGCCAACATGGTGAAACCCTGTCTCCACTGAAAATACAAAAAATTAGCTGGTTGTGGTGGCGCACCTGTAATCCCAGCTACTTGGGAGGCTAGTCAGGAGAATCACTTGAGCCTGGGAGGTTGAGGTTGCACTGAGCTGAGATTGTGCCACTGCACTCCAGCCTGGGAGACAGAGCAAGACTCCATCTCAAAACAAAAAAGAAAGAAAGAAAATATGTCTGCAATAAGTAACATTAAATGCTGCCAGTTCCAACTGCTATCAGTGAAGGACAAGAAGTTTGTTTCCAGAAGGTTCCACCTTTATGTGCCAGCTTTATCTCTCAGCAATAACAAAATATCTGCATGATGTTTCAAATTAATCTTCTGCACATCTAATCTTCGTAACATTAGCTGGAGTAAATAAAAAGAGTTCTGAGATTCCAAGGCTTGTGTATACTCAAGGTATTACAAATCACCATGGAAAGTTAAGGGAGAGTTGAAAATAATAAGTAGCTATGAGCTTCCTGCACATAACTGAATCCACAGCTCAGGACTATGTTTGACAAATACCTGGACTTCTAATATATGAGCAACTTAATTTAGAATTCAGCTCAGCTTGGCAGAAATCATGTTGGCTAGAGACACTAGAGTCCTAGGTTCTTGCCCCATCTTTATTACTCTCTGGCTATGGGATCTGGTAAAAGTAGATCCTTCAATATTTGAAGAAACCTGGTGGTGTCAGTTTTCTCAATGTGACTTTCACCAACTCAGATGCTTTGGTTTAAGTTACTGTAAAATAACCATAAGTAAATGTCTGGGATCCATATATCCCATCTACTATTCCCTCACAAATTTGATTAATAAACCTCTGCAGCCACCAGCCTCCCTCCCTCCTTCTCCATTTTAGGACTCAGTAATATCTAGCTAAAATCAGAGACTTGGGCGCAAATTCAGACTGAGTTCCTTATTACTGTTTACTATGTATCCTTGAGCACGATATTTAACCTCATTAAGACTCAGTGTCCTCATTTGTCAATTGGGGGTTATAATAGCCAATAAGCAAGAAGGAAATGAGCTAAAGCATGAGAAGCATTCGGCACAGGGGCTGACACAAGTACAGTTCAACAGGTATGTGATAGATACTATGTTATTAATATTATTATTTTATTGATTTAAGAACCTACTAAACACATTTTATGTGTTAGCCCTAAGGGGTAAAACCCTGCACCCCACATTGGGCAGGTGCTAATGATGATGCACATCCACAGGCAGTTACAAAACAGCATCATACATGCCATGTAGAATCGTGCAAGAGCTATGGCTGCACACCACTCAACACGCATGTGTGGGACAAGGGAAAGTTCCCAGAAGAGTGATACCTCAGCTGACGGATGATTAAAGCAGAGAGAGAAGCAGTGTTCCTAGGCATGTGAAAAGGCCTGGAAAAAATAGTTCAGACATAGAGTGGTTGGGAAGTTGCTCAAGGGATCCTACTGCCTTGGCTTCCCAAAGTTCTGGGATTATAGGCATGAGCCACCATGCCCGGCCGAAGATTTTTTTTTAAGGGATAAATCTATAACAACATTGGATGACAAGGAGGGGCATCATCAATGCAATAGAAATGATGACAAAGACATACTCAGAAAAGGAGTTTGATAAGAGGTGGGAACAATTCTGAGGGCACTCTACACTTGGGGGTTTGGTGGACATGGAGGTAGGCAGAAACAAGGGCAAGGGTCAGGCTGCTTTGGAGGCCATTCAACCACTTTATCCTGGTTATGACAAAGAATAGCCACAGAATCCTCTGTTCCCTACAAGAAAAATGAATGGAAACCCTTGGGTGGGTGTGGGCAGGGTGGGGCGGGGCAATGCAGAGAAAAAGCAGTGTCCTGGATGGCCAGGTACACCCAAGAGGAACAAGGAGCACCTCCCTATACAAGGAGACTTGCGGGTCCTTCCATCTCACATCACGTCCTTTCCCCACAGGTACTGCAGGCTGCTACAATAACAGATGCTAGCAGAGAAAGTTAAACCAAAGACAAAAGCACAACCAAGAATCACCAAATAGTTCAGCACAACCAACACCTTGATATATGAGCATCCATCTAAATATACAGAAGATCTACTTCCTAAGGAAATACAATAAATACAGCAAACTGAAAGTGACTTTAAAAGAAATATAATTAATATCTTCACAAGCATTAAAAAGGACATCATATAACAAAAAAGGAAGTGCTTGAAATAATTAAAACAAAAATATTATAACTGAAATAAAACTGAGTAGAAGAACTAAGTGGACAGAGCTGAAGAATAGACACAGCTGATGGGCAAATGAGTGACCTAGAGCACAGCTCCAAAGTCAAACTGATGGAAAGTGGAAGGAAATAAAGAATGAGAGAGTGGAGACAGCTAGTATAGACAACCTAAATTGTCTTAAATTGGGACTAGAAGAAAGATGAGAGAAGAGAGATAGAATGACATGGAATACTGGGCATATATAGATTTCAAGAGTGTTGAATGATGGAGGAGAAGCATACTGGACAATAGAATAGTGCCAGGAGAGAAACAGGGGGGAAAGACAGTGGATATGAATAAAGTTTGTAAATTGGTGTCAGGAAATTGAGAGAGTTAACATTTACCACGTGATTTTTTTTTAACATGGGTGAGATGAGTTTTTCTTCCTCTTTCATTCCTACCTTCCTGGAGGCTGAAAGCTTCCACATCTAAGGTGACAGAAACAGGATTTCTATCATGAGTAGAAGACAGTCTTTGAACATAATGAGATACCAAAGAAGAGGAATGTGTTAGCAGGAGATAAACCTTTACAATACCTGAGCTTTTTAAAAGATTTTTCTACTCTCAGTTCAGAGTACCACTTTTATCCTCCTTTCCTATCTTCTGGACCTATCCAATAGCAGAATTCTTGGGGAACAGAAAAGGACAATTATTCCAGAGACCCCTGCAACAAAGTAGACTGGGATTAGGATGAGAAAAAGAGGAGTTAAGAAGATCAAGGGATGGTGGGAGGGCTCAAGGAGGAGAGTCCAGAAGAGGTGCTCTGTGATGAAGGGGATGGCCATGTGGGCCCCGTGAGAGTTTATAAATGAAAGCCGACCCACGTGAGTGGAGAATAAGATGGGGAGTAAAGGAAGCCCTTCCTAAATTCTCACCCCCTTATGGATATTATGAGTTAAATGATAGCTCAAACCTGAAGTAAGAACTGAATGGACTTTCTTTGCAGCTGCGTTGTGTGTTTTTCCAGCTGAGAAAGAGTGTAGGGCTTTCCCCCAACAATTAACAGCAGAGGTCTAAAGTTTTCTAGTGGAAAACAACTTGTGTTGGAACAAAATGCCCAACTTTCTTTTACTGTGTCTCTTACTGATTGCCACAGCCTTCTACCTCCAAGTTAAGAGGTAGAGTCACCAAGCTATATTTGGGGGCTCCTACTTGGGGTGTTCCCAGAGGTATCTAACAGAGTGTCCAGTACATTTGAAACTAAGTTAAGGGACAGTCCATCATGGAAGCCTAACTAGTCACAAGATGGTAACAAGAAAAGTGGGTCCAGGAGAAAGTGGTTTTGAGGTTTAGGATATCCAGACAGAAAGAGAGAGAAACAGTATAAATCATTTTGTGATCTTCTCATTACAGCCAGTTAAGAAGACTGGAACCATGCCTTCTTCAAACACAACAGGTCAGTTCCTTTATTGAGCTTCCCTACAATATACAGACAGTGGCATGTAGAGCCCTATTATTGGATAAATTATTTGTCCAATAATTGTTTTAAGTCTGGATCACTTCTATAAAGGGAAGACCCATCAGAGCTGGTAGGGCAAAACTTGACCACATACAATGGCTGCATCAGAACCAATGTGATGCCCTGTGATGATCAGGGGAAAAGGTATTGTTGCCTACATTGAATAATACTAGGTAGAAAAAACTAAAGACCTTTGTTAGGAGTGAAAACTGGTTCCCAAGTGGGAGAAATTTAAACTGCAGAATGTGGAGAGTAAGAATATGGAGCAAGAATAAAATGTATCAGAAAGTATAAAACAGAAAATGGTTATGGAAATTTACTACCTCTATCTTCAATGTGATATGTAAGTTAAATGCCGAAAATGCATTTGCCTTGATGCACAATGGATTGGTGAGCTTAAAGCAAGACTAAAGAATATTGAGAAATTTTATACCAAGCATTTTATCACCTAACAAGAGAGGCCAAAGAGACTTCTAATTATTTCACAAAATTATAGAAATGTTATATAAGGTGGTAGAGAAAGGAAGCATGGAAGAAGACACAAGACACCAGATGTTGCTCATCAAGTGTTGCCGGTGAGCATTGACAGCAGAGGGAACATTAGCCAGCCTCTGGCTGCACACTGGACTAGTGCAGATTATCTGGGTGGCAAAAGGAACAGCTGAGGCTCTTTTAAAATTACTAGCTAGTGTTGTACAAAAGGAGAGAAGGTTAGCACTCCCCTTGACAAGGATGGAAGAGGCCCTTGGGCCTGACAACATGCATATGGTTAAGGCATTGCCACCTACTTCGTGGCATCCAACCATCGTTTTTATGGAACAGAACAGAGCCCTCCGAAATAATACCACACATCTACAACCATCCGATCTTTGACAAACCTGACAAAAACAAGAAATGGGGAAAGGATTCCCTATTTAATAAATGGTGCTGGGAAAACTGGCTAGCCATATGTAGAAAGCTAAAACTGGATCCCTTCCTCACACTTTACACAAAAATTAATTCAAGATGGATTAAAGACTTAAATGTTAGACCTAAAACCATAAAAACCCTAGAAGAAAACCTAGGCAATACCATTCAGGACATAGGCATGGGCAAGGACTTCATGTCTAAAACACCAAAAGCAATGGCAACAAAAGCCAAAATTGACAAACGGGATTTAATTAAACTAAAGAGCTTCTGCACAGCAAAAGAAACTACCATCAGAGTGAACAGGCAACCTACAGAATGGGAAAAAAGTTTTGCAATCTACTCATCTGACAAAGGGCTAACATCCAGAATCTACAATGAACTCAAACAAATTTACAAGAGAAAAACAAACAACCCCATCAAAAAGTGGGCAAAAGATATGAACAGACACTTCTCAAAAGAAGACATTTATGCAGCCAAAAGACACATGAAAAAATGCTCATCACTGGCCATCAGAGAAATGCAAATCAAAACCATAATGAGATACCATCTCACATCTGACTTTTTAATGTCAATCATTAAAAAGCCAGGAAACAACAGGTGCTGGAGAGGATGTGGAGAAATAGGAACACTTTTACACTGTTGGTGGGACTGTAAACTAGTTCAAGCATTGTGGAAGACAGTGTGGTGATTCCTCAAGGACCTAGAACTAGAAATACCATTTGACCCAGCCATCCCATTACTGGGTATATACCCAAAGGATTATAAATCATGCTGCTATAAAGACACATGCACATGTATGTTTATTGTGGCACTGTTCACAATAGCAAAGACTTGGAACCAACCCAAATGTCCATCAGTGATAGACTGGATTAAGAAAATGTGGCACAAAAAACCAAACACTGCATGTTCTCACTCATAGGTGGGAACTGAACAATGAGAACACTTGGACACAGGAAGGGGGACATCACACACCGGGGCCTGTCATAGGGTGGGGGGAGGGGAGGAGAGATAGCATTGGGAGATATACCTAATGTAAATGACGAGTTAATGGGTGCAGCACACCAATATGGAACATGTATACATATGTAACAAACCTGCACGTTGTGCACATGTACCCTGGAACTTAAAGTATAATAAAAAAAAAATTGCTAGCTACAAGGATAGAGCAGCCAGGACTATTTCCCTGAGTTAACTTTAAGTCATGATGCCTGAACCACAACTAGTTATCTAGTTGCAGTTTTTGCAGCTGCACCAGTGCCCCGTGTTCTGCGGCAGGAACTCCTGAGAGAGTTGAGGGCTCTTTTCTTCAGGGAGACACATTTTTCTACTTCTGATGTGTGGGTAAGAGGGCATGCAATGGCAAACTGTTAGGAAATCCCATCTGAGTACTGGAAAAGACCCAAGGAAGCTGGGACTGATTTAGAATAGAGTTCAAATTTATACCTGTCAGATCCCTGCTACCTCAAGCCATGAGTGTTGATGCAGCCAGGCTGTTTTCCCCAGACTAGGGGAATTAAAGATAAGTAAAATCCAAGGAAAAGCTTGCAGGTTAAGTTGGACAGTCTCTATTATTTTCCTGTCACTATATGAGAAGCATGGCTCACTCTCACCTATAAGACCTAACAGAAAACTTTTGTTTATTGTGAGGAAAAGAAAAAAAAAAAGGAAAAATAAAAGAAAAAAAAAGGAGAGAGGAAAAAACAAACTCTTTCTCCAAGTACCTCCTGAAGTGTTCTTTCTGTCTAATGGGGGATGGCAGAATATGCCACCCCAATATATACCACTTCAGCATAAGAATTACTTTGCATTAAAGGCGTTTGGAAGCCAGAGGTGCAGGAAGATGGATTCTGACTTCCTCTTTTCTTTTCAAAAGCATGAGACAAAACGCCCACGTGAAAGATGCCCTCCTTATACCAGAAGAAAAGAAATATCCTTATCACCAGGCACAGGGAGTCGAGGCAGAGAGAATTTTGTACAAAAGGACCTTCATAAAATAACTCTTATCTTTCTTTCGTTTCCCCATATACAGGCAACCCTCATTTTATAGTGCTTTGCTTTATTGCACTTTGCTATATTGTATTTTTTACAACTTGAAGGTTTTTGGCAATGCTCCTTTGAGCAAATGTATTAGTGCTATTTTCTGATGGCATGTGCTCATTTGGTGTCTCTGTGTCACATTTTGGTAATTCTCACAATATTTCAAATGTTTTCATAATTATATCTGTTACAGTGATCAGTGGTCCTTGATATTATTATTGTAATTGTTTAGGGGCACCATGAACCATGCCCATATAAGGCAGTAAATTTAATAGATAAATGTATGCATTCTAACTCCTCCACTGACCAGCCGTTCCCCATCTCTGTCCTCCTTGGGCCTTCCTATTCTCTGAGACACAACAATATTGAAATTAGGCCAATTAATAGCCCTACAGTGAACTCGTGAGTGCTCAAATGAAAGAAAGAGTTGCACATCTCTCACTTTAAATCAAAAACTAGAAATGATTACATTCAGTGAGTAAGGCAAGTCAAAAGCCAAGGTAGGCCAGAAGCTAGGCCTTTTGTGCCAAACAGTTAGCCAAATTGTGAATGCAAACGAAAAGTTATTGAAGGACATGAAAAGTGCTACTTCACTAAAGACACAAGGGATACAAAAGCAAAACAGCCTTATTGCTGAAAAGGATAAAGTTTTCATGATTTAGATAGAAGATTAAACCAAACACAACATTCTCTTAAGCTAATGCCTAAACCAAAGCAAGACTCCAATCGTCTTCAATTCTGTGAAGGCTGAGAGAGGTAAGCAAATTACAAAAGAAAACTCGGAGGCCAGCAGAGGTTGATACATGAGGTTTAAGGAAAGAAGTTGTCTCCATAACATAATAGTGCAAGGTGAAGCAGCAAGTGCTCGTGTAGAAACTACAGCAAGTTCTTCAGAAGATCTAGCTACGATAACTGATGAAAGTGACTATACCGAAAAAAAGATTTTCAATGTGGACAAAACAGTCTTGTAGTGGAAGAATGTGCCATTTAGGATTTTGATAGCTAGAGAGGAGAAGTCAATGCCTGGCTTCAAAGTTTCAAAGGACAGGCTGACTCATATTATGGACTAATGCAGCTGGTGACTTTCAGTTGAAGCCAATGTTCATGTACCATTCTGAAAATCCTAAGCCCTTAAGAATGATGCTAAATCCATTCTGCCTGTGCTCTGTAAATGAAACAACAAAGCATGGATGCCAGCATATCTCTTTACAGCATACTTTACTGAATATTTTAAGCCCACTATTGAGACCTACTTCTTAGAAAAAAATATTTCCTTCAAATTTTACTGCTCATTGACAATGCACTTGGTCGTCCAAGAGCTCTGATGGAGATATACCAGGAAATTAATGTTGTTTTCAAGCCTGCTAACATAGTATCCATTTTGTAGCCCATGGATCAAGAAATAATTTCAAGGAGTAATTTTTCCTTGAAAAATATATTTCTTAAACATGACTTAAAGTTGAAATTACTGCCATGGTTAGTGATTCCTCTGATGGATCTGGGCAAAATACATTGAAACCCTTCTGGAAAGGATTCACCATTCTCAATGTCATTAAGAACATTTGTGATTCAACGGAGGAAATCAAAAGACCACTAATAGAAGCTTGAAAGAAGTTGATTCTAATCCTCACGGGTGGCTTTGAAATGTTCAAACTTTAGTAGAAGTAAGTGTAGATGATTGCAGACGATGAAGAAATTGCCACAGCTACCCTAACCTTAAGCAGCTGCCACCCTGACGAATCAGCAGCCATCAACATCAATGCAAGACCCTCTACCAACAAAAAGATTACAACTCACTAAAGGTAAAGGGTCAGATAATTGTTAGCATTTTGAGCAACGAAGTATTTTTTAAATTAAAGTATGTACATAGTGTTTTCTTAAACACAAATTCATTTATTATAAAATACATGAAAGAGAGTTTCAACTCAGGAAGTTATCAACAGAAGTTTATGTCAACAGAAGTTATCAAGAGTTAGCCACATTTATTTTTCAAATATAATTTAATGAAATAGAAATAATAGTAAAGTTAAAAAGAAAATCTAAAGCTATTTATTTTAATAAGTAAATTATCAGATAAGCTTTGCCAAGTCTAAACAATTGAACAAAAGAGAATAAACATAATAAATCCATAGGAATAAATAATATAAAATATTTTATATTATAAAAGAATAATCTATTTATACCAATACACTTAAAAATAAAAAAATTGTCTAAAATTATTTTAAGAAATATAAACTACCAAAATTGGCTTAAAGAATAAGGCTGGGCACAGTGGCTCACATGTGTAATCCCAGAACCTGGGAGGCCAAGGTGGGAAGATCACTTGAGGCCAGGATTTCGAGACCAACCTGGCCAATGTGCTGAAACCCTGTCTCTACTAAAAATACAAAAATTAGCCAGGTGTGGTGGTTGGCACCTGTTGTTCCAGCTACTCAGAGGCTGAGGCAGAATTCCTTGAACCTGGGAGGTGGAGGTTGCAGTGAGCCAAGATTGTGCCATTGCACTCCAGACTGGGCAACAATAGCGAGACTCTGTCTCAAAAAAAAAAAAAAAAAAAAAAGAATAAGTGATGACCTTAAGTAAACCAATAATTATAGAAAAAAATTGAAAATGTAATTAGGTCCTTGATTTTAAAAGACACTAGTTTAAATTATTTTATGCAGTTGGGTAATGTAAATTTTTTTTAAATTATAGAAGTAATACATGCTCATTTTAATTAATGCAACATACGTAAGTAAAAACATACCTCAAAAACATTGCAGGTTCATCTCTGGACCACCCCAATGAAGCAAATATCAAAATAAAATGAGTCATGCAAATTTTTTTGGTTTCCCAGTGCATATAAAGTTATGTTTACACTACGGTGTAATCTATTAAGTGTGCAATCATATAGAGTCTAAAAAACTAATATGTACTTGGTTTTTTGGGTTTTTTTTTTGGTGGGGGGGGGATGAAGTCTCACTCTGTCACCCAGGCTGGAGTGCAGTGGCCTGATCTTGGCTCACTGCAACCTCCGCCTCCCGGGTTCAAGCGATTCTCCTGCCTCAGTCCCCCTACTAGCTGGGATTACAGGCGTGCGGCACCATGGCCTACTAAATTTTGTATTTTTAGTAGGAACGAGGTTTTACTATGTTGGCCAGGCTGGTCTCGAACTCCTGACCTCAAGTGATCCGCCCACCTTGGCCTCCCAAAGTGCTGGGATTATAGGCGTGAGCCATCATGTCAGGCCTGTACATAGTTTTTTAAGACATAATGCAATTGCACATTTAATAGACTCCAATATAGCATAAATATAACTGTTATATAAACTGGGAAATCAAAAAATTCATGTGACTTTACTGTGACATTTGGTTTATTGCACTGGTACAGAACTAAAACCATATCTTTGAGATGGGCTTTTATTTCATTTACATTTCCACAATTGCTTCTCTTTGTTCAACCTAGTATATAAAGACTTAGCTTGTGCCACTTCTTCAGGCCTTCATTTTCCTTTGGGGGTTCCCACATACATGTAAAAATCTGTATGTTTTCCTGCTGCTAGTCTGTCTTACATCAATTTAATTCTCAGGCCCAGCCAGAGACCCTGAAGGAGTAGAGGTGAAATTTTGCTTTTCCTACACCAGTAATGATCATAATTACCTCCATTCTGAAGATCCACCCACTGAGATGTAGCCCAGCAATGAGGAGCAGATTCTATCTGAAGAACAACCTGAGCCCATTATTTATGAGGAATAGACCCGTATTAAGGTCTGTTGCTGAAGAGACAGAAATGGAGTTAGGACCCACAGACCATACCTCCGCAAACTCTCTGTCTTTGCTTGCCAGAGCATAGAATTGTAAAAAAATGACTGAAGGAGCAGATGCTAAAGTTTCTAGGTAAATACATTGGCAAAAGAACACCAAGCTTGGATCACCAAGGTTCAGGACAGCCTAACTCCTGAGGTACAACCCAGGCAGGAGAACCAGCACCAACAAGAGGTTGGTGCAACCCAGAAGGGGAACCCTTCCTGGTGTCTTTCTCACATGCGGCCATGAGCACAACAGACTGAAACCTCGTTTACTACCAGGTCAGGGAGTCCCAGGATTGTGTGTGAACTAGGAACTTGTAACCATGATGTGCTTTCCCTTTCTTCCCTATTCTGAATGTGAACTTTTATTGTAATTTTTTCCCTTTTACTGTATATTATTGGATTCTTATGTAGATTTCTTACCATGTAGAATTTTGTGAACCTGACTCAAAAGAATACAAATCACTCAAAGATTCTGGACGTAGTAAATTACACCACAGGAAAACTGAAAAAAAGAAATAAAGAAAAAAGAAAAAAAAGGACAGAAAAGAGAATTTTTCGTAGTTTTTAATAACCATTTTTTAACAAGTACCATTATAACAGTACTAATGAAAATCAAACATACTTCAAAATTATTAAACTATATAAGAAAACCCTCTCCCCAAAATCCAACTCTACAATCAAATCTGCTTTGCTTTCTCAACCTTTCCTCCTGATTTTAGTCTTTGTGCATACACAACTGAACATGATATAATCTGAAAATTTCACATATATATATAATCTTGGAGCTAAAAAAAATCATAGTTTTTGTCAAAAAAGCCAAAAAGACCCTGGATCAAAAGTGAATGTAAGTCCTGGCCATGGGTGGTGGCTCACGTTTATAATCCCAGCACTTTGGGAGGCCAAGGCAGAAGGATTGCTTGAGCCCAGGAGTTTAAGATCAGCCTGGGCAATATAGTAAGATCCTGTCTCCACAAAAAACAAACAAACAAACAAACAAACAAACAAACAAACAAAAAATTAATTAGGTGCAGTGGTGCCCACCTGTGGTTCTAGCGACTTAAAAGGCTCTGAGGTAAGAGGATTGCTTGAGCCCAAGAGGTCAAGGTTGCTGAGAGCTGTATTCACACCATTGCACTCCAGCCTGGGCGACAGAGTAAATGCAAGTCCTAAAGGATAATTTGGGCTATCTCCAGTTCAGGAATACTCACATTATGTTTTACATTTCATGTATATGGAAGGCTTCTCAGCAGCTAAGGAGTGGGATGGAGAAGTCATGTATCTTTGAAGATTCATTCCATCCCAACACATCATTTGGTTTCACTGGACTTACCCAGTCCTGATTCTGGGAGTGGTTCATATAACCTACACCTGGCCAATGGACTGCACCCCTCATCCCCACCATGATTAAAGCAGTTGGCTCAGGGAGGGGTAATCATCACTGGCTGAATTACTTTCCTCTAGGTTTGGTAACAAATTACCACTGACTCCAATTTTTAAAGTTCTACTGTGGGTAAAATGCTATCAAACAGCATAGCATGCCACAGAAAAATCTTTCATGAAAGGAAGAGTCAATTGATGTGGCAAACTTCATTGTTGTCTTATTTGGAGGAATTGCCACAGCCAAACCAATTTCAGCCTCCACCACACTGATCAGTCAGCAGTCATTAATATTAATGCAAGACCTTCCACTAGCAAAAAGATTATGACTCGCTGAAGGCTCAAATGATTGTTAGCAATTTTTTTAGCAATGAAGTATTTTTAAATTAAGGTATGTACTTTTTAAAATAACTTTTGTACGCACTGAGAGACCAGGAAAATTTTTGTAACTTGCTTTATTATGATATTTGCTTCATTGTGGTGGTCTGGGATTGAACTCTCAATATCCTCGAGGTATGCCCATATATGTTATAAATATATGTTTATATGTGTAAATGTTATATGTTATTAATTGGTTGACAAAAATATTATGATGAAAGGCTCATATTTCCCCTAGGGACAATGGTTCTTCATTCACTAATTTAGGGTTCCTGATGACTATGAAACAAAACTACCATGAATAAAAAGAACCAAATGTATTTCAATCTATGACATGGTAATACAGTCATGCGCCACATAACAATGTTTTGGTCAATGACAGACTGCATGTATTATAGTGGTCCCATGGATTTTTAATGGAGCTGAAAATTTTCTGTCACCTAGTGGCATCGTAGCCCTTGTAAGATCATACTGCAAGGCATTACTCAAGTGTTTGTGGTCATGCTGGTGTAAACAAACCTACTGCTCTACCAGTCATATAAAAGTACAGTCTTGTGTTACATAACAACAAGGATCTGTTCTGAGAAATGCAGCATTAGTTGATGTCCTCATTGTGCAAACATCATAGGATGTACTTACACAAACCTATAATGGTATAGCCTACTACACACCTGGGCTATATGATAAAGCCTATCATTCTTAGTCTACAAACCTGCACAGCATGTTACTATACTGAATATTGTAGGCAACGGTAAAACAATGGTAAGTATGTGTGTATGTAAACATATTTGGCTAGGTGTGGTGGCTCACACCTGTAATCCCATCACTTTCTGAAGCTGAGAATGGAGGATCACTTGAGGTCAGGAGTTTGAGACCAGCCAGGGCAACATAGTGAGACCCTGTCGCTACAGAATAAAAAATAAGAAAATACCTGGGTGTGGTGGTGCATGCCTGTAGTCCCAGCTACTCAGAAGGCTGAGCTGGGAGGATACTTGAGCCCCAGGAGGTGGAGGTTGCAGTAAGCTGTGATCACACCACTACACTCTAGCCCGGACAACACAGCAAGACCCTGTCTCAAAAAAAAAAAAAAAAAAGACTATGTTACTGGCTTATGTATTTACTATACTGGTCTCAAACTCCAGGCCTGAAGTGATCCTCCCTCCTTGGCCCCTTAAAGTGTCCCAAAGTTCTAGGACTACAAGTGTGAGCCACCATGCCTGGCCAGGGTTTTTTCTTTCTAGAGTCTCTGAGGGAGCATCTGTTCTGTGTCTGCCTTCTAGCTTCTGGTGGTTGTAGGTAATTCTTGGCATTTCTTTGGCTTGTAGCTATATCATTTCAATTTCTAACTCTGTTCTTCACATGACCTTCTTCCCTGTGTGTCCTCTGTGTCTCTCTATTAGCACTATTCTCTTCTTTCTCTTTTAAAGACACGAGTTGTAAATTTATGGCCCACCCTAATCCAGGCTGACCTCATCTGAACTTGATTACATCTGCAAAGATCCTATTTCCAAATAGGGTCACCGTCACACAGGTATTGGTGGTTAGGACATCAATATATCTCTTCTGGGGACACAGTTCAGCCCACTCTACCCCGTTTTCAGTTAAATTAGCTTAAGTGGGTATCTGCTCTTTTCTTGTTCTAAGACTCTCAAAGACAGAACTCCAGTGACCTTCAGCTTCACTCTTCAGTCACCCATTTTCATAGCTCTTACCAAGACCCAAAGTGAGAGTTGATAGTTATCTCTCACTTTCCACAGGAACTTTTTAAACCTAATCTATTCCATTTATAAGTGTTTCTCTTTGTCTTCCCATGCTCATTGATACTTCACTTCCTTTCTGTGGTGAGTAGAGAGGTCCCCACTAATGAAGGATGTGGTAGGTTTCAGTTCAATATCAGAAAGTGCTCCACCTGATATATCATTTTTTAATTATAAAAATTTTCAAAGAGTGGAGAGAACAGTATGTTTTACCCTAATCACCTTTAACAGTATAAATTCAAACACCCCACTCTTATCAAAGCCATTTACTCTTCAAAATGTCCCACCTGGTTTCTCCTGATACATCTGCTCTTTGATCTCACCACAGCCTTCAGCCTCTGCTTTCTCTATTTTCTCCCTTTTTATTTTCTTTCTACATAGCTTACATTCCCTGATCCAAAACAAACTTAATTTTTACTGTCAATATTTTCCTCTTAAAAGCTGTGGAAGGCAGGTGAATTCCTAGGCAGGCAGGGATGTCAGAACTAGGCTGGAAGTCAGAACTTTAAGCCAAGGATAGTCTAAGGCTTGAAAACTGAGATGCCAGTTCTGGATAGAATCCACGGACCAGAGTGAGGACTCCCACTCCCATCTGGCATGCTTCTTTCCAATTGGTCCTTACCTTTCAACATATACCTATCTTTCTGTGATTGGCTGTGGGCCGAATGTTCATTTGCATAGAGTGAAACGTCACTCCAGCCCCCAATCAGTTGTGGGCCGAGCCTTCACTTCTGCCTTCAATACGTTTTTTTACACTATCGTTTCTCTTTCTGAGTGGTGCTTTTTCCAAAACAGCCCCCAGACCAGTCAGCACACTCCTCCTTCCTTCTCAGTCCATAAAGACCCTGACCATAGCCCTGCAGCCAGCAACCATCTTTTGGATCCCCTCTCTGCTGTGAGCTTTTTCTGTTGCTTGATAAATCCTACTCTGCTTTACACACTCTCCAGTGTCCATGTGCCTTATTCTTCTTGGTCATGGGACAAGAACCCAGAACTCACCAAACTGCAGGAGCACAGGAACTGTAGTGCTCCAGCTCACTGAGCTGCTGGTGGCAGGACTAAAAGGGCTGTAACACTTCCTCCAACTTGCCGAAATACAGAAGTGAAGAAGCCACTGGGCACCACTCCCTCCCGCTCGCTGGACAGTGGAAGTAGGAAAGCTGCAACACTCCATTGATCCCTTGCCCTTCAATTGCATCCACTGGAAAAATTCTAAATCCAGATCTGTCTAATTGCCTTCTTCATGCCTATACTTGTGCCCTTGAGGGCTGCTAGAGAAAATTACACCACTTAGGCGGGTATACAGTTCTGACTTCCAGCCTAGACTCTCACGTCTGCTTGGCAGTCCTACAGAGTTGATAGTTATCTCTCACCTTCCATGGGAACTTTTTAAACCTAATCTGTTCCATTTATAAGTGTTTCTCTTTGTCTCCCCATGCCCACTGATACTTCACTTCCTTTCTATGGTGGGTAGAGAGGTGCCCACTAATGAGGGATGTGGCATGCTTCTCTGCCCATTCCATTCCCCAAACCAAAACAGACAGACATACAGATACACACATACTCTCTCTCTTCCTGGAGCCAGAGGCTTCTCAAGGTTAGGAAAAGTAAAAGGAGAATTAGAGTAGCTATACAAGTTTGGGGAAAACCTGATCTTCTTTTAGTATTACAAAGTACAAGAAATACCTTAGCAGTGAGGACCATGTGGTGTCTAAGGCAAGTGCATTGTTACCACACACTGTGCTGCAGCCAACCTCATGGGATGTTCCCTCTCCAGGCTCACCCAGTACCTTATGAATTAACTGACGTCCTGGATAGACTTCTCTCTGCCCTCTGGGGAGCTGTCATTGGATCTTATGATTCACTTTGAGAGCCTTCATCCTCCAAATTCAAATCCTTAAAAACAACAAACAAACAAGCAAACAAACAAAAAAATATGTAACTCCCATAACATCTCTAGTTCTCTAAGTGAATGGGACAGAGGCAGTGTTTGAGCAGAATTCTTCCAAGGGTCTGTATTTGCTGAGATACTTGTGCCCCATATACCTCACAGGGTTACAGTACAATTGGGGATTGTCAAGAGAAAGTTTAAGATTTACCTCTTTGAGGTGCCCACTGCTTTAAAGTCTCTTCTCTTGTTCTTCCAAAGACTTACCAAATATAATGAGATTGCCTGGATACACCACTATGTCCAAAGAATTTATATTTTCAGATATTCTCTCCATATCAACTGCTGGGGTAGCTGGGGTCCCGGAGACACAGCTTCTTTTAGACTTGGTGTTTTTCTTCCACCTAAAGTAGGGTTGACTAATTTTTTTTTCTAAGCTAGATATTTTCTTTTCTTTGTTTGTTTTAATATTTTTATTGAAATAAAACTGCTATTGGCTGGTCTACAGGGTTTTTCTTCCATTTTACCCCCAAGTATATTCAGATATTACATGCTCACTTCCCTGAGTCTGAGGCAGGTGTCTTCAAATAGGTCTAAAATGGCATCAGCCTCCTGAGTAGCTAGGATTACAGGCATATGCCACCATACCCAGCTAATTTTGTATTTTTAGTAGAGACGGGGTTTCTCCATGTTGGTCAGGCTGGTCTTGAACTCCCGACCTCAGGTGATCCGCCTGCCTTGGCCTCCCAAAGTGCTGGGATTACAGGCATGAGCCACCACACCCGTCAGAGAGGTCAGATTACAAATCAGCTACCATTAGCCATGTCTCTGCCTGCATCTACAACAATGATCCACTGGAGGGAAGTATTCTGTCTTGCTTTCTTTGGGGAAGAAATTGTAGACTCAGGGTGATATTTAGTCAATCAAAACTTTCTTTCCTCCTTCAGTATACTGAAGAGAACGTGTTTGTCTTTTTTTTTCTCTCTCTCTCCACTGTAGGCAATAACTACCCAGAGCTCTGTTAGCATAAATTTTATGCAAATTTTATTCAACAATGCTAACCTGGGGAAGAAGAACAAAATTTGTATAGTGGCTTAACAGCGTCAATTGAAGTTTACGTAGTTCGGAGAATTAGTCAAGGATTTTCTCCTACCAATAATTTGTGCAGATTAGCAGCCAGGATTTGGGAAATTTCGATTTTTTTCAACAGGAATGGAAAATAGCTGGGATCTGAGGTCATGTATACAAGGGAGTAGAGAGGAATAGTTGCAGAAACCCAGTGGAAGATTCTTAGTCCTTCACAATCTCTTATGTTATTTTTAATATAATAAATATTTTAATATGCAAAATATATAAGATGTATATATATTATTTACATATCTTTTTATATGTCATATTTATATATTATATATAAAAGACAAGCAAGCATATTTTACAGACAAAAAGAAGGCTATTTCAGAATGATTTTAGAAGCATTACATATTCTCTTTCCTTTAGCATTATGTACTCTTAGAAGGAACATAGAGATTCTTGCAATATATTGTTGAAGAACAAGAGATACTGTTCATAATCTACTAATTCATCTGATTCCATGAGAAGGAAGCATCGTTTTGTGGTAATATCTCCCATAAGAACAGGATGAATCCTCTGGAAAAATACCCACTTAAAATGTAAAATTAAAAACAAATTAAAATTTAAATTAAAAAAATTAAATTTAAAAAAGCCACCACCACCAATGTAACCACTACCATCATCACCAACACACCACTAGCACCACTAAGCACTGGCTCAGCAGGTAGAGCATTTTACATTTTTCTTTTTTTTTTTTTTTTGAGACGGAGTTTCACTTTTTTTATCCAGGCTGGAGTGCAATGGCACGGTCTCGGCTCACAGCAACCTCTGCCTCCCGAGTTCAAGCGATTCTCCCGCCTCAGCCTCCTGAGTAGCTGGGATTACAGGCATGTGACACTATGCCCAGCTAATTTTGTATTTTTAGTAGAGACAGGGTTTCTCCAGGTTGGTCAGGCTGGTTTTGAACTCCCGACCTCAGGCGATTTGCCCACCCTGGCCTCCCAAAGCGCTGGGCTTACAGGCGTGAACCACCACACCCAGCCACATTTAAAATTTTCAATGTGAAAAACTGATCTATTTTTAACAAACTGTCTCATGCCATATTTCATATGTATCTTAAGTTTGATGGATTCCAAACTCCAAATATTATGACATTAATACTTAGTTAATATGGTCAAGTGAGTAATTTTCTATAATAAAATGGTTTTTCTAGAATACTTCCTAGAAAGCAGAGAGCTTTGTATTGCAATGTTGTTTCTTTTTTTTTAGCAGGGTATATTAAGCTGCCAGCTGATCCCAGTTGGACAAGCTGCCTTGTCTTTCTCTCCTTCCTTGCTTTAGGTGTTTTCCATCATTTCTGTGCTGAATTCCAGTGTTCTTTCTTAGATGGTCTGCATGCTATTTTAGCACGTCTTTGTCTCATCAAACTTCTTTAATGTTATTATTTTGAATTCCTTTTCAGGCATTTTATATATTGTACTTTCTTTTTTTTTTTTTTTTTTTTAGAGACAGAGTCTCTCACTCTGTCACCCAGGCTGGAGTGCAGTGGTTTGGTATCGGCTCACTGCAACCTCTGCCTCCTGGGTTCAAGCGATTCTCCTGCCTCAGCCTCCCGAGTAGCTGGGACTACAGGCACGTGCCACCATGCCCAGGTAATTTTTTTTTTTTTTGTATTTTTAGTAGAGACGGGGTTTCACCATGTTGGCCAGGATGGTCTCGATCTCCTGATTTCGTGATCTGCCCGCCTCGGCCTCCCAAAGTGCTAGGATTACAGGCGTGAGCCATCACGCCCAGCCTGTAGATATATTTTTCATTGCAATCTGTTGCTGGAGAGTTTTTGTGTTCCTTTGGAGGCATCATATTTTTAATTTTGCTTGTGTCTTTATATTGATATCTGCACATCTGGTATAATAATCACTTCTTCCAATTTTATGAATTGGTTTTTGTAGGGAAATACTTTTTTTTCTGTAGATGTATCTATAGCATTGATTGGATGGGGTACTTTGGCTTTGATTCTAGATGGATGCCATAGTGTCGTCTCTGTATTATTTCTTCGGCTCTAATTAGTGGCAGTGGTGTTTGTGAGTTCCTCAGTGGCTTAGGCTATGGTATTCAGTGGAGGCTGTGGTGAAGCTTTGCTAGGGACAGGGACACCAGGAGGGCCTGGTCTTTGGGCCACATTGGTGGAAGTGGTGGGCTGAATGGGCCAATCCTTGGGTCCCTGGGTAGTGTATGCAAGCACCAGTAATATCAGGTCACAGCAGGTTGATCCTTGACCCTTCAGGTGCCTTGAACTGGTGCTAGCAGTGGCAGGACTATGCTCTATGGGTGGGTGGGTTCTTGGGCCCATTGGGAAGTGTTGTCCATGTACAAGTGAATAAATTCTTGTTGATCTTTCAGTCTAGTTGGGTTAGCAGGTATATCTGCAGGTGAGTTCAATCAATCTCATGCAACAGGATTATGTAAGAAAAACATCCTGGGTGAACTTGGCAAGGCCTCCTCCTCAGTTGTCAGGGATATGGACAGGAGTTTTTTCTTCCCAGAAAATATCCCCAAGTCATCTTGAAGCCATGGTAGCACCTCCTCAGGTTGCTCCTGAGGGAAACATTTAACACATTTTAAATCTCATTCAATGATGGAGAACAAATAAATTTCATCTTATATCTTGCTTTTCCACCACTTGATTTGATTACAAGACCTGTTTTGATTACAAAAAATACCAACTACCAGCTGGGCGTGGTGGCTCATGCCTGTAATCCCAGCACTTTGGGAGGCTGAGGAGGGTGGATTACCTGAAGTCAGGAGTTTGAGACCAGCCTGACCAACATGGTGAAACCCCATCTCTACTAAAAATAAAAAAATTAGCTGGGTGTGGTGGTGGGCACCTGTAATCCCACCTACTTGGGAGGACGAAACAGGAGAATCACTTGAACCCAGGAGGTGGAGGTTGCAGTGAGCTGATATCACGCCATTGCATTCCAGCCTGGATGACAAGAAAAAAAAAATACAAACTACCAAATTCAAACTAGGTTAAGCAAAAAGGGAATAGATTTATTCACATAACCACAAAGTCTATGGGTAAGGTTGGTTTTAGGCATGGGTGAGCCTAGGAGACTACACAATATTCTTTGGACTACGACAATTGTTTTCTTTGTGTTTTGTTTCTTTTTTTGAGACAGAGTTTTGCTCTTGTTGCCCAGGCTGCTGGAGTGCAATGGCGTGACCTCAGCTCACTGCAATCTCCACCTCCCAGGTTCAAGCGATTCTCCTGCCTCAGCCTCCCAAGTAGCTGGGATTACATGCATGCGCCACCACACCTGGCTAATTTTGTATTTTTAGTAGAGACGAGGTTTCTCCATGTTGGTCAGGCTGGTCTTGAACTCCCAACCTCAGGTCGCCCACCTCAGCCTCCCAAAGCACTGTGATTACAGGTGTGAGCCACCACACCCGGCCTGGACTGTTTTTCTTTATTGTTCAACTTTGCTTTCTTTTGGATTGGTCTAATTCTTAAGTTCCAAGTACAAATAAGGCTACTAATAGATGTAGGCTCAGAATATCCCTTCAGTTAGTGCTTGCTTTACTTATAGCAAATGTTCCAGGGAAGAACATAATTGGCTTGTGTGATAGATGGAATAGTGACTCCCCAAAGATGTCACATCCCATCCCAGAACCTGCGAGTCTGTTACCTTACATGACAAAAGAAACTTTGAAGACGTAATTAAGTTAAGGTTCTTGAGATGAGATGATCCTCACTGAGATAACCTCCCCTCTTGACATTATCCTGGATTATCCAGGTGGGCCCCAAGTAATCATAGATGAAAGGCAGGAGGTCAGAGAAGAGAAGAGGTACTATGCTGTTGGACTTGAGGATGGAAGAAGGGAGCCATGAGCCAAGGAATGCAGGTGGCCTAGAAGCTGTAAAAGGCAAAGAAACACATTCTCTCCTTGAGTCTGCAGAATGAACGTAGCCCCAAGGACCCATTTTAGATTGATCTCTAGTACTGTAAAATAATAAACTTGTTGCTTTGTTTTAAGTCATTAAGTTTGTGGTAATTTGTTACCAAAGCAAGAGGAAAGTAATTCAACCTTTGATGATTGCCCCTCCCTGAGCCAACTGCTCTGATTGTGGTGGCGAGTGAGAGGTAGTCCATTGGTGTGGGTTATATACACCAATCCCTGAATCCGGGTTGGGCTAAGTCCAGTGAAACCAAATGAATGATGTGTTGGGGTGGAATGGATCTTCAACGATACGTGACTTCTCCACCCTACTCCTTATAGCTGCCTAGCAGCCCTTTATACACATGAAATGTAAAACGTAATGTGACTATTACTCAACAGCAGACAGCCCAAATTATCCTTTAGGTCCTGCATTCATTTTGAATCCAGAGCCTTCTTTTTTTTTTTTTTTTTTTTTGACAAGATCCATAATTTTTCATTCCATGAATCTACAATAAAGCTCCAAGATTATATATGTATGTAAAATTTTCAGATTATATCCTGCTCAGTTGTGTGTGTATGAAGATTAAAATAAAAAAGGTTGAAAAAGAAAGCAGATTGGTTTCTATGGTGGGTTTTTTGGGAGAGGTTTTTCTTAGTTTATTTTGAAATATGTTTGATTTCCATTAATACTGTTATAGTGGTACTTGTTCAGTAAATGGTTATTGAAAACTATGAAAAGTTCTCTGTTCTCTTTAATCTTGTTTTTCATATTTCCCCAGTTTTATTGTGGTATAATCTACTACATCTAGGATCTTTGAGTGATTCATATTCTTTTGAGTCAGGTCCATGAAATTCTACATGGCAAGAAATCTACATAAGAATCCAATAATAAATAGTGGAAGGAAACAAAAAATTACAACAAAAGTTTGCATTCAGAAGAGGGAAGAAGGGGACAAGTCGATAGCACACACACATCCTGGGGGGTCCCTGACCTGGAAGTAAATTAGGTTTTAGTATGTTGTGCTCATGGCCACATGTGAAATAGACACTGAGGAGGCTTCCACTTCTGGTGCTGTACCAAATTCCTCTTGGTACTGGTTCTCCTGCCGAGGAGGTACCTCAGGAGTTAAGCTGTCCTGAGCCTTGGTAATCCAGGCATGGGATTCCCGTGGCAATGTATTTACCTTGAAAATTTAGCATCTGCTTCTTGATTCACTTTTTCACAATTCTATGCTCTGGCAAGCAAAGACAGAAAGTTGGCAGAGGTATGGTCTGTGGGTCCCGACTCCATTTCTGTCTCTTTAGCAACAGGCCTTAATACAGGTCTATTTCTTGTAAACAATGGGCTCGGGTTGTTCTTCAGAGCGAATCTGCTCCTCATTGCTGTGCTGCATCGCAGTGGGAGGCTCTTTAGAATAGAGGTAATTATGATCATTACTTGTATAGGGAAGGCAAAGCTTTACCTCTCCTTTCTTAGGATCTTTGGCTGGGCCTGAGAGTTACATTGACATAAGATAGATGGGCAGAAGAAAATCATTTGGATTTTTACGTGTACACAGCAACTCCCAAAGAGGTGGCAAAATCTAGGCCAGCCTAGGAAACATAGTAAAACCCTATCTCTACAGTGCTTACATATTAGGTTGAACAAAGAGAGGTAATTATGGAAAAGTAATTGCCAGACCAGGGCAATAAACTGAATATCACGATTAAGTCACATAAATGTTTTGGTTTCTCAATTTATATAAAAGTTATGTTTACACTATGTTGGACTCTATTAAATGTGCAATTGCAGTATGTCTTAAAACTATGAACATACTTTAATTTAAAAATACTTTATTGTGGCTGGCAGTGGCTCATGCCTGTAATCCCAACACTTTGGGAGGTGGAGGTGGGCAGATCATGAGGTCAGGATATCGAGATCATCCTGTCCAACATGGTGAAACCCCGTCTCTACTAAAAATACAAAAAATAGCTAGGGGTGGTGGTGCGTGCCTGTAGTCCCAGCTACTCGGGAGGCTGAGGCAGGAGAATCGCTTGAACCCAGGAGGCAGAGGTTGCAGTGAGCCGAGATCACGGCACTGCATTCCAGCCTGGCGACAGAGTGAGACTCTGTCTCAAAGCAAAAAACAAACAAACAAACAAAAAAACCCCAATTTATTGCTCAAAAATGCTAACAATCATCTGACTCTTTAGTGAGTTGTAATCTTTTTGCTGGTAGAGGGTCTTGCCTTGATGTTGATGGCTGCTGATTCCTCAGGGTGGCGGTTGCTGAAGGTTGGGGTGGCTGTGGCAATTTCTGCATCATTTTTGCAGTGACTTTCTCTACTTAAGTTTGAATCCCTTGAAGCCGCCCATGAGGATTAGAATCAATTTCTTCCAAACTTCTGTTAATGTTTATATCTTGACTTCCTCCCATGAATCACAAATATTCTTTTTGGCATCAAGAATGGTGAATTCTTTTCAGAAGGGTTTAAATGTACTTTTCCCTGATCCATCAGAGGAATGACTATCTATGGCAGCTTTAGCCTTACAAAATGTATCTCTTAAATATGACTTAAAGTTGAAATTACTCCTTGATATATGGGCTACAGAATGGATACTGTGTTAGCAGGCATGAAAACATTAATGTCCTTGTACATCTCCATCAGAGCTCTTGGGTGAGCAGGTACACTGTCAAAGAGCAATAATATTTGAAAGGAATCTTTTTTTTGAGCACGAGGTCTCAACCATGGGCTTTAAATAGTAAACTCTGCTGTAAAGAGATGTGCTGTCATACCGGCTTCGTTGTTTCATTTACAGAGCACAGGCAGAATGGATTTAGCATCATTCTTAAGGGCTTAGGATTTTTCAGAATGGTACATCAGCGTTGGCTTCAACTGAAAGTCACCAGCTGCATTAGTCCGTAGTATGAGTCAGCCTGTCCTTGGACGCTTTGAAGCCAGGCATTGACTTCTCCTCTCTGGCTATCAAAATCCTAGATGGCACGTTCTTCCACTAGAAGGCTGTTTTATCTACATTGAAAATCTTTTGTTCAGTGTAGTCACTTTCATCTGTCATCTTAGGTAGATACTCTGGAGAACTTGCTGCAGTTTCTACATTAGCACTTGCTGCTGCACTTGCACTATTATGTTATGGAGACTTCTTTCCTTAAACCTCATGTACCTACCTCGGCTGGCTTCCAAGTTTTCTTCTGCAGCTTTCTCACCTCTCTCAGCCTTCACAGAATTGAAGAGAGTTGGGCCTTGCTCTAGATTAAGCTTTAGTTTAAGGGAATGTTGTGGCTGGTTTAAACTTCTATCCAGAGCATTAAAACTTTCTCCATGTCAGCAATCCAGCTGTTTTGCTTTCCTGTCATTTGTGCATTCACTGGAGTAGCACTTTTAATGTCCTTCAAGAACCTTTCCTTTGCATTCACAATGTGGCTGTTTGGCACAAGAGGTCTAGCTTTCAGTTCATCTTGGGTTTTGACATGCCTTCCGATTTAAAATGAGATATGTCGGTCTTCCTTTCACTTAAACACTTAAGAGTCCACTGTAAGGTTATTAATTGGCCTAATTTAAACATTGTTATGTCTCAGTGAATAAGGAGGCCCAAGGAGAGGGAAAGGGATGGGGGAATGGCCGGTACTGGGGCAGTGAGAACATACACGACGTTTATGGATTAAGTTCACTAGTCTTATAGGGGTATGTTTCATGACACCACAAAACAATGATCATAGTAATATCAAAGATCACTGATCGAGCTAGACATGGTAGCCCACACCTGTATTCCCAGCACTTTAGGATGCTGAGGTGGCAGGATCACTTGAGGCCACAACTTGGAGACCAGTCCAGGTAATATAGGGAGACCCCATCGCTACAAAAAATATATATACATATATAGTTTATTTTAAAAAATAAAAAAATAAACACTAAGATCTCTGATCACAGATCACCATAACAGATATAATAATGAAAAAGTGTGAAATATTGCAAGAGTTGCCAAAATGTGACACAGAGACACAAAGTGAGCACATGATACTGGAAAAAATGGGGCTGATAGACTTGCTTGAAGCAGGGTTGGCACAATCCCTTAATGTGTAAAAAGCACAATATCTGTGAAACACACGAAAGCAAAGTGCAATATAAGGTATGCCTGTATATAAAATAAACATACATAGATACTATACATATAAATGTGCATATATGTATATATTAACGTCTTCAAATAGAAACACACAAAGAACAAAGCTATGTATTAATTCATTAACATGGAACTCACAGCCAACAGCATTATAACTCACTCCTATAATATGTAAATAATGAGGATTGACTGCATTTTAAGTAAAATAACACATTATCACATAGATATAGAGTATAAGTTCCAATAATTCATCTGTAAGTCTTTCTCTCTGTTGGGGAGGGGATTAGAAATAAAGATGAGGAAGAAGATATTTCATTTTAAGATTGTATTTTGTTGCGAGTTTAATTTTAAATGGGAACTTGTTTTTGTTTGGACCACAAAACAGAACATTTAACATCTGTACTCAAAAACAATATTGATAAGCATAACTGAAGCTTCTATAATAAACTTTACAAGAAGAAAATTTCTTACTTTTAGCAGCCCACGAAATAAATTTTAAATAGCATAGAAGAAGCTGCAAATTCTCCCTATAGGTACAGATTTTATATTTTTAGTATGTCCACCCTCAGAGGCATCCATCATTCACTGAAAATCCAGGAAACTTGAGGTTTGTGGCAATAAAAGTGACTCTATATTGGATGCTAATCTGCCATGTTGACTTCTAATTAACCCCAGTCCTAAAGACGCCTCCTGAGTCCTATTTTATTTACTGTCCTTAGTGTAAGAACATGCCGGCCATTAGATCCAAGCAACCTTGATGTTATCACACAAATTATAGGCTATGACCACATAGCAGTCTTGCCTCTTCTGGAGGTTTGCCTTTAACTGTCTCTATACAGCATGTACACCCTTTCCTTATGGTATAAAAGCCCTGGGTCTGGGGAGTATTGATGCAGAGGCCTACCTGTCTTGCTGCTGCCCAAGACCATGCTTCCATCTCTAAGTTCCCCAGTAAATCATCCTTTACTGCAAACTGGTTTTGTCTGCCTTGTTCTTTGGTTCCTTGGGTCCTTCTGCATTTGGGGGCTGCTTTGTGCATGTGGCCCTTTCACAGAAGCTTATAATTAGAAAAAAATTCTTCAAATTATTAATTGTGCAACAGTTGGAACATGCAGATATACAAAAACACAAATGCTATCAAATGAATATAGTAAGGTATATTTCATATTCCATTTTTATGTTGTCCTGCAGAGCTATAATTTTCCCAAAAGACAAAAATCAAAGCTAAATTAAATACAATACTGCCTTCCCAATTCCCAGTTAAGGCAAAACAAATGTATTAAGAATTGCCTCATCAGAGGTACAAAGAGAGGGAAGCATGCCTGTGAAATCTCAAAATGGAAAAGAGAAATTGGTCATTTTCCAAAGTGGCCTCTTTCTAATGAAATTCTAGCAGAGATCTTCAAGGATAGAAATTTGGGCCAGGTGTTGGGGCCAGAACAGGAGTTCAAAACCAGCCTGGACAATGTAGCAAGACTCCATCTCTACAAAAAATTTTAGAAATTAGCTGGGAATGGTGGCATGCACCTGTAGTCTCAGGTACTCAGGAGGCTGAGACAGGAGGATTGCTTTAGCCCAGGAATTCAAAGTTGCAGTGAGCTAAAACTGCACCATAGCACTCCAGCCTGGGTGACCAAGTGAAAATCTGTGTTCCAAAAAACAAACAAACAAACAAACAAAGGATAGAAATTTATCTTTTGTTGCCTTAGAATAATTCAATAGGAATGGTTGAGGTTGCTTTCTTGAAGCACTGATTTTTATTTCAGGTCTTTCCATTGATGCGTTTGTTCTAAAACACAAAAAAAGTCCTTATTTTATAAAACAAAACCAGCAGTATAGGACTAGGCAATTGAAAGTAAGGCTACCTTGCAACACTTACCTAAACACCGGTCAATAAAGAAGGTAGTCAGTTGTAGAACACAAGGAAACATGGTCCCTCTGTTACTCACGCTTTGGGTAAAGTTTTGTCTCCCTCAAGTTCAAGTTACAGCCCTCCAAAAATTTAGTGTTGTGAGAAGTAGGCAAGGCCTGTTAGGAAAGTGCTTCCTTAGTTTTAATATAGTTGATTAACAAAACTTGAAAATTTTCTAGCTGTTCCTTGCCTGCTATTTGTTTTTCCTTTTCTTGTGCTATCAGCCAGACCTTGTGGTTCTTTTTTTTTAAGACAGGGTCTCACTCCTGTTGTCCAGGCTGGAATGCAATGCAGTTGGAGTTACCTGGTTCACTGCAATCTCTGCCTCCCAGGTTCAATTGATTCTCCTACATCAGCTTCCTGAGTAGCTGGAATTACAGGCATGTGCCACCACACCTGGCTTATTTTTGTATTTTTAGTAGAGATGGTGTTTCACCATTTTGGCCAGGCTGGTCTCGAACTCCTGACCTCAAGTAATCCACCCACCTCAGCCTCCCAAAGTGCTGGGATTACAGGCAGTGAGCCACTGCACCCTGCCAACCTTGTGGTTCCTATGGATGTATATCAACCAGGATCAAAATGCTTTTATACGTAGTGTTTTTTTTTTTTTTTCTCTGAGACATTGTCTCACTCTTTTGCCCAGGCTGGAGTGCAGTGGCATGATTTTGGCTCAATGCAACCTCTGCCACTCGGATTCAAGCAATTCTCCTACCTCAGCCTCCCAAGTAGCTGGGATTATAGGCACGTGCCACCATGCCTGGCTAATTTTTGTATTTTTAGTAGAGACGAGGTTTCACCATGTTGGCCAGGATGGTCTCCATCTCTTGACCTCGTGATCCGCCCGCCTCGGCCTCCCAAAGTGCTGGGATTACAGGTGTAAGCCACCGCACCCGGCCTTATATATAGTTCTTAATTGGGATTGTGGAGGGACTTAGTTGAAACAGATATGAAGGCTAGGCTTTCTGAGCATGGGGATAGAGAACTGTGGAGAAAGAGGATCCTCTTTTGGTGGAACTAATCCTTTTCCTTAGGGGCAATCTCTAAAGCCAGATTAAAAAATTAGTTTATCAAAATTTTGGCTTTGGGTTGATCCTAATTTCCACAATCTTAAAAGAAAATTTTCAAAAAGATGTAAAATATCTCCAATAGATTTCTTCAATATCTTTCTCTTGGTGGTAATAAGCAGCGCAAACTAATATACCTACTAAACATAATTATTTACTAAAAGTTTTTTAAAAATGCATTATTAACAGCAATATAATTACTACATAAAGTTCAAAATTTCTAATAATTCCTTTTGCTTTTGGATTGTATTCCACTAATGGTTTTCAGTGGTTGGTTCAGCTATTGGTTGTTCACGAGTCACCCAATAGCTCCCTCTCTGTGGCTGTTAGTCCTTACCTGATGAACAGTTTAGTTCAGTTTCAGTTTGCTTTATTCGTTGGCATCCTAGCAGCTGTCATTTAGAAGCTCTTACAACATTATGGCTTTCAGGTGTGGAGAGAGGAGGGTCTACTCTATTTTGAGATGATAAAAAGCACTCAAATAGGCCCAGTGCGGTGGCTAACGCCTGTAATCCCAGCACTTTGGGGGGGGCCAACGTGGGCAGATCACTTGAGGTCAGGAGTTTGAGACCAGCCTGGCCAAATGGCGGAACCCCGTCTCTACTAAAAATACAAAAATTAGCTGGGCATGGTGGTGCATGCCTGTGGTCTCAGCTACACAGGAGGCTGAGGCAGGAGAATCGCTTGAACCTGGGAGGCAGAGGGTGCAGTGAGCCAAGATTGCGCCACTCAAAAACAAACCAACAAACAAAAAACCAAATGGCTGTCTTCAAAATTATGTACAATTTTATTTTGAAACTATGTGATCCATCTAGAATGTTGAATACATAATTATAAACAGGATTCACACGCATGCTCTCTTGCTGATTAATTTTTCACCTATGATTTAATTTCTATTAAGATTAAAATATACTGTCATATACTCAGTAATTGTTCTTAAAATTTGCTAAATCCTTTAGCAAAGCTTTTCAAAGAGCAAGCTTTTTAAATTTATCTTGCTTTTTCTTTTTTTTTTTTTTTTTTTTTTTTTTTTTGAGACGGAGTCTCGTTCTGTCGCCCAGGCGGGAGTGCTGTGGCGCGATCTCCGCTCACTGCAAGCTCCGCCTTCCGGGTTCAAGCCATTCTCCTGCCTCAGCCTCCCGAGTAAGCTGGGACTACAGGCGCCCGCCACTGCGCCCGGCTAATTTTTTGTATTTTTAGTAGAGACGGGGTTTCACCGTGGTCTCGATCTCCTGACCTCGTGATCCGCCCGCCTCGGCCTCCCAAAGTGCTGGGATTACTTGCTTTTTCTAAGCTATGAACTTTTAAATTTTATAAGGTTCTCAGATCAACTTAATCTTGTTTCGTTATACTAAGTGTTTTCTGTTGCTTTTAACAGAATATCTGAAACTGGATAATTTATAAAGGAAATGAATTTATTTCTTATAGCTATGGAGGCTGAGAAGCCCAAGATCAAGGGGGTACAACTAGTGAGAGCCTTCTTGCTAGTGGGGACTCTGAAGAGCCCTGAGGCAGTGCCTGGTACCACATGGTGAGGGGGATGTGCATGCTTAAGTGCTAGCTCAGGTCTCTCTTCCTCTCCTTGTAAAGACACCAGCTCTGCTCCCATTATAACCCATTAATCCATAAGCCAATTGATCCATTTATGAGAAGAGAGCCCTCATGATCCAATCACCATGTAATGGCCCCATGCCTCTCAATACTGCCACACTGGAGATCAAGTTCCAACATGAGTTTTGAAAAAGACATTCAAACCGTACCATCAAGGTTTACCCATCTAAGGGATTCTCCCACTTAGCATTAGCTGCATCACACTAGTAGTTTTTAATTATTATTATATTTTTTTAGAGAGTCTCATTCTGTCACCCAGGCTGGAGTGCAGTGGCGTGATCTCGGCTCACTGCGACCTCCACCTCCTGGGTTCAACGATTCGCTTTTTACTTTCTTAAGAGTTATCAAGGAGATATTGAATCTTCATATTCCATATCACTAGCAGAAGAATACACGTAAATTCAGGGTCTTCAGGGCTTTGCTTAAACTGTACATAGATCAAATTCTTACTTATATAGTTGTATTTTTATTTTTATATAAATTTATATTCTTATTTTAGTTGTATACACAGTACAGAACCACAGCGTTCCAGAAACTTTTGGGTAAATAAAATTATCTGACTTTAATGCTGTGGCTTTAGGAAATTCCAACTTCCCAAAACCAAATGATTTCATAAAATACCATCACAGTGTATGAAAAAAAGAAAACAGATAACTAGAAAATATCCATTATTACAAGTTTAAACAACACTAATAAGGTTCAAATGGAAAATCTATAAATTCATATAATTTCCAATTATCTGGGTTCTGCTTGAACCAGCTCGTAAGGCACAGTGTTTATAATGATAATGCATTGTTTTACACCATATTTACATGAAGATTTAGCTTTAATACAGAAATCTAAATTCTTGCATGGTTTCAGATGTTATGCCTGAAATTCCAAAGTCTGCATTCTGTAGTAGCTGCAGTTAACACCCCAGAGGAAAAAATAAACTACATTCTTTAATTTTTTTTCTAGGGTCTGCATTCCTACTGCTTCTGGGACTTAAATCTGACATATAGGCAATTTTAAAGGTGACTCCTAAAAAAAAAAAAAAGGTGATTCCTGGGATTCTTAGAAGAATAAAATATGAAGGTATAAGTGTGATTTAAGAATAGGTGCAAAATATAAGCAGATTATGCGTCCAATAAAAAAAAAATAGGAACAAAACACAGAAGGTACCAAGGTTTTTTTGGGCACTCATTTTTTCACACTAACTACAATTTTCCCAATGTCATCTAGGAGGACCTCTGTACCTCCTCTGAGATGTGAACTGTGGGAAAACATTTTAAATGGTCCATTTTCAAGGCATGATAAATCTAAGCACTGGCAGCCAGCCTTGGTATGTAACAAACCGCACTGCTCATGCACCTAGAAGGTCACAATAAACGAACAGAATGTAGAGGAGGAGTCAGCCCATAAAAGGGAAGAAAGTTTCGTTATTGGGAAATCAAAACTTAAGGGGGGAAGGGAATGGGGTATATAACCTTACAAGGGGGATAATGAAACTTACGCGATGTCTGGGAAGACTGTAATCCCATAGTACTTAACCAATCAGAAACTGGGGGAAGGACTTGTGTGCTAGGAGATAAATTACCTGCTGTAACTGCCCCAGGTGTGCCTGCCCACCAGACACCCAATCTTGCAAGACTGCCATTAAAAGTCTTGCTTCCACTGTTCTTCAGGTCTCCAAGTCTGTTCTTTCGGTTTGGACGGGTAAATGGGTGGTTCTTAGATGAAGATATGGTCTTTAGCTCTTAAGTGCTGTTAAAGGTACCTGAAAAGTCTTCTCCCCAAGTTTGGCTTTTCCCTCGAGGTTCTTAATGAGGCTTTGCACCTTCTCCTGGGTTATCTGTCAGGGTGGCAATTAAGAATTTTGGTTTTCCTTTGTAAGCCTCATCTTCCCACTTAGGACATCTGACTAGGATGGGATTTGTTCAGTTTTCTCTTCTAACGGTCCCAGGGAAAAGTAATTTGGGATCATTTCAGATACGCCAATTCTATCTATTAATATACTTTTGAACTCAGGTATCCTAATGGTATAAATACTATAAATTGATCCAGGAGTGAGTCTCCCTTCCTGACTCTTGAAATGAGAAGCATTCATTAAGACAGTGAATCTGGCCTAGAGACAAAAATGAGACCCACAGGAAAAACAGATCTCCTGTAAGGACGAGAAGGGTGGGTAACACCCCTGTGGGGAAGGGTAACACAAACATTACAGTCCTCATCTAAGGAGACAAAAACCTTCCTGAACTCTGCAGGGCCCAGCGCAGAGCCTCAGCAACTGAGGGGATATAGGCAAGCCAGACAGCAAGACATCAAGGGGTCTTAAGAGCATGCATATTCCCTGTTCTGTAGCCCTGACTTCATTCAGGTTCTGGAACTGCTCCAGGCTATGACAAACTGTTAGAAATAAGACCACAGACTTGCAATTTTCTGAAATACAATACAGATTTTTTGCTCTTTACTAAAAAAAATCTGCCTGAAGAAAAAAATCAAGAGTATTTACCATCCTGAAGTCAGGTAAGTTCAGGTAACTGATTCACTTCAGTTCATAATACACCAGTTTTCTTTATACATGGGTTTATCCCAAGATCCCAGCAACCCCCACTTGTGAGAAATTATTTTGAGATCTTGGAGGAAGGGCCTTGTATTCTCAAACTTCCTGTATATATTTGAAAAGAAATTTCAAGTTTGAAAGTTTGACAATGGGAGAGCAACAGGAAACTAAGCACAATATACATTTGTAAAGATACAAATATACATTTTGAAATCAAGGGGACTCACAGTAAACAAGGTAAATTATGCACATGAAAGAAGATTCATTTATTTGAAAAGGAAGTATCTGGAGATAGGAAAAACCAAAGATGTTTTTTCCTACTTTCTTTTTTGTACAGACAAGGTCTCACTATGTTGCCCAGGCTGATCTGGAACTCCTGGCCACAAGGATCTGCCCTATCCTGAAACTTTCTAGGGGCCCCCAGCCACCAGTCATCACATGAGCATACAAAAGACACTTAACTCTGCAGATTCCGCTGGATGTCAGGGATTGGGGATAAAGACCAAATACATATTTCACAATATCATAGCACGTTATTTTTTGCGTCTCAGCAAAAGTGACAAACACAATGGGAAAAGGAGACTGATTTCCCTCATGCCATTATGAGAAAAATATCTGAGTGTACTCACTCAGTAACACACACGGCAAAGGCCATTATGAGAAAAATATCTGAGTGTACACAGTAACACACACGGCAAAGGCAAAGTTATTCCAGAGGTAATATGTAACTGGCAAAATTTTCCTCAAATTCTTTCCTCTTTTTACTATGACCTAAGCTGCACACACATTTCTGCCTCTGCATCCTTGATTGTACACGCTGCAAATATAGTCAATTTGCATTATTTGTGGTACTTATGTTCCATAAAGTCCACAAACACTGAAGTAGTGAATACCAAATCACTGCTCCTAGAAAACATACAGGGTTAGGTTTCTGCAAGCTTTGTTTTTGTCAACAGAACAATGCAACATATTGTTGATTCAGTAACACTGAACTCTCTGCCAACAGCATTATAACTTGTGCATGAATGAAGCTTATCTAATATACTTATTTTCTCCTAAGCCTTCCTGAGCTTAGGAACATCAGAAAGCACTCCAGCAGGGCATTTGGAGGCCATTTTAAACAGTAAAATCACCAACAAAAAGAACAGAAATTAGGAAGAGATGGGACTAAGTAGACTCAAAAAGGATACATGTTTACGGTATGAGAGCTGAAACTAGAAGGCAGAGTACCATTTGTTTCACTTCTGTTGGGAGGTGACTCACATTTTTGCCTACAAATGGCTCAAAAGCACTTGTGCAAGTACTGGTTCTGGGGTTATGGATAGATTTGAGCAAGGAGGCAAATTTACAAATATAAAATCCACAAATAATGAGGATATTTCAATTCCTTCAATGTGGTTGGAAAGCACAATTGCCCCAATAGGACAGTCAGAAACCAGGACTAGGAACTTGTATGAAAAAAGAACCTAGTCTTAATTGCCACCATCTATGTCTAAAATAAATTCTCAGGGAAGCAGAATTCTTACCTCTGTATGCTGTACATTTTTTCTATTAAAAAATGTCATAACTTCATTAAGCAGGTGAACTAAAATTTAAGAGACATCAATCAAAGAAATGACTAATGAATTTCACTTTAGTTTTTATTTTATTGTAAAACATTGAGATGGAATGATAGGGTTTCCCAGAATCAGGTCCATATTTTAACTAAATGAAAATTATGATTTATAGCCTTCTCAAATACCTGCCATACTTGATATCTCAACCAGAGCTAATTTTACCTCTTTACAAATTAAATAAGCAAGTAACTGGATCCACAATTTATAATACCTGTCAATTTTTTCTGTATTAAACCTCTATCATAGTTTAAGCCTATTAGGGTACTTAATCCTTACAAATAAACAGGTTTAAAATCACCTCAATAGGCAACTGCCCTTCTGGTTTTCTTCTTTGACTAAACAATCTGAATGCTTAAGATTTTCCACTTTGGGTGCTAGCAGTACACAGTGTTACACTCTGTATTCCAGACTTCTTAAATTATAGAAAAAGGAATGTACACTTTTTGTATTCTTTCTGAGCAGGGCCGGGAGGCAACATCATCTACCATGTTAGGGACTTGTATGCATGGACTACTTTACTGCATATATTTCAAGTTGCCCCCGCTTTTTTTTTCAACCACGCATTAACTCAAGATCAATGTATGTTCCATTAGAATAAGATTTATTAACTAGGAATTGCCAGAAAATCTTCCTGGTAACAAGGAAGTCCCCGTATTGTGAGTCTTAAGATTTTTCTGAAGAGAAAACCATACATATATAGCCTTTTTTCAGATGCTCAAAGAGGTCTAAAATCCTCTCCACCTCCAAAATAATAAGAAACATCTCAGCTGGGCACAGTGGCTCACGCCTGTAATCCCAGCACTTTGGGAGGCCAAGGTGGGCAGATCACTTGAGGCCAGGAGTTCAAGACCAGCCTAGCCAACATGGTGAAATCCCATCTCTACTAAAAATACAAAACTTAGCTGGGCATGGTGGTGCACCCCTGTAGTCCCAGCTACCCAGTAGGCTGAGGTAGGAGAATTGCTTGAACACGGGAGGCAGAGGTTGCAGTGAGCCGAGATCGTGCCACTGCACTCCAGCCTAGGTGACAGAGAGAGACTCTGTCTCATTAAAAAAATTAAAAAAAAAAAATGCTGGGTGAGGTGGCTCATGCCTGTAATCCCAGCACTATGGGAGGCCAAGGAGGGTGGATTAGTTGAGGTCAGCAGTTCCAGACCAGCCTGTCCAACATGGTGAAACCCCATCTCTACTAAAAATACAAAAATTAGCTGGGCGTGGTGGTGTGCACCTGCAATCCCAGATACTTGGAGGCTGAGGCAGGAAAATCACTGGAATCCGGGAGATGGAGGTTGCAGTGAGCTGAGATTGCGCCACTGCACTCCAGCCTGGGTGACACAGTGAGACTCCATCTCAAAAAAAAAAAACATGAATCATCTCACTGATCCTCTTATTTTACAAAACAGTAATATGCAGTATTGTTTAGTTTAACTTGCCATCATTCAGTAGCTAACCCTATTCTCCAAAGTTCTGGTAGCTCTAACAAACTGTAACTTTATAAACAGAGACAGGCACTTTGGTTCTATTCTAATACTTTCACAAACATACTGCATTTATAACATTTAAAAGATTTTAATTACTGTCAAATATATCTGGATTACATCTTTTTTTTTTCTTTGATAGCGTTTCACTCTTGTTGTCCAGGCTGGAGTGCAATGGGGTGATCTCAGCTCACTGAAACCTCTGTATTCCAGGTTCAAGCGATTCTCCTGCCTCAGCCTCCCAAGTAGCTGGGATTACAGGCACCTGCCACTAAGCCCAGCTAATTTTTTTGTTATTTTAGTACAGACAGGGTTTCACCATGTTGGCCAGGCTGGTCTCAAACTCCAGACCTCAGGTGATCCACCCACCTCGACCTCCCAAAGTGCTGGGATTACAGGCATGAGCCACTGTGCCTGGTCTGGATTACATCTTAACCTACAATATTTCATGAAGTTAATGATTTTAAATAAAAGGAAATCAAGTAACATCTGAATTTCTAAGTCTAAATACATTTAGATGATAGTGACTCCTGCAACTGTTTCAAAATTATTGGAAAATATGTCATTTTCTTGAAATGAACTTGGTATTAAAGGCAGCAAATATGTCTTTATAAGGAGTTTCTGAATCTGACTTGGTCGATGGTATTCGGCAAAGTTGGCGAAATCCAGGAGAACGCAGCAGCAAATTCTGTGAAAGGCCCACGAAGCTGGAGCATAACCAGTAGAGAACAATTGACTATAAAGAGAAGACATAAATGTTAGCATCTGTAATTCTACAAGGACATCACAGTCCAGACAATAAAAAATAAAATGACAATCTTTGTAAATACAAGTATGCCAAGACTAAGCAAGACTTGCAGCAGCTACTAGATTCCTGGGATAGATTTAATAGACAGGGAAAAAAGGTTACAGACAGACCAAAAAGCAAAAATAAAGGAAAAAGAGAAGTATTTAGGGTAGAAAGTAAAAAGAGAGAAGCTCCTAGGCAGAGGCTCAAGAGAGATCTTATCTCCCTTCTTCGACAATGGAACATAACTTTTTCCCCACCAAAAGTCCTGTCCAACTGCTTACATACTGAAGGTAGAATGCTGGAAGTGTGGCACTTATGATGGCAAACTTAGCCTCCCTACACCTAATTTTCCCCATACAGTCATCTATCTTCCAAATGTTTCCCAACAGCCAGTTTCTCAGTGTAGTAAGGAATGCATTTTCTTTGCCTTCTTCTGAGACAAACAGCCTCAGCATTATCTCCAAATTTCTTTTGTATTACCATCTTGAGCAGTGGTCCCCAACATTTTTGACACTAGGGGCCAATTTTTCCATGGACAGGAGGAAGATTTTGGGATGAAACTGTTCCATTCCTCGTATCATGAGGAATGAGATCCTCATAAGGAGTGTACACCCTAGATCCCTCACCTGTGCAGTTCACAATAGGGTTCGTGCTATGAGAATCTAATGCTGCTAATCTGACAGGAGGTGGAGCTCAGGTGGTAAGGCTCACTTGCCCACCACTCACCTCCTGCTGTCAGCCGGCTCCTAATCGGCTATGGACCAGTACTGGTCTGTGGCCCCGGGTGACCATTTATTTAGGTCAATACGAAGTTCTACAACCTCCTGAAATACTCCTATACTTACACCTGTTCCAAACTTTTCTTTAGCATCAGAAGGTAATCAGGCCCCAGAAACAAAATCATGCAGTTGTTAAGTCTAGGTCCTGGAGGCAAACTGCCTGAATTTGAATCCTACTTGCCATCTATTTGACTTTGAGTAAGTTATTTTCCTTCTGTTCCAGTTTCCTCATCTGTAAAGTGGGGACAGTAACTGCATCTACCTCAGAGGATTGCTGTGAGGAATAAATGAGATAATTCATGTAGAGTGGTATGCAAGTATGTGGTCCACATTCAGCACTTACATTTGTTATTTGTTCCAAAGTCAGTCTTTAGGGGCAGAAAGCAGCACATCCTCAAAGGTAGATTAGCACAGTAGTTAAGAGGAGGAGCCAAACTGCTTAGATGTGTGTTAAGACTCTATCACTTATAGCTAAGTGACCTTGGATGAGTTACTTAACTTCTCTGTGCCTCAGTTTCCTCATCACCAAAGTGAAGATTATAATAGTACCTTTATCGTCGCGCTGTTGGGACAATTACATGGGGTAAAATATGTAAACCATTTAAAACAGTGCTTAGCACAAAGTCAGTGTTAAATAAATATTGGCTATCATCATTATCTGATTTATCCACCAAAAGAAAAAGAACCTGCGGCCAACTACAGCAGTCTATAAGTTGCCAGCTAAGTATCAATCTCCCCTCTTCCTTAGTAACAAAATCTTAATTTTTATTTGAGTAGGCTGTCATCTAAAAAAAAAAAAGACTATATTTCCTTGCCTCTTCTGCAGTGAGGGGTGGTCATAAAACTAAGATGTTAACACAACTGTTTGGTGGAACATCTGGCAAGTCTCCTTAAAAGGGGCTGACTGCACTTGAGGCACCCTTTTCTATTCCTGCATGATAACAAGCTCTAACAGCCATGACCGTAGTGTAGCCTTGAAATCACAGGCTGTGGATAACAAAGCAGAAAGAGAGCAGCAGTCTGGGTCTCTCATCTTCATGGACTTGTCTCATCATCCCTAAGCTGCTTAATCAGATTTCCTATAATTGACAGGATAAATTTTGGGTATTTAAGGCATTGTGTTTTAGATCTCTTGTTACTCATTTTGAACTCAATCCCTCATTAAAACTTAACTGCTCGTATTTTATTTTATCTGAGGCGTTCTTCAGTATATAGCTGGTATGATTGCTCTGTGGAAATGTAGTGAATCTGTGCCGTTCTACTTTTACAGGGTATTTTACAACACTACTACTTTATGTAAAAAGTTCTCTAATAGGCACTCATTTCATTAATTCTCACAGGCATTATGATATCTATTTTAGAGATGAACAAACTTATTCTGCATAGGATTAATGACAGTATTATGTTCAGTAACAGCCTAAAAAATAGATTTTGATAGCAAAAACATACTGTTTTAGATTCCTATAAAAAATATTGTGGGCCAGGCATGGTGGCTCACACCTGTAATCCCAGCACTTTGGGAGGCCGAGGCGGGTGGATCACCTGGGTCAGGAGTTCAAGACCAGCCTGGCCAACATGACGAAACCCCACCTCTACTAAAAATACAAAAATTAGCCAAGTGTGGTGGCGTGTGCCTGTAATCCCAGGTACTAGGGAGGCTGAGGGAGGAGAACCACTTGAACCCAGGAGGAGGAGGTTGCAGTGAGCTGAGATTGCGCCACTGCACTCCAGCCTGGGCGACAGAGCAAGACTCCATCTCAAAAAAAAAAAAAAAAAATACTGTGAGGTAGTTTTATATATGCTACACCCTAACTATTAATAACAACTGAATTCGACTTTATGTGTTAGCTCTGAGTAAACATGGAGATATACCTAACACAGCTTTTGCCTCCTTAGAAACTTCTAAAGTATTTGTGGGAAACATGCAAAAGACTGAACTAACTGCAAACATAACCATTTCTTTTTCTATTTCTATAAAGATTAATTAGGTATATACAGGGACAAGTTTACCTATTTCATAGAGTTGTTATGAGATTAAATAATACCATACACAAACCCAAATGGTCTTAGCATTTTGTTTTGTTTCTTTTTAAGTGCTAAATTCTTTGCTCCAGTCTACATAGGCAGAACTAATTCAATATACCAAGTAGTCAAATGGAAGAAATACCATATTCATGGTATTATGCAAAACACGTTGCAAAATTTAAAAAAAGGCAAGAAATAGAGACAGATTAGTTACCACAGAAACACTGATTTGGTAAGGGATCAAGTAGTCAGAGGAAGTTCAGCAGAAGAAGCAGGATCCCAGCCAGGTGCGGTGGCTCACGCCTGTAATCCCAGCACTTTCGGAGGCCGAGGCGGGAGGATCACAAGGTCAGGAGATCGAGACCATCCTGGTTAATATGGTGAAACCCCGTCTCTACCAAAAATACAAAAAATTAGCCAGGCGTGGTGGCAGGCGCCTGTAGTCCCAGCTACTCAGGACGCTGAGGCCGGAGAATGGCGTGAACCCAGGAGGCGGAGCTTGCAGTGAGCCGAGATCGCGCCACTGCACTCCAGCCTGGGTGACAGAGCGAGACTCCGTCTCAAAAAAAAAAAAAAAAAAAAAAAGAAGAGGCAGGATCCCAGCCAGTCTAAGCTAAAGTCAGAGAGGATTTAGCACATGCTACACACAATATTGGTGCTTACTCACTGAGGGTACCGTTGCAGCAATTGGTATCATCAACACCGACATTGCACGGACAAAGTACGTAATATACGTCTGAAAACGAGACATTCCAATTTTTTGTAGAGCACAAATCTGAAGGGGTAGAACATATACATGCATAATGATTATTAAAACGCATATTAAATCAGACAAGCTTTAAAATATAAACTGATTTTTCACTGGCCTCCATCTACACTTTAATAAAAGTTATATATATACACACAAAACACTGATTAATTTATATGGCTGATCATCTTTTTATTTTTTGAGACCTGTCTTGCTATCAAACTGAGACCAGTTTAAGGGCTGGTCTCAAACTCCTGGGCTCAAGTGATCCTCCCGCCTCCTCCTCCCAAGTAGCTGGGATAATAGGCATGCACCAACCACTGCACTCAGCTTGATCATCCATCTTTTAAAAATCTTAACTGGCCTAGGTGGAAGGATCACTCTAGTCCAGAAGTTTGAGGCTACAGTGAGCTATAATCATGCCACTGCACTCCAGCCTGGGCAATACAGCAAGATCCTGTCTCTTAAAAAAAACGACAACAAAAAAAAAACACTAATTATGTCAAATTCTTAAACGGAGGTTTTTTGACACTTTGTACCAAAAAACAAGGGCAATGATTTATATGGTAGCTATTGTCACAGGATTCTTCAAGCTCCACTTAACAATGATTTATATGGTAGCTACTGTCACAGGATTCTTCAAGCTCCACTTAAGAATTCTGCGTAAGGCTGGGGGCCTGTAATCCCAGAACTGGGAGGCCCAGGCAGGCCGATTGTTTGAGCTCAGGAGTTTGAGACCAGCCTAGGCAATTAGGCAACATAGCGAAACCATCTCTACAGAAAATACAAAAATTAGCTGGGCGTGGTGGCATGTCTGCAGTCCCAGCTATTCAGGAGGGAGGCTGAGGTGGGAGGATCGCTTAAGCCTGGAAGGCACAGGTTGCAGTGAGCTGAGATCACGCCACTGCACTCCAGCCTGGGTGACAGAGTAAGACCGTCTCCAAAAAAAAGAAAAGAAGGAAAAAAAAAAAAAGACTTCTCCATAATTATGACTCTAGAGCCAAACTACGTAGTTTTACATTTTTATGCCTCACTTTCTCTGCATTAAAAAAGGATAATATTTAGCTCACAGGGTTATTCCAAGAAGTAAATGAGTTGATTTATGTAAATTGCTTATAACAATGCCTATGGCCAGGCACAGTGGCTCACACCTGTAATTCCAGCACTTTGGGAGGCTGAGGCGGGCGGATCATTTGAGGTCAGGAGTTCCAGACCAGCCTGGCCAACATGGTAAAACCCAGTCTCTACTAAAAATACAAAAAATTAGCTGGGTGTGTTGGCGGGCGCCTGTAATCCCAGCTACTCGAGAGGCTGAGACAAGAGAATCACCTGAACCTGGGAGGTGGAGGTTGCAGTGAGTGGAGATCACACCACTGCACTCCAGCCTAGGAAACAGAGTGAGACTCTGTCTCAAGAAAAAAACAAACAAACAAACAAACAAAAAACACAATGCCTTGCACATAGTGTATGTTGAGTAAGAATAAGCTTTTAATAAGCTTTTATTTTTCTTTTAGAGGTGAGGTCTTTCTCTCTGTCGCCCAGGCTAGAGTACAGTGGTGGGATCACAACTCACTGCAGCCTCCATCTCTTGGGCTCAAACAATCCTCCTGACTCAGCTTCCAAGTAGCTGGAACTAGAGGCGCACGCCACCATGCCCCGCTATGAAAACACCTTTATTAGTCTTTAGATGACATAGAGGAAAAGACTAGGGGATTGACATTGATTCACTGTAACCTTGTGCTTATCACTTCCTTCTTTCTACCAAATATTCACTGAACACCAACCACAGGGGACTGTGCTAGTGCTCTTAGGGAAACATATTTGGACTACAGGTAGAGTCTTTCCTCAAGAAACTTTCACTTAAGACCTTATATTCTATCATCTCCATTTTCCTCATCTGAAAGAATAAGGGGTATATTAGATTTCACAAACAGGCATCAGAGGTCATGAGGTCTGGGAGATCTCTACTGAGGTAAATCATTTTTAAGATTTCTTCCAGTCCAGTCTGTTCTACTCAGAGTCTGAGAACAATTTATGAAATTATATGCACGCTTTCCCTAAACTGCTGAGTAAAGCAGCCTGTGATAAGGGTTAAGACATGACTGAGAGGGCTGGGCACAGTGGCTCATGCCTGTAATCCCAGCACTTTGGAAGGCCAAGGCGGGTGGATCACCTGAGGTCAGGAGTTCGAGACCAGCCTGGCAAACATGGTGAAACCCTGTCTCTACTAAAAATACAAAAATTAGCCGGGTGTGGTGGTGTGCGCCTATAATCCCAGCTACTCAGGAGGCAGAGGTTGCAGTGAGCCAAGACTGCGCCATTACACTCCGGCCTGGGCAACAAGAGCAAAACTCCATCTCAAAAAAAAAAGAAAAAAAAAGACATGACTGAGAGGTCACATTTTCTATGTGTATGTTTTTCCCATTTCATCTTATAAAGACATTCAATGACTTTTCTAAGGTCATAAAGCAAGAAAATAGCAGTCAGGGCCTGACTTGTGTTCTCCGCCTACAAATTCACATATTAAACACACACACGGAACATCACTCTATTTTAAGAATACAACCAGATTGACTGGGCATCTTTATTACTGTTTTTGCCAAAAGCAAGTCACAAAATTCTATGTATCAGAATCATATAATTTTGAAGCTGAAAGAGACTTGGAAGTATACTAGTGCTTTTACTTTAATTTCGAGAGTTCTGAGGCCCAGAGAGGTTAAGGGACAGGCCTAAGCCAATGCCTGACGTGGAACCAGGAACCAAGGGATCTCACTTCTAACTCAGAGCTATCTTCACCAACTCAAACAAAAACAGATTTGAAGTCAAAACAGCAGCAACAAAAATCCCCATAAATGGCAAACAAATTTCATTTAAAACTACTGACCTCCACTATTAACAAATTGATGACGCCAACAGAGATAGGCAGAATCCAAGTGGAGTCGGGTGCAGTGAGGTCAGGAAACCACAGAATTCCACCAGTAGCTAACTGTTCCTGAACAGAAAAACCTGCTAAAACAGTTTTATAAATAAAACAATAGAAGTCCTAAAAATAGCAGAGAAAAATATATAAGACATAAATAAGTAGTCTGACAATTCCAATAAGGTGTCCCTCACAGGAAAGATCTGCACTGGATTTATTCCAGTTTTTCACGCACAATATATATATTTTTTCTCAATACAAAATGTTCACAACACAACCAATCTGTTTACACTTAAGACTTTAAATTCTATACCCTTATAAGGAAGATAGTAAACATATCGTAATTATGAAAAGTATGCTTTTTTTTTTTTTTTTTTTTTTTTAGTACAAAGACAATGTTAGAGAACTTCTTTGGGAGAAGACATACAATAATTACCTTCTGAATGTGCTGCCCCCGTGCTTAAATTCCGGAGAGCAAAAGACATGAAGATCCACATTGGAAGCTGAATCCAAACCAACACAGTGGCTTTGAAAGGGTGGCAGTTATCTCGCACATATAGCTCTGAAATTAGCCTCCTCATATTCTTTAGATAAGTGAGCCTAGATTGAGGTTAGGGGGAAAAAAGGGGAAAGAGAAAATGTCATCTAAGAATCGTGCTTTATTTCCATAGCACAAATAGCGCCTGCTGTAGTTATTAGCTAAAGGATTTGTATAAGGGTTTCAGCTGTCACAGGCATGTTAAGGAGTTGCCTAAACAACAGGCAAATAAAGCCTTTTATCAAAACTTCTACAGTATGGTACACAAGTTACATAACAATCTGAAATTGTCAGACTACAGGCTTTGTCTCTGGTGGTCTTTGGCTGATTAGGCTTTAAAGGTAAATTTCACTACTGACATGGTATAACTACAATTAATATTGGAAATATGGAAGCTAAAAGCAAACTTTAATCAAATCTCTCCACTCCCGCCAAACTTAACCACTTCATCCCTGAATATACCTTTTGGAGCTATGTGGTTTTATACTGTGTATGCTCTTGGCCTGTCAAAATAGTCTCCATTTTTCAATCAACTATCTCACAAAGATATTTTTAATCTGTTTCTCTGTTAACCATATTAGTTACTACTGTTTTTTCCTGAAATTTTACTTTTTAGAATACAGTCTTCCTTCAGGTCCAAGAGAATAGGAGTTAAAAAACAAAAACTAAAGTATTCTTAGTTTAGGGGACAGTGTTCTATTTTATTCATCTTTAAATCTCCTGTATCATATATTTTGTACAGAGGAGGCATTCAATAGTTTTTCTGAATTTAGTCAAATTATAGTGTATAATAAGACAGTACACAAAGACATTCTAGGTCCTCCATAATTTCACATTTGCCTATTCTTCCAATTTTATCTCGTTACTCCTCTAGACACCTGCATATTCTGGTCTGAATGACTTTAGTTCATCCAACAAATCAGACTTCCGCATAGGCATGCCTTTGGAAGTACTGTATTATATCATCTGTGTGGAAAGCCCACTTTCCTGGCTGTCCATCTGACACACCGTCTTTTACCCTTCAAGACTCAATACTATTGAAAATGCAGGAAGCTGGCCAACACTGTGGCTTGCACTTGTAATTCCAGCTACTTGGGAGGCCAAAGTGGGAGGATTGCTTGAGGCCAGGAGTTTGAGATCAGCCTGCACAACACAGGGAGATTCTGTCTTGTTCAAAAAAACAAAAAAGAAAAGAAAAGAAAAGAAAATGCCAGAAGCCCTCAGATGTTTCCTCCTAGAAAGAAACATCTGTAAGGCTGTATCTGCACAACCATCCTGCCAGTACTGCTTAAGCAAGGTGCCACAAGTCTTATCTAGGCTGCGTTGATAACCCAGGCAAGCAGCTATTAATCTGGTTCTTTTGGCCTATGGCTGAAGCTTTCGACTTCTTTGATAAGTAAAATTTCAAACCTATAGGTCAACTTTTAATTTTTACCAAATAAAGACATTAAGCTATCACCACGATTTTTTAAAATGTCAGATCTTTTTAACACTAAATATAGGACACAATCTCGTATTAAAGATAGTTGGGAAATGTACAACTATATAAAAATATATGGTTAATAATATACACATAACACAGATTGATACCACAAAGGCCTTTTTCCATTGCTGTAAAAAGGAGAATAATTTTTCGCAGTCTAGTAAGGATTAGAGTTTGGGAAACTGATTGAGGAGTTGATTGAAGCAAGAGGGCTTGTAAGTTCCCAGTGAATGAATGCAGACATCCTTGGGCGCAATCAAGCACCCTTAGATTGGGACTTTCCAAGAACCCAGGCAGACAACTGCACAGAATAACCACAAAGGATAGACAGCATCTTAGCTATCAAAGTGTTTCTACTGTGGCACTTGTTTTCTACCTCCTCTTTCCTGTAGGCTATTACCTGCTGTATCTTTTCCAAAAGGTCAAGATTGTAAATAACCTGTGTCATTTGTTGACCAATATCACAAAAGAATGGCAAAGTGCCTTCATCCTGTGAACCCTGCCCTGACCTTCCTTGATGATCTAGCTCCTTGTACATCATCTTTATATAACAGTTAGTTCACTGACATCATTATTTGATTACAGGTCTGTCTTTTTCAATAGGCTGGAATCCCTAAAGAATAGGAACATACTCTTCTTATCTTTATCTATTTATTTCTTTGCTTTCAGTCCAGCATATGAAACTATCATGCCATATTAATAACTTATGAAAATATAAAAGAGTAGGCTGGGCACGGTGGCTCACGCCTGTAATCCCAGCACTTTGGGAGGCCGAGGAGGGTGGATCACCTGAGGTCAGGATTCCAGACCAGCCTGACCAACATGGAGAAACCCCATCTCTACTAAAAATACAAAATTAGCCAGGCATGGTGGTGCCTACCTGTTAATCCCAGCTACCTGGGAGGCTGAGGGAGGAGAATCGCTTGAACCTGGGAGGCAGAGGTTGTGATGAGCCGAGATCACACCATTGCACTCCAGACTGGGCACCAAGAGCAAAACTCCGTCTCAAAAAAAAAAAAAAAAAAAAAAAATATATATATATATATATATAAAAAAAGAAATACTTTACTGCCAAAACTACAGAATACTCAAACTTATAATTAACATCACAATTTATGTATGTGTGTGTGTGTGTGTGTGTGTGTGTGTGTGTGTATGTGTGCGTATGGTCTTACGTGGATATAATTAGCTTACCTGGCATCTCTTTTGGACCACCCCAACTGATTTGCACGAACTGCAACTTCTTGGTTAAGATGCCTGGCAATAGTTTTTATTTCTGGCTGCAAATTTTCCACCTAGCTAAAAAATAGGTTTTGTTATGAGCACATAAAGGATCTTTATTCATAATGACTCATAATCTTTCACATTATTCCCTCGAGTCATTTAAAAATGTAGTTTACTGATCATATCAAGAAATCTTAATTCTAAGCACAAGATGTTAATTTGCTTAAAATGTCCTCAGTCACAACCAAATTCACAATGCATACTTATCCATGTGATCCTGTGCAAGTAACTTAACCTCTAAAATCATGTTCCCTCACATATAAAATATATAACAGCACCTACTTCACAGGGTTACAAATATTAGATAAGAACTGCACCCTGGGCTTTACTGTTCCATCTCTACATTTCCTAGTAACGTAAGCGGAGAAAACAGCAGTTTGTTAAGAACCTTTAATACACTGTGATAGCCACAAATCAAAAGTAAAAATAGCATTTATTCCTGCCCTGTGCTCATTCTTCCTGTAAAATGGCTCACTGCCTTAATGTTGCTGCTGATTCCGTTCCTGTTTTGTTTCCGGTTTTTTTTCCCCATGCTCACAACCTGAAAACAAGAAAGCCACTATTTTTGAAATATCCCATTTGAATAATCAAGCACTTTAACCCGTATTATCTGACTTGCTCTGATAACGCTGTGAAGTAGGCAAGGAAGGTACTGCTAGCCTGATTCCTCAGAAAAAAGGATTCAGCATTAAAAGGTCAAGTAACTGCGACCAACCAGACACAGTCTTAGTCGGGTCTGGAGAGGAAACAAGTTCGCAAACTGTTAGTCTAGTAGTTTCTTCCTAATAAGAAAGACCAGCTGGAATACTTTGGGACGAAAGACACTGCAGACATACTGGCTATTAAAACTTTTAAGACATAAATTTTGTAGGTTTCGCCAACACAATTTCTTCTGCGACTGATTTCTTTGTCTCCGTTCCCCGAGAGCAAGTATAGTAACCACTTGTGCTTGGAGCACAAATCCAGTAAGACAAAAGAAATGACAGGTACACGTGTCACAAAGTATCTTATTTAACACACCTAATGCTAGTTCAATTTTTTTTAACGCTAAAATGGTCACAATGAAATGGTCACGATGATTAAACACTAAGCACTGCAGAAGGCAACATCGTGCGATCGAAAACCCTGAGTGAATGTCGGCCTTCCTCCGCCGCAGGGGTTGCAGCGCAGGGTACGCGCACGGCTCGGCGCCCCTCACCTTGGCCAGGATGTAGTGCTGGTAGGCTGCCAAAGGCAGCGTGACAGCACCCCGTAAGGCCACGGTGGAGAGCAGAATGCTGCCCCACCAGGGCAGGCCCGTGGCGGCGTGCACGCCGAGCAGTACTTCCTCCGCAACCCGCACCGGCGAAGACGCGGCCAGGGCCTCGTACCAGCCGTTCGCATGTACTGCAGAGACTGGTGCCACTGCCCACACTGGGAGAGTGGGGCGCTTGGCGCCGCTCGTAGGAACCGGCGCAAGCGGCAGGTCCCTAGCCCAAAGCTGCAGGGCAGGGAGCGGCCGCAGCCACCGACCGCCGAGCCGGCACAGCATTTCTGCACCACGGCGGAGCCCAGATCCCGGGCCTCACAATCCAGCGGACATACACCGGCCAGCCAAGGCTGATACGCGCACGCGCCAGCAACAGCGGGCATAAAGCGCATGCGCGCCTGCCTGCAGCCGCGATTGACCTTCCCAGTCAAGCCGGTGACGTCTTGCGTCGCAGTGGATGTGACGCAAGAGATAGGAAAGTCCCGCCTTTCCCACGCGGCACTGGACAGGCCTACTGCGCACACGCGAAAGTTTCCCGCTGCTAGGGTGTAGTTAGTCCGAGGCCGGACCAAAACTGCAGAGACATGGGTGGAGCCTGCTGCCCTCCGCCAGGCTGGGTGTTCTTTAGGGAGCTCTCGCCTTGTAAAGTTCATCTACACCGTGTAACTTACCATTCTTTTTCACTAAAGCTAATAGTCATTTGTAGTGGAATTATCCTTGCTCGGTTTTTTGTGACCAGAAGCTGATCCCCAACCTCTTTACGTGCACCTGATTGCTTCCGTTAGCGATTACGATAGATTATCATACTCAAGAGTCACACGTTGCTAAAGTACCTGCTTGTAGAGAGACGCATGTTTCTTGCTGACTCTGAGTGTTAAGCACGAGGGATAGTTCAGTCTCTTGTAGATTTAATTGGCCCATCTGTTCCAGTTAGTATTTGGACCACCAACTGCAAACTGAATTTCTTCGGTGTTTTGTCTTCCATGATAAATAGCAGCAAAAATCTTATAGTAAAAGTATCATCTCTTTATTTAAGGGAAACTATCACTGGCAGTACGGTGAATTCCTTGAGTTTACTTGTATCCTATATAAGCTTTAAAGAGCCTGAACAGCAGCACTGGCTGTCTTCTGGTTTAAAGGAATACGTTGAATCTACATGGACTATATAGTTTTAACTTTTGTGTTCCTGGAAACAACAAAATGGAATGTTGTGGAGGAGTTTCCTCACCGAAGGGTCACCCCTAGACTACAGACTAAAATATGTTGTGAGGAGTAAACCTTGATTTTTATTTATTTATTTATTTACTTACTTAGGAAAAGAAGCCTCCAACAATGTTGGGTAATGTCAAACGCCAGCTATTGTTTGCCCTTCACTGTGCACCTAACCAAGGGTACCCTACGATAACTTTCTCAGGATTCTGGAATTCATCTGCTTTCCAAACTGACTGATAAATCTATACATGAATTTTTAAATGTGTTTAAACACACAGCACAACACACACTATATATAAACTTTTTCTAAAAGAAAAACCTACCAATCTATTTCTTTATCCATTTATTAAGCTAACAAAAAAGCCATCAGTTGCTACTGACTACTGTTCAGCTGTTCATAATCTGAACAGAATTTTAAAGTTATTTTTGCTAGACACAGTGGATCACGCCTGTAATCCCAGCACTTTGGGAGGCCAAGATGGGAGGATACCTTAAGGGCAGAAGTTAGAGATCAGCCTTGGCAACATGGCAAGACCTCATCTCTACAACAAATACAAAAATCATCCAGATGTGGTGGCTTGCATCTGTGGTCTCAGCTACCAGGAGGCTAAGGCGGGAGAATTGCTTGAGCCCCCCGGAGTCCAAGGCTGCAGCGAGCAATGATCGAGCCAGTGCACTCCAGCCTGGGTAGCAACAAGATTCCCATCTCTTTAAAAAAAAAAAAAAAAAGCAAGAAAAGAAAAAAAAAAAGCTGTAAGCTGTTCTTCAATTCCTAAGATTTAATTTTGTGGAGTTCTATCGGGGTCACAAATGAGATTTCAGTGTTGGAACACATTTTTTGCTATACATTGTGTTCATATATTACATTCTTATTTTAAAAAGTATTTCCTTAAGTTTGAATATTGATCTAAATAAAATTTATGAATATTTAGTTTCTGCTAATTTCATATATGTGTATAAACACATTTCTTAATCTATATAACAGGGATGACTAGAACTTGCTATCTACTTGGTAGAGGATGTTGGGGGAAGTAGTTGTCAATTTTAAAGCCCAATGCAAAAGAAAAGTGTTACTACTAATGTATAGGTACTGTTTATACAACATTGTGATTATTTTGTATCTTTTGTTTCAGAGTACAGTACAAAATGATCTACAACTATTGAGTGGACCAACTGAAATCATTTGTCAATCCTCTTTGCAAATGAACTTGTGCAATGTATTAAAACATTTTTAAAGGTTCAACATTTATAATTAGCTTATTCCAGTCTTTGATATTAGTGTTATGTCAGTTAATTTCTCAACTTTAAATTCCTTAAGAAGAGACTACGTATTACATTTTCTTTCTGCAGTCTCTGTAATTCTTAACCATCATGGTGCCAAACACAGGAATGGAGCTTGCTATGGACTGAATATTTTTGTCCTCCCCAGATTCTTTTTTGAAACCCCAAGGTGATGGTATTTGGAGGTAATTCGTCTTAAGGGTAGAGCTCTTGAATTGGGTAAGTGCCCTCATAGGAAGAAACAAGGCTGGGCATGGTGGTTTACACCTGTAAATCCCTGTGCTTTGGGAAGCTGAGTGGGGAGGATCACATGAACCTAGGAGTTTGAGGTTGTAGTGAGCTATGATCATGCCACTGCACTCCAGCCTGGGTGACAGAGATCCTGTCTCTTGGAAAAGACAAAAGCAAGATGACCTTTTTCTGCCCTACACAAAGAAACTGAAAAGGAAACAGCCATCTGCAAACCAGAGAAAAGGCCCTCAACAGAAACCATAAAGGCTGGCATGTTGACGTTAGACATTGTAGCTCTCAGAACTGTGAGAAACACATTCTGTTAATCTCCTCAGTCAACAGTATTTTTGTTGTAGTAGCCTGAATTAAGTGCTGAAAATTTGAATATGGGGTGTAATTATCATGTAATCATTTAGTCTTCTCTTTTCCCAAATATGCCTTCTGAAATGTTTGTCAAACTAAATGACTGTAGCTTACTAGGGTATATATAAAACAACAACAAAACACCTTTAAGAAATAAACTATTTCCATGAGCAATTGTTAGTGATCCCTTAGAATCAGATTAAGATTTCAGTTTTTCTTTCTTACTTAAGGCACTACTTCTCAAAACCAAAGCTACCTAATTTAGAATTGGCTTTTTTCTCTTTATTGAAAGACATCCCCTTGCCATCTTTCTTATTATTGGTTTTCAAGCATTGAAAATGCAAAGTTGGCTTTTGTTTTTCAGAAGTGTGAATCCATTTAAAAGCAGAAGTATAATATGCAACCTCCTACACCACAGATATTAGGTTTGTACTTTGTTACGTTACAAAGGTATTCTGTCAAAGCCACAGTAGCACATTTTCTTTTACACTTATCCAAAATTCAAGTGATATTTTTGCAATCAAGGTGTGCAACACATTAAGACTTATTAAAGCACTGATAATGCTCCCATCTTAAATTCCAGTCACCTGAGTTAATCAAATGCTGTGACTTAAGCAAGCATTTATCAATAGTATATGTATTTCCAAAGACATTAAGGAACATTCGGAATTTAGTGTCAAGGACAGCAAACATTAAAAGTGTAAGATATCTGCATAGATTCATTTACGTAAGTAAAATATACTGAGAATGGAATACTGAATTTCTGCTTATAGTGATTAAAAGCAGTGACTTGGTTGTTCTTTGCTATTTTAATCATTTTGAAATAATCCTGATTTTAAAATCTGTTATTAAAACAATGTTTTGGTACACTTTAAATGTTCTGTAATGCCAGATCTGTGGGAATAAGTGTTGTGAAAAACATCAACATGAAAATAGATTTAATAAACTAGAGGATCTGAAGAGATTTTATAACTTTGAGTTTTCCTGTTTAGTCTAACACTGTACTGTTTTAAAAATAAGTAATATAGGGTACAAAATTTTTACAAAATGTGTATTTAGGTTATTTGAGTCAAAACACGGATGGACTATTATTTTTGTGAAGAACAAGACAGGATTAGTTAATAAGCTATTTACCTTTTCCAAAGGAGAAAAATGACTATACGTAGTCATTTACAAAAAAATTAATTTTCATGTATCAATAAAAATGACTTGACTTTTCAGTAATGGGAAATAGGAGGGGAAATTTCTTCTTTATAAACAGTGAAGTCAGTGTTTGTAAATATGTTGATTATGTTGAAATGTATGTTGAAAAGGCATGAAATGTGGAATTTTGTTGGGAATGGATGGTATAAACTGATTATACAATAATTGAGATATTAACTACTTGGGGATTTAAGGTGTGAACTAACCCAAGTGTAATGTCCAAGAGTTAAATCATTTCTTAAAACAATGATGTAGTCTGCATATACACATACCACATATTTTCAAAATTAAAAAATAAAAGACCTTCATGGTCTCAAAAAGTTATGGGTTTTTTTATTGTTCAAATAAAAGTGCACTGCATTACATCTGAAATATAAAAAATGTATTTTAAAAATGTTCCTAGTACAGACTTCTAAAACCATGGTATTGTACTAAACAAGCCTGATCCCCAAGACTAAATACGGAGCATTTCAATCTATATCCCCTGGCCCCACAGGTTTGAAGTCAAGAAAATATAGGAGTTTTCCCCCTCCTTTTTAAATAAAATACCTCACCTAAGAAATTCAGTATTGTGAAACAACACAACTCATGTGTTGTAATAAATATTGGATAGCATCTGTTCTCCAGCAGGATTACCTTAAATAGAAAATAACCCTAGTTAACACAGGAAAGAATTAAGAAAAAAAATTTTATGTATAGAATAGTGGCAAGTCATATATAAAATACTTCGTTAAATAACATTATTACATCCCTTTTTTAGTAAAGTGCTATAATTTTATTTCATAGCTATATTTATTTGTAGGCTGTCTTTTAGCTCTCCCTTTAAATTTGGGCATATTAAACATAGGTGGAAAAACAAATTTATATATTTTAAGACCACTTCTTAAACTAAAAGATATGAGTGTACTGTTTACAAATTTCTGGATATGTTTGAGAAGTCATCTTTTTACTCTTTACTCAGGCTTTACTCTTTACTCAGATGGAAGAAATCATTTGATTTACTTGACAACCAAGGAACCATGTTAATATCATCAACTCTAGGTGATTTATATGAATTTTAGTTAGTTTTTATGTTTTACCAGTGTGAAATTTTATGTCTAATTAAAAAAAAAGAAGACAAATTGATATATACATTACTCGATTTTTATGCTTACTTTCTTTTACATTTCAACCATATAATTAATTTTTCCATGAGACAGGGTAGGACACATAATCTTCTTGGATACATTACTGTTTATTGTTTCAAGTGGATGGAATATATAAATCCCACTGAGTAGTTTAGTGTGGCCTTGTATCTTTTATAAACAGGTTAAATGGAGACTTTACACTGTAATCTGTGTATTTATCTGTCTACCATAAATTGTCTTCGTGACAAATGCAGAATTTCTTTTATTACTTGGCTCAAATTAACTGTTGATCCTTTTCACTGATAATATACAAGGGTAAAAAAGCAGGAAGCCTTTAAAATTGAAAAAAGAAATAAGATATTTTCCACTAAATTACTGAAAATTGAAATTTTTATGTTGACTGTTGATGACTGAAAAGCCAATGTTAAGAATCAATATCATCCAATATAAAATAGTACATTGAATTATTTAATAAACAGAATATTAAGAGCTTGTATATGCTGACTGGGAACAGTGGTGGCTTTTTAAATTCTCAGAAAGTTTAAACATTTTATAATTAGAAGAAACCACTGGTGATGATGAAGATGGTCCATCTCTGTAGCAGCCATTACAGTGAAAATCTTGACAGAACCTTTTCACTATCAGAAAGATAATTTTACTGGTATTAGTGGTAAAGGTAAGGAGAGAAAAAGGAGTGAGGAGATAAGTCTGTATTAGTTTTAAAAGTGAGAAAAGGTAATAAAACAACATGGAAAAGCCAGAAATTTCTTCTTCTATATGTGCCTTGCTACAAATAAACCAAAAAGAAAGCAAGATGGGTATTTTAAAAGCCAATGTGGGGAAACATCCAATGATAATGCCCATTATTTTACTTTATACTTAAATTACACCAGTAGAAAAGTTATGCTTATTAATAGTTTAATGTATGAAGGAAACATCCAGATTTCTGAATATGAAGGTACATATCTCACATTAATTTAAGTCTACATAAAGTAGAGCCTCTATACTGACATATTGAAATTTACTTTCTGCTTAGCCTTTTCTGTTATGTAAACAATTGTACATTTATTTGCCATTCTAAAACTTCAGGATCAAGTTTACATAATTTTGCTAAATTTCCGTGTTTGCTCAGAAGCAGTTTACAGTACTAAAACCAACCAGCCAAAGAACAGCTTCAACAGAAAGTTATGTCCAAAGGGGAAGAGGGAAAGAAAAAAAGAAAAATGATAAGAAAAATGCTAACTAAGGTAAAACGGATGATGATGGGGAATGGGCAGTCACAAATGTTCACAGAAAATAGGTCAGTTAGTAAGATCTTCTGCAAAAAGCCTACACACTTCAGTCAAGCACATCAGTAGAATGATTTGGGAGCATAATTTTTTTTTTCGGCCACTTGTGATTTCCTCCAAATGAAAAGGAATCTGCAGGCTAACAAGCTGATCCTCATCAGCCAAGCTGGTTCATATGCACACTGTTCATGTGAGGTGCCCAGGGTCCAGTCCACACCTATGAATATAGAGCATGCATTTTACAAAATATATATCTAGCATATATTTTATTAAAATAAAACTTTTAAAAAACTAAGGAGGTACTCTTCAATTTGCAATATACTAGGAACTAATGGAAAAAAATGATAAAAACCTTTTTTCTATTATTTTCCTACCTCTTATCCCTCAAACAGAATCTGATTTACAACCTTTAAAAAAAAAATCATTACCTGAGCATTTATAGATTCACGGTTGTGGAAGAAAAATAAATCAAAGATATTAAACATACACTAAACTAAAATATACAACCATTTATGTGAATTCTCAGAGTTATTTATAGTACCTTTAATAAATAACCTTTAGATGGTCTTTTCACACCACTAGTAAACTTTAATGTATAAAATCATATGACAGTCACTTTGCAACTTAAAATCTTTCATTTATTATCTGCTACCCAGTAGAATATACAATACCTTTCATAATTTTAGCCCCAAACCTGCCTTTGGTACCACTGCCCACAGCCCTCTGCTATATTGCAGCTATATTAGATTTCCTCAACTGCCCATATTCACCAAACTCTCTTGCTATCATGAGTTACCTGAATCCTATTTGTCTTTGCATTTCTTAAACACAAAACAACTGTTTATTCACTGAATGATCAGCCTCACCGTTTGAGGGCCATTATTTTCCGTGGAGCTGGAAACCATCTTTATCAGTGAGTTCCAAGAAGGGTCTGCAGCATGAGGGCCATTAAATATGGGTCCTCCAGCACCATCAGGGATAGGTGCTACTGGAGGAATCATTGCATTCCCATACACAGAAAAAGGCATACCCTTAAAAAAGGAAAACACACACATTAACATCCAAGTCATTGTTCATTTTTCCCAATATAATCAATAGCCTTAAAATTGATATTTGAAAGTTCACCTCATCCTGGGAATGTGTAACTTATCTAAGAAATCTAAAAATTATTACCCATTATATAACTTATTTTAACATTAGATTATACATATGCCTACTATATTCAAAACATTTTCTCAGAAAATCCTCCCTTAAATAACTAGTACAAAATCAGGACTTTACCCCAACTTTAGGAAAGTCCATGTAGCCTGCAGGAACATGCTGATGGAATGTACCAGAAGGAGTTACAATTCCTGTACTATCTCGCTCCATTGCTTGATGTTGTGAAAATACTCCTGGGTCAGACATCGGTCTGTGGATCATAGGATTTCCCATCCCAGGGTTACACCAGTCTACTTTGTCTGAGGGCAAACAAAGAGGCAAAACAAAAATAGATAATATTTAAAATCAAAATCAAATATTTTGTTTTTCTAATATTTTCCACATTGAACCGTAAATTATTTCAATATAATGACCTACTTTTATATATTTACAGCAATATTTCCATGGTTTGTAAGTAGTGACATAATAGCTTAATGAAATAATCTAAAAACTTGGTGTTATAAAACAAAAGAAAAAAACCTAAGTACAACCTAAAGGGACTGAAAGGAAATATTATTATGTCCTTAATATGATGAAAGGAAGAAAAGAACATGCTTGCATTAGATATTTTCTGAAAGCAGTAATAAATACATGTAATGAGAAAGGTCACATGGGGACAGAGCTCATAAAGAAGTGATTAAATATTCACATAACAAAAAAAATAGGAATACAGATCTTTTAGAAATGACTACGAGGCTGGGCGTGGTGGCTCATGCCTGTAATGCCAGCACTTTGGGAGGCTGAGGTGGGTGAGTCACTTGAAGTCAGGAGTTTGATACCAGCCTGATCAACATGGTGAAACCCTGTCTCTACTAAAAATACAGGCGGGGCACAGTGGCTCACGCCTGTAATCCCAGCACTTTGGGAGACCGAGGCGGGCGGATCACAAGGTCAGGAGATCGTGACCATCCTGGCTAACACGGTGAAACCCCGTCTCTACTAAAAATACAAAAATTAGCCGGGCGTGGTGGCGGGCGCCTGTAGTCTCAGCTACTTGGGAGGATGAGGCAGGAGAATGGCATGAACCCGGGAGGCGGAGCTTGCAGTGAGCAGAGATTGTGCCGCTGCAGTCCGGCCTGGGTTACAGAGCGAGACTCCGTCTCAAAAAAAAAAAATTAGCTGGGCATGGTGGCGCATGCCTGTAATCCCAGCTACTTGGGAGGCTGTGGCAGGAGAATCGCTTGAACCGGGGAGGTGGAGGTTGCAGTGAACCAAGATCACCCCATTGCACTCCAGCCTGAGCAACAAGTGAAACTCCATCTCAAAAAAAGAAAAAAAAAAAGGAAATGACTATTAAAGTTAAATACTGTTTACATTATAGTTAAATGCATTAAGTTAATTTCTAGAGAGCAGGACAGAATATCCTACCTTGATTGCCACCAATCCCTTCAAAGGACCAGATGCCACTATGTCCTACTGATGTAGACAAATTGCTCCCAATAACAGATGGAGCTGACGTTCCAGTTTGCCTGATACGTGCAGAACGTTCAGTCCCAATAGGGACTGGAACTTTCCTGTCCTGAGACACATTGCTGGGCTTTTCTGACCCTAACGGTACTGATGATGGGGCAGGAGATGGTGCACGAACTCCCGAGGATACTGACTGTGCAGAAGAATCTAGAGAAGAGATATTTTGAAATAAAATACAGGTCATCTATAGAACATGTAATTTTATAAAACCAAATCTTAAAACCAGGAGATGTTTTAAATATATATTCTCAGAAAAACAAAGTGTAAAAATAATACTTAAAAATGATGCATATTAAAATTTGGCTAAAGTTCCATGACTTCAAGGTAGAATATGATGTCAATGCTGCAAAATGTTCAACTACAAAGGTAATAAACCATTAAATTAAATAATATTCAAATGAATTAACCCTTGACATTAAGTAAAATGTAGCAAGCAATAAGACATTTAAATTAAAAAACAAACCAACAACAACAGAATGGAGATGGGTAAGAATCACTGCCTGTAGTGGCAATCTCCAAACTGTATTCCCTGGGAATACTTGCTCTTTGTGTTATGATGAAAAAGAGATTCAGCTATCTAATAAATTTGGAAAACCTAGCCTAGGAAAAAGAAATACGTTTCTTTGTTATTTATTCATTTTTTATTTATTTTATTTATGTATTTTTGGAGACAGAGTCTTGCTCCATTGTCCAGGCTAGAGTGCAGAGGCTCGATCATAACTCACTGCAGCCTCAAACTCTTGGGCTCAAGCGATCCTCCCACCCCAACCTCCTGAACAGCTGGGACTACTGGGATGAGCCATCATGTCCAGTTTAAAAAAAAAAAGTTTCTTCAAATTAGAACTGAAGTTTATAGAACATTATATATACTGATAAAATACCAATAAGAGGATCATTGCCTAAGTCTGTTTTATTTTATCTTGTGAGTACTTCACAGAACATGCTTTTGGTAATGAGAATCTTTTTTACTTATGCAAACAAGGTGGATTTCTTGATTTGAGACTATTCATTAGTGATTCAATCTCTATACATTATTGAGAAAAAACAAAAATAACCAAAATTATATTTTATGTGAAAAGCTTAAATATTGGCCGGGCGCGGTGGCACACACCTGTAATCACAGCACTTTGGGAGGCCAAGGCGGGCGGATCATGGGATCAGGAGTTCGAGGGGCCAATATGGTGATACCCTGTCTCTACTAAAAATACAAAAATTAGCCGGGCGTGGTGGCACGCGCCTGTAGTCCCAGCTACTCAGGAGGCTGAGGCAGACGAATCACTTGAACCCGGGAGGCGGAGGATGCAGTGAGCCGAGATCGTGTCACTGCACTCCAGCCTGGGTGACAGAGCAAGATGACTCCATCCCCCCTCCCCCTCCCAAAAAAGCTTAAATATTAAAGCACATTTAAACTAAAATGGTATAAATAATAAAGGAGTCTGAAGCTTAAAAATCAAAACTGTTACCTGCAGATTCAACAGAACTGCAGTTGAATTCCAAATAAGCCTATTATATAAGATAAAAGAGAAAGACCTATAGCATTCCTGTTGACAATAAAAGCACTCCAGAAAAAAAGCTATAACCTAAAATTCAAAAATGAACGAAAAGAAAATGATATGAAGGAACAGCATAATTCAGAATTAGTAAAACGGAAACAATATGACAAAACTCAGGAAAGTGTTAGAAGTAAAAGAATATTTTAGCTAAAGACCAAATAAAACCAAATTCTGCAATTATACATGCAGTAGAAAACAGACAAAAACTACAAGGAATACACAGACATGTAAATGTAAACACAAAGATAAATAACAAAAGCTTGTTTTTTAAAAACCTACATATTGAAAGGCCACACCTAAACCTCTAGGAAAAATCAACCCAGAACAACTAACATCAAGACATAGTCAGGGCAGGCAGGCAGGAAGGAAAGAAGGATAAACAAATGAATCCTGCTTTCCCCTAGGTTCATCCCTGGGAGCCTACCTTAACCTCTGTGTTCACTCTGGTTTCCCTTTTATTTCCTGTATCCTTCTAGAACCAAAGTAGAGCAAAATAACAACAACCTTCCACATTGTTTTGTTTTTTATGAGACGGTCTCACTATGATGCCCACACTGAAGTACAGTGACTATTCACAGGCACAATCACAGTGCACTGCAGCCTCAAACTCCTGGCCTCAAGCCATCCTCCCACCTCAGCCTCCTACACATTCTATTTTAATAAACAGAATTACTAGGCTTGCCCGCTGAGCTGCGCCATTTAAGAAGTTTACTCTCTGCACAGATTCTGCCACCCCTCTAGTCATAGTTTTTATCAGATGACCCTGTTTTCTGCTCCCTCTCTGCACAACTATTGGATTAAGGATAGGCACCCATCCAAGTTTTATTTTAGGCTAGTCAGTAATCTGACTGAAATGGTCTGACTTGAACATATGAGCTGAGCCAATCACATTCCTCATCAAAGAATGGGGAATTAAAGGGTTAACTGGTTTAATTAATTATGAAGTTGAACCACTGATGTGCATATACAAGGTAAGATTATGAAGAAGTTTAGGTGTAAAGAGAGCAGAATGCAAGAAACTGACAAGAAACAGACCATGAGTGAGAGACCACAAATCCTCTAAGAGAGAGAGAGAGAGAGAATAGCTATCCCTAAGTCCTGGACGGTTTGGAAAATGGTTCTGCATAGCCTTATATAAACATCATTTTCCATGAGAGTCCCTGGATGGGCCTATATTCCTTTTCATGAAAAGAACCTAACTAAAATAATTTTCACATCTCTAATTATTATAATTACTTCAATTAGAAAAAAAGCAAAATTTAATTCAGAGCCATGTTATTTAAAAACATCAGCTTATATATTAGAGAAACAGGTTTCAGAGGATGGGGCAGATCTAGGTTTTGTGGGGCCTTAAACTTACAAAATTTTGGGAACCTTTTTTAGAAGAATGAAAAATTACAAATAAAAAAATCATGTACAGCACTTGGAAGTACCCCATAAAATGAAGTGGCCTAAGGATTTAAGTTTCACTGATACCACGGTAACTTCACCACAGTTTAGAAATGATAACAGAGTCCTGAGTTAAAATTGAAAGAGCAATGTGATTTACAAATTCAAAAAGTGGGGCCACTGGGTGTGGTGGCTCACACCTGCAATCCCAACACTTTGGGAGGCCCAGGTGGGCAGATCACTTGAGGCCAGGAGTTTGAGATCAGGCTGGGCAACGTGGTAAAACCTCATCTCTACAAAAAAAAATTTAACAAATTAGCCAAGCATGGTGGTGCACACCTGTAGTCCCAGCTACTTGAGAAGCTGAGGCAGGAAGATTGCTTGAGCCCAGAAGGTGGAGGTTACAGTGAGCCAAGATTGTGCCACTACATTCCAGCCTGGGCAACAGAGAGATACATTATCTTTTTATTTAAAAAAAAAAAAAAAAAAAGGGGGGCCAAGCGTGGTGGCTCACATCTGTAATCTCAGCATCTCTGCATTTTGGGAGGCTAAAGTGGGAGGATCTCTGGAGATCAGGAGTTCAAGTCCAGTCTGGGCAACATGGTAAGACCTCATCTTACAAAAAATAAATACATAAAAATAAAATAAAAACATTAGCTGGGTGCTATGGCAAGTGCCTGTAGTCCCAGCTACTTGGGAGGCTGAGGCAAGAGGACTGCTTGAGCCTAGGAGTTTGATTGAGGCTGCAGTAAGCTATGGTCACACACTGCTGCATTCCAGCCTGGGTGACAGAGACAGAACTCGTGAGAAGAAAAGGAGAGGAGAGAGGAGAGAACAAAAAGTGCTTCTACAGTAAAATTACATGAAAAGAAAGGAGAAGAACAAAAAGTGCTCCTACAGTAAAATTACACTGCACATTTCTCACAGTTTAGTTCAGTGTTTATTAAACATACCCTGAATTTAATCAGGAAGAAATAGTAGGAAATAAAAATAAAAGGCATTCTAGCAAACAACTGGCTTGTAGTCTTCATAAAATGAATCTTTCTTTGAAAGTTAAAGAAAGACTCAGAGAACAGTTCTAGATTATTTGAGACTAAAGAGATATGGGAATTAAGTGTAACTTGCAGTCCTAATTAGAATCTTGGATGAGAGAAAATAATAAAGTTATTGAGATAACTGATGAAATGTAAATATGCACCATATATTAGATAATAATATAAAATGTAAAGTTTGCTGAATTTAAACACTGCATCATAGTTGTTGAAGGGAACATTCTTATATTTAGGAAACTAAGTTATTTAGGGGCAAAAGGGCTTGACGTCTACAACTAACTGTAAAATAGTTCAGGAATAAAATAATTTTACACACACACAGAGGAATATATGATGAGGAAAGGAAGTAATGCAGTTTAATTGGTGAATCTGGGAAAAATATACAAGGGATCCTTGTGGTATTCTTGAAAGTTTAAAATTATTAATTACAAAATCTGAGAGACATAATCAAATGCAATATGTGAGCCTTGAGTGGTAGTTCCTGGTTCAAGAAAGAAACATCTATAAAAAACGTTTTGGAATAATTGAAGATATCTGAATATGGACTGATTAATTCTTACTGAATTCATGTTAACCTATTAGGTATTTGACAATGGTATCATGGTTGCATAAGAAAATATCCTTATTCTTAAGTGATGCATGTTTTTAGGTCTGAAGTGTCATATCTGCACCTTATTTACAAATGGTTCAGCAAAACAGTAGAGAGAGAAAATAAATATAACAAAATAATTGGGAAATTTAGGCGAAGGAAATATGGATATTCCTTGAACTATTCTTTAACTTTTCTATGGGTCTGAAATTTTTTGTAACAAAATAGTTACTGGAATGTGGCAACAATAAAAGCAATTGTAATGCCCTCAATGATACTCTGTATTTACAATATAGCACTATATTCAAAAGCATGTATTAAAAAACCTAACCTGGGTGGTGTGGTGGTACACGCCTGTAATTCCAGCACTTTGGGAGCTGTGCAAGGATAATTAATATTCTATATGACTGCCACTATTTGACAAACACAAGAAAAACTATGAATATATAAATTCATTGCAGGCTACAATTTACCTCATGCTTTAACTGGCAATGTACTCTGACATGTATCTCTAAAATAATTATAACTCTTTACTCTTTCATTAAGTTAATTAGGTTAACTGTTATTTATTCCAGTATTGCTAGTTAGAAGAAATTTGATAGTTAAAAAAAAAAACAAAACAAAAAAAAAAAAACCGAAGTCTTACTATAACTTCCTTAAGGGATAAGCAATTTCACATCTTTACCTGGAAAACAAACATATCCAACCTTACTACAGAATTCTCTTAGTTGAGTTGAATTCTCTATTGCTGACTGATCTTCATTAGTTTGAAAATCTAGGCCTGGTGGCTCACACCTGTAATCCCAGCAGTTTGGGAAGCCGAGGTGGGCAGATCATGAGATCAGGAGTTTGAGACCAGCCTGGCCAATGTAGTGAAACTGTCTCTACTAAAAATACAAAAATTAGCCAGGTGTGGTAGCACATGCCTGTAGTCCCATTTATTCAGGAGGCTGAGGTGGGAGAATCGCTTGAGCCATTGCACTACAGCCTGGGTGACAGAGTGAGACTCCATTTCAAATAAAAAAAAGAAAGAAAGAAAATCTAATCACTGCTTCAAAAGTCTGCCTGTAGTTAAAAAACACATGTGATAATGTGAAATCTGTTGTGTTGTTAATGCAGATGAGATTTTTTTTTTTTTTTGAGATGAAGTCTTGCTCTGTTGCCCAGGCTGGAGTGCAGTGGTGTGATCTCGGCTCACTGCAACCTCCGCCTCCTGGGTTCAAGCAATTCTCCTGCCTCAGCCTCCCAAGTAGCTGGGATCACAGGTGCACACCACAACGCCTGGCTAATTTTTGTATTTTTAGTAGAGGCAGGGTTTTGCCATGTTGGCCGAGCTGGTCTTGAACTCCTGACCTCAGGTGATCCACCCGCCTTGGCCTACCAAAGTGCTAGGATTACAGGTGTATGCCACTGTGCCCAGCCTAGATGAGATTTAAAGGTGGACTAAAAGGATGTAATTTTCACTCAAGGGTAGAAATCTTTCTCCTTGGTACCTGTATTCTCAAAACTAAAAGTAAACATAAATTAATAACAGGTACAAGGATTAATTTTTTTCCCCCAAAAAATGATCCCTCAGGACAGGTGTGGTGGCTCACACCTGTAATCCCAGCTCTTTGGAAGGCAGGAAGACTGCTTCAGCCCAGGAGTTTGACGAAACCAGCGAGGGCAACACAGTGAGAGCCTGTCTCTAATAAAAATAAAAAATAATAAAAATCCCTCTTAGAAAAACTTCAATATTTTAGGTTTGATAGAACCTAGGTTGATTCTAATCATTTAAATACCTAGAAATTTTTTTGAAATTCCAGACTTCTAAGAGTACAAATTACCTTTTTATGGTATTAAAATTATGATGAGGTTTGAAACCTGCTGTTTTTAAGAAAACATATGCAGATTCTTATGGAATTACGGTGTATAAAACTCACCATTTGATGCTGATGAACACGGAGTCAACAAACTAAGCGGGGAAAAATGTTGTCTGTTAAAGTTAGCAGCTGCGGGTGCTCCTCCAAGGGGTGCCCCAGGTCCGTACATCTGACCTCCTGAAATGTTTGAAGCAAAGTTTCCCAAATGTGTTGAAGAAGGTGTTACAGAACCATATGGCGAGTCCATATTGACAATACCTATAATGTAGAAGGTCATCATAATTTATAATAGTTACTCCTGCAAGAAATAGAGATACCTTAAAATTCTAAAAGGCCCTAAATATATTCAAAACTATTTTAGATAATTAAAAAAATCCCGGCTGGGAGTGGTGGCCCACATCTGTAATCCCAGCACTTTGGGAGGCCAAGGTGGGAGGACTGCTTATGGCCAGGCATTCAAGACTGGTCTGGGCAACACATCGAGACCCCACCTCAAAAAAAAAAAAAAAAAGTTCCTGGCTGGGTGTGGTGGTTCATGCCTATAATCCCAGGCATGAATCTCACTTTGGGGGGCCAAAGTGAGAGGACTGCTTGAACCCAGAGTTCAAGGCCAGGATAGACTGCCTCTACAAAAAATTAAAAAAAAAAAAAAATTAGCCAAGTTTGGTGGTGCGTGTTTGTAGTTCCAGTTACTTGGGAGGCTGAGGTGGGAGGATTGCTTGAGCCCAGGAGGTTAAGGCTGCAATGAGCTGTGATGGCACCACTGCATGCCAGCCTGAGTGACAGAGTGAGACCCTGTCTCACACACACAAAAAACTAAACTATGTAGATAATTATAAAAGAAACAATTATCACATTATACTCTTAAATTCAAATTATAATTTACTGGGAACAAATTTAATTCTTGATTTTAGTACTTTCAGCACTAGTGGGCATTAATGTTTTAGTTAAAAAGGATCATTAGTTTTCCTTTACATGGGCTTTCTGTCAAAGTGGACTTTTGTTGCCTTTATTGATCATAAAATTAATGCAAACTTATTTAAAAAATCCAAAACCAAAAACCATATATAAAACAGAAAGTGAAACTTCCAGATGTTCCTATTTCAAAAACGAATGTATGTGTATTTGTGAGAGAGAAAAAGAAGAGGAAGAATAAACGTTTACCTTTAGGGATTTTTAGATAACATTTTTTTTTAAATGTTTATTTTTAGGGATAAAGATAAAACATTTACTCTTCCTCTTCTTTTTCTCTCTTACAGGTACACATTTGTTTTTGAAATATGTTCATTAAAAAAGTATTACAAATGTTTACACACTAAACTATTACACAAGTAACCTATCTGATTTTAGTCTAACGGGTTAAAAATACAGAAAAAAAAGAAAGAAAATAATTGTCAACGATTTTTTTTTTTAATTTAGGAGACAGCTTTCTCTGTTGCTCAGGGTGGAATGCAGTGGCATGTGATCATAGCTCACGGTAGCCACAAACTCTTGGGCTCAAGCAACCCTCTTGCCTCAGCCTCCTGAGTATCTGGGGCTACAGGTGTTCACCATTACACCTAGCTATATTTTTGTTTTACCTTTTATTAGCTTTTATAGAACACATGTCAATATTGGATTTTATGCTTGAACCTGGGAGGCGGAGGTTGCAGTGAGCCTAGATTGTGCCACTGCACTCCAGCCTGGGCGTCCGAGTGAGACTCCATCTCAAAAAAAAAAAAAAAAAAAAAAATATATATATATATATATATATATATATATATATCTGTAGGATTTTAAATAGGTTTAAGGACCAAAGAGTTGTATAAAACTACAGGGCAAAAAAGGGCTGTAGATACAATTCTACAATGAAGAGATCTGATAATTACATACTAACCACACGGCCATGCTTTCCACAGCCAATACTGGAACAATTTATCATTTTTTCTTTTTTTTTAAGGAGACAGGAGATTGCTCTGTTGCTCATAGCTCACCCCAGCCTCCATCTACTGGGCTCAAGTGATCCTCCTGCCTCAGCCTCCCAAGTAGGTGGGATTACAGGTACATGCCACCACACCCAGCTTTTTTATTTATTTTTGTAGAGGCAAGGTCTCACAATGTTGCCCAGGCAGGTCTTAAATTTCTGGCCTCAAATGAGCCTCTTGTCTCAGTCTCCCAAAGTGTTGGGATTACAAGTGTGAGCCACCACATCCAGCCAATCTGTCATTGATAAAATGCAGTGTGAGGTTCAAAACATCACCTATATGATGCTCCTTCCTGAAATATTTGATCTGAATCTAATCATGGATTGACATAATCACTGAATTAAACTTGCCCACAGAGTCAATGTCAAGAATTACAGAGGAAGGCAGTAGAATACTTTAGACAGAGGGAGACCAAAGACACATAACAACCAAAAGTAATGTGTGAATCTTGATTGAGTCTTGGATCAAATGGCAAGGAAAAGAGACACACATAGTCAGAAAGAATATATTTGGGAAAATGGCATTTTATGTTGGGTGTTATTATCAAATTCATCCTCATTTTATTGGGTGCAGTAATAGTGGCATAGCTGTGAAGGCAAACATTGTGAAGATCCATATCAAAGTATTTAGGGGTAAAGTATCATGTTTGAAAGTTATCTTCTCATGATTTGACAAAAGATGGGGAAGAAAAGAAAATAGAGATAGGATAGAAAGGGGGAAAAGGAGGAAAGAAGGATGAAGAAGGGGAGAGACAGGTAAGACAAGACAAGAGAGGGGGAAGAAAAGGAAGCAGCAAAAGAGAGGAAAAAAAAGGAGGGAAGAAGGAAAAGGGGAGAGAGGAAGGGAGGGGAGTGAGGGAGAGAGTTTGAAAAGATGTTAACAAGCAGAGAATATATTAATAAATGTGGAAATACCAAGTATTTACTATGCTGCTTATTCTGTCCTTAGATCTTTATGTGACTTAAATAACTTTTCAAAATACAAACTATAAAAACAGATCTGAGTCTAAAATACAAATAATCAAATTATTTACATAAGAAAAGTTAAACAAAGGAAGAAAAATATGGAACACAAAATGAATTAGGAAGAAGTAGAGAGAAGTGAAAATTAGGATCTGAGAGAGGTTTAGGAGAAAATAAAAGGACATACTTCCTATGTAATAAAAGGAGTATCTTTAACTCAAAATGACCTGAATTAGGTAATTGACTTGTAAGTTAAACTTCAATGCTAATTTTGGCTCTCATCAACTATACACTCCCTAAAAACCTCACCTTTCTTACAGAGGTCTTTCTTCTATACCTTTTCAAAAAATAGGAATTTATTTTTTTGTTCTCTAAAGCTTAATTTTAGCCTTTCTGAATCCCACACCTAGATTATCACATTTTTGGAAAGGTAAAGTATTAAATTCCAACTACTATAAAAATCAAACTTAAAGCATTTCCTACGCACTGGCACATAATGATCTAAAATCTAATTATATTGATTCTATTGTTTTAATATAAAATAAATTATTTTTCATAGTACACATAAATATTTCAGTTGACTTTTAGCAAAGAATATTTACTGACCACCTTCATTAAATTTTATTTACATGTTACAGAAATAGGTAAAAATAACATTGAGTTCCCATTAAACTTGGAAATTTTTGTCCCGGAATGTCATATTTCCAATAACACAGATAACGAGTTGGCAACCAAGAGCCAAATACCAAATATTTTAGGCTTTGCAGGTCACATGGTCTCTGTCCCAGCTACTCAATTCTGTCATTGTAGCATAAAAGTAGCCTTATACAATATGCAAATGAATGGGCATTGCTGTGTTTCAGTAAAGCTTTCTCTACAAACACTGAAATTAAAATTTCATATTTTGTGTTGCATGTTTATTCTTTTTAAATTTTTTTTTTTTTTTTTGAGACAGGGTCTCCACCCAGGCTGGAATGCAGAGGTGTGATCTCAGCTCACTGTAACATCTGCCTCTAGGGCTCAAGTCATCCTTCCACCTCAGCCCCCCAAGTAGCTGGGACTACAGGTATGCACCACCATGCCCAGCTAATTTTTATATTTTTGTAGAGATGGGGTCTCCCCTTAAGCCCAGGCTGGTCTGGAACTCCTGGGCTTAAGCAATCGACCCACCTCAGCCTCCCAAAGTGCTGGGATTACGGGCACAAGCCACCGTGCCAAGCCTATTCTTAAAAAAAAAAATTTTTTTTTAAACATTTAAGAAATGTAAAAACAGGCAGCAGGCCAAATTTGGCCCATAGACCATAGTGTGTCCATCTCTTACGTGGACTATCTTTAATTACTTGAAATGCTTATATTAAAACCCAACAGCTTTAAATGGAAACTGGCATCCTGGATTAGATCCTACAATAGAAAAAGGATATTACTTGAAAAACTTGTGAAATCTGCCTAAAATCTGTAGTCTAGTTAGTAGTACTACACCAATATTAATTTTTTTAGTTTCGAAATGTATCATGGTTATGTAAGATGGTCACATGAAGGGAAGCTGAGGAATTATAGAATTCTTCTATAAATCTAAAAATATTTTAAAGTAAAAAGTTTTTTTTAAAAAAGCAATAGCTTACAATCAGGAGATCTTTGTATCTTCTACATATATCAGTGTTGCCCAGTAGAATTTTGGATAATAGAAATGTTCTAGATCTTTGCTGTCCAATATGGTAGCTACCAGCCACAAGTGTTTTTTAAGCACTTAAATATGGGTAGCCTAAGAAGCTAATTTTTTTATTTTTAAAATTTTCATTAATTTAAATTTAAAAAGTACACATGGTTATTGGCTACCATATCAGACTGTGTAGCTCTATTTTTAAAATTATTTTAGAAATAAAAAAGATAATGCGAAATGAAACCCAATTTTTTAAATCTGTTATTTTGTATTTGTAATAAATGTAAACTTTTGGTGACAGTACCTTATTAAATTAAAACATGAAAGACTTCTGAGAGAGAAAAACACGCCTAGGCCAGGAACTGTGGCTCACGCCTGTAATCCTAGCACTTTGGGAGGCCAAGGTGGGTGAATCACCTGAGGTTGAGAGTTCGAGACCAGCTTGGTCAACATGGTGAAACCCCATCTCTACTAAAAATACAAAAATCAGCCAGGCATGGTGGTGCACGTCTGTAATCCCAGCTACTCGGGAGGCTGAGGCAGGAGAATCACTTGAATCTGGGAGGCAGAGGTTGCGGTGAGCTGAGATCATGCCACTGCACTCCAGCCTGGGTGACAGAGCGAGACTCTGTCTCAAAAAGCAAACAAACAAAAAAACCCCGCCTGATCAGAAGACTTATTTATGGAAAATTAAATAAAAATCTATGGTAGCTTTTAAAAAGATTTTTAAAAATAACACCATACTAAACACAAACAACAGCATCTGAGTTAACTAAATCCAACAATCTTTGTCTATATCGTCCAGAGAATAAAAATATTAGAAAATGACCAAGAATTTTCACATCACTTGTGCAAATGAACAGCTGCAGAATCTCAGAAAATATAAACTCACCTGAGGGACTTGGAGCAGGTCTCTGTAATGGTGGTCTAAAACCTGGAGCTTTGGAAGTATCAGACTGATGTAAAGGATCTGAATTTGGCAAATATGAGGATTTTCCTGATAGCATAGATTCTGGTGTTGACTGAGATGAAACAACAGATCCTCCCCAGAAGGCATGAGCAGAAGTAGGGCTGTTTTCAAACAATGTGCTAAAGGGCCCAAATGGTAAGGGGGCACTGAAATTGGGAGCAATAGGCTTATTTGCTGGATGTACTGAATTCTGACAAGCACTTTGTGTACTTAAGGTCGAAGGTAGCTGGACAGAAGAGGGAACACTGTGAGGTCTTTTAATGTGATTGACACTGAGGACTGCAACAGATGAATTTTGCACTGAAGCTGAATTCTTGTGAGGGGCAGTTGTGCCATGAGGGGGTGGTCTAATAGCAGGGGTTTCCATTTTAGGAGTAGGCTGGGGGCATCCCATTGGTGTCTGAGGCATAGGGTAAGTCACTGGGGCAGTAGAAGGCACCGCCACTGGAGCAGAACTTGTTGCTAAAGGAGGAACAGTCATTCTAACTTCCGGGGGAGGAACCTGAGACTGCTGAAGAGGTGGTCTTGGTTCCTGAGAAACAGATCCCGGAGGTTGTTGCTGATTAGAATGAGCTGATGAACTCCCAGAAGAACTGCTGCTGTTTGGAGGTCTAGTGTTTGTTGTTTCTACTACTGGTGGACTACCTGCTTCCTGTTCGGAGGAAGATGCCACTTTATTTGGAGATGCTGATCCACAATCCAAAGGGCTGTTTCTAGAAACCCCTCCTGGCTGGGCTGGTGGTGATGGGGAAGATGGGGATGATACTGGATAGTGTTCTTTGGCAGTAGGCATAGGATATGTGGCATTTGTGGGTGCAGTGTTGTTGTTGCTTGCCGTGGTTGTGACTGTTGTTGTGGTGGCATTGGATGTCTTCACAACTGTGACAAAAAGCTGCCTTCGGACAGAAGGTGAACTTGGACTGCCATTTGTAGATGTACCAGGCACCGTTGAAGCTGATGAACTGGTTGTAGTTGTTGGGCTTGAAGTTAAAGAACCTGCTGAATTCACCTGAGAACCACTGCTATTCTGATTGCTATGGCGAGGCACCATGTGAGGCTTAGGCGAGTTAGTAGCTCTGGCAGGGCTCAAAGGCCTGACAGGAAACGGACCCCAAGTGGATTGAGCTGGTGGAAAAGTACCTCCAAAGTGGGTCATGGGCAACCTTGGTGGACGGATCTGCTGGAAAGTCTGAGCAGCAAGCAAAGCATGTGCAAACTGTGGAGGAGGATATGCTAATGGAAGAGAAACTGGAAAACCAGGCCTCACATTATTCACTGGGTTCTTAATGGTTTTGTGAGTGGATGCAGAAGAAATTGCAGGCACAGTGAGTGCTGTGGCAGTTTGAGATGTTGATGACAGAGCTACAGTTGTCATTTTAATTCCCATTAAGGAAGTGTTAGCAGCAGTGGTGGTAGGTGCTGATGACCCTATTTTGGAATTTGCTGAGGAGCTTTTCAAACGATTCTTTGGAATAAGTTCATCAATTTCTTTGTCTGGATCCTTGATCAAAGCATTAATCAATTGAGTTGCTTGTCTTGTTGATTCAGTGCCACCCCTATAAATTGAGAAAAAAAAATTAGGTAGAATTTTCCCTACTTTTGAGTATGTAAAGTGTTTTTAATATGTATTTATGTACACAAACACACACACAGTTTTGTGTGTATATACATACACACATACAAACAAAGGACAGATAACAAAAGCTGGGCAGCAATTTTCTTACCATTCCTGAGGTATTCTACAAACAAAGCAATAAACTGTCCTGAATTACTACTTTTATTTTTCAGAAGAATAGTAAATGACTTATTTTTCAAAAATACATTTCACTATTGTTTCCTTAGACTAAGAAACCATTTTCCTACTGTAAAATACACTACAGTTAGAAAAACCACTGCACATAAAAGCCTATGTAATCCACAATGTTATTGAAACATTTAATCCTAAAAATATTGAAACAGTTAATCAACACTAAAAATAATAGAAGTAAACAAGGAAAATAATACAACTGAGTAAGAAAACAGTATTTTATTTTAAATCTTGGTATCTGGGATGACTCCGTCTACTAAAAATTCATTAGTAGTTTGTCTATTAATAGGATAATTATTGTAACTCCTCTGGGAAGATGTCTTAAAATGATGCAGGAATCCTGATAGTGCCAAAAATAGCCATATAAAACCTTAGTGCTGGATCTTCAGGAAAATATTTGATATTTATGGAAACTCAAGGGAGCAATTACCAATAAAGGGTATCTGGTTCCCTCTTTTCTAGATAAGATAGGCTGTGACTACCCAAATACCCAGGGGAAAACCAGTCAGAAGGAGAGGACGATGAATAAAATAGAGATGGCTACTTGCTTTCTTATTTTTGAGGTATGATGTAACTATTAGCTCTCCTATATAATGCAAAGGGGCATCTGCCTCATACAAACTTATATCTGCCATGTAAAAAATATAAAACTCTTTTTCAAAGGAACATGAATTTACTTTAAAGTAATTAAATATAGCTTCCTACATTCTTATGATTTCTTAGAACATCACTTTTATTTTAAGAATATTCAGGCATAGACATATTCGACGAGTTATTCAAGATAAGTTATATCTTCACTTCAGATTCAAATCTGAACTCAAATTCTTTTTTTTTTTTTTTTTTTTGAGGGAGTTTCACTCTTGTTGCCCAGGCTGGAGTCCAATGGCTCGATCTCGGCTCACCGCAACCTCTGCCTCCCAGGTTCAAGCAATTCTCCTGCCTCAGCCTCCCGAGTAGCTGAGATTACAAGCATGCACCACTATGCCCGGCTAATTTTGTATTTTTAGTAGAGACGGGGTTTCCCCATGTTGAGGCTGGTCTCGAACTCCTGACCTCAGGTGATCCGCCCGCCTCAGCCTCCCAAAGTGCTGGGATTACAGGCGTGAGCCACCGTGCCCAGCCCAAGAACTCAAATTCTAAAGACACAATCTCAGAATAACAAATCTCAAAGGTTATTTGAGAAAGACAAAAACCCACTGCTTAAAATGTTAGAAATGCGCTCCCTAAAAGTCTCAGAACAAATTTTTAAGAATGTCATATAAACAGTTTATGTACAGAAATTATTTATTTAAACCTTTGCTACACATGCATACAAATTCCTATAAAAGTCTCTGAAACACTTCACAAAAGTGTATTACCTAGGAAAAAAGAAAACTATAAAATTTATCTTCTCAAACACTAATAAAATTCCCATTTTAAAAAGTATACTATGTAACACAAAGTTCCACTGAAAACTCATATGGCTGTATTTCATTAAGCTATAGTGCAATAAAATAAAGGAAGAAAATGTAAGAGACAAAGTTTTGCCTTATAGTGATTATCCGGTCTCCAGTCTTGTCTTTCTGTTTATCAATATCTATGTGTGCACCAGTAAACTCCCGAATAGCATTGATATTACAGCCTCCTCTTCCAATCACTCTGGATATCACAGTTGATGGAACAGATACTTTCTTTGACCTGTTTAAAAGTTGTATATATAAATTAAGATTAGTCATTAACAATAGTTATTGTAATTTTTAAAAGAGGAAAGAGTATTACTAAAATGTCTTTCTATAAATACAGAATATTGTTGAATAAGCCTCTTCTATTTACTCTTACTCTAGATGAACAGAGAAAAGGCAATCAGGAGCAACAGACAGATAAGCTTTATTATAGCTTCTCATCTCACTATCAAAGATTGTTTGCTTTGTTGATTATCATTCTTCACTTGTATCGGTAAAGCACATACTATGTAGACACGTGCTGTGCTAATGCAAATACTAACGGTAAATAAGACAGACATGGGTTTCTGCCCACATATATTGACTATCTACACGCTAATTATGAAAACACCACCATGTCATGAGTGTTGCAATAGTATGTGTGTACACACACACAAATGTATTATATATACATATATGTATATATAGACATATATATGTATATACGTATAATATATACATGTATATATGTGTATATATATATATTATATGTGTGTGTGTATATATACTGGTTGGGCATCTAATCTAGCCTCAAGAGTCAAGAAAGACTTCTTGTGGGCCCCTTTTGGTGCTTTACTCATATGCTTCTTTTTATTCTCTAATATACATAACTCAAAGAGTGATGTTAAAAATTCATGACTGGGAGTGGTGGCTCATGCCTGTAATCCCAGCACTTTGGGAGGCCAAGGCAGGCAGATCACTTTATGTCAGGAGTTCGAGACCAGCCTGGCCAACATAGTGAAATCCTGTCTCTACTGAAAAAAATACAAAAATTAGCCAGGCATGGTGGTGTGCACCTGTAATCCCAGCTACTCAGGAGGCTGAGGCAGGAGAATCACTTGAATCCGGGAGATGGAGGTTGCTGTGGACTGAGATTGCACCACTGCACTCCAGCCTGGGTGACAGAGTGAAACTCCTTCTCAGGAAAAAAGAAAAAATATTCATTACTTCCCTGTATTCTTATAGTAGCATTAAAATGACCATCCACAAATATGAAAACTTTCTAAAAATCTTTAATAATGTCCGGAAAAAGAAAATCCTACTAGAATTTAAAAAGCAAAATCTGAGGCCGGGCACGGTGGCTCACGCCTGTAATCCCAGCACTTTGGGAAGCCAAGGTGGGTGGTCCACCTGAGGTCAGGAGTTCAAGACCAGCCTGGCCAACATGGTGAAATCTCATCTCTACTAAAAATACAAAAAATTACCCGGGCATGGTGGCATGCACCTGTAATCCCAGCTACTCGGGAGGCAGAGGCAGGAGAATCACTTCAACCTGGGAGGCAGAGGTTGCAGCAAGCCGAGATCACGCCATTGCATTCTAGCCTGGGCAACAAGAGTAAAACTCCATCTCAAAAAAAAAAAAAAAAAAGCAATATCCATCTAATACTTGCAAAATTACATTTTAATTTTAAACATTCAGATATAGATTATAGATTTCCTTTATTATTATTTTTTTTTTGACAGAGTCTCGTTCTGTACCCAGGCTGGAATGCAGTGGTGTGATCATAGCTCACTGCAGCCTCAAACTCCTGGGCATAAGCAATCCTCCCACCTTTCCCAAGTAGCTGAGATTACAAGCACAAACCACATGCCCAGCTAATTTTTTAATTTTGTTTTTAGCAGAGATGGGGTCTTGCTATGTTGCCCAGGCTGGTCTTGAACTCATAGTCTCAAGTGATCCTCTTGTCTTGGCCTCCCAAAATGCTGGGATTATAGACATGAGCCACAGGTGTCAGGCCCGAATTCCTGATAAGCTGATTAAACAATATTTCTAAAAGAAATACAGTATAAAGTTCTCAATAAAGAGAAGCAGTCAAGTATAGTTCAATAAACAAGCAAATTATTTATTGAGAATGGTTAAGTATTAAAAATTGTCATATTTTCTAAAAGGAAGGGCATGATCCCTGTTCTCTATATATACAACTAAGTTACCTAACAACTCTTTTTAACCTAAAGAGCATGATAATCAGCCAGTGATCATCATTTCCAAACTGTATAACACAGTATTAAATGCATATACAAAAACCAAATTATCTTATTAGTGTATAGAGAATATTCTGATGATGTGATTTCAATTAATCCAATAGAGTGTGTATGTGAAGGAGTGAAAGAAAGAATGTGTGTATAGTGTGTGAAAATAGAGACAGAAATAAACATAGGTATGACGGGGACAAGATTTGGTCTAAAATACGGAGGAAATAAGCCAAAAACCTGTATACTGCACTTAGGGATTAACAGTAGTTACTAAGTTTGGTTCACTATAGCTTTTGTTTCAGATAACCAAAAGTTTAAATTTTTACGAAATTTCCGGAAAGTTCTTTAAAATAAGTTATCAAAGAGTGACAATGGATCACATTCTTTCTGGATTTCAGGTGTCTTACCTCCTTTTACGTTTCTGAGATATTGTATTTTTACTCTTGGATACATATTATTTTTAAAATCCCATGCAAAACAAAATATTTTTATCCTGAAACCCTTAAAATAAAGTTATCTTATGATTTAAAGACAACAGTTACTATGATTAGATCAACAGTTTAACATCAATACCTACTAATTCATCAAATGTTTACAAGTAGCTTTTATAATACTTCTTTGTATTATATAAGGCTTTGAGATAACGAAGCTGAGAAAGACACAATCTAAAATAGTTCTCAAAGCAAACTCCAATACTTTTGAGGGGCCAAATTAACACGTAATTTTTTTCATCTAAAATATGGCACAGGCTCTCTCTGTTGGTCAAATTTAGCCTTGAACCATCAGTTTGTTTGCAACCTTTAGAAGAGTAGGAGGAATTTAATTATAAGGTAGATAACACTTGACTGTGATATATAGCACATAAAAAGAATGACAAAAACAATTACTCACCTTCTTACAACTTCTTTCCATCCTTCTTCCCTCTTTTGCCCACGCTTAGGACTTGCTACTGTTAACTTCCCATTTGGAGAAGAAAGGGGAGATGGACCAGATTTTGTACAAGTAGATAGAGAATTACTGGTCCCTTCACTGATAGTTTCTGACAATCTTTAACAAAGAGAGGGAAAGTACATTAAATATGGAACAGATGTAGAATTTTTAAATGATAAAGGTAGTCTACTACCCAATTTTTAAAAATTTATTTTTAAATAACAAATGACGACCTTATTTTTCACTTCTCCTCATATTTAGCATATAATATAGAGAGCCTTTTTTTTTTTTTCTTTTTGAGACAGGTCTTGCTCTGTTACCCAGGCTGGAGCGCAACAGTGCAATCACAGCTCACTGCAGCCTTGAGCTCTCGGGTTCAGGTGATCCTTCTGCCTCAGCCTCCTGAGTAGCTGGGACCACAGGTGCATGCCATCACATTGGCTAATTAAAAAAAAAAATTATTTGTAGAGACAGGGTCTCCCTATGTTGTCCAGGCTGGTGTTGAACTCCTGGGCCCAAACAATCCTCCCACTTTGGCCTCCCAAAGAGCTATTATTATAAGCATGAGCCATTGCACCCAGCCTGAAGAGCCAACTTTAAGAAGATACTATCTAGGGTACACATTTAGCAGAGTTTAATCACAGTAATAATCCCTTGGAAACCACAATCCATATTTTTCATGTGCTAAGTTTAACAACCAAAAAAAAAAGAAATTACATAGTAAAAATAATTTGATGTCTCATTATATAAAATCTAAACAAAAGCTTATTCTTCAATTCAATTGAAACAGTACCTTCTTTAGCACAAAGAAAAATCCTATTTTGCAAGTTGCAAATTTACTTTCTTTACCAACAAATTCAGTAATAAGGTATTTCATGATGACACTATAAATATTGAAAATAAAAATTGGAACTAACTTTATTGAAGCCTTGCCAGAAACAGATTTTCTCTCTTCCTTTGGAAATGTAACAAGAACTGATGGCTGCTTTTTGCTGCTCACAGTGGTAGTGACCACAGCTGGTGAATGATTGTCACTCTTACGACTGCTGTTGCTGTTACTACTTTCATCGCTGCAGCTGGAAATCCTCATGTTATCACTGTCCCCACTCTCGCTGGTACTGCTGCTCTTGGACTCTCCATTCACCTTCTCTGGCTGACTGTATGAAATTGGTAGTGGATCATCAAATATAATTTGAACGTTTTCTGGAGTAATTTTATTTTTCCTGTTTTTCCTCTTTGAACTGGTTGTAGTTATGGTATTATTTCTTTTACCATGAGAACCTGCCAAAGTTGTCCAGGTTGCAGATATACCTATGGTAGTAGTGGTTGTGGCACTTGGAGGTTCTGTCAAGACTTCAGGCTCATCTGTAAAAGTAGCAATACTGAATTAGCAAGTTCTAAGTGTTCCCAGAATGTATTTAGCTATAAGCACTTGAAGAAAAGAAAAACCCAGGAGAGATACTCTACTACTATTAGCCATGTAAGTTATTCTCACATTCATCGGTAATGAGCTGGATAGGACTGATATACTCTGTGTACCCACGTTCTGTTCAAAGAATAGCAGGTAGTTATAAAAAATATTTTGGGGGGCATTTCTGGTGCTGGCGTGGCTCCAGGAAGGCCATTCCAGCCATCAATCTTCCACCTGCTCCTTAGAGAAGGGAAGATGAGTGAGTCGAGCTTGAAGTCCAGCCAGCCCTTGGCCTCCAAGCAGGAAATGGACAGCACTGAGAAGCGGGGCCGGGGCAGGCCCCGCAAGCAGCCTCTGGTGAGTTCCGGGACAGCACTGGTAGGGAGTCAGAAGGAGCCCAGTGAAGTGCCAACACCTAAGAGACCTTGGGGCCAACCAAAGGGAAGCAAAAACAAGGGAGCTGCCAAGACCCGGAAAACCACCACAACTCCAGGAAGGAAACCAAGGGGCAGACCCAAAAAACTGGAGAAGGAGGAAGAGGAGGGCATCTGGCAGGAGTCCTCAGAGGAGGAGCAGTGACCGTGTGTGCTGCCTGTGCCTCACTGAAGGAGCAGCTTCCTTCTGGGACTGGACAGCTTTTGCTCCGCTCCCACCGCCCCCGCCCCTTTCCCAGGCTCACCATCACCACTGCCTCCGGCTGCCACCCCCATCCTTCCACCTGCACCCTCACCACCACACTACACAGCACACCAGCCACTGCAGGGGCCCCATGGGCTGAGTGGGAAGCAGTTTTCCCCTGGCCTCAGTTCCCAGCTCCCCGCAACCACCCACACATACACACGTACCCTCCTGGACAATGCTAACATCCCACTTAGCCACACCCTGCACATGCTGCATCCCCACTCCCTTAGTAGTAGCAACACTGCTCTCTGGTGATGGGGGCACCCTCTCTGCTCCTCCACTGTTCCCTCTGGCTTCCCATAGTGTGGTCTGGGAGGATTCCCCTGGCCTTAAAAGGGGCCCAAGCCCCATCTCATCCTGGCATGCCCTACTCCACTGCCCTAGCAGCAGGTGTGGCCAATGGAGGGGGTGCTGGCGCCAGGATTCCCCCAGCCAAACTGTGTTTGTCACTATGTGGGGTTCACACTTTTCATCCTTTCCCACCTCCCCTAGTCCCTGCACTAGGTTGGACAGTCCCCTTTGGCTACAGGAAGGCAGGAGGGGTGTGAGCCTCTTACTTCCTCTTCACTGTGGCCCCAGCCCCGTTGCCCTCCACCTGGGATCTGAGTACACATTGCGGTGATGGAGATGCAGTCATTTATTGTCCAGGTGAGGCCCACAAGCCCTGTGGCTACCTGAGATGGGCTGGGGCCGCTCCCCCATACTTACTTTGCTTCTGCCACTCAGCCATTTCCCCCTCCTCAGAAGGGGCACCAATAACAAGGAGCTCACCCTGCCTGCTCCCAACCCTCCTGCTCCTCCCTGCCCCCCAAGGTTCTGGTTCCATTTTTCCTCTGTTCACAAACTACCTCTGGACAGTGGTGGTGTTTTTTGTTCAGTGTTCCATTCTTCGACATCCGTTATTGCTGCCGCTACCAGCACCAAATGTTCATCCTCATTGCCTCCTGTTCTGGCCACGATCCCCTCCCCTAAGATACTCTTTGTGGGGAAGAGGGGCTGGCACATGGCAGGCTGGGTGACCGACCACCCCAGTCCCAAGGAAGGTGGGGCCCTGCCCCTAGGATGCTGCAGCAGAGTGAGCAAGGGGGCCTGAATCGACCATAAAGGGTGTAGGGACCACCCCCTCCCCCTGTTCTGTTGGGGAGGGGTAGCCATGATTTGTTCCAGCCTGGGGCTCTCCCTCTGGTTTCCTATTTGCAGTTACTTGAATAAAAAAAAAAAACATATATATATATATCCTTTTCTCGGAGAAAAAAAAATTGGGGGGACAGTTTGGAAAATATAAGTATGTACTGTATATTACGTATTATTATGTAATTATTAAATTTCTTAATGTCGTTGCAGTTATGTAAAATAATGTCCTCTTTCTGGGAGATACATAATCAAGTATCTGGGGGTGATTTCACATGATATGTATAGCTTACCTCAAACAACTCAAAAAAAGAGAAGACACAACCCATGTGTGCCAAAATGTTTTAAAAATGTAGGTGACATAGAGGTATTTACCATATTAATCCTTAAAATTTTCTGTAGTTTGAAAATTTTCAAAATAAAATGCTGGAGAAGGGAAATTAAAAACAAAACAAAACAAAACACACACACACATACACACATTGCATGCACATATTTTTGGTGGTTTCATGGCAATGGTTCCTTCCCACAATACAGTCAGTCCTCTTTATCCATAGATTTAACCAACACTAGATTGAAAGTATTCAAAAAACAAAACAAAAAACAAATACGAATTTAAAAAATACAGTATAACAACTATTTACATAGCATTTGCGTTAGGTATTAGAGGTAATGTAGAGATGATTTAAAGTATATGGGAGAATGTGCATAATTTTTATGCAAATATTACACCATGTTATATAAAGACTTGAGTATCTGAATTTTGGTATCCGTGAGGGTCCTGGAAACCATCCCCTGTGGATATAAAGGGACAGGATTACTATACTTCCATCCCAAATAACCTTTTGATTATAACCTAGTTAAAAATGATTCCTTCATTTGAAGAAATCGATGATCTGGATTGTAGATGATATTATGAAATTACCATTTATAATACCTAAAATGGTATTATGATGATGTAAGCAAATGTCATTCTTGGGATGTGGGCTTAATTATTTATAGGTGGCTGGCGCAGTGGCTCATGCCTGTAATCCCAGTACTTTGGGTGGCTGAGGCAGGGGGGATCACTTGAGATCAGGAGTTAGAGGCTAGCCTGGCCAACATGGCAAAACCCCATCTCTACTAAAAATACAAAAATTAGGGGGACATGGTGGCACGTCCCTGTAGTCCCAGCTACTTGGGAGGCTAAGGTGGGAGAATAGCTTGAACCCGGGAAACGGAGGTTGCAGTGAACCGAGAGCATAATACTGCACTCCAGTCTGGGCAACAGACCAAGACTCGGTCTCAAAAAAAAAAAAAAAAAGGATTTATAGGCGCAATGTCAGGATGTCTGCAATTCTGCAATTTACTTTTAGATGGCTCAGAAAAAAATATGTACAAGTACTTAAAGAGAAAAATAAAGCAAATATGGTAAAATTTTAACAATTTTGTCAATCTAGGTGGAATGTATTCAGGTATTCATTTTATCATCTGTCAACTTGTCTGTAGTTTTGAAACTTTTCATAATAAAGTTAGGGAGGAATTCAGTCAACAAAAAAAAAGCATATATCTTTTCTTTTCTCTTTTTTTTGATAGAAGGTCTTGCTCTGTCACCCAGGCTGGAGTGCAGTGGTGCCAGATCATGGCTCATGACAGTCTCAACCTCCCAGGCTGAAGTGATCCTCCCACCTTACCTCCCCATCCCCCCAATCCCCAGTAGCTAGCTGGGACTACAGGAGTATGCTACTGTGTCCAGATAATTAAAAAAAATTTTTTTCCTTTTTTTGTATAGACAGTCTCACTTTGTTGCCCAGGCTGGTCTTGAACTCTTAGACTCAAGTGACTCGCTCACCTTGACCTGCCATAAAATGCTGGGATTACGGGCGTGAGCCACTGTGCCTGGCCTATGTTAAGGGGTTAATAACTTGAAAGCATATTTTCAAGAGTGACTGATAATCAAGTAAATATAATTTTAACTAGAATATAAAACAAATGGGATGGTTGTTAAGAGAAAATACCTTCAACTTTAAGCTTTTCTTTTTCTTGAGCAGCTTGGAGTTCAAAGTTCTCTTTATTTTTGGCTTCAATTTCTTCTAGTTTCCTTCTTTGTTCTTCCTTTTTCTTCCTTCTCTTCTCTTTTCTTTTTTCTCTTTTCGCAGCCAAAGCCAGCCTCCGACTTTCTTCCCTTAACTGTTAAAGATCAATAAAGCAGAAATATAACGTTGAAATTTACCCTGGAGAAGAAGTTGTCACATAATCATTTAATCATAAGGAAACCATGATATCATAAAATTCAAAGTCATCTAGTTCAATTCATTGTTTTATCAAGATCATATTCAAACCACTCTAAAGAGACAATATTTTTACAATATCAAGATCAAATTAACAATATAAGACTAATTTTAAAATGGGTAAATAATAAACAGATACATAGCTTTTAATCATTAAGGACATGTAAGTTGAACCGACAAAATACCATTTTTTGATCATTAATTTGGCGAAATTTAAAAAGGTATCAGATATCAGCACAAGTTTGAGAAACTGAATTCTCTCCTGTACTGCTGCGGGCATGAATATTTACATTTTAGAAAAAGTAATTTGAAAGCTTCCTAACAAAAATTACAAACTGCTTATCCCAACAACTTATTATATAAAATGTCTATCTCTAGTGAAAAAACAAGGGTTCAGCAATTTTCTTTGCAAATTGATTATAATGGCAATACATGGAAACAAGGTAAGTCTGTCAATGGGAAGGAATAAATTAACAGTATATATTCACAGAATACTAGATAGGCACCGTAAGTATTATAAATATGTACTTGGGAAAATGCTCCCAGTTTACATTTGTTAGGAGAAAAAAAGGCACACTGAAGACTAATAATCACTTTTATGAGAGAAGAGAACCCTCTTTGTGCATCGATTTGTATAAATACAGAAAAAAAAACCATAAAAGTTATAAATAAAAGGGTAACAGAGACTACCTCTGGAGGGTGGAACAGGAGGAGGGATAGCAGAATGATGGTGACTTTCAATTTTACTTTATATAACTATACAGTGTTTCTATTTGTTAAAATGAGTACATTATTACTTTCATAGTCAAAAAACTAACTGTAGGTTTAAAAGTCCAAAAATATATCTTAATAAACTATTTTAACTGTTAAATTTTCTTTCTTGGCTCATAAAGGTATGAAAATCATCTTCAAACTCTGTCTGCATGTCATCTAAAAGATGTTTTTTAAAAACTATTCTCCACCCATAATCTAGCATTCTGAATTATTTTATGTGTATTTTAAATATGTGTCAAAACAATGTCAGTTAAGGCATGGAGCCTACAACATGTAAAACCAGTCCTCATAAATTCATAAGCCAAACAATATTTAGTTTTCATTCAAAAAAGTCTGACTTCATCTTTTAAGTGCTGTGCTTTTGCTAGATACTCTCTGTCCTGCCTTTCAAATTAACCCTCTCCGGTTTTTTTTTTTTTTAAGCCAAATTTAGCAGCTGGGGGTTGTATACCAACTTTAGTGACACTAACGTTAATAAGTTCTGATAACCCATGACACTCAAACCAGCTCTCTGCTAGGTTCTTGAAAAGTTTGGCCCACCACCAGGTTTTTACACCCTGCGGTAATGCAACATACTTACCTTAGGCTAGGTGAGAGATAAGTCTTGTTCCTGAAAAGGGCAACAGTGAAGGAAAACCTGTAGGTAGAATACCCATACTTTCTCCAGCAAATCGATTTTAGGAAAGAATGCATCTAAAAGCTAAAGATACAGAAACTGCCTGCATCGTAACCCTGGAAATTTCTGCTGGACTCCCAGAAAGCTCCAGTCTGAAGATCAGTAGAGGAGCTTTTACCCCTGCTGAAGTATTAGGAACAAAACAGTAACTGGTGACCTTTACTCCCTGGATCACCACAAGGGAGGAGTAATATCTGATTGGTGAGTTTGAAAGAAGAAACTGAGCATGTGTGACTCAGCTCATTTGAGCCTTGCTTATGTGTTTTCTCCACGTGGACCCCAGTGAAGGAGGGAGAAGTGTGCTTGTTCTGTCTAGCTTTGATTTTGTGGAACAGGTAAGTAAGTATAAGAGGGAGAGGAGGAGTGAAAGCAAAGGTGAAACGTGCACCAGAAAAACGTATTATCAAAGCAGCTATGGCTACAAGTGTGTATTAAGTCTCTCTACTTCAGGATTAGGAATAACAAAATCAATATTTTATCTGTATCGTATCTGTATAGACAGAAAAATCCTGGGAAAGGAATGCTTTGGGGGAGAATCAAAACAGCAAATGAAGTTTTAGAATTTTGGCTCATCCATGATGGGTTGTTCATTTTGCTGGAATTTTGTACTTACCTGGTAGCAGGAGCTAATTATGACTGCTATTTAAGCGGGAGGTGGGGGGGATTTGGGGGTGGAGAATTTTTTTTAAAAGAATAAGAGTTTTAATTCAGAAAGCAGGATTTCATTTAAGCCCATATGTCCTAGATGTTGATGGGGGTGGTAGGTTTGGGTAGGTCATAGGGTGTGGCTGGGTCTTAGATATGTAAATTTCTCAGGGCTGGCAGAGTCAGTCAGGGGTAGCCCTTTGGCAAGAGTAATATGAGTTTGGATTATCGAACTTCAGAGTTTAACCCTAAGAGGTAAGTATTTGCTCGTTTCTAAATTTTGAAGTTTTAAAGCCGGCGTTTTGATAATCTGATATATTTTACTAACCCTCTGAATTCACTGAGAGTAGGTAGGGCACTAATTCAGAGGTCCTAGGGAAACCTTCTGGGGGGAGATACCAAGTTATGGCTACAAAATGACCCAACTTTACATGGCACGGAGCTCTAAAAGTAAGCAGAATTAGCAAGTGTGGATCAACAGATACAGGATTTAAGAGGCATCATAAGTTTGCAGGCGGTAGCTGAAACTAACAAATGAGGTAACCAGAGGAAAAAGGTGTAACTGTGTGTGTGTGTATACATACACACATACACCTACTATTTTACTATATATAATAAAATATATAGATATTATACATATATAAAGAGAGTTTATGTATATGTGTGTGTGACAGAATATCTAAGGGGTAAAGGAAGAACAAATGAGGCTTCTGAAAGGCATAATCAGAGGAAGACAAACAGGAGAAAGCAACTCCAATGGGAAAAGGAAGGCCAGATCAACACTGGTAAACCTCACAAAAGTGGTGGGCATCAATAAGAACTGAAAAGAGGTAAATGGATTTGGCGTGCTTTGTGAACTGAAAAGAAACAAAAAATAAAATTTAAAAAAAAGAAGGATTTGTCAGTTAAGATGCCATTGGTTACCTCCACCACAGTTAGTTTATTGGAGAAGGAGGTCACATGGTTCAGACCTAAGATTTAATTTAAAATAGTTAATAAGACATAGAGATTATTATAAGCATTAAAAGAAAGGCAAAATACTAAATTTGAGAAAAAGTTCCATTAGGATAGAGCTACCCTGATTGTACCTCTGCCTTGACTGAAGCTGTAGGTAGTGGGTAGGAGTTAGTAAAACAGTAGAAATTGAAGATAAAGGCATAGGGAGAGGTGCTAATAACTGATAGAAAATCCCAGACAGCATATGGAAAGAGTAACTAAACCATGAAGATTCAAATACGTCCAGAGGCATAAGAAAATAAAACTAAAAATTCAGTCTCACTTTCTATATTTTCTCTCACTTTCTCTCATAAGCCTAAATCTCATTTTACTTCTTGGAGAACTGCTGTCATGTTTGTTAGTGTGTGTGGGGGAGGTTAGAGGCTCTGAGAAAAAGGGTCAAGTTAGACAGGAGAATGGCGTGAACCTGGGAGACGGAGCTTGCAGTGAGCCGAGATCGCGCCACTGCACTCCAGCCTGGGCAACAGAGCAAGACTCCGTCTCAAAAAAAATAAATAAATAAAAATAACTTCACTGTGGAATGGGAAAGGGCACTAACCCAACTGATGATTTCTAATTGAGGGCTCAGGAAACAAAGTGACACTTGGGAGTTAGGCTTTATAAGATAAGAATTTAAGGACTTGGGGAAAGCCAGTCCAGACTAAACAAATACTGCAGATTTAGATATATGAAAGTGAATGGGATATGTGAGAAGTAGCAAACCATAGTGAAAGATGAGCCTGGAGAAATAAGAGAGAAGACCTGAATGTTTAGAATTTCCCATGCAATCAACGAAGAGGCACTGAGGGTTTCTGAGGAGAAAGTAAGGCATCCCACCTGTGTATTAAAAAAATACGCGGGCTGGGCACGGTGGCTCACGCCTGTAATCCCAGCACTTTGGGAGGCCAAGGTGGGCAGATCACGATGTCAAGAGATCAAGACCATTCTGGCCAATATGGTGAAACCCCATCTCTACTAAAAATACAAAAATTAGCTGGGTGTGGTGGTGCGCACCTGTAGTCCCAGCTACTCGGCAGGCTGAGGCAGGAGAATCGCTTGAACCCAGGAGGCGGAGGTTGCAGTGAGCCGAGATTGCGCCATGGCCCTCCAGCCTGGCAATGGAGTGAGACTCCGTCTTTAAAAAAAAAAAAAAAAAAAAAAAAGCGAAACTGTAAAAGTTACACCGGAGCAGAAAAGGAATACTGAAGACAAAAGATAAGAGAGAGACACAGATATGTATACAGGTAGACTTTTAAGAAGCCAAATGCAAAATTTTGGGTGAGAAGTGATCACTCAGAGAGGAAGTGGATGGAACAGAAGGCAGACACAGAGACTGCCAAAGCTAAATAAAAGGTGATGGTAGTGATGATGATAATAATCATGATGACAGTGCTGATACAGCTAATATATAGAGGGTCTAATATGTGCCAGATACTGGTCTAAGTTAACTCACCAAGTTAATTCATTTACTGGATGTAAAGAATGGGAGGCAAAAATAATTGAGAACCTAAAAGTAGCATCAAGATTTCATTTCTCAATAAAGAGTAGTAATATCAACAGCAGAAAGAGATCAAGAAGTTTCAAAGGAAGGTAGGGGAAAGATCCAACAAAAATTTTCTGGTAACTTGCTATGTGCTATGCACGGTTCTAGTTTCATCAGTAAACCGGATAAAACATCCCTGTCTTCAAGTTTACATTTAGTTGGTTAGGGGAGGGTGGATACAGATAAATAGAATGCATACATTATAGTTTGTTAAAAGGTGATAAGTGCAATGTAAAAAAGGGGAAAAGAGCAGCGAGATGAAAAATGTGTGTATGGAGACAAATGGAGGGTTTTGATTTTTAAATAGGGTAATCAGTGTACCCCTCATGAGATGAAGTTAAGTGAACACCTGAAGGACATAAAATATTTCAGCCAAAGAGAAAAGCCAGTACAAAAGCTCTAAGTTAGAACTGGACCCAGTATATTCAAGTAAGCTAGCGTGGCTAAGAACAGTAGCAAATGAGTTTCGGGGAACAGTATCAGGAGGCTTGATCACCTAAGGCCTTGCAGAGCATTTTAAAGACTGTCTTTTACTGAGAGGGAAAGTCATTGTCGGGCTCTGAACAGAAGTGTGATATGATTTGATTTAGATAATTGAAGAGGATCAGGGTGCTACATAAACTACAAGCAATGATGGAATCAGGGAGACCAGTTAAATGACTAATGCAGGTATGAGATTAAATTAATTGTTTGAACCATGGTGAGAAGTGATTAAGATTATATATCTATATTTTGAGAGAAGGTCTCACACTGTTGCCTAAGCTGGAGTACAGTAGCACAATCACAGCTCACCGCAGTGACCTCCCCAGGCTCAGGTGATCCTCCCACCTCCACCTCCTGAGTAGCTAATTTTCAGGCAAAGGTAACGGGATTTTTCAACGCGATGGAGTATAGAGAGAAATTAAGGATGATTTCAAGGTTTCTGGCCTGAGCAATAAGAGTTGTGGGTTTGGGGTGGGCAAGGATCAGGAGTTCATATTTGGACACATCAAGTGTGAGATGCCTAATAAGGTATTCAAATGGACATGTTGAATAGCTAGCTGAATACACGAGACTGAAGTTTAGCAAAGAAGTCTGGGCTAGAGATACAAATTTGGAATCAACTGGTGTACATTTAAAGTTAGGGGGCAGGATAAGACCACCAGTGGATAAAGAAGACCATGTAACAAGTCAAAAGGCTTTTCGCTAAAAGGTAGGGGAGAAGAGGAGGAACCAGCAAGAGGACACAGGAACATCCAGACAGGTAGGAGGAAAAAAAGAGCCTGTAGTGGCATGAAAGCCAAGTGAAGAGAGTATATCAAATGTTATTAGTTCAGTAAGATAAAAGATGGAGAGGAGAAGTAACCATTGGATTTAGCTATATGAAAGTTACTGGAAACCACAAAAGCATAATTTTAGTGAGTTGTGGGAGTTGAGAGCCAGCCTGTCAGGAACAGATTCAGGATAATGGAAGAAAAAATGGAGGTGACTGAAAGCGGCGGTTCAGGGATCTTTACCGCAAAGGGAGGCAGAGAAATGGGTCTGTAGCTAAAAGGTTGAGGCAAGAGGGTTGAAGTCAAAAGGTTTTCTGTGTTTAAGATTGGAGAAATAAGTGTGTATGCTGATGAGAATGATTCAAGAGAGGGAAAAAAATAGGAGAAAGAAAAGGAATTGCTACGGACAGTGCTGTTGAGAAGGAGAAACCATATAGGATCTGGTACACAATGAAGGGACTGGTTACCAAAAATTTATCTAGGCTGGGCATGATGGCTCACGCCTGTTATTCCCAGCACTTTGGGAGGCCAAGGCGGGCAGATTGCCTGAGGTCAGGAGTTCGAGACCAGCCTGGCTAACATGGTGAAACCCAGTCTCTACCAAAAATACAAAAATTAGTAGGGCATGGTGGCCCATACCTGTAATCCCAGCTACTTGGGAGGGTGAAGCAGAAGGATCACTTCAACCTGTGAGGTGGAGGTCACAGTGAGCTGAGATCGCACCACTGCTCTGCAGCATGGGTGACAGAGTGAGGCGCTGTCTCAAAAAAAAAAAAAAACTTTATCTAGTCACTGGTAGGAAGTATATGGGTGTAGATATTGGTGGGTGGATAGATAGGGTAGGCAAAGTCTTTGGAAGTTTTCTTTTGATGCTTCCATTTTCTCATTAAAGGTAAAGAAGAGGAGGTGCAGGTATTGGTGGGCAGATAGATGGTGTAGGTAAAGTCTTTGCAAGTTTTCTTCTGATAGTTCAATTTTCTCAGGATGCAAGGTCACCTACTGAAGGTGAAAGAGAGGTGGTGCTGGAGTTCCTAGGATAAGGGAGAAAGTAAGAAACAGTGGTCTAAATGAATGGAAGACTAAATTAAACTAAGGAAATGCAGCATTTTAACTACTGGTCAGCATTAAAGGGCTAGGGAAATCTAGTAAAGCTACTGTCAGCATAAAAGGGTTCGTTGTCACACATTTCAAGTAAAATTAGTCATAAAGATTGTTTTTTCTCGACACGTTTAGTTACTGAGGTTCATGTGAGAATAAGAAGAAAGGAGTAAGAAACAATGAAAGGGTAGTATGACATAAATGGTTCTTACCATTTATTGGTCGGTGGTGTTGGCAGGATTATTAAAAGTAGAATTCTAGAGGGAGTAAAGTTGAAAAGATAGAAAGCAATAATCAGAGAATGAAATGTGTGAAACCGAGAATGGGATAGGTTGTGTTTGAAAAATATACTATTACCTAGCTCCCTAAAAGTTTACCAAAAAAAAAAAAAAAAAAAAAAAAGGTAGAGGAAAAAAACTAAAATGAAGTGAAGGGGGTAAAAAAAGGTAGAGGAAAAAAACTAAAATGAAGTGAAGGGGGTGAAATAATTATATCAAAAATGTAAGTTTAAAATATCTGCTAGGGATTCTAACAGCCAAGAACGTAACTTAGTTGTTAATGTTCTGAGAGCAAGCAATTAACTGTTAAGAAGATTCCATAACTTGACCAGATGGAACTACTTCAGAGCAGGGACTCTTCCACTTAGTAAATGCTCAATAAATAAATGTTTACTTAATAAGTATTAAAAAATCTGCTGGCCTTAACATAATGGCCACTGATCTCTTTTTCTTTTGTAGAGACTGGGTCTCACTACATTGGCCAGGCCGGATTTGAATTCCTGGGCTCAGCCTCCCGAGTAGCTGGGACTACAAGCATGTACCACCATGCCCAGTTTTCTGCAGCAGTTTTTATAAACCAAATTTTCCAAATTAGAAAGACTGACCAAAGAAGCACTTTTATACGAGGAATAACTTACGTATGGAGAATCTCAACTTGGACCAGTCAAGACCAACTCCAGCGATGAAGCCAGAATGTAATATATCTCAAAAGGCTAAAGAAGTCCATTTTCCCAGATGTAAATTATAATTAAAAAATAGTGAGCCAAACTCTAATATCCCAATGTGATAATCTTTCAAATAAAAATATGGGCTGTAGTTCAGGAAAAAAGTGGCTTCTCTATAATTAAAAATTTTACATATGTTCCACGTTCACTCAAAACTATACATAAAAGTATATAATGCATGTGCAGGAATCAATTTAGATAGAATTGATTAATGATTAAGAATTCTTCATTAGCTTTTGGTTTTAATATTATGGAAAAATATACAACGATATTTAAAAGAAGCTTCTCTTGACTTCTCTTAAAACTAAGGCTCTTGAAAGTATAAACATTAAGGTTAAATAACGCTGGCAAGAATACAAGGAAATGACATTGGTGTATTGCTAATGGTACTAGGAAAGTATTCTGCAAGTATCTACTAAATTAAAAATACAGTAGTGCCCCCTTATCCATGATGAGTAAGTACATTCCAAGATCCCTGGTAGATGCCTGAAACCTTGGATAGTACTGGACCCTGTATATATATGTTTTTTCAAAGAAACCCATGATAAAATTTAATTTATAAATTAGGCACAATGAAAGATAAGCAACAATAGCAATAAAATAGAACAATTATAACAATATGCCAGTAACACTACTCTTGCACTTTGGGGCCATTATTAAGTAAAATTAGGGTTTCTTGAACACAAGCACTGTGATACCTCAACAGTCAATCTGATAACTGAGGGCTACTAAGTGGATACACCAGACAAAAGGAGGATTCATGTCCCAGGTGGGACAGAAAAGGACGGCGCAAAATTTCATCACACTACTCAGAACGGCATGCAACATGAAACTTATGAATTGTTTATTTCTGGAATTTTCCATTTAATATTTTCAGACCATAGGGAAAGCAAAACCACAAATAAAGGGACTACTATATGTTGACCCACATGAAGGAACTTATTTCATAAAAATAAAAGGAGCAAAATATTTAAAAAATATGTATAAGGGTGTTTATTACAATATTATTTGTCGTGACAAAAAACTGGAAACAAACTTATTATGGACTATTCTGCAGTTATTTAAAATCACTATCAAATGACAATATCCATCAGTTACTAAGAGAGGGGAAAGCAAGTATTAGAGTAATATGTTTGCATGATTCTGTTTTTTAAAAAAAGTACACCATCACAATCAGTGTGAACATTTATTCATTCAACAAATATTTATTGAGTGCCTACTATATGCCAGACACTATTTTATGTTCTAGTAATAGAGACAAACAAGATAATTAAGTATTTTGAATGAATACAATATTTAGAATGTTGAAAAGTGAAAAATAAAGCAGAGAAGAGCAGAAAAGTGCTTGTGAAGAGGAAACTAAAACATGAGGACATCTAAGGGACATTCATGGAAGATGCTGCTGACAGCACAAACAAAAAGAGGATGGTCAGTATGGATAGAGCAAGGTGACTAAGAGAAAGAGTAATAAAAAACAAGGCCAGAGAGGTTTAAGAAGTGGTGTGGGTAGGCAGATCATTACAGGATCTTAAAAGGCCTTATAGGTAATTGCAGAGGTAAAGATTTTAAAACAACCATTATCACATTTCTAACTTCAGTTATCTTAAAATGATGGCAGCTGTTCTTGTCTTTGTTTCACAGTTTAAACTGAGCACACTGTTATAATAAAAAAACAAAAATTTAAAGAATCAAATATATATTCTATCACACAAACTGGCTCAATTATACTGCCTTGTATTTAGCAGGCATTAAATAAATGTTAGGTAGTGAATATAAAAACAGGTCAAGTAATAGTTATAGTGGTCATTATATCTCTTAATGCACTCATATTCTTTTAACATTTTTAAATGGCCAAAACAGCTACTTTTAATTTGCTCAGAATATAAACCACAAATTTTTAAAAATGAAGAGCTTCCAAAATAAAATACATTTTTTCAGAAAATAGTATTTTCAAATTTAAATTAGAATAAAGTACTTCAAATGATTCATATTAATGTAGGACAAAATGTAGAACTTAATAAAGAAAGCAAGTATAGTAAAAAAGAATGTAGCTAACAAGTCAAAAAACGCATATGCATAATTATCACTGCATCTCCTTTATAAATTTAAATAGTAGATGTTAAATTTTATAGCATTTTGACCTTTTTAAAAAAATTTTATTTATTTTTTGAGACGGAGTCTCACTCTGTTGCCCAGGCTGGAGTGCAGTGGCGTGATCTTGGCTCACTGCAACCTCCGCCTCCCAGGTTCAAGTGATTCTCCTGCCTCAGCCTCCAGAGTAAATGGGATTACAGGCATGCACCACCACGTCCGGCTAATTTTCGTATTTTTGGTAGAGACGGTGTTTTGCCATGTTGGCCAGGCTGGTCTCAAGCTCCTGACCTCAGGTGATGTGCCCGCCTCGGCCTCCCAAAGTGCTGGGAATACAGGCGTGAGCTACTGCGCCCAGCCACTGACCTTTTTATAAAAGATGAGATATGGCAGTTCCATAATATTCAATGCCAAACCAATTATTTTCCTATGATTACTATTCAGTTAAGTTCTAGAGTACAGAATTATAGGGGAAAATGTGGCAGAAAAGGGAAGTGAAGAAGCTATAAGACTGTCCAAACTATATGCTGTTTTGGTGTATTTTACTCCCCATGGGAATAGATGGGAATGATGTTGTAGTCTGCCTGAAAGAGAAAAGTACAAGAGAAGTCACCCATTTAAAAAGTGTACTCATTTGACATTCCAAGATTTGTATTTCACTAGTTGGTTATGCCTTGGTAGTGCATTTGGTACTTGTGATAAACCTGTTGGCAATAAATTACAAGGTCTAAAACAATAAATTATAAGATCAAAAAACAACAGATGTGGTTGAGGATTAAGAGATCATTAGCTGAGATAAGACTAAAATCCAGAACTAGAAGCTAAGTTTTCTGACTTCCAGATCAATGTAATTCCTATAACAAAATTTTGTTAGTTACAAAGAAGCTTTCAATGATGTTCAATGTACTCATAATTCTCTCCACGATTTGAGCCAAATGTAGAAAGAAATCATGTACGTAATTTAAAGCAAACAAAACAAAACAAAAAGACGGATTACAAATCAAAAGAAGAGAAAACAAGATGGAAAAAAGTGGGTAGTTTTCATGTGTAAAGATTATTGTTACCTTTTCCAAGTCTAACTCCTCTAACAAAATGCTGGCGTTTTTGTTTGCTTCAGCAGCCTGTCTATCTTTGGCTTGTACTATTGACTCCATACAAAGATGACACTTCTTCAGCATCTCCTATAATGAAAAATTAAGATTTTTCCAGGCTCACAGAACAATTCTCACTTAGAGAAATTCCTAAAAACACGAAGATCTTTAGTAAGGTACTCAAACCTAAGCAATAAAGATCCATGAAAGGGGGAAAAAAGGTGTGCAAATAAAAACGTAATTGACATGGTATATTTAGGAATATATACAAATGAAGAATCAAAGAGTAGCTTTTGCTATTCTTCAAAATAATATCCATTTAGCAGGCACTTCAGAAACTAAAGTCATTTATCCTCTAATTTAAATATAAGAAATTGTACAGCAAACAGAACTACAATAATTTATGTTGGCTGGTTAACAGGCTAAAGGAAATAATGTCAACAAAGAAAACAGATGTGAAAATTTTTCAAGAAATGTCCTCAAATATTTAAGCTTTGTTGCTCCAATTTTGTGTACAATAATCATTTACAAAGGAATCAGATACATGTACTTACATAATTTTCTCAGTGATTTCATTCTCAAGTCACACTTTAGGACAGTAAAACACTACTTCCTTATTTTTATAAAATTTTTATTTATTTAATTTTAGAGATAGGGGCTTGCCATGTTGCCCAGGCTTAAATGCAGTGGCTATTAACAGGCATAATCATAGTATACTGTATCCTTTAACTCCTAGGCTCAAGCAATCCTCTCACCTCAGCCTCCCAAGTACATGAGACTAATGCGTACCTGAGACTACAGCTGTGTGCCACTGAACCAGTCTTATTCTTAGTATTATTAAAAATAATTTATTTTTAATCTCCCCCTCTGCCCCTAAAAACCTGTGATATATAGGAATGTTAATTGTCATGGACAAGTCTAGAGCTAGGAAAGACAGTGACCTAGCTAGTTTAAATTAAAACTTATAGGGAAAAGCTGTTCACTATCATGTAATAGCAACTGTGTAAACGTCATAAGAAGACATTTTTAAGATTTGTTGTCCTCTTTGGTTTTCAGAGGCATGTGTTAGGATCTTATTCAAGTGTTAGTGTAAACTCCAAATCAAAATGTATGTCTCCAGGAGAAGGTCTCAATTAGGATCTCTAATAGGATTCAGTTTTATCTTCCATAAAATTTCCTGCAAAATTTGCATTTCCTGCAAAATTCCTAGCCAATTCATTCTAAAACTTAGTTAAAACTAAAAGTTAGTTACCCTAACTTTTACATCACGCTCAAGACTTCTTGCTCATGATTAAAAGTAGTATGTTCATTTTACTAGGAAATAAAAATCTATTGGACTCATTACTTTCTCAATATAGGTATCAGTCTGGATAAACACACATATACAGAGGACAGCCCTAATGAATAATAACATGTTGCTTTGAATTACTTAGTGTTCACATAAAAATTAAATTAGCTCAAGAATTTTTTTGTTGTTATTTTATTTTTTGAGACAAGAGTCTTGCTTTGATGCCCAGGCTGGAGTACAATGGCACACTCTTGGCTCACTGCAACCTCCACCTTCCGGGTTCAAGCGATTTTCGTGCCTCAGCCTTCCAAGTAGCTGGGATTATAGGCACATGCCAACATGCCAGGCTAATTTTTGTATTTTTGTAGAGATGGGGTCTCCCCATGTTGCCCAAGCTGGTCTTGAACTCCTGGGCTCATGCAATCCACCTGCCTCGGCCTCCCAAACTGCTGGGATTACAAGGGTGAGCCACTGCACCTGGCCTCAAGTATTATTTTTAAAGATAAGGTAATCCTATAGCAGAGGATGTTTTATTGATTCATTAGGTAAGTAAATAATCTGCAAGAATCTCTTAAATCGCATACTTCATTCCCAAATACTAGATAAATGAAAATGGCTACATATTACACTTTACTACTCAAACTAGGAATTCTTAGAATGGAAGATATATTAACCGAATAGAGTCCCTTGCTCATATAGTGAACAACATATTACCTTATCAGTGATGGTTGCTATGTATCTCATACATTCAGAATCTGATGGAAACTGATTGACTTCTTTGACTAAGTAGCGCACCACCTTCACATGACCCTAAAAAATAGATATCAATGTCAGATTGAAAACAGACTCTAACAGTTCAGTAAATCTATGCCTGAACTAACTTTAACAGTTAAGATTAGGGCCACAAAGTAAAGACTAAATTGCATATTTACACTATAAATGAAAAAGAGACAGGCTTTGGTTCCAGTGAGTTAAATCCACATTGATCATTCTCATCCTACCCTCCAAAAAAAGTACATAATAATATGAGCTAAAATTCTAAACAACTCTGAATAAAAAAAACAATAATCCCAAAATCAATACAAAGAGTAGGGGATATGTCTGAAGGGTGGTGGGGGGTGGGGATTCTTATTTTTTTCTTTGCTAACTCCCTAAATATGAGAGTCTAGTTTCAATTCTAAGGATTAAAAGGGCAAAAATAATAATTTTGTTTTTTCATTCCTTCAGATAAAAAACAAATGTATAATACTGTCTTAGGTAGTGTGAAAGAATATATACTTTCATGAAGAATAAGCTATGATTATTCACTGCAACACAAGTTAGTATCTAAGTTCAAAATCTTTAGACTTGCCCTTTCCTACTTCTTAAACGCCATTCCCACTTTGTCTAGCCCATACTGTTGCTTTCTGACACAACATCTGAAGTTAGCCAGTCGGGATAAACAGCTGTTAATCTTTAGTATATTTTTTCTATTGCCTCTATCTCTTCCTTTTAGACTGCATGTTTCTAAACTTTTCTCTAAATGAATAGCTCAAATGCCACTTGCATCATTCCCTAAGGATCTCTCTAATACTTCTACAGTGTTTAAACTATTTACATGGGACAACTCAAACAGTTACCTAACTTTGGGTATGGATCTTACCTTTCCATATTGTACCCTATATAACATAGTATATGTTATATATACATATATAGACAATATGTATATACATATATAGACAATGTATATAGACATATATACACAACATATACTATGTTGCACCCTATATAATATAGTACTCTAGCCCACAGTTGCACATGTTAGGTACTCAAGAAATAATGGAACAAATACATAAGAGTATAAAAGATAAGCACTGCTCAACTGAAGTCAATAAGTCTATCTGGAAAGATATATGCATGTTAGATACTAGAGTAATAACTAATAAAAATAACAACTCTAATAGTTAGAGTAATAACATATAAAAATATGTATTTCTCCAAATGAATGATAAACACTGTCAAACTTGTACGACCTCTAGAGATTAGAGATCTCGATGTGAACTCAAATAGGATGAAGAGTTTGGTAGGAGAGACTTCAACTATAACTAAAGAATGAGTAACTTTGGAAAAATGAAGAAAGACATGGGCATTCTATGAGATGAGAACAAAGGTGATGTGAGAGATAGGAACAAGGAAAAGACCAAGCAAGAAGATAATTCTCCACATTAAGGATTCTAATGGGAGATAAGATCTACAAGCACTAAATTGTGGTGGCTGTGAATACCAAACTAAGATTGGATTTCAAATGATTTCAGAAACTGGGGAGACACAGAAAGGTTCTTGAAGAGGTTCTCTAATATAGTAGAGTGGTTAGAAAGATTAACTTGATAATGATATGCTAGCTTGCTTGGAGAAGAGGCAGCTAGCCAGTGAGAAGGAATAAGTTGGATTGCTGAGAAACAAAAATATAGAGAGTCAAAAATACAGAGTCACTGGTAGTCCAGATTATCTAGGGAAGAGGTAGAATAAAGAACAGCGGTCAGAGATAATAAGAGAAAAAGGAAGAAATAGCTTATTGTGATTTATTTATTAAAAATTTTCAACATTTTGGCATCTACAGGGAATTTTATCTACATATCTCCAAATGACAAAACTCAAAATTATAATCCCTGTAACAGTAATCTGATATTCCCAATAACAAACTAAAGCTGGATTTAAGAGATCAATGGATTATCAAACAAACCATTAAATCAAATTACTTACACACAGCTCTGTGCTATGTACAGAAAGAGAAAGTTTGTTTTACTTTCACGGAATTTGTATTTTTACCTTTAAATGTAATATACTTGAAACTTAGTAGTTTAAAATGCTGGTAGTGGCATTTTCATTATTTAATTCATTTTTTTTCCTAGTAAAGTCAATAATTGAAATGAAAACAAATTTTTTTTGAGACGGGGTCGTACTCTTGTCACCCGGGCTGGAGTGCGGTGGTGCAATCTCAGCTCACTGCAACCTTTGCCTCTCAGGCTCAAGCCATCCTCCTATCTCAGCCTCCTGAGTAGCTGGGACTATTAGCACATGTCACCACGCTCGGCTAATTTTTATAATTTTTGTAGAGGCAGGGCTTCGCTACATCTGCCTGCCTTGGCCTCCCAAAGTGCTGAGATTACAGGCATGAGCCACCATGCGTGGCACAACCCCCGCCCCCAGCAAAATAACCAGTTTAAGTGATATTTTTCTCTGTAGTGGTAATACAAGAAAACACTCACTAAGAGTAACTAACTGGAGGTACTTACTTAAGTATCTTAACTGGATTTACACTTTGTGAAGATTAAGACTGCAACTAGATTTTGAACACATTACTTAGAACAGCTTTTTAAAAGTTTACTTAGCTCTGATGTCCAATAAGGTTAAAATTAATGGCTTTTCTGAAAAACCTGTATATATCTACATTTAATGTTGCCATAAGAGTAATTATTTGCATATTATTGCTTTCATCACAGCTGCAAAAGCACAAAATGAGTCTTTAGTGATCACTAAGCCATGTACTTCCTAGTGTAAGTAAAAAAACATCCAGGTAAATGAGGATGAAAGACTTATACCTTTCTAAATGCTGCCATAAGAGGAGTTATCTTGCGGTTATCTGCTGCATCCACATCTGCACCTGCTTGCACCAGTAACTGAACCACATCGAGGTGTCCACCATTTGCTGCTAGCCACAATGGAGTGTTCCCCTTCTTGTTACGTACATCAATATGAGCTCCCCTAAAAACCAATGACACAGATAGCATTGTCTTTTTTTTTTTTTTTTTTTTTTTTGATACAGGGTCTTGCTCTGTCACACAGGCTGGAGTGCAGTGGTGAGATCATGGCTCACTGCAGCCTCCACCTCCAGGGGTCATATGATTCTCCTACCTCAGCCTCCAGAGTAGCTGGGACTACAGTCCCATGCCACCACGCTCAGCTAATTTTTAAATTTCTTGTGGAGATGGAGTCTTCCTATGTTACCCAGGCTGGTCTCGAACTCCTGGGCTCAAGTAATCCTCCTGCCTCAACCTCTCAAAGTGCTGGAATTATAGGCATTGTCACCACACCTAGCCTAGCATTGTCTTAAATAGAATGAAATGACACAGTAACAAAAATCAACTATCAACATGTGAAAATATTCTGTAAAGATAAAAATTGTTTTCAATATTCAAAGATGTAAATATGTCTTGCTCTCAGAATTATACTACACAAACAATATCCTATGAGGCAACTGTAACCGTTTCAGATTATTTGTATTCATATACAATTTGACCATCCCTAATCTGAAATCCAGTATCTGAAGTCTGAAATGCTCCAAAGAGCATTTCCTTTGAGTGTCATAACAGGGCTCAAAAAGTTCCATACTTTGGAGCTTTTCCAATTAGGGATACTCAATCTGTTTTTGTAGTTATGTTAAAGATAACATGCAGGTTTAGCATTCATTCAGTGGGCATGATGTAGATGGGAAGAACCATGGTTAGTAAGAGTTAACAGCAGTTACTGCCAAATACTACTGCTTAGAATACCATGCAAAGGTCTTTGAGAGTGCACGAAAACAAGTTAAACAGACAAGCATCTTTGGAAAACTAGCAGGCAACTTCTACGTGACTGAAAGTAGAAAGTACCTTGGATCCTGTCTGTTTATCTTAAATAGTCCCATAACCACACCTAAAAGCCTTAATTACTGTGAAGAACAAGAAAATGGACAATGAAGCCTTAGATCACTGCCAGACTTTTAAGACTTGTGTGTGGGGGATGTAAGTATGTCTGATAACAGATGGATGTTCAAATAGCTTGTTATTGTAGACGTTAAAAGTAATATAGACAAGAATGAAAGAAAAACATTTTTAGGTTACACAGAAACAAATCAGACAATGTAGCATAGCTCTGGAGGGTTGGAAAACAATGGGTAGGTTTGGGGGAAAAAGCACTTGTTTATAAAAGAAGAAATAATCACATTTGATTTTTTAAATAGTTTAATTGCCTAGAGAGAATGATAACCACTAGTAACACTTGTGTTCATATATGAAGGGTATGGTAACAACATACCTGCCAATAAGAAGCTCACAGAATTTGTAATGCCCTTTATCTGCTGCTATGGTTAAAGCTGTATCTCTTGAGGAGGGAACTGGAGGGGCATTAACATCAGCACCTTTATCCAAAAGAACTCGGCCCACCTCCGCATATCCACCAGAGGCAGCTTCCATTAGTGGTGTGAGACCAGTCTAAGTTTAGTGTAAAATTAAAAGTAATGACACGTAAGAGACTGGAAAGATCTAAAATTGTAAAGAATAACAACTTGAAGAAGGAATATGATACAGCTGTTACCAAGATTCACAACTAAATTTAATCACTGACCCTTATTAGCTCCTTTGAGTTAGTCTGATCTATTAAAAGAAAATAATTCTACCTAATCTCAACGGTATTGCAAAAAAAAAAAAAAGAAAGAAAGAAAAAAAAATCTGTTTAAGATGCAAGCACTTGGCATATAACTGGTACTCAATAAATGTTCCATTCCCTTCCTTTTCAAAATAGTCTCTCTTTTTCAGCTGATAATCCTACTGTCATTGTTGCCTATAAAAATTTATCACTCAGGTATTTTCAAGAGTTAATGTTTGACTGAGTTATACAGAATGATTTCTAATTAAATATATACATAGGAGATAAATGTTACTAGAAAGAACTAAAATTATAATCAACATGTTGCTACTATATATCTTAAATATCAAAGCAATAAATTCATGTGTAAATCTCAGACTTTTTCTTACCTTAGCTCTGTGTTCAACATTTGCTTTTCTATCAAGCAGAAGACTAACCACTTCAGTTCTTCCTTGGAAGCAGGCTAAAGTAAGGGCAGTGTTCCGATTGGTTTCTATCTGAGCATTTATGTCAGAGCCCATGTCTAACAGGAGCTTAACAGCAGCTGTATGCCCATTCATAGCTGCTAACATCAGAGGAGAGATGCCCAATTTGCTACCAGTTCTAGGGGTGCAGGTATGGGGAAAACAAATGGAAAAATATATATTTTAAATGACAGAAAAATTGGAGATGATATATAATTCTAATCTAAGATTATTTTGAAGGATTGTTTAAAATATCCATTTTTCTCAACCTTAGTAAGTCTCTGAGATACTACCAAGACTCCATTAGAAATGTTTTATTAGAATATTTTTTGTATTTCACTCAACATAATGACTTAGGCTGGAAGGTGATTAATAAGTTATTAGGATAAACTTTCAATCTTAAAGCATGTATTAGCTTGCTTAATAAAAGCTTCTAAGATGTTTACATTTAGTATCATAAGAAACAGTACTCAATATTTTTCAAACTCTATATCAAGTTTTAATTACTTAAATAAAGTTCATCTCAAAAATCTCTAACACTTTGAATGCCAAATTTGTAATAAAGGGATTTACTAAATTTGGCACTAAAAAATAGGTGTTCTACAAATATCTATAACAGTCTTACTAAATAAGGGGCTTACAGAAAGGGAATACAACTTGCCTAGAGTTAATCTCAGCTCCTGCATTTAGTAATATTTTGATGATGTTCACATAGCCACCAGAAGCAGCCAGACTTAGAGGTGTGTAATCAGAAACATTCCTGTGCTCTTTATTTGCCCCTCGAGCTAACAATAGCTCCACCACCTGAAAATAAAATAGAAAAAAATATGTTTTCTTATGGAGAGACAAATTACCAAAGTGTGTATTTTTAAATTTCTTTTTCTGGTATACTGTACAATAAAAGAAGGGGAAAGTTCTTCCTTCATGCTCTGCATAAAATCAGCCTCTAATGATAGCAGGAGGTCTTAGAAGCCAACAAAGAGATACCTTCTCAAGTAAAACCCATGTAGAAATCCACTAAAATGCTACAATGTGTTCATGAAAGGTCTGGACTGAAAATTTTGTGACATGCTTTGGAAATTAATATTTGTTATTTCACCACAAAGCGGTAAAATAGAGTAATATGGGACAAGATTTTTTCGTATTATACATGTGAATGTATTTAACATATTTTTAAACCTTTTAATCAGTAAGTATTTTAAAAGCATGGTATAAAAGGTCCTATATTTTCACAAGATTATGAAAATTTTCTAAGATAACATTAAAAAACCTTATATACATTCACTACCTAGATTTTAGGTCCCACCTACTGGCAGAATTTCTGGGTGTATGGTTTTGTAAGAAATTGCCAGGCTATTCTTAAAGTGGTTGTACTATGTACACTCCCTTCAATAATGCATGAGTTCTAGTAGCATGAGTCTTGGCAACATCTGTTATTGCCAGTCGTCAATTTTAGCCATTCTAGTGGATGTGTAGTTGTATCCCACTGGATCTTAATTGCATTTCCTGAAACCTAAAAATATTTAGCATTTATTTAAGTACTGATGGGCCATTCACAGATCATTGTCCACTATGCCATTTAATGCCTAAACAATCCTTTGACACAATATTCATTCTCATTTTATAAATAAGATATAGAGAAGTCAAGACTGGCTCAAGATCATAGCTCTTACCCCTGCTCTTACTATTAATAATATATCCTAAAATACTAACTGGCAAATAATAAATGTTAATGAATAGTGGTTTATCTTGCATCTCAGCAAAGCTATGTCCAATTTTAGATATCACATTCTTTCCATCACTTTTTGCTTTCAGAGCGAGTGACAAGGTTATAAAAACAAGAAAAAATATAGCGTTAGGCTATTTTATAAACAGTATAGTAGAAAACTCTAATCAAATTTCTCAAGTTTTCTCAATGCCATTATATTTCTCAATTCTTTCAGAGAACTCTTCTGCTCCCAAAACATCCAATATACAACAAAAATGTATGATTTTTATAGTAAAATGACTTTCCAACATTTTATTAATCACTTCAAAATACTTACCTCTTCTATTGACACCAAATTAAAGTAACAAAGTGTTTATAGGCAAAATTGTTACCCTAACATACTTCAACAATTGTTATAACCTAATCTGTTATATTTTAACAAAAATACATAATTCATAAAAATTACAGTGCCCTATTGGCTTTAATACTACTTTTAAATAAAGAAAATCAACTAATATCTTCTTGACTCAATATTGAAAAAATCTGTTCTTATATAAAGCAAGTATTTTTTCAAGCTAAATAATGATTGAAAGGCAATATGATTGAAAGGCAAAATTTTGCTTTCCGGGATTTATGGGGATTTTTACTTTTTCTGGAATAGTAGAAATAATTTATCAAATTAAGTGGTTCATTTTTCACTATCTTAATATTTGGCTTATAATACTTTTAACCTATCTATTGCCCCTACTATGAATTATAGAAGAAAAAAGTGACACAAGTAGAAGAAACAAAACAGTAGGGACAGGCCAGGCTCCTTGTCTCTTGTGTGGAGTATTCTAGTAATAAGTGTATCTAACTATCCATTCATATAATATCTATTCCAAATATAAGGGAACAAAAATTATGGAAAAAAATGCCTATATTATCACTGTTAATAGATTTCAGTTCTTTTTAATTTACAAAATGAAGGATGACCAAGCCCTACCCTTACTGCACTTACATAATTTTATTAGATTTCCCATTCTTTTGTATAGGAATTATTATATCTATTAAAATTGTTTATTTATTAGTTTATTTTAAAAATCTAGTGGGTTTAACTAACTAGAGCTCAATATAACCTTATGTGCTATGACTGGGGGGAAGTGGGGGGAAAAGCTAGTTTAAGATGCTCAAATGGGAGGTAACAGTTCCCCAGTTCACTCGTCAGAATACCTTTACATATAATATTTTAAGAAGGATACTGACATAAAGGGTGAAACAGTCACGATGATGAAGGGATTGGAAAAGGTATTCTTAGGCTAACAACCGAAACAAGACTTGTTTCACACAAAGAATAGGTGACTTCAGGAAAAAAAAAATCTGAAGATAGAAAAGGTTAAACCTCTTTCTATTTGTTTAAAGAACAAAACTAAGAACTGTGGGGAAACAAAAAAGGCATACTTCAGGCCTGATAAATAGGAAAACCTTATAAAAGAATAAGAGAAAAAAGATTTTAAAGCTAAGACACTGATCTGAATGACCTAAGGTGCTTTCCAAATCTAAGATTCAATAATTCCTTGATAGAGAAGGGAATCTATGGAGACAACACATCTGGTTTATATCCCCTGTACAAAGGACTGAATTTGAAAAAAAAAAAAAGGTTATCTAGCTGATTATAAAATGCCACAAGATACATAAGTGAGTGTAAAGCTACATTTTCTTGAGCCTAGCTAATCTCTATCAGTTGTTCTAGTTTCCTTAAAAAAACAAAAGGTCATATAATCTTACCATCTTATCTGAGAACCTTTCCTCCAGAGTTGAGAAAGGGTGGGGAAAAATCAAAGCAAGACAAGAGTTCTCAAAACACATAAAAATTGAATATTCTTAATTCCCTACTAATCTTACAGACAGCAACAGAGACTGTGATTAAGTACCTTCTATGCCATGTACTATAGGGCAGGCAAAGATGAGTGAATATAGGCCCTGTACATTAGGAACTTACTGATTTGACTTGGAATAGTCTTTCTCCTACCGTAAATGCATGGCATTCCTACTTTTAGATGAGCAGGATTCTAAACAATGTGTGATTTTTCTGGCAAGATAGCTTATGCTAACAATGATACTCATCTTTTTGTTAATAGATAATAGTTTCAGTTATTGTGAGAAATCTAAACGTCAAAGCATTGTTCTGATAGAAAAAATAATATAAGTGAAAGTACACATTTGCTAAACAGAGAAAGGAAAACAATTACACTAAGGGGAAACATTACCTCCTGTCTTCCCCCAGAACAAGCCAAGGAGAGTGGTGTGTCCTTGGTTCTTTCAGACTGGGCTTCAATGTCTGCACCATTGTCCAGCAATATTTCCACAACACCAACATGACCAGCTGTGGCAGCCAAGATGAGTGGAGTAAAACCTGGAGAAAAATAATGATCTTCTCACTACATGCTAAGGCAAAAGAACAAAATATCTGACCTTCAAAATAGGACTAAAAAATAATGTTCCTAAATAAATTTTTTGACCAGTATTCCAAAAAATAAAACAAAAGTAGGCCCTACCTTTCTTGTCTCGGTGCTCTATACTAGCTCCTCTCTCTAGCAGTGTTTGTACCAGTTCCTCGTGGCCACCAGCACAGGCAAGTGTTAGTGCCGTGTCATGATTACTCTCAGTCTATAAGAAATTATTTTTTGGTTAGTTTATTAAATAACTTAAGATGTTAATATCAAATACATAATATGCAAACATATCAAATACACACAAATACATATGTACCACTCTACAATATCAAGCATTTGAAAAGCAAGGTTTATGGACGGGCGTGGTGGCTCACGCCTGTAATCCCAGCACTTTGAGAGGCCGAGGTGGGCAGATCACGAGGTCAAGAGATTGAGACCATCCTGGCCAACATGGTGAAACCCCATCTTGACTGAAAATATAAAAATTAGCCGGGTGTGGTGGTGCGTGCCTGTAGTCCCAGCTTCTTCGGAGGCTGAGGCAGAAGAATCGCTTGAACCTGGGAGGCAGAGGTTACAGTGAACCAAGATCACGCCACTGCACTCCAGCCTGGGTGACAAAGCGAGACTCCGTCTCAAAAAAAAAAAAAAAAAGAAAAGAAAAGAAAAGCAAGGTTTACTTGTTTCCATATTAGCAGCCAACTTGCGAGTTTTTTAAAAAGGCTACAAACATCAAGAAAAATAAAGTATGACTTTCAATCACGTGATTGAAAGAAATACTGTGGATTAACTTTTGCTTTCAGCCATTAATGGAGAAACATAGATCAGATTTATTTTCCTATTTCAAATAACTAAAAAAGAAAAAAAACCTCTTTGAAACGATGGTGTTTAGACAGGCAGTGCAGAAGAGTGATCTCTGAAGACAGAAATGATTAGCCCAACTTACTGCCTGGAGAGTTTCCAGGCTATAGTGCAAGGAGCAAGTATCCAAACAACCTGGCAGTCTCCCCAACTTGAGAAGACAGAATTTGGAGAGATCAAGGTGGCTAGAATTCATGGAGCAGATTATTGAAGAGGAGAGTACTGCAGAAAGGGTACTCTGGAGATGTGCAGAGGATTCCCCTCAAATCTTCAGCTGAGTTTTGATCAGTCCATGTGCATGAGGAAATTATCCCAGGCCAGGAAAGGACCACCAGAGAGAGTCAGGCTGAATAATACCCAGGGCTCACACGGAGCCAGGAATAGTTTGGTTCCCACCAGCCAGAGTAGAAAGACCTCAAAACACACAGGATGTCAAGTAGAATCCTCAGTAGTAGGGCCAAATTAGCAGTTGTGGACCCACCTAACAAACTGAGAAGTAGGCCTTGAAATTTAAAAAAAAAAAATTGTTTCCAAGTAACTTAGCTGTATTTGAGAACAAAGCCCCAAAATACTTAAAGGAACCAAATATCCAAAATATACTGTGTATTTTGAAAAACAAAGACTATTATAATGAGACATGACACTATCTACATATGGTTTGCTTCTGCCTTCTGCTAATGATAATGACCAACATATTAGATTTACCAGTGTTCATACTCTGTTATAGTTTCAATGCTAACCTAGCAAACTATCTAATTTCTCATACTTTTATTATTTATTTTATTTTTTATTTTTGAGATGGAGTCTCGCTGTCACCCAGGCTGGAGTGCAGTGGCGCGATCTTGGCTGTCTGCAATCTCTGCCTCCTGGGTTCACGCAACGCTCCCTGCCTCAGCTTCCTGAGTAGCTGGGTTTACAGGCGTCTGCCACCACGCCCAGCTAGATACCTTTTAGTACTCTACAAGCAACATGTGACTATTAGCATTTGAAATATGGTTAGTGTAACAGAGGAACTGAATTTTAAATTGTATTTAACTTTAATTTAAATGTAATAACTGATATTCAATTTGGTTACTGGAAAATTTAGGATGTCTCAAACAATTTGAGTAAATGAATCTACTTTTCGACTGCACATTTAATTAAATCTAGATACAAATTGAGTATTTCCAATGAAATCCAAATTCAGATATACTTTAAGTAGGGTGACAAATCTGGGACTGAGGGGGTTTCTGGGATGAGGGACTTCTGGTGCTAAAACAGGAAAGTCCCAGGAAAACCAAAATGATTTGATCACTCCAGCTGTAAGTCTAACATGCCCAAGTTTTGAAGACTTTTAGTATGAAATAAAAATGTAAATTATCTCAGCAATTGTGGTGTATTGATTGCATGACATGTTAAAACAATATTTGGATATATTAAATTAAATTAAATATATTTTAAAATTCATCCCATTTGTTTCTTTTCACATTTTTTAATGCGACTACTAGAGAATTTAAAATTACAATCTCATCATATTTTTCAACTGAACAGTGTTGCTCTAAGCATTTCCCTCACTTTCACATATGTATCTCTATTATAGTACTTATCACCAATCTGCCTTATATGTTTATCACCCACAGAGACTATAAATTCCTGGGAGGTAAGGAACATGTCTTATCCATGTTTGTATTTTCTACCTGTAGTGATAAATTACTTAGGAAATAATAAATGATAGTTAAGTAAAATGAATGGCAATAGCTGCAAAAGGTCATAGATTCAAAAACTGTTACTAATAAACATAATAAGCAAGGGACTATATATGTAGCATTGATTACATTTACACATTGTATTTGTAGAATGTACATAATAATTATAAAAAGGAAAAGCATATTCTCCCAGAATGTAAATAACTCTACAGACCAAATTCCATTATAAGAAATGAAAAACAAAAGACAAAAGGCAAAATCAGTAAGAGTTAAGAAAAAAGAAAAAGCCTACTAGTCAGTGATGAAGAGGGAGACGGCAAAAGCTGCTCTGCAGAAGAGGCTGGCAGAGAGCAGAGCTACTGACTGCAGAGATCAGGGATGGCCACAAGGGAGAGATGCACCAACTACAACAATGGAGAAGGACATGAAACTTAAATGAGTGACAGCTCTGACTGTGTTATACTATTTGATCTTCATTTCAGGTTTATAGGAAGAAATTATATCTGATTTCAGAGAAAAGGAGATAAAGGCTCTGATAAATAACTTTCCGATGGCCACATAAGCTAACAACTGGTAGATATGTGCTTTAAAAAACCCAAGAAGATCTTGATAACAAAATCCTGCTCTCCCCACTATATCACAGAGGGGCCCTAAGGCAAAGCAGATTGTGCTGAATATAATGTTAAGTGTATGTGTCTTATGTCCACTCTACGTTGGTGCATATGCAATCAGCAGAAGAATCAATTTTATGATGAAGTTTATAAGGTTTCTAAAATTCTTCCAGGGTTTAAAGAGTAATTTAGGAAAGCTTAAATAGAAAATGAAGAGATGTACATAAAATTTGCAAAAGATAAGCACGGAAAATTTTAGTGGATCAGTAAAATGTTTTTTCCAATATTATAAAACATAAATTCAACTGACATTTATTAAGCACCTTTTATATTCAAAGCACTCTACTAAGTGCTCGAGGGTTGACAAAGATAATACAGGACTCAAAGAAGCTTACTGATTACTACACAGGGCAAATTCAGGTTCAAACTAGGAGACAAGCATAATAATATATTATGAGATTTCAAGAAACAAACATTTAAAGCTAAGAAAACAGCTTTAAATTCCTTGTGGAAATGAAGTTAAAAGTGGGCAACTCCATTGTATTTCTGCATTAAGAGAAACTAAACCAACTAACATGACAGAAATATCACTCTATTTCTGAATACATCAATAAACAAATGAACTGAAATAGAAATTTGGGTTAATATTAATAATGACAAAGTAAAGAAAAAAACAGGTGTTTCAAATACTGCTAATCATGGAAATAATTATAATACAGCTGACTATTTTGTAGAAGGCAAAGTACCAATTAAAGGAAGAATCCTTAGATTCAAATTATATTGCACAAAGTTACATTAGTCAAGAAGTTATATTCCTTGTCACAGATCTAAGAGAAAGTCCCGAACCTGAAAAAGGAGATAGATGTCCAGAGCTTTAAGAGCTCATTCAGGTTTCTATTCTAAAGAAAATTTCAGTTAGCCCATGATGCCATAATATATACACCATTCTATACCATTAATAGAGGTTGTTATGATGAATTCTGGCTTATAAAAAATGATAAAAAATATATTTAATGCAAAAATATTCTGTAAGTTATCAACATGACTATTCAATTTTATAATGGTGGTACAGAATGAAAAACAAGAAATAGTAACACAGATGGCAATACTGAAGGAAAGACAACTTTTAATGAGCTGAAATTCAGGTGAAAAAGCACTGAACTGTGTGAAGTGTCTTTAAAAAAGGAAATACGCTGGGTACAATGGCTCATGCCTGTAATCCCAACACTTTGGGAGGCTGAGGCAGGAGGATCACTTGAGGCCAGAAGTTTGAGAACAGCTGGGCAACATGGCAAGACCCCATCTCTGCAAAAAATTAGCCAGAAGTGGTGTGCAATGCCTGTACTCATAGCTACTCATGAGTTTGGGGCAGGAGGATCATTTGAGCCCAGGAGTTCATGGCTGCAGCAAGCTGTGATGGTGCCACTGCACTCCAACCTGGCTGACAAGAGTGAGACCCTGTCTCAACAACAACAACAACAACAACAAAAAAGTACATCTATTAATTACTTTTTTTTTTTTTTTTTTTGAGAGAGAGAGTCTTGCTCTGTCGCCAAGGCTAGAGTGCAGTGGCTCACTCAGCTCACTGCAAGCTCCGTCTCCCAGGTTTGCGCCATTCTCCTGCCTCAGCCTCCCGAGTAGCTGGGACTACAGGTGCCTGCCACCACGCCTGGCTAATTTTTTTTTGTATTTTTAGTAGAGACAAGGTTTCACGGTGTTAGCCAGGATGGTCTCGAACTCCTGACCTCATGATCCTCCCACCTTGGCCTCCCAAAGTGCTGGGATTACAGGTGTGAGCCACTGCACTCTGCCTATTAATTACTCTTAACATAATTAAATTACCTTGAAAACTACTAGGACTTAAAGAGCTGAACTTTTTTTACACTTCCACAACCTTCAAAATCCTTAATATCTCATTCTCTAACCCACTCAGGTTACATGTAAGCTTAAAAAGTGGGATAGCACTTCAAGGTATTCAATAAATGAGAATAATCAGTAAAATAAATAACCTATTAAAAGCAGTTCATATGAACAAGTAGAATGCATGTATTTTAAAGCAGAATGCTTTAATGGTAGCATATTATATATGTATCACTGTTAACTAATTTTTGCTGGCCTCTCTAATTTCTCATGTTAAATCACTGTGATTAAACTGTTCTTTATATTGCAAAACCAATAAGAATAGAGAAAAATATTCATATAATACTTATACCATTAAAGGTAAAATATAATTTTACATACTTAACAATTTCAGTCTTGATACGTCACAAGTGAAATTTGATGTCTACCCTTCTTTAAAATAATGAATATATGTTAATTATTAAAAAGTGAAAGAAAGCAAAATTCTATAAAGATCTATTTTTTTTTTTTCAGTTTTGAGATGTACTAGAATAAGGTACTCCAAGTTCAAGAAAAGACTTCAGCGGCCTCAGAATAAAAACAACAAGCAGTTTAGGAATATAGGGAGGACATGTGACAAAAAAGAGGCTGGAACAAGTTTTTATAGCCCAAGAACAAAACAACTGGTTCTTTCTCATTGGTAGTGGCTCCTAGAATCGATCATATTTTACACAATAAAATACAAAAAATATTTAATTAACTTGTGGTATTCAGTTCTAACCTTCAAGTCAGAATTATTGTTCCACATAAAGCCTGTGGTTTTAAAAAATCTCTACATAATTCCTCATTTCTGTATGTACAGAACCCACAAATAAGTTTGGTTATACCAAACTTAAGCAAAATAAACTCAACTTAAACTCAAGCAAAATAAACACAAAGGTCAGAGCAATGCTATCAAAAGGTGTAATAAAAATAGTCCCAAATAATTCCTTCAAACTATTATTTATTGGTTTCCTAAAACAGATTTTGATAGCAGCAAAGTATGTGGTATTCATCTTAAAAGTTTTGAAAATACCTAGACAAATTTGATTCAGTAAAACTGGAGAGTTGGAAAGTCTGTGGCACACCCTTGGCAAGTGAGTTCTAGTTGTGTAGCAGAGAGTTGAAGCCCCTTATGAAGAATGCAAACTCTTCAGCATTTGTCAAGGATCAGAAATAAAACATATGATTCCTGCTAATCCTTGTTAAAAATATTAGCTCCTGTCTAAAATGTTCAACTAAAGCAGTTAAAGGTCTGACCATTTTCCAGAATCATTAGCATTTTAAAAGGAGTTATACTTTGAGGCTTTAAAAGATTAACATTTCCTTTGTTCTTCCTTATATTTTGATGTTAAGTATGCAAAGATGAAAGACAAATGATCTCTTACCATCTAGGCAGTGGACACGTTTCTGTGATCCCACTTACCAGGCTAATACAACATAATTCAAATTCAAGGTTAACACACTTAAGTTAAAAATAAAAAAACAATGTAACATAGTGCAGTGGTTAATAAAAGAAAAGAGTCTAGAGCCAGAGTGTCTGAGTTCAAAAGTAGGCTCCACCACTAATTAGCTGTTGGGCAAGGTAGTTAATATCTTTATGTCTTATATTCCTCAAATGGAAAATGTAATAATAATAGTACCTACTTCATGGGACTGTTACAAAGATTAAGTTAAAGAAGTTAATATCTGCAAGGCATTAAGCCTGTATGTTAGGGTTTGTTACATAAACAGATGAAAGATCTAAGTATTAAAGAATGTTTAATCTTTCAGAATAGCAATCTTGGTATTAATTTCTTCATTATATTATTTGTCACAGCACAGTATTATCACACATAATCAAAGTACCCACTATGTAAGAGCCCACAAAATTTTTATTTTCTTATCAAAACAAAAACTTTGAGCTTTTGTTTGATTGAGTATAAAAGGATCTTCATTTTTAATCACTTAAATTACCTGCTTGATATAAAAACTAGTTGTTTTTTTTTTTTTTGAGACAGAGTTTCACTCTGTCGCCCAGGCTGGAGTGCAGTGGTATGATCTTGGCTCACTGGCCAACACTCTGCCTTCTGGGTTCAAGTGCTTCTCCTGCCTCAGCCTCCCAAATAGGTGGGATTACAGGTGTGTGTCACCATGCCCGGCTAATTTTTGTATTTTTAGTAGAGACAGGGTTTCATCATGTTGGCCAGGCTGGTCTCGAACTCCTAACCTCAGGTGATCCATCCACCTCGGCCTCCCAGAGCGCTGGCATTACAGGCGTGAGCCACCACACCTGGTCAAAACTAGTAAATTTTAAAAACAAACATCAAAAATTAAAGGAGAAAAATGGTGAACAATTATTTTTGAACAGTATTTTTTTCCAAGGTAGGAACTTTTTAATCTCTAACTAAACACATATGGTAAAACTCCACAGAGAGTAGTTTAACTCAGGTCTGGCTAACCCAACAAATGACAAATCTTGATGTGAGATCAGATAAAAAAAGTAGATTTTTAAGGAGTCATAGTCAAATTTTTCTATAAAAGCATGTCTACTATGTTTAAAATGTAAGTTTAAAAATAATTTTAATTAAAAAATTACATGTAACTTCTCAGAACTAAGTTATAACATGGTGATAGTTGGTGAGTGGTACAGCCCAGAAAAATCATTTCACCATCACTACAGTAATTTCATATTCAGTAAAATCAATGACTGGACAAACTTTTCTGTGCCTGTTTAAAAACATTTTTATAAAGAAGTCTTTTTACATTTTGGTGAAGTACTTATTTTTGCTAATGGATCAATTCTTGGGCCCACAAAAATCAGAAAACTACCTCTTGCTAAACATAATAGTCTCAGCTGTGTGCGGTGGCACACGCCTGTAATCCCAGCACTTTGGGTGGCTAATGCAGGCAGATCACCTGAGGTCAACGAGTTTGAAACCAGCCTGGCCAACATGGTGAAACCCCATCTCTACTAAAAATACAAAAAAATTGGCCAGGCGTGATGGTGGGCGCCTGTAATCCCAGCTACTCAGGAGGCTGAGGCAGGAGAATCGCTTGAACCTGGGAGGCGGAGGCTACAGTTAGCCAAGATTGCCACTGCACTCCAGCCTGGGTGACAGAGCGAGACTCCGTCTCAAAATAAAAAAAAAATAAAAAGCCTCAAAGCAAAAAAGACTGGGGAAAAATAATGCAAATTCAATGCCAAGTTCAAACCAATTCTACAATGCTATCAATATTAAATGTAAACAACTATGGCTCATCAAATGAATGTCTCGTGTTTTTTTTTTTTTTTTTTGAGACAGAGTTTCGCTCTTGTTGCCCAGGCTGGAGTGCAGTGGCATGATCTCGGCTCACTGCAACCTCCATCTCCCGGATTAAAGTGATTCTCCTGCCTCAGCCTCCCGAGTAGCTGGGATTACAGGCATGCGCCACAATGCCCAGCTAATTTTTTTTGTATTTTTAGTAGAGATGGGGTTTCACCATGTTGGCCAGGCTGGTCTCAAACTCCTGACCTCAGGTGATCCGCCCGCCTCAGCCTCCCAAAGTGCTGGGATTACAGGCGTGAGCCACCACGCCCGGCCATCTCGTATTTTTTTTTAAAAGGCTATGTAGATGGTAGTTAAGAGTGTCTTTGGGGGATGGTGGCACACCTGTAATTCCAGCTACTCAGGAGGCTGAGACAGGAGTTTGAGACCAGCTTGGGCAGCATGGCAAGAACCCATTACAAAAGAAAAAAAGAATGGTGTCTTTGAAGTCATGCTGAATGATTCCCAGCCCTGCCGCTTCTTAGCCTAAATGAAGTGACTAAACAAAATGCTTAACCTCTCTCTTAGCTACAATGTCTTCTTCAGGGAGATGGATATTAAGAGTAGCTACATCATGTATGTGGTCTGAGGATTAGATGAGACAATTCCTTAAAATAGTCCCTGGCAATTTTAAGTACTCAACAACAACAAAAGTCAGTACATAAAAAACAACAGACATTTGGCCAACAAGTAAGAGCAGAAATAAAATTCCTTTTTCATAGTGTTACTGAGGATCATTTTAATAAAAAGGAAACTTTATTTTTAATAGGTTAAGAGTACATGCCCTTAATGGTCCATCCAACACAAACACACATACACTCACTCCTCTCTCTTTCTCCCCACGTTACCCCTGCTAAAATTCAGGCTTTATTATAAAGAAATAATCATATATAAAATTAAAAGTTTTATAATGTACACACCCCAGGTACCATCAAAATACAAAAACTAAGTAAACTGCAAACATTTCTTAGTCCTGATGGCCATGTACTCTTGACCTTATTCAGCAGTCTTCTAAACTAGACCTCTTAACTTTTCTTCAGGATAAAACACGCACTATTCTCTCCAATCTCACCTTGCCCTGAGATTTCATGGTCAACTACTTTTTAATAAAAAATTATACTTAATAGCTCTCAAACTTTCTAAAGCTTAACTTAAACAGTGTCCTCCCCCCACTCCATGTTATTTCTTCAAAAAGTGCCTGGAATCCCGTACAGCTAAATTTTACAAATACAGACACAGACTCACCACATATTTCAATCAGTAAGATGAGAATTTTCAAAGATGATATATGATATCAATCATGTGTATGACATACAAAAATATAATTTTATGTTAGAACCTTTTTTCTTTTACATGCAATCCATTATATATTTCAAACCATATCTTCTATTAATTTATTATTAGAAGAAGTTATGCACTAATCTTAAATAAATTATTTTTCTTTTATATCCTCTTGTGAACTAAAGTTAAAAAAAAGGTTACCTGATGACCTTGGAAACCAGACCATCACATAATTATCACTAATAATCTATATTTAGCATTTTATTTTTTAAATGTGAACTTTAATTAATTTAAAACTGGCTCAAGACTTTGCCTAGAGACAAAGCAGTCTTTCATGGTTTAAATCTCTGAAAGTTAATGTTTTTAATTATGGCATAATTCCAATGAAAAAACCATCTCTCTTAAGTTTGGGACTTACCTGTGCATCAATATCAATGGCAGGGTAGATAGGAAGCATGGCTGAAGGAGAGATGATAGGACTTGGAGTTGGAGTCTGAGGTTGGGAAATGGATGCAGCAATACTGTGGGTAGGAGTGTTTGACATTGCAGATGCTCTTCCACTGACTGCTGTTGAACAAAATAACTGCACTTAATAAGGATGAAACATTGTTAAGTAATACTAAGACATATTCACTCAAAAATATTTAAAGACTTCTTAAAACAATATGTCTACAGGAAGACTACTATAGCACTAATAACTAATTTTCCTGGTTATTATTCACTGATGACAGTGTAAAATTGTAATGTATACTGAGTAACTCATTTTCTAAATAATAATCCAACTGAAAAACAAATTCCCCTGTTATAAGCAGTCGTAAAACCTTAATTCAAAATAACCCTGAAAACAAAAATGTTTATGTATTAAATATAAATGCAAATGGAAACTTGTCCATTATATCCTAATTAGAAAGGGGATCAAAGGTAAAATAGTCAAGATCAGAAGGGGGAATATGTGGTTTTTACTTGCCAATTTCACACCTTATATTCTAGAACTAGTAAAATTAATATCACTGTCGGGGAGGGAGAAATCTCACTATGCAATCATTTAAAACACCGCCATACTGTTTTACTAACTGCAGACTGGGATATAGTAATATTCTGCATTGTAGCCCTCTGGAATGACAGGATATTCAAATATAAAAATTTATCCTCACACAGAAGTGTAGTTGCTCATGTGAAGAATTATTCTGAGGGAGCTAAAATGCTCACCAATGAATCCAGCAATCACACTGACTTAAGGACAAAATTAAAAGATTAGGGTAGAAATAAATGTATGCACACAAACATTCTTCAAATATGGATTACTATTATTCTAAGTATGATGTTGCTGTGATATTATTTTCACCAAAATATGCAACTTAAGAAAAGGCTATTCTGATCAGTACTTGAGGTGGGAGGACTCCAAATATGCTGGCATAGGATATACTGTAGATTCAGCTGAGGGTACTTTATTCTCTCATTGCCTTATTTCTGGAGTTGATAGGTGAACATCATCTCCCCCAACCCCATTAAAAATGCTATAGTATTAAAGTATGGGCATTTATCTTTGACTGGTCAACAGTACTGTGGATGTGTATTACCAAAGTAGTTATCAACTACATCAGACAGAAAACAATCATGATTCACAACTGGATCTGAAACCAGGCAAAAGAGATTATGATCCTGTCAAGAATAAAACTGAAATTGATCTTATTATAACAATTATAAACATAATTATGAATTAAGAAATCTATTTTACATGAAATCCTTAGTTCAGGCACAAACATACACTATACATTATAGCAACACACATTCTATAATTATACATTTTTAAGTCCACTTAAAAGCCAAAGGAAAAACGAAGGAGAAAACAAAACAAAACAAAACAAAACACTGTTTGAATCCTTAGGGATCCAGACCAATAGAAAAGGGCATATACTAATATATTAAATTGATAATCTAGCGATCTGGATATTGTTACTCCATATTGATAGTTTTGTATGTTACGAAAAGATCAAGATAATTTAAATGTACATATTGTTGATATACATTTCAAAATCATATAAAATCTAGAGCTCTTTAAATTGATTCCATATCTCCTTTGATTGGATTTTCACAATAAAACTGCTAAATACAAAAAGTAGCTTAAACAGGATGAACACCAGTCTGTCCGAATCACTAAATTTTATTTCATAATACTAAACAGGTTAAAAAAAATCTAAGTTTTATTGTTAAATGACTAAATTATAATTTACATTTCAACTGGAATATTTTCTTTTAAAGAACCTACCAAAATTACAGAGTTTTTTTTTTTTTTTTTTTTAAGTCAAATTGGTTGTTCTTATCACCTCATCTAAAAGGAGACAGGAAAAATCAATTATCTCATCATTTCCTTCGGGGTACCTATAAAATTGGTTTACTAAAATTAGGTGACTGTCAATCACACATCCATTCTCTACAACTAAAAGAAACAAATGTAAAATATGTAGGTACCTGAAGGAACTCTGGTAAAAATCTTTACATGTGGGGCTTCATTTTAGTGTTAGATTTAGAGAGGGAGAACCACACATCAGAAAAGTTTTAATGTCAGCATAGAAAAAAGGGAACTTGAAATGATAGCAAAGGCAAGGTGTTGAGACAGGTTAAACAGGGAGCTGATTCTGGTTTGGCAAGTGTGAAGAACAGGAAAGACAGACGATTTTGGTCAGCAAATTTTATGGTAGAAGTCTAATAAATGAAGCCTAAGAAATAAAGAGCAGGGACTGTGCTAGAGGGAGGAAAAGAAGACGATGAGACTAATGAGGCTGTAATATACTTTAAACCCCTAAGAAAGAAGTGGAAATCATCATTAAGCAACTGAAAGGATACATCCTACCACAGAAATTTAAGATTGAGGCTGCAAAAGTCAGTGCATGAGTATATGTGCATGTGTGTGAATGTGCACATGCCTGTTGTCAGGGATGAGTTGCAGGTAAGTAGCCAAATGTTTTCAATCCTACTCTTCCTCCTTCTGGCTATGTTTCTCTCCCCATAGAAATGAGCATAATAAAAAAGTAAAATATTTTTGTATTATGACAAGCATCTGTCATATTTCCTAAAAAGTTATATGCACTTAAAATTTTTTTATACAGAACACTGAGAATACACAGAATTGTTTTTGTTTCATGTATGAATCAAAAGAAAAGATACTTTACAAACTTCTGATAATTCTGATCAGCATACAAAACTGTACAACTAGCAAATCATTGTTGACAACTATGCATGCCCAAGCACATCAGGTAAACTCTGATATTATATAAAAAAAATTTTTTTAAACAACCATTACTGTGTAATACCTATTCTTCATTAAAGTGGATACGTAATATTTAACTCTATACATCCTTTAGTAGTTTCACATGATAGAGCACTATTATGATCTGAATTCATATGGACATAGTATCAAATTTAGGGTTAATGGTTACTGTGCTCCAACTTTCACAGGATATTTAATAATTTTAAAAGTTTACTCTCAATTATTATAATCAGCTAGTCATGATTAGTAGTGACTTTCAAATCTATAGAAAAATTTTGCACTCATCAATAAGAGTCGTACAATTCTTACTAGTAATTATTACTAGCATTTTTCCAATGTGGTTATTTAACCCTTAAGACTAGCAGAAATTTTCATTCCACATGTTATAACTACTGAGGTGCTATTAAAGGCGGACTAGCAAACTTTACAGATATTTTTAAGTATAAAATCTATCTCAGCTGGATTCTTAGTGTCTGAACGTTACCTAAATATCTAAACACTATACAGTTTAGTTTCCTATTATCCATTTAAAAGATGAAACTTAAAAAAAAATAAGCTCATCATATTTAATGCTACTGAAACAGTTTTTAAATTAGAAAAAGTCAATCATCCTCTAAGTACAGATGAATGAATAAAAAAGGGGAAGAGATCAGATGGAAGTCACCAAAATTCCACTGTTTATTCCTTTCATTTTTCTGTTTTCCTTCCTTTTCAAATTTTCTTTTTTTAATGAAGCAAATTATCCTTCTCAGTACAGCATTCTTATGGTTCACAACCCTATAAAACCTCATCCCATTACTTTGTTACAAAACACAAAAAATAAGTACCAAAAACTAGAAGCATAAAAACAGTCTTCTAAAGTGTATCTTCTTGTCAATGAAACTAGTTATAATCGAATAAAATTTATCTGGCTACACATCTAAAAATATATCATTTATGATACTTTCAGGGGGGCCACACCTTCTCATGATACAGTTAGAAAGAGACTACACATTAACATTCACAGGGGACAAAATCACTTACATACAGTATAATTAAACCCTATTTGGTTTTGAACTTTATTAATTTTGTAAAAGTGTTTTTTTTTTTAAATATCCATCAGGTTTGAAGTCTGATCCATTAGGATATAAAGTATTTCTGTTCATAAATAAGCTTCCTGATGTGTCCTACTAGTTTTGCACTTCAACTTCTATCAATTTCCCAGTTTATTGGTGTGAATACAGAAGCAAAATGCCAAAATTCAATCTCAGTATTCTGAACTTAAAGGAAAAAAATGAAAACAAAAACAAAAATCAAACATCAACCCCACTACTGAAAAACCTAGATTCTCAAGCTACCAAGCTAAGCCAGAAAGCTTCAGTCATTTGTACTGAATGAGCTAATCTTTAATTTGACCTGTATCCATCTGAGAACTTCTGAGATTGAACTAATACTTCTAAAGCTAGACATGAGTCAGTCCAAAAATAGTTCTCAAGTTGGGTAACGGCAAAAAATTTGGGTACATTCTTACTCGCCTTAAGCAAATCATATTTGATACCTGCTCATAACAATATAAACCCACCTGCCATGATGTCATCCAGCGTGTCATTGAGGGTCTGAGCAGGGCTGGCTACCATTAACCCTTGTTGTGTTTCTGTCAGAATTCCTTGCCCCAGCCCTGCCAACTGTGCTTGGCCCAGTACTGGCTGTCCAACTATCACTCCTTGCAGTTCTGTAAGATTTGCGATGGACCCTGGAGGCAAGGGACCTGCCGCCAGAGGCAAAGCTTGAGGCATCGCCAGAGGCTGGATTGGCGCAAAACCCATCTGAGCAGCAGTCTGCTGGGGTTCATCTTTAAGTAAAACAGGATCCACTTGCTGTAACCGTGCATAGTCTCCCTCAGAAAGCTGCTCTCCAACTCCAACAGGAGTTAGTAATCCCAGGTGTTGGCAAGACTGTTGCTGCTGTTGCTGAAGTTGAATTCTTTGAGCTTTAACCTCTAGATACTGCTTTTTTAGCTGCTGCTGAGTTTTCAGTTGTAACTCTCGTTCTACTTTCTGTAGTTCCTCCAAAATCTTTTGTTTCTTCTGAATTTGTTCCTCCCTTGTTTTGTTGAGCTCCTCGATCTTCTCCTTGGTAAGTTGGTCAGCATGAGCCAGTTCCAAGGACTGCAGCTGTGCATTCTTTTCTATGGCTTCTTTTATCCTCTGTTCCAGTTCTGTTAACTTTCCCTGAGCCTCTTCTACAATGCTCTCTGGAGACTGATTGGTGATGTAACCCTGTACATCCTGGCTGTTTGCTGGCAAATGGCTGCTGGACTTTTGTTTAGAAGCAGCTGTGTGAAAAAGAAACCCCCTCAGAAGTGCACATGAATGGCATCCTCATTACAGAGTTACTGTTGGGAGGTTTAGTGCCAACAGTTATGCACTAAGTAATCATATCCATAACAGGTGAAAATGCACTGTTAAAAAATTAAAAACAAATCCACCTTCTTTTTCACAAATATAAAATGTATGTATTTTATGTGCAAAATCTTTGTAAATTAATTTCAGAATCTTAAAAATAGCACATGGCTTAAATTAGACAATAGAGGAATGCAGGTTTGTGATATCTAAGTGTGCAATTAAAGTAACATCTAAGGCTATGTGTAGATATTTTATATGGTCATAAAGATGTTAAAACTCATCATAAGAACAGAACAATAATGCTAAATTATTAGGGTGAAGAGGAAACAGACCTCTAAGTCAGGTTTTTTCACATTTCATAGTCTGTGCCTTTTAAACACACACACATACACACAAAAAGTACCCAAACCACTAAGAAGTAACAAGAAATTAAAATCTGAGTAAAATATATGTCTTTGTTGGGGCCTACCATCTTCAAGACTAATAGAGGCAAGATATAAATTCACATATTCACACAGCTATCTGGCCAGTAGAGAATTGGGATTCAGTTTCCCTGGAAGAAAAGATGCTGGACTATGCCATCCACTGTATCTTCTGACAGCCAGGTGAACAGACAGATCTGGCTATAGGTATAGCAATCAATTGTTTGCTATACCAACTGAAAAAGGTGCCAAGGCTCTAGGTTGATAGTAGTGACTGAAAAGAGCTGGTGAAAATACTTAGCATTCTTGTTCATAAAAGAGTATACGTAGCCAAAAACCAAAAAATAAAAACTGCACTGTTTCTTCAGGTAAAACTTTTAAAAAGAAAAACTGATTCAAACCGGTAGGTATAAAATGTTTGGGGACATTACTTAAGAACACACATGGTGTAACATACACAAGTCAAATATGGACCTCAGAATTCTAGAGAAATAAACAAGCATATCTCAAGTAACTGAATTATTGGTTGAGAAAAGGTATCCCAGATCAGATATAAAATCTATATTAAGCCAGTCATTCTAAAATAAATTTCTAATATTTGATACATCTTGTTAATTTATGCCTTTATAACTGCAGAGATTTAGGTAAGTAATTTATAAAAATATTGCTCAACTATACCCAGCTTAACATTTTACATGAATAAAAATTACTATTAAAGGAAATCATGGATAATCAGAACTGCATCAAAGATGAGCATCTGAATTTCTCATGCTAAAACTTCTAATTGTAGCACAAATTAGTGCTATTAACTATTTTTTTCTCCCAATAACATGCTTTTATCATGGGTTAAAAATTTAGTAATGCCAACTTAGTAAACTTCTTTGTTTGTAGAAATGTCTATTTTTTGGTAATCTTATTTTTACCTGGACACCAAGTAAGAAACAGTCTTTAGAAGTATAACTGACCTTTATTCCTGATGGGAAGAGTGGTGGCAACATTGGCAGGTGGTTTGTCAGGCTCCTGAGGTGGAACAACCATGGGCAGTGCTTGAACTGGTACACGAGGAGCCTAAGACAAAGGACACTAAGTGACTATTAGTGTCCTACACAATCCATTAAGTAATATGCTCTAAATAAAGAATAAATTAGAGATTTTTTGACAATATTTTTAATATGTCATCTTAGACAATGACATATTTACTTAAAATATGTTGGCACCAAATTGTTTACCACGACATTTTTTAGTAGGCTTTGAATTCAAGTTGTGACCTTTAAAAGCTAAAGCATAATCATATCATCTAGGATCTGAATATTGTACCAGATGTTCATTAACTGTATCAAGTACATATTTACAAACAGAACTACATATTAGAACAAAAAAAAACCCTAATTTAAACAGAAACTGTAAGTGAAAGAATTAGGATAAAGAAGACATACCATAAAATGCTTTAATTTTTAAAATCTTACCCTATTTAAATCGTGGGATGGGGGAGTTAACTGAGTGACATCTGGTGGAGGGGCTGAAAGCAAGTTATTAGGATAATCCAAGAGATAGCAAACAACACTTGTATGGCCACCTTTTGCTGCTTCTATCAACATAGTTGAGCCATCCTAAAAGAGTGAATATGGAAGGGGAAAAAAAGTGAAGAAAAATAAGTTAGTTTACAGAATCACTTAGGAAGATAAAGCCAACAGGTCCCAGACGCATTAAAATCATAGGTTTGGTAAAGAACGCTTCAAGTGAAAAAGGAGAAAATTTACACTTAGAATGCCATTATGAATGGAACTTGTACATGATATGTTGTAACAATGACCAAGAGAGAAATACTAATTCACAATTCTGCACAAACATTTGAGTTACATACTTTCAAACGGTGAGTAGGATCTGCCCCATGAGCCAAAAGTAGTTCCACCACTGCCAGATGACCCCCTGCACAAGCCAGGGACAGTACAGTATGGTCATTATTAGCTGTGGTTCTATTCACATTCGCTCCTAAAACAGAAAAGGCATGGAAAATCATATTAGTAGAATGGTTTTTCTTAAAATTATGGTAAATTTAAAAATCATGAAGAGTAGAGAAAATAGTATTATGAGGCTCCACATACCCATTACCGAGCTTTAATGATTATAAACACAAGGCCAATCTCATTTCACAAATATCCTACATTAATTCTCCTCTCCCATCTTGGATTATTCTAAAGTAAATAAATCCCAGACAAACACGATATAATTTGAAAAGGTTTGAGTATGCACCAGTAAAAGATACCAAAGTACCCATTACTCCTAATGTAATAACTGTATTAAAAGTAAAATATGAAGTTTTATTTGTATTTTAAGTTCTTCAGTAGAAAAGATGACTGAATAAAAATAAACTATACTGCCCTCTATGGGCTTTATGTAGAGAATAAACACTAAATAGAAAGAATAGTACCATTTTTTTTCCCATTAGTAAATTCCTGACAAGGAAAATAGATAATTCACCCCTATTCCCAAATAGGAATGTATCCCTAATTTATTCGTTTGTTGTTTTCGTAGAAATGGGGTCTTGCCATGCATGTTACCTAGGCTAGTCTCAAACTCCTAGGCTCAAGTGATCCTCCCACCTTGGCCTGCCAAAATGCTGAAATTACAGGCATGAGCCATTGCACCTGACCTCTATCCCTAATTTGGATTACTGTGCTAGGTAATGTGAGAAATGGAAATAAAACAGCAGAAAGAAACTGAAATCAAACTCATTAAAATTAACCAATGAGAGGGGACAGCGATTATGTACATAATGCTATATATTCATAACAGTATTCTAAAGCATATCACCAGTGCATGGGAAAATGTTGAAAGTAATTTCGCCAGTAAGTTATTTCAAATTTTCTTTACCTATAAACAATTATAAACTTGAGATTTCGTTACTATTATTATAATGTGAAGAAAATGGTATATTATTGCCTTTTAAAATTGTATATGGCCTACATCTTTTTTTTGTTTTGAGACAGGTTCTCACTCTGTCACCCTGGCTGGAGTGCAGTGGCACAATCATAGCTCACTATAATCTTGAACTCCTGAGCCCAAGTGCTTCTCCTACCTCAGCCTCCCAACTAGCTGGCACTACAGGTGCAAGCCACCATGCCCAGCTAATTTTTTAATTTTTTGTAGAGACAGAATCTCACTGTGTTGTCCAGGCTAGTCTTGAACTACAAGACTGAAAGGACCCTCCTGACTCGAGGTCCCAAAGAGCTGAGATTACAAGGGTGAGCCACCACACCTGGCTTCCTCTTTCTTTTATCAATGCAGAATCAAAAATAAAATCTGTAATCTCTTATACTTAAGAATATGATGAACTCTGAATTGAAAACTGTCTCAACTAGAACTTTCCTAGTAAGCACGTTAAGAAACAATTTAAAGAAAGTAATAATATACTCCCTTTTATTTTATTTGGTCATTAAGGTCTTTGGTATTCAAACTAAAATTTCTGATCATGAATGAAAATCCTCATGCAATTTGCTATATTTGTCACATTTCTATTGTGAACATTTTTTGTACTATATTTATAACCAGCTCCCTGTATTTTATAAAAAAGGAAACATAGAAGCAGGGAAATAGTAGAAATGTTACTTGCCACAAACTTTTTTAGTGGCAGAAACATCATAAAATTCCAGGTTTCAAGAAAGTGCTATAGTACATGAACACAGCAGAGTTTGTTACCTAAATCCTCAGTTTTTACACAGAGAAATTTCCCTTTCCTTTATACGTTTCACAACAAGTGTGCTACTTGGTATGACAATTATTTCTAGTTTGAAGCTGGTCTGTGCATGGCAGGATGTTTATCAACTATCCACTCAATCATTAAATGTCAGTAGCATCCCTCCTCATATGATACCCTCTTGCCTTCAAAAGACCTTTACCCTTAAATCTCTAAATGAAGGCAGGGGTAGATACCTTTCAAAAAAAGACAACTGTTTTATACAAACCTACCTTTACTAATTAAGAACTGAACAGTACAAACATGACCAGCTCTTGCAGCTTTCATTAAAGGAGTTCTTCCACCTTCAGATTCATGTTCCTGTTTAAAAAAAAAAAAAAAGACTTGACATTTAATTGCCAGTGAACAAGTATTCTTTTTCATGGAAATCAAAAGGAAAATAATTGGACTGATTTCTGAATCTAAATATTTAAATATAATGCTTTGAAGCAAATTAAGAAATATACTTTTAAATTTAAAAAAAATCTCAAATCATAAACATGTTCTATGGAAATAATTTTAGTATATGTGCTGCCAAAGTGAGCACTGGAAATAATTTTAAATTTGAAGTTATAGTCACGTGATCATGATGCCCTCATCTAAACGCATCTGAGTAATTTGTCCTTCTCTCTACACAATGAATTGCGGTACTTGAATATGCATGTATGGTACTCTAGCATGGCCTTCTCCGAACAATCAATATAATGAGCATTATCCTCATCCACTCCAAGTTATTTTCCTCTTATGAGTGTATCCCATCTCTATGAATTTTAGTAAGTACATCATTACCATCTCTTTACAGACTTCCTATTATCTCTAGTTTCCCTTATACAAAAATGATAACAAACTTTTCTAAAACCATCAACTCTAAGATGTTACAAGAGCTTTCTGGGTCCCAAAAGGATGGAGACTCTACTGCATACTTATGATTACTAAGTAATCAAGAACACTACTGGTGAAATTTTCAATCTTAAAAAAATAAAGATTTGAGAAAAAGTATCTTTTGTATGGCATTTTTTATTTCTTTTTTTAAAAAGCCTTCACATCTGATGAACAATTTCTGATTTTTCTCTTAAGCCATATCCTAGGTTTTTCTAATTGCCATCAACTAACCAAGTACTAAAGATTTCACTGCTGTATGTTTCAGAGCCATTGTGGCAAACACTAGGAATACAGTTCTTACACTGAAGAAGCTCTAAGTCTAACAAGCTCGAAGCACTTATTATATACGTTCTATTCTAGTTAGTTGTGTGCTTATGTCTCCCTTGTTAGACTTAGTGCTAACACTAAGTGGCCCCAGCAATAATCTAATTCAACATTCTCTTCTCATAAATGACAAAAGAAAGATTAAATTATAAATTATTAAGTTTATAAAATTAATTACTGAAGGGGGGCTTGTTGCTGCCTGCACATGAATTTGTCATAAACTGTGAAGGAAAGAGCACAGTTGCTTATTAATCTTAGAATCTCGGGGCCATAAATATATGGGTGCTTACATTTTAACTAAAATGGGCCTTTGGATGTCTTATTCCTTTTACCCCGCAGGCTAGACTGGAAGACCACCTATTCTACCCACACACAGTTGCTTCATGCTTTCTTACCCCTCAGGCTTCACTCATAACATTTTTTCCAATTGAAATATCTCTTTAGCCACAACACTGCCATATCTATCTTTCTAAACTTTAGCCATCCCCAAAATAATACATCAGATGACTGCTTTACCTTCTGATCTTCTTTACTCTGCATTTTCACTACAACATCTCTTATAATAACCTCAGTATTTGTCACCTATTATTTTTTCTGAAATTATAAAGTACTTGAGGGAAAAGTTTATTATTTATGTTTTAAACTCTTTTATTATTTAATAATGTTCTGAATATTGTAGGCATAATTTATTTCCTAAGCAATACTGAAATTCCTCTAAGCCACATTTGCCTTTTTATATCAAATCAGAAAAGCTTCTAAAAATAGTTAATATCTAAGGGAAAACCAGTCTGCATTAATATCTGTAACACAAAAATTTCCTTTTTCTATGGAAAATGAGGGATAATGCAGTGAATAACCCTATTAAGGATGGACACTAAACAGTGTGGAAAAAAATGTGACTAAGTGAGAGAAAGAATGGCAAAAAAATAAAAATAAAAAAAACAATAAAACTGAAGGTAAAGAAATACCTTTTGTCTAGACTCTCCATAATTTAAAATTAATTTCTTATTGTTAAATATTAAGATTTAAAAAGTAACATAGCTTACCAGATCTGCGCCTGCCTGAAGTAAGACATCTGCTACATCAGTATGACCATTTTCACAGGCATATGTTAGTGCTGTATCCCCTGTTGCTGTTGTTGCATGAACGTTAGCTCCTGTAGTAGTCAACAAATAATACATAGACTTAATAAAGGAGCCATAAGACATATATGACGAAAATAAAAACTTCTTCTAGATAAGTCATACCTCCTCAAGTTAAACAAATTCAAACTTCACTCATTTCCAGAAACAGAGAATATTGTAGGCATTAAAAAAATTACAAACAAAACTGGTTGAAATTAAAGCTGCAGATACTTCAAACAGCAGTAAGGTAAACTGTTCAGAATACATACAAAGGTATATCACACGTTTTTTTAAACTCACACATTCAGTGTATCATAGCATCATAAAAATATTTGCATTATGACATTTTTACTTAAACAAATCATGTAAAAAACTTCTCCCAAATGCAAAAATGCCTACCTGCAGCTAATAAGTATTTAACTAACTCCAAATGACCCTCTTGAGCAGCTTCCATTAAAGGGGTAGAACACCCTAGTTCTATATCGGCTCCTGCCTTAATTAGAAAGTCTGCCACTTCCAGAAAGCCTCCACAGCAAGCCAGAGTCAAGGCAGTTTCTTGAGTTTCTTCTGTCTGTGCATTGATATTTGCTCCTAAAATAAAGATTCTAATTATTTAAAGAAAGTCATTAACTTATTCCAGAGATATGAAAAACATGATTGTTTCTTAATAAACTGAATCTTTAAAATGAACATTTATATTACTATAATAAATAAGAAAGTGCCTCTCTCCTAACTCCTAAGGCAGTTAAAACTAAAAATAAATAAAACTATTAAAATCACACCCAGATTTGATGTACCACAGCTGGAGTAATATTTACTCAGCCAGAAGGTACAAGTCGGGTGATAAAAGAACTCAAAAAAATAAGCTACATCCTCTCATTATAGTGATTCAAAAATGATAAAGATACTGGTGATAATGATGATGATGATGATAATAAAAATCTTAACATTCAATAAGCTCTATTTCCCAGGCAATATCAAAGCATTTTACAACTTATTTAGGTATTATTATTATTATTATTAGTTCCATTTTACAGCTAAGGAAACTGAGGTTATTTAACTTATACAAGGTCACAACATTATTGTCATCAATACTACCACCATCACTATAGCTAGCACTTAACAGGCACTACATGACAAGCACTGTTCTATTAGCTTTATACACACGTATTAACTATCACAACAACCCTACACGAGAAAACTGAGGCACAGAAGGTTAGAAACTTGCCTAAAGTTACAAAATTGGCAAGCAGTGGAGTTATGATTCAACCTAAGAAGTCTGCTCCAAAACCTACGCTTTAAAAATCATAGTCAACATTACTTCTAAATAAAAACAAAAGTTTTTTTTAAAAGTGTCATTCCTCTTAAATTTGTCCAGACAAAAACTTTACTACTGAAAGAAAAATAAAATCACACTACAAATACAGAGATGGGAGATTACTTCTAAACTGAAGATATCTTAACATATTGAAGTAATTGTTTCACTTTTCCCAAAAAAGAAGTTTATGTACTGAGCCCCTTGGCAGCTTCTAATATGTGCGCATTCTTGCACTCTCAGCAAGTTAGTCTTTACTGCGTGGTTTCCCATACTGTTTTTTAAAACATTAGATCTATTAAATACTTATTAGTAGGTATTCCGCCCCCAAAGGAATACATTCTCTTGATCTATTACCTTTAGAAATGTTGGCTCTTATATTCCCCTATTTAACTCACAAGCCTTGCCAACACCAGTTCTGTTTTTCGTTCACATATAGCACATGATGTCTCTGAAAGCTCTATATGAAAGAAGTTTCTTTGATTTTGTTTTAACACAGTATGGGAGCCATTTTCACAGTAAATACTTTATCACTGGTTTGTGTAATAGCTCATTGCAACTCTACTAGAAAGGTGAAATACTAAAATCCAATTTTATAAAATTATACTCTTAGGTTTTACACATTTATACTTTAGTGTCTTGATAGATACGGTTACCTTGACCAAGAAGTAATGCCACCATTTCTTCATGTCCTTCTCGAGCTGCTTCCATCAATGGTGTATAACCTTCATCATTGACCTCTTCCAGGCTAGCTCCTCTTTCAATAAGTAAAGCCGCAAGTTCCACATGCCCACCACATGCAGCCAAAGTTAATGGTGACTCAAATGAATCAGCAGGCATGTTCACTTGGGCACCGCTGTCAAGAAGTAACCTAGCTACTTCAACATGGCCATCCTAATGATAATACAATTTAAAAAATTAAATCAGCACCATTAAAAAAATCTTGAAAAATTTGAAGACTTCTCAATTACTATACAATGAAGTTTATCTATCTCCACTCAAAAAGGAATAGAGCTACATTTAACAGTTGAGTAAATCAGTATTTATTATGCACTGCCTATATTCTGTTAACATAGAAGAGGGAAATAGAGATTGAAAATATAAAATAAGTAGAAACATGATACCTTCAATCAAGAAGCTTATTAACCATTAGAAAAAAAAACAGTAAGTATGTGAAATAAGAGACTATAGTGAGACATCAACACTATATGGTACAAACTTAAATGTTAAAAGGATAAAGTTTAGAGAGGAAAAGAAGAATTTTCATAAGAATCTTTAAGGATAAGCAAACTTTTGATTAGTTAGAAAAAAATGGAACCCTTTTTGGAGAAGTGGGGGAAGGATACATGCTGTGTTAGGGGAACACAAATGCGTACATGGTACTTTCTATATTGTTCATCGTCCAAGTACCAGTGAAATTAAGAAAAGGGCCAGGTGTGGTGGCTCACGCCTGTAATCTCAGGACTTTGGGTGGCTGAGGAGAGAGGATTGCTTGAGCCCAGGAGTTTGAGCCAGGCCTGGGCAAAATGGTGAGATCCCATTTCTACAAAAAATACAAAAATTAGCCAGGCGTGGTGGTGTGCACTTCGTCCCAGCTACTCAAGAGGCTGAGGAGGGAGGATCATTTGAGCTCAGGAAGTTGAGGCTATAGTGAGCTATGATCATGCGACTGCACTCCAGCCTGGGAACAGAGTGAGACCCTGTCTCAAAAATGAATTAAAAAAGAAAAGAAAATTCTATATTCTGTCTTCTGGTCACTTTTTCCCACTGCTTTCCTAATTACTGGCAACTTCAAGGCCCTCTTTTCCCTTCTTTTTGTCCTTCAGTAATTTTTTTCCATCTATATGTTATCTCCCAGACATATTCTTTCAAACATGCCATGCCTATTTTTGCCTCTATGCTTGTCACATTACACAATTTTAATGGCTTACTACTTTTTTTTCTATTTCAATTTGTAGAGAAGACTCTAATGTCTTATTAGTTTGATTACTTTGCTATTTCTTCAGTGCTGAATCTTCTTCCTCGATAGCGAACTCCCACATTTCCTTTAAATCCTAGTTTAAAAACTCAGTATTATAGCAAGTCTTTCAAATGTCTGGCCCCTACTAATATCTTTCACTTATAATATTTACTTCCAGTGCATGTTGGCTAGACCTACAGATTATTCCATTTTAATTTCTTAATCTACACACAGGCCATTTCCTCAGTAGGGGGTGGCAAGAATGTTTAAATTTCCTTATCATGGGGAACTTTTAAAACTGTTACTGTTAATACTATTAATGTGTTTTATGCCCATTATCTCATTTAATCCTCACAACTCCAGAGAAAGATATTTTCCTCATTTTACAGATGAAGAACTCAAAAGCTTAGAAAAACTTTTATTTGTTAAAAAAAAATAATTTGCTAAAGCAAACACTAAGATGGCAATAAGGAAAACAACAGATAACTCAAGTCTTAAATGGCTACCTCATATTTTAAAAAATAGTAAATAAAATTTAACATCCTTTCAATAATTACTCTCTGAAGGGAAGATGAGACAAGAAACTTCAGATTCTTTGGGGGCCCTTTCTACCGCTGGCCTGTTCTCCTCATAAATTTTTCTATGATATTTTGGCCCATTTCTGTGTCATAAATAAACAAAGATACAAAGGTTTAAGAGTACTGTTATGAGCCATTCCCGAATACAAACTCTAAAATGCAGCTCTTCAAAAGACAATCTAGGGCTCAGAAAAGACCTCGAGAGAGGGGAAATTATGTAACATAAATTAGGCCCTACTTTTAAATTTTTGTTTAGTCAATTTATTGGTTTGAGGTATGTTATGCTTATTAATAATGTACATACTCTGAATTATATTTCCTTTTTTCTTTTTTTAACATTTTTTTAAATAGAGAGGGGGTCTTGGTATGTTGGCCAGGCTGGTCTTGAACTGCTGGCATCCATTTTAATTTGTTAATCCAATCCTCCCACCTTGGTCTCCCAAAATGCCGAGATTACAGTCATAAGCCACCATGCCTGGCCATATTTTCCTATTTCATATCCTCAACCAATCTTTACAAGAGTGACTTTGGTATAGTTATATGAGACTAAGAAAATGCAGGTAGCATTGTAAAGCTTCAGAAAGTAACTTTAATAGAAGTTAATGTTGTACAACTGATTCAATAAGGTTCTGACAAACAGAATCATAGCACCCATTGGAAAGGCATTCATTGTATACTACTCTGTCTCTCCCTGGTTAATATATAAACATATTTGACATATTTCACCAATCTTACCATGCAAGCCTCCATCAGAGCAGTGTGCATTTCATCTGTTTTATGCTCTTGATCCGCGCCTGCTTCCAAAAGAAATCGCACCATCTCTAAGTGTCCTAAACCAAAAGTGTACAAGATTACTTGAAAATATTTTATTATTCCAAAATATTTTTTAAAATTATAATATTTTGAAAAGTTATATTTAACTTACAGCATTAAATTTATAAGCATAATAAAGTCAACTAGAAGCCACCCTCAATTGTAGAACACAAATTATACAAGTGATCTTGCTGTTCTACCCCTTACCCTACTGCCCTATAAACTGCTGCTTCTAGAGTCCCTGCTAGAGGTGAACAAAGATGCCATTAAAATCCAACACCCAAAATGTTCCCTCTACAACCTTTTAAGAGCCCAGGCATGTTATATAGTTATGTTATATATGCTACGGAATAAATCAGTTTTCATGAACTAGTAGCCTGAGATAATGATCAGTCAAGTTATTTCTGTGAGAAAATGTATTTAAAGTTCCAATACCTAACTCAGAAACACTTTAGGAAAAACCTGCTTATAAACTGGGAACTGTATGTATAAAAATATTCTTCAAACCACACCATTTAATTTATATTTATATATTTAATTATAATATAAACATGTACACACATTAATGCAGTTTCAAATAAACCATATGCTTCAGTTCATTTAAAGATACAAGTGGTTAAAAAGCAGACGACAAATTATAATTTAAAAAAGACTTCAGATCCTATGCAAAAAACAATAGAAAAATTATTTAATTTTTTCCAGCTTTATTTGGAATGAGCTACAATCAATTCTTATTCAACTGGGAGGCGGGAGAAGGACAGATAGTGGAGTCACAGGTAAACAATTAAACAAAATTTACTTCCATAAGTAAGTGTAGTATCTGCCGCGTCTTATATTTGTCAACTACCTACCATCCCTTTTCCTCTCTGTCATTCTCCCCTCCCCAAAATCCACATTAGTGCTCAGTCTCAGCCTGACTTGTCTCTCTTCCCTAACTCCTCCTTGTCAGTCTATATCCTACAAAACCTCACCAGAAGGAGAGGAAGGGAAGGGGGTCCATGGATACCTGGAAGTAGCAGAGATGTTCTCCACCAGCTCAGTTTGCTATCCAGCTTCTAATTAAAGCCTGCAAGCCCCAACCTCAGATCCCCCTTTTGGATAGCAGGGTGGGGCTACAAGCAAAGGCGAGAGGGCAGAGTAGTTACAAGCAGCCCCATCTCAAAGCTCTCTAGCCAGCAGGGACTCAGTAGTGAAATGCAGCCAGTACTGGGTTCAAAAGTATTTGTGAGAAGGGGAGAGAGCCACCCAATCAACCCACTCCAAGGCTTACCTCCTCTCCTCCCAGTGAAGATCAGCCTCTGCCTAATTATAAACAGGATTGGGGAAGGGAACTAAGGGACCTCAGCTGTGCTCCCTATCTGAAAATCTATTAACATCAGATAATCAAAAGCACTTTATAAATAAACCATATTTTTCAAATTTAAGTTAAATTTTAGTCAATTAATCCAAATATATAAGGATTATTTTCATGTTTATAAATGAAATTATTCCAAAAGGCATCATACAACCTTGGCTACTCTTATATAGAACAAAACAACACCAGGGCCAGAACTAGGGTGAGGAAATCAAAGTGCTGGGTGCAAAATTTAAGGAGCCACTCACATGTAAGCTTGTGCAAGTGAAAGGTTAGTCACTGAGAATGAGTGCCTCCTTAAATTTTTTACTAGGTTTTGCAAAAGCTTTTTCTTGATGCCTAGGGGTCAAGAATTTATGACGTAAATAATATGGGACAACTATATAGACAGATGACATAAAACACAGAAATGAGTGGCTAAACACAAAATTGTATGACTTTTTTTAATAAAAAACTTCCTTAATAAAAAATTTTCTTAATTTACTTTCTTAAAAAGTAAAACACCTTACTTTACAGCCATTTATCTGTCATACATGTGGAGTCTAAAAAATGTTCAGCTCTGTGGCTGTGTTTTAACAATCTAGAATATAGAACATTAATTATCTACAGACAAAATATCTTTCTAGGCAATTGTCCGGTCTGCCAAAGGAGGGCATTTTCTGTACTATCAATATTTTCAGGTTCATTGACATCATTTAAAATACCATGTACCCCTTCATACCAAGCAAAATCTTCCCAACATGCAAAGCTATTATACAGTTCATATTAAAAGAACTGTTTCTGATAAAACAATTAGATCAATTAATACTCATTTTTCAGTGACAATATTTATAGTTAAATCTATATTTTAAAAATTTAAATAGTAAACAAACTGCAACACTGCAAACACTTATTTAACCTTTAATTACATACTATATACTATCATTGTTTTATTTTTTAACTTAGAAACAAGATTACATAAAATAATTATAATTTCACATATTTAAAAACTTTGTTTTAAGAAAGGTTTATACTGTACCTTTGTAACAAGCTAAGGTAAGGGCACTCTCTTTAAATTCATTAGAATGCGTATTAATGCCAGCCCCATTTTCTAGCAGCAATCTGGCTACTTCCACATGTCCAGCACTTCCAGCTTCCATAAGAGGGGTATGACCATTTTCATTATGGTCCTCAATACTAGCACCGGATTCCAAGAGCACCTTTACAACATCTACATAGCCTCCAGCACAAGCATATGTAAGTGCTGTATTGCCTATTTTAATTAGGAAAAATAAAAAGACATTAACATAAAATACCAAAATAAATTAAAGTGCTAATTTACATTAAGAAAATGGAAACAGAAGACTACAACCATAATAAATATTAAATTACATATACATATATGTAAATATATATCTATATATAAAATTCCTTTCCTACTGCATTTTATCTTTCTGAAATCAACTCCCTATTCTCCTTTTCCATTTAAAACCAAAGTCAAATACATGTGGAAAATCATATACACTTATCCAGACTGGGGAGTTGTAAAAGAACTGGGCAACTCTGCCCCAGAGCTAAGTTTTACCTTAAGATGAGAAAAAAGTTGTTTTAATGTTTATCAGAGAAATGCTTCACAAGCTTTTTTTTAATTTTAATGTTTCTAACCTAAAATTACTCATCATATACATACTTTATACTATACCTTTTAATCATATATGTTTTCATTACAACTTCAAATACCAGTTAACTGATCAAATTCAAATTTCTAAATTTGAATTTGAATTCAATAATTTCTAAAACATTCTTTTCTGCTGATAAAAATTTCCCATGTTACAAGAAAAATCAACCTTCTGGGTAAAATAAGAATTTCTAAAAATCCCTTCAAATCAGAACATGACCTTAAAAAACATTTAATAACGGGCCGGGCGCGGTGGCTCACGCCTGTAATCCCAGCACTTTGGGAGGCCGAGGCGGGCGGATCACGAGGTCAGGAGATCGAGACCATCCCGGCTAAAACGGTGAAACCCCGTCTCTACTAAAAATACAAAAAATTAGCCGGGCATAGTGGCAGGCGCCTGTAGTCCCAGCTACTTGGGAGGCTGAGGCAGGAGAATGGCGTGAACCCGGGAGGCGGAGCTTGCAGTGAGCCGAGATCCCGCCACTGCACTCCAGCCTGGGTGACAGAGCGAGACTCCGTCTCAAAAAAAAAAAAAAAAAATTTAATAAATTTGAAAAATCTGAATGAAGGAAATGCACAAAATATTTCCATGAAATTTTAGAATTTTTACACAAATCTATCTAGGCCCAAATTTGAAAAAAATATATATTTTAGACTAAAGTTATGCTCTTCTTCAGGACACAATGTTTTCACAATATTTTTTTCTGTGGGCCACAATTTAGTAACAGTAGGAAACAATGAACTATCCTTTTGTTCCACAATTGTTTGGTCTCCCTATCTTCCCATTCCTCTCCTAAAAAACTGGAAACATGGATTTGAGCACTACGGCCCACACCTCTCAATTTCCAAGAGAGTGGTCCATCTAACTGGGTCAGTGTTTTACTTTTATCTTAAAGAATCTTAAAAGGCCAATTGCCCTCATAAACAAAACAGGAAGAATATCATTTGAAATATATTCTATATACTTCAAAACTCATACACAGATGTGTGAGAATATGTAGCACTTCTAATAAGAGAACTGAAAAATTAGCACTAAACATCACTTTCATGCAAAATCATTATTACCAAATGATGTTACTATGTAGTAAAACTGAAAAAGAAATAGGCATGACCTGTTGAAGACTGTGCATTAACATCTGCTTTATGAGCTAGCAGCAACTTCACAATTTTGACATGTCCTCCATTAGCAGCAGCCATTAAAGGTGTAATGTCACCTTTGATTCCCCTATCTTCCACATTTGCATGCATTGCCAACAAAACCTTATGAGAGAAAAATAGTTTAAAAAGATATTAGGAAATAATCGTCAAAAAATTTTGAACACGTATTTATATAACGTCTACCTAGTCATAGTAAAAGAGCTATAAGCACACAAAATTTATCTAACAAAACTATTTGTTGAAATAATCCTAATGGTTGGAAGGATTTATTTTATTATTTCCTTAGTAAGCAAGCCAGTTTTTAAAAAAACAACAAATAAGCTTTATTTTGATAATACGAACCTGTGCAAGCTCATAGTATCCAGCAGAACAAGCTAAACAAAGGAGGCTCTCCCCTTCCTCTGTGTGTTCATTTACACTTCGCCCTTCAATGAGTAACTTTCGCACAGCATTTACATCTCCTTCTGAACAGGCTTCTGCCAAACTGCGGCTATTACGGAAAGAATATCACAATACCAGAATATAAGAATATTAAAAAATTGCACAGCATAAATATTGTTTTTGATTGTTTTGTTTTTTGTTGTTTAGAAACGGAGTCTTGCTCTGTCACCCAGGAGGGGGTACAGTGATGCAATCAGCTCACTGCAGCCTTAAACTCCTGGCCTCAAGCAATCCTCCTGCTTCAGACTCTCAAAGCACTAGGATTACAGATGTGAACAACCACACCCAGCCAGAGTATTGGATTTTTATGTCAAATCTTGACAGTTAATATGGTTTGGCTCTGTGTCCCCACCCAAATCTCATGTTAAATTGTAATCACCGGTGTTGGGGAAGGGACCTGGTGGGAGATGATTAGATCATGGGGGTGGATTTCTCCCTTGCTGTTCTCATGATAATGAGTGAGTTCTCATGATATCTGTTTGTTTAAAAGTGTGTAGCACTACCCACTTTGCTCTCTCTCTCTCTCCTACTGCGCCATGGTAAGACATGCTTGCTTCCCCTCTCTCTCTCCTGCTGTGCCATGGTAAGACATGCTTGCTTCCCCTTTGCCTTCCACCATGATTGTAAGTTTTCTGAGACCTCCTCGCTATGCTTCCTGTACAGCCTGTGGAACTGTGAGTCAATTAAACCTCTTTTCTTCATAAATTATCCAGTCTCAGGTAGTTCTTTATAGCAGAGTGAGAACAGACTAATGCTAACATTAGTGCTCAACAAGGATGATTATTTCAATATGATTCATAACAAAAAGGCAAAAATGATTGAATTCATTGAGTTTTTTACAATCTACATATTAATGGCACTGAATTAAAATTATCAATATTCCAAAATGTTTTCAGTTATGCAACTGAAGGATAAAGTCTAATTTACTGGTAAGTGGAGAAAGAACATAAAATTTTAAAACATAAAAGTTTATAGAAATCACATACAAATAACAGGTCATAATTATACTTCTTTTGTTCGGTCAGTAGAAAATTTTTTATAAAATTTAATTAAAAAGTATAAAATGTGCAAAACTTCCACTAATTATAAAGATCTATGTGAGTCCTTCCATCAAGTAAAGGGAAATCAGACGGAAAAGATGGGAGAATGTAATATTAATAAATGAATAACTGATGAGCCTTTTTTGGTTTTGGTTTTGAAAGTATTTACTTATACAATCAAATTTGGGGGGAAGTTTCAAATCCAGGCAAAGAAAAAGCTAAACTCAAGCAAAATGAGAGTGGAAAAAGTGGAGTAACAAAAAATTAAACTGAGAGAAAAGTGTATGCCCCATAAACTTCCCAAAACAATTCCAATTGTAGACATTTCTAAAGATTCTCACTTTCGTATAAAATAATCCTAAAACTAAATCCAGGGCTATTAATATTCTTTTTATTTCAAATATAACTCAATTATTTTATTATCCTCTTAAAATATGGCCCTTTCATTTCAGATACTAAAGGCACCTACAGATAATCACTTTTCTATAGCCCTGTTATTACCATCAGCCAGATTTAAGACCAACATCTTTGTCTCAGATATGGCAAAGCCTCCTAACCAGTCTCCTTGCCTTCACACTACTTGCTCTCCTTCAGGCTCTTTTCAACAAGGCAACCAGAGAGATCTTTTTAAAAGAAAAGTAGAACACGTCCGCCGGGCACAGTGGCTCACGCCTGTAATCCCAGCACTTTGGGAGGCCGAGGCGGGCGGATCATGAGGTCAGGAGATCGAGACCATCCTGGCTAACACGGTGAAACCCTGTCTCTACTAAAAATACAAAAAAAAATTAGCCGGGCATGGCAGCGTGGCCTATAGTCCCAGCTACTTGGGAGGCTGAGGCAGGAGAATCACTTGAACCCAGGAGGTGGAGGTTGCAGTGAGCCAGGATCACACCACTGCACTCCAGTCTGTGTGACAGAGTGAGACTCCATCTTGAAGGAAAGAAAGGAAGGAAAGAAGGAGAGAAAGAAAGAAGGAGAAAGAAAGAAAGGAAGAAAAAGAAAGAAAGAAAGAAAGAAAGAAAGAAAGAAAGAGAGAGAAAGAAAGAAAGAAAAGTAGAACATGTCATTCCTCTACTCAGAACCCTCCACTGGCCTATAATCTCACTCACAGTAAAAGCTGAAATCCTTACAAGATCTGCCTAGTGGCAGGATACCATATTCCTCTTCCCTTTTACTTCTCTGGCTTTATCTCCTACCCTCTCACCCTTATTCCTTCCACTTTGGCCACATTGGTCTTCTTGCTGTTCATCAAATATGCTAAATAAGCTCCAACCTCCAAATATTTGCATTTGCTGTTCCTGTGCCAAGACAGCTCCTCTCTCAGACATGGCTCACTCCCTTCCCTATTTCAGGTCTTTCCTAGAAAGCCACCATTTTAAGTGAGGACTTCTCTGACCACGCTATTAAAAAATGTAATATGACCTCTGCTATGGTTTGCATATTTGTCCTCTCCAAAACTCATGTGAAATTTAACCCCAAATGTGGCAATACTGATAGGTAAGGCCTTTAAGAGGTGACTGAGTCATGGGGGCTTTGTCTTCATGAATCGGTTAATCCATTCATGAATTAATGGATTAATGGGTAAATGAACTATTACTTATCATGGAGTGAGACTGGGTAGGCTTTATAAAAGGAAGAGAAACCTGAACTAGCACACTTAGCCTACTTGCCATGTGATGGCCTGTGCTGCCTCAGGGCTCTGCACAGAGTCCCTGCCAGCAAGAAGGCTCTCACCAGATGCAGCCCCTTGACCATGGACTTCTCAGCCTCCATAATTGTAAGAAATAAATTCCTTTTCTTGCCCAGTTTCAGGAATCCTGTTACACGCAACAGAAAATGAACCAAGATGACCTCCAACCCAAACACTGTCTTAGCACTTCCCTTTCAATTTTTCCCATAGTTATATTATTATGTGCAATACTATATATTTTATTTACATGTTAATTGTATTGTCCCCTTACCAAAGTGAAAGTCTCGACCAGTACTAAATAAATTTGTCTTTTAAACATCTCTTCTGATTTCCCATTTCACAGGACACTGACAGTCCCTAGACTCAATGCTATCATTTTTAAGCATGTTTAGAACAAATCCTTCCCATAAGACATTTCCTGTATAAGAGCATACCTTTTCTCTCTTTCAAAGTAGTCTCTCTCTGTCTCTTTCACTTCTTTATGCATATACCCTAATTTACATTATCATTTGAATTTTTCATTCAATTTCCATGTGTGTATACCAGCTTGAAAACAACCTTACAGGATCTACTCTAGCAACAGCTGAACTTAAGAACTTGTGGGCGAAGGGCATATTAAGCCTGGCACATGGCACTGTCCTTAACTAATATAAAAATGTGGCACATAGTACTCACTGCACTTAAGTCCACCATCTTTCTCAAACTTTGTTGAATAAATATAATTCTCACAAATATGTTCTATTTTTTTTGCTGTTAAATTCCAGTATTTTCAATGCAAAATCATTTGTGACTTTATTTTTCTATTCTATTTCCTGCTTGAACTGGTTTTAGTATACCCTTCAAGGTGTTTTAATTCTTTCTCTTGCCAATCTTAGTAGGCACCACATTAAAAAATATTTGGAGATTACCAATGATATTGTAGGCTAGTAAAACTGAACATTTACTATGGAATAGAAACCGAGGTTAACTAAAGAAGGGAGTCAGTCAACCTATGAGAAGAATGGTAAAGCAAGTTAATACAAACACAAAAATCTAGATGAATGAACACTAATAAAGAGCCAAGAGAAACAGCAAATTCATGACCTTGTTAATACTATCTAACCTCTCTTTTATGCTCTTAAAAATGTTGTATGAAAACACCATTAGACAACAAAGAATTCTTAAATGCTATAATTTACTCTCTAAACCCAAATAGAATATTCAGATGTTCTCAATTGTTTTAAGGCAATTGCTAAAATAAATAAAATGGCTTCATTTTATTAGAGGAGGCAAAAAGAAGCCACCAACGGTTGAAAATGGTAACATGTATTAATGATTCTTTTCTAGTTGCTTCCTTGAAGTATCTATCCATTTTTCTTATCACTTTTTTTTTTTTTTTTTTTTTTTTTGAGATGGAGTTTCGCTCTTGTTGCCCAGGCTAAAGTGCAATGGCGCAATCTCGGCTCACTGCAACCTCTGCCTCCCAGGTTCAAGCGATTCTCCCGCCTCAGCCTCCCGAGTAGCGGGGATTGCAGGCGTGCGCCACCACACCCGGCTAATTTTTGTGTTCTTAGTAGAGACAGGGTTTCTCCATGTTGCTCAGGCTGGTCTTGAACTCCTGACCTCAGGTGATCCGCCCGCCTCGGCCTCCAAAGTGCTGAGATTACAGGCGTGAGCTACCATGCCTGGCTTCCATTTTTCAATATACATCCATAATTGTGTTTATATATGAGATGGTGTGATTTTTATTGGATAACATCATCAGAACAGCTTAAAATGCCATGTCACAAAACATTTACTGAGTCCTTACTAACTGTAAAGTGCTATCTATATACAAGGAATTATAGGATATAAAAAAATAAAGTCCCTGGACTCACATTCAAGTTATAGGAACTAGATCTATAACTTCTTTTAAGACTTCAGAAAGCAAATAAATAAATAAAAAGCCTTACTCTTTAAAATGGTCAGAACTACGCAAATGAACTGTAAAATGGCCTAATTGTAAAACATTTACTTCTTTGTCACCAATACATTTTTAAAAAAAATCTAAATAAGCAAAAAGTCTTTTATAACATATTGACTAGGCCATCAGCCTTGCAGTCGGAAAGACACTGGTGCTCTGCCACTTATTATCTATTTGATCTTGATTAAGTTACTCATCTCTCTTTAACTTTTCATCTGTAAAATGGGAGTAAAAACAAAATCTATACCTTATAAAGTTTTTGTGAATCTAAATAAGACATCACATGTTAAGTGGTTAGCACAGTGCCAGCCAGGCACAAAATAAATGCTCAGTAAATGTTAGCTATTTGTTATTATTTTTAAGAAAATGATTTCATACTGATGGCAGCAAAAATGTACTTACTTGTCCGACTGCCCTGCATTTGCTGTGCTTTCAGCTCTCATACGGGTAAGTGCAGCAGCAGCTTCATCCAACGCACAACTAACAGACGATGTCAACCTCCGAAGTACTTCAGGATCTGCAAAGGCTTTACCATCAGCCGTGGACAATTTTCCTATTCCTATTATATTATTTTCACACCAATATGGACACACCCAAAAGGAGAAACAAAGCAAAATTCAAGTTACTTAAAGCTATACTGTGTATGTTAACAAATAACCTCCAAATGGTAGAGTAGACATATATATTGGCTGCCCAGCATCTTTTGAGAAATCACTCTTCTCCAGTTTTCTAATAATCTTATTCATTCCATGTGGTTCATAGGTACTTGATCCTGTGACCCTCTGGTGCCAGAAACGGGTCTTTGGCCTATGATGGGACAATTAGACTCTGTCATATCTCTGAAAGAACGTATATTCAAAGGTTGCTAAATTGGTAAGATGTGAGTCATAAGCTATTTAGCCACTTTTGTCACCACATACAGAAAAAGACTGCCCAAAATAAAGTCAACATAGAGGAGAACAGAGACACAGAAAGAGAAGGGGACAGAGTCCTGATAAAATTATTTTTAACTCATTGACGCCAGTAGTGCCAGAAGCTAGCACCATCTCTATGATTTGGGAAATGTCTACATTTTATTTTTTTTAATTTATATATATTTCTTTTCGAGACAGGGTCTTATTCTGTCACCCAAGCTGGAGTACGGTGGCATGATCATAGCTCACTGCAGTCATGAACTCTTGGGCTCAAGTGATCCGCCCAACTCAGCCTCCCAGTAGCTGGAATTATAGGCTCACACCACCACACTAGGCTGATTTTTCTCTCTCTCTTTTTTTTTTTTTTTAGACAGGGTCTTGCTCTGTTACCCAGGCTGGGTGCATGCCACGATTACAGTTTACTGCAGCCTCAGCGTCCTGGGTTCAAAATCTTCCTGCCTCAGGCTCCCAAGTAGCTGGGACTACAGGTGTGCACTACCATGCTTGGCTAATTATTTTACTTTTTGGAGGAATCAGGGTCCCACTACATTGCCCAGGCTGGTCTCGAACTCCTGGGCATAAGGAATCCTCCGGCCTCAGCATGCCAAAGTACTGGGATTATAGGTGTGAGCCACCGCAGCAGGACACCCAGCTAATTTTTAAACTTTCTTGTAGAGGTAGAGTCTCATTTATGTTGTGTAGGGTAGTTTAGATCTCCTAGTCTCAAGTGATCCTCCCACTTCAGCCTCCCAAAGTGCTCCCAATTACAGGTGTAAACTACTTCATCGGGCCAATGTCTATTTTTGCTTAAGAATGTTTACTGGGCTATCATCTGTGAACAAAATATGGCCTAAAAAGGCATTCTAGACTATATATAAAAGATAAGCTATAAATGAGTTATGTCTACAACTTATCACATATACTTAAAATCATCTGAAAGTACTAATCTGAAAACCATTCAGAACTGCAAAATTAAAAAAAAAATTCAAAAGCAGAGATGGTTAGTAACCATCTATATGAAACCTAACTGTTGCTCTTTCAGATATCCCTATAAAGCATGCAGCATTCTTACCCCTAACCTTTATTATTTTAATTCAGTGGTGCTTAATCCAAGCTGCCCATCAGCATCACTTGTGGTGCTTTTTTGTTTTGTTTTTGTTTTTGTTTTTGTTTTAAGATAGGATCTCACCTGGTTGCCCAAGCTGAAGTACAGTGGCATGATCATGGTTCACTGCAGCCTCGACCTCCCGGGCTCAAGTGATCCCCCACTTTGGCCTCTTAAGCACCTGCGACCACAGGCGCATGTCACCATGCCTGGCTAATTGCTTTTTTTTTTTTTTTTGTTAGAGACAGGGTCTCACTATGTTGCCCAAGCTGGTCTTGAACTCCTAGTTTAAGTGATCCACATGCCTTGGCCTCCCAAAGGGCTAGGTTTACACGTGTGATCCAGCCCCCTGTAGTGGTTTTCAAATATATAGATGCTGAGGTTTTCTACATCTGGGGATCCAATTCAGTAAGTAGAAAGCAGGGCCTGGCACCTACATATTTTAAAGGCTCTAAGGCAATTCTGATAAACAGCTAGGATTAAAAACCTTTACCTCTAATGTTATGATGGATATTACAGAACCCTGCTATCCAACATGTGGTCCACTGAATAGAAGCACTGCTATCGCTTGGGAGCTTGTCAGAAATGCAGAATCTCAGGCCCTACGATGTACTGATCCAAAACCTGCATTTTAAAAAAGATCCCCATATGATTCCAATGCACATTAAAGAAAGGCTATTATAGGTTTTACAACAAACTAGTTAACTAAGAAACAAAAAGGACCACTCACTTGGTAATAAATATATCTGCACAGATAAGTATGTAACAGTGAAAGGTGTTCAATAATATCACATAAGTTTCATGTTTAAAGTTTTGAAAGTGTATACTTTTACAGTGCACTTTATAATAAAATAGGCAGCCTAGATTAAGCACCGAGTTAGAATAAAAAGGTTAGGGGTAAGCATGCTTTATAGCGATATCTGCAAAAGCAACAATTAGGTTTCATACAGGTGGTTATTAACCATCTCTGCCTTTAAAATATTTTTTTTCTGTTGCCGTCCTGAATGATTTTTAGATTAGTACTTTTAGATATATTTTTATGCTTTTCTTTAATAAAAAAACTAACATAGCAAATGTTATATCTCACAAAACCAAAAATAAATCTGCCAAGAAGCCTTTATGATTATAGCCATAAAAAAATGTTCAGAGTAGTCAAATTTCATATCTGCTACAGTTAAGATGTATAAAGAATAAAAACTGTCTTGGTCTGATAAGACTGATACCTACTGTATAATTTATGTCACTAATATTAAAAGTCATACTATATTCTGAATCTACTACAATATTTAATAGATCATCTTTCGGTTAAATATATGAAGGCACTATTGAGATCAACATCACAGAAGAATTTCCACATGAAAAAAATTAGCTCCAATTTTTCAGCCATCTGAGATCACTATATAACAAATATTTGTCAGTGATAGCAACAGCAACTAGGCAAGAGGACAGATCTGGCTCAGTAAAAACTAACCACTGTTTTAAAAAAATCTCACTTTAAATCTTTATGAACTTCTTGTATCTTCATAAGTAAAGATAACTATTTTAATAAATGTAACTAGGAAGAAACCAAAGACATAGATGGTAACCTTTCAAATTAATTAGCAGTAATCAAAAATTAATTTATTCTAGCTACCCTGAATTATGGTGATTCTTTTTTTTCTGGTCTTATCCAGCTATTGAATATTAAAGTGAAGATCGAAAAACAGAAAAGAGCTGGGTGTGGTGGCTTACGCCTGTAATCCTACTACTTGGCGGGTGGATTTCCTGAGCTCAGGAGTTGGAGATCAGCCTGGGCAACATGGTGAAACCCCGTCTCTACTAAAAATACACAAAATTAGCTGGACATGGTGGCATGCGCCTATAGTCCCAGCTACTTGGGAGGCTGAGGCAGGAGAATCACTTGAACCCGGGAGGTGAAGGTTGCAGTGAGCCAAGATTGTGCCACTGCACTCCAGGCTGGGCGACAAAATGAGACTCTCTCCAAAGGAAAAAAAAAAAAAGAACAAAATGACCAGATTATTATTTCCAAATGCTCTCATTTAATCAATTGAACAACAAAACCATAGAAATTCAGATAGAGGGCACATTAAAATATTATTTATATTATTATTTTATAATAAAATTATTAATATTACTAACACTATTAAACTTATTAAATATTATCTGATTTTAAGATAATTGAATGCGTAATTATGTTCCTCTCAGAACTTACTCAGAGGGCTAAAATGCAAGAGAAATTCCATCTATGGTAAAACTAGGAAAAATCTGTATATAAGCTGAATATATAAGCTAAAATGTATAAAGACAAAGTAAACCAGAGAACTAACTAACTTATAGAACAGAATAAACTGAAACACCACTATCAAAAGAGAAACAGACCATTAGCCCAACAGGAGTCAGGTATGAGATGTACCAGATACAGGGGTGAGGCTTTGGTTAGAAAAAAGGGAGACCAGCTGAACACTTGTGAGGAGTAATCAGACACAAGTTTTCATTGCCAAACTAAACAGCCAGGTGATTATTCTCTAAAGAAACCAAACTAGAAAGGCCCTGGACTAGGAGACATCAGGTATACAGGAGGATGACATGAAGTACTACATAAAAGCATTAAGTGAAAGTTTACATGATAAGTAGTGAAATCCTCAGCCCCATTCCCACTGTCAGCTCCCACTGTCAGAATTATGGTAGCTGGGTTAATTATTCAGAAGACAAACACTGGCAGGTGTGTGTCTAATAAAATGATCCTAAGGTTACCCGTCCCTGATGTACACATCCTACAACCTTGGGACTGTGAATTTGACAGATTTTACTCCCAAAATTAAGTTACGTTATATAGCATTGTTGACCTAAAGACAGCGAGGTTATCCTGGTGGGCCTGACCCAATCAAATGAGCTTGTGAAAGGCAGAGATTTCTTTGGCTGGTTGGAGATAAGGAAGTCAGAGATTAAAAGCACAAGAAGGATTCTACTTGCCACTGCTGACTTAAAGATGGAGGGTGCCACATGTCAAAGAATGTGGGCAACCTTATGGAGATGACAGCCCATAAAAAAAATCAGGATCTTGGTTCTACAATTGCAAGGAACTAAATTCTGCTACCAATAACAATAAATTTGGAAGTAAATGTTCACCCACAGCCTACAGATAAGGAACATAGGATAGCTGATATCAGCCTTGAGACCATAAGCAAGAGAATCCAGCCACACTGTCCCCAGATGTCTGGCTCACAGAAATTTAAGAGATAATAAGTGGGCGTTGTTTCACACCACTATATTTATAGTAAATTGTTATGCTGCAATAGAAAACTAATCCATGCTGTACAGTGAAATGAACCAACAAAACATGCATCCAGACTTTCCAATTTAGCTTTTTATGGCATTGCTATAGACTAAAAACAGAACCCAAGGATCACCAGACATCTGAAGAAAATCTTAAATATGAAAAGCCAACCAAAGTATTGAAAATGAGACTGAAATTTTATAATGCCAAAATTATAAAGCTTTGGGGAAGGAGAATAGGGACAAGTGGTACAGAGACAGGGTAAGTCATAAATAAGTTTGGCAACACCAGAAGTTTAGTAACTTTAAAGGTCTGAGAGTGGTTTTTTAAACTGGAACTCTATACCTAGCTAAACTATCAAGTATGAGGATAGTAAGAAAGGCATTTTCAGACAGTCTAAAAAATTTTACCTCTCAAGCATCCTTTCTCAAGAAATATATTGGATACCTAAACCTTGTTCAATCTCAACATCACAAAAAGAGAAGCAACCAGACAGTGCCTATGTGATACATAAGGAAACACACAGCATTATGAATGACTATTCTTGTCAAAATCAGAATAAATCTGAATCTGATCAAGTATCTGGATCTAAAATAGGAAATACAACACACAGAAGCACAACTGGCAAAATCCATAAAGTGAGAGAAATGACTATTTCTTCAACAAATAAATAGAAAAAAAAAAAAGAGGAACTGTTATGATTAAACTTAAAACAATTTTTTTTAATTTTTAATTTCATGGGTACATAGTATGTGTATATATTTAAGAAAAATAATTAACATTAAAACTATGTAAACCTGGTTTGGATCCTGATTTAAACCAACTGTAAAAAGACAGAAAATAATTGAAGAAATCTCAACATTGACAGGATACTGGCAATATTAAGGAATTACTTTTTTTTCCTTTAAATCTGAAATAGTATTATGGCTATATTTCTTTTTAAACACTCTTAATTTACAGATACATACTAAAATATTTATATATATGAAATGGTATGGTGCTTAGATTTGCTTTAAATTAACATAGGTGGCAATGTCAGCAAGGTGGTAATAGGCAGATATGAAAAAAGACTGCCTGTACACTGAAGGCTGCTGAAGCTGGATGATGGATAAACATACACAGGTTTCATTACGCTATTCTCTTAGATTTGTATGTGAGAATTTCCATTTAAAAAGGGAAGGAAATAAAGGAGTGAGGGAGAGGAAAAGTGAAAGAGAGGTGGAGAAAGAAAGAAAGGGAAGTAGGGGGAAGGCTAGCTTGTTAGCTACCATAAAGAAAATATAAAAAATAGAAATAATTACACAACTTAGAAAAATGAAGCAACTATTTGCATCGTATGAAAAGGTATCTTATCTCCAAAAATCAGCTTTTATGTAAAATCTACTTCCGTGTAACATCTTTGAATCTTCTTGTGCCTCTTGGGGCCACAGAAAACAAATCTATATGACAGTCTCTTAAGCATTTGAAGAACACTTTATTCAACCTGAGTCTTCTTGTCTTCAGGAGAAACATTCCCTGCTCCTCTGAGGTATATTTTTAAATAATTTCATAATCTGCATTTCTCTCTCATAAACTTCTAGAGCAATGTCAAATTGCCGGAAAATGCTAAATTAGGTCTCTACTCTTCTGTACAAATAGTTTTCTTTACTCCAAGACAGGACCGTGCACATGCCCTGATTATGTTTCCAAGTCTATTTGGTTAAGATCCTTTTAATAATCCATTCTAGAATTTTACCTTGGATGGAAATCAAGTTTAACCATGAATCCTTCAAATATTTAAATACCGGTTGGGCACAGTGGCTCAAGTCTGTAATCCCAGCACTTTGGGAGGCTGAGGTGGGTGGATCACGAGGTCAGGAGATCGACACCATCCTGGCTAACGCAGCGAAACCCCGTCTGTACTAAAAATACAAAAAATTAGCCAGGCATGGTGGCAGACGCCTGTAGTCCCAGCTACAGCAGGAGGCTGAAGCAGGAGAATGCCATGAACCCGGGAGGCGGAGCTTGCAGTGAGCCAAGATCCCACCACTGTACTCCAGCCTGGGGGAGAGTGAGACTCCGTCTCAAAAAAAAATTAAAAAAAAAAAATTTACTGTATTACAAGATGTTTACTGAAAGCATTATTGAACAGTATTAGGTCAGTTTTATGCTATAATAAAGTAGCAGTTTACATGCATTGCATGTATAATAGGTAGTGCACTGGGGTTCTTAAACCATGAACAATTAGTGTTCATAGTGTATTTATGTCTACTTTACAAAACCTAAGAAAACATCATGTCTTTAAAATGATTATAGAGATTTCATTATCACTGCCTTATATTTAAGATATGATATATAGTGCTAAATATTTGATTGTGTGTGTGTATATATATATACACTCCTCAATTAAAACATTGTTCCTATGGGGATAATATAATGATCCACTTCACAAAAATACCACGATGATTCACATGAGGTTTCAGCCTACAGTCTCTAACAAACAAGTGGGGAAAATTATATATTGTCAATTCTCATTATTCAGTTATTCACAGTAGTTATGTTAAGTCGCTAGAAACACGGAATTAGCAAATACTACACTCAACCACTGCTCCTGGGAGAAATATAGCGTTAGCCAGCCCCTGGCCACAGCATTGTCATTAATGCACATAACCCTGTTTTACGTGTGTTTCTGTTTAAATGTACGTTTTTTGTGTGTGTCCTTCCAACTTTTATTTTAGGTACAGCGGGTATACATGCAAGTTGGTTATGTGGGTAAACTGCATGTTGTGGGGGTTCAGGGTACAGATTATTTCATCACCGAGGTAATGAGCATAGTATCTGATAAGTAACTTTTCAATCCTCACCTTCCTCCCATTCTCAAGTAGGCCCTGGTGCCTATTGTTCCCTTCTTAGTGTCCATGTGTACTCAATGTTCAGCTCCCACTTATAAGTAATAACGTGGCATTTGTTTTTTTGTTCCTGCGTTAATTCACTTAGGATAATGGGCTCCAGCTGCATCCATGTTGCTGCAAAGGACATGATTTTATTCTTTTTTATGGCTGCATGGTATTCCATGATGTAAAATATAACTTATTTAATATATGTTGTTGATTCATTAACATTGAACTCACAGCCAACAGCAGTAAAACTCATGCCTGAACCTAAAACATGTTTTTCCCAAAAGGCACATCACAGCATTCTCACACTTAGGAACACTAGACAGCACTATGCTTGGGCGCCATTTTAAACAGTGAGTGGGAGGGACTGTACATCATGGTTTGAGTGCCAGCTAAGACACAGTACAATAGAATATCAGACAGATTTCTAAGGTTTTTGACCTCAGTCCCTGGCTCCCAGATGGCATCTCTAGACCAACTCAGGGCCTAGGGGAACTAGCCACCCTGAAGGGAAAAAAAAAAGTCTGGCTGGCTTCACCACTGAGATAGATGGAGTAAGATGGCTGAAAAGGGGGCTCTAGTGATCTCCCCACCCCTCCCCAAGTTTGGCAACTATCTACACAAAGTGAGCATCTTCATAAGAACCCAAAATCAGGTGAGCACACACAGTGCCTGGTTTTGACTTCGCATTGCTGAAATAGGCATTAAAGAGGGTAGAAAAGACAGTTTTGAATTGCCAATGACACCCCTCCCTAATCCCCTAGCAGCTCCCCACATGGTGCAAAGAACTGTGCAACTGTAAGACGGAGAGCATAGCAACTGTGAGCCTTTGCATTGAACTCAGTGCTGCCCGGTCACAGCGGAGAGCAGAAACAGGCTGAACTCAGCTGATGCCTGCTCGTGGAGGGAGCTTTTGGACCAGGCATAGCCGCAAGGAAATTGTCCATCCCAGCAGTCCAAATTTGACTTCCAGCAAGCCCTGTCAACACGGGCTGCAGTGTTCTGGGGCCCTAAGTGAAGCTGAGGGGCAGTCTAAGTCACAGGACTGCAATTCCTAGGCAAGTCCTAGTGCCAAGATGGACTTGGAGTCACTGGACTGGGGATGGGGAGCAGGCAACTTCCTGAGCCACCACTTGGGTGGCTAAGGGAGTGCTTGAGTCACCCCTCTCCCAACTTCAGGCAGCACAGCTTAAGGCTCCAAAAGAGACCCCTTCCTTCTGCTTGAGAGAAAAGAGCAGAGACAACTTGGTCTTGCATCTTGGATACAAGCTTAGCCACAGTAGGATAGGGCACCAGTCAGATTCGTGAGGCCCCCCATTCCAGACCCTAGCTCCTGGACAATCTTTCTACACACACCCTGTGCCAGAAGGGAACCTGCTCCCTTGAAGAAAAGAACCCACCCCTGGAAGGATCCATCACCTACTGACTAAAGAGCCCTTGGGCCCTGAAGAACCAGCAGCGACACCCAAGTAGTATGCCACCTGCCTTGGTTGAGATTCTGAGATGTGCTGGCTTCATGTGAGAACCAGCACATTCCCAGCTATGGTGGCAACAGTGACAGCACAGTTGGGGTCGGGGGGCGGGGGGCTGTTAAGTAGAAAGTGGACTCTCGGGGTCTCCTATTCCAAGGCTTGGCACTTAGATGACATTTCTGGAGCTGTCCTGGGAGAGAGGGGGCCCACTGTTCTGAAGGGTGAGTCTCAGGCCTGGCAGCTTTCATCACAAGCTGACTGAAGAGCCCTTGGGCTTTAACTGCACATTGGCGGTAGCCTGGCAGTACTCCCTGTGGGCCTCTGGTGGTGACGGCCATGGGCTGAGACTCCTTACCTGTGGAAAGAGGAAGAGTGGGAAGGACTGTATATCGTGGTTTGAGTGCCAGCAAAGATACAGTACAATAGACCCTCATTAGATAGATTTCTAAGGTTTTTGACCTCAGTTCCTGGCTCCCAGATGGCATCTATGAATCAGCTCAGGGCCTAGGGGAACCTGCCATCCTGAAGGGGAAAAAAACAAGTCTGGCTGGCTTTGCCACCTGCTGACTATAGAGCCCTAGGGCCTTCAGCAAACATAGGTGGTAGCCAGGTAGCAGTCACAACGGGCATTGAGTGAGACCCAGTGCTCTGCTGGCTTCAAGTCTCACCTAGTACAGTCCCAGTGGTGGTGACCACAGGGGTACTTGTGTCACCCCAACCCCAGCTCCACATGGCTCAGAGGGGGGAGAGAGAGAGAGAGAGAGAGAGAGAGAGAGAGAGAGAGAGAGACTGAGACTCCATTTGTTTGGGAGAAAGAAAAGAGAAGAAGAGTCTCTACTTGGTAATCCAGATAATTCTTCTAGATCTTAAATAAAACCACCAAGGTGGTACCTCTATGAATCCATAAAAAATCATAGCGATACTGGGATTGGGGTGCACCCCAATGCAGACATGGCTTAGATCACAATACCCAAGTCCCTTCGACTACTTAGAAAGCCTTCCAAAGAAGGACAGGTACAAACAAGTGCAGACTGTGAAGACTATAATAAATACCTAATTCTTCAATGCCCAGACACCAACAAACATCTGCAAGGATCACGACCATCAGAAAACATGACCTCACCAAATGAACTATATAAGGCACCAGGGACCAATTCTGGAGAAACACAGATATGTGACCTTTCAGAAAGAAAAATCAAAACAGTATTGAGGACACTCAAAGAAATTAAAGATAACACAGAGAAGGAATTCAGAATTCTATCAGATAAATTTAACGAAGAGACTGAAATAACTGAAAAGAATCAAGCAGCAATATTGGAGCTGAAAAATGCAACAGACACAGTGAAGAATGCATCAGAGTCTCTTAATAGCAGAATTGATCAAGCGGAAGAAAGAATTAGTGAGCTTGCAGACAGGCTATTTGAAAATACACAGTTGAAGGAGACAAAGAAAAGAATAAAAAAGAATGAAGCATGCCTACAAGATCCAGAAAACAGCCTCAAAATGGCAAATCTAAAAGTTATTGGCCTTAAAGAGGAGGTAAAGAAAGTGATAGGGGTAGAAAGTTTATAAGGTAAAGGTATAGTAACAGAGAACTTCCCAAACCTAGAGAAAGATACCAATATTTAAGTACAAGAAGGTTACAGAACACCAAGCAGATTTAACCCAAAGAAGACTACCCCAAGGCACTTAATAATCAAACTTCCAAAGGTCAAGGAGGTAAGGATCCTAAAAGCAGCAAGACAAAAAGACACAAATAAAATACAATGGGGCTCCAATACATCTAGCAGCAGACTTTTCAGTGGAAACCTTACAGCCCAGGAGAGAGTGGCATGACATAAAGTACTGAAGGCAAAAAAATTTTATCCTATAATAGTACATCTGGCAAATATATCCCTTAAACATGAAGGAGAAAGAGGGACTTTCCCAGACAAAAGCTGAGAGATTTCATCATCGCCACTTCTGTCCTACAAGAAACACTAAAGAGATTTCTTTAATCAGAAAGAAAAGAATGTTAATGAGCAAAAAGAAATCATCTGAAGGTACCAAACTGACTGATAATATTAACTACAGAGAATATTATAACACTGTACCTGTGGTGTGTTAACGCTTACCTTAAGTAGAAGCACTGAAAGATTAACAAATCAAAAATAATAACTACAACAACTTTTCAAGACATATGCAGCACAGTAAGATATAAACAGAAATGACAAAAAGTTAAAAAGTAGCAGACAAACTTAAGGTGTCGAGTCATTGGTTTTCTTTTACCTTGTTAAATTTGTTTATGGAAGTGGTGTTAAGCTGTTATCAGCTTAAAATAATGGGTTATAAGATAGTATTTGCAAGCCTCATGGTAACCTCAAATCAAAAAACATACAATAGATACAAAAAATAAAAAGCAAGAAATTAAAACATATCACCAGAGAAAATCACTTTCACTGAAAGGCAGGAAGGAAAGAAGGAAGTTAACAATACAAAACAACTTGAAAACAAATAACCAAATGACAGGAGTAAGTCTTCACTTATCAGTAACAACACTGAATGTAAATGGACTTAAAGGACTACAACCAAAACACATGCAGAGGCTGAATGGATAAAAAACAAGACCCAATGACCTGCTGCCTACAAGAAACACACTTTACCTATAAAGATGCACACAGAGTGAAAATAAAGGGATTGAAAAAGATATTCCAGGCCACTGGAAACCAAAAAAGCGCAAGAGTAGCTATACTTACATTGCACAAAATAGATTTCAACACAAAAATATGAGACAAGATCATTATATAATTATAAAGGGGTCAATTAAGCAACAGGATATAACAATTTTAAATACATATGCACCTAACACTGGAGCACAAAGCTATATAAATACTAGAGCTAAAGGTAAAGATAGAACCCCAATATAAAAATAGCTGTAGACTTTAACATTCCACTTTCAGCATTGGACAGATCTTCCACAGAGAAAATCAACAAAGAAACATTGGACTTAGAAAGAAAGATGGCAGAGAGGAGAGGAGACAGGGCTAATGTGCAGCTCCCACTTGGATGGGCAGAATAGCATGTGGAGACTCACACCACAAACTCCGGCTCTAAGAACCACTGCAGGAACATTACCAGGAAAACCAAAATAATTCACAGATTCTCTGAAAGAAGTGACACATCGCTGCAAATTCTGCAAGACAGTCAAATAACTGTGAGTTCCCAAAGTACAAGAGCAGGAAAACCTGTCTCCAAACACACATGTCCACTGGGGAATCTGAAAATCCAGATCACAGGAGAAGGATTTAACCTCACCTATAACAAAAATGAATACAGGGAGCCACATGAAATATAAAGGTAGAAGCAGCAGTGGGAAGAGCCTTGTAAGCACACCCAGTCTCCAGCTCGAGCCCAGGGAAGCCATCCCTGACTGCATCTGATAGGGCCCTCAGGGAAGGCAGCTAGCAGAATTAGGGAGGGGTCACAGGGTGAAAAAAGCTTCCAACTGAATTTCATAATAATTTCAACTGGGCATAAACTTTCTTCAGCAGAACCCACAGGGTAAATGGGAATCCTCCCTAAATCATTCTATGAAGCCAGTATCACCCTAATACCAAAACCAAGAAAGGAGAGGAGGGGAGGGGAGGGGAAGGGAGAAGGAAGGCGAGGGAAGGGAGGGGAGAAGGAAGGAAGGAAGGAAGGAAGGAAGGAAGGAAGGAAGGAAGGAAGAAAACTACAGATCCCTGATGAACATAGATGCAAAAATCCTCAACAAAATACTAGCTAACAGAATCCAACAGCATAGCAAAAAGATAATATACCTTGATCAAATGGGTTTCACACCAGGAATGCAGAGATGGTTTAACACATGCAAGTCAATAAATGTGATACATCACATAAAAGGAATTAAAAACAAAAATTGCATGATCATCTCAATGATGCAGAAAAAACATTTGATGAAATCCAGCCATCCCTTTATCATTAAAACCTTTAGCAAAACTGGCAGAGAAGGGACATATCTCAAGGTAATAAAAGCCATCTATGACAAACCAACAGCCAACATTACACTAAATGGGAAAATGTTGAAAGCATCCCCCCAAGAACTGGAACAAGATCTGGATGCCCACTTTCACTATTTCTATTCAACACAGTACTGCAAGTCCTAGCCAGAGCAATCAGACAAGAGAAACAGACAACCAAACTGATAAGGAAGAAGTCAAATTATCCTTGCTTGCAGATAATATAATCTTATATTTGGAAAAACCTAAAGACTTCAGCAAAAAAACTATTAAAACTGATAAATTCAGCAAAGTTGCAGGAAACAAATCAACATACAAAACTCAGTACCATGTCTATATGCCAAGAACTAACAATCTGAAAAACAAATCAAGAAACTAATGCCATTTACAATAGCTACAAATAAAATAAAATACCTAGGAAGGAACTTAATCAAAGAAGTGAAAGATCTCTACAAGGGAAACTATAAAACACTGTTGCAAAAAATTGAAGACGACACAAGAAAAATGGGAAAATATTCCATGTTCATGGGTTGGAAGAATCAATACTGTTAAAATGTACATACTACCCCAAGCAACTTACAGAGTCAATGCAATTCCTATCAAAATACTAATGACATTATTTACAGAAGTAGAAAAAGCAATCTATATTGGTCTGTTTTCACATTGCTATAAATAACCGAGACAGGGTAATTTATCAAGAAAAGAGGTTTAATTGACCTACAGTTCCACATGGCTGCGAGGCCTAAGGAAACTTACAATCATGGCAGAAGGTGAAGAGGAATCAAGGACCTTCTTCACATGGCAGCAGGAGAGAGAAGTGTGAGGAGCGGAAGGGGAAGAGCCCCTTATAAAACCATCAGATCTTGTGAGAACCCATTCACTATTACAAGAACAGCATGGGGGAAACTGTCCCCATGATCCAATCACCTCCCACTGGGCTCCTCCCTTGACACATGGGGATAATGGGGATTACAATTCAAGGTAAGATTTTGGTGGGGACACAGAGCCAAACCATATCACAATCCTAAAATTTACAAGGAACCTCAAAAGATCCAGAATAGCCAAAGATATCCTGAGCAAAAAGAACAAGACTAGAAAGAATCACATTACCTGATTTCAAATTATACTACAGAGTTATAGTAACCAAAATGGCATGATTGTCACATAAAAGTACACATATAGACCACTAGAATACAATAGAAAACCCAGGAATAAATCCATACATCTACAGCCAACTCATTTTTGACAAAGTTGCCAAGAACATCCAGTGGGGAAAGAACAGTCTCTTCAATAAATGGTGCTGGGAAAGCTGGATATCCATATGCAGAAGAATGAAACTAGACCCCGATCTCTCACCATATACAAAAATAGAATCAAAATGGATTCAAGACTTAAACATAAGACCTCTACTATGAAACTACTAAAAGGAAACATTGGGGAAACTCTCCAGGACATTAGAATGGGCAAAGATTTCTTGAGTAATACCATAAAAGCATGGGCTCCTAAAGCAAATAAGGACAAATGGGATCACATCAAGTTAAAAAGCTTCTGCACAGGAAAAAAAAAAAAATCAACAAACTGAAGTGACAACCACAGAATGGGAGAAAATATTTGCAAACTACCCAGCTGACAATGAATTGATAACCAGAATATATAAGGAGCTCAAACAATAGGAAAAAAAATCTAATAATCTGATCCAAAAATGGGTCAAAGATTTGAACAGCATTTCTCAAAAGAAGACATATAAATGGCAAATACACATATGAAAAGGTATCAACATCACTGATCATCAGAAAAACGCAAATCAAAACTATAATGAGACATCATTTCACACCAGTTAAAATGACTTATCCAAAAGACAGGCAATGACAAATGCTGGAGAGGATGTGGAGATAAGGGAATCCTCATATACTATTGGTGAGAATGTAAATTAATACAACCATATGGAGAACAGTTTGGAAGTCCCTCCCAAAAGTAAAAATAGAGCTACCACATGACCCAGCAATCCCACTCCTAGGTGTACACCCAAAAGAAAGGAAATCAGTATATTGAAGAGGTATCTGCATTCCCATGTTAATTAGAGCACTATTCACAATAGCCAAGATAGAGTAGAAGGATGAATACCAGAGGCTGGGGAGGGTAGTTGGGGCAGTGGGGATGGTTAATGAGTATCAAAAAAAAAAAGTTAGAAAAAATGAATAAGACCTAGTATGTGCTAGCACAACAGAGTGGCTATGGTCAAAAATAATTTAATTGTACACTTAAAAATAACTAAAAAAGTATAACTGGGTTGTTTGTAACACAAGGGATAAATGCTTTAGGTGATGGATAGCCCATTTACCCTGATGTGATTATTATGCATTGCATGCCTGTATCAAAATATCTCATGTATCCCATAAATACTTACACCTACTATGTACCCACAAAAATTAAAAATTAAAAAATTAACACCAACAAAAATCACAAAAATGTGTAAAACCTGGCATTAAATAGGCCACAAAAGGACACTTATTTATAGCAGGAGAGCTGAAACAAGAATGTAGAGCATCACTTTGTTCGACTTCTACTGGGAGCATGCATGTAGGGTGATTCAAATGTTCCACCACTTTATACATGCCTATGAAAGACCGCTAGTACTGATTTTGAAGTTAAAATGCATTTTTGCAGGTAGGCAAATTCACAAATACATAATTCACGAATAATCAAACTCAACTGAAAAATCTCTCTTTGTAAGGTCAACTGTAGCACATGGACTTTACTCTGGTAATGAAAATTACAATATGCTTTAGTAAAACGCTCCATGTAATTCAGCAGAAAGTAATCAATTAACCTTTATTAATAGTATCATTCTAAATACCCAATATCATTCATTTTTAACAAGAGCTTTTATTAGATTGATGTGCAACTTTACATAACAAGGTAGACTTATTACTATGTAGAGTACATACCTGCAGCTTCTAGTAAAGCTTCCAGTCTAGCCTGTGTTTCTGGATCTACTGTCCTGAGGTCTGCACCATCAGCAGTACCTGATAAGAGCAACTTGGAAGCTGTTTCCAGCATTGGATTTTCCAAATCATCCTGATCCAAAATGAAAGACTCCACCTATAAAACAAATGCAAAAAGAGGGAGGAAGGGAGAAATGAACAGCGAAAGGAAAAGAGGGGAGAGAAATAAAAAGAAAGCAGGGGAGGGAAAAAATATGTTAACATAATTAACAATGGTAAACACAGTGCAACCCTAAAAAGTTCAACATGACATCTAAGCCTGTTGATTAACAAAAGAAGAAATTTTTTTGTGGAAGAATTCAAAACTTTATTTCTCATATGCAGCCTAATTTTCTTTACTAATATTCTTTTCTACTTTAATTTGGTTATTAGGTATATGTAGGGTTGAGTGTGATGCTTAGGTTGTGAAAACTTTAACTGTGAATAGAAGACCTAACTAAATCAGCAGTTTTTAAATGTTTTGCTTTCAGGACTCAATGAAGTACTGAACTCCCAAGGACTTTATATAAACCCTGTATTTCTTGATATTTACCATACTGGAAATTAAGTAACAAATATCACTATCAAAAAATCACATTCATTAATATCACCACTGATTTCATCCAAAAAGTCTTTAAGTACTGGAAAGCTGTCAAGCCTAGGCAAACAAGTTCCAAAATTCTAATTTTTGCTTCAAAGCTTAACTTTATCATTGGCAACAAGTATTGTTGTTTTCCTTAAAGTGACAGACTCACTTCAAACATTTTTAGAGGAGCATTTGCCAAATATCCAAGTTTGATAACTATAGTTTTTCGTTTGTACTTTACCATAAAAATGACATTTCATGGGGGAAAAAAGGCTAATTCACCTCACATCTAAAAAAATTGCAGTTATTTTTCCTCCAGACAAACACTATACTTTTTATATGCAGCAAAAGTGCTTTATGTGTACTTCCCATTTTGTTACACACACTAATATTGAAAGAACATGCATTCAAAAGGGGAGTTTTCATAAAATGAATAATTTTATCGCTTCATCAAGAATATTCTTAAACTAGCATTTAATTTTTTTTTTTTAACTTCAAGCACGTGGTAGTGAAGAATACAATCATATCAGTACAGTTTGTTTCCATGGCCTTCGGGTCCATAAGTTTTACCCACCACTGTTTTTGCACCATCATCGTAAATGTCAACATAGTAAAAAAGTCAAGTAACATCTCAATATTATGATAAAAATAGTTTTGACCTCATGGACACCTTGAAATGGTCTCTGGGCCCTGAGGGGTCTATTTACTGTGTTAAGAAACACTGATATAAGTCTAGCCGATTCAAGTAAATTTAAAGAATTAGAAAATAACAAACTCCTAAGACAGGGGTAAAGTTTTGTTTTGATATTCCCTATCACAGTGCTACTTACAAATAGGTACTAAAACATATTCTTTTCTGCTTAGTGATAAAAATTGGTAATTATTATATAAAATATCACTAAAATGATCAGTTTATTTCACAAATCTAAGGTACTACTAACACTGCAATAACCAAAATAGATGTAAAAATAACTAATAAGCTAGAATACAATCACGCTCATGCCTAGTATCCAGAAGGTCAACAATAAAAAAGACAACTTAAGGAATAAATCCTTAACCATCATAACCTCAGAAACGATACTGTTCCATCTTGAAAAGTCAACTATCAAGTAACCAGGAATACTGCTATAATTAATCAAAACATTTAATACTAAATTTTAAATCTGGGAAGAAATAATATGTTTCTCTACAAAGTTCCATTAAACTAAAGCAGTTTAACGTGGAATAACATTTGAGATTTCAAATATTTTATACACAAACACAACATTCTAAAAATATTCTGTAAATATTTTTTAAATTTCATAAAATTTTGTTCTACATTAACTTTAATTAATCTATAACTCCTTATGGCAAGGAGATAAAAAATACAAAAACAATTTTTTAAAATTATATATATTTTAAATTATATATATATGTGTGTGCATATATGTGTGTGTGTATATATATCTGTGTATATATGTATATATGTGTGTGTGTGTGTGTGTGTGTATATATATATATATATATATATATATATATTTTTTTTTTTTTTTTTAAAGAGACATGGATAGTCTCACTGTGTTGCCCAAGCTGGCCTCAAACTCCTGGGATCAAGTAATCCTCCTGCCTTGGCCTCCCAAGTAGCTGGGATTACAGGCACACACCACGCCTGGCTGATTTTTTATTTTTGTAGCAACAGGATGTGGAATTCCTGGGCTCAAGTGATCCTCCCACTTTGGCCTCCCAAAGGACGGGATTATAGGCATGCACTACCAGGCCTGGCTAATTTTAAGTTATCTTTAAAGGTAGTAGTAAAAGTATGAGAAAGGAAGAATTTTAAAGGCTGACTAAAGTATTATACTTTAGGAAGCAAATTTTTGGGCACAGCAAAGAGTGATTCAAAATTATAGCAGTAAAAAAATTTGTTTTATTGTCAAAGGTCCAGAAGATGAGTCTTTCTAAAGAAAAAGCTGTTTCCTAATGAAATTTTCTAATATCTGAAATTTATTAAAATATTTACAATTATTTCAATTTAATAAGAAAAGATAAAAGCAAATAAACAAATGTATGAAATTGAACAGGTAAAATGAATAGATGAAATACCATAATACAATATTTTAAATGAACATTTTAGAAAGTAGAAGACATCAAAAAGCAGTATATAGTTAACTGATTAATCAAAGGTAGAGATCAGAGGTGCTAAAGATGTTCAAAGGAGACACTGCATGCATAAAGAATAATATAAAAGGATTTTGACCAAAAAAATTAATTTGTATAAAAGAAGAGAAAGAAGGAACATGGACTGGCAAGTAAAAAATTTCTATGTGATAGAACACAGGGTTTTACACAGGGTTTTACTGTAGGTTTGAAAAGATAGGTTAGAAGTTAGATCACAGAAGATATCAAATTTCAATCAGAAGCGACTGTCTTACACAAAGTCCCCTATGCCACAGATATCCTAACTAGCCTGGTGAAAACTTACTAGGAAAATTGCATTTCCATCTCTTGATGAGATATAATAAACACAGAAACATTTACTTTCTACTGACTTTAAGCTTCTCCACAAAAGTTCTTATGTTATTCTTAGGCCCACTATTCTCACTATATGCAAAACTTGGTAACTTAAAAAACTGTAAATTCAAATGACTATGAAATTCTTATAGACAGCTTTAGAAAAGAGAGGGGCTATCAAAATGACAGAAAAGAACAGGAATGAATATTTATTATTTCCTCCCTATCCCTCATTTATGATTAATGAAGGAGCTACTTTCAAGGACACTGCTAAAATATGAAGGCCTAAGTACCAGAATTGCTTTAGCTGTTACCTATGTGACCTAACCAAGTCTCTCTCTCAGCCATCTATAACTTTAGACCCCCAATTCTGCTTAATTTTTTCATAGATTTATCACACATGAATATTATACATACAGTCTTTCTAAGCTCTGTAAAAACAAACACTTTTTTTGGTTTAGTCATGTACACCCAGCAATTAGAAATGTGTCTAACTCACTGTCAGGATTCAAGCAACTATTGAATAAGTCAGAATCTGTAAAGAAGGTGAAATTTACCAGATGATTTTGGTATTCTTCCCTTTCAGATTCTAAAAGGCTCTAGTGTATTTGGAGAACAAAGGGGTAATCACAATAAATACATCTAAAGGTATATTTTATAGATCTTAGAGGAGATACAGAATCTTACATTAGGTAGTAGGTGGTGCAAAATGCTATCTTCATTGATTTATTACACACACATTTATTGCAAACATTCTATGTGTAAAAAATACTGTTTAATACTATGGGAGATAAAGAAATGCATGATACCAGCCTTGCTATGTAGGACCCTACTTCTTTAATGAGTGTGTGTAAAAATGAACCATAATACAGGATAGAAAGTGCATAAGGTAATGAGAAAGAAAAAGAGGTATAAAAGTTCAGCGAGGAAAAAGAGAACTTCCTCCTTTAATTCCAGTTCCTCTTTTTCCAACTAGAAAGAGCTCGCGTTACATTACAAAACAAGTGAAGAGAGACTGGCATAAAGAGATGCAATCTTATAAACATACAAAAATAAGTATTCCTTTATTAAATTATGGGCATACACCTCTCTGCCATACCACATCCCCAGCTGAGACAGTTCAGATTAAAAACTAAAATGAATTTTCCCTCTGAAACCTATCGCATTTTTATTATATTATTCTACAGAAAAAAAATCATTTTGAATCACAACCAACTTCTGGAACATAACAAACATTAAAAATGGTCCAAATAAGAAATTAAAATAAGTATTTGAGCTGGGCACGGTGGCTCACGCCTGTAACCCCAGCACTTTGGGAGGCCGAGGCGGGTGCATTGCCTGGGGTTGGGAGTTCGAGACCAGCCTGGCCAACATGGTGAAACCCTGTCTCTACTAAAAATACAAAAATTAGCCAGGCATGGTGGTGCACTCCTATAATCCCAGCTACTTGGAAGGCTGAGGCAGGAGAATCACTTAAACCCGGGAGGTGAAGGTTGCAGTGAGCCGAGATCGAGCCACTGCACTCCAGCCTGGGCGACAGAGCAAGACTCCGTCCCCACCAAAAAAAAAAAAAAAAAAAAAAAAAAAAAAAAAAAAAAAAATTTAAAAGAAAGTATTCGAAAATATTTTATTTGAATGAAATATATAAATAACTTCCATGAAGAGAGAAGACAAAGGAAAGAAATGTCCTTACTAAATGTATTCTCTAAGGGGGGAAAAAAGTTATCAAAGTTACAACTGGCCTTTTTTAAAAGTTGTATTTAAAGTGGTTTGAATGTGTTGTTTTGACCAGCTGGATATTTTATGAAATGATGTTTAGGCATAAAGAACCATCAAAATGCAAGAGGCGTAGAAATCACCAGGTTCAATTCAGTGTTTACACATGAAAAAACCAGACACAAGGACCTTTATTTAAATAGGAGATTTCTAAATACCTAGCACCAAGAGACCAGTTATCCAATTAACTAGCTCAATATACTTTCCACCAGCAAATACAATGCTGGAATAATAAGGGGTTGAACTTTCACACTGCTCTGGGAAAGGTGACTTTAAATTTTACATTTAGGGATCAGGCTGTTAACTACCTGAACCCATTGTTTAATTACTAAAAGTGGGACAAACAAACCTAACATGCCCCCGATTTATGCAACATAAAATACACAGCACCTCCTATAAAGAATTCTTGTCCCCCCAATAAACAATAATCTACTAGAACTTTTAGACGTGTAAATAACTTCCAGTACATGAAAATTAGTAAAGCAAATACAGGAATAAGATAAATCAATGTTTCTCAATGTAAAAGCACTATTAACATTTTGGACCAGATAATTCTTTGTTGTTTGGGGCTGTCTTGTGTAATTTAGGATGTTTAACAGCAACCCTGGCCTATACTCACTAAATGCCAGTTAGCAACACTCCTTCAGGTTGTAACAACCAAAAATGTCTCCAGACATTGCTAAATGTTCCCTTAGAAGAGAAAATTAAAAACAACAACAACAAAAATCATGAAGGAGAAAGAGGTTGAGAATCACTGGGTTAAATATAAGCCAAAAAGGAAAGTCTAAAATGTGGAACATTTTGCAGCAAAACTGACCATTTCCTTCAAGTAAGTAGAATGGGAGCAAAAAATCTTTTTTGAATAGAGTAAGAACTGTTCTGAATTACAGAGACTCGAGAGATATAACCAGCAAAATAATAGGTCTTACTTAAATCCTATTCAAACAGGACAACTGTAAAAACAGTATTTTTGAGACAAGAAATCTGAATGTGAACTGGGTATTAGATAATATAAAGGAATTACTTTGGTTATGTAAGAAAATATCCTTGTTTTTCAGACATGCATACTGAAGTATGAAGGAATAGTGTCGGAAATTTGTCATCAAATACTTAAAGAAAACAAAGCTTCATGGCAAATTCTTGAAAATGTTGCATCTGAGAAATAGATATATAGAGGGTTTTTTTGTTTTGTTTTGTTTTTTTTGAGACAGGGTCTCACTCTGTCACGCAGGCTGGAGTGCAGTGGCAGAATCTCGGTTCACTGCAGCCTCTGGCCTCCTGGGTTCAAGCGATTCTCCCACCTCAGCCTCCTTCTCTTCCTTCAGCCTCCGGAGTAGCTGGAAATACAGGCGCATGATACCAGGCCCACCTAGATTTTTGTGTATTTTGGTAGAGATGAGTTTTCACCAAAACACAAGTTTTGTGTATTTTGGTAGAGGTGAGTTTCGGCCTCTCAAAAGTGCTGGGATTACAGGCGTGAGCCACTTTTACCCGGTCTATAGAGTTTTTTTTTATACGAGTCTCTGTACTTTTGTTCATGCTAAGTCCTTTTAATTTTGAAAGACTAAAGGTGATGACATTTCACTGTAGAAGTTGCTTTTATTTAAACAGAAAAACTATTATTTAACAGTAATATTACTTAGATTTCTAAGATAATTAGAATTCTTTTTCACTTTCTCCCCAAATTAAGTCTGACTTAATACAAATATTTAATAATGAAAACCAAGGTCTTTTAACAATGGTCAGAGCTGAATGAATTTGTTTGTCATTAACGGTAATTCAAATCCTTCTACACTCAAAACACAAAGTCACATGGAAATTTGGTAATGCGGGGTCATTTGGACCAACTGTCATCGTTAGCATTACATTTCAAACTACTCCTCAAGTTAGAAATATTACTGCCATACTAGAGAAGAATGGTTCGTTCTGTAGTTTAATAAACTCGTATTTATTCCAAAGGATAAGAAAATTAGTATATTTTGGCCGGGTGCGGTGGCTCACGCCTAATCCCAGCATTTTGGGAGGCCAAGGCGGGCAGATCACCTGAGGTCAGGAGTTCGAGACCAGCCTGGCCAACATGGTGAAAGCCTATTGCTATTTAAAATACAAAAATTAGCCAGGTGTTGTGGCAGGTGCCTGTAATCCTAGCTACTCAGGAGGCTGAGACAGGAGAATCACTTGAATCTGGGAGGCAGAGGTTGCTGTGAGCCAAGATAGCGCCATTGCACCCAGCCTGAGGGACAAGAGCTAGACTTCCTCTCAAAAAAAAAAAAAAAAAAAAAAAAAGAAAAGAAAACTAGTATATTTTAATTAACTGATACCATACATACAAACTCCAACTTAACAAATAACTACAAATTACATACTAAGTGCAAAGCAGTAGGCTACTCATTGGATTATACAAACACAAAAATAATTTTGTTATAATCAATACCTTCCATAAATACACAATAAAGAAAGGCAACTCTATGTGCAAATAACTATCAAACAAGTTTGAAAGAAGTACTAAACAGATACTAATACAGTGATTGTGCAGAGAAATGAGAAAACAATTATGAATGAGAGTGCTAAAAGCAATGATGCTTCAGGAAGATGGCGCCTTTCAATACTGTGCTGCGTTCAGAATTTATATTAAGTTACTGAAGGATTTAAGCATTAAGGCAAATAACTGGTAAAATAAAGATAATTAGAGACCATGTTAAAGATCATTTTAGACAGCTGTGACACCAGAGACAAAACAACCAATTACGAACTTAAGTAAAACAAATGCATTATGTGAGGTGAAGATGGAAAAAAGGGCCAGTCTCTAAGCATAAACATACTTTATAAAAGTAAAATGCTGGCAACCGCAAAATTTAGACTTCTTTACATTCAACACTAACCCCATCCCCCATCTGATGTTTTCCGAAGAAAAAATAATAATAAATAAAAAATATTTAAAAAATAAATAAAAAATATTTATTATTGTTTTTGTTGTTCTGGAAAATACCCTATTTATCAATGAATCTCAAAAGCTGGTAATAAATAAAAATATTTATTATTGTTTTTGTTGTTCTGGAAAATACTCTATTTATCACTGAATCTCAAAAGCTGGTAATCTGAATTTTAAACCAGTAATCTACATTTCAGAAAAGGTGTTCTAAATTTTGACTATATTATAAAAGCATTTTAAAACAAATAATCCCCACACTTATTCCAGGAAAAGAAGTTATCTTCAGTCAAAAATTTACCATACTTAAAATTTTAAGATCTCTTAATAAATCCAGTCAATGCAGAAAAATCCCTCCAAAAAGATTTTATATTTTTTCTAAATTTTTCTTTTAGTAAGTGTCAATGATTGATTTTTAGGACCAATTTAGACATTTCAGTAACATAAAATGGGTTTACAGACATAAATCCATAACTAACACCACTTTGGCTACAAAAAATAAAAGTTCATTAGAAATGACTTACGGCTATCATTATGGGATGAATTATATAACTCATACATATAAAACATATTCACTGATATTCAAAGCACAGGCTATGTGAACATAATTGAAGGCAACAACAGTCTTAATTTTGGTTTTATCAATATGAAATACATTTTACATATGAATACATATTTTAAAAACTGAATATTAAAAAGTGAATAGAAAAATTAAGAAACTTGAGTTTATGATCATTTTATGACAGTGACTGAATAAATTCTTAATTTATTAAGAAATTATAATAATTTCTGGCTCTCAAGTAAGCCTGGAAAAATATGGCTATCTGCTCTTATAGTTCTTTGAATACTGATAAGCAGATTTACACATAAAATAAGAAATAAGAAGTATTCATAATTGTAAAGTCATCACAATTTAGTCTCTTCTGAACATGACCCAGAAATAATTCCTTTTGTCTGTATTTTTTATAGTCTTAAATAAGGGTAAACTTTGATAAAATACCACAATTCTTAATGGGGTAAATTATTCCAAAATTAATACAATTCAAATATTTTTTCTATACATACAAAGACAAAATCTTCAGTAATGTCACAGAACACTAATCCAAGTATAAGACTGAAATTTGAAAAGTTGAAAGAAAATAAAAACCCACTTAAAGAAATAAAATCTTTCTTGTAAAAAGAATGGTCAATGATTCATTATGGTATTCTGAGATTATAGTAAATAAAACTAAAGTGAACCTCATTAAAGATAATTTACCTTTCAAAAAGTCTATTTACAGAATAAACCACTGATCTATTCTTATATTTTTTCATTCATACTTGTCTATCAATTTGACAAATATTAAGCAGCTACTATAATCTAGGAATCAGTGATATAACAGTTAACACAGCTTTGTTCTATAGCACTTTCGTAAAACGTGACTTCTTATGCTTCAAACTGCTATTTGCCTGCAACAATTGAGTATGACATTACTAACAATTCAATATAAAATTTTTAACATAAACTTTACAAAGTGGACAAATTATGAATATTTCAAATAAGACAAAGTTCTATGGAATTCTCAAATCTAGAGTTTCTAAGTGGTTTTTCTGTAACAGAATTAAAGTTATATGGTTTGTCAAAAATTCTCCCAAAATTACTTATCAATAGTAGGATGCAATTCAATTATGAATTTAGCCTGCTCCAGGAATTATCATTTATCAATTATTGTAAAAGCAGCTGCAGAATATAAATATTCTTATAAGATGGCTTTACAACACACACAGATACACACACACACATATATACACACCACAAAACCTGTAGTCATAAGCCTGGTGACATTTCAAACTTCTAAGGATATAAAGTCTAGAAAACTTCCAGGATGGTAGCAGTGGGGACCTGTTAGGGGTCAGACTGACATCAGACTTCCTAAATACAGCACCAGATGCTAGAAGATATCTGTGCAATTAAAAGTTCTGATGAACAGTTTGAAAGTAAAATTCCAAACTGTATAATGAAATTTTTTTAGGTATGTAAACACTATGAAATTTAAAAGCCACAAACATTTTCTGAATTTAGAGAAAATATTACTTCAAGAAGAAAAACCCATCCAAGAAAGGGGCAGCCTTGGAATTGCAAGACTAAGCAGCTAGAAAAGAAACCAGTATAATACAACGTATTTTTAATATCTCAGGTAATTCTTAATATATGATTCACTAAAGTTATAAAAGTGGAAGTGAGACAGGAAAATGGGGTCTGTTGGCAGGGAACATAAGGCCGAGTCACATTTCGGCTGTAACAGGAAATATCCTCTCTGTTAGAGTATATGCCATAAATGACTTTGTAACTTTACTTCATCTCCTCCATTTACATAGGACATACTGAAGTAACCAATGGAATCCTCTAGAGGGGACTTAAACTCTCAAAAATTCTGTAAGGAGGCCTTTGAGCACCAATGCTTGGGCCTGCTCCCACACTGTTGAGTGTACTTCCATTTTCAATAAATCCCGTCATTCCTTCCTTGCTTTGTTTGTGTGTTTTGTCCAATTCTTTGTTCCAGATGCCAAGAACCTGGACATCCTCCACTGTTAACAGAAGTATATAACATAAATATATCACAAAGATTTCTGATTATTTTGAAAATATGAAAGCCAGGATTCAAATGAAATAATGCCAAAAGCCTATGTTCTAGGGCAGTGCTCCCCAACCTTTTTGACACCAGAGACCAGTTTCATGGAAGACCATTTTTCCAGGGGCAGGATAAAGAGGATTTAGAAATAGAAGTAATTAACTGTAATACTTATATTTCATAGTGAACTAGAACTTAGTATATCACAAACAGAGAAAAGTCTTTAAAAACAAAAACCTGATCATATCTTAAGCAAAACAGAAAATCTCAACACATTTCAAAATGAAGAAATTATACAAGGGCACATTCTTGGTCCATAAAGTTGAAAGAAACTAAAACTTAGCTATAAGATGACGACACTACTTTAAAATTTAAAAAGAAAAGGAAAAAAAAAGCCTACTATTAACTCTCAGAATACAGAGTAAATGAAAAATAAAATTATAAGCATATTATTTCATATGGGATTTAGCCATAGCGATCTTTAAAGAAAAATTTAGGCCAGGTATGGTGGCTCACACCTGTAATCCCAGCATTTTGGGAGGCCAAGGTAGGCGGATCATGAGGTCAGGGGTTCGAGACCAGCCTGGCCAATATGGTGACTCCTCATCTCTACTAAAAATATAAAAATTAGCCGGGCATGGTGGTATGCGCCTGTAGTCCCCGCTACTCAGGAGGCTGAGGCAGAAGAATTGCTTGAACCCGGGAGGCAGAGGCTGCAGTGAGCCGAGATTGTGCCACTGCACTCCAGCCTGGGCGACAGAGTGAGACTCCGTCTAAAAAAAACAAAAAAGAAAAGAAAAATTTAGAGCTTGAAATGTATTAAATTCATTAGAACCTGAGATTTAAAATAAATAAATGAAAAGCTTCAAAATAGAATACAAATCAAAATGCATCAACATAATTTATAATGAAAAAACAAAAATGAGAAAATTGAGAAGAGGTAAAAGTTTCATTAATAAAACCAAACACAGTTTCTTGGGTAAAGTCTAGAAAGAGGATATAAGCCTTTGGCGAGAATGATTATGAAAAATGAGAGACAGAGAAAAATATAAGGAGTTATTAAAGTCAGAAAGTTGAGCACATCTATGAATCAATAAATCTAAAAGTCTTAAACAAAATGGATGGTTTTCTAGAAAGAAAGATAATCAAAATTAACTCAAGAAATGGTAGACAACCTAAGTAGAATATGTCCACTGAAGCAACGTCAATGACAGATAAATCTAACCCTTCAAAACGGCACCTAAACCCAAATGAATTTAGAGGCAACTTCTATCAAAATTACATAGCATTATTATAACATTTAAGGAATAGAGCACTACTTTTTTATTTACAAGGCCCAGAAAACAGATGGAAAAACTCTCTAGTTCATTATAGATAGCCAATTAACAAACCTAAACGAGATAACAACAACAACAACAAAAACCCAATAGCAAATTAAATTTAGTAGTAGTATAAAAGACAACTACAAGAAAGGGGATAATAGAGAACACTAAGAAATATAATCCTTTCTTTTTTCTGTTTCTCTGTCACAAATCTCACACACACACAAATAAAATTAATCATACATATACGGTGATATTCCTCTGCCTGGAATGTTTTTTTTTTTTTTTTTTTTGAAACGGAGTCCCACTCTGTTGGAGTGCAGTGGCGCCATCTTGGTTCACTGCAACCTCCATTTCCTGGGTTCAAGCTATTTTCCCACCTCAGCCTCCTGAGCAGCTGGGACTACAGGCGGTCACCACCATGCCTGGCTACCATTCCGCCCCCTCAGCCACCCAAAGTGCTGGCATTACAGGCGTGAGCCATCGCACTCAGCTGTCTGGAATGCTTTTCCCAACCCTTTCGTTCTTCAGGTCTTAGCTTATGTTTTACTTACTCAGATGATACTATCAACGGAGTTTCTCTCCTTATCTTTCTACCACACCATCCTCTTTATTTCCTCCATAATACTACCACAGCCTGAAATTATCTTGTTCTTGGATACTTGCTTATTATTTCTTCTCCATAAAAAAAAATGAACCTTTCAGACTTAGTGCTAACACCAGTGTGTGACATAGTTCCTGACACAATGCAATAACCAAACAGGTATCTGCTGAATAAATATTAAAAATAGAACACATTATGACTAACATTAATGCAATCACCACATTGAGGTATTACAGGTAAAAAAGAATATGTATCATCTCAACAAAAGTACGTGATTAAAGACAATATCCATTTTCATTAAAATACTTATTAAGCCAAAAAGAAAACTTTTATTCTTTATAAAGTATTCTGGGGCTGGGCGCGGTGGCTTACACCTGTAATCCTAGCATGTTGGGAGGCTGAGGCTGGCAGATCACCTGAGGTCAGGAGTTCGAGACCAGCCTGGCTAACATGGCGAAATCTTGTCTCTACTAAGAGTACAAAAATCAGACAGGTGTGGTGGCATGTGCCTGTAATCCCAGCTACTTGGGAGGCTGAGGCAGGAGAATCACTTGAACCCGGGAGGCAGAGGCTGCAGTGAGCTGAGATTGCGCCACTGCACCCCAGCCTGGGTGATGGGATGAGATTCCGTCTCAATAAATAAATAAATAAATATTCTACTAGAAATCTAAGATATATATTATTGTAGAAGTTTAAAACTTAGAAGCATCCCATTTAAATCGGGGACAAGATACCCAAATCAAAACTAGTAATGAACTATTCTGGAAACCTAACCAATGTAGTAAGACCAGAAAAACAAAACAAATGTCCTCCAAAAAAAAAAACAAAACAAAAAAAAAACAAAAAAAACCTGTAAGGGTGTAAACACATACAGAAAAAGGAAAAGGAAATGACAAAATGCTATCATTTGCAGAAAATACAGCCATCCTTCTAGAAACTTCAAGAGAAGCAACTGAAAACTAAGTAAATGGTAAGATCAACATAAAAATCAATAGCCTTCCTACATACCAGCAATAACCCATGAGAAAATAAAATGTAAAATGGAAGAAAAAAATGTAATTCACAACAACAAAAACAAAAAAAATCCAGGAATACACCTAACAAGAAAAGTGTAAGACCTACAGGAAAAAAACTGTAAAACTTTACTAAAGGACAAAACAAAAACAAAAACAAAAAAAACACCTGAAGAAATGGAGAGGCATACCATGTTCCTGGATGGGAAGATTCAATAGTGTAAAGATGTCAATTTTCCCCAAATTAATCTGTAAATTCAATGCACTTCCAATCAAAATCCCAAAGGGATTTTTAATGGAACTTGACATGTTGATTCTAAAGTTTATCTGGAAGAGAAAATACACAAGAATTGCCAAAAAAATTTGTTGAAAAAGACAATGGGGAGGGATGCCCTACCAGATGTCAAATATAATATAAAATGACAATAACCAAAACAGTGGAGTATTGAATCCAGAACATATATATATGGGACTTATAAAGTGTGATAAAGGTAAGATTTCAAGTCAGTAGGAAAAAGACATACTGCTCAACAAACTATTTTGGGAGAACAGCTATGAAGCTGGAAAAAATAGGCCCCTACCAAAAAATATATATGTGTGTGTGTGTGTGTGTGTGTGTGTGTGTGTGTGTGTGTGTGTATCTCCAGATGTAAAGGAAAATCTACTAGAAACATAAATAAAACTAAGTAGTAGAAGAAAATATAAGAGATTATGTTGTTGCTATAATTTTGTAGACAAGAAAGCTTTTCTGGAAAGACACAAAACCTAGAAACTAGGAAACAAAAGACTAATAAATGTGGACAGTATGAGAATAAAAATTCAAAGATGCCATAAAATAAAAAAACTGACAGGCTAGGAGAAAATATTACAAATATAATGTACATATTAAAAAGAGGATTATAAAGAAATTTTTAAATTTTAGTAAGAAAAAGACAAACACCACAATGGGCAAAATATTACAGAGTAGGCAATTCATAGGATAAATACGAATGCCCAGTTTCACTGGGAATCAGGCAATATAAATTAAAATAAAATATTTTTCATCCATTGACAGATAATATCTAATGTTTTCAAGGATAATTTTTCAGAATCTAAAATCAACATTTAAAAATACAATTTTCTTTCTAGAAATTTAGTATAAAAATACTTGCACATGTAAGCAACCAACTACGTATATGGAAGTTCTTTTTATTTTAACAGGAAAGACTATAAATAACCCATATATCCATCAATACTATGGTTAAATAAATTATATATGGAATAATAGCTACCTTAAGAATAAAGCAGATTTACACATAAAGGCCTAAACCACAACTATCTGTGCTGCTCATTTTGTCCCATCACCTCTCATCTCTTTTGCCTACATTATTTATCTTCATGAACTTATTAATAGTGACATTTCCCCCCAATTTATTGTCTTCCTCTCACTTGAATATAAGTTCACTTGGACAAAGAACCTATTTTGTTCCTTGCTCTATCCCCTGTATCTAGAATAGTGCCTTAAACATTAACTACTTAAAAAATATTTACCAAATGGATACATTAATATTGATGCAGAATGATCTTCACATTGTTAGGTGGAAAAAAGCAGCCTGAAGCAAAAAAAACAAAAACAAAAACAAAAACATGGTATGTACCTATTTAAGTTGACTTAAAAAGCAAAATAAAGCATATACACATGTGCAAGAATGTACACAAAAAATTTCAAGATGGGTAAACCCAAGTTATTAACAGTGGTAATCAAAGAATGAAATCAAAGAGAGAATTGTACCTTTTTACTTACTCCATACCCTTCTATATTGCTTACCTTAAAAAAAAAATGCAGTTTTCTACCGTGATTTTTAGCAAACAATTAATGAGAAAAAACAACTTCTTTAGACTTTCAAACAAAAATATAAAGAATCACCCAACCATTTACATATTTCTAGAATAAATTCTGAAAGAGCTATCATAACAATTTGTATTGTCTTGAGATATATAGGATTAACTTGCTGGTACATGTAACTCATCTGAAAGTATGCATATGCAACCTCATTCTTTTTAAATGAAAGAAAAAGTTTTGGCAACAAAATAAAATATTGTAAGAATTAGTTAAAGCAACTGCTCGTTTTCTCAAGATAAGTAAAATCAGGAACATATTATGTTCTCTTCTTTTAATTCTTTTTCTTTTAATTCTTTTTCCTTCCTTTTGAAAATCAGGTTTATTGAAGTATACTTTAGAGTAAAATTCACCCTTTTTTCGTGGTACAAATCTACGAATTTTGAAAAATATATAATCTACAATTAAGATACACAGTATTTTAACACTCAAAAATTTGTCCTGTCCATTTGTAGGCAATCATGTACCACTACCTTTTGCCTCTAACAATCATGACTTTTCTGTTACTTTCATTTTTTCCTTTCCAGAATGAATGGAATCACAGGTTTCTGAATGTAGCTTCTTTCTCAAACACATAATGCTTGTGAGATTCATAAATGTTGTAGCATGCATCAGTTCATTTCTTTTTAATGGTGAACAGTACTTCATCATATGGATGTATCACAATTTGTTTGGTTATTCACCAGCTAATGAACATTTAAATACACTACTTTATGCAGGCATGGTTTCACTTCTCTTAAATACGTACATAAGAGGAGGACAGGTCATATGAGAAGTGTATGTTTAAATTTATAAAATACTGCCAGACTTTTACGTGACACCACTATACATTCCTACCTGCAATATATGAAAGTTCCAGTTGCTACATATTCTCACTAGCTTTTGGTATCTTCTGGCTTTTCCCCCCTTTGTAGTTTTACTCTGCTTTTCCCTAATGGCTAATTAATGGTGTTGAACACCTTTATCTTGTGTTTATTTGCCATCAGCAAATCTTCAATAAAGTATCTGTTAAAACCTTTTCCTGGCTGGGTCCCTGAGGCTCACATCTGCAATTGGAGCACTTTGGGAGGTCAAGGTGGGCTGATTGCTTGAGCCTAGGAGTTCTGCAACAGCCCTGGTCAACGTGGCAAAATCCCATCTCCACAAAAAATACAAAAACTAGCCAGGCGTGGTGGTGCACACCTGTGGTCCCAAGTACTCGGGGCTGGGGCAGGAGGATCCTTTGAGCCCAGGAGGTTGAGGCTGCAGTGACCCATGATTGCGACACTGCACTCTAGCCTGGGTGACAGAGTGAAACCTTGTCTCAAAAACAACAACAAAAAAATCATCTTTTTATTGGGTTTTCTCAATATTGATTTGTGAGAATTCTTAATATATACCAAACAAGTCCTTTATCAAACACATGGCTTGCAAATATTTTCTGCAAGCCAGTAGTTTGTCTTTTTATTTTCTTTTTAGTATCTTCTGAAGAACAAAAGTTTTTAATTTCAATGAAATCCAAATTATCGGGGGTTATTTTATGTTTGTGGTTTTTTGCCATATATAAAATACTTCTATCTAACCCAAAGTCACAGATTTTCTATGTTCTCTTCTAGAAGTTGCATTGTTTACATTGAGGCATATGATTAATGTCAGGATAATTTTTGCACATAGTGCCAAGGAATAGGTTGAAGTTCCAAAACATAGGTTGACAGTCAAACGTTTCAGCATCATTTGTTGAGAAGACTACATTTTCTCTATTGAATTGCCTTGGCATCTCTGTCAAGTATTATGTATCTTCCCTAGACTATTCTGATCCATTAATATATGTGCCACACTGTTTTGATTAGCTTTATAATAAATCTTTAAATTCTCCAACTTAGTTCTTGCTTTTCAAAACCGTTTTGGTTATTATAGGGCCTTTTCTATATAGATACTAAAAAGCTTGTAAATTAAAAAAAGGAGAGGATCTGGTGGGATTTTGATTGGGATTGCATTGATACTCTTGTTTTCGGGGGAATTTACATTTAACAGTATTGACTTTTAAAAATACATGGAAATATATATACTATACATTGTAGTATATATCATATACTGTAATACAGCTGAAACATCTGGCTATCAACCTATTGCTTGGGACTTTAACCTACTCCTTCCACCATAGGCAAAAATTAACCTGAAATAAATCATAAGCCTAGATACTACATATTTTTTCATGTATTTAGGTCATTTTTTATTTCTCTCATTAACTGTTTTTTTTAGTTTTCAGCACAAAAACTACATACATACTTTATTAGATATATGCCTAAGTGTTTCATGTTTTTTGGTGCAATTAGAATTGGTGCGTTTTTAAAATTTCATTTTCCAAATGTTCATTTCTAATATATAGGAATGGAAAACGTTGCTAAACTCACTGATTAATTATTGTAACTCTCTTATATTCCTAGTTTGCTAAGAATTTTTTGTTATCAGTGGATGATGAATTTTGTCAAGTTCCTTTTCTGTATCTACTGTGATTATAATTTTTTTTCTTGAGTGTGCTGATAGTGAATTACATTGATGGATCAGTAAACGTTAAACAATTTAAACCAACTTTATATTCCTAGGATACACACCATTTGGTGATGAGCTATCTTGTTTACATATTGTTGGACTGTTTGCTAATATTCTATTAGGATTTTTTATCTATGTTCATGATATATATTGGTTTTAATTTTCTTTTCTTATAATATCTTTGCTTGGTCTTGGTATCAGGGTAATGCTGGTCTCATAATGTGAGTGGAAATGTAATCCCTCATCATATATTTTCTGTAAAAGTTTGTGAAGAATTAGTATTATTTTTACCTTTAACATATCATGTAATATGTGCACGAAGTCATGTAGACTTAAGAGTTTTCTTTGCTGAAGATTTTTTTTTTCTTTGAGACAGAGTCTCACTCTGTCACCAGGCTGGCGTGCAGTGGTACAATCTCGGCTCACTGCAACCTCTGCCTCCCGGGTTCAAGCTATTCTCCTGCTTCAGCCTCCCGAGTAGCTGAGACTACAGGCGCATACCACCACACCCAGCTAATTTTTGCATTTTTAGTAGACAGGGGGTTTCACCATGTTGGCCAGGATGGTCTCAATCCCCTGACCTCGTGATCTGCCCACCTTGGCCTCCCAAAGTGCTGGGATTACAGGCATGAGCCACCGTGCCCAGCCTGCTGAAGAATTTTTCATGTGAAATACAATTTCTCTAACAGATATTAGTCCCTGTTAGCCTTTTAGTGTATATGGGTGGGATGGGAGGCAACATTACATTTTTTCACTGCCAGTGTTAATAATTTGTATGTTCTCTCCCTCTGTTAGTATGATTAGAGCTTTAGCAGATTTAATGATTCTTTCGAAGAACCATGTTTCTTTTTTTTTTTTTTTTTTTTGAGATGGAGTCTCACTCTGTAGCCCAGGCTAGAGTGCAGTGGCAATCTCAGCTCACTACAGCCTCTGCCTCCCAGAGTGATTCTTCTGCCTCAGTCTCCCGAGTAGCTGGGATTACTGGTGCCTGCCACCATGCCCAGCTTATTTTTGTATTTTTAGTAGAGATGGTTTTGCCATGATGGTTAGGCTGGTCTCAAACTCCTGACCTCACGTGACCTGCCCACCTCGGCCTCCCGAAGTGTTGGGATTACAGGCATGAGCCACTGCACCTGGCCTTAGTTTCTGTTGCTTTTAATTTCATTGATTTTCTTATCTTATTCTTTCTTCCATTCTGCCTGCTTTGGTTCAATTTGCTCTTCTAGTTTCTTAAGTTGGAAATTATTATATCGCTGATTTGAAAACTTTCTTCTTTTCTGACCTAAGCTTTAATCGTGTACCACAAATTCTGATATATTTCATTTAATTCAAATATGTACCATATATACACGTATGTGTATGTTTATATACATATATACGTTTATATTTACACACACACACAAACATATACTTATGTCTGATTTTAAGTGAGCAAGGATCTAGTGTTCTAATGTTACTTCTGTTTACCATTGTTTGTCAAGCTAAGAGTATTCTTTTCTGTTGGATCTCATCCAAATAGTGAAAGTTATCCATTCAGCAACTATTTTATTGAGCACCTACAGTGTTATTGGATGCTGAGTTACATAAGTAACTCATAAGTAAATAGATAATAATGTTTGCTATCTTAGCTTATTGTAAAAACTAGCTTTTGATTTAAGTGAAATGGGAGCCAATGGACAGTTTTGAACAAAAGAATTATAAAATCTGATTTACATTTTAAAGGGAATTGGAATACTTAAGAAATCTGATTTTATTATTTGAGCTTTATTAAGTTTTAGGGAATATATACACATGTATGTGTATGTGTATGTGTGTGTATATGTATATGTATATAATTAAGACAAAATCCCATAATTTATTTGGTTAATGATAGTCTGCTAGTCATTCAGAACCCAGGACACATTCTGATTAGGACCTCTGAGCCACCAACTCCCTACCAATCACTCTAAAATGAGCAGCTCTGAAACAGCTGTTAGATCTTGTGGGTGCACTCCCCAGCTACAAGAGGGGCTCTTGTAGTAGAAGGTGAAAAAGGAGTTACTATGCAAACACCACTGAAGTCTTATATTCCTACAGCCATATAGAGAATACTGTCTGCATTATGAAAATCAAGGCTTATGTGATGTTTACAGCAATACAGATAACTGTGCTATCATGCAATAAATGCAATGTGATAAACCTCCCAATCTGTAAAACACCACATTAAAATAATATAGTTTAGGGAGAAAACAGAGCTGGGGACATTCTACTCAATACTTACGCAACTCTGTAGTCAGAACTCTGAGAGAAAGAAACAGCAATTGTAATACAAATACTAGCACACTTAAGACATATTAAATTCCAAGTCTTCACTTTTAAAAGAAGAGAATCCTGTAAAAAGCACTTTCAAGGCCAGGTGCCATGGCTCATGTCTGTAATCCCTGCACTTTGGGAAGCTGAGGTGGAAGGATAAACTTGAGGCCAGAAGTTTGAGACTAGCTTGAGCAACATAGCAAGACCCATCTCTATTAAAAAAATTTTTTTTTTAATCAGCCGGGCATACGAGCATGCTCCTATAGTCCCAGCTACTCAGGGGACTGTGCCCAGGAGTTTGAGGCTGCAATGAGCTGTGATCAACCACTGCACTCGAGGTTGGGCAACAGAGCAAGAGCCTATCTCAAAAAAACAAAAACGAAAACGTACTTTCAAGAGAGAACATTGAGCTAAACTGAAGAAATTCAGGTAAATGAACATTGTATTAAATATATGTTTTTGGCTTGTATTCAACTATGTTAGTATACTTTATATTCAGTTGATTTCATTTGGTGCTACAAAACTTATAAATATTCAGGAAAACTATGTATAAATGATTGTAACTTCAGATTTAAACCACCATCATTCCTCTAACTTTAGAGTCTCCATACATACAATCTAAAAACTTTTTAAAAAAATTATGCCAGGAAAATAGGTATATACTAGAATTGTCCCAAACAAATTAAAACATGTGGCTACTCCATCTACCTGCTAATTGTCTGCAAGTATTCACATTATAGAAGCATTAAATACAGAATAGTTTTACTAAAATATCACTGACTTTGACCCATTACCTAGTGATAAAATAATCATCATTTAATTGGCAATATAAATATTTAAGACTATATAATGAGACTTTTAAATTATCCAAACAAATTTAGTTTCTCAACGAAAATGAAAAATTTGGTATACTGCAAAGTATACTTAACAAATTTGTATACCCAATGGCTCTGTGTTTCACTTGATAAAGAATTAGGTTATATAAGGATAGGTCTACTTGACACTCAAAAATCTCCAAGAAATTTGGGTAACTTGTCTATATGGTATGCTGGCAAAATGAATGAAATATGTATATGCAAAATTTCATCCAAAACCCATAATTTTGTAAAAGGAGAAAGAAAAATTAAATGTTATTAGTCATGACTCAACATTACTATTTCAAGAATTCTTAGTATAAACAGTCTAGTATGAGAGCAAAAAGAAAAAAATTAAAAGATAACTTACTCTTACTATACTACAGCTTTGCCCAAAGTCACAAAGGAGATTAAATCAAAATTATAAATATTCCTTTCACTGGACATCTGGCCCCCACCACAGATCCCAACAAAATCAAAGCTATCCTTTCCCTTAATGATACTCAAAGACATTCTCCCATGAATTGTATGATAAATTAGATGAGCCCAAACAAAATAAACTACAAATGTCAGGAATTGTGAAGGTTAAATATTCTGGGTAAGGAAGGTGACGTAAAACTTGTAACACATAAAAAGATATTCAAGAGTTTGAAGAGTATAGCATCAAAAACTTAAACTACTCTTTGGGAACAAATTCAAGAGAAAACTTCTATAGTATGCTAAAATTCTAAATTTTCCCACTCTTCCCAATACATTTCATTCTAGTCATGGGCTCAAATTATACCTCAAGATTATGAAGACAAGACATCAGCAATCATGTTACTGTTATAAAAGTCATCTCCATGAGTGCCCTGAGCCTTTCTTCATGGCTAATCAGAACTGCTACCCTAACAGGCTGCGAAAACATACAGTTTGGCTGTGTGTGTGTGTGTGTGTGTGTGTGTGTGTGTGTGTTGGGAGGAGGGAAGGGGAAAACAAGGAAAGTAAAAGAACAAAAAAGGAGGGAAAAAAAGCCAGCCAGAAAGACAAAGAGAAAGGCGAGATGCCAAGCACCTTTCATTCATCAACCTCCCAGCAAGAATTTAGCTGAGAAAAACATTGTCTCAATTTCCCATTACTTTATATAGAGTACCCCTATTAATTTCATCTTCTCTCAATTGCCTTCAAAACATCAACTGTAGAGGCATACCTCAGAAATTTAACAATTACAGTTCCTTCTACCTGGAATTCATGAAGATCTTCAAATGGCTAGCTGCTTCTCAACATTCAGGTCTTTGCTTAAATGTGTCACTCCTAAGTCCTTATGAATACCTCCTCCCCTCAGTCACGGTCTGCCCCATTATCCTGGCTTTATTATTTAGTAGTACTAATGACTATATAAAACTGTAGTATTTATTTTCTTATCCAAGTATTGTAGTTGTCAGTCTTTCCAACGACAACGAAAGCTCAATATGAGTAATAACTTCATCTGTCTTTTTGTTGTAGTTTGAACCAAGAACAGTGCAGGACACCTAGAGGGCAGTCAATAAACATTTGTTAAATGAATATTACATTAGTATATGTCCTTTCTGAAACTAGAAAGACATTAAATGCTAAAAGTGCTCTTATTCTAACAGAGATTTTCTTATATTTTTTATCCAGCTCAAATTTCATGTGAATTCTGTTTTACAGATACAAGCAAAAAAGGAAACACAGAAGAGCTTTTGTCTCTATAAACACTGATTATGGAACAAAATGGATTTAGATTACAAAATAAAATTATACAGGAGGAAACATTTTGTCTAAATTTCTTAAATATTGAAAAAGTCTACCATGACAGACCATAAATCTCCCCATCTGAAATTTTTTATAAAGTACCAGGCAATTCAAATGTCTGCTTCCATTCAGTATTTAGTAAATAAATCTTTACTCTCTTGGAGAGTTTTCAGGCACATTGCTTTAAATCCTCTTTGTCTCAGAACAGTGGTTCTCTACTTTAGCTGCACACTAGAATTATCAATAAATAAATAAAAATTGTCATCGGGGTACATACTTACAGTCCAAGGTACTTGGAAGGTTAAGGCAGGAGGATCATTTAAGCCCAAAAGTGTAAGACGAGCCTGAGTAACATAGTAAGATCCTGTCTCTTTAAAACAACAACAACAAAACTAAGCCTGGGCCACGTTCTCAGATACTATGATTTAATAGTTTTGGGGAGTGGCCTGGGCATAGGGATTTTTTATAGCTCCCCAGGTGATACTAATACCAGGTGAAGGTTAAACCACTGCTTAAAAGATTAAAATTAATAACTCCATTATGAAAGTAGTTTATTATATAAAGATTATAATAACCTATCTTGACTGAAAGGCATTTAGTCATTCTAAATGCCATTAGTTTTTGTTGATATTCAAAAACTGCCAATTTATAAGTCACATAAAAAATCAGAATTCTTCTTTCCCATCCTTTCTGTCAGTTATTAAACAAATGCTTATCAAAAAACCTGTAATTTCTCAATACTGTGCTAGGCACTGAAGAACCAGATCCCTGTACTCTTGTAATCAGTCATTTCCCTCCACCTTTCAGATGCCTCCACCTCAATCACCACTATGTTCACTCTCTCCTTTCCAACAAAGGCTGAACTTAGATACCCAGAATAAAAAAGGTATAGCTTTATGAATTAATCACCTGCTTAAACAGTATGGGCGGGGGGGGGGGGAGATTCTTAATCTCATCACAATACTGCATGTATTACAATATAAATTTTAAAATAAATTCTAGCAAGACTAAATAAAATGCCATATAGAGTAATATTACCTGAATTACAGGAGAACAAAAGACATAAAAAGTCACAAAGAATAAGAAAAGACACATTTATTTAAAATGTATGCAAAAAATATCCCAAACCAAAAAATGTAAATAACAGTCAGAAAAAAAATGTTTATCACACTTGACAAAGATTCACATCAATATACAAAAATTCTCTAGAAAAATAAAGTCACATCTCATTAGCAAAATGGCTAAAGGGTATCTATAAACTTTTTTTACTATAGGGAAATTGGAAATAACCCAGTTATGCAACAACACAAATGCACAGTAAGTTATATTCCCAAGCTAGAATATTATACAATCACCAAAATAATGATTTTCAGAAAAATTAATAAAATAGAAAAAAAAACTACAGGAAAATGTAAACAGTGCGTGAGGAAAAAAAGCAAGAAACAAATATTTTTAAATAATACAGTCCCAATATATTAAAAATGTGTATATATCTGTATTTGCACAGAGAATGAACTGAAAGGAAATGTATCAAAATATAACACCATTAATTTTTCTAACACAGGCTTATAATTCTCTTTGAACCTTTTTATGTTTTCCAAGTTTTCTATGAGATTTTGTAATTAAGTTTTCCATGTCATTCCTAAAGAGCTAATAATATAGTAATTGCCATTAGGAATAACCTGAAACAGTTTATTTTAAATTGCTTTAAAATGTATTCACTTTTCTAAACATAAGCTGCTTGGAGCAATTTTCAGGCTTTCTCACTAAAAATGTTTAGGTTTCCTTAAGACATACTGTGAAACATAAACATATTAGATGCTGCTATACAAACATGGACACTATCTGGCAGTCATCTGTGGCAAAAGCATCTACAATGGCACTGCACTGACACTATTTCTATTGAGTACATATTACACAAAATGAAATGACTTCACAACTAAACAGAAAGGGCTACAAAGACTAAGATGTGGCACTTTATTAGCCATGAAAGATTTTTCACTGCAAATTTGCCACAGCACAGTAGGTCTACTTTAGCATAATTCTCTCCACCAATCAGTAGTTCAAATACAGTACGATGTGGCTTATAGGCACAACAGAGCAATTGGGACTTGGAAAGACTTCCCACCTCTTTTCAGACAATGAACAGGCATAAAAGAGTATGACCCACTGAAAAGAAACGATGAAGTCAGTCCTACTCCTTCCCATCTTTCTGTCAAACCTAGCAGTATTTACCAAACCCAAGGCAGGAACAGGATTAAAAAAAAAAAAAAAAAAAAAAAAAAAAAGGCACAGAACTGAAGTCTTACTTAGTTCAGGAGAAAAAGATCAGAGTTTAGAGAAATTAATGCAGCTAAAACGTGGGGGCAGAAAACTAGGGAGAATTGGGAAAAGAACTATTGAGGAGCTGTAAACTAAACAATTATAGAAACTCCAAAAGATTGGTGGAGAAATATCAAAATCTAACCAGCCAGAGGAGAGAGATTTCATTGAACACATAGGTATTTAGCAGAAAATCCAGAAAGGCTACACATACCAGTAGGGCTATTCTAACTTTAGAGTACAGACTACTAGAAAGATGATCTAACAATGCTTCAAAACAAGCCTTAAAAGGATAAAGCTGATTTTCAAGTAACCTTACAGCCAAATATAAATACTCTTTAAAAGAGGACAATACAATCCAGACATTCAACAATATAATATCACAACATCCAGCATCTAATAAAAATCAGTAGACTTGCAAAGGAGCAAGAAAAGGTGTCTCATAATTAGGAGGGAAAAAGGTAAACAGAAACAGATGTAGAATTAGCAAACAATAACTTTAAGACAGTCCTTTTGCAAGTGCTCAATGATTTAAAGAAAATGTGAAACAATGAGAGAAATGAAGTCTATAAAACTGAAAGATCAAATAGAATTTCTAGAGCTGAAAAATACAATATTTGAAATAAAAATTCACTGGATGATCTGTCACAGTTAATTTAGACATTGCACAAAAAAAGATCAGTGAACATCAAGATAGCAGTAGAATTTATAATAGCAAATATAAATAGCAAAACTATAGGCTTATTTCCTCTGGTTGGTTAGATCTTGATGTTTCTCAACCAACCCTGTGGGAGTTTCTATGTTTGTTTAGTTTACAGCTCCCCAACACTTCTTTTCCCAGTTTTCCCTTTCCCAGTTTTCTGCCCCTACTTTTTAGTAGAAAATGCCTCAGTTTCTCCAAACCCTCATCTTTGTGTCTTGAACTAAATTATAATAACAAATGGCAAAACTAAACAATAAAGAGAAAAACAGCTGAAAAAAGATGTACAGAGGCAATGTTATTTTTAGGACAATATCAAAATATCTAAAAACGTGTAACTGGAATTCCAGAAAGAGAGAAGGAGGGTAGAAAAAACATTTAAAGAAATAATGTGGGCTGGGCGCGATGGCTCACACCTGTAATCCCAGCACTTTGGGAGGCCCAGGCGGGCGGATCACGAGGTCAGGAGATCGAGACCATCCTGGCTAACATGGTGAAACCCCGTCTCTACTAAAAATACGAAAAAATTAGCCGGGCTTGGTGGCTGATGCCTGTAGTCCCAGCTACTCGGGAGGCTGAGGCAGGGAGAATGGTGTGAACCCAGGAGGCGGAGCTTGCAGTGAGTCGAGATCACGCCACTGCACTCCAGCCTGGGCGACAGAGCGAGACTCCGTCTCAAAAAAAAAAAAAAAAAAAAAGAAAAAGAAATAATGTCTGAAAATTCTCAAAATTGGATAGAAAAATATAACCTTACAAATCCAATACGTTCCACAGTCTTCAAGAAAAACACGAAGAAAAGTGCACCAAGGCACATCACAATGAAACTACTAAAAATCAACAACAATGAAAAAACTCTTAAAAACAGCCATGGGGGGGAAAAAACCATCATGTGCACAGAAAGGAAGATAAGAATGACTGCTGACTTCTTATTCAAAAGAAGGAAAACCAGAAATCACATGAAAAAGACCTTTAAAGTGCTAAAAGATAAACAATCTTGTACGGGCGCGGTGGCTCACGCCTGTAATACCAGCACTTTGGGAGGCACAGGCGGGCGATCACGAGGTCAGGTCACTGAGACCATCCTGGTAACACAGTGAAAACCCGTCTCTACTAAAAATACAAAAACAAAATTAGCCAGGCGTGGTGGCGGGCTCCTGTAGTCCCAGCTACTCAAGAGGCTGAGGCGGGAGAATGGCGTGAACCCGAGAGGCGGAGCTTGCAGTGAGCCGAGATCACGTCATTGCAGTCCAGCCTGGGCGACAAAGTGAGACTCCGTCAAAAAAAAAAAAAAAAAAAAAGAAAAGAAAAGAAAAGAAAAACAATCTTTCTTTCAACAAAGTTTTCAATATGCAGTAAAAATATGCTTCAAAAATAAGGGAAAATAGATATTCTCAAACAAAATCTGAAGGAATTTGTTGCCAGCAGACAAGCACTATAAAAAATTTTTTTAAAGTAAATTCTTCAAGTGGATAGAAAATGATACCTAATAAAACTGGATCCACCCAAAGTAATAAAGAGCACTAGAAATGGCATAAAATGGATATCTTCTTTTTCCTCATTTAAGAAAATATCTTTAAATAATAAGAATCTATTCTGGCGATTCACAACATAGGTAGAAATAAGATACATGACAATATTCAGACCAGAGACATAAGAGAAGGAATGAAATATACTGTCGTAAGGTTCTTAATATTTTCGGGAAGTGGTATTATATGTGACAACAATTATTAGCTAACACATATATATTACAAGCACTAGAACAATCACAAATAAAATAATAAAAACAGGTAATACACCAATAAAAGGGACAAAAAGGAATACTAAAAATACTCACAAAATACTTTTTTTGTGAGTAAAAATACTCACAAAAGAATGGCCAAACCAATCTTCAGCAAAAAGTACAAAGCTGAATGCATCACACTACCTGATTTCAAAATATACTACAAAGCAGCCCAGGCAGGGTGGCTCATGCTTGTAATCCCAGCACTTTGGGAGGTCAAGGTGGGAGGATAGCTTGAAGCTAGGAGTTAAAGACCAGCATGGGCAAGAAAGCAAGACACCACCTCTACAATAAAAAAATTTAAAGAATTAAAATTTAGCCAAGTGTGGTGGCACACAGCCTATAGTTGCAGCTACTCAGAAGGCTGAGGTGAGAGGATCGCTTGTGCCCAGGCTACAGTGAGCCATGGTCATGCCACTGCACTCCAGCCTGGGTGACAGAGTAAGACCATTTCTAAAAAAAATTTTTTAGCAAAATAAAAAATTTAAAAAACAAAGCAGTAATAACCAAAACTGCATGACACTAGCAAAAAAACACAGACCAATGGAACAGAATAAAGAACCCAGAAATCAATCTACCCATTTTATGGTCAATTGATTTTTGACAAAGATGCCAAGAACACAATGTGAAAAGAACAGTAATTTCAATAAGTAGTGCTGGGAGAACTAGATACTGACATGCAAAAAAATGCAATTACATCCTATCTCACAACAAATACAAAACTCAACTCACAATGGATTAAAGACTTAAACATAAGCACTGAAACTGCAAAACTACTAGAAGAAAATACAGGGGAAAAGCTCCATGACACTGGTTGGGCAATGAATTTTTGGATATGACTCCAAAAGCTCAAATAACAAAAGTAAAAATAGATGAATGGGATTACATCAAGCTAACAAGCTTTTATACAGCCAAGGAAACAATCAACAGAGTGAGGAGATAAATCTATGAAATGGGAGAAAATATTTTTAAACATATATCTGATTAGGGGTTAATGCCAAAAACACATAAAAATCTTAGTGGCAAGAAAACAACCTGATTTTTTTAAAAAAATGGGCTAAGGACCTGAATAGACATTTCTCCAAAGAAAACATACACATGGCCAATGGATGTGGAAAAAATGCTCAACATCACTAATAATTAGAGAAATGCAAATTAAAACCACAGTGAGACACTACCATTCAGGGGTTTGAACAGCTATGAAGAAAAAGACAAAAGATAGCAAGGATTGGTAAGGATGTGGAGAAAAGGAAACACCTGTACACTATTAGTAGGAAGGTAAATTAATATAGCCATTATGGAAAACAGTACAGAGGTTCCTCAAAAAATTGAAAACAGAACTACCATATGATCCAGCAATCCCACTTCTGGACACATATTCAAAGAAAATGAAATCAGTCATACTGAAGGAATATCTGCACTCCCACCCATGTTCACGGCACCATTGTTCACAACCACCAAGATACGGAATAAACCGGAGTATCCATCAATGGATGAATGGATAAGAAAAATGTGGCCTATATACACAATAGAACAGAAAGAAAGAGAGAGAGAGAAAGAAAGTGAGAGAGAGAGAGAGAGAGAGAGAGAGAGATAAAGAGAAAGGGAGGCAGGCAGGGAGGGAGGGAAAGATAGAAAGAAATCTTGTCTCTTGCAACAACATGGAGGAACCTGGAGAACACTGTGCTCAATGAAACAAGCCAGGCACAGAAATGCAAGCACTGCATGATGTCACTTATATGTAGAATCTAAAAAAGCTGAATTCATAGAAGCAGTGAGTAAAATGGTGGTTACCAGGGATTGACAGGGAAGGTGAGGGGTCAGGAGGGTGGACCAGAAAGATGTTGGTCAAAGGACAGAAATTTTCAGTTAAGAAGAAGAAGAAGTTCAAGAGATCTATTTACAGCATGGTAACTAGAGTTAATAACAATGTACTGTACACTTGAAATTTGCTAAGAGAATAGATTTTTTTTTCCCCCAAGACAGAGTTTCACTCTTACCCCCAGGCTGGAGTGAAGGGGCGTGATCTCGGCTGACTGCAACCTCCACCCCACGGGGTTCAAGTGATTCTCCAGCCTCAGCCTCCCGAATAGCTGGGATTACAGGAGCCTGCCACCAAGCCTGGCTAATTTTTGTATTTTTAGTGGAGACAGGGTTTCGCCATGTTGGCCAGGCTTATTTTGAACTCCTGACCTCAGGCGATCCACCCACCTCAGCCTCCCAAAGTGCTAGGATTACAGGCATGAGCCACCGTGCCCAGCCAAGAGAGTAGATTTTTAAGTGATCTCACCACAAATAAACATAAGTATATGAGGTAATACATATGTTAATTAGCTCAATGTAGCCATTTCACAATGTATACATATTTCAAATATCATGTTGTACACCAAAAATATATATAATATTTGTCAATTTAAATAAAAGTAAAGTCAGATTAAAGATATATGAAAAACAAATAAAAAACTCAACCTAATAAAAGGCATGAACAAAGGGAAAAAAGAAGCCATAACAAATGGGAGAAGTGGGAAACAATTAGCAAGATGGTGGAATGAAATATAAAATATTGCTAATTATACTAAGTGAAAATGGATTAAATATACTAATTAAAGGGCAGATATTGACAGTTTGTATAAAAAGGCAAGAGCTATCGACATGCTGTCTACAAGAAACATACTTTAAATATAAAGACAGAGATAGGTTAAAAGAATGGAGAAAGATATACCATGCAAACATTAATCATAGAAATGCTGGTAGAGCTATTATCAATTTCACATACTGTACACTTCAGCAAAACAACAAATATTAACAAAGCCAAAGAGAAATATTTTGAAACAATAAAAGGATTAATTCAGCAAGAAGACATAGTAACTCTAAATGTGTATGTACCTCATGAGGAAGCTCCAAAATACATGAAGCAAAAACTGACAAATCGGAAAGGAAGAATGGGACTCTCTACAATTATATTTTGGAGATTTCAACATTCCTCTCTCAGATTTGGCAAAACAAGTAGACAGAAAAATCAGTAAGGGTATTAAAAAAACTTGAGGCCGGGCACAGTGGCTCACGCCTGTAATCCCAGCACTTTGGGAGGCCGAGGCAGGTGGATCACGAGGTCAGGAGATCGAGACCATCCTGGCTAACACGGTGAAACCCCGTTTCCACTAAAAATACAAAAAAATTCTCCAGGCGTGGTGGTGGGCGCCTGTAGTCCCAGCTACTCCGGAGGCTGAGGCAGGAGAATGGCGTGAGCCCGGGAGGCGGAGCTTGCAGTGAGCAGAGATCGGGCCACTGCACTCCAGCCTGGGCGACACAGCGAGACTCCGTCTCAAAAAAAAAAAAAAAAAAAAAAAACTTGAACATTATTAACTTATTGGTCATTTATGGAACATTCAACACAACAACTTCAGAGAACATATTCTTTTCTAATGCCCATAAAAAACTCATTCAACAAAATAAACCATATTCTGGGGCATAAAACAAGCTTCAATACATTTTTAAAAACTAAAATTAAGAGTACAGTACATTCTCTGACCACACATAATTAAATGGGAAGCCTATAATATGCCAACATATTTAGAAATGAAATAACCAACTTTTAAATAACCCACATAGCCTTTCCCCAAAAGGGTTCCTTATATGAACCATGGATGGCCAAAAATAATTTGAGTGACTACTTTCTCAGTTCTCCTAAAAATGTTATATAAATAGTACCATAATACAGCACAAGCACAGGAGAGAATAGAGTGACTAACAGCCTTAGGCATTAGAGATCAATCCTCCAAGGAAACCCCAGTTAAGACAGGCAGAATGAGTCAAAGAAATCCAGGGGAAATTAGAAAACATTTAGAACTAAATGCTAATAAAAATAAAAGATATCAACATTTGTAGTATACAGCTAATGCAGTGCATAGAGGGAAACTTATAGTGTTTAATATTAGTAGTAGAAAAGAAGAAAGATTACAAATAATAACCTAAGCTTCCACATAAAACTAGAAAGAGGGACAAACTGAATTCAAAAAAGGGAAAAAATAAGAGCAGAAATCAATTAAACAAAAAATGAACAAAATAGGCTGGGCGCGGTGGCTCATGCCTGCAATCCCAGCACTTCCGGGGGTGGGCAGATCACCTAAGGTCAGGAGTTCGAAACCAGCATGGTCAACATGGCGAAACTCCCCTCTACTAAAAAATACAAAAATTAGCTGGGCATGGTGGTGCGTGCCTATAATCCCAGCTACTCAGGAGGCTGAGGCAGGAGAATTATTTGAACCCAGAAGGTGGAGGTTGTAGTGAGCCAAGATCGTGCCACTGCACTCCAGTCTGGGTGACAGAACGAGACTCTGGGTCAAAAACAAAAAACAAAACAAAACAAAGAAAAACAAAATAGAAAATAATCAGTGACACAAAATGAAAATCAACTGAAAATTTATTGAAAAGAGAAAATGTGAATTGCCAGTGAAAGAGGAAACACTATCACAAATCCTGTCATTATCTAAACAGTATAGGACTATTACGAACAACTCTGTCAATTAATTCAACACCACAGACTGAAATTGACAAAGTCCTTGCAAATCACAATTTATCAAATCTGACAGAAAAAAAATCTAAACAGCCCTATATCTACTAAAGAAATTCAATGTTTAATTGAAAACATTCCCAAAAACAAAACCCTAGGTGCAGATAGCTTCACTGGTCAATGCAATCGACCCAAACTTTCGGAAAACAGAAAAGAAGGATATACTCCCAATTTTTTTTACGAGGCTTGCATTTCCCTTACGCAAAAAAGATCAAATATATTACAAGAAAAATAAAGAGCACTATGCCTTAAAATCCTTAACAAGATATTAGTAAGTCAAATGCTGCCATATACAAAAGGAGTCACACATTGTGACCAAGTGGAGTTTATCCCAAGAATACAAAGTTGGTTTAAAATGCAAAAGTCAATTAATATAATTCATACAATAACAGAACAGTGGAAAATCACAGGATCACCTAAAAAGATGCAGATTAAAGCACCTGACAAAATTCAATACCCTTTGATGATAAAAATCCTTAGCAAACTAGGAATAAAAGGGAACATCCTCAACCAGATAAAGGAATCAAGAAAAAAACTACAGGTAACAGAATACTTAATGGTGAAAGACTGAATACTTATCTCCCTAAAATCAGAAACAAGGCAAAGAAGCCCATAGTCACCAGTTCTATTTAACATTTTATGGAGGCCCTACTTAAGGCAATAAGGTAGAATATTGAAAATAAGAGAATTAAAAGGCATAACCATGGGAGATGAAGGTAGAAACTGACTTTATTTGTACATATGATCCAAGTAGATAGAAAATCCTAAGATCTACCAAAAAAACAAACAAATAAAAAAAACCCTAGTAGAACTAAGTGAATTTAAGCCCACAAATATCCACTGTATTCCTACATATGAACAACAAACAATTGCAAAATAAAAAGAATTAGCAGTTACAATAATATCAAAAACCTAAAACACCTAGGAACAAATTTCATGAAATATTTATAAGACCTGAACAGTGAAAACTATACAACAGTGCTGAGAGAAATTAAAGAAAATATAAATAAATGAGTGTGTGTGTATATGTGTCATGCTCACTGTGTGGGCCAATGTTATATGAACTACACAAAACACAGTTCTAAGTCTGATATGGCCAAGAAGCCACAAGTTTGGAACCTTTGCCCTAGATGTTCTAAATTTTATTGTTGAAACAAACAAGACCATCAGAAAACCTAGTACTTACACTACATTATTGTTTTCAACCAAATTGCATTTTATTAGCAAATCTTTAGTTTATACTCTGTATAAACAATGTGAAGGGTATATTTTAGAAATGCTGAAAAAGTTATCTACTACCTGGAGTATCTCCATTATGAGGGCCCAAAAGAAATTTTTTCTCAGATCTCAATTTCAGAAAATATGAGTCCTCCAAATCATCTAGTATACCTATGAAGCTATGGACTATGCAAATCTCAAAATTCATCAAGTTTCCAAATTTGGCTCTGGTTGCTAGTTAACTGAATCTAAGTTTAATAACTGTATATTACATACATTTTTCTGTATAATCCATTTTCCTTTGGTCTTAATTTACTAATTCTACCTTTGTATTTTTATTTTTTTAGAGTATATACTCTAAACTACTTCAAATCATTTTGGGGGATGAAATATCTTTTACCTAAATACATAGATGACTTTTTTTTAACTTAAAGAGTCAGGGTCGCTAAAAATTAACCATATAGTCAAGCACATAATACAGACCATAAAATATTTTAAATGTATATGGTCTCACATTACTTTTACAGAGCAGAAAATAGTAGGAGCTAAAGAATGTGAAAAGAAGACTAGGGTGGGAAAACCCTAGAGAAGAGGTAGGATCTAGGTGGAGCTCTGAATAATGAAGATAAAGAGGGTAGCAGGTAGACAACATGGGTAATAACAGGGTATTAGGATACAATGTAAAGGCAAACGGTTGAGATTAAGTGTTGTAAAGATAAAGTTGAGTGGATAGAATGAAGTCATATAATGTATAGTTCAAAGCCAAACTGAGCTTTAGTTTGATTCTTAAATGTAAAATAACACAGTAAAACAGGTTACAAAGGCTTTGACATATATAGGAGATACACACTATCATCTCAAACTTTTTGTTTAGTAGTTATTGGAGCCACTACCTTAAGAAATCTAATTGTCGGCCAGGTGTGGTGGCTCATGCCTGTAATCTCAGCACTTTGGGAGGCCGAGGCAGGTGGATCACCTGAGGTCAGGAGTTCGAGACTAGTCTGGCCAACATGGTGAAACCCCATCTCTACTAAAAATACAAAAATTAGCTGGGCGTGGTGGCAGGTGCCTGTAATCCCAGCTACGTGGGAGGCTGAGGCAGGAGAATCACTTGAACCCGGGAGGCAGAGGTCGCAGTGAGCTGAGATGGTGCCATTGTACTCCAACCTAGGCAACAAGAGCAAAACTCTGTCTCAAAAAAAAAAAAAAAAAAAAATCTAATTGTAAGCTTTCATAAGCAGAAGGGGTCTTAAGAGAAACTATATGGTACAACTAAATTTTAGAGATTAAAAAACACAGGAATAAAGAAAAATGTATAGTATTTCAAATGATGTACAAAGCTTATTATCCTTAAAATCCCAACCTACTGATCACCTGGATTGATCTGAGTTAATATGAATTACTTTTAGTTCTTCTTTATACAATATATACACCTAACCAAAGCCAAGGAGAGTCTAAACACACTCCCAAGGTGTGGGTTGGGCAGAGGGAAAGAGGGTGGCGATTCTTTCACTGTACAAGAATAACTCAAAATGAAAAACCAGCATTTACTATGTTCTAAGTACAATGTTGAGTCACTGAAGATACCAACAACAAAGCTATTCACAGAAAATCAGACTATAACACTAAAAGCTCAAGACAATGAAAAAGGAAACCCATTAAATGTCTAGAAATACTTAAAATCACTGTCAACATAATTCAGCATTTCCATTTACCTAACACTTTATAAAAGATATATTCTTCCATAATTCATAAAACATTTACGAAACGATCCACCTGCCAAGATTATTTTTTAAATGATATATGTAGGGCTTAATCTTAACATTCTGGTTGTCTAATGAAAGTTTTCAGAAGAGAGCATATTTCTATCTAGAGCTATCTCCCTTGACTTTATTTCATGGAGAAAACTAAAAAATAATAGAACAGAGAAACTGAGAAAGATATTAAAAAAAAAAAGTACTTGTGCAGATGTGATACAAAATCTTAAAAACGAAAACTTTCTGATATGTGTGAACATTTAAACCCACCACATGTTTTTGGAAAATCTTAACTAGTTATTTCTTTGTGAAATATAAGAATTTAGGCCAGCACAGTGGCTCACGCCTGTAATACCGGCACTTTGGGAGGCCAAGGCACGGGGATCACCTAAGATCAGGAGTTCGAGACCAGCCTGGCCAACATTGTGAAACCCCGTCTCTACTAAAAAAATACAAAAAAAAAAAAAATTAGCGCAGAGTGGTGGTGTGTGCCTGTAATTCCAGCTACTCGGGAGGCGGAGACAGGAGAAATGCTTGAACCTGGGAGGTGGAGGTTGCAGTGAGCCAAGATCACACCACTGCACTCCAGCTTGGGAGACAAAGCAAGACTCCGTTTCAGGGGAAAAAAAAAAAAAAAAGAAATATAAGAATTTAGAAGCTGAGTGGATAGAATCAAGTCAAATAATATATAATTCAAAGCCAAATTGAGGTTTAGTTTCTCAAACTTAAGCATGTCACACAAATATATGTTGGTCTTATGATGACAGTGCATAAATTACAAATGCTGAACATATGACAAGGACTAGGCAAGTGGCAACAGGACAGATTCAAGGTTAGAACCAGGTAAGGATAAACACTAGTTAGATGAATAAGGTCAAGAAGTGAGAAGGTCTGTGTGAAATCAAAGAGTTAGGCTGGCAGCAATATTCAAACACTGAGTTCAGGATAAATATCTGGACAACCTGCAGCAAGAAAAAGAAATCATGATTAAGTAGGCAGTATTACCAAAACTGAGAGAAAGAGGTTAAATGACAAAAGCTCAGGACAGCAAAGAATCCAGACAGCACAGAACACCAAAAACACTTTTAACACTGAACCTAACACTGTATTTCTCACCTCAAGCAGTTCCTCAAAATTTTATGGTGGTGGGAAGATATGGAATTTGAGAATGAGAAAGACAGAGATGTACAGATGTTACTGACCTTTCTCTTTCCCAGTGAAAACATTATTTGTTCCAAAGCTAATATCAAAAATAAATTGTTGCAAAAATATGGTATATATAAACATTGATATTTATATAAACAAAAGAAGGTGAGAAGTAAATCTTAAATGACTCAATTTTACCTCTATATGAAGAAATTTGAAAAACCTTAGTTTTTAAATAGAGGAAGATCTACATTATCTGAATTTTATTTTTCATTTTCATAGACTATATAAAATAAGAGAAAGAACTTCTCTTGACCAGATGAAAACCAAAGTGATACCTGTGAAAGAAGGGAAGGATAGGAAAGACACTTTATAGCCTTCAAAAAAAATACTCAAATTTGACAAATATTTCATATATCTGTTTCACTTACCACTTAATATTACTCCACAAGCAAAATATTTTTCTACTTATTTCTATTAATAGCTTCTCTTTGCATTCACTACTTCCTTCAGGAATCCTCAAACTCCTGACTTCCTGAAATTCTGAATGACTAATCTTGGACTGATAATTTTAAAGCAATATTCAAATTCCCACACAGATTTCCACACAAGGTTTTTCTCCGGCTCTTTAAAATTGCTATATTGTAGTTAAAGGATAGAGTGACCTACAGGGTGTGTCAAAGAGACTGGAGAAGTTGGTACTATGTGATTAATTAATAAATTTTATAAAATAGTAAAGAATACATTTGAATCAAGCAGACTTGTCTAAATCTTACTTTTACTCCCTTAATGAGTGTAAACTTGTAAACTGGGCAATATACTGTAAAACAGCAGTTGTGCAAGTGTGGTCCATGGGATCTATGAGAATCTCCAAGACTCTTAAAGAGTCTGTGAGGTCAAAATTATTTTTAAACAACTAAGATGGTTATTTGCCTGTTGCACTGTGTTGACACTTGCACTGATGACACAAAAGCAATGGTGGGTAAACCTGCTAGTTTCTTAACATCGATCAAGGCCATGATACCAATCTGTACTAGTTAGTAGTTATCATATTCTTCTCTGCATGCACTCACAATTTTGTATTAAAAAAAAAAGAGAGAAAAAGAAAAACCCAGTTTCCTTCATGAAGCAGTAGAAAATATCATTCTTAAACATTTTCAATCTTAGGCCAGGTGCAGTCGCTCACGCCTGTAATGCTAGCGCTTTAGGAGCCTGAGACTCCTAAAACAGGACTGCTTGAAGCCAGGAGTTCAAGACCAACCTGGCCAACAGAGTGAGATTTCGTCTCTATTAAAAAAAAAAAAAAAAAAAAAGCAAGAAAGAAAAGAAAAAGAAATTTTTTCAGTCTTGAATATATTACTTTAATATTCTGTGTGATAAAACAGAAAGCACTTCTATTACATACCCAAAGTACGGTAGCTGTCTCAAGAAAAACACTTGTGCAAACTGCAAATGGTAGCCAACTTTTTTTCATAGAATACCATCTTTTCTTAAGACATACTATAATTATTCACTAATTTGGCAGACATTTTCTCAAGAACGAATGATATGAGCCTGTCATTTCAAGAAAAACAATTCAAATGATTTGTCATCAATAATAAAATTCAAACTTCCAAGCAAAATTAGAATTTTGGAGATCTTATATCTGACACGTGACAGCTTCCCAGTTTTTGACTTTTCTGAGAACACTGATGCTGTTAGAAAATGTGATTTTTTTTTTTTTGAGATGGAGTCTTGCTCTGTCGCCAGGCTTGAGTTCAGTGGTGCTATCTCGGCTCACTGCAACCTCCGCCTCGCGGGTTCAAGTGATTCTCCTGCCTCAGCCTGCCGAGTAGCTGGGACTACAGGCGCATGCCACTACACCCAGCTAATTTTTGTATTTTTAGTAGAGACAGGGTTTCACCATGTTGGCCAGGATGGTTTTGATCTCTTGACCTTGTGATCCACCCATCTCAGCCTCCCAAAGTGCTGGGATTATAGGTGTGGGCCACTGCGCCTGGCTGAAAATGTGATTTTTAAAAATATTGCAGAATAAAAGAAACCAGTATTTTACTATGACCAATATTATAAAAATCATACATGGTTTTGATAAATTCAAAGTGCACAATAAGCCAGTGAGTTTTAATCTAACAAAGTTCAGAAAGTTCACCGGTAATTGTTTCAGATTCCACACTGCAACTAACCTTTAAGAAACTACCACTTGTGGAGTTTAGGAATGGTTTTAAAGAAGATTATCCACAATTATCTGAAAGGGCTATGAAAATAGTTTTTGTTTTTTTATCCTCCTAACAATGTGACACTAAATTTCTTTAGAGACTTCGACCAAATAATGTATCACAATAGACTGAATATGACAGCAGATATGATGGGCATGGTGGCTGGCACCTGTAGTCTCAGCTACTCAGGAGGCTGAGGCAGAATGACTGCTCAGCCCAGGAGTTCAAGGCTAAAGTGCATTATGACTGTACCTGTGAACAGCCACTGCACTCCAGCCTGGGCAACGTAATGAGACCTCAACTCTAAAATAAAAGTTAAATTAAATTAATAAAGAAGATATGAGAGTCTAGTTATCTTCCATTAAGTCAGATGTTAAAGATATTTATAAAAATGTAAAACAATGCCACTCTCACAAATTTTTTCTTTTGGAAAATAATTATTTTTTTATAAAAGCATGTTAACATGCAATGGTTTATCATTTTTTTAAATGAATAAATATGTAAATGTTTTTAAATTTTTCTTTCAACTTTAATTTTAATTTTCTTTAAACTATAATTTCTAATATAGTAAATAGTGATAGATATAACTCTCAGAAACAAAAAACTTTTGAGTTCTCAATAATTTTTAACAGTGAAAAAGAGACCTAAGACCAAAAGAATTTAAAACTATTGCTCTAATAATCCCTGACGCTCAAATTTTCCTGTCAAATGGCGGGGGTGACAGCATAAGGATAGAAGATGAGGGTTAAAAAAGGGTTAACAGTTAAGGGTTAACTATGTAACTAAATGCTGTGCTAAATGTTTATGCAGATTACTTCATTTATTCCTTATAAGCTGCTTATGAAGTGGGTACCTACCTCCTCACAGAATCATTCAGAGGATTAAATAAAACAATGCTTATGTAGTACCTGGCACACTCCCTCTCTATATATAATTTAAATACTCAATAAAGGGTAGCTAATGTGCCAATTACTGTTGCCACCATAAAACTATGTGCTATCCTACTTACAACACATATCCAACTAGTTAGAGTTCTGATTCCATCCAAGACTAAATTATTAATGGCCAGTATTAATCCAACCACACATGAAAGTTATCACCTCATAGGCATTTAACAATTATAAACACCTTGTGAAAAGCCATTGGTTTGGCAAATTTGGAAGATATATACTAAACCAAACCAATGGTTAACAAGACTGTGCTGCTCACCAACTTTGTAGTGATCAAGTGACTTCATATCAGAATGAGCTGTTATCAAGTGTCAAAACAAAGGCCTCTCACAATTCAGAACCAGTAAAGGGCCAATGTTGTTGCCTCTATAAATGGATAATATATGATGTAGACCTTTTCTAATTAATGCTCCATAACATGCACTAATTACCAGACTACGATGGATCAGTGGGAAACTAGTGGTTCATTGGACAACCGTGCCTTTACTTTCATATAAGAGTAATACATTGATTCACATACTTCTAGTTATACTACCTTTCCACAAGCTATTTGGAGCCTCCATATTCCACTAAAATATCATTCTTCTTTACAGGGATTAACTAACATAAGTGTATCTTATACTACTTCCCCATTAATTCTCCCAAAATTGGCATATGAAAGCAATGTTATAACATCAACCCCACCCTTACATGAAAAATTGGACTTCCAAATAAGAGTATCCTCACTGCAAAATATACAGGTTGATCATCCCTAATCTGAAAATTCAAAATCTGAAATGCTCCAAAATCCAAAACTTTTTTTTTTTAATTTTTACTTTTTTGTAGACATAGGGTCTCACTATGTTGCTTAGGCTGGTCTTGAACTCCTGGGCTCAAGCGATCCTCTTGCTTCAGCCTCCCGAATTGCTGTGATTACAGGCACGAGCCACTCACTGCACCTAGCCAAAGATCAGTAATTTTTTGAGCACTGACATAATGCCACAAGTGAAAACTTCTGCATTTGACCTCGTGTGACAGATCAATCAAAACTTTGTTTTCATGCACGAAACTACTAAAAAAAATTGCATAAAACTACATTCGGACTATGTGTATAAGGTATATATAAAACATAAGTAAATCTCATGTGGGTCCCATCCCCAAGTTATCTTTACATATACGCAAATATTCCAAAACCTGAAAAAATCCAAACTCCAAACACTTCTGGTCCCAAACATTTTAGATAAGAAATATTCCACCTAAAGCAGAACATGAGTGTATGAGTATGTGTGTGTATGTTTGTGTGTGTGTGGAGTATATGTAAGTATAAATGTGAATATATGTATTGTAGGTATGTGTATACACACGCGTATGCTGGTTTATAGGTAAAAATGAGAACCAGTGGATGTTCTTGTCAGCACCACATTCATAAATACATATAACAAAAAGATTTGCATAAAAGTGACAACATAAAGGTGTCCAGATAAAGAAAAATATCTGCTTACTGAAAAATTCAGAATGCATAAGGGATATCCGCTTTTTAAGTCCACTGCTGAAAACATGAGTTTCAAACTATTCAGATGGAATCAATGAAGTAAAATACTAGTATTAAAATATGTATCTATGCATCCTAAATTCAAGACTGTTTAAGATACCAATGGCAGAGGCCGGCTGCAGTGGCTCAAGCCATTACTGAGCACTTTGGGAGGCCGAGGCAGGCAGATCACCTGAGATCAGGAGTTAGTGACCAGCCTGGCCAACATGGAGAAACCCCATCTCTACTAAAAACACAAAAAATTGCCAGGCATGGTGGCGCATGCCTGTAATCCCAGCTACTCCAGAGGCTGAGACAAGAGAATCGCTTCAACCCCTGAGGGGGAGGTTGCAGTGAGCCAAGGTCATGCCACTGCACTCTAGCCTGGGTGACAGAGTGAGACTCTGTCTCAAAAAAAAAAAAAAAAAAAAAGATACCAATGGCAGACATTTCTTCTTCATCTTCTTCTACTTCTGCACTTCCACCTCTGTGAGACAAAATTAGCTGGACTAACCTCATTGAATTTCAAGTGCCTCACACTGAAGGTACTCAATAAATGCAGTGGCTCACGCCTGTAATCCCACACTTTGAGAGGCTGAGGCATGCGGATCACGAGGTCAAGAGATTGAGACCATCCTGGCCAACATAGTGAAACCCCGTCTCTACTAACAATACAAAAATTAGCTGGGTGTGGTGGCATGCACCTGTAATCCCAGCTACTCGGGAGGCTGAGGCAGGAGAATCACTTGAACCCAGGAGGCAGAGGTTGCAGTGAGCTGAGATAAGAGTCACTGCACTCCAGCCTGGCAACACAGCAAGATTCCGTCTCAAACAAACAAACCAAACCCATATCTGTCCAACATTTCTCAACTTGATTCCAAAACTTCTTGATGAATGGAAAATATTACTTTTATCAACTCTTAATGATTTACATATTTATCTAAACTTTTCAGTCACTAGACCAATTTAGGTTCTAAGAGTTACTACAACTTTTCCTAGTGAAAAATGTCACCATGGTTACTTTAGAAATCTATGAAAGACTTACTGGTATAGTATAGAAATGATGTGCATTACATATAACAATGTGCCTTACAGAATAAAAAGAAATATAACACGTATCTGTCAAAAAAAGTCTACCACATGGAGATTTGATATCATTACCAAAAATAATTTTTATGGTAAATAGCAAGTGGATTTCCCTTGTTTGACCTAGAATTCACTATTTACCATTAGTCCACAATCTTGGCAATCAAAAGGAAATGATGCCTTCCTTGAGACTCTTTCAATTTTATTTAAAAAACAAAAACAGCTAAGATAAATACAGAGCAAGAAAAGCTTCCATAATAAACCTACTTACTTTGCTTAAATCTGAACCTTAATTCAGTTCCAACCTAAAGGGTTCAGTCAAATCCTCAACCCACTGTCCATAGACAGAACCATAGAGAGTTGGCACTTTTATTTTATATACCACAACCTATAACATCAAGTACAGATGAAGCTGGACATCCTGGCTTTAGATGACAAAAGAATAAGAACGGGTATGAGAGTTATTATTACACTTAACAATATAAACATTTTTATTTTCATAAAATTTCCTACTTTCTTAAAGCAAAAATATATCAAATACTATACCCAGAACAATCTGAACTTAATCAAAATTAAAGGATGGAAATATCTGTGAAGATTTCTTATTACTAAGACTCCTAAAACTGGCTCAATTATAAATAATAACACTAAATATACAGTAACCAAGTTTCTGAAATGATCTCTCAGTTGTTTCATGTTTTCATATAAAAAAGCCAACATATAAACCACAGGTTTATATACACAGCCCTTGGCCATGTAAATTTGGGATATAAAATTGGAAGACATTTTTCCTCTTATTGATCATTCTAAGTAGTACAATCTATTGTTACACATAATTTTACAGGAAGGTCATCAAAATTCTAAAATTATAATCATGTCTCAGGAAAACATAAACAGAACAAGAAAAGAGGTATTTATATGAGCTGTCAGCCCTTTTTCTGCCATCTGTATATGGCTACTTTCCTGAGTATTAGTTCCTTTTACAGAAGGTAGGCAGAAGGAACGGAAATACTTTGATGCCTTTGGTTTGGAGAAGAAAATTACTGCCTGGATTATTTGAATAAATGAAATAGCCAAGACACTCTATTTAATCCCTTACCTTGGACTGTTGAAAAGCAATGATGTAAGTTGAAATCCACCTTTTCTAATTTTATTATACATTTTAGAGAGTATTTTACTTAAGATTTTAAAGGTCTAAATAGTCAACTTAAATATATGTGGGCATATATAATCAGTAATCACAGTTTAAAAGGTAAGCCATAGTATTATGAGAAATCATTTGTGTTATGTTCACTAATGATATTGACTTTTGTTAACTAATATTCAATAAGAGTACCTTTAAGAAGTTTATGATTCAAAAGATCAAGTTACAAAGACAGGAAAAAAAGAGTCTAATATTTATTCAATGCAAATAAGCATAATCTACATAAAATTCCGTATGTTCAATAAATAAAATCACAAAGGTGAAAATTACGGTAATGAACTTCAAGTAGCTCAATATTAAGTACAATAATAAAACTGTCACTGTGGTATACAGATGAACTTCATTATCCATTACTGGACATTTATTCAAGGAGTTATCCCTGTGGGGGGTAGAGGGCTAGGGAATATATTTTTCTGGAAAGCTCATTATGTAATAAATATCTGTTTACTTGCAATATGAGGTGCTTTAGAAAATGGTACATTTATCTGCAAAGTTAGCAAATTTATTCTTTGCACTCTGTATTTTTAGCACTGTGTCATTATGAGTACTTATAACTTTGGATAAGGCTCTTTTATTACTACTTAGAAAATGTTACCAAGATTGACAAATATTTAAGTCAAATGATATTTTAAATAAAGAGAAAAAGCTACTTATTTAGTATGATAGGATGCAACAGGTACATAGAAACTAAATTAAGATAAATTGAGAATTAGGAAAACTAAAATTGCAGAGGTTGTTTTAATAACTAGCAACATTGAATAAATAAGGTAACATGAAATCTTAACATGGTATTAAACAATTGAGATAATAAAAAGCCAGTTGTTCAGGTAGCATTAAAAAAACCTATGCATAAAGCACAAAACAGTGCTCAAGTAGGATTTCCTCAGAACATAAATAAGACTTCTAAAATCTGTTATATGCTGAAGTTTTAAATGGCTAAGAAAAATTGTCAAATAGATTTATCAAAATCTCCAAAGCACACTTCTTTAAAATCCAAACCAAAAAATTTTAAAAGCAAATTAAAATGTAACACTAGAACTCTGTAATCTAATTAGGCTTATTTAAACTGAACCACTAAAAAGTCATGTGGCCACTTGTAATTACTAAACTCCTTTGATGAAAGTTTATACTACTATTTCTAAGTAGATAATTTTACCACACATTTTTAAGGAAACTCACTAATAGAAACAAAGTAAAAAATAAAAGAGAAAAGAATAAAAATTAACCACAATTCAACTTAGACCTAACAGCTTTTAGGAAAGGGGAAAAGAGCACATTGGCAGGTGTCTGCAAGGAGGTAGGTAATAAATGGAATCAGTTTTCATTCTGCAGAACAACCATGAGACTTGCTGCAATGTCAGCTCCAAGCACACACTGAGGGACTCCAGAAAATACTCATTGATCATGCAGCACTTTATAATGCGCATAGGCTTTTTTCTCCTGCTAACCCCGCCTAGCTTCCCTTTGCAGCTTCTTCTCCCAAGCCCTCTCCCCACAGTAAAATAATCTTCCTGAAGATGTGAAATAGTTAATAAATTATCTCAACAGTCTAAGTATTAGGAATACCACTCACCACCATAAAGCCTCTTTATCTGAATTACCCAGGTTTTATCTAATGAGGAAAAAAAAGAAAAACCCTACACAATCCCACAGATAAGAATATGAGATTTAAATACCTATACCTATAAATACAAATTTCTAATAGTATACTACATTCAATGCCAAAAGCAATTATAGTTTCACTTTGACATGTATTTCCTTGGACTGATTTATACTCAAATAGGATCTTATAAAATTTTTACAACCAGAAAAGAGAAAATATAATTTAAAATGTTCATGATTCAAATTATAGTAATTTTGTATTGATGTCTCTCTAGCATCAGTGCCCTAAATTTCAGGGTTTTAATATTTTTAATTTAATAATTTGTTTTATAATAATCAAAGTCACATGAAAAATCTAGGACCAGAGTATACCAGCTAAATTAAGCAATCAGATTGATATAAACATGCTTAGTTTAAAGCTAAAATAACCGTTTTTAATAGTTAACTGCAGCAAAGCTTTAGGCTTAGATATGTAAATGAATTCTAAGACATATGATACTAAACCTTACTCAAAGCTGCTTTGCAGACCCCACCTTCTAATGAGTTAATCTAAAGGTCACCACCAGCACAAGGCTTTTTATTAAGCCTGAGTCTCCCCTTTTTCCCTAACAAACATATATCTACAATTTATGAAACATGAAGTTTAAACAAAATAATTATAGACGTCTATAGTAATCATGTGAACCAGTCTGAAACATTCTCACACGGAATAGGTCTGACCGTGTCTTGCTTTTATGCTCTGCTTCTCTTTGCTCTCTCCTCTAATCTATTCATCTGTAAAATAATTCCGGCAGATAAGATTTCTTTGTTCAGATTTCAACTTTCATTTCACTTACAAACCTAGCCCTACCTCAAGAATGTCTTCTAGAACATATGCTTCCATTTCAGCCGCTGTCTCCACCATGTTTTATCAAACTGCCATGTTTCTTACTGCACTATGATTAGATCATTGCCAGCAGGAACACTCCTCTGTGTCAGCAAGGGAACAGGAAATGGAATGTTCTATTACATGCCTAAAGCAGCTTAGCTGTTCACTAGCCAGGCATCTACCAAAAGAGCAGGGGGTGACTCACTGTGTATTTTTTAAAGATACAGAAGCTCTATTCCAAAGCAAACTTCTGTCAAGTAATTTTAACAGACAAAATAAAGTCTCTTATTTTACCACTTCAATTTTTAAAATCCTAAAATTTCAAAAAAGAAATAACATATTTTTTAAAAAGCTATTTAACACGTCTGGCTTCCTGGTTGAACAAAAGAGGTTGAAGTGGGTTACGCAGCAATTTATCCTTAGTAAAGCCTTGTAGTGAGATTAATGGTTGTATTAAAGACGCAAAGAAGGAGGCATGATAATGCCAAGTTAGAAATTTGCTACATCAGGCAAATGTATTATATAACATACATATTACAGTTGACTTCAGGGTTTCAAAAATAATTATCCTAATGTAGATTTTTTAATAGTAAATTGGTTTTTATAAACTAATCTGCTTGTAAATACTTATGAGAACCAGGTTAACATTCAACTAATTTACAGTTACTGAAGCAAGCTATAATATTTGATATATGCATTTTCTAGTAGTGCCTTTAACTTCATTTACTAACCAAAGAAATGGCCTTTTTCTCTTACAATAAATACTCTAAGAGACTAAAATATCCTAGATAAATGAAATTTAGAGACACCAAATCTGGATCATCAAACAGCAAATAAAGTGAGTGAGTGACAGTGGAGCCAATATATATTATATTCATTCCTGTAATTGATCTTCCATTTAGTAAAACTTGTTAGATTGTCAAATTTCTTCCTTATACAACTTTGAATATGAAAAAATGCACTGAAAAAGGAACAATGGGCCGAGCGCAGTGGCTCACACCTGTAATCCCAGCACTTGGGGAGGCTGAGGCGAGCAGATCATTTGAGGCCAGGAGTTCGATCAAGACCAGCCTGGCCAACATGGTGAAACCCCGTCTCTACTAAAAATACAAAAATTAGCTGGGCGTGGTAGTGCATGCCTGTAATCCCAGCTACTCAGGTGGCTGCATGAGAATCACGTGAACCCGGGAGGTGGATGTTGCCATTGTGCCACTGGCACCCTAGCCTGGGCAACAGAGCGAGACTGTCTCCAAAAACAAAAAGGAACAATGTTTTATGCTCTAAACTGAGAAAAGTGATGTGATGATGTGCATGACATTGCTGGTACTATCTCCTCAAAGTGATGTCATGTTTTAGTGGTGATTTTGGAGTACTCTTGGGCCTCAATTTATTAATCATGAAATGGGATAATATTCATTCAACTTGAAATATCAGAAACTGCTCTAGGTGCAGTCAACTAGACAGATTATGGTTTCTTAACAGTTTATATGAAGATTAAATGATATAAAGTACCTACTACACGGTTTCTGGTATTTAAGAAATACCCATACTGTGTCAAGCAATATATGATTTCTTTTTTTAAAAAAATAAACATATTATTTATCCTCATAACAACCCAGCTATGTCATATTTTTAAACTACATTTTGCTTACTATATGCCATTTTAAATGCTTTTTATATATTAACTCATTTAATTTTCACAGTAATCCTAAAACATATTATTATTATCCCCATTTTACGTATGTGGAAATGGGACAAAAAGAGGTTAAGCAACTTGCCCAATTATTTCAAGCTAAGCTAATTAAGTTGAAGAGTTGAGATCTGAATTCAGGCAGTTTGCACCAGACTGGAGTCCATATCCAGAATCATCAACTATACTTCTTCCCTGTGATAATCTCATTTTACGAATAAGGGAACCAAGTATCAGACAGGGCACACAGTTATATGCAGAGTCAAATCCAGATGCAAATCCAGAACTGATTGCAAAGGGTATGTGGAATTAATGGCAAACAAATGACACTATGTTTTACCTCATACCATACCTAGTGTTTACATTTAGGTATGGGTATGCCTGGCATTTAAAGGCTGCTCAAAGTAATTTACATTGTTGAGACCTGGCTTAAACAGAAACTACAAACTGGCTTTTGTTATTTCCTGCCTCCCAGGTCAATTCTTTCTATGCTTCAAATAAACTGCTCCATCTTTAGACTTAAAACAAGTCGTCAACAAAGTTTCCCTTCCTCAAATTTTCCTCTAATGCTATCAAGCAATGATAGGTTTGAGTTCAAGGAACGTATGCTGGAACACTCTCCTTTTCCATAAACCAAGAATAGGCCTTCCAAATCCTTTATCTGACAAGAAATGGGGGCCCCTAAGACTAAAGTTAATAAAACCTTTCACTCTCCCCTTCTCTTCCATTCTAGGATTATGGGGTGCTTCTGTTTTCTGACATTTACTGTTGTTTTTAACAATACATATGTGATTATGGCTTTCTCACAGAATTATGGCTATCATTTATTATCTGTCTCCCTTAAAGACTAGAAAAAAGCAGGCAACACTGTTGAAAGCAGGCAATACTTTGGCCAGGCGCGGTGGCTCATGCCTGTCCTGTAATCCCAGCACTCTGGGAGGCCCAGGCGGGCAGATCACCTGAGGTCAGGAGTTCGAGAAGAGTCTGACTAACATGGTGAAACCCTGTCTCTACTAAAAATACAAAAACAATAAGTTGGCTGTAGTGGTGGGCGCCTGTAATCCCAGCTACTTGGGAGGCTGAGGCAGGAGAATCGCTTGAACCCGGGAGGTGGAGGTTGCAGTGAGTCGAGATCACGCCACTGCACTCCAGCTTGGGCAACAGGGCAAGACTCTGTCTCAAAAAAAAAAAAAAAAAAAAAAAAGAAAGAAAAGAAAAAAGAAATTAGGCAACACTTTATTCACCAATGCATACCTAGAGCCAGCACTCTGGCATAGAGCAGGCTCTTAAGCTTTTTTTTTTTTTTTTTTTTGAGGCGGAGTCTCGCTCTGTTGCCCAGGTTGGAGTGCACTGGCACAATCTCGGCTCACAGCAACCTCCGTCTCCCAGGTTCAAGCAATTCTCCTGCCTCAGCTTCCCGAGTAGCTGGGACTACAGGCGCGTGCCACCACGCCCATCTAACTTTTAGTATTTTTAGTAGAAACGGGGTTTCACCGTGTTAGCCAGGATGGTCTCCATCTCCTGACCTAGTGATCTGCCTGCCTCAGCCACCCAAAGTGCTGGGATAACAGGCGTGAGCCACCGCGCCCGCCAGCATTTTTTGATTAAATGAACAAATTCACAGATAAGAGAATTGTCTGATATCCACTACAGTATCCTAATACCTTTTAAATTATTGCTACTAATAGTAATAATTTCTTTTCTTCTGTTTTTTTTTTTTTTTTTTTTTTTGAGACGGAGTCTCGCACTGTCGCCTGGGGTGGAGTGCAGTGGTGCAACCCCGGCTCACTGCAACCTCCGCCTCTGGATTCAAGCAATTCTCCTGCCTCAGCCACCAGAGCGGCTGGGATTACAGGCGCCTGCCACCATGCCCAGCTAATTTCTCGTATTTTTAGTAGAGACGGGGTTTCACCATGTTGACCAGGCTGGTCTTGAATTCCTGACCTCGTAATTCACCCGCCTCAGACTCCCAAAGTGCTGGGATTACAGGCGTGAGCCACCGCACCTGGCCCAATAGTAGTAATTTCTTTATTCTTTCTTTTTCTTTTTTGAGGTGGAGTCTCGCTCTGTCGCCCAGGCTGGAATGCAGTGGCGCAATCTCGGCTAACTTGCAACCTCCACCTCCTGGGCTCAAGTGATTCTCCTGCCTCAGCCTCCCCAGTAGCTGGGACTACAGGCACGTGCCACAATTTCTAACAAAAGCATTTGTTCTTTTACTCTATCTTTAGGTCACTGGATCACTGAAATAAGATATTAGAAGTATTGAATATAAACAGAATCTAAATTTCAGATTTTCTGCAGTTATTTGTTACATAGCAAAATAATGTATCCCCTTTAATTCTGTTTTCCAGTCCTTTTCATCAATATGATTACCTATGTCACTGCAGGATACCATGGGCAAAAGGATATAAAGAGAAATTTATACATATTTGTCTAAAACCTGTCATCCTAAAAACAAGCCACCTTCCAGTTCAACCTAATTTTATTTTTGAGACGGAGTCTTGCTTTGCACTCCAGGTTGGAGTGCAGTGGCGCAGTTTCAGCTCACTGCAACCTCTGCCTCCCGGGTTCAAGTGATTCTCCTGCCTCAGCCTCCCGAGTAGCTGGGATTACAGGCGCCCACCACCACGCCTGGCTCATTTTTGCATTTTTAGTAGAGACGGGGTTTCATCATGTTGGCCAGGGTGCTCTCGAACTCCTGACCTCAAGTGACCGCCTGCCTTGGCCTCCCAAAGTGCTGGGATTACAGGTGTGAGCCACCGCACCCAGCCTCAACCTAATTTTATAGGCAAGAAAATTGTCTTCCCATTTATCTAAAATGGATTTCAATGGCACAAGACTTTTCATTATTTTGCCAACAGAAGTATTAAAGTGTAAATAGCAATTAACATATTAAGCTATGCAAACAAATGTAAACATATAAAAATAATTTAAAATAATAAAAGAAAATATTGACTGAAAATGTTCAAATATCCAAAATGAAGAGTGAAACCTCTCATAAAAAGAAGGTAAAGGACAAAAAAGCTCAGTAAATACCTAGATTGAATGAAAGAATCTTCCAAAATTGACAATTTTATTTAGGACCAGCATTGGTTTCCTTGAAGAAGGAAAAAGAAAATCAAAACAAAAAAATATGTAGAAATGTGCTGACAAGCAAGCAACTCTGTTTTGCATGACTTAACACTTTGTTGTTTGTTCCCTTCATGTAAAACTTTAATAGAAAACTCCTTGTAAAGGAGTTTCATTCCTATCAATTTTTTAACTTAGGGAATGGTGAGGCTTCAAAATCTATATATTCAAACAAAACAAGGACTGACAACTGGTGGTAGGAAAAATTTAATGATTTTGCCCACTCACATAAACTACTAGAAAAAAAACTAAAACAATTCTACCTCTTAAAATTATTAAATTTAATCATTACTTTATAGTATCTCTCTTTTTCTCTTTTCTACTGTGTAAATTATAGTAAAGCATAAGTATGAAACCCAAGTGTGAAAGAGCCTAAACCAAGTATAAGTGAAAGATATTAAAACAGAATTTAAGTTAAAAGGCTAATACGATTTGGTAAGATTTCTGAAAGTCCATACATTATTAAAACAACACATTCTCATGATTTTACCTTTTATTTCTCCTAAACTACTCATGCTATAAAATGACTGAGGAATCTAGATATATGTCTAATGTAGCACAAAATAAAGAATAAAAAGTAATATTCTTTTTATTACCACTATAGTTTATTTTCTTCTTTATTAACTATGATTTTTATGTAAAAGTAATACATGTACATGGAAAGCATTCACGGTTTAAGAGAAAAGCAAACCTACCTCTTACCAAGCCATCCTAAGAGACACAACCAGTTATTGTATCCTTCCAGAAATAACCTACATATTTCAAGCACATCTTAGGGTAACATTATTTTTTATACAGATGGATACTATTATGCATACTTTCTGTATCCCAATTTTAATATTTAATACTCCATAATTGTTTCAGATTAGTACATAAATATTTATCTTTGATTTTTGACAGCTGCTCAAATTTTCATTGCAGAACTGCATAATGTATTTAACCAGTCCAGCAGGCATTTATCTTGTTTCTAACGTTCATACCCAAAGGATTATAAATCATGCTGCTATAAAGGCACATGCACACGTATGTTTACTGCAGCACTATTCACAACAGCAAAGACTTGGAACCAACCCAAATGTCCAACAATGATAGACTGGATTAAGAAAATGTGGCACGTATACACCATGGAATACTATGCAGCCATAAAAAAGGATGAGTTCATGTCCTTTGTAGGGACACGGATGAAGCTGGAAACCATCATTCTCAGCAAACTATCGCAAGAACAAAAAACCGAACACTGCATGTTCTCACTCATAGGTGGGAATTGAACAATGAGAACACTTGGACACAGGAAGGGGAACATCACACACCAGGGCCTGTTGTGGGGTAGGGGGAGGGAGGAGGGAAAGCATTAGGAGATATACCTAATGTAAATGACGAGTTAATGGGTGCAGCACACCAACATGGCACATGTATACATATGTAACAAACCTGCACGTTGTGCACATGTACCCTAGAACTTAAAGTATAATAAAATAAAATAAAAGTTTAGATGTTACCCAATTAACTGCCTTCTAAAAAAGTTGAACTAATTTATACTGACAGTGAGTGAGACTGCCTGCTTCCCTACAAATATAAAGTGTTACTGACACAAGTCTACTAAAAATCCAGATCTGAAATCAATATTAGTTTTAAATCATGTATCCAGATTTATTCTTAGTTCATCATTTCTACTTTTCAAGAATCACAAATCAAAGTTACACCTCCTCTCATCTAACTTCAAAAAAAATTTAAAAAATCCTTATCAAAAAAAACACATAAATTCTCCAACAAATTAAGAACTTCAATTGATTATTTAAAAAAAAAAAACCCAACCACAATGCAGAGTCTATATATATATATACAGCTGATATACAGGTGGAGAAGAGAGAAGAATGGGGAGTCCAATGATCTACCCTTTAAAAAAAAATCTCCTTCTGATAAAATACAAATTCCCCCCAATATTTAATGGGTTTTTTAACCTGGTAGTAAGTTGTGAAAAGATGCTTCTGCCAGAATTTAGTATTTTAAAGACCCAGAATTGTTTGGGAAATATTTGGGTATATTCTCACTAAATAAAATACTGCTGGATACATTTATTTCTTTGCCTTCTACATTTATGTTCAAATTACTCTTTTTAAAGCATGAAATTCTAAAGTAATCCATCATATTAAAAAAATCTAATGTACAAGAATACAGGGCCACACATAAACAATTTTTATGAACATAAAAAGCACTAAACAGTTTCTATCTCAGTTTCTTGGCATAGATTCCAGGTCTAATTTTGATGATTACATTTAAAAATAAGAATGATTAAGCCTTCACCAGAACTGCCAAAATAAGACAGTTGAACATGCTTCGAGAAATGTAGAAGAATATCTAAAGGATATATGTAAGAAAGGACTAAGTTAAAGATACATAAAATTGTAACATTATAAATAAAATAATGCAACATAGTATCCAGTAGTATATTCTAAATATAAGGAATGGTAGGGAGGGTATGTACTACTTTGTAATATTCAAATAATTAAAGATTTTTTTTTTGCTTAAACATTTTTCTCAAGGCTCATACTATAAAAAGCCCCAGTACAATTGTTTTGTAAGATCATCATTAGCATTTTGATCATTCATTTAAACAAACATTTACTGAGTACTTACTAGGTGGCAGGGTTTATACTATATACACTGGAGACAGAATGGCAAATAAAATTAGTCCACCTCCAAGAGGCTATAATCTAGAACACAATCCTGATTCTTGACAATGTTTAATACTAAAAACTTCAATGATTTTTTTCTCTAATTGGTCCCCTTCCCATTCTTCTCTAATCCAACTAATAAATGAAATCTGAAATTCAACCTAGAAAAGTACAGAAGAGAATTATATTAGATACAAAACGCTTCATCCAGATGTGTCCTATGTACAGAATGAAATACAAGCATAGTCTTGTCCCAACGTAAGTAATGTACTAAACAAAGTAAGAAACAAAGCAATGCTGCCTCTTTTCACATCCCCAGTAATAGTTGTGTCTGTTGGACACTCGCATTTGTTGTCTCTACCCATGGTGGGTCACACCATGAATTCATTCTTTTTCCAGCATTTCACAATAGGTTCTATGTACACAAAACTGATAAAATATTTATTGTTTACAATCAACCCTCCCATTTGTCTGAATTGTACATTTTCAAATGAAAATAAAAACAAGTGCATACATAACAGAAATTACTTATTTCAATGTTTTTGATTTTAAATAGGTTAAATCTATTGATGATACAGCACTTTCAACCTCGTCAGCAACACATTTGTCCTCCACTTGAAAGCAAATATCTACCAACAGAAAGAAATACACACCACACACACACAGACACAAAATGGAGGTCTAGGGGACCTGGGGATAAAAATTTAAATTACAAGAAAAAGCTTAAATCTAAAGACAATTTTCTTGAGTCACCGGTTTCTACCACTCTGGGGGAATGAAGAAACAGTTCCAAGTAACTCAAGATAGCATCAAGGGCATGGAAAATAATCAGGAAGTAAAAACTACCCAAGTAACCATGGAATCTCATTGCTATCACTGGCTCTCCTCTGGTTCCTTAATGGTCTGGGGTCCCTGACAAGCTCCAATCAGTCTGGTCTCAAGATATCTGTTACCACTCTGCGCTCTGCTATTTCCAGCCTAATCTATTCATAACAAACCTTGAATGGTTTGCCTGCAAGCAATTATTTAAAGATGTAACTTTTGCAAGCAATTATTTAAAGTACCAAAAGACTGCCTGTGATATCATGAAATATACATTTGGTCTCTGGTCTTAGACCAGTTTCCTGGCATACACTCCTATAATCCTTAGAATCTTCAAAGTGGTTATGTGGCTTCCTATATGCTAAGATTTGACTGAAGACTGACAGGCCCTAGGTAGCTTCAGAATAAGGGTTGGTTTTAGCAGAAAGACCAGGGGAAGATTAAATGGTTGGGATTTTCAGCCCCAACTCCCATACTCCAAAAAGGGGAGAATAAAAGTGAAATCGATCCCCAACGGCTGATAGTTTAATCAATCATGCCTATGTAATAAAGTCTCCATAAACGCCTATAAGGACAGGGCGTGAAGGGCTTTCAGAGAACAGAACACAGTGGAAGTTACTGGAGGGTGGCACGCCCAGAGAGGGCAGAATTTCCATGCCCCTTGTCCCATACCTTACCCTATGCATCTCTTCAGCTGTATCCTTTGTAATATCTTTTACAATAAAATGTATTAAACATAAGTGTTTCCCTGAGTTCTGTGAGCTGCTCAGTAAATTAATCAAACTCAAGAAGGGGATCATGAGAACCCTGATTTATAGGCCATGGGACACACAATGGGTCCTCAGCAAAGATGAGAGGGCTAAGTATATAAGATCAGCCACGTCTTTAGAAGGAAGGGGGAGAAAAAGGCAATTTCTATTTCCACCTTCCTTCTTCTAGCTCTTCCAGGAGACATACCTTGCCTCCAGTAGTTGTAGCTCTCCTTGATCACATGACTTCCACCTTAAGGACAAACTAGTTTCTATACTTGGTCCTTAGTCCATCGGATAAAATGTCATCTTATTTAGAGGCACTGGAAGGAAGTAGGCCTCAGAATTTTCCAATTTTTTGTACTTCCGAATTTTTCACAATAAACATTTGTTTTTTAAAAAGAGTTTCCTGTCAAATTTCATGGAAAGGGATCAGAAATTAACACTCAAAATCGAGCATGTAAGCCAGTCAAGAAAGAATTAGGCATCTTACATTAAAAGAGTCACATTTGTATTCTACACAACTTTCTAATTTCCTAGAATTAATCCCTGTGTCTTCTATTTGTACCTCAGACAATTTCCGAAAATCACTTGGCCCGAGAACATATTTACTTCATAAAGAGCAGTATTAAACAACTAGGTAGAGGCCACCACATGTCTGCAATACCCCCCCTTTTTATTTTTTGAGACAGAGCCTCACTCTCTTGCCCAGGCTACAGTTCAGTGATATGATCTCAACTCCCTGAAACCTCCACCTCCCAGGTTCAAGCAATTCTCCTGCCTCGGCCTCCCAAGTAGCTGGGATTACAGGCGCAGCTACCACGCCCAGCTAATTTTTGTATTTTTAGTAGAGACAGGATTTCACCATGTTGGCCAGGCTGGTCTCGAACTCCTAACCTCAAGTGATCCACCCGCCTTGGCCTCCCAAAGTGCTGGGATTATAAGCATGAGCCTCTGTGCCCAGCCTTGCAATCTTTTTAACATTATAAATGTGATGCATCCACTTAGGGTTTTTAAGAAATTCAAAGGCTACAAAGGCACAAGACGAACCATAAGTCTTGTTACCCTCCTGCATCAAAATGGCAAAATACATGTTACATCATTAATAGACTTCTAGCACAGTTACCAGTTTAACTTTAATGCCATTTTGCTTTCATATCTTGATTCACCAAATTTTATATGCTTGTTATCTACTGACTGTCCACCGAAAAAACGAGCACTGACCCCTTCGTTTGTTGCCCTCCATCTCCTAAATTTATAGATATTATTTTTATATTATAAAGGTTTATAAAGCATTCTACTCCATAACTATAATTAAGCCCATTTTATACATTTTCTAGGTTGATTCTAAAACAGAAAATCAATAAAGTGTACTTACAATGTGATTATATAAATACTAGTCACTAAAGGAAATTTAATTTTATGTTGTTTAGACATTACTACTTGAAGAAATGTTCATGTATTCCAGACTAATAGAACTTGAATTTCCTTCTAGCTTTCTTCAGTTCTTTTTGAAGGCCCAAGATTGCCACAGCAGCTATTTCTTCCCACTCACCCTCCCATCCCCCCACTACCACCATATCCTCTACCTTGGGATTATTTTTTTCTCTGTGCTACTGTATCTCAAATATGTTCATACAAAGTGCATCGTTTTTTCCCAGTATAGAAAATGCAATTGTCCTCACATGATAAAATAGAGGGGCTGGGTAGAGAAAACATAGGTCAAAATCTATTGTCTCTCAAACAGTGAAGTCACTGTTCCACTGCCTTCAAGCATTCAACACAGCTGCTAAGAACTTAGTTATTTGATTTTCCGTATTTTTTCCCTCTCTCTGGCAATAATTTTGGGATCTTCTTGTCCTTAAGAGTTCTAAAATTGTGGATCTTTTTCCATTCATTTTGGTTACTAGATGGGCTCTTTCAATCTGAAAATTCATTACGTTTCTACAGCTCAGGAAATTTTCTTCAATTATTTCTTTCATTATTCTATCCTTCCCATGGTTCCTAAATCTCTTGCTCTGAGAACTCATACTTATGGATGTGAAAAACTGTGATATATTTTCCATGCTTCTTTAATTTTCCCTCAAGTTTTTCCAGATTATTTTCTCTTTTGATTTACATATGCAGACAGTTCCTCCTCTTAATTCCAAAATCAACAATTGAGTCTTGATTCATGCTGAAATTTTATCTCTTCAATTAAAATTTTTATAATTTTCAAAACCTTTTCTAGTTCTATGCCCCCTTTTAAATGCAACTATGATTAAACATTACGTATTCTTAAATTTTAAATAAAATACTAATTACACTTTGAAGTATTCTTCTGAATTATAGCTGAGGTTGGTTGTTCTTTTATTCATTTTAATCTTCTTTCATCCTCTTGATTGTCCTCAATTGTCTGATTATCCCTGTCTGTTTATATTTGCAAATGAAAGATTACTTTAGAGTATATAGAGTGTAAGAGCTTTCCCTGAGGTTATTTGGGTTTGTTTTCCTAAGTGGCTTCTCCTTTAAATGGAAGAACAGTACAATTTAAGCAGGTAGGGCACGCGTATACGCAGGTACCCCAAAAAGGTACCTGGATAGGAAGTCAAGTTGGCTGGGAACAGACAAAACTGTTTTTCTCCTGGGGTAGCACAGTGCCTCCACTTCTCTCTCAGGTTCTAACACCTAAGTAGATGCCCATACTAAACTGCTGACCTACTTTCTTAAGAGAATGATTCTGAAACTTCAGGCCTAAGAGTGGGCATCATAGTTGTTTAGGCTGGAGAAAGGGTAGGAGGGAAGCCCAACTGACCTAGCACTGTGGAAAAGAAGTCTTAAGAAAATTCTTAAGTATTACCCAACTGCCCACTACTACTGATTGGTGTTTGTTGACTCCAAGTTTGGAGCCATTCCAAGGTTTCCCTGGGAAAACCTGAGCTTACCTCTGTTATCTTGGGTTCCAGTTTCCTCTGGGATTTTGCTGTCAATCCGATTCCATGAACTTTCTATCTTCTTCAAAATTTCTTGGTCCTCTGATGGTACCTGTAGTGGACTGTGAACTGTAATTTTACTGTTCAACATGTTTTCTCCCTGACCCCTTTTGCTAACAACATCATCCCTCTTTTTTATGGGGAATGTATTCATGTGCTTTGGGTAGAGGTGAGCCTTCCCAGTCACCACAGGAGTGGCCACTATACCTAGGTCTGGCTAGAATATCCCATTCCCATCTCCTTTGAGTGACAGTCATCTTTGGCTGAAAATAAAGCTGATACAGAAGGAAACGCAGACCAAAAATGTTGAGACAGTAACAGGGTTGCAGCCATACTACTAACACTATTCAAGTTTAGATCCATCTATGCACCTAAGTTGTAGTTTCTTACCTCTCTCCCCACATACACCCAAGTACACATTAAAGTTATAGAGCTAATGAGGTCCTTTTGTTCCTCTTAAGGGTAGTTTGACTAATATAATAACATCTGTTCCCGCTTTTCAGAATTATGACTTAATTCAATCTTTAAACAATATCAGTGGGACACTGAAAAGAAATTAAAGGAATGTACTAAATCCACCATTTTTTAAAAATTTCAGTCAATAACTAAAATAAGCCCGGATAAATAGAGTTATACTTTTAAAATTTGTTAAACATACAATAAGGAAATAGCTATAAACTTTATTTAGTACATCTTATCTTTCCACCCTCAGAGGGAAAAAAGGCAGATATAAAAACCAATTATCTCTTTACTAGTTTTCTTCTAAGTCAGGATTCCAATAGTTTCAGAAAGAAAAAGAAGGAAGAAGGGAAGGTTCGTAATGATTTAAAATTTTTTCTTTTTTTTTTTGGTTTTAATAGAGACAGGGTCTCACTATGTTTCCCAGGCTGGTTTCGAACTCCTGAGCTCATGCAATCCTCTTGCCTCAGCCTCCCAAAGTACTGGGATTACAGGCATGAGCCACCACGCCCAACCATAATTTAAAATTTTCTAGCAAATTATTATTTTTTAAAGCTCTCTTATATGACAGAAACCTTTCAAAGAAAAATTCTGTAGCTACTGTTGTGATTACTGGGGACAGAGTAGGGAAAAAGGATGGTCAATAACTCCTCAATGGATAAAAAACAAAATCCAGTACTCCTTTTTCAGACAGGGTTTCACTCCATCACCTAGACTGGAGTGCAGTGGTTCCATCATTGCCACTGTAACCTTAAATTCCTGGGCTTAAGCAATCCTACTGCCTCAGCCTCCCAAGTAGCTAGGACTACCAGTACGTGCCACCACACCCACCTAATTTTTAAATTTTTGTAGAGATGGTTACTGCTATGTTGACCAGGAGAGTCTCAAACTCCCAGCCTCAAGCAATCCTCCTGGCCTCCCAAAGGGCTGTCATTACAGATGTGAGTCACTGCAACCAGCCTGAAATCCAGTCCTCTTGAGCTAAGGTTCATATTGTATGGTTCACACCTCAAATACCTATGCCTCAAAAACTCTATATCCCAGAAACAACTGGCAAAATGTTGTATGATGTATTTAAGTAAATGTTGGAGGAGAATAGGTCTACATTTTTCATTATAATCTAACTAAAGTCCATGACCTAAAAAAGGTAAAGAAAATTGATCCTGACTGGGAAAAAAAAAATGACAACTTCATTCCAAAATAGTATATAAGAATTAAATCCAGTAAAATGTCAAAATAAGTAATAAATTACCTCCAACACAGAAGGTAGTATAGTGTGCTAAATAATGTAGATTACCTCCATTCTTTAGAAAAACTCTGTTAAAAATAAATCATTAGCCCTAAGGTAGATGAAGACAACAAGGTTAAGTAGTAACTGTCCCCAAATCACACAGTGTTAAAGCAGGATTCAAAAGCAAGTGGCTCAACTTGATTTCAAACTCTTTCCATATCATGCTTTTTTCCTGGAGAAATAGTGTAAGAAAAGAAATACAAAGGCATTGGGTTATTTCAGAATTAAATGTAATTTTTGTCAAGCACAGAAACTGTGAAGTATTCATATGCCTGTGGTTTAATGAAACTGGAATCTGGCCCTTCTTCCTACTTGCTCTCTGATCAAAGTTTTCAGAAAAACTTCTGCTTATGGTAGTGAGGTCAGGAAGACCTTCGTATTTGATTAAGATATATGAATCTTAACATTCTAGGTTGCCTAAGCCAATGAATGGGTACCCTGGCCAAGCAAAGCTGTTCTTCTGGGATCCCTGGGATACAAAACAAAACTGCTCATGCATAGAAGACAAAAAGCTGTAATACCAAGCCTGTGTTTTTTATGTGTTAGCATAAAAGACAAAAGGATCTGGTGATTAAGCTAAAGTAGGTTAAGAACTCCCTCATATGAAAAGACATCTCACATACTAAGGCATATTCACAACTTAAATCATATTACAGTCCTTCGATCTGGCCAAGAGAAGCCAGGTACTGAAGTTTAGGTGGCAGCCAGAAAGCTGGACTGAGTGGTAGAGAGGATCTTGGACTGTGAGGTGGGGATCTGGATGCAGAGTAAGAAAAGGAAGAAAAGGTACAAGTGAAAGGAGTCCACAAAGTGAGTTAGAGATACATTCTAAAGGTCCTGAGATTTAGAAAACAGCATGATCAAATCTTTGCCTTCATACTTTTCATTTTATCTAGAACCCTAGTATTATCTGCTAAGCCTATAGCAGAGACGCCATAGGCATATGGTTTGCTTTCATATTCCCAGAAAAGGACTTAAGAGTCAGAAAAGGATGTGCATTTCCCATAACCCTTATCTCTCCCTCTTTATTAACAGTATGATAAAGTACTACAAATTTTTAAGTTCTCAAGGAATTTAAGAACATATTCTACATAAATTCTAAAAACTTAACAAATTCAGAATACAACCATTATTTTGTGAACTGTTCATTACAGAATCCCAACCCCTTAACCTATCTACTATCAGCTCCACCTAAAACAATTAACCAAAATGTACAATTAGAACTGAAAATATTTACTAGCAATCTATAAATTCAATAAGATAACCAAATTTAATAGAATTAGAAATTTAAAATAAGGGATTCTCCTAAATTAAAAAAAAAAAAAACCAACCATCTCAGTAGTCAGAATTTTCATAAGACTCTCTATTTTTATTCATACTTCAGTTTTAACAATTAATTTATGAAAATCCTTATAGGTCACAAATATTTTCACAAACATTAGGTCACCTAACCTCCCTCAAAAGAAAGTATTACCAGGCCCCTTTTATGAGAGACTGAGATATTTAATTTTTACATGTCACACTTACCTAACAGCATGAATTAAGAGGTATAGGAGGGTCTAAAACAGCATTCTTCCCACTTCACATTTTGAGCACTTACTGTAAGAGGTAATCTACAAGGTATGTATTTTGATTTGATGTTTCAGAAATATTGAAGAGTGACATTCCCATTTATTCCACCTATGAAATCCATCCCAAGATTAATCCATGAATGTTCCCAAGACAGGAGTTAGGGAAACAAGATGAAATAAAACAGAGCAGTATTAACTAGCTACATTCAGGTAAAGTGTTTTGGAGTAAGGAGGTCTTCCATAACCCTCCTTACTCCATCATTTCTCTCTGGTTATCCTACTTGGGGATAGGTCACTATACATAAATTTGAGTAAGACGGTATTCATACAGATCTGTAAAGAGGACTTAGAAGCAAGATGAAATGGCTAGTGAACTCTACAATGCATACAAAACATATTTCTTGAGCAATTACTAGGGAGGCCATAAAAGGATGGTAAGAAGGCAGTACAATATGAGAGTTAAGAAAGCAGACTTTCATGTGAGACTACCCATGTTTATATTCCATTTCCATCACTTACTGTGACCTTGAACAAGTTACTTATTCTTTACCTTGATTTTTTCAACTACAAAGTGTAGATACTATGTACCTCTTAGAACTGGGAAGATTAAATGATATACAGCAGTGTAATACACATAAACCAATTAGAATTGTGGCTGGCACACAGTAAGCACTCACTAAACTATTACTGGGGTTAAAATTATTCAATGTTCTAGGTGTTATAAACACCTTCAGGAAAGAGGTGATATATGATCTGGCCCTTTTATGGATAAAGTAGTCAACAGAGAGGGATATCCAGAAAGAACAGAGATGAACAGGGCTTGAAAGCTGATGTTTGACCTATCAGATCCTATACCACTACAAAATCACTAGTTTTTAAAATACAGTGCTGACACACAATAAAATGTCAGTTACAGAAATAGATTCCCATACCTTTGGTCTAGCAGTTTTACCTCTGGAATATATCTTACCACAATACAGAAACAATATCAAAAAGTCCACTTCAGTATTGTTTGTAACAGCAGAACTTTGGATACAACCAAAATTTCCATAAACTGGAAAGCAATTAAGTCCTGATACCTGACAAGGGAATACTCACAGCCATTTAAAGGACTAAGATAACTATATGTGTATTAACGTGAAAATCTATGATGGAATATTAATTTAAAAAGAAAGTTTCAAACAATATTTTTATAATGATCTCATTTATGCAAAACAAAATTACATAGATATATCTGTATATGTGTGAAAATGCACAGAAAAAGGCATAGGATTACATACACTTACAATTTACACCTAGGGATATAAAAAATCTTCAACTCTTACTCTGTATCTTCCTCTACTGTTTAAATTTTCAGTTCACAGTTACTATATGATTTAATAAAAGTGGAAAAAGATACTGCAATTTTAAGATTCCTCCAATATAAAAAAATCAAATGGATAAATAAAAAGAAAACATTACTCACAGTTTAACATTTGGTGAAAACTTTAGACAAGTTTGGTTTAAAGGATATTACCCCCTCAATAGAATTAAATTTATCTACATTGTATCTTAAAAGGATATTACCCCCTCAATAGAATTAAATTTATCTACATTGTATCTTATACAAGCTCTTCTTTTTTGACATTTTCTGAACAGCAACTATGTAAGTTTTAAATTACTCCTAGTTCATTTGAAATAGATAAAATAAACAGTGAAACAGTTCTTCAAAGAACATTGGAAAGATAGTGCAAGAGAACTACACAACAGTCATAGTTTATAGGTCCTGCAATAATAATGTATAGAGATTTTCAAGTTCAAAGACAACCTAAGGGCATCATCAAATCAGTAAGAACACTATATAGATGCTGGCATTGCTTATATTTTCTTCATAAAAGTACTTCTGTACTAGAATCTGTAAGGGAGGGAAAGAGAAAAGAAAAAAAAATGTCAAGCCTGTTTAGAGGTTTAAGCAATAAAAGAAGAAAAATTGCTTCAAAAGATCACTGACTTGGCTGGGCACATGGGCTCATGCCTGGAATACTAGCACTTTGAGAGGCCAAGGCAGGAGGATCACCTGAGCCCAGGAGTTCTAGAATAACTTGGGCAACACAGCAAGACTATCTCTACAAAAAAAAAAAAAAAAATTAGCTAGGCATGGTGGCATGCACCTGTAGTCCCAGATACTTGGGAGGCTGAGGTGGGAGGAACACTTGAGCCCAGGATTTCGAGGCGGCAGTGAGCTATGATCATGCCACTGCCCTCCAGCCTATGCAACAGAGCAAGACCCTGTGCCTAAAAAAATTAGAATTTAAAAAAACACATAACTGACTTGATTAAGTGGAAAACATCTAAAATTCCTTTAACCATAAAACCCCACACAGATGTTAGCTACTTAACAAACACAGGAAACTGCTTAGTACAAGTAGCCAATTTTAGTATTCAGGCCTTCAGCTTATATAAATTCAGTACTTATTCTTTTTTTTTTTTTTTTTTTTGGAGATGAGTCTTGCTCTGACACCCAGGTTGGCGTGCAGTGGCACAATCTCGGCTCACTGCAACCTCCGCCTCCCGGGTTCAAGCAATTCTCCTGCCTCAGCCTCCCGAGTAGCTGGGACTACAGGAGCATGCCACCACACCCAGCTAATTTTTTTTGTATTTTAATAGAGACGGGGTTTCACCATGTTCCCCAGGCTGGTCTTGAACTCCTGAGCTCAGGCAACCCGCCCACCTCGGCTTCCCAAAGTGCTAGGATTACAGATGTGAGCCACCGTGCCCGGCCCAAATTCAGTACTTATAAAGATGTATATACTGAGCAGATATTTGGTTTATTGTTGTATTGTGGAAATACATAAAATAAAGGCATTATTCAAATAATGAGGACAGACTATGAAACAGATAAGTCAACTGATTAACTATTTGGAAATACAAGATTAAGTTCCTATTCCCCTCAATGAACCCATATAAATTTGAAATAAATGAATAAAATGTAAAAGTTAAGAGGCACACTAGCCAAGAGATGGAAGCAACCCAAACGGTCCATTAACTAATGAATGGATAAATAAAATGTGATCTATACATACAATGGAATATTTAAAAGGAAATCCAGTCACATGCTACAACATAAATGAACCTCGAGAATAGTATATTAACTAACTAGTAAGTTATTATTTTTAAAAAGAGGTATGTACTAAATTACTTAAAGCCACTTTTTAAAAAATTACTAAACTATAAAAAGATCAAATAAACCACTTACTCTAACTTCTTTCTAACATTTCAGTGGCCAATAAGGTTAAAAACACAACATATAAGACTAAAAGGAAAAAGGATGCACATAAACTGAATCTGTAAAATGAGTATCTTTACAAAACTGATGTAAGGAAAAAATATTTACAGTTTCTTCAAATAAATTTGAAAAACTAACATGAATAATCTTCATAGAAAATATAAATTAAAATATTAATGAAACTAAACCAACAGTGCATTAAAATAATTCATCATACCAAGTATTCAAAACACAATTAAAATTAGGAAATCTTTTATTACAATTCACCATATGGACATACTGAAGGGGCAGAAAAAGAACTGACCATTTCAAAAGATGCCAAAAATGCATTTGATAAAATTTAGTACATTATTTCTAATAAAACTTAAGTAATTTAAGAAAAAGTGATGTACCCTAAATTGATAAAAGATATCTGCATTATACTTAGTAGTAAAACAACAGCACTTCCATTAAAAATAAGAGAAAGACAAGTATAACCTCTGTTACCACTGACATTCAACATTTTGGGGGTGGTTCAAAACTCACGCAATAAGAGAACAAAAACAAACACAAGGGACAAATACTGGAAATGAGAGAAAAAATAATTTACTGGAATCAATATGACATTTGAGTCAGAAAATTCAACAGAATAAACTGAATACAAGAATTCAGTTTAGTGGCCATATACAAGATTAAAATATGCCAATCAATAGCTTCCTATATTCCAACAATAACTAATTAAGAAAGTATAATGGAATAAAATATACCATACATGATAGCAGGAAGAACTATAAAATAATCTGAAATAAATTCCACAAGAAATGTGTAAAATCTATACAAAAACTAAAATTTTATTAAAGACAGATGAAGGGCCTGAAAATACATAAGTATGCCATGTTTCCGAATGGGAATATTCAGTATTATACATATATTTCTCTCCAAAATTAACACAAATTTCAATGTATAATCTGAGAATATTTCATGGTCACGTACAAAAGATGATTCTAAAGCATGTCTGACATGTTAAATGAACAATATCCAAAACTCTTGAGAAAGAAGCTCAATGAGTGAGAACTGCCTTCTAAGATACCAAACCATGCTAACATATTAGGCTGAATCATATGAAACCAGATATTCAATGACTTGTGGCTTATAAAAATAATTTCGCCAAGGTTCAACTGTGAAATTCACTCAAAGTCTCCCACCCCACTTCCACCCACAAACTTCTTTCCACGTAGTAAGAAACAGACATAAGAGTTTACTAAATATTTAATACTAATAAAGCTTGGTGAAAAACCAACAGGGCTCTTTCCTATGTTTCACTACAGTGCAACTTACTCAGTTAAGGCAAAAAACTAAAAGGGAGGTAAAAGAAGAAGTGGTGTAAGGGGAGAAAGTTCCCTCTAACAATACTGGACGAAGAAGGATATCTAAGCTGAAAACTAAAGGATGAGAAAAAACAAAGAACCAGGGGAACACCACACTAGGAAGAAAGTAAAAAGACCCTAGCTAGAAAGTCTGCATGTTTCAAAACAAGGAGGGTCAGTGCTACTAGACGACAGTCAAGGAACTAGAAGGGCTGGAACAACAAGGAGCAGCCATACAAAGTTCTGTGGGGCAAGTTAGGAGTTTGGATTTTATTCTAAAAGCAATGAGAAATCAAATAACAATGACATTTCAGAAAGATTAGCCTAATGCTACGTGAAGAATGAATGAAGAATGGGGATTCAGGAGAAAAAGCCAGGAGATCAAATTAGGAGGCTACTATGAAGTTCAAGTAAGAAAATAGCCAGGGTTAAGGCGATGGTAGTGGAGAAGGAGAGAAGGAGAAAAATTCAAGACATATTTTGGAGGTAGAATGGACCTCTCCTAGTCTACCTCCTACATAGGGTGGAGAAACATGACCTAGTCCTAAACAAAGCATCTTTTTCCTTAGTGATAGTGGCTGGTTCAAGAATGGACACATGACCAAAGCTTGGCCCACAAGATTATTTCAGGAACCAGGAATGACTTTCATTCTTGTTTTGGTAGTCATAAGGACAATATAATCATAGAATTGTATCAATATAAAACATTAATTACCCTCCAATATCCACAGTCCCCTTCTTTTAGCAAAAGACTACTTCTCCACAAGTTTTACCTGGGTACATGGCCACTCAGCAAGAGCTGAGTCTTAGATATGGCTGCGTAAGAAATTTCTGGTCAATGGGATATAATGGAAAATGACGTTGGCAACTTGTTGGTCAATTCCTCAAAAGGAAGTTACCTATGCTGACCTTTCTGTTTCTTATTTCTCCAGTATTAGTTTACTAGCGCTACCATAACAAAATACCATAGACTGGGTAGTTTAAACAACAGATATTTATTTTCTCACAGTTCTGGAGACTGTAAGTCCAAGATCTGGGTGTCTGCAGATTTGTTTCTCCTGAGGCCTCTCTCCTTGGCTTACAGATGACCACCTTCTTGCTGTATCCCCACATGGCCTTTTCTCTGTGGGCATGTATCTCCGGTGTCCTGTGTTCAAATGTCCTCTTTTTATAAGTACATCAGTCAGATGGATTAAGGCCCACTCATATGACCTGATTGAACCTTAATTACATTTTTAAAGGACTTATCTCCAAGTACAATCACATTCTGAAATACTTGGGGTTAGGGCTTCAAAATATTAATATTAATGTTGGGGACACACAGTTCAGCCCATAACAGGCTGAAACATGGACATGATGCTAGTGAGCCACAGTAGATCTTGTAGATGAACACTCCAAAGCAGAGCTGTCCAATAAAACTTTCTGTGATGGAAATATTCTACATATGCACTCTCCAATATGGTAGCCACTAGCTACATGTAATATTTAAATTAAAAATTAAAAAAAATTTAACTCAAATCCTTAGATGCGCTAGCCACATTTCAAGAGCTCAGCAGCAACCTGTGGCTAGTGGCTACAGTATTGGACAGCACTGATTAAGGGATGGTGTATCAAGTGCAAGACAGCAGATACTTAGATGTGTGAATAACCTGAAGGTCTACCTCTGGAGTAGCACATAAAAGAATAACAAACTTCTATCTTGCCTGATGTGTTCTGGAGTCTCTTTGTTCAAATGATCCATCCTATACCTTAACTAATACAGTTAATTGGAAATGACACGCTGCTCTAACAAACTCCTAAAATCTCTGGTAAGGCTTAGAGAACAGGTAGCAAGGAAACATCTCAGGCTGGAGATCTAATGATCTGTGCTATACAGTTGCAGAACATTTAGTAAAACTCTTGCCTGCAATAATTGGAAGGGCACATCATATGCCTACTAAGTTTGTAGTTCTAAGAAAAGCAGTTAGAAAAACTCGAAATATGGTGTGTTGGCTATTTAAAGATCAACAAGAAAGATCAATTCACCTATAAAGCAGTTTGCAAGCAGAGACAGACATGAAAACAGTGCTACTAAAAAGAAGCTTTCTCAGTGGCAAACTCCGACCTACAAGAGTCCAGTAATTTGGGGCCTCCCAGGATGGAAAAGGCAGCTGCTTCTGTGCTCTAAATACCAGGAAATAACTTTGTGAGTTCAAGGGTTCTCTGTCAGGTAGTAGCAAAGATCAAGTTAAGAGTGTTGCTTTTCCACCTGTAATGGTTTCTTCTTAGAAAGAAGACAGGACAGCAGACATTTTGTAGCACAAATACCTTCTCTCAATTATTCAGTCAAATGCTAATCTAGGTACTGCTGTGAGGGGATTTTGCAGATGTAATTGAAGTTCCTAATCAACTGACTTTAAGCCAGGGTGATCATCCTCAGTGAGCCTGACCTAGTCAGGTGAGCTCTTAAAAGAGATCAGGTTCTTCCGAGCAAATGAGACTCCAAACAGCAGCTGAGTCTACAATTGTTCTCTCTTCGCTGTATCTTCCCTTCCTGACTGCCTATGGAGAACAGCTTCAGCCTAAGCCCATGGATTCCACCTTGCCCACAATCTTCTCCCACTAACTGCCTGCCGTACAGATTTCACACTTGCTTAGCCAGCCCTCACAATCATGTAAGCCAAATTCCTTGTAATAAATCTCTTAATACATAACAATCATATATAAATCTACTTGCTCTGCTTCTCTGGTTAAACCCTTACTGATACATCATCCAAGACTATTATTTCAGATCCTCTCGAGGTAGCCAGGAAACCTAAGGGAGAGAGGAGCTAGCCTAGCACAGAGACCAGTAAATAAGAGAATCAGCTGGTTTCCAAAACTTAGGACTAAGAGATATTTTGCTATAGTTATTGTTACATAGTCCCGATCTAAGAAAAACAGAAAAGAAATCTATTATGTTTTTGAAAGAGTTTTACCAACAAACTACATTACTGGCCTAAAAATCTTACACTTGAACTTTAAGTAACCCTACCGGCCCTGCATCTATACCAACAGGTAGGGGGCTACAAAAGTTGTACACTTCCTAGGGATGTCACACCCTCCAATGCCTACTACTTCAAATGTGGCTAAGGAAGATAACAAACAAGAAAGAATCATCTAAAGAACTAAGCAAAGGAAACAGACAGCAGTGAAAAGAGCATTCCTCTCATAGAGGAAAATCAGTATAACCAAGAAAATTACTCAGTAGCCAGAGCAAAGTTGTCACAACTCCTCCCCCGAAGGATTTCATTATTAATATGTACCAATGACTGCTGTGTACTTCCTATTCTTCCCTTCTCTAGAAGAGTTTTCATTATGATTATCCTATTCCTACTCACTACTACACAATGGGTTGGGTGAAAAGAGGGAGAGATAGTTGTTTATTGCTTTATAGATCACTAGAATTCTCTGAATTAGGAGGAAAAGCATTTTGTATATATCTTTCACTTGGAGCTGTATGTAGTAACTGGATGGGACTTTGAATTGATTCTCTTGAGGAAAGAAACAATTAGGTGTTGGAAGAAAGGTTTGCACAAATGGTAGGTGGCCAGAAGGGTGAGCCCAATTCTCAAAAAAAACAAAGGTTTAGGTTGGAGCTGTAAACCTGATAGTCACTGGTATATAGATATGTAACGACACAATAGTTAAAATCATCTAAATGAGACCAGACACAAAACAGAAAAGGGTCCAATGAGGTAAATAATCAAAGTATGTTTGCTGTGCGGGGTAAAAGGAAGCAAGATGACCAACAAAAAACAGTGAGGTACAAACAGGAGAAGGTGGTATTACATGAGGAAGAGAGGATTACATTTTAAGAAGCAAGAATCAGTCAACTGCTATAAAAAGGAGTAAATAAGAAACAGACACAAGAATTAAATACTATATCCAAAAAGAGATCCATGTATCTTTGAAAAACAAAGTACAAAGAAAAATTTCTAAGAATTGTTAAATACTGGAGTGAGGAAGTTCTCCAGAAGTCATAAAAGAATAATACATTTTACTAAACAATAAATTTTTCCATGTTGTGAAAACAATGTCAAGGGAGAATACTGTAACACATAACACTATGAAAAATTAATACTATAAATACTATCAACAAATCAATAAGAAAACAACAAGACAATCCTAATAGAAAAATAGGTAAAGGATAAACCAGGAAATTTTCAAGACATCCAAATGAAAAACAAAGATTAAAAAACTTATACTCAATGTTGACAGTAATCAGAAAAATGAAAACAAAACACCATTTTTTGTTTAACAGATTTTTAAAACTAAGTAAATTAACCACATCTAGGAACATTCTCATACACTGCTGATGCAAGCAAAACTTGAGAGTATTTATCAAATTTAACATGTGCATACTCTAGCCCAACAATTCCATTTCCAGGAATCCATCCCAAAGAAATAGTTTCATACTCAAAAATAACTGTACAAGGATGTTCACTTCACTAATAGCAATGTAGTGAAAACAATCTAAATGTCTACCAAAATAAAAGATCAAATAAATTATGAACATTTATATTATGGAACATTCATAAGTAAATGAGAATAATGTGGCAAATATTAACATACTCTAACACACACACACACGCACTCAGTCTCAAGAAAGAAACAAACATTTGATATACACCAACTGTTAGCAGCATTTACTCTAAGAATGGAATAAAAAGCCCTATATACTAGAAGACATTTTTGTAAGTATAAATACCGTCATTAGTTTTTATTTTTAAATATATAAAAATCATAATCTGAAGACTCATCTCTTCAATTGATATATTTGAAGAAAGCTCATCAATAAAAATTTCAGCAAGCAAAATTTCTAAGTGGTACCTCTGCTCTTTGTGATAATTTCACTACAACATAACAAGGAAAAAGAATGAAAAGACGTATTTCAGGTAATGATTAATTCTGAAGACAGAATAATAGGTGATTTTTCTATTCTTTAGATCTTTTTGAGTTTGTCAAGTTTTCTGCAAATATGTGTTTCTACAAATAGGTATAAATTAATGAATAACATTTAATTATATGTAACGCTATATTTAAAATCTTAAGAATTTTCATCCTACACTGTCTTGTAATTCAATCTTCATATTTTAACATATCTCCACCTGCATCAATCACAAGTATATTAATATAGATACTCTCCTTTCTTACTATAAAACCTTCAAGGTAAAATTAGAATGGATGACTCTTTAGTATAATCTAGTTGTCAAGGACACTCTAGAAAAATCGTACATACAGACCTCATCTTAAGAACAAACAAAATATCAAAAATCACTGAGTATTCCAGGAGACACTCATAAAAGATATAAAGTCTACCCTACTAGTATTCAAAAACCAAAACAAAATGATCCCTATGATCATAAGGCACACAGTTACACCAAAAATGAACATAGATGCCCCAAAAAAGTATAGGATTTATACGGGGCTAAAATCATCTTCACAGTTTTAAATTATTACTAGTTTTATCTCAACAAAATTTAAATTTTATGAATCTAGAAATAATGTCCCCATTTCTTCAAAACCCTTATAATACCTAGGTAATTTTGCTAGATGTTAATAATGCTTCTTAAATAAATTTAGTTCAGAGAGTATACTAATAGTGATAAAACTATTAGCTAATAATCATAGCTAATAAGATTAGATAATAGCTAATAATCACGTGGAAAACTGAATTCTATCATTGTGCTAAGTTTCAATGTATGTAAGTTTTACTAACTACAATATGTACAAATTAACTTATTCATATTTAACATATACAGCTATAATTTTAAATATAATTTTTTTTCATATTCACTGGGAAGGAAATAGTTCAGATTAGACAATGAAAACAGCCACACATAGGAGATAATAAATGTTTGTCAGGTAAAAGAATTAACTCCTGTAGGAGTTAATTCTAGTATGTGCTATACTAGAGGCTTTGAAACAAGACTGTTTTCATTATTAATGCCATTAAAAAAATAAACATGGCACAGAGAAAGAAAGAGACAACAATGGGGTCAAAGGCATTTCTAACACTAACTGTAACACAAACAGGTGGGCTTCCTTTTCTTGTCAATCTTCACATTTAGGTTGACAGGAAAAGAGGGAAAGGAAAATAGATCTCTATGGTAACATATATTTATTCTAAATTCCAAACTAATGGAACCAACCTTTCCATAGATACTTCCAAAATAGGTTTCAATCAAATGTTTTTAAGCTAATTAAGAGATGATCCATAAAGAAACCCAGACCAAGAAATAACTTTAGAGCAGGTTCTTATTTCTTCACTTTCGTATTTTTCTTTTCTATTCCTTTCTTTTGTGGGGGAAGATGGGGATAAAAAAAGTGAAAGGTTAAATTAGGCAAGCTAATAGTATTTTTGGGAAAAGGAAAGGGGGAGGCAAAATTCCCTGCAAGAGAGGCACAGCCATAAAGCAGTTCCATAAATGTGCCATTTCTACAATGTACTTTCAAATAATCTCAAGAAATAAAAAATGAATTTATTTTCTAAACTGAAATAGCACTATCTGGTACACATTATGATTTTCTCTACCTTATAAGTCAGTTTGAGTATGAAGTAATAAGCAATAAGAATATACTTAAGTAAAATCGGCCGGGTGCTGTGGCTCACGCCTATAATCCCAGCACTTTGGAAGGCCGAGGGGGGCGGATCCAAGGTCAGGAGTTCGAGACCAGCCTGACTAACATGGTGAAACTTCGTCTCTACTAAAAATACAAAAATTAGCCGGGCGTGGTGGCGCCGGCGCCTGTAGCCCCAGCTACCTGGGAGGCTGAGGCAGAAGAATCACTTGAATCTGGAATGCGGAGGTTGCAGTGAGACGGCATGGCGCCACTGCACTCCAGCCTGGGAGACAGAGCGAGACTTCGTCTCAAAAAAAATAAAATAAAATAAAAATAAATTAAAAAGAAAGAATATAGTTAAGTAAAATCTACAGTCCTCCTCAATCATGGATTCCATCTCTAGCCCTACCATCATTTTTAAACTATCCCTCTCTAGACCTCGTTTTAGTCATCATTTTCATGGTACAGCAGCCAAAAATATACATAATCTATTTTGTGCAGATGTAGCATAGCATTATTTAAAATGAGAATTATGATTCTGGTTATCGCCAACGCCTTAACTTCACCCTACATTATACTAAGCTTTTACCAAAAAAGCATGCTGTATTTCAGATCATTTACTCAAAACACATTTTTTTTACCCTTGACGCATAAAAACCTATTTAATATTTTTCAATTTATTCCCAATAATCTTGTTTCCCATTCTTATCAGCATAATTCACTATGATCAGCAAGCTTTGAGAAATTTCACCATATATCAAAATTGTTTATAAAGGCTGCGCACAGTAGCTCACATCTGCAAGCCCAGCACTTTGGGGGCCAAGGCGGGCGGATCACTTGGAGCCGGGAGTTTGCGACCAGCCGGGCAAACATGGTGAAACCCTAACTCTAATAAAAATACAAAACAATTAGCCAGGCGCAGTGGCTCACGCTGCAACTCCAGATACTCAGGAAGGTGAGATGAGAATTGCTTGAACCCGGGAGGTGGAGGTTGCAGTGAGCCGAGAGCACGCCACTGCACTCCAGCATAGATGACCTTGTCTCAAAAAAAAAAAAAAAAAAAAAAAAAACAGAAAAAAAGAGTTGTTTTTAAAGACACTAATAATGGCTCCAATAGGAATTCCTCAAGTACTGTAACGGTTTTTGTTGTTGTTGTTGTTGTTGTTGTTGTTGTTGCTTGAGACAGAGTCTCACTCTGTCGCCCAGACTGGAGTGCAAGGGCGCGATCTCTGCTCACTGCAACCTCTGCCTCCCAGGTTAAAGCAATTCTCCTGCCTCAGCCTCCCAAGTAGCTGGGACTTACTGGCGGGAGCCACTACGCCCGACTAATTTTTCTATTTTTAGCACTCTGATGTTTCAAATGTAAAATCTTTACATTTCCTTCTCCCCACTCTCTTTTATCTCTAGTCTCACTCAGAAGTAAACTTAAAAACTAACCCCAGGCTGGATGCAGTAGCTCACGCCTATAATCCCACAGCATTTTGGGAGCCTGCGGCAGGAGGATCACTTGAAGCCAGGAGTTCAAGACCAGCCTGGGCAACAAAGTGAGACGCCATCTCTACACACACACAAAAAGTTGACTCCTTTAAAAGATCATGTAATGTTTATGAGTTTCACAGGACAGAAGGCAGTCTAAGTTATGCTTTCAATAATTAGAGCTATATTATTTGAAGTTTCATAGCATGCTTGGGGAAAATAACAGTTAACATTTCCCTTTTCAATAACTGAAACCCCAAATTATAAATCATTATAAAAATGATACCTATATTGTCCCACAACTCTACATCCCTTCAGGAATGAATAATAATAATTTCTAAAGACAAAAAAATGTTAAGAAGTGAAGCACTGTTAAGTCAGAAAGGGTATTTTGCTTCTGGGTAAGAAGTGGATGGACATAACTGTACCAGATAGGTAAGATTCAAGGGACTAGAAGGGTATTCGTATTTACCCACCACCTTCAATTCCCTAATGACTTACTTTTTTTTTTTTTTGAAAAGATGAAAGCTGAAAAAAGTTAGGTTTGGTGTAGGTTACACCATGGATGTTGGTGCCTCCTACTGGTCCTAACAAAAATATAAGTGGTACCAGCAGGCACTACTTCGCATACCAATGTGAAGTAAAAATTCCCTTTCATCTGTGGTCAAGTATGGAAAAATTATGAAGGTCCTCATTAAATCCACATTTTTTAACCCATTAAATTATCCTTATAAAAATTCAGATAAACTACTGTCATAAATGCAACTGCACTGCCTCAAGGACCTAAAAACTGTTTTCCTAATCAACTAGATGGCATAATCAGGTAACAGCAGAAACAGATAGTCTAGTGAATTTCCGAGAGTCAAAATATGCTACTTTGATGCTTATTAAACACTGAAAACTTTCACAATACTAACTCCAGTTAAGTTGGTGAGGTTAAAAATGACTAAACTAAAAATAATGGTTCAATTAAAACATCCCACAGGGATCTACTGTAAATAATAGCTGCAACCAAGTTCTGTTACCTCAAGACTTGAAGTCCCAAAGATTTCCCACAGTAGGTGGCTAATAAAGAAATATTTATGAGTTATTCTTACTACAGAGATGGGACTTCATGAGAACCTAGCAGAGATACAAAGACTTACATAAGACACATGGTACTGTATAGCAGGAGATATACAGATGAGTAAGACAAGGCTTTTGCTTTCAGATATGACAGTCCACAGCACACAATGTAAACTGCTTCATTAATTAAAGGGCAAAACATGAAGATATAAGAGAAAAGAGAGTAGGCATAAGGCTGGTTTACCAGAAAGATGTGATCAATCTTGGACCCACTATTTCACAAATAAGCCTTCTTTGTTACCACATCATCTGCTTAGTTAGAAGCAGTTTCCAAACTCTTAATAATCCAAATAAATGACCAAATTCCCCACTAAATCTGTAGTGAGAATGTTTCAAAGTAACAAGGTAGGAGGGAGAGGGTGGGGGTCACAGAACTCTTTGAGGATCTAATGAAAATCCTGCACATATGGGGCTAGAGCAGAAAGGAAGAAAAATAAAGCCTTATAAGCACCTTCAACAAAATCTTTTGTTTAATATCAGAGGATTCACAGCCTAGCCAGACCCCAAGTTAACAATCTCTATTTAAAAGAAACATTTTTTTTTTCAAATTAATAAGGAGAGATTACCTTGAAAAGTAAATATTTTGAAAGGCAAGGAATAAGTGGTAAATCGCCTCTAGAAAGGGTGGTTTTTCAGTATGAAGTTTTCATCTTGTTAACAACTTAATTCTAGGTGGTGGGAATATGGATTATTTTTCTATACTTTTCTGTATTTCTTGCTTTCTTTTTCTTTAGTGAGTTTTTCAGAAGAACTGGAAAGAAAACTTGGGGTGACCAACTTGTCTTCAATGGCCGTCCAACTGCAAAAAAGCGTCTCCCCTTATACAAGCCGAATGTGCCAATATCTGAAATATGGTACTCAACACCATACAGCATAACAGAGCATGTGAATGAGTGAGAGAATAAATGAATGAATGAGGAGGCGTAGAATCTAACAGTCCCAGGTTCAATCCCATTCTGACATTTATTAGCTATGTGACCCTGATGAGGTTGCCTAAAATCCTTCTATGCCAGTATGTTTACCTGTAAAATGAATGCTCCCTGCCAACATTTGTATACTTTGAAACTCACACATTATTCAAGATGTACATTTAACCACTTAAGCTCACTCTCACACCTCCCCAAACTTATAATATTTATTCATTGGTGTATTTTTAAATCAAGGTGACTTACAAGTTTTGTTCACCATTGCTCACGCAGTACAGCACAATACCTAGCACATAGTAGGAACTCCAAACATTTATTGAATAATGAAAGAAATATAGCAGCACCTACTTCATAGGGTTATGGCAAGAATAAAATGAGAATACGAGAAAATTGTATTAACTCATTTAACTCTCATAACAATGTTATAAGGTAGAATCTACTATCATTACCATTTATACCATTTACATGAGGAAATTGCAGTAGAGATTTAAAAACTCGGCCAAGGTCACAATGCTAGTAAATGATGGATCAAGGATTTAAATCCAAGCTCCAAAATCCATACTTTTAACCTTTACCTAGACTTCACAAACAGTAGGTACTGAATAAGTATTCATTTTTATTTACTCTTTAAAAATTTTAGGAGGCTTAAGGTACTTACCAGGCATTCATCAATTCCTATTAGTTTAACTGGCTCTCCCCTTAATACTTAGAGAAGATCATCATCACTACGAAAAGGAATTAAGAAATTGGAAAATGTTGAAATCTGAACTTCAGCTATTCAGAAGCCCTGGATCCAAGAAGGGAAGAATTTCCATTCCTTCTCTTCTTTCCCTAAATGAATGCTGAATCCTCCCTAAGTACTAGTTATTCACTAAAAATGTTTTGTTTTTTTCTAGTACTGTGCTTAAGCAGGAGAGAAGACAAGATAAATTATAATTAAGACAGACTACTGCTTCAAAGATCTTAAAATCTAGTTTACAAATACTGCTACATCAATTAAGAGATGAAACAAGCAAGCTTCTCTGGGCTAATCTAGGATTCTAAGCATTACAAAAAAGGAATTTAGATAGCACTTTTCCAATAAAAAACAAACAAGAATATTTCCAAATGAAGCTGAACACAGCCTAATTCTGAAATATTTTTTCTTTCTCCCTCATTTTCAACTCTCTTTTTCTGTCTGTAAACAGATCCTCCCTGGCCTTGCAAATCCTTTCAATACTAAGTCAGTACTAATTTATTTACCGGCTCCCTTTGTCTAAAATTTCTTCACTAGGTTTATCTCTTGATTTAGTCACAGGTTACTTACAAAAACAGATGAAATTCTGATCAACTCCTACTGTATTTATACTTTAAGCATCTTCAACAAAAATGTTTCTCCCCCTTTGAATTCTGCCTTAGAAAATACTAAGATTGCAGTGCGCAGTGTGGCTCAGACCTGTAATCTCAGCACTCTGGGAGGCTGAGGCCAGTGGATCACCTGAGGTCAGGAGTTCAAGACTACCCTGGCCAACATGGTGAAACCCTGTCTCTAATAAAAATACAAAAATTAGCCAGGCCTGGTGGCGGATGCCTGTAATTCCAGCTACTCGGGAAGCTGAGGCAGGAAAATCATTTGAACCCGGGAGGTGGAAGTTGCAGTGAGCCGAGATCAGACTGTTGCACTCCAGCCTGGGCAACAAGAGCGAAACTCCGTCTCCAAAAAAAAAAAAAGAAAGAAAAAATACTAAGATCATTCAGTCATATTCAAAAATGCATTCAATAGAATGCAATGTTATTTCTAAAATAAAGTATCAACTCTTGAAATTATAAGATTTTTTTCTTGTAATAGTCAAAAGCAATTTAATTAATTTTGTCCACTAATTTGAAAGAGCATCATGGCTTTTATGTTAGAAAATATATTTGTATTTTCCATATTGGTCAGTCACTCACTGAAAACCAAGAAAATTATGCATTTTCAATTTTAAATGTAAGATTTTGTGTCAAATAGATGGGGAGAGGGAGGCAAGTAGCTCTTGGTCTTATTTGTTTCCAGGTATACCCGAAGTTATGCAAATTATCTAAGACGTGATTACCCTATTCTGAAATACTTTAAAGTAAAATCCTATTCTCAATAACCTACTCCAATGTCTAGAAATTATATTCTTATTGTTCAACAATTAAATGAAGCTCTTATTTGAATTGATTCTCGTTTCCTTCCATTTTTCCTCTTTTGGCAGATACAGAGATTATTCAGATAGCATTTCTTTATAGCAAAGCTATGTATTTTTGTTAAATTAAAGTTATCCTTTCAGGTTAAATACCACAAAACCATAACCTTTCACATTCCTTTTTAATCTTTTGATGATTTTTACTGGAAGGATAATTTTAAAGATCATTTTATCTACTTTTTTTTATTGTGTAGCCTATAACAGAATGAATTAGAGAAAAGACAACACTGTGATTTTAGCCACAAGACTTCCTAGCTCCAGAAAGTTAGGCTTCTGCTGACATGTCAGTAAAATGGTAATTAAGAGAAAAACATTACACAACTCACCCATTTAGCTTACAGTTTTATTTGTCTTTACTTTGATCAAAAGATGAAGATGGGGCAGAGACAATCTGTACTCCTTTTTGTCTGCTCATCCCTCATCTGTATAGATTTTTTAAATGGGTACACTTTTTTTTTTTTGAGACAGAGTCTCGTTCTTGTTGCCCAGGCTGGACTGCAATGGTGCAATCTCAGCTCACTGCAACCTCCACCTCCCGGGTTCAAGCAATTCTCCTGCCTCAGCCTCCCAAGTAGCTGAGATTACAGGCATCTGCCACCACACTCGGCTAATTTTTTTGTATTTTTAGTAGAGATGGGGTTTCACCATGTTGGCCAGGCTGGTCTCAAACTCCTGACCTCAGGTGATCCGCCCGCCTCGGTCTCCCAAAGTGCTGGGATTACAGGCGTGAGCTACCACGCCCGGCCAATGGGCACACTTTCTTACACGTATTTCTCCTGACTCATCTTCATAAATGACAAACCCATTGTTTAACACCATGTAAAAGACAGGATAAGGTATGTTAAAAACATAGAAATACTACCATAGTTGGTGAAAGTCAACATAACCATTCCTATATTACAAAAGGAAAACAAACCTGACCCACAAAATAAACATACCTACAAACTTACAGCCATTCTTCATGATTTAAGGAATTACTAAAAGTTCTGCTTATTAGGCCGCATTCCAATGGACAAAACTACCTAGGTATGTTAAGTTTGCAGCAGAATATCCCAGTAAGTACTGCATTCAACTATCATAACCTTGCTCTAAACCAGAGCTTAATAGTTTCACGAGAATTTAAAATTTTAAGTAATGGTATTTTGCCTATAGCTGCATGATTGTGTTACCTTGCTATTCAGTAACTATTTTTCTGAATGATATCAGGAGGGTGATAAAAGGAAATAAATTATTATTAAAAAGTGTACAGGTCTGAGACATTAGAAAACTTTGATTTGTACTTTTGCTACTACCCACCACAACCACTTTCCTCTAAACCTTGTTTTCCTCCTTTTTAAAATAAAGGGCTGAATTACCTGTAAAATGTTTCTCACCTTTGAGAAGAATCATACAATTGAATGATTCTAAGTACCATAACAAATTTTATTAGGGATAAGGACCCCATTACATCTTTCTCTTCCTTGTTTCAAATGCCGCCAGAGCAACACACTATCCTAAACATCCAAGTAGGCCAATATAAGTCTATCAATACAAACCTATTCTCAGAATCCAACAGGCTAAAAGGGAATAAAAACAAGGACTGGCATATTTTTGTCATACATACTTCAGCACTTAATATCTCTACCTATACAACTTCATCCAGTCTGAGATAAAAGAGAATCTGGTCTTCTACAAATAGACATGTGTCAAATCCTTTAAAAGGTACTTCTCTATTTCAACAGAGACCAGGATTCAATAATTCCAATTTTCGGAAAACCAGACTTGCATCAAAATAAGTTCCATGTTTGTGGAAGAGAATAAATAGTAAGTGGTACTTTTAGATGAATCACTTGGTCTCCTCTTAGAACTAAGTTTAAAATCAGCCTTTAAAGCTGTTTTCCCTCTGCTGATAAAGATTTCCCTCTCCAAATAAAGATTTTTCTAGATTCTATTTCAGGAAGGAGACAAGAGAGTGGTAAAACAGCTAATAACTAGTAAAGCTAACTCTCAGTTGGTTGTCAGTATGGTATGTTTTACTGAGCCTTTGGGTTGTAAGGGCTTCTGTGAGGAATAAGGTCCTGCAACGCCGCCTGTCTGTGGACCCAGGAAAAATTATAAAGTTATTATGAAACCAGATCACTAGGACAAACCGAGAGGCCTTCCTATTCCAACTCACCACAACCAGGCCTGGCTCCAAAGCCTACCCTTTGGCTGTCCCATATTACGGGACAACAGGTCCTAGCTTAATTCTAACTCACTAAGGAAACATTCGAAGGCATGTATGTATGTACGTGTAAGGATCAAATATATTTTTCATCCACTTACAAATGTATATGGTCATTTGTAATTATTTAAAGTTACTGATAAATTTATACAAATACAGCATCAGTTCATCGAAAATCCCTGGGAGATCGAGGAAATGAAGTTACTTCAGCAGCCAGGATAGTTACGAAAAACCCTGCAGAACAGTATGGAAAAGTACAGCTTCTCACGTGTCCCTCACATACACAAACACTTAGCTCTGAGTCCATTACAACCTTACGTCCCCCCTCAAACTGCTCCCCTCCACCTCACAACTGGGAGAAGTTGATCAACCTCCTAGTTGGTCCCCAAGAGACTCATTTACCCATTATTTTACTCCTCCCGCTTTGATCCCGATCCCGCCTCAGACTAAGGTGGCCCTACTGGCCCCAGGCAGACCACCCCCCCACCCCCCGGCGTGCAAACAGGGAATCTAACCAATTCCCTCCATCCTTAACCAAGTGAGCCATCCCATGATAACAGGCTGTTCACCAACTCTGTGAACTCCGTGGTCCTCCCACCCCCACGTGTCAGCTACCCTCCCCCACATTCCCACACCTCACGATTTAGGCCGAGGGAAGAAAGGGGGCAGTCGAAAGCCTGGCCCCTAAGAGATCAACCCACTGGAATCTGTCCCACTCCAAATCCCCTCCCACCTTCGGCCCCTATCCCTTACAGTCCCTTCCTCCCTCCTTCCTTTGAAACCAGGCCCTTGCCTCAGAAACCTCCTCTTCCTCGTCGTCGTCGTCCTCTTCTTCCTCGCTGTTGTTACTGCTGGTGCCGCCGCCGCCACCTCCGCCTCCACCGCCGCCTCCACCGCCGCCGCTGTTGTCGCTGTCGCTGCTGCTTTCGCTGCTGCTGGGGGGTCGGCAAGTCCGGTTACGCTTGGCCTTGTGGTGCTGCTGCTGCGGCGGCTTCTTCTTCAGGAGCAGGTCGCAGACTCGCACCATCCCACGAGGAGACGAGGCCGAGCGAGCTCTGCTGCTGCCGCCAACGCCGCCGCCGACCTCCGCCGCCGCGGGGGGGCCCGCCACAGCCGCCACCGCCGGGGGGCTCCCTTCTCCTTCTGCAGCCGTCGCCGCCGCCACCGGAACCGTCGCCTTCTCCATCCCCAGGGAAAGAGGGAGGGCGCGGACGGGGGAGGGGCGTGGGGCTACGCTCTACCGCGACTTCGGCCGCACTGGGGCCGACACAGCAATCGGTGCCGCCTCCGCCGCCACCGCCTCGGTCACCTCTACTGCCGCCGCCGCCGCCGCCGCTCCGCCAGCTCTCACCTCGTCTCGCGATACTAAGGGCGGGGAGCCTGACGATGGGAGGGAGGGAGGGAGGGAGAGGGAGGGAGCAAGGGAAGGAGGGTGAGGCGTAACAGGGAGACCGGGTGTCGGGAGAACCAGAGGAGAGGAGACTGGAAAGAAGCGGGGAAGTGTGCCTGGGGCAGCTTCCGAAGGGGAACGGCGGGGACAGATGAGGGGGGCGCGATTGCAACCAGAGCGCCCGCGAGCTCCCGGATTTCTTCTCTTTCCTCGCTATTTCCCGCACACACAGCCCTGCAGCCCTCCCTTCTTCCTTCCTGGCTTGTGATTAGAACGCAGCCGCAGGCGGAAGTGCAGTGACGCCATCAGCCGTCGCCTGAGCCGTGGCGCGCGGGTGGCCGAAAGGCGAAAGTGAGATTTCAAGGGCCGGGTCTGGGGCCCCGCGGGCGCGCAGTGCTGCGGCGTGTGGGGAGTACGGGGAGGCTGGAGAGGAGCCGGCCCCGGGCAGTGTGAGGTGCGGAAGCGCGGTCCAGACACTTTGCTGACGGGAGGCCGGTCCGCCAGATCCGGGAGGTGGGGCCTCGTTCTGGACTGCTGTACGTAGTTTTATTCCTGGTCATTTTTTTCCACCGCCAAATCGAGAGATAGAGCTTTGGATCATGAGAGATGGCGTCGTGTTGGGAAAAGAGCCTTCTTTACCTGAGTTTAAGCTCGGCTCATAGACATCCTCTACCTGAGTTTACACGTGTGTAATATGAAGGCAGTCGATTAGGAGATGTCTAAGATCATTACTTACACCTCAAGTTTCCAAGGGGAGGAAGACACGGGAAGGATGCGTGGTCTGTGCCAGACTTTGTAGACGATTCACTGAATGACCCTGATTTAGCTCTTCCGGCCCTCTTCGATTCAGCTTGGAAGCAAGCATAAATAGTGATTGTTGTCTGTATACTTCTCTCGGAAGGAATGCTGTTATGGGAGTTGTGGGTTCATTTTTAGGTGTCTGAAGAAGTTTCAGGACTTTTGAAATGATAGTGGAGCCCATTGAACTCAGAATTATCCCTTTCTGGTCTAGTAGGAGTATAGTGGCATACGGAAAATGAAGCAAACATCAAAGACAGATGTACTGGCACAAGATTAAAAGTATGTCTCAGCTGACATAGTTGCCATTTTAAGACTGCTTAGTTTAGCTGAATATGCCTGGATTTTTTTTTTTTTTAGCATTTTTTTTCTTTTTAGCATTGGCATACCATATGAAATGTGGGCAGTTGCCAGTACTCTACAGAGTACCAAGGCAGAATTGGCAATGACTAAATCAATTCATTCAAACAAAAATTCATCATGTGCCTACTGTGCGCATAATTTGTGGAATCAAAGTCTCTTGTTTCCAGGGGCTTTACAGTGTAATAAGTGCTATAGTAAATATATATACGGAGTGGTAACCATCTGCCTATTCCTCTCCTACAGTCGTTGCTGAGTTCCAGTGTAGAACAGAGCACTGCATTGTGTATCTCACCACTACTGATTTAGATTTTATAATTTCAGCTGCATCCCTCCCTCCTACTTTGTATATTCTTCAGCATCTTTTTCTCCCTTTCCACTTGAATACTTTTCGCAATCTTTAAATCCCAGCCCATTTTATTATATGACTTTTAACTTAGACTTCACAATTTTCCAAGTGCTAGAAATTTCCTGAGATTGCCTTTTCTCCAGTATCAACGAATGAGAGACTCCCTGTTCATATATGAGATAAACTCTTCATACATATTCTAGTTCCAATACCCCTCTTTCTCATGCATTTATTATCTTTTCTGTTGTCAACCTTCTACAAATTCTGGTTCCTTAGCTAATTCTTCTGTAGCTTTCAATTATTTCCTTCACAAGCAAACTTTCTTTCTTTAAAAAGTATTCTATACTCAGGAGGCTGAAGCAGGAGAATCGCTTGAACCTGCGAGGCGGAGTTTGCAGTGAGCTGAGATCCTGCTACTGCACTCTAGCTTGGGCGACAGAGCGAGACTCCATCTCAAAAAAAAAGTGTCTACAATCAGTGTCTTTTTTGTTTTCTGAAATTGACTTGTCAGCCCTCTGCAGTCTAGTCTCTGTGTCTATCGTGCTGTGCTACCAAAAATGCTCTCTTTAAAGTAATCTCATTGTTTGGAAGAAAATGAGTTTTTTGTTCTTTAATATAATAGTGAAATGATGATCCTGTTTCACTAGTAGGATAAGGTTCAAAACTATTAAAATGGACAAGGCATGTAAAGTCACTTTCTTTTATTTTTATCTTTTTTTCCCCCCGTTAGAACCTCTGGCAGGGACTGACTAGCCCATGAAACTTATTTCTTCTTCCCGGGCACACAGCTAAACTAAATTTCACAGCTTTCCTTGTAGTTGGTTATAGTCATGTGATGAACTTCTTTTTTTGAGACAGAGTTTAGCTCTTGTTGCTCAGGCTGGAATGCAATGGCACAATCTCAGCTCACCGCAACCTCCGCCTCCCGTGTTCAAGCGATTCTCCTGCCTCAGCCTCCCAAGTAGCTGGGATTACAGGCATGTGCCATCACACCCGGCTAATTTTGTATTTTTAGTAGAGACACGGTTTCTCCATGTTGGTCAGGCTGGTCTCGAACTCCCGACCTCAGGTGATTCCCCCACCTCGGCTTTCAAAGTGCTGGGATTACGGGCGTGAGCCACCGAGCCTGGCCGTGATTAACTTCTAGCCAATTAAATATGAATGGAAATGATGTGCTCATTTTTAGGGTTAATGAAGTCCTCCTATTCTCCCTTACTCTTTCTTCGTCAACTTGATGCCTTTGAGCATGGTGACCTTCAAAACTATGTATTGGAGATGCCAAAGCCAGAAAAGAGAAGAATGAGTGGCTGAAACAGTACTTGGAAGACAGCCACCCCAATTAGAAACACCCCTTTTTGCACTTACTGTAAGAGAAAAAATTGAGATTTGAGAATTTATATGTATAGGAGCTAGAATGACCATAGCTAGTCCAGAAATTGGTACAAGAAGTGGAGTACTGCTAAAACAATAACCTAAAATATGTTACATCAGCTTATTTATGATGCAGCAGGTGGTAGAGAATGTGATTTGGAGGCTAGAAAAAGGAGGCCCATGTTTGCAGTGGCAAAGTAATTAGTAAAACTGTCACCTGAAATAATTCAAAATCAGATCACCTATCTGTTTAGATTAGCTCCAGAGGAAATGATTGAAAAGAGCAAAAGTAATACTGTGTTGAATTTTACATTTTACTTTTAGTAAGGTTTTACTAAAGAGAGAAACTCAGGAAATACTTCACAGAAGTGAGAGTGTACAGGAATATTTCTCAGGAAGGGTTGGAAAAGTTGACTTTTATAAGACTTCTAATAAAAAAAAAAAAAAAACTAGAAGAGGTCTTGAGTATAGTTACCCTTGAGATTAAGTCCTGCAACAAAGATCAGGAAAAGGGTTTGGTCTTTCCATTCAAAGTCATTATTTTAGATGGCTTCAAGATAGCTACGATAAAGGTCTAAAGGAACTGGCATAGGAGCAAGGCAGCAAAGCAGTAAATTAGGCTTGATAATTATGTAAGAAAGAACTTTGGGTGTAGTTACCAGAAGCAAATCAATCAGAAGACTACATTTTTAGAGGAATTTTATTAATCATACTAAATCTGGCTCAAATATCATTGTTCGGGTGTTAAAACAGAGGGTAACTGTCCAACCCCAAGCTTGCATAAGTAGAAAAATAGAGCATAAAACCTTAACAGCTCCCCAGTACCCACACAGGATGTGGCCATGGAGAATGATGGACAAAAAAAGAACATTTCAGAAGCTCGTATAAGGAGCTGTACTAAAGACTGGACAGGGAGTTTCTCCTGAAGACTAGAATTGGAGTTTCATCAGAACTTTCTTCAGTTTCAAGGAGATGGGCCGCAAAATGTTTATGCAGTATTTCATCATTATTATACATGAATAGTATTGCTCAGTATCACATTTTTTTTCTGAATGAGAGAATGTATTATAGTTATCTGTCCCTGAGTTACCACTATATATTGGGTTTGCAGGGATGGGGGTGACAATAAAGATAATTTGTCTTTTTAGTTCTTAGGTCACATCTGTACCTAATGAAGAGAACTGCACATTTTCTGAAAATCCTAGACTTTGAGCCTGTTCCAGTAACTGGTTAAAACTTTAGATTGTCTCCTTTGGGACAGGGTATGTTCTGTGTGTGGAAAGACAGGTAAAATACATGTTTAGTGATCAGAATAGTAGATTCTTGCAAATGCTAAATTCTTCTGGCCACACAGCTATATTTCCATGCCTCTCTTGCAATTAGGTATATGGGTTAGGTGTGCTGATTAGGTTCTAACCAGTGGAATGTGAGAAGTGATGCACTCCTATTCCAGCTCTGGCCTATGGAAACATCACATGAGCAATCCAATATATCCCACTCCCCATCAACTTGAGGCAGATGAGCAAATTTGCACTGGAAACTATGTGTTAAAGATGGCAAAGCCGCAAGATAGGACTCCTGGTTTCCTGAATCTTCACTTGGAGGATACTTGCTTCCCAATTAGAGACACTTGTGCTAGAGTTTCCTGACTCTTCACTGGGAGGATACTTGCTTGCCAATTAGGGACACTTGTGCTACAGCTCATACGCATTCTTTTGTGTTAGGCCACTGAGATTTCAGAGCGTGCCCTAATAAAGACCTGTCCCTCTTTCTCCAGATGCAATCGTTCATTACCTAATTCTAATTTTTATACCACAGGAGTAGGCCCACAAATCAGGCTAGCCAAAGTATCCTATCATTCAGCCATAGTGATTAGTTCAGGAATGGGCAGATTAACAAAACTGAAGTTAATCAGAGATAGTCTTATCATTTGGGCTAGCACTATCAAGAAAAAGACACCTGCTTCTGGAATAAGCAAAAAAAAAAAAAAAAAAAAACACAAGCTACATCTGGCCTTTGGTCATCATGTCGAGTGAACCTGCCTAAGAATGAAATCTTACAGGGAAACAGAGGCAGTCTCAATGATACTGCAGAAGGGGAAGATATCCCATGAATTGAGAAATATTTCCTGGGTTTCTACTCGATTGAAATTCCAAGAGGTAAGGGATAGATACTGCCAGGAAGACTTGGGAATTCAAAAGAGGAGCTCTCTGAGACTAGAGTCACATCCTGACACGGCTCTTCTCCAATGTGCTGGAGTCCTCAGCATCTGCTGGTCTTGATTCACTGATGGGGGCAACCAGTGTCCCCTTAAGTGTCCGGGCAGAAACATACTGTACCTTGGTTTTAGAAAGTAGGTTGGCAGGCATCTTTCCTCATTCCCATCAAGGAGTTGGTACCTTCCACAGTGTAAGTTATTTTCTCTGTTCTAGAGCTACTACAAAGTGCTAGGGAAGGAAAATCTCCTAAAGCAGTCTGTCATCATGAAGGCCAAATTATGTAGCAGAAGAGCTTGGAAAAAGATTAAGACGGTGGTGGGGAGGACCTTTGTCCTGGTGGCTTGAAGCCATAGGGAAAGAGGTTCACTAAATGCCAACAAATGCTAAAAAATAAAAAAATAGACAAAACAGCGAGCCAGTGGCTTGTGCTCTGCTTTCCACCTGAAAGTTTGCCCAACATAAGCAATTATAATCAAGTAGAAATTGAAGCATATGTTTAAGCAGAGAGGACCAGGTAACATTGATAACCACTGTCCTCCCAGCCACTGCCTTAATTAGGCTTTCATGAGTTTTCACCCACATTATTGCAATAGTCAATCTCCCTGCCTCTGATCCTATTATACTCTACTTTATCCTCCACATTGACACCTGAGTTACTTCTCTACCTTGTAAAAACAATTTATTTCTGAGTACAAAAACACTACATGTTCATTGTAAAATACTAAGAAAATACAAAAAAGCACACATACCAGAACATGCAATTCTATCATCTAGAGATATCCACTGTTGACATTTTAGTACAAACCTTTACACAGTTGTTTTCTCTGTGTATTTTTAAATGAGAATGCCACTGTTGTATTTAGCATGCTTTTTAAAATTTTTTATTTATTTTTATTTTTCAATCCACCAGTAAGATATCCCGGAGCATGCTTTTTTTTTTTTTTAAACTTAGTATATGTGAGCATTTTCTCATGGAATTAAATGCCCTCTACAATATTATATATAATTAATATATCAATTTACTTAAGACAGGTGTTGCAAACTGGCAGCCTATAGCCAAATGTGATATATGAACATGCTATATACTTTGTCATTACAGCATTTCAGAGTTGTTTGACTTTTGAATGCCTTTATACAATGCATGCTGTCTTCAATTCTCTACAGTTTCCATAAATTCCTATTATGCCCAGTCCTTATTCACTCATGTCACCTATCTTTTTTTGTTGTTGTTACTGTTTCGGTGTGGGCTTTTAAGAAATTTTTGACATTTGAGTTGAAAACAGCAATTTAGCCAGAATAAGCATGGATGTTCATTCACTTAGTATTTGTTGCCTACCTGCTACATACCAGGCACTGGGTTAGGTGAGAAAATGGTTAGCAAAACAAACACGGTTCTTTCTATCTTGAAGCTTATGGTCTAGCATGAGAGACACACAAATGAAATAACTGCTGCAAGGGAAACCTGAGCTAGAAACTTTTGTTTTGTTTTGGGGCTTCCCTGAGGAAGTAATATGTGAACAGAGATCTATAGTAGGAAATAGGCCAAAAAGCAGAGAAGAATCTTCCTAGCCAAAGGAATGTATATGCAAAAGGCCTAAAAAAGGAGGTATCAAACTGTGCCAAAAGAGCTGAAACACTGAAAGTGAGAATGTTTGCAAGATGAGGCTGGAGAAGTAAGTGGAAGACAGATGATTCAGGGCCTGTGGACCATGCTAAGGGTTTTGAGATACATGTTGATAAAGAATCTACCCTAGTCTTCTTTTCCTTAGGGAAACATCCTTCTCTTTTTAATCACTCCTTATATGGCATGATTTCGAAATCCCCTTCACCCTCTTACTACCCTTCTCTAGCATTAATAATTTTCTTAGTCCACTGCTCTGGAACCAGAGCCCAGTAAAAATTAGTTAAGCTGAAGGCTGGGGATGGCAGTCTAGCACAAATAGTAATTAACTACTGGGCACATTAGTAGAACAGAGCTGCTACCTAAATAAATCCATTTAAAGTCAACTAAATGTTATTTGGGTAATATGTCCCTCATGTTAAATTTGCCCAAATATATATCTCACCTCTTAAAATTCGTTTAGTTTGAAATTAAAATTAGTATTGTTTTTCTGCATGTACTCCTAGGTTGGGTAAAGAAGGGAACAAGGGAATGGGGAAACGTAGAGATTCCTGGATAACAGAGAAAGACAGCTTGAGAATAAAAGTATGCAAAAGATAATCTACAACAAAATAATGCACTTAACTCTTGTTACTAAACAAATAAGCTACCCACATTTTAGTTTTCTGTTTTGTTTTATGTTTGTCAGTTTAGCAATTTTTGTCACTGTTTGGAAGACTTAGAGTGGTTATTGCATAGAACAACTCCTTACACAGAGATTTGCAAGTTTCTGAATTTTGTACTTTCAAATTGAAAATCAGGAGAAACATTTTCAAGGTTCATATTCAGACCAAGTTAGTATATTAACAACTAATAACAATATTAAAAGTTAGAACAATTCCTTTCCTCTATCTTTCTCAGGACAAATCGAGTTTATTAGAAAACTAGGGAGTGATCTGGTGAAACTGGAAAGAATCCAAGGAGTTCCAGGGAAATCTTTCATTCATTCATTTGTAGATTATTCCACAAATGTTTATTAAGTATCTATGGTATTTATACAGCACCTACAGTACTATTTAGGGCACTGGGTATAGCTTACAAACTGCTTAACTCTGAATATCTTTTGTGCAAGGAATAAGTAGTATAATAGTCCCTTGAAATACAGGAATTCACCTAGAGATCTTCTCAGATCCTCAGATGTGCACGTTTTATATCATGTAACTTAATCCAGAAAATAAAGCATAAGCAAACTGATATTTTTACACAGCAATGAATTTTGAAAGCAGGCAGAGCTTCTAGTCTCATATAAGGGGCTTAGAACTTGCCACTGCATCCTAATAACAAGTAAAAAGCTGAACAAACAAAAATCAACAACTCTTCTTAACTTCATCAGAAATGAGGACACAGGGAAAACTGCTGCCCTCAAAATTGGAGAGACAGATAGGAAGATACAGGAAATCATAACCAGAGCAGAAACCTCTGGGAACCAGTGCTGGGGTAGGAAAACCTGAACTGTAATTGATGAAATGCTGAAGGCTCACTGTGGACAAGCCTGAGAGTCAAAAACTCCAGGGAAACCCAGTCATAGAGGAGCCCTCATACCTTTGTGAACTATACTTCCAGTAGGACTAGTATAGCATACTCACAAAGTGAACTCAGTTACGATGCCAGTTGCAGGTTGGGAAGTACTGGCCTACAGGAATCAGAGTCCATTTCTCCTAGTAAACAGAATACGTAGGTCCAAGAACAATGTAGGTGCAGTGTATGTACCTATTACTATTAGACCTAATGCCCAGGTTGACTATATAATTGACTACATGATTTATTGTCCAAATGGAGATACCTTTAAGAATAAAATGAAGCATCAATCAAATATACATAATGTTTAATAATATGTATGAGTTGACAAATTGGTTTTATTATATTGGTGAACCTATAAGATAGTTCTGTTTAAAAAATATTTTCAAGGGTGGGCACAGCAGCGCATGCCTGTAATCCCAGCAATCTGGGAGGCCAATGCGGGTGGATCACTTGAGGCCAGAAGTTGAGACTGGCCTGGCTAACATGGTGGAACCCAATCTCTACCAAAAATACAAAAATTAGCCGGGTGTCATGGTGCACACCTGTATTCCCAGCTGCTTGGGAGGCTGAGGCAGGAAAATCACTTGAACCTGGGAGGCGGAGGTTGCAGTGAGCCTAGATCACACCACTGCATTCCAGCCTGGATGACAGAACAAGACTCTGTCTCAAAAATTAATTAATTAATTAATTAAATAAAATATTTTCAAAAATAAATCTGGGTACACTAGAGAAAATTGAAAACAAACTGCTTAATACTGATTATCAATACATTAAAAAGTTACAACCATAATAAATTCTGTACATATTCATGTATTTTAATCATTGTCTTAACTGTATCTGTCTCATGTCATGTTACAGGTATATTTTACTTCTGAAGAATATATTTTTATATGATTATAATTTTTAATAAAAGTATCTCTAAACTTCCACATTTCATTTTACAGCTAATGAATTTAAAATTGCTGATGCCCTCAACTGACTCTTCTCAGTTACCTCAGTATTTTAATTTTGGAACATACTCTCTCTACAGGTTAATATAGGTATCTGGTAAACTCAGAGCAAATTATACCAAATGGAGTATATTCCCAATTCTGATTTTATCTTATTAAATATTTAAATATTTCAGCTCAAATGTTTTCAGTTATTGTCTTTTTTGCCTCCACTTAGAGGATCTTTGACAAATATTTTTATAAGACAAAGCTCATTAAGTTATCTCTGTTTTATGATTCCTTAAATGTTATATCAAATGTATGTATGTATATATGTATGTATTTGAGACAGAGTCTTGCTGTGTCACCCAGGCTGGAGTGCAGTGGCACGGTCTCAGCTCACTGCAACCTCCCCCTCCCAGGATGAAGCGATTCTCGTGCCTCAGCCTCCTGAGTAGCTGGCATTACAGGCATGCACTACCACATCCAGTACATTTTTATATTTTTAGTAGAGATGGGTTTTCACCACATTGGCCAGGCTGGTCTCAAACTCCTGGCCTTAAGTGATCCGCCTGCCTTGGCCTCCCAAAATGCTGAGATTACAGGTGTGAGCTACCACGCCTGGCCTTTTATGAAATTTATATAAATTTGATAATGAATAATAATAGGCATTTTTTTTACATTCTGGTACTGAATATAAATTTATCCAAGTAAAAATAGAAGCTCCACAAAAGAATCTTCTCAGAAGTCAACAGTATTTATTTCCTGTTGCTGTTGCAATAAATTGCATGATAGTGGCTTAAAACAACACAAATTTATAATCTTACAGTTCTGGAGGTCAGAAGTCTGAAATGGATTCCACTGGCTTAAATCAAGGTGTTGACAGGATTGCACTCCTTATCTAGACTCCAGGGCTGATTCTTTTTACTTTTTCTGGATCCTGGATGTTACCAGCATTCCTTGGCTGATGGCATCTGCCTCCATCTTACAGCGCATCACTGCAATCTCTGCTTCCATCATAACTTTGTCTCTGACTCTTCCGCCTTCCTCTTCCATCTTTTAAAGCCCCTTGTGATGACATTAGGTCTGCCTGCATAATGCAGGATAACTTTCCCATCTCAAGAGTCTTGTCTTAATCATATCTGCAAAGTCTCTTTGCCATGTATGGTCACATATTCATCCCGAGATTAGATTGTGACCAGGCATGCAGCCGGGCGAGGTGGCTCACGCCTGTAATCCCAGCACTTTGGGAGGCCGAGGCGGGCCGATCGCGAGGTCAGGAGATCGAGACCATGGTGAAACCCCGTCCCTACTGAAAATACAAAAAAAATTAGCCGGGCGCGGTGGCGGGCGCCTGTAGTCCCAGCTACTCGGAGAGGCTGAGGCAGGAGAATGGCGTGAACCCAGGAGGCAGAGCTTGCAGTGAGCCGAGATCGCGGCACTGCACTCCAGCCTGGGCGACAGAGCGAGACTCTGTCTCAAAAAAAAAAAAAAAAAGATTGCGACCAGGCATGCTTTCATATGATTGCTGGGTCACATGATAGATACATGTTTACCTTTTTAAAAGTGGGCAAAATATTTGAATAGACAATTCACTAAGTAAGCTATATGGCTGGAAAATAAACATATGAAATGATGCTCTACTATATACAGAAATATAATTAACTTTATATATCGATCTGGTATCTTGGAACCTTGCTAAACTCCTGTATTAGTTCTAGTAACTTATTTATGCACTCCATAGGATTTTCTTCACAGAAATCATGCCGTCTGTGAATGAAGGGAGTTATACTTCTTATTTTCCAAATGGAGATTTTATTTTTCTTGCATGACTTCACTGGCTAGAACCACTACTACAATGCTGATTAGAAGTGGTAAGATCGATATCCTTTCCTTGTTCCTGATCGTAAGTGTGATGTTAACTGTAGATTTTTCACATATACTGTTTATCAATATAAGGAAGTTCTCTTCTGTTCTCTGTTTTCTGACAGTTTTTGTCAGGCATGTATTTTGTATTTTCAAATACTGTTTCTGTATTTGTTGAGATAATCATAGGATTTTTCTTTCTTGTTTTTACAATGAGTTACACTGATTAACTTTTGAATATCAAACCAACCTTGTATTTTTGAGATAAACCCCACTTGGTCATGATGTATTATCCTTTTTGTATATTATTGTATTAGCTCTGCTAAAATTTTGCTGACAATTTTTTTTTTTTTTTTTTTTTTTTTTTTTTTTGATCCGGGGTCTGGCTCTGTCCCAGGCTGTGGAGTGCAGTGGCGCGATCTCGGCACACTGCAAGCTCCGCCTCCCAGGTTCACGCCATTCTCCTGCCTCAGCCTCCCGAGTAGCTGGGACTACAGGCACCTGCCACCACTCTCGGCTAATCTTTTTGTATTTTTAGTAGAGACGGGGTTTCACCATGTTCACCAGGATGGTTTCAATCTCCTGACCTCGTGATCTGCCCGCCTTGGCCTCCCAAAGTTTGCTAAGAATTTTTACATGTATTTTTATGACACATACTGGTCTGTAGTTGTCTTTTCTTGTAATGTCATTGTCTGGTTTTGGTATCAAGTAATGCTGCCCTCACAGAATGAATTAGAAAATATTCCCTTATCAATTTTCTGGAAGAGTTTTTGTAGAATTGGTGTTATTTTCTGCTTAAATGTTTGATAGAATTTACCAATGAAGCCATATGGACCCAGTGTTTTCTTTGTGGGAAGGTTTGTAAGTACAAATTCAATTTCTTTAATAGATGTAGAGTTATTTATGTTATCTATTTGTTCTTGAATGCGTTTTGGTAGTTTGTATCTTTCAAATAATTTGTCCATTTTATGTTCCTTATCTCTGGTAATATTATTTGCTCTGAAATCTATTTTGTCTGCTTTCTTTTGATTAGTATTAGGATGGTATATTTTTTTCTTCCCTTAATTTTTAAGCTGTATGTTAAGCATGGTTGAATCTTGCATTTTTATCCAATCTTAATAATCTCTGGTTTTTAAATGAGAGAGTTTAGACTATTTACATCTAATTTAATTATTGATAATTTTGGTTCTATTTGTATTCTGTTTGTTCCATCTTTTCTTCTTCCCCCTTTCCTTTTTTGCCTTCTTTTAGAAAAACTGTGTAATATTTATTCCATTTTATCACCCTTGTTGGCTTACTAGTTATAATTCTTTTTAATTCACAATAACGATATATAAAGTTTTATTAGCTATAATTCTTTATAATTCACAGTAATAGGACATAAAGTTTAAGTTATTGATTTAGGGTTTATATTATACATATTTGTTATGTTCTACCTTCAAGTGGTATTACATTACTTAACATATACCGCAAGAACCTTAAAATAGTACAATTCTATTTTCCCCTCCTGACCTTTGTACTATTTTGCCTTACATTTTACTTCTATATATTTTATAAACCACATAGTACAGTGGTCCCCAACCTTTTTGGCATCAAGGACCAGTTTTGTGGAAGGCAGTTTTTCCACAGACCATTGTGGGGTGGACGGTTTTGAGATGAAACTGTTCCATCTCAGATCGTCAAGCATTAGATTCTCATAAGGAGTGCACAACCTGGATCCCTTGCATGTGCAGTTCACAATACCATTTGTGCTCCTATGAGAATCTGATGCCTGCTGCTCCTGATCTGACAGGAGGCAGAGTTCAGGCAGTAATGCTCGATTGCCCACCACTCACCTCCAGTACTGATCTGCAGCCTGGGTGTTGGGGGACCCCTGCCATAGTACATTATCATTATATTTGTTGTTTCTTTCAAGAGTCAGTTATCTTTTAAAGACATTTAAATAATAAAAATGTATTTATATTTGTTCATGTTGTTACCATTTCTGATGCTCTCCATTCTTTTATTTAGGTTTTCATTTGGTATTATTTTCCTTTTGCTTGAAGGAAAAGCAAAAGAAAAAAATACCAAATTTTCCTTTACTATTTCTTACAGTGCTGGTCTGCTTGTGATGAATTATTTCAGCTTCTTTTAATATCTGAAAATATCCTTATTTCATCTTTGTTTTTGAAAGATATTTCCACTGGGTAAAAAATTCTAGATTGATAAGTTTTTTTTTTTCTTTCAGTACTTTCAGGATATTGCTTTACTCTCTTCTAGTTTGCATTGCTTCTGATAAGAAATCTCTCATCTTTACCTTTGGCCCTCTTTATATCATGTATATTTTTCCTTTGGTTGATTTAATCACTGTTTCTTTATCACTGGTTCTAGGAAATTTTGCTTTTAAGCTGCGCTAGAAAAGACCAAAAAGCATTTAGTCTAGGATTAAATCTTTTTTTTTTTTTTTTTGAGACAGAGTCTTGCTCTGTCTTGCCCAGGCTGAAGAGCAGTGGCATGATCTCAGCTCACTGCAGCCTTCACCTCCTGGGTTCTAGTGATCCTCCTGTCTCTGCCTCCTGAGTAGCTGGGACTACAAGTGTGTGCCATCACACCTAGCTAATTTTGTGTTTTTAGTAGAGACGGAGTTTCACCGTATTGGCCAGGCTGGTCTTGAACTCCTGACTTCAGGTGAGCCACCCACCTTGGCCTCACAAAGTGCTGGGATTACAGGCGTGAATCACCGTGCCCAACCTCTAGGATTAAATCTTACCCACCACTGAGGGAAGATTCTTCTTAGAATCCTAAAAAAAAAAATGTCTGATGTCTTCTAAATTATGTGGTTTTCCAATCTGGCTGTTGGGAACAGGCACTATCCCTGTCCATATATGAGCTACAAATACTCTTTCCTCTAATCCCTGTGTGTGATTCTTTCCCCAGTTCTGGGTAGTTTCTTCACATGCATGTTCTGATCAATACTCAACTGAACATCCAAGGACATTCCCTTCAGATCTCTAGAGTTCTCATCTGTATAGTTCCCCCTTTCCAGAATCTGCCCTGCCAACTCTAGCCTCTTCAACTTCCTCAGACTGTCAGCTCAGGGTTTTGACTCAGGGTTTCCCCTCCTTACATTGCATCCAGGAAACTTCTTCCAGTAAGTTGGGGCTATGGTATAACTTATCTCATTTGTTCCCATATGACAGGATGACTGTTTTTCATTGCCTGATAACCAATGTCTTGAAAGCCATTGCTTTATAAATTTTGTCTAGTTTTCTAGTTGTTTCAGATGGAAGGATAAATTCAGTTCCAGTTTTTCATTATGACCAGAAACAAATGTCCAAAGGGACTTAAAAAAAAAAATACACAAATCTTTTCATATTATGCTCCTCTCAAAACCTGTCAATGGTTTATCACTGTTCTCAGGATAAAGTCCATAATCCTTACCAAGGCTTCAGAACTCGTCGCCCCTTGCTCCTCTTGTCCCATGCTCTCCCTTATTAATTCTGTTTCAGCAACACAAACTTTTCAGTTGCTCAAACTCAGCAGACACTTCTACCTGTCCCTCCTCTCAAGAATTCACCTCATATTTTGTGCTCCCCCGACTTTTTTTTTTTTTTGAGAACTTAGATCCTATTAAGAAAGATAGATAATTCGACATGTTGTTTGTTGTTGTTGTTGTTGTTGTTGTTGTTGTTGTTTTTGAGACGGAGTCTCACCCTGTCGCCCAGGCGGGAGTGCAGTGGTGCGATCTCGGCTCACTGCAAGCTCCGCCTCCCGGGTTCACGCCATTCTCCTGCCTTAGCCTCTGGAGTAGTTGGGACTACAGGCGCCCATCACCACACCCAGCTAATTTTTTTGTATTTTTAGTAAAGACGGGGTTTCACCGTGTTAGCCAGGATGGTCTTGATCTCCTGACCTCGTGATTCGCCCGCCTCGGCCTCCCAAAGTGCTGAGATTACAGGCGTGAGGCACCGCGCCCGGCCATGTGCTCCCCTATTCACAGAGGTGTCCTATACCTGTTCTTCAGAGTTTATCTTGAATGTCATTTTCTCAGGGAAACCGTCCTTGGCTTCCTCAATAAGTCATGTTTGTTATGATTGTCCCCATAGGCTTGGAAATCAACACTAATTTTAAGGAGATACTCTGTAATATAACAGGGTGTTATGTTAAATAATTCGAGGGTCTTTCTTTCCCATTGTAAATTTCTATGATATAGTACGTACTCTTCAAAAAACATCATTTTGTAAAATATCTTACTTATTAAGACTATTGTATTTTAATAAATTACATTATAAATGTATTGAATGGGATCTAGTAGCATTTAAATTCTCAGAAAGACTTCTTTAAATAAAGTTAAGTATTGCCATACACACAGTACCTCACCTACAATTATTTTCAAATTCAGTATATTGATTAGGTAGTCAGTAGTATAAAGACTAGAGAAGTAATACAGAGTCAATCCATTCCTCAAGAAACATAAGATTTATTTAGTGAGATAAAACTTGCATACAGAAAACAAGATATTGGCCATTTTTTAAAAGATAACAGAATGCATTTTAAAGTGTTTATTCCTTAAGTCCTGCACTTGCAATTCTGAGAGTAGGAAGGATTAGGAAACGTTGGGTAGTTACACCAGCCACTCAAGTTTAAGTTAGAGAAGGGACCCCAGAGATAGAGGTATCTAATTAGGTAGGTTAGTTTATTATCTAGAGCAGCTAGAAGTAAAAGGAAGGAAAGGATAAGTACAAAGAATTGCCCACAGGACAAAAAAAAAAAAAAAGGATGAAACTTAATCTGTTGTCAGATGTAAGGAATGAATGTTACGTAAAAAGCCAGAGGACAAATCAGAAGTCATGAGTTGTGTCAACACAAGAATGCAGTGGGAGAAAGAAGCAAGATGGGCAATAAGGCTGGAGAATGTAGCACTCTAGATATGAGGAGGGGTGAATTACCTGAAGCTCGCTGTTATTGTCTGTGAGTCACATGGTGAATATGTGAGGGGGCTCAAGTTAAAGGGTAACTGGTTAGGGAAGATTTTCCCTCTGGCCCCACACAATTACTCAGGCTTCCCCTGGAAGCTATCACTTCTCTTTGGTAGGAGGTTCTCTTCCAGCTCTGTGCCTTAAATTAACCGAACATGGCCATGGTTCCAGAAATTTGCCTGCCCTGATCTGTTCACTATGATGATTATGTACATGATTCCCTGGTTCCAGATCTGCACTCACTCCATAGTCCATCTGGCTTCTGACTCTGGCTCCATTCCCATTTTATAGTTCTGCTCCTGTCCTTCGTACTAGACTTTAGTATTTGGTTTCCTATTTCTGACTCTTGGCCTGCTGCCACAAAAAAAAAAAAAAAAAAAAAAAAAAAAAAAAAAAAACTGTACTAATTATCATTTCTACTTCAAACTACTTCACTTTCATTATTCTGTAGGCACCCAAGCCCCATTTTTGGTCATGGACCAGTGCCTTAATAAAAAACACTGGACTTTACACAGGGATTCACATCAGTGGTTGTTCATATGGTTTTCTTCTACAAATACTGTCCCTACCAGCTGAAGTGCCAAGGCTAGCTACAATAATGGCAAAGTCCAGATCATTCCCTGTTGTGTATTTTGGCTTCTTGTCTCTCGCAGTTGGAGTGAGTTGCAAAGATATTGGGTTACAAGTGGAGTTCTAAGGCCATTTGCACAGGGACCAGTTAAAATGAATTTGGGATGCATGAATGGTAAACCTGGAAGTGGAAGGCCTCCACCCCTACTTTATGGTTCAGGAGACTTGTTTATATATAGGTGAGAAAGTAGTGATGAGTGGGACATATCTATTGTGAGAAAAGCCACAGAGTCTGCTCTCTGTATTGTCTCTCTTAGTAATTAAGACTGTCAGCTTAAACTTTCATTTATTTAACACTTATTGAGCACCTACCATGTATGCATTAGGTGCTAGGCTAGAACTTTGGGATATAATGATGAGCAAAAACAGGCATGGCCTCCACTGTTACTGAGCTTACAAGCTAAGTGGGGCAAAGATGTTATACATTAATCTAAAAATTATTTAATGAAAATTATTGCTAAATACAATATAATAATATAACTGGTTATATAACCAAGTCTAAATATAATAACATAACTATAATTAATAGAAAATTATAACTATGTTAGTGCTATAAGGAAGAAGTGCATAGTACTATTAAACAGTGTAATAGTGCTTTCCTGGGATATTATGGTCAAACTGAGAACTTAAGAGAGAGTAGGAGTTAACTAGCTGAAGAAAGGATGAAGTATAGCTATGCAAGTACCTGAGGTTAAAGAAAAATCGTGGTTTCAGAGTTGAAAGAAGTCTATTGTTTCCATTGTGTTAGAGAGTTATGAAAGGCATGTTGCCAGATGAGTTTAAGAAGTAGAAGTGGGTAAAGACTAATCATAGAGGGTCATTAGAAGAAGAATTTCTGGGTTTTTTTTTTTGTTTTTTTTTTTTGAGGAGTCTCACTCTGTCGCCCAGCCTGGAGTGCAGTGGCACGATCTCGGCTCACTGCAAGCTCCGCCTCCCGGGTTCATGCCATTCTCCTGCCTCAGCCTCCCGAGTAGCTGGGACTACAGGCGTGCGCCACTACACCCAGCTAATTTTTGTATTTTTAAAATTTTTTATTTTATTTTATTTTTTTGAGACGGAATCTTGCTCTGTCAGGCTCGAGTGCAGCCCAGCCTGGAGTGCCCTGGCGTGATCTCGACTCACTGCGAACTCTGCCTCCCGGGTTCATGCCATTCTCCTGCCTCAGCCTCCGGAGTAGCTGGGACTACAGGTGCCTGCCACCATGCCCGACTAATTTTTTGTGTTTTTAGTAGAGACGGGGTTTCACCGTGTTAGCCAGGATGGTCTCGATCTCCTGACCTCATGATCTGCCCGTCTCGGCCTCCCAAAGTGCTAGGATTACAGGCGTGAGCCACTGCGCCTGGCCAATTTTTGTATTTTTAGTAGAGATGAGGTTTCACCATGTTGGTTGGCCAGGATGGTCTCAATCTCTTGACCTTGTGATCCACCCTCCTCGGCCTCCCGAAGTGCTGGGATTATAGGCATGAGCCACCTCAGTGCCCGGCCGAATTTCTGTCCTTTTAAATCTTTTTATTTCAACTTTTATTTTAGGTTCAATGGATACATATGCAGCCTTGTCACATGGGCATACTGTGTGATGCTGAGGTTTGAAGTATGATTAATCCGTCACCCAGGTAGTGAGCATAATGCCCAATAGGTAGTGTCTCAACCCTTGTCCCTCTCCCTGCCTCCCATCTCTAGTAATCTCCAGTGTCTATTGTTGCCATCTTTATGTCCATGTGTACTCAGTGTTTAGCTCCCACGTATAAGTGAGAACATGAGATGTTTGGTTTTCTGTTTCTGCATTAATTTACTTAGGACAACAGCCTCCAGCTGCATCTGTGTTGCTGCAAGGGACATGATTTTCTTCTTTTCCAGGCTGCATAGTATTCCATGTTGTATATGTACCACATTTTCTTTATTCAATCCACCATTGATGGATACCTAGCTTGATACCATGCCTTTGCTATTGTCAATAGTGCTGTGACTAACATATGCATGCATGTGTCTTTTTGGTAGAATGATTTATTTTCCTTTGAGTATATACTCAATGATAGGACTGCAGGGTCAAAAGGTAGTTCTATTTTTAGTTCTTTGAGAAATCTCCAAACTGCTTTCCACAGTGGCTGAACTAATTTACATTCCCACCAACAGTTGTATGTGTTTCCTTTACTCTTCAGCCTCTCCAGCATCTGTTATTGTTTGACTTTTTAATAATAGCCATTCTGACTGGTGTGAGATGGTATCTCACTGTGTTTTTTAATATTGTTATTATTATTATTTGAGACAGGGTCTCACTCTATCACCCAGGCTGGAATGCAGTGGTGCAATCTTGGCTCACTGCAATGTCCACCTCCCAGGTTCAAGTGATTCTCATGCCTCAGCCTCCGAGTAGTAGCTGGGATTACAGGCGTGTGCCACCATGCTTGGCTAATTTTTGTATTTTAGGTAGAGACAGGGTTTTGCCGTGTTGGCCGGGCTGATCTTGAACTCCTGGCCTTAAGAGATCTACCTGCTTTGGCCTCCCAAAGTGCTGCGATTACAGGCGTGAGCCACTGCGCCTGTCCTCATTGTGGTTTTGATTTGCATTTCTCTAATGATTAATGATGCTGAGTATTTTTTCGTATGTCTGTTGGCCTCTTGTATGCCTTCTTTTGAGAAGTGTCTGTTCATATCTGTTGCCCACTTTTTAATGGGGATATTTGGTTTTTTTTGCTTGTTGAATTCTTTAAGTTTCTTCTAAATTCTGCACATTAGACCCTGTCCGATGTATAGTTTGTGAATATTTTCTCCCATTCTGAAGGTTGTCTGTTTACTCTGTTGATAGTTTCTTACCCTGTGCAGAAGCTCTAGAGTTTAAGTAGGTCCCATGTGTGAATTTTTGTTTTTGTTGCAATTACTTTTGAGGACTTAGTCAGAAATTCTTTGCCAAAGCTGATGTCCAGAAAAATATTTCCTAAGTTTTTGTCTAGGATTTTTATAGTTTTAGGTCTTACATTGAAGTATTTAATCCATCTCGAGTTAATTTTTGTATATGGTGATAGGTACAAGTTCAGTTTCATTCTTCTGCCTATGGATAGCCAGTTACCCAGCATCATTTATTGAATAGAGGGTCCTTTCCTCATTGCTTATTTTTGTCAACTTTAACAAAGATCAGTTGATTGTAGGTGTGCAGCTTTATTTATTTCTGGGTTCTCTATTCTGTTCCTTTGGTCTATGTGTCTTTTATTGTACCAGTACCATGCTGTTTTGGTTATTATACCCTTGTAGTATAGTTTGAAGTCAGATAATATGATACATCTGGCTTTGTTCTTGCTTTGAATAGTTTTGGCTATTCAGGGTCTTTTTGGTTCCATATGAATTTTAGAATAGTTTTTTCTAATTATGTGAAAAAATGGCATTGGTAGTTTGATAGGAATAATGTTAAATGTGTAGATTGCTTTGGCCAGTATAGCCCTTTTAATGATATTGATCTTCCAGTCCATGATAAGAGAATGTTTCTCCATTTGCTTGTGTCATCTATGGTTTCTTTCAGCAGTGTTTTGTGGTACTCCTTGTAGAGGTCTTTCACCTCCTTGGTTAGATGTATTTCTAGGTATTTTATTTTTTGGGTGGTTATTGTAAATGGGATTGCATTCTTTATTTGGCTGTCAGCATTAATGCTATTGCTGTATAGAAATGCCACTGATTTTGTACACTGATTTTGTTTCCTGAAATGTTACTGATGTTGCTTATCAGTTCAAAGAGACTTTTGGTATCATATTTAGGGTTTTGTAGATATAGAATCATATTGTGAGTGAAGAGAGATAATTTGACTTCTTCTTTTCCTGTTTGGATGCCTTTTATTTCTTTCTCTTGCCTGATTGCTCTGGCTAGGACTTCCACTACTCTGTTGAACAGGAGTGGTGAGACTTGGCATTCTTGTCTTGCTGTAGTTCTTAAGGAGAATCCTTCCAGCTTTTACTGGTTCAACATGATATTGGCTGTGGGTTTGCCATAGATAGCTCTTATTATTTTGAGATATTGTCCTTCTATTCCAAATTTGCTGAGGGTTTTTTTCATGCAGGGATGTTGGATTTTTATCAAAGGCTTTTTCTATGTCTATTGAGATGATCATATAGTTTTAATTTTTAATTGTGTTTATGTGAGCAATCACATTTATTGATTTGTGTATGTTGAACCAGCTTTGCATCCCAGGAATGAAACCTACTTGATCATGGTGAATTAACTTTTGATGTGCTGCTGGATTTGGTTTGCTAGTCTTCTGTTGAGGATTTTTGCTTCCGTGTATATGAGGAATATTGGCCTGTAACTTTCTTTTTTCATTGTTTCTTTGCCAAATTTTGGTATTAGAATGATGCTAGCTTCATAGAATGAGTTAGGGAGGAGTTCCTCCTCCTCAGTGTTTTGGATTATTTTCTGTAGAATTGATACCAGCTCTTCTTTGTATATCTAGTAGAATTTGGCTGTGAATCCATTTGATCCAAGGCATTTTTTGGTTGGTAGTTTTTGTTATTACTGATTCAATTTTGGAACTTGTTATTGGTCTATTCAGGGTTTCAATTTCTTCCTGATTCAATCTTGGTAGGGTGTGTGTTTTTCTAGGAATTTATCCATTTCCTCTAGATTTTCTAGTTTCTGTGAATAGAGGTGTTCATTGTAGTCTCTAAGGATCTTTTTTTTTTTTAACTTTTTTCTTTTTATTTTTGAGACAGAGTCTCACTGTGTCACCCAGGCTGGAGTGCGGTGGCATGATCTCAGCTCACTGCAACCTCCACCTTCTGGGTTCAAGCAGTTCTTCTGTCTGTCTCCTGTGTAGCTGGGATTACAGGCATGCGCCACCACGCCCGACTAATTGTTGTATTTTTAGTAAAGACAGGGTTTCGCCATGTTGGCCAGGCTGGTCTTGATCTCCTGGCTTCAGGTGATCCGCCCACCTCAGTCTCCCAAAGTGCTGGGATTACAGGCGTGAGACACCGCACCTGGGCTCTGAGGCTCTTTTGTATTTGTTTGGGATCAGTTGTAATTTCACCTTTGTCATTTCTGATTGTGCTTCTTTAGATTTTCTCTCTTTTGTAGTTTGTTAATCTAGCTAGTGATCCATTGATCTTGTTTATCATTTCAAAGAAACAAATTTGGCTTCATATATTGTTTGTATGGATTTTGGGGTCTCAATTTCATTCATTTCTGGTCCAATTTTAGTATTTCTTTTCTTCTGCTAGTTTTGGGGTGAGTTTATTGTTCTTCTACTTCCTCTAGGTTCAATTTGTGATCTTTCTAACTTCTTGAGGTAGGCATTTAGCACTATAAACTTTGTTTTTAACACTGCTTTTGCTGCATCCCAGAGATTCTGGCATAGTGTGTTTCTGTTTTCATTTATTTCAAAGAATTTTTTGATTTCTGCCTTAATTTCATTGTTTACCTAAAAGTCATTGAGGAGCAAGTTGTTTAGTTTCCATGTAATTGTGTGGTTTTCATAGATATTCCTGGTATTGATTTCCATTTTTATTCCACTGTGGTCCAGGAGTATGGTTGGTAAGATTTTGATTTTTTTAAATTTATTGAGACTTACTTTACGGCCAAGCATGTGGTTGATCTTAGAGTATGTTTCATGTGCTGATGGAATGTATATTCTGTGATTCTGTAGACGTCCAATTGGTCAAGTGTCAAATTTAAGTCCAAAATTTCTTTGTGAGTTTTCTGCCTCAGGGATCTGTCTAATGCTGTCAGTGGGGTATTGAAGTTTACCAGTATTATTGTGTGGCTAAGTCTTTTTGTAGGTTGAGAAGTACTTGTTAAGTCACCAGGAGACCTGCAATTCCCAGGGGACCTGCTGGTCCTCTGAGCTTGGCAAAATCGGAGTGAATTGTGGGGTATGTCTGGTGATGCAGTGGATCAAAGGCAGAGGATTCTGGAGCAGGGCTGTGGTGCCACAAGTATGCAGTTGGTATACCTCCATGGACCAGGGTTTTTAGCCCAGCAGGTGACTGTTGAGTCTGCGCAGCTGACACTTTCCCAACTGGGTCTTCCTCCAATTTCTGCCCCAGGAGCTGGCCAAACCAGCTAGTTTTGTTCCAAGCCTTTTGTGCCCAGATTGCTTGGCTGTTCCAGCTATTCTGCCCCATGGGAATCCCTCAGGCCGAAGCTGAGCTGGCCAACAGGCAACACCTTTCCCAGACTGGTCTTGCAGAGGGAAAGACACCTACTTCCCACATCAGCACATGAACCCATGCCCCACTTTCTCTTTGTCCTGATAGTGGGGGCTTCTCCCCTGCTCAAGCTCTGGCTACAGATCTCAGCTCAATACCCCTGGACAGTGTGCTCGAACCCTGGAAATTGGGAACTGGGCTCACGACTTTGTACTCTGGCTCCTTCACCGGCTGTGCTGGGGGACTGAACTGCTCACAGTCTGCCAGCAAAACACTCAGATGAGGCACTCAGGAGGCTGTGCTGTGTGTACCCACTTTCAGGAGCAGTCTGGCAGATGGCCTTGGGAGGGGTCAGAGTCAAGGGGGCATATGGATCAGATCCACCGCAATCCTTTGAAAAAGAGTTCTCCTCTCTCTGGCCTGACAGTTAGCAGTGGCTGCCGTCACCCAGAGCAAGATGGAAAAGCCTGGGGCATGGGTGCCTGTGGTCACGTTTTGCTGCAGCTGCCCCATAGGCTGTGAAACCTTCTGGGCTCTGTGCAGGTTTGAACTCTGCCTCTGCCTAATCTCCGGGGAGTTCCCCTTGCCAATTCAAATGTCTAGAGGGGAATCGGATCTCTTGTAGCTAGGATCCCAGAGTCCTGTGGTGGCAGTGTGGTGCCCCAGAGTTCCTTCACACACCCTTTCCTGAGCACCTGTTCAGGACCAGAAGCTGGTCCTGGTGCTCGATGACTCCATACAGTTGTCCCAGCTTCCTCTCTCTTCAACCTCAATGTCTACGTCATCTCTCTATTGACTTTCAGTGTTTTCTCTCAAAATAGCTGTTCAGAGGGTGATGGCTTACTCTATATTTTGATTTCCCTAGGTGGGAGAGGTGTTTCCTGGCTACATTTAGTTGGCCACCTTATCCCTTCCTTTGGATTTCTGTCTTTATCTAAAGAAAGATGGGATGCTATTAAAGTGAGGTAAGCTGGATAGTGCTATGATTTATGTGTTGAAAAGATCATCCTTGTTGCTTACGTGGAGTAGGCCAAAAGGATGCAAGAAGACAAATCAGAAGGCTGATTTGGTAGATCCAGGAAAGACATAATGCTGGCTCAGACCACTGTGGTAGTGGTGGAGATAGCTAGAAATGGTTGGATTTAAGATAAATTTTGAAATAAAAGTAAATGGAACTTGCTGATTAATTGGAAATGAAAGATAACATTTTCCTCAAATCTCTGACCTCTCACCTCCTGGATCACTTTTAGAAGATGATCTCATCTCCTATTTTACTAAGAAAATAGAAGCCATCTGACAAGAACTCCCTAATTTACCTGCCAGTGAACATGAACTTAAGAGGGGCTTAGAGAAAGTGATGTCTTCAGGGAACAGTCAGATTTCAGTTAAAGCAAGGGAGTAGAGTGAGAGCTCAGAGAAGTTTTTAAGGATATAAGGGAGTCTTCTGGACAAGTATTGGCTCTTTTATTGGGCCCTTCACTGAGGTTTGGAAGGCAAGGAAGGGGAGGGGACTGACTTGAAACAAAGCAAATGAAAAGAGTTACATTGATGATAGTGAGGTAAAGGATAGATGACCATTCAATCTGTCACACAACAGAAGCATGGGTAAAAGGCATGGTCAATTTCTCTGAGGGAGGCAGACAATGGGAGGTGGCAAGATAATTTGACCAGGGTGGTTGTAGACACAGATGTTGACAACCTGCATGTGAGAAGGTTTGGACAATGCTGGATATAGAAACCGAAGACTCACATGCTTCAGGGCCTGGTGGATAAGAAAACCACAGAAGACTGGAATCAGGCAATGTCCATAGTTCCTTTGGATTGTTTTGGATCTCCTCCAGAAACTGACCTGTAGCAAAGGTAATGTTGTACTAGGCGTGAAGGAAAGCAGAAGGACCGGAATCCATGTTTGTCATATAAGGGATATAGAAAAATGCTTATAGTCAAACTTCTCTGTTGTGAGATGGATGACCTAGTCATATTGTTTATTTGATATGTGGTCATGGTAATCTTCTTTCTGTATTTGGTTGATCATTCTTTTTAACCATCATTTGTGGACAGTGAATAGGAGAGTGGGTCAATTCAGACCTGGAAGGCTTTGAGGGCTGCACTCTAGAAACACAAGTCTAATTGTAATACATGGTCTCACTTTAAGTTTTCAGGTAGTTATAGAGATGAAACACCTCCCTAATCAGCAAGAGAGCAGAATATGATCCAATGTAAAGGGTGTACCATCTTGGTGAAAATATTGAGAATTGTGTTAAATACTTACAAAGGAGAAGGGCTAGGGCAAATCATGTAACAGTTAAGTTTCTTAATTTATCCTGAGGGATCAGGGTATAATTTTTTCTGGAGCATCCTGAGCCTGCTTTGGTTAAAGATGCAAATACTTCAAGCAGTAGCATACATCAGAAAGTTTTGTCAGACAAAAAGATTACCAGCACCTTGGGAGGTCGAGGCAGGTGGATCACCTGAGGCCAGGAGTTCAAGACCAGCCTGGCCAACATGGTGAAACCCTGTCTCTATTTAAAAAATACAAAAATTAGCCAGACATGATGGCAGGCACTTGTAATTCCAGCTACTCAGTAGGCTGAGGCAGGATAATCACTTGAACTGGGGAGGTAGAGGTTGCAGTGAGCTGAGATTGCACCACTGCACTCCAGCCTGGGCGACATAGCAAGACTCTGTCTCAAAAAATTAAATAAATACATAAAAGATTGCCAGACAGCCTAGTGGGTCATATTCAGGGTCTTGAGTAGACCTTCGTATCCAGCCAAGTCAATGTTCTAATAGGAGCTTAACACACTTGTTTGGGATTCACTTTAAGTAAAGCAACATCTTGATTTTTCAGAATTGCTTCCAATAATTCTGAAACTCCCTCAGATACTGTTTGTCCCAAGTGTCTGCCTATTGTTGCCCCATGATGAAACCTTTTACTTCCAGCAGTAGTTATAGGGCCATGTCAGTCTTTAAGTAAAGACCCTCAGGCATGAACGAACTTGCCCATAAATAAATTCATAGATTCCTCATACCTCCTGTATACATGATGTGAATTTGACTCTACATAAGAATATGACAGATTACATCTGAACTGTGCCTAGCTCTCTTGTCATTCTGCTGTTCTTCGTTAAGAACATCAGGTCATGGGAAAGTTCTAAGGCCTCTCAAGTTAGTATATCCAGGCTTTAAAGGCAGTGTTTACAGTGAACAGTCTCATATGTTGTTCAATTAATTATTGCCATAGACAACTTTCTCTGGAAATAAGTGGACAGGCAGAGTTCATCTTGACCTGAAACCCTATGGCAGGAATTCCTTCACAGAGGCCTCTCTGTGAAGAAGGGAGGAGATGAATGGAGTGGTATGATTAAGGTTGAGATGAAGAAGGTAATTCTCGAAAGGTAATGACCATTTGTAAACCAATTATGTCATATCTGGTTTCTCTAACTTACTTGTCTAGAAAGAATATCATTCAGGATTCTATCAGGACAATAGAGCCACTATAAAAATTATCAGAATATGTGACTTATTAACTCTGAATGGAACTGTAGAAATAAAGGTCTGGAAGAAGGGAGTTAGAGATTCAGAAAAATCATCACCAACCAATACTCTCCACCTGTCTCACAGGCAAATCTTGCAGGGAAAAGCAAAAATCCAAGTACTTCAGACTGTTGAAGTGCAACAGCAAAGACAGGATTTGTGGCAAGGTCTATGGGAAGTTGCCTTCATGAAGCTACTGCCTCTATCAGTCCACAGTCAAGCATTTGGTTGAGGATCTGGGGTCATTGTTGGTCAGCAGGGCCAGCAGCTAGGAAGATAAGTTGAATGCAGAGGAGAGGGAGGATGATGAGAATTGGAGTTTCTTATTCTTCTCTTAAGAAGTACCAGGGCCCTAGCAAAGAAGGAAAGAAGGTTGAAGGATTGCCACAGATATTTCATCCATATAATTTCAAAGGCATAATCTAAGAGCAAAGTACATTTCTGTTTTTTATTTGTTTGGATTTGAGCCACAGATGCAAAGTAGATCATGCAGTCGTCTGTTTATTCACAGTTAATATTTGCTTCCTTTTTCAAGAACACCATTTAATAGGCAAAATATAACTTATAGGAGCCTCAAGAATGGGAACATCTAGTAAAGTAGTTACCCTATGGCCCAAGAGAATTCTGGGCTCAGGTGAGGTTCAGTGTCTTAAATGTTCCTGGAGTTCACAGCATTGTGTGTCTCTAGTTAGTTGATGTAATAGCTCTTGAACAGTAGGTTCCTATCTAACATATATGCCTGGACATGTTCTCCCAAAATGTTCTAGTTCAGTTCAGAGTTCAGCACAAATTCAGTTGCTGTTGCTGCTGCTGCTTCTCTTCCACTGTCCTTTCTACCTGTCAGTCTACACTGAAAATTCATCCGTCCTTTTACTGAGAAGGAGGCCATAGCTACTAGGAGGTATGAGTATGTGACTGTGTATGAAGTCTGATGAAGCTTTCGATGAACTTGGTTAGGTTTCTTGGATGAGCAGTTCAAACTAGCTCATCCCAGGGTAGTAGACAACACTGTGATGTGCATGGGAAGTCTCACATCCAACCCACACCCAATAACTATGTGGGGTATAAAGGCCTTGCCATGTGAAAGGTTATTCTAGCTCCAGGGCTTCCAGTGGGTTGGCTGAGTCTGTTGTTTGACTCCTCACTCTTCCGACTCCTGCCTCCTTTCTCTCCCTTCCACAGATACTGATCCCATGGATATTCCTTAGTTCCATGATGAACTAAACTCAAAGTCTACTTTCTGGAAATCCCACCTACAACACCTTTATAGCTGTAAAAATCTTTGTTAGAGCTATGCTTGGAAAGACAGATGCCTAATCTTCCATTTTGCCTTCCTCTCCTCAGGTACTAGCCCTGTGGTGAGGTTATGGATTAAAGATACACTGTCAGAGTAAAGACAATATGTGTGATTAGAGTTTAGAAGGAAGAAAGTGATCAATAAGAGCTTGCAGGTTCCAAAATGGTAGTATTTCTGGCTTCACTCCTCTACACAGAAAACCAAACAAATACATACTGCCAAGATTATCACCAACAATATCCCAGAACTCAAATATTATGATAAGACAGTTCGTGGGGCCACAGAGAAGTAAAAAATCACCAAGAAGACAGTAAGAGAATCAAACTTCCATATTCATGATATCCTTTTCCCCAGTGTGCCTGACACCAAGTGTGTGGAAAATTTCCCCCCAACTCACAGTTTCTACAGTGGAAAAAGTGAGACTGAGGTGAACAACCAGCTTCTCCACAATCTTGAGTTTTCTGGTGAGAAATCTTTCCCTGCCTCAATGCACAAGAAGTGTTGAGAGTACCAGAAGGGAGAATATCCCTGAGGAAAGCCAGAGACAAAGTGGTGAGGTAGAAATACCATCCTTATCTCTGGAAACTCTGCTCTATATCTTGGCCAAAGGAGACGCCAAATCAAAGTGGCTGTTTAGCAGCACCACACAGTAAGAGTTTCATCTCACAGGTCCCCTGGGTAAAAACCCCTGGCTGGCCTTCCCACACTACTGGGATATCCTCTTTGGGACCTCTCCCATTCAGGATGGGTGGCACTCTGATCATTTACTAAAACCAGTGCTAACCTGGGCTTAAGGCACCAACCATCTAGTACTGAAAAGGAGGCAGTGACCTAGAGAAAAAAAAATAAAAGAAATAATCGCTAAATTACAAAGAATTTCTGAACAAACATAGCTAATAAAAACCAATACTAGCCAGACAGAGAAGACTAGAATAAATAGCTGATCCCTCAATGAAAAGACATACATGTTCATCCATAAGAAACAACAGCAAGCCAGGCACAGTGGCTCATGCCTGTAATACCAGCACTTTGGGAGGCCAAGGTGGGCGGATCACAAGGTCAGGAGTTCGAAACCAGCCTGGCCAACGTGGTGAAACCCCTCTCTACTAAAAATACAAAAATTAGCTGGGTGTGGTGGCAGGGGCCTGTAATCCCAGCTACTCAGGAGGCTGAGGCAGGAGAATTGCTTGAACCCAGGAGGCGGACGTTGCAGTGAGCCAAGAGCACGCCACTGTACTCCAGCCTGGGTGACAGAGCAAGACTCCATTTCGGAAAAAAAAAAAAAAAAAAAGAAACAACAAAAGACAGGGAACCATAATCTCCTCAAACAGACAAAATAAGGGCCCTAACAACCGACCTTAACAAGATGGTGATATATGAACTCTTTGACCAAGAATTCAAAAATAGCAGTTTTAAGGGAACTCAGTGATATCCAAGAGAATACAGAAAAGTAATTCAGAAGTTTATCAGATAAATTTAACTAAGAGATTGAAATAATAATTTAAAAAATCAAACATAAATCTTTGTACCGAGAAAAACATTTGCCAAACTGAAAAATTCATTAGAGGCTCTCAACAGCAGAATAAATCAAGCAGAGGAAAGAATTAGTGAGCACAAAGACAGGCTATTTGAAAACACATAGAACAGAAAAAAGCAGTTTTAAGGGAATACATAGAACAGAAAATACATAGAACAGAAAAAAGAAAAAAAGAATGAAAAGGAACGAAGATTTCTATATATTTTTTAAGATAGAGAAAATTACCTGAAAGCTTAAGAATTAGTGGTGTTCAAGAGAGAGTTAACAAGATCAAGGAGTATAAAGCTTATTCAAAGAAATAATGGCAGAAAACTTTCCAAACTCAAGAAAGAGATAAATATCCAGGTACAGAAAGGTCCAAGAGCACCAAAAAGATTTGACCAAAATAAGATTACCCCAAGGCATATAATAGTCAAACTCTCAAGGGTCAAGGACAAAGAGAGGATCTTAAAAGCAGCTAGAGAAAAGAAACAAATAGCATATAAAGGAGCCCCAACTTGTCTGGCAACCCAACATACAGGCCAGGAGGGAATGGGTGGACATTTTCAAAGTGCTGAAAGAGAGAGAGGAAAACAAAAAAACCATCATCCAAAAAAACTGTATCCAGAAAAGCTGTCCTTTAAGTATGGAGATATTCAGTCTTTCCCAGAAAAACAAAAGCTGAAATAATTCACCATCAACAGATCTTACAAGAAATGCTAAAGGGAGTTCTTCAATAGAAAAGCCACTAATGTGCAAAATGAGTAAAAAGCCACTAATGTGCAAAATGAAAACAGTGGAAATTATAAAACCCACTGGTAAAATTAAGTACGTGGACAAATCCAGAATCATCTAATACTGTAACTGTGCTGTGTAATTCACTCATAATGCTAATATGAAGCCCCAAAACAAATCTATCCAGACAATATTGCCTACAACAACCTGTTAAGAGATAGGCAATATAAAAATATGTAAAATGAGACAATATAAAGTCAAAATGTGGGATGGATGTGGTTAAAGTGTAGAGGGTTTTAAAATTTTTTTCTTTGTTACTTTGTTTCTATTCTTTGTGACCTGAGATAAGTTGTCATCTTTTGAAAATAATTGGTTATATTTGTAAGATATTTTTTGTAAGCCTTATGGTAACCACTATGCAAATCCTATAATAGAGTCACTAAAAATAAAAAGTGACAAATTAAAATGTACTACCCATATCACTCTCATAAAGGAAGTAAAAGGAAGGTTGTAAGGAAGAAAAGAGGAATTACAAAAAGCAACCTGAAAAGAAGCAAGAAAATAACTGTAATAAGCTCTCTTTATTATTATTATTATTATACTTTAAGTTCTGGGGTACATGTGCAGAATGTGCAGTTTTGTTACACAGGTATACATATGCCATGATGGTTTGCTACACCCATCAAACCTACATTAGGTACTTCTCCTAATGTTATCCCTCCCCTAGTCCCCCAGCCCCCGACAGGCCACAATGTGTAATGTTCCCCTCCCTACATCCATATGTTCTCATTGTTCAACTACCACTTATAAGTGAGAACATGCAGTGTTTGGCTTTCTGTTGTTGTGATAGTTTGCTGAGAATGATGGTTTCCAGCTTCATCCATGTCCCTGCAAAGGACATGAACTCATCTTTTTTTATGGCTGCATGGCATTCCATGGTGTATATGTGCCACATTTTCTTTATCCAGTCTATTATTGATGGACATTTCGGTTGGTTCCAAGTCTTTGCTATTGTGAGTTAGTGCCACAATAAACATATGTGTGCATGTGTCTTTGTAATAGAATTATTTATAATCCTTTGGGTATATACCCAGTAATAGGATTGCTGGGTCAAATGGTATTTCTAGTTCTAGATCCTTAAGGAATTGCCACAGTCTTTCACAATGGCTGAACTAATTTACACTCCCACCAACAGTGTAAAAGTGTCCCTATTTCTCCACATCCTTTCCAGCATCTGTTGTTTCCTGACTTTTTAATGGTCGCCATTCTAACTGGAGTGAGATAGCATCTCATTGTGATTTTAATTTGCATTTCTCTAATGACCAGTGATGATGTCTCTATCTCCTTCAGTTCTGCTCTGATCTTAGTTATTTATTGCCTTCTGCTAGCTTTTGAATGTGTTTGCTATTGCTTCTCTAGTTCCTTTAATTGTGATGTTAGGGTGCCAATTTTAGATCTTTCCTGCTTTCTCTTGTGGGCATTTAGTGCTATAAATTTCCCTCTACACACTGCTTTAAATGTGTCCCAGAGATTCTGGTATGTTGTGTCTTTGTTCTCGTCGGTTTCAAAGAACATCTTTATTTCTGCCTCCATTTCGTTATGTACCCAGTAGTCATTCAGGAGCAGGTTGTTCAATTTCCATGTAGTTGAGTGGTTTTGAGCGAGTTTCTTAATCCTGAGTTCTAGTTTGATTGCACTGTAGTCTGAGAGACAGTTTGTTATAATTTCTGTTCTTTTACATTTACTGAGGAGTGCTTTACTTCCAACTATGTGGTCAATTTTGGAATAAGTGTGGTGTGGTGCTGAGAAGAATGTATATTCTGTTGACTTGGGGTGGAGAGTTCTGTAGATGTCTATTAGGTCCGCTTGGTGTAGAGCTGAGTTCAATTCCTGGATATCCTTGTTAACTTTCTGTCTCACTGATCTGTCTAATATTGACAGTGGGGTGTTAAAATCTCCCATTATTATTCTGTGGGAGTCTAATTCTCTTTGTAGGTCTCTAAGGACTTGCTTTATGAATCCAGTTGCTCCTATATTGGGTGCATATTTATTTAGGATAGTTAGCTCTTCCTGTTGAATTGATCCCTTTACCATTATGTAATGACCTTCTTTGTCTCTTTTGATCTTTGTTGGTTTAAAGTCTGTTTTATCCGAGACTAGGACTGCAACCCCTGCCTTTTTTTGTTTTCCATTTGCTTGGTAGATCTTCCTCCATCCCTTTATTTTGAGCCTATGTGTGTCTCTGCACGTGAGATGGGTTTCCTGAATACAGCACACTGATGGGTCTTGACTCTTTATCCAATTTGCCAGTCTGTGACTTTTAATTGGAGCATTAAGCCCATTTATATTTAAGGTTAATATTGTTATGTGTGAATTTGATCCTGTCATTATGATGTTAGCTGGTTATTTTGCTCATTAGTTGATGCAGTTTCTTCATAGTGTCAATAGTCTTTACAATTTGGCATGTTTTTGCAGTGGCTAGTACTGGTTGTTCCTTTCCATGTTTAGTGCTTCCTTCCAGAGCTCTTGGAAGGCAGGCCTGGTGGTAACAAAATCTCTCAGCATTTGCTTGTCTGTAAAGGATTTTATTTCTCCTTCACTTATGAAGCTTAATTTGGCTGGATATGAAATTCTGGGTTGAAAATTCTTTTTTTTAAGAATGTTGAATATTGGCCCCCACTCTCTTCTGGCTTATAGAGTTTCTGCCGAGACATCAGCTGTTAGTCTGATGGACTCCCCTTTGTGGGTAACCCAACCTTTCTCTCTGGCTGCCCTTAACATTTTTTCCTTCATTTCAACTTTGGTGAATCTGGCAATTATGCGTCTTGGAGTTGCCATTCTTGAGGGGTATCTTTGTGGTGCTCTCTGTATTTCCTGAATTTAAATGGTGGCCTGCCTTGCTAGGTTGGGGACATTCTCCTGGATAATATCCTGAAGTGTGTTTTCCAACTTGGTTCCATTTTCCCTGTCACTTTCAGGTACACCAATCACACGTAGATTTGGTCTTTTCACGTAGTCCCATATTTCTTAGAGGCTTTGTTCGTTTCTTTTTACTCTTTTTTCTCTAATCTTCTCTTCTCGCTTCATTTCATTCATTTGATCTTCAATCATTGATACCCTTTCTTCCACTTGATCAAATTGGCTACTGAAGCTTGTGCATGCATCACGTAGTTCTCGTGCCATGGTTTTCAGCTCCATCACATCATTTAAGGTTTTCTCTATGCTGTTTATTCTAGTTAGCCATTCATCTAATCTTTTTTCAAAGTTTTTAGCTTCTTTGCAATAGATTCGAACATCCTCCTTTAGTTCAGAGAAGTTTCTTATTACCGATCATCTGAAGCCTTCTTCTCTTAACTTGTCAAAGTCATTCTCCATCCAGCTTTGTTCCATTGCTGGCGAGGAGCTGTGTTCCTTTGGAGGAGGAGAGGAGCTCTGATTTTTAGAATTTTCACCTTTTCTGCTCTGGTTTCTCCCCATCTTCGTGGTTTTATCTACCTTTGGTCTTTGATGATGGTGACGTACAGATGGGGTTTTGATGTGGATGTCCTTTCTGTTTGTTAGTTTTCCTTCTAACAGTCAGGACCCTCAGCTGCAGGTCTGTTGGAGTTTGCTGGAGGTCCACTGCAGACCATGTTTGCCTGGGTATCACCAGTGGCAGCTGCAGAACAGCAATTATTGCAGAACAGCAAATGTTGCTGCCTGATCCTTCCTCTGGAAGCTTCGTCTCAGAGGGGCACCTGGCCATATGAGGTGTCAATCGGCCCCTACTGGCAGGTGCCTCCCAGTTAGTCTACTTGGGGGTCAGGGACCCACTTGAGGAAGCAGTCTGTCCATTCTCAGATCTCAAACTCCATGCTGGGAGAACCACTACTCTCTTCAAAGCTGTCAGACAGGGACATGTAAGTCTGCAGAAGTTTCTGCTGCCTTTTGTTCAGCTATGCCCTGCCCCCAGAGGTGGAGTCTAGAGATGCAGGCAGGCCTCCTTGAGCTGTGGTGGGCTCCGCCCAGTTCGAGCTTCCTGGCTGCTTTGTTTACCTACTCAAGCCTCAGCAATGGCAGATGCCCCTCCCACAGCCTCACTCCCACCTCACAGTTTGATCTCAGACTGCTGTGCTAGCAGTGAGCGAGGCTCCATGGGCGTGGGCCCCTCCGAGCCAGGCGCGGGATATAATCTCCTGGTGTGCCATTTGCTATGACCATTGGAAAAGCACTGTATTAGGGTGGGAGTGTCCCAATTTTCCAGGTACCGTCTGTTACAGCTTCCCTTGGCTAGGAAAGTGAATTCCCCGACCTCTTGTGCTTCCTGGGTGAGGTAATGCCCTGCCCTGCTTTGGCTCATGCTCCATGGGCCGCACTCACTGTCTGACAAGCCCCAGTGAGATGAACCCGGTACCTCAGTTGGAAATCCAGAAATCACCAACTTCTGCGTTACTCACACTGGGAGCTGTAGACTAGGGCTGTTCCTGTTCAGCCATCTTGGAACCTCCCTCCAAACCAAATAACTATTAAAGCCAGAGGGAATAATGTAAAGAAATTTTTCCATTTTGTAGATTGGTATTATCAGTTTCTTAAAATATCTATGTAGTGGATTGTAAAAATAACCACTTTAAGAACAGAATTCTTAATTTTAAATACTACAGAATGTAAGGGCTTATTTGGGTTGAGGCAGGAGCCACAGCTTACTGTTGAATAATCACTGATGAGTATATGTGATCCAAATGCACAGGAGGTTATTCCTGAGAGAACCATCAGCCTAGTGGACCAGATAAATGTCACTGTCAGGTCTGTTTGCCCTGAAAAGGGAATTCCCCAACTCTCCCTCTAAAATACCAAGTGGAGCACACCAGATGAAGCAGTTAATATGCTTCATATGTGAGCCATGTGGGACTGGCTTTATAATAACTGGGATATCCTCCCACCAAATATACCTATTATCCAGGTCATGGTAAATTTTGGGGTGAAAGGAGCCCCTTTTACATGGGTCTTTCAGAAGGCTTATCAAATTTTCTATCCCTCATGGGTATTACAGATGCAACTCCCTGCTGGGAACCCAAACCCTTTTCCAACAGAAAAGGTAAAATGGCCTGGGGAGAAGAAATAATTTCCTGTGACCAGAACATAAAAATAATGCACATTAAAAATATTATGAAATTTAAGATGTTTAAACAGGCTTTATGTAAGGTAGTTGTAACCCCTTTACCTAAATGTCTTATGAAAATGGGTATTATATCTAACAGGGGGTTGTTTCCCCTATCTAGTACTATAAAACTGAAGAGAAATGTTAATCAGACATGCCAAATAGGACCTAGTAAGATCACCTGAGCCCACAAAGTATAGGGTAGAAGCTGGAGTACGAAGCTCCACTTCATACCCCTTTGTGGAGCATTTACTGGGGCTGAGGGCAAAAAACTATGAGTAGTACTTCCCAATGACAATGACTGGACTAGAAAATTTCCACTTGAGGGGCATTTACTGCACTGCTATAGAATGTTAACTAAAGCTACCCCTATGCTAATAGTAATAATGGTGCCCCAAGGAGTTCTATGATAAAATAAAAATGGTTTACATAGGATCTTGCTACCTAGAGATACAAGGAGGAGATACTCATAAGCAGGGAGCCTCTTTCTTCCCTAGGAAAATTTCTGTGTGAGGAGCTACTAGATTCTACAGTGCCTGATAGACAGCTCCCATGAGCTGTTTGGCTTGTGAATGGCATTTCCAAGGTAAACAAACATCTTGCTTGAAAGCTGTTGTTCTGGTTAAAGAAGGGTCAAGAAAAATCTTTTTCCTTTGAGTTGTTTGGGTGAAGTATGTTTTTGTAGCAAATTTACCTTTCTCTCTGAGTTCTCCAAAATTCGATTGTGATTTTATGACAATATAGTTATTTGCATAAGTTCAATAAGAGTCTTTTAAACAGAACAATTAGAGACACTGATTCCTTTACCAAGACTTTAACTAAAATAGTACATTTTTAGGTAAAGTTCCAGCAAAGCTAACTTAAAAGAAGCCTATATGGCCAATTAATTATTGCTGCATTTTATGCAAATAATCAGGCCAAGTATAATAAGCCTAAAACTTGTTTTGCACACAAATTGGTCTTACTATAATTTCTCTTTAATAGAAAAGGAAGGCTAGAGAAAGAGAAATTGTTTCAGAGGAAAAGTGTAACACTTGATAATAGATTTCAGCCCTAACTTTTGTTTTTTTGAGTGCAGATCAAATCATTATTTCTTGGCTACAATAATCCTCTACAGAGTACCCCAGTTTATAATTTTTCTTCATATTTTTAGTTGGTACCCTACTGAAATAGGTTTCTTTTTCAGTTCTAACACACAATTACTCTTTTGATTGTCAAAATATAAATGTTATTTATCTAGTCTTGTTTTACTTCCAAGGAAACCAAAATTATGGTATTCTGAAGACCAGAGATGCTAATCTCCCTCATTTGGCATCCCACTGGCCCAGATCTGTTTTTTGCTGCGAGTGCTCTGCTCCTAAATCTATACAAGCACTCTCCCTCTAGGCCCAGGGACTGTCATGGAAGAGGTGGGCACATGAGAATCTAAGGGCCAGTTTTGAGGGATAGAATTAGGTCAAGGTAAGACCCTCCAAATCAAGAAGGCTGGTAAAACAAGACTAAGCTATTATGTGTCCCTTTTGCATCTACCCCAACCGTAAAGAGTTTTCTGCTTCCTGTAAAATTAAATGAAAATATTTATTGATGGGATAAAGATATCTTATAACAAAGCCTCCTGGGTATAATGCTCTCAGTTATGAGCTTGCTAAGATCTGTCTATCTATCTATCTAAAAATTTTTTTTTCAGAACAATGCTTATTTTGTTTGTTTTTTTTGTTTTTTGTTTTGAGACAGAGTCTCACTCTGTCACCCAGGCTGGAGTGCAGTGGCTGATCTTGCCTCACTGCAACCTCTGCCTCTCGGGTTCAAGCAATTCTCATGCCTCAAGTCTCGCAAATAGCTGGGATTACAGGCATGCGCCACAACGCCTGGCTAATTTTTGTATGCTTATGTTTGGTATAGCAAATTACTATAAGTCTGTAACTAAAACAAGCTTACAGTAGCTCAATACGTAGAAGTTAAAAATAAATTAGTTTTGTAACTTTTCCTTTTGGTTTTTGTTTGTTGGCTTTTTACTTAAAATAATAATTTTAAGAGGTATTGTATGCCTGTCCACATCCATTGCTATCTGGCCTAGAACAATTAATTGGCTATAAGTCTTTTGACTCTTAAGGCCCTTGGCCGTAGGGAGTCCCACTGAGGGCCAAGATGGACCTGGGGCAGGCAGCCATGCCACCCTGGTGCCACTATGGGTCAAAATAAAGATTTGCTGGCCTTTGATGTTGCCTCTGGCAAATCTTGGCCAGAAGGGGGAAAATGTAAACCAAAAATTAAATTCTAAGGACCCTCAACCATCTGAATGGATTTTCTCCTTGGCAAGGGTACTCTTTTAAAAGTTAACCTGAGAGGCCGGGCGCGGTGGCTCACGCCTGTAATCCCCGCACTTTGGGAGGCCAAGGTGGGCGGATCACCTGAGCTTGGGAGTTTGAGACCAGCCTGACCAACATGGAGAAACACTGTTTCTACTAAAAATACAAAACTAGCCGGTCATGGTGGAGCATGCCTGTAATCCCAGCTACTCGGGAGGCTGAGACAGGAGAATTGCCTGAACCCGGGAGGCAGAGGTTGCAGTGAGCTGAGATCTCACCATTGCAGTCCAACATGGACAACAAGAATGAAACTCCGTCTCAAAAAAAAAAAAAAAATTTACCCTGAGAGACTGTTTCAGGCCATCATGGGAAGTGGGGGTCAGACATACCTCATTATACCTCTCCAGCATTAACATCAACACAGATCTTTAAGTCTGATAAGAATCATTTACAATCTATTCTCTCTGAAGCCTGCTACCTGGAGGCCTCATCTGCATAATTAAACTTCGGTCTCTACAACCCCTTATCTTAACCCAGACATTTCTTTCTATTGATCCCAGGTCTTTAGATAAACTCAACCAATTGTTAACCAGAAAATTTTTAAATCTGCCTATAAGCTGGAAGCCCCCACCCTTCGAGTGTTCCCACTTTTCTGAACCAAACCAGCATATTTCTTAAATGTATTTGATTGAAGTCTCGTGTCTCCTTAAAATGTATAAAACCAAGCTGTGCCCTGACCAGCTTAGGCACATGTTCTCGGGACCTCTTGAGGGCTGTGTCATGGCTATGATCACTCATATTTAGCTCTGCATAAATATCTTCAAATAAAAAAAAAGAAAATCAACAAAAACATTAGAGTTAAACTACACACTAGACTCTAAACACCTAATTGACATTTACAGACTATTTTACCCAACTGCTACAAAATACACATTCTTTTCATGAGTAATGGAACATTCTCCAAAATAGATTATATCTTCATCCACAAAACAAATCTCAACAAACTTAAAAAAGTGGAAATCATATCAGATATCTTTTCTGATCAGAATGAAATAAAACTTGAAATCGATAATAAGAGGACCCTTGGAAACTACACAAACACATGGAAATTAAACAACATGCTCCTGAATGACCACTGGACCAATGAAGAAATTAAGAAGCAGCTAAAAAATTTATTGTAACAAAATAGGATTATATTATACTAAAATCTATGGGATACAGCAAAAGTCGTACTAAGAGGGAAGTTTATGGCAATAAACACCTATATCAAAAAGGTAGAAAGACTTCAAATAAACAACAAAACAACGCACTTCAAGGAACTAGAAAAGCAAGAGAAAACCAAACCCAAAATTAATAGAAGAAAAGAATAATGATCAGGCAGAAATAAATGAAAGTGAGACTAAAAAACAATACAGAAGATCAATGAATCAAAAAGTTGTTTTTCTGAAAAGATAGATAAAATTGACAAGCCTTTAGTCAGACTGAAAAAAGAGAAGATACAAAATCAGAAATGAAAAAGGAGACATAACAACTGATATCACGGAAATACAAAGAATCATTAGAGACTATTATGAGCAACTAGGTGCCAACAAATTGGAAAACCTAGAATAAATGGATAAATTTCTGCATACAACCAACTTACTAAGATTGAGCTATGAAGAAATAGAAAACTTCAACAACCAATAACAAGTAATGAGATTGAAGCTATAATAAGTCCTCATCTGACTAGGTGTGGCAGCTCATGCCTGTAATCCCAACACTATAGGAGGTTGAGGCAGGAGGATTGCTTGAGGCCAGCAGTTCTAGAACAGCCTGGGAAATATAGCAAGATCCCATCACTACAAAAAATGAAATACAAGAAAAATTAGCCAGGCACTGTGGCATGTATCTATAGTCCCAGCTACTCATGAGGCTGAGGCAAGAGAATTGCTTGAGCCCAGGAGTTCAAGGCTGTAGTGAACTATGATCATGCCACTCCTTTTTAGCTTGGGCAACAGAGCAAGACCCTGTCTCAGAAAAATTAATAGTACTACAAAGCTATAGTAACCAAATCATCATGGCATTGGTATAAAAACAGACACACAGGCCAATGGAATGTAATAGACAACCCGGATATCAATCCATGAATTTACAGCCAATGCATTTTCCAAAGAGGTTGCAAGAACATATGACAGAGAACAGACAGTTACTTCAATAAATGGTGTTGGGAAAACTGGATAACCATATGCAGAGGAATGAAACTAGACACACTCCAACATATACAAAAATCAAAATGAATTAAAGACTTAAATTCAAGACTTGAGACTATGAACCTTCTATTCAAAAAACATTGGAGAAATGCTCCAGGAGATTGGTCTGGATAAAAAATTTTTTTGTGTAAGATATCAAAAGCATAGGCAACCAAAGCAAAAATACATGGGGTCACATTAAGCTAAAACACTTCTGCACAGCAAAGGAAACAGTCAACAAAGTAAAGAAACGACCCACAGAATGGGAGAAAATATTTACAAACTATCCACCTGACAAGGGATTAATAACCAGAATGTATAAGGAGCTCAAACAACTCAACAGAAAAAAAATCTGATTTAAAAATGGGCAAAAGTTTCTAAGAGATATTTCTCAAAAGAAGATATACTAATAGCCAACAGTATATAAAAAATGCTGAACATCACTAATCATCAGAGAAATGCAAATCAAAACCACAATGAGATATCTCATTCCAGTTAGAATGCATTTTATCAAATGACAGGGAATAGCAGATGCTGGTGAGGATGTGCAAAAAGGGGAATCCTTGTACACTGTTGGTGGGAAAGCAAATTAGTATAATCACTATGGAAATCTGTATAGAGGTTCCTCAAGAAACTAAAAATAGAACTACTATATGATCCAGCAAGTCTACTACTGGGTATGTAATTGATAGCAACAGGAGACAGGCAAAGTTCCTAGGCAGACAAGGATGGGTCCCTGGTGAAACCTGACCTTCAAGCCAAGGACAACCTGAAGCCTGAAAACTGAGCTGCTAGGTCTGGGTAGAGTCCACCACCAGAGTGAAAACGTCCTCAATGCCTTTTGGCCAACTGGAATGGTGCTTTTTCCAGGCCTGCCCATGGATCAATCAGCATGCACTCCCCCATTCTGAACCCATAAAAACCCTGGACTCAGTCTCACAAATGGCTACCCGCTTTGGGCCCCTTCTCACACAGAGGGCTACCCACTTTGGGTCCGCTCGTGTTGAGAGCTTTTCTGTTGCTCAATAAAATTATTCTCTGCCTTGCTCACTCTCCGGTGTCCACCTACCTTATTCCTCTTGGTCTCAGGACAAGAACCTGGAACTCATCAAATGGTGGGTACAAAAAGAGCTGTAACACGCACTCCTGCTCATCGAACTAGGGGTGTGAAAAGACTGCTGGGCATCACACACCCTAGTTTGCCGAACTGCAGGCAGCAGAAACGAATATGCTGTAACACGCCCCTGTCCTCCAAGCTGTGGGCAGCGGGGAGAGCTATAACTAGCCTCCATTCACCTAGCTGTGGGCTGCAGGGAGAGCTGTTACATGCCCCCATCCACCAAGCTGCGGGCAGTGGAGAGAGCTATAACATGCCCCTGTTTGAGTAGCTGCAGGCGTGAAGAAGCGAAGCAGTTAGGCGCCATTCCCTCCTGGCTGGCTCGCCGAACTGTTAATACAAAACCTACAACATTTCTTGGGGGCTCAGACCTCAGGACTCCCCGGGCAAAAGCTGTAATGCCCCTTGGGGCTCCGTGGTTGCCAGCATCGCTGAGCTTTTGGACACCACCAGATTCCCCTCAGCCAGACTCCGGCAACCAACGTGAAAACCTTCCACGGCACTCCCGGTCCAGCTGTAGGCTGATTGCGGAGTTCCTGTTCAGGTGTGGGATGTGTGAGCCAAATGCAGCCTGCGAGCTGAGGGGGCAGAGTGAGGCCTGCAGGCCCGAGCCAGTCCCTGGGCAGAGGTCACGGCAGCCGCAGATTTCTGGCTGGTGAAGCGCACAAAGGAATCCTGTAACATACTCAAAAGAAAGGAAATCAATATATCCAAGAGATACCTGCATTCCCATGTTTATTGCAGCACTGTTCACAATACCCAAATTATGGACTCAACCTGAGTGTTCTTCAGTGGATAAATGGATAAAGAAAATGGGGTGTGTGTGTGTGTGTATATATATATACACACACAATGGAATATTATTCAGCCATAAGAAAATGAAATCTTGTCATTTGCAGCAACATGAATAGACTGGAAATCATATTAAGTGAAACAAGCCAAGTACAGAAAGACAGATATCACATGTTCTGGCTCATATTTGGGAGCTAAAAAAGTTGATCTCATAAAGATAGAGAACAGATTGATGGTTACTAGAAGCTAGGAAGGGTAGTGAGGAGAAGAGGAAGGAGAGAGGTTGATAATGGGTCGATTTGATAGGAGAAATAAGACCTAGTGTTTGATATATCAGTAGGGTGACAGTTTAAAATAATTTGTTGTATATTTTAAAATAGCTAGAAGAGAACAATTTGAATGTTTCTAGCCTAAAGAAAAGACATATTTAAGATGATACATCTTCTAATTACACTGATTTGCTCTTTAAAAATTATATGAATGTATTAAATTTTCACATGCATCCTGAAAAAAGTATATACCTCCTATGCATCAATAGAAAATTAAACTAAAAGATTGGACAGTAAAGAACAGCTTGACAAAGACTATGGTATTTATCTGGCCTTTGAAGGCTGGTAGGGCATATCATGATGGTAGGACACAAGAAATGTTTCTATTCTCTCTCTCTCTCTTTTTTTTTTTTTTCTATAATCCTATCTCTTTTCTGCAGCCACATATTTTTCTTTTCTTTTTTTTTTCTGTTCTTTTTCTTTTCTTTTTCTTCTTCTTCTTCTTTTTTTTGAGACAGAGTCTCCTTCTGTTGCCCAGGCTGGAATGCAGTGGCACCATCTGGGATCATTGCACCTCCGCCTCCCAGGTTCAAGCAATCCTCCTGCCTCAGTCACCCAAGTAGCTGGGATTACAGGCGCCTGCCACCATGCCTGGCTAATTTTTGTATTTTTAGTAGAGACAGGGTTTCACCATGTTGGCCAGGCTGGTCTTGAACTCTTGACCTCAAGTGATCTGCCTGCCTTGGCCTCCCAAAGTGCTGGGATTACAGGCATGAGCCACCACGTCTGGCCAACAGCCACGTATTTTCAAACCTGAGCAGAATCCAATTGCTTTTCTTCTTAAAATCCTCAAACTGCTTTTCATTTCTCCTGGTATGAGGTTGAAAATTCCTTAAAGAAGCCAGGCGCAGTAGCTCATGCCTGTGACCCCAATGCTTTGGGAGGCTGAGGCCTCCTCAAGCGATCAGGAGGATCACATGAGGACAGGAGTTTAAGACCAGCCTGGGCAACATATAAGACCCTGTCTCTACAAAAATTTTTTAAAACATTAGCCAAGCAGAGTGGTGCACACCTGTAGTCCCAGCTATTCAAGAGTCTGAGGTGGGGGATCCCTTGAGCCCAGGAGTTTGAGGCTGCAGTGCGCTATGATCGAGGCACTGCATTCCAGCCTGGGGGGACAGAGACTCTGTCTCTAAAATAAATAAACAAAAAAATTTCTTAAAGAATCTTTTGACCTGGATCCTGCTCCTTTTCTCTGGCCTTATCTCTCATTCCTCAGCTATATTGAATTTCTCTGTTTCCCATAATTATCATGCTAATGTATTCCTGGGCCTTTTCACACATAGCTCTTCTTCTGTAGACCGCTCCTTTCTCCTATCACCAAGCTGACTTCTACTTACATTTTAGGGTTTCTTCTTCTAGGAAACTGTTTCTGATAATGTAGTTGCCTCTTTTGTCCCTTTCATAACATCCTGAACTTCCCCTGGAATAGCACCCGATTTTGTTTTAATTTTTCGTTTTCCTGTTGCAGTGTAAGCTCCCTAATAGCAACATCTAACATTTGTGGAGGGCCATGTGCCAGAAACTGTTTTATGCACTTGACATGCATTCTTTCCTTTAATCTTTACAACAAACCTATGATGCTTTATTGTTCCTTTTTGACAGATAAGAAACAGAGGCAAATGCAGGTTAAGGAACCTCACAGTAAGGGATAAAACTCATATTTTAACCTGATCTGCCTGATTCTGGAGCCTGCACCATCATTCCATTGTCGTGCTTGCCACATGGTAAGGATTTAACAGACATTTATTGAATGAATGAATTTGGTAAACCTAACCAGGATAGAAGAGGAGCACTCAGGATTATTGGAAACAAAGTAGGAAAGTTAGGCCCAGATATGGAGACTCTAGGACCCTGAGAAGTAGTTTAGACTGGAGGTGGCTGGGAATAGGGATTCATCATTGATAACATTTTTTAAAGAAGATTAGATTGGCAACAGTTCGTATAACTTCTACACAGCTCTTTCTATCTCAACCTTCAACTTGAAAATAGAATATGTAGAAAAGGGCACAATGAAACATTTATGAAAAAATATTATTTTAATGCATAAACTTTAAAGGCTGAAATTTTTTTTAACTGAAGATCATATATTCATAAATAACAAAAAGTGTATATTTTTTCAGATAATTTTATGGCATGACCATTAAGATTTTATATTTTAAAAACAAGAATAGATGTTTAAAAAATGACTTACTTTCCACAGGATATTTAGGGGCAAATCATGTCTTATTGAGAATTTAAGTTACAGGTGCTTTATCAAAACTCTTTTAATTTTTTTTTGGCAGATTTCTCTTTTAAAAATCTTTTCTTCAATCAGGGTTTTAGGGATTGTGTAAAACCCAAAATAAGAAAATCAACTATGTCAATCAGTAACTTGTAATGCTTTCTGCTGGTTCCATGTTCACAAGGCAAATACAGTTATACATCTTAACAACAAGGAGACATTCTGAGAAATGTGATTTTTGTCATTGTACAAACATAATAGAGTGTACTTACACAAATTTAGGTGGTATAGCCTACTACACACCTAGGATATATGGTACAGCCTATAGCTTCAAGACTACAAACCTGTACAGCATGTTTCTGTACATGAATGTTGTAGGCAATTGTAACACAGTGGTAAGTATTTGTGTGTATCTAAACATATGTAAACATAGAACAGCTACAGTAAAAATATAGTATTATTATCTTATGGGACCACTATGATATATGAGGTTCATTGTTGACCAAAATGTTACAAGGGGCATGACTGCAGTACTTTTTGTTGCAAACAAAGCCATCTATTGGCCCAAACAACTTACTGAAAAACTATATTGTTTATCTCTAGGTGTGAAATTCCACCTTTAACTATGTTGAGGATGGTCCAGACTTAAAAATCATTGCCCTCCAAGGTGATTTGGCTACACTGGGTAAATTCCAGGGATTATTTAAACATAGTCACAGTTAGACTCAATAATATTGTAGACATCATAATATTTCACTTCTTTTTCCACCTCCCAGGCTCAACCCCATTTTTACTCCTATTACTCTAAAGAGTGATAAATTGCAGTAATATCTCCCTTTTTAAATTCTCACCCCAAAGTGCCTTAATTATTTTAGAGTTTAGGGTCTCTTGTTATTGTATCGTGTATTTTTCTCACTTACCTTTTCTGCAGACATGAACTATGCCACTTATGCACATTGTGACAACTTAGAGACAAGCATGAGTTTTAGTGACATAGAAGAAACCAGACTAACAGGAAAAGACTTGCCTGCATAGTTGAAAGACTCTCTTTGTTGCCCTGGGCAGCATATATCTAAATCTATACATTCCTGTTTTTAGAACATGGGAATACAAGGATCGGAAGATATACAAAATCATACCTTACACTGCAGAATGTCTTAAGTTTGATCAGAACGTAGCATAGAGTTTTTTATCTGAAATGGTAGAGCGTCTTCTATCTTGGAAGTGAAAACAGTAGTCATTTACCTATAATACAAGAAATGCAATTTATGTTTTCATTTATATGCTATAAAAAGTTATATGACTGTTTTATTCTCATTATCTCTTGTTCCCTCTCTTCTTCTCTCCCTCCCCCGATTTTTCTATATGTAGAGTTTGATAGGTGATACAAGTAATAGAAAGAATTTACCACCCTTTCAAGAATATTATCTTTAACATATTTCAATATGTCTAATTTTAGTTTGGGGATAATTTTATATATATATATATATATAACTTTTTTCGAAACAGAGTCACTCTGTTGCCCAGGCTGGAGTGCAATGGCATGGTCTTCGCTCACAGCAGCCTCCACCCCCTGTTCCCCGCTCCCTTCAAGTGATTCTCCTGCCTCAGCCTCCCGAGTAGCTGGGATTACAGGCACGCACCACCACACCCAGCTAATTTTTGTATTTTTAGTAGAAACTAAATTTCACAATGTTGGCCAAGCTGGTCTTGAACTCCGGACCACAAGTGATCCACCCGCCTTGGCCTCTCAAAGTGCTGGGATTACAGCTGTGAGCCGTTGCACCAGGCCTAGTTTAGGGATAACACTGAGATGCAAAATAATTTAAGCAACCAAAATGTTATATATATATATATATATTTTTTTTTTTTTTTTTTTTTTTTTTTTTGAGACAGAGGCTCTGTCGCCCAGGCTGGAGTGCAGTGGCGCGATCTGGGCTCACTGCAAGCTCCGCCTCCCGGGTTCACGCCATTCTCCTGCCTCAGCCTCTCCGAGTAGCTGGGACTACAGGCGCCCGCTACCACGCCCGGCCAATTTTTTGTATTTTTAGTAGAGACGGGGTTTCACCAGGGTCTCGATCTCCTGACCTCGTGATCCACCCGCCTCGGCCTCCCAAAGTGCTGGAATTACAAGCGTGAGCCACCGCGCCCGGCCTCCAAATGTAATATATATTATGATATGATATGATATATATTCAGAAGAAGAAGCCTATAAAGATCCAGTCTACATAAATAACTTTGGAGAGTCCTGTGGAGAGCACTTCAAAGAGATAGCCAATAATTCCCTACAACAACTAAAATTGAGCTGTGCTACTTCAATAGGGATAGACAGACTATGCATATTAAAACCCAATGAACAGAGAAAACAGATAATAGTTTTGAATGTAAGCATCAATCAAAATTCATAAAAGAGGAAGTTTTGATTTTAAGCATTGGTTATAAATTGAGCTGCTTCTTTCAAGGACAACTCTATGTAGTATAATAGTAGAATATGAGGTAATAGGGCTTGATTCATTATTCAGGATGGTTGAAAAATCTACTATGGAACACTGGAGAGGGAAGCTGACTATATGTAATACTTTATTTTAATATATTACAAATCTGGTATTTTAATGAGGAAGATATTTAAAAAATAAATATAAAAAAATTAAATGGTTTGTCCACAATTTGAAAAGGTTTATGACATTAAAAATCTGAATATTTTAAATTAAAATAATTAATTGAAAAAATATTAGCCTCAGTATTGACAGAAACAATATCTATGTCATAAAAGAGTTCATACAAAGTGATTAGCTTAATACCGTCTTAAAAAATAACAGACTATTTGATTTATTTAACAAAAAGTTAATAATGAGATTAATAATGTTCAGTTTCAATAGTAATTAAAATATAGTTTAAAATAAGATACTTTTATTCCTATTAACATAGCAAATATTTCAGAAAAATAAAATGACTAATAATGAGGTTAATATGAAATTGTTATATTTACTGACGTCAGTATAGACTGCTCAAACCATCTGTGAAGTTATTAGGCAGTAAATATAAATAGTTACACAGGATCCTCTCCCTTTGATTTTCTAATATGGGAATTATATAAATTCTTGTGAAAAATGTCAAAGAAGAAAAAATATATACATTATTATTTCATAGGATGGGGAAGGAAAATTATAAATGGCCAATAATAGAGAATTGCTTAAATAAATTGTGATGCAGAAACTCAATGGAATATTATGCTGCCATTTGTAGGAAATATTTGGGATACATGAAGCACAGTGGTGTTTGGCTGGGTATGATGGCTCATGCCTGTAATATTTGGATACATGAAGGACAACAGAGGTGTTTGGCTGGGTGTGGTGGCTCATGCCTGTAATCCTAGCACTTTGGAAGGCTGAAGATGGCAGAACACTTGAGGCCAGAAGTTCAGACCTCTCTCACCAACATGGCAAAACCCCAGCTTTACTAAAAATACAAAAAATTAGCTGGTCGTGGTGGTGCTTGCATGTAGTCCCAGCTACTCGGGAAGCTGAGGCATGAGGGTTGCTTGAACCTGGGAGGAGGAGGTTGCTGCAGTGAGCCGAGATCGTGCCTCTGTACTCCAGCCTAGGTGACAAAGCAAGACTCTGTCTCCAAAAAAAAAAAAAAAAAAAAAAAAAAAGTGGGGTGTTTCTCAATAACTAAGTTTTAAGAAAAATCATATATATACTTTTTTTTTTTTTTTTTTTTTTTTTTTGCAAGAGGGAGGCAGTAAAATCAAAGCATACTGGTGGATTAAGGTAGAAAAGAGAGAATGGCTCCCAAGCACAAAGTATAAAACTGTAACCAGAATGAATTTACTGGCACATTCAGTGAAAGAATGTGTCAATTAAGGACAAGGTTGCCAAACAGTGGAAACAACAACAACAAAAAAGAAGTCTTTAAGACAAAACAGGTGTGCCCATCCAGCACTGACTAGGACTTTATCTTGCTTTGAAGTGCTTGAAGATATTATGGGAATAGGCATTCAAATTATATTAGAGACTCCTTTTGTTTGGAGGCCAAATTGATCAGCCAACCTCCTTATTATTAGACATCCATGTGGCTTGCCTAGAGGGAGAAAATGTGATAGGTCAAAGCAAACACAGGGAGGTAAGCTTGATGGGCATACTTATCAATGTAAATTTATAAATTGCTGTTTTAGTTTCATCGTTTTTCAGTCTCTTTGAGGCTTGCTAAAATTGATATCCATGAGTTCTATCAATTCTGGGACAGAGAACAAATTGTGTTCTGTAAGGATGGAGGGACAGCGAGGAATTTGCCAAGGTAAGTGGCACCTTGTGTATGGCACCTGGCCTTCCGCAGGTGATACACTTTCTCATTTATAGTCTCTGAATGTCTGTACATTGAGATGTTAATTATGCATCCATGCGGCAAGTAGAAAAGCATTTTTGGTATAATTTTAGTGAAAAAGCTAAAGCATAACATTTTGTCTATTATGAAAGCAATAATTTCAACTACGCATGAATATGGGCACAATAATAAGGAAACAAGGGAAAAGAAATAGTGATTGAGTTAGTGATGGGCATGCCAATCATATTTCTTTTTCTTTACTGCCATTTTGTTTGTTTACTTCATAAAAATCAGAAGAATAAAGGCAAATTCAGTGTTATATGGATATAAAATTTTATAATAATGATATTTAATAATATAAATTAATACAAATAATAGCATATTTGTAATAATAATTGAATGATAAAATAGACATTAAGCAATAGTAATTTTGGAAGTATTTCATCTCTAATTGGCCCATGAATCTGTTATGGCTAGTACATGGTAGCTGAGAAAACTCATTTAAAATGAAGATGCAATAGCCACATAACTATATATCTCATGCCCAAAAGAGTATTTTCTGGACCCGTGGCTTTCCAATTCTTGGACAAGTGAAATCGTATTGAGCATTGAGTCATCTTCTAAACATATTGAAGACTTCAAATAATCTCTGTTAAGTTACTTTGTAATAAATCAACAAATACAATGGCCATCTATGTTTTCAATTTTCTTTCTAACAAGCAGACCAATCTATTGACTTACTGTTTTCCTGTTTCTTTTTACTAAACTATTAGAGTAACTTAAAAAACCTTTTTTCCCCTTGCATCTCCTAGCAACCAAATTCAAATTTATAAGAAATAAATTTCTTATGGAGGCGCTTATAATTAAGAGGCTTAACACATTATGATTTCCACCTAAACCCTTGGTGGTTAAAGGTTTTTATAGAGTATCATGATATATGATTTAAATGTAAAAAAGGAATTTTTTGTTTAGGACTACCAGTGTTGGACTTGTAGTACAAAAGAAAGTCAAATGTGAGTATTACCCAAATAAAGATTCGAGATTTAAATTTTAACCTTAAGTATTTAAGTAATTTCACTCAAATAGTGATTTAATATAAGCAGAAGCGTTATCACTGCGATTCTCTGCTCTCCTTTGTGTGTTCCATCTTTTCTTCTAATCTCTCTTGTCTTTTCACCATACTGAGTCAGTTTAGTGCTAGTCTGCACCTCCCTCTAGAGTATGAAAATAGCAGTCACTTTTCACATTTTGAGGCAGAAATACTCTTCCTCAGAGGAACTTGATTAGTGCCTCCACAGTTCTGCTTTTCAGGGTTCAGCACCAAATTCTATTTTTGTCAGCAGTCCTCTTTGTCCTACCGGCTGGCATGGAAGCTGAAGAAGCCACTGAATCTGAGTCAGGCTCTGCTTGACACATTTAGAACAATTTCTCTGAGATAACAGTAAACAACAGAGAATTGTGACCTAGGAAGTTAAAATAAACTGAAGCAGCTCTCTAGAAAAGTGAGGAGACAGTAAATAAGGCATGAAATAAGGAATGAATGTTGCTAATTGTGTCTATGGGTACATCATATCTCCAGTCAACCTTCAAAACACTTTGAACTCAAATAAGCTGTAACATTTGGTTAGTTTCTATGCTCCTCATTCATAACATGCAAAAATGTGAATTCAGAATTAGTGAAGATTGTCTGCTTTTTGCTTGTTTCTAGAAACATTTTATTGTGCAGTGAGTTTTACCTCAAAGCTCTGGGATTTATTTGCAGGGATATATATATATATATATATATATATATATATATACACATGTGTATAGCATAGGCCAACATAAATAGACAGAGATAGACCAAATCTCAAGAGATTAAAGAAGATATGTAGGACAAAACACTCTTAAATATACCAACCTCCCACCTCCATTCTCAAATACATGCACGTCCTTGGTTGTCTTTCCTTTACCCCTACTTTTTTGGGAATACATGTAAAGAAAACAAAAAGAAAGAAAAATATAAACCTGTTGTAAAACACAAATAGGTATCAAAGGAAGAGCTGAGTTTAAAAATACAGAGATTGCTACCGATAAAATGCATAATTTTGGATACCAGTGGTTTCACCTACCAAGTTGATGGAAAAAAAATGCATTTTGCAATAAGTTAAGGAAATACATTTGAGGAGCCTTATACAAAAACCGTTTCCACTGTCTCTAAACAGTTTTTAAATGATTCATGTTAAAATACTTCACATATGCTCTGACTCATATAGATAGTCTTGAGCTAACATTCTTTTATCAGCTGGATGTTAATGCAAAGTTAGATTATATTAACTTTTATTTTAAGCATCACATTATATTTTAGTTCTTTGTGAGCCTGGAATCCACTAAAATCTGCCAATCTTTGTCACATAATCGTTATCCTATAACTCTGAGATTGAATTTTTGAACCTAAGAATGGAACTTTTTATTAATGACTGCCAAGTTTTATCTCATTTACTTCACTTCTTTATTCTAGTCAGTTGAGGCAATCATTTTGAATCTTGGCTGTCATTGGTCATATTATTTACTGCAGGAATTATAAAACTTTCTCTGTAAAAAGCTAGTAAATATGTTAGGCTTTGTGGGCTATGGATCTTTTTTATATAGTATTCCTTTTCTTTTATTAAATAAAATACAAACAATTCTTTTAGTTGTAAAAACCATTCTTAGCTCAAGGGCCATACAATGACAAGCCTCAGACCAGATCTGGCCCACAGGTTGTAATTTGCCAACCTCTGGTGAACTGTATTAGTTATCTGTTGCTGTGTAACAAATAGCCCTACCATTTAGTGGCTTAAAATACAAAATATTTTATCTAAATTGTGGTTCTGGAATCCACGGCATTGATTTGTCTGGGTACCTCTGCCTTGAGTTCTTTCCCAGGATATAATAAAGCAGTTGGCTTGGGCTGCAGTCTCATCAGAAGACTTGACTGAAATAGAATCTGCTTCTGAGTTTCTCATGTAGTTATTGGCAGGATACAGTCCCTAACGGACTGTTGGCCAGAGGTCCCCCCTTGCTTCCTTGCCAGGTGGGCAGTTCACAACTTGGTAACTAGATTACATCACAGTTGGTCAGCAAGAGGAAGAAAAAAGAACTTGCAAGATGGAAGCCACAGACTTTTTGTAACCTAATTTCAGAAGTGACGCCCATCACTCATGCTGCATTATATTGATTAGAAGTGAGTTCCTAGGTGCAGTTCACACACAAGGGGAGGGGATTTCACAAAGGTGTGAATACTGGAATGGCAAGAATGACTGGAGCCATCTTAAAGGCTGCCTACAAAACCTATCCACCCAAAATATTATACAACTTAGAAGAAACAAGTTTTCAATTTGTCCAAGTTTTTGATAAAAACATCCAAGAAGGGGTGTTCATGACTGACTTTTGTGGCATGCTTTTTTTCCCCCAAGATTGATTCCAGTCCATTAATACTATGAATATTGCTGATTGCCTAACTGCAAATTCTCAGTGGTGCTATCATAAACATTTTGTCATCATATCCTTGGAAATCTTAAGAGACATTTTTGTCAAATTCATTTTAACAATCATGCTGTTTCTGCTTCACTGGACAGGTGAAATTAAGTTAAACTGAGTCTCAAGGACTGTCTTGAAGAATAAAATAAGTCATAGCAGTACTATAGCTCAAATAATGTCATAAATAGAGAGAACCAGTTTTATCTGCCTTGTCTCCATGACAGGAAGTTTTAAGACTGTTTGCATCCTATATGAGCCTCAATTTTTTTAACCAACTGGTAAAGCTGCCTTTTCCTCCACTTCCATATATGCTTTTATAGAAAGATGTATATTTTCTTAAGAGATCAAATCAGGGATGAATTGGACTTTACAAATATTGTAACAGTAAATCGCAATCATAATTTGATTCAAGGATCTTTCAAAATTAGAGAATACCAGTTATTGATAGCTGCTATCTAGATAGCAACAATATACCATTACAATGTTTCTACTACTTCAAAAAAAAAAGTATAATGCTCTAACCCAAACTGCCAACAAAAGTACTGTCATTTTAAATGCTGTGTCACTCAAACTTCAATCTAACAACCTACGTTTTGCAACTCTTTCCCCCTTAAGCAATATAATTATTACTACCCATTGGGTGTATAATATGAGTGACATGCTGCACTAAACAACTGTATTACGATCTTCTCGTTAATTCTTCTTAACAACTCTGGCAGGTAGGTACTATTATTATGTGCATTTTACAGAGATTAAGCAACTTGCCTGTGGTCATCCAGCTAGTAAATGATGAAGCAAAAGTTTGAAGCCTAGTAGCCTAAATTGAGCCCTTTCTTTTCAAGCAGAGACACAAATGTAATATTTGTTTATTTAAGAACTGCTAAGGAAACTTTTCCTAGGAAACATGGTTGAATGATTCACATAAAGTATAGTTAATTTTTTTTCAGTTTGAAGCCACTAGATGGCAATATTTGCAAATTTTGTTTTTCTTTTTACTTAAGGTGGAAAAGTAACTCCACAGTATTAGTGACTAGTTTTCTGTGAAGAAATTATTTATCTTTGATTTGCCAAATATAACTGTTATTTGTAGGAAGATTTTTCAGTGACATGATGTAATGTGACCATAGCAGTTTCAAGTGGGACAAAAATTGGAGTGTTATCTGCTATTTCATTTAATTTTTGTTTTACTTTAGTTTGAGGTTGAAGGGAAGTTCCTAGAAACTTAAAATTTCTTCCTGGAGGTCCTCCCTCATGCTACAACACTGCCATGAAGTCCTGTTTGTTTAATATCAAACATGACAAACACTTACTTTTCAGAAAAATAGTGTGCTATAACAAGCTTTAGTGACTTTAAAAACATAATTTGTATTGCCTGGAATGTACCCCTCCTCTTTTACATCATACATTCCTGTGTATCTTTTAAATCCTAACTTACATATGTATCTTTTTCCTCTGTGATGTCCCTTCCACAAGCACAGGCAGATTCTTCTAACAGTACCACCTCAGTCCCATACCATTTGAGGCTTTGATACATTATACATGTCCTAATGATATACATTTGTGTTTATCTTCACTCTCCTTTGGGAGCACTTCAAAGGCAGTCTTTTAAAAATTCATATATGGAGCCGGCCGCGGTGGCTCATGCCTGTAATCCTAGCACTTTGGGAGGCCGAGGCGGGCGGATCACGAGGTCAGGAGATCGAGACCATCCTAGCTAACACGGTGAAACCCCGTCTCTACTAAAAATAAATTCAAAAAAAATTAACCGGGTGTGGTGGAGGGCGCCTGTAGTCCCAGCTACTCAGGAGGCTGAGGCAGGGGGATGGCATGGACCCAGGAGGTGGAGCTTGCAGTGAGCTGAGATTGCACCACTGCACTCCAGCCTGGGCAACAGAGCGAGACTTCGCCTCAGAAAAAAAAAAAAAATCATATATAAAACTCTCAGTTTCTCAATACCTAAATAAAAAAAATCATATTAGCATATCACAAGCTATTTATCTAATCCTCTACCGATGACATTTGATTTCTTTTCACATGTTTGCTTTTACATACAATGCTTCAAAAAAGTCTTTGTTTTTGTCTTGCACGTGTGTGAGAATTGCATTAGAAATTCTAGAGATCAAATTTATGCATAATAGGGTACATATGGTGCACACAATTTTAATCACACTTGACATTTGTCATTCATTTTGGCTGCTCGTCAACTAATATGCCTATGTTTTGGGAACTTTCCATTTTATGAGTATGGTGGGAGGCCGACCCTGTTTTCCACTATAAACACTGAAAATGCCAAATACTTGCTTCGTGAGCTTCCTTTGCACCTAGGATGTGGGCACATGGTCTTGTTTCTCTGCTTGAAATTGAGAGCCAATGCATCAGAAGAGAGGACTCTGCACAGCTGTGTTGATTGTTGCAGCAGGACTAAACTTTGTATCAGTAATGGAAGCTATGCTATTAGTGGCATTTAGTACACAGAGCCAGTTCTGTGTGCAGTGCAGGTTGCAACAACTTTTGTTTGGTGAAGGCCACAGTGGGGTTCTCATTAGATCATTTCTATGGTGTGATTTTGAGCATAGTTTTTGGTGCAAAGCCCTGTCCCTAATTGTCTAGGATTCCTAATGATTCTATGAACTACCCCCAAATCCTTGTAATAATGTCCTATTCTGCTTCATCAGTTGAACTTGGTTATTTTTTGTTTCTAGCTAAAAATCCTGACTCTTATAAATTGGTATCAGGAATGGGCTGGAGGTGTTGTTTCTAAAGACGCTGAACAGCTAAATAAAAAAGGAATGACATTCTCAAAATTCTAATTTAGGGCATAGATTGAAAACCAGCTAAAAGAATATCTCCTTTCTTGCAGCCACAGGGTTGAGATAGTCAAAGATCAAATTCAAAGTTTAATTATATAGGTTTCCAAATTCCAAACTCAGCTGAATTCACAGTCTTGTGTAGTATGTGAAAGTAAGAGTTTGATAATGAAAGAGTAGTGTCCCCCCAAACTAAAATGGGATACATGAAAGGATTTAATTTGATTGACTCAGAAAATACTGATTCCTCTTCATAGAGACTCCCTTGCCTCCAGGAGCGCTTACCTTCATTTGACTCATGAGATTGTTCTTACCTTGCTTTACAACCCTGTCACAACTTTACGTAAGGAAGTCATATTGCAGGAGGAAGCCAGTCCTCTTCTTGCTCTACTCTTAACACTTATTATGTCTAGACCAATAATGAAAACCAGATCCTCAGCTTGAACTTGTATTAGGGGAGTGATATTATAGCATAACCCCCAGGATGATAAAGCTTGTACTTTAAAATAGTTTAAGAAAAATATTATTTTAGTTCAGTGATGAAAAGAAGATTTGGTTAATGTATACATATAAATAAGGGAGGAATGTATTTTAAGACGTAACTGAAGTTACCAGTATGGGTAACCTTGTCAGAAATTAGTCTTTTAATATCCTAGCTTAAACATATGGGAGTAGTTTTAATTGTTTTCTTGTTTGGTTGACTGAAATCCAGACCATAGCTCATATGAACAGAAATGGACCTGCTCTAGAGAAGAAAAGATATTAATACAAGAGTTAAAAGACTTGGGTAGAAATCTTAAGGTAGAAGTAGTGGATTAATTTGTTGTTTGCATTCTGCTCTCCTCACTCCTAATAAAATCCCTCAAGAGGGTTCAAGAGATAACCTCTTCACCAAATCTGTTAGAAATAGATTAGACAGTAGTCTGGGTGCAGTGGCCCACTTCTGTAATCCCAGCACTTTAGGAGGCCAAAGCAGCAGGATCACTTGAGGCCAAGAGCTTGAGGTCAGTTTGGACAATATAGTAAAACCTTGTTTCTGTTTTAAAAAACAAACAAACAATTTGAGAGTCTTTCTGAGCTACCTGTGGCTCAGGTAGCTGCCCAATAAGCAACAACAAGAAATACATTACATGGGCATTGTGGCTCATACCTATAATCCCAGCACTTTGGGAGGCCGAAGCAGGAGGATTGCTTGAGGCCAGGAGTTTGAGACCAGCCTAGGCAACATAGCAAGTCCCCCATCTCTATGAAAAATATAAAATTAGCTGGGCATGGTGGCTTGTACCTGTGGTCTCAGCTACTTGAGAAGCTGAGGCAGGAGGATCACTTGAGCCCAGGAGGTTGAGGTTGCAGTGAGCCAAGATTGTGACATTGCCTTCCAGCTTAGGCAACAAAACAAGACACTGTCTCAAAAAAAAGAAAAAAAAAGAAAAAAGAAAAAAAAAAGAAAGAAAAAGTAGAAAACAAATGAATTAGGAATGCCTCTTGAGGGCACCCTTAATTTCAGTGAGAATGTGAAGATCCTAGGTTGACAGAAATTAGAGTACTTAATTACTAAGGCAAATTGGCGTGATTACCATAATTATAGACCATAAATTCCTGACCATTAGTCTGGATAACTACTTGATCTGAGCTGATCATGATGAACCACATGTTATCCATTAAAGTACCAAGTTAGTCATGCCTAGTAGCAGTCCACTATAAAAAGGAAGTAATATATGTGGAACTGAGCCGGAGAATATCTAGAGGCACAAGAAGGATACATGTGTTTATGATTCATATTCTGAGTGTGCTACTTCTGCTTCGTTGTCATTTTTCTCTCAACTTCATTTATGACCTCATGGCAAGTTACCTATGACCTAAATCTCTGACCTTGGTTAACAGATGAGTCAACATAATTTGCTGGCACTAGGTGAAAGTAGACTACCACCTCCCTACAAATCTAATCAGGGTTAGCTCTTAAGGACCATGAAAAATGAATTCCTCTTGATAGGTAGAATTTTGAGTATCCCAGGTAATTTTCCAGTTATGAAAACCATAGCCTGAATCAAGAATCTATGCCCATTTATGGTGACTGGCTAGTGGAACTAGAAGGAGGAAGATTAGAGTCTTAGAAACAAGGAGTTTGAAAAGTAAAATACAAGGATAGATGTCTTCCTATGGATCCAGAATATGAGAATATTGTCCCAAATGAAAGCGTGTCAAAAAGTCTTTACCATGGAAGAAGCTCTTAATAATCAAAGAGGCTGGCAGTTAGCCTCTATCTATGACCATACCATTGCTTTCTTAATAGGCTCATTAAAAAATACCAATCTTGCAGGGATGGAGGCCATGCATGGACTCAACAACATCAATTTTTACTCCTGAAGGCTTGCCAACAGCAGGAACTTATCCTCAATCTTTTATGTGACATCTCCATTCGTTTTCTATTGCTGCATAAAAATTATCACAAAATTAGCCATTGGTAACAAAACGCATTTATTACTTCACAGTTTCCACGTATCACAAGTCTGGACATGGCTTAGCTGAGTTCTTTGCACAGGTTCTCGGAAGACTGTAATCAAGGTGCTGGCCATACTGGCATTCTTGTCTGGAGGCTTCATTAGGGGAGAGTCCAATTCTAAGTTAATTCATAGTTTTTGGCTATATGATTGAAGGCCCTGACTTTTTGCTAGCTTTTGTCTGGAGGCTGCCCACAGCCCCTTGACACATAGTCTTTTAGTACATGGCCACTTACTTCATCAAACATACAAGCCAAGCTGGCTTTATGGGCACACATCCTATGCTGTCACATATCCCTGTGCTTAGAAGGCCCCACACTTGGTTTAAGGCTCTTTTGTAGCTGTTTTGAAATTCTTAGTAATTTTTGAAAAAAGGAGCCCCAGGTTTTGCTTTTGCAGTGGGCCCCACAAATTATGTAGCTAGTGCAATCTGCAAGGAGAGTTTCTAGCTCCAGTCTGCTAAGATGGAGACTTTGGTAACATAATCTAATCACAAGAATTACATCCATCATCTTTGCCATATAATGTAATCATAAGAGTGATATCACCTTTGCTACTGTCTACTGGTTAGAAGCACGTCATAGGTCCCTACCATACTCAAGGGAAGGGGACTATAGGAGGACGTAAATACGAGGAGGTGAGAATTGCAAGGGCCACTCGTAGGTCTTTCTGCCACAGTACCATAAACTGGACTAGGGCAAGTAGAGAGCAGGTACCTAGAAAGGATTTCAGCTGGATTTCTCTGCCTGCCATGCTTTTGTTTGCAGCACTATTTCTTGGAATTTTTGAGTGTCTTATTCACAGTCATTGCATCCCACACAGCATTGTCTCCAAGGAATTATTTTACAGTTTACAATTTATCCCTTACCACCTGCTTTATAGATTGTCGAAATGTCGTACTGAAGACTAGCACCTATAGTGCCAGGCAGGAAAGCAATTTCTTGGGAGGTCAGGATGTTGTCTTGCATAAAGTATTATATGCTCTGAACTGGTAATCAGTACATGGGCTGTTTTCCTCATAAACAGAATGTGTAGATTTGGGAAGCAATGACTATAAGTGGTGGCTCATAAAATTACACCAAATGCCTACTTATACATTTTTTTGCATCATGTCTTCAGAACATGAGTTTTTACTGGTTCAGAGATCTTAATGTCTAAGAGATATTACTTAATATCTAAAAGAGATTTCCTGTAACCACCAAGAGACACAAGCAAAGTTCAACTGTATCGACAGTGGCCACTGCCAACTGGCTGTTTTGAATAATTGATGCCACTGGACAAACCAGACCAAAAGGGAATTCAGGTGTTGGCAGAGGTGATTGATTCTATTCATGAAGAGCAATAGGTGTATTGCTACACAGTGAGGGCAAAGAAAAATATGGATAAAATCCTTCATTATTTATAGTATTTATAATTCTTATTTATTTTCCTTTTCAGATTTTATTATCTGAGAGCACTAGTACATTACTGAAAAGCGATGTCTATAATGGACATCTGTGTATTATGACTCTAAAGAGAGTATTTCTAGCATTTTATCATTACATAAGATGTTTGTGAGGTTTAAAAAGATGACAGTTAAGTCCATTTCCTTCTTTTTCTTTCTTTTTTTTTAAAAAGAAAAAAACTTCAACTTTTGTCTCAGGATCTATACGCCCATTTTCTTCTATTCTTGGTATGCTTTACAAAAAAAAAACTCATGAATGTATGTTGCATTTTTTTCTTATGCATTTTTCATTAACTAAACTAATTATGTTGCTCATTTAATTTATAAATGTGGTGAATCACATCAATTGGTTTTCTGTGTTTCAGACATTTTGGAGTTTCTGAAATAAAACCCACTTGATCCCTTCTATGTTCATCTCCTGCGCTGGATTTGATTCATTAATATTTTATTTCAGTTTTTAAATCTGTATCTATAAATGACATTCACACACCATTTTTCATTCTTGTATTATCCTTTTATTATCCTTATCTTGTATTATCCTTGGTTTCAATTTTAAGGTAAATTGGGTAGTATGTTAGTCAGGGTTCAGTTTAAGATAACAGATTCCATCCTGAAAAAAAAAGGATTTATCCTGTGAGGTGCTAAATGGATTACTTACAGACATGTTTTGAGAACTGAAGAAAGAGACTTATTTGCATTTCCAGGAACTGTGACTAAATCCGTATAGCAGAACTGAGCCCCCAGGGAAGATACTGCCAGTGTTATAATCAAGAATTTGAAACATTATGAAGATGCCATATCTTCCACGATCAGGAAGCCACTGAATCAGGAACTTATGCTGTCTCCAAATCAGGATACAGAAGCTGCTCTAGTTGGCAGCTCCAGAATCACATCACTTCTGCTAATCAGGAAGGTATCTGCAGTCAGGACCCCAATGCCCAGCTGTGTCACCAGCCCCCACAGCAAAATGGATGCCCTGCGTCCTAAACCTCTTCCCATTTGATTCACTTCCAAATTAAAGTTTCAAATGGGTAAAGTTTGATAGCAGAGCTCAAATCACATTTGGTATCTGAGCAAAAGAGATTCTGGGAAATACAATGTTTTATATGGCTTCTGCCTGCTCTGCGGAGCTGGAATAGGTGTTGTATGAGCCAATTAGCATTGATGCCCATAGGGGTCTCCCTCATTTCTTTCTCTCTTTCTTTCTTTCTTTCTTTCTTTCTTTCTTTCTTTCTTTCTTTCTTTCTTTCTTTCTCTCTCTCTCTTTCTCTCTTTCTCTCTTTCTTTCTTTCTTTCTTTCTTTCTTTCTCTCTCTTTCTTTCTTATTTCTTTCTGACAAAGGGTATTGCAAAGCTGATAAAGGATATTGCAAAGGATGTAGATAAAGAGACCTGTAGGGTGAGGTATGCGGGAAGGGATCTGGAGCTTCCATGCCTTCTCTGGGTGCACCACCCTACAGGAACTTCCACATGTTCAGCTATCTGGAAGCTCTCTGAACCATGTCCTCTTGGGTGTTTATGGAGGAAGCTTCATGACATTAGCATTTTTTCCTGCAGGGTATAGGGTGGGACCCTCTCATGAGAGGAACATTAGAGTGAAAGGAGGGCAGGAGAAGGTCAGAGGCCTGCCCCTGAGGCCTAACATACTCCACATTATAACAAAAGACTGTAACAAGGGCTATGTGAGTTATGAGCCAGGAACCATGGACAAAAATCAATATATATCATAACACCACAGCCACCCCCGGTATTTTGACTAGAGAACCTTTATATCTATCTATCATCTATCTACCTACCTATCTCTTATCATCTACACACACAATTAATAATTAATCCAGTCCATCATATTGTATGAATGTCACCCAAGATGAGGCCACTCAGGTTTGCAGATTTCTTCTCAATCTTGTCAGGTTTCAAAAGCAGGAGTGACCTTCATAAAGATACAGCTTCGGGGTGGTTCCAAGATGGCCGAATAGGAACAGCTCCAGTCTACAGCTCCCAGTGTGAGCAATGCAGAAGACAGTTGATTTCTGCATTTCCAACTGAGGTACTGGGTTCATCTCACTGGGGATTGTCGGACAGTGGGTGCAGGACAGTGGGTGCAGCCCACTGAGTATGAGCCGAAGCAGGGAAAGGCATCACCTCGCCCGGGAAGCACAAGGGGTCAGGGAATTCCCTTTCCTAGCCAAGGAAAGGAGTGACAGATGGCACCTGGAAAATCGGGTCACTCCCACCCTAATACTGCGCTTCTCCAATGGTCTTAGCAAACAGCACACCAGGAGATTATATCCCTCACCTGGCTCGGAGGGTCCTACACCCACAGAGCCTCATTCATTGCGAGTGCAGCAGTCTGAGATCAAACTGCAAGGCAGCAGTGGGGCTGGGGTAGGGGCGCCCACCATTGTAGAGACTTGAGCAGCCGGGAAGCTCGAACAGGGTGGAGCCCACCGCAGCTCAAGGAGGTCTGCCTGCCTCTGTAAACTCCACCTCTGGGGGCAGGGCATAGCCAAACAAAAGGCAGCAGAAAACTCTGCAGACTTACTGCAGACTTAAATGTTCCTGTCTGACAGCTTGGAAGACAGTAGTGGTTCTCCCAGCACACAGCTTGAGATCTGAGAACGGACAGACTGCCTCCTCAATTGGGTCCCTGACCCCTGAGTAGCCTAACTGGTAGGCACCCCTCAGTAGGGGCAGACTGACACCTCACATGGCTGGGTACCCCTCTGAGACAAAACTTCCAGAGGAATGATCAGGCAGCAACATTTGCTGTTCAGCAATATTCGCTGTTCTGCAGCCTCTGCTGCTGATACCCAGGCAAACAGGGTCTGGAGTGGACCTCTGGCAAACTCCAACAGACCTGCAGCTGAGGGTCCTCACTGTTAGAGGGAAAACTAACAAACAGAAAGGACATCCACACCCCATCTGTATGTCACCATCATCAAAGACCAAAGGTAGATAAAACCACAAAGATGGGGAAAAAACAAAGCAAAAAACTGAAAATTCTAAAAATCAGAGCACCTCTCGTCCTCCAAAGAAACGCAGCTCCTCACCAGCAACAGAACAAAGCTGGATGGAGAATGACTTTGACGAGTTGAGAGAAGAAGGCTTCAGACGATCAAACTTCTCCGAGCTAAAGAAGGAAGTTCGAACCCATGGCAAAGAAGTTAAAAACCTTGAAAAAAGATTAGACGAATGGCTAGCTAGAATAACCAATGCAGGGAAGTCTTTAAAGGACCTGATGGAGCTGAAAACCATGGCATGAGAACTACGTGATGAATGCACAAGCTTCAGTAGCTGATTTGATCAACTGAAAGAAAGGGTATCAGTGACAGAAGATCAAATGAATGAAATGAAGCAAGAAGAGAAGTTTAGAGAAAAAAGAATAAAAAGAGGCTGGGAGCGGTGGCTCATGCCTGTAATCCCAGGACTTTGGGAGGCTGAGGTGGGCGGATCACCTGAGTTCGAGAGTTCGAGGCCAGCCTGACTAACATGGAGAAACCTCATCTCTACTAAAAAATACAAAATTAGCCGTGTGTGGTGGTGTGTGCCTGTAATCCCACCTTCTCAGGGGGCTGAGGCAGGAGAATCACTTCAACCCAGGAGGTGGAGGTTGTGGTGAGCTGAGATCGTGCTATTGCACTCCAGCCTGGGCAACAAGAGTGAAATTCCGTCTCAAAAAAAAAAAAGAATAAAAAGAAATGAATGAAGCCTCCAAGAAACATGGGACTATGTGAAAAGAACAAATCTACGTGGGATTGGTGTGCCTGAAAGTGACGGGGAGAATGGAACCAAGTTGGAAAACACTCTGCAAGATATTATCCAGGAGACCTTCCCCAATCTAGCAAGGCAGGCAAGCATTCAAATTCAGGAAATACAGAGAACGCCACAAAGATCCTCCTCAAGAAGAGCCACTCCAAGACACATAATTGTCAGATTCACCAAAGTTGAAATGAAGGAAAAAACGTGAAGGGCAGGCAGAGAGAAAGGTCGGGTTACCCACAAAGGGAAGCCCATCAGACTAACAGCAGATCTCTCGGCCGAAACTCTACAAGCCAGAAGAGAGTGGGGGCCAATATTTGACATTCTTAAAGAAAAGAATTTTCAACCCAGAATTTCATATCCAGCCAAACTAAGCTTCATAAGTGAAGGAGAAATAAAATACTTTACAGACAAGCAAATTCTGAGCTACTTTGTCACCACCAGGCCTGCCCAACAAGAGCTCCTGAAGGAAGCACTAAACATGGAAAGGAACAACTGGTGCCAGCCACTGCAAAAACATGTCAAATTGTAAAGACCATCGAGGCCTGGAAGAAACCGCATCAACTAACGAGCAAAATAACCAGCTAACATCATAATGACAGGATCAAGTTCACACATCACAATATTAACCTTAAATGTAAACGGGCTAAATGCTCCAATTAAAAGACACAGACTGGCAAATTGGATAAAGAGTCAAGACCCATCAGTGTGCTGTATTCAGGAAACCCATCTCATGTGCAGAGACACACATAGGCTCAAAATAAAGGGATGGAGGAAGATCTACCAAACAAATGGAAAGCAAAAAAAGGCAAGGGTTGCAATCCTAGTCTCTGATATAACAGAGTTTAAACCAACAAAGATCAAAAGAGACAAAGAAGGCCATTACATAATGGTAAAGGGATCAATTCAACAGGAAGAGCTAACTGTCCTAAATATATATGCACCCAATACAGGAGCACTCAGATTCATAAAGCAAGTCCTTAGAAACCTACAAAGAGACTTAGACGCCGATGCAATAATAACGGGAGACTTTAACACCCCACTGTCAATATTAGACAGATCAATGAGACAGAAAGTTAACAAGCATATCCAGGAATTGAACTCAGCTCTGCACCAAGCGGACCTAGTAGACATCTGCAGAACTCTCCACCGCAAATCAGCAGAATATACATTCTTCTCAGCACCACACCGCACTTATTCCAAAATTGACCACATAGTTGGAAGTAAAACACTCCTCAGCAAATGTAAAAATAATAAAGGGGATATCACCACCAATCCCACAGAAATAGAAACTACCATCAGAGAATACTATAAACACCTCTACGCAAATAAATGAGAAAATCTAGAAGAAATGGATAAATTCCTGGACACATACACCATCCCAAGACTAAATCAGGAAGAAGTTAAATCCCTGAAGTGACCCATAATAGGCTCTGAAATTGAGACAATAATTAATAGCCTACCAAACAAAAAAAGTCCAGGACCAGACGGATTCACTGCCGAATTCTACCAGAGGTATAAGGGGGAGCTGTTATCATTCCTTCTGAAACTATTCCAATCAATAGAAAAAGAGAGAATCCTCCCTAACTCATTTTATGAGGCCAGCATCATCCTGATACCAAAGCCTGGCAGAGACACAACAAAGAAAGAGAATTTTAGACCAATATCCCTGATGAACATTGATGCAAAAATCCTCAATAAGATACTGGCAAACCAAATCCAGCAACACATCAAAAAGCTTATCCACCATGATCAAGTGGGCTTCATCCCTGGGATGCAAGGCTGGTTCAACATATGCAAGTCAATAAATGTAATCCAGCATATAAACAGCAGCAAAGACAAAAACCACATGATTATCCCAATAGATTCAGAAAAGACCTTTGACAAAATTCAACAGCGCTTCATGCTAAAAACTCTCAATAAATTAGGTATTGATAGGACATATCTCAAAATAATAAGAGCTATTCATGACAAACCCACAGCCAATATCATACTGAATGGACAAAAACTGGAAGCATTCCCTTTGAAAACTGGCACAAGACAGGGATGCCCTCTCTCACCACTCCTTTTCAACATAGTGTTGGAAGTTCTGGCCAGCACAATCAGGCAGGAGAAAGAAATAAAGGGTATTCAATTAGGGAAAGAGGAAGTCAAATTGTCCCTGTTTGCAGATAACATGATTGTTTATTTAGAAAACCCCATTGTCTCAGTCCAAAATCTCCTTAAGCTGATAAGCAACTTCAGCAAAGTCTCAGGATACAAAATCAATGTGCAAAAATCACAAGCATTCTTATACACCAATAACAAACAGAGAGCCAAATCATGAGTGAACTCCCATTCACAATTGCTTCAAAGAGAATAAAATACCTAGGAATCCAACTTACAAGGGATGTGAAGGACCTCTTCAAGGAGAACTACAAACCACTGCTCAACAAAATAAAAGAGGATACAAACAAATGGAAGAACATTCCATGTTCATGGGTAGAAAGAATCAATATCGTGAAAATGGCCATACTGCCCAAGGTAATTGATAGATTCAGTGGCATCCCCATCAAGCTACCAATGACTTTCTTCACAGAATTGGAAAAAACTACTTTAAGGTTCATATGGAACCAAAAAAGAGCCCGCATTGGCAAGTCAATCCTAAGCCAAAAGAACAAAGCTGGAGGCATCACACTACCTGACTTCAAACTATACTACAAGGTTACAGTATTCAAAATAGCATGGTACTGGTACCAAAACAGAGATATAGACCAATGGAACAGAACAGAGCCCTCAGAAATAATATCACACATCTACAACCATCTGATCTTTGACAAACCTGACAAAAACAAGAAATGGGGAAAGGATTCCCTGTTTAATAAATGGTGCTGGGAAAACTGGCTAGCCATATGTAGAAAGCTGAAACTGGATCCCTTTCTTACACCTTATACAAAAATTAATTCAAGATGGATTAAAGACTTAAATGTTAGACCTAAGACCATAAAAACCCTGAAGAAAACCTAGGCAATACCATTCAGGTCATAGGCATGGGCTAGGACTTCATGTCTAAAACACCAAAAGCAGTGGCAAGAAAAGCCAAAATTGACAAATGGGATCTAATTAAACTAAAGAGCTTCTGCACATCAAAAGAAACTACCATCAGAGTGAACAGGCAACCTACAGAATGGGAGAAAATTTTTGCAATCTACTCATTTGACAAAGGGCTAATATCCAGAATCTACAAATAACTCAAACAAATGTACAAGAAAAATACATACAACCCCATCAACGAGTGGGGGAAGGATATGAACAGACACTTCTTAAAAGAAGACATTTATGCAGCCAGCAGACACATGAAAAAATGCTCATCATCACTGGCCATCAGAGAAATGCAAATCAAAACCACAATGAGATACCATCTCACACCAGTTAGAATGGCGATCATTAAAAAATCAGGAAACAACAGGTGCTGGAGAGGATGTGGAGACATAGGAACACTTTTACACTGTTGGTGGGAGTGTAAACTAGTTCAACCATTGTGGAAGTCAGTGTGGTGATTCCTCAAGGATCTAGAACTAGAAATACCATTTGACCCAGCCATCCCATTACTGGGTATATACCCAAAGGATTATAAATCATGCTGCTATAAAGACACATGCACACATATGTTTATTGTGGCACTATTCACAATAGCAAAGACTTGGAACCAACCCAAATGTCCAATAATGATAGACCGGATTAAGAAAATGTGGCACATATACACCATGGAACACTATGCAGCCATAAAAAAGGATGAGTTCATGTCCTTTGTAGGGACATGGATGAAGCTGGAAACCATCATTCTCAGCAAACTATCACAAGGACAAAAAACCAAACACCGCATGTTCTCACTCATAGGTGGGAATTGAACAATGAGAACAACTGGACACAGGAAGGGGAACATCACACACTGGGGCCTGTTGTGGGGTGGGGGGAGGAGGGAGGGATAGCATTAGGAGATATACCTAATGTAAATGATGAGTTAATGGGTGCAGCACACCAACATGGTACATGTATACATATGTAACAAACCTACACGTTGTGCACATGTACCCTAAATCTTAAAGTATAATTAAAAAAAAATACTCATTGGATAGGAAAAAAAAAAAACAAGATACAGCTTCACCCATTCAGGCATCTGGGATAACTGATCTAAGAGACAATATCTTCTTGCTCTGAGAGTCTTGAATTGTTAATGTAATATTGAATTTTCCTTAATAAATAACCCATATATTTATTTCTTTACTATCTGCTACAATTTCTCTTTCTTTCCATTAATATCCAAACTTTTTCACCTTTGGAAGGAACATTAGAATCACCACTGTGCTGGGGTCTTTATTGCAGGTAGCAATACAAGTGCAGCAAGCAGCTGCTCCTCAGTCCACAGGCATTCAGACAGGGTAATGTTATGTAGGTGCAGAATGAGTGAGCTATTTTTACTACCAGGCAATATAGCTGCATTCACTGTTAGCCCCAGTTTTGGTAGATGGAGAGAAGGCACAACTCACCCATGTGCCCTTAGGAATTTTGACAGAAGGTTAAAAACATAGTTACAGTTTTTGCTCAGAAATTTCCCTGCTGTTCCACCACTTGCAGTGGCAGTTCTGGTCCTAGTGAGAGGTGAATCCAGCTGGGCTTCTGAGTCTGGTGGGGACTTGGAGAACTGTTCTGTCTAGCTAAAGGATTGTAAACGCACCAATCAGCACTCTGTAAAAACGGACCAATCAGCACTCTGTAAAATGGACCAATCAGCAGGATGTGGGCGGGGCCAAATAAGGGAATAAAAGCTGGCCACCCGAGCCAGCAGCTGCAACCTGATGGGGTCACCTTACATACCTTGGAGGATTTGTTCTTCTGCTCTTCACAATAAATCTTGCTGCTGCTCAGTCTTTTCGTCCACACTACCTTTATGAGCTGTAAAACTTACTAGGAAGGTCTGAGGCTTCACTCCTGAAGTCAGTGACACCACGAACCCACCGGGAGGAACAAACAACTCCCGACGCTCCACCTTTTAGAGCTGTAACACTCACTGTAAAGGTCTGCAGCCTCACACCTGAAGTCAAGTGAGACCACGAACCCACCAGAAGGAAGAAACTCTGGACACATCTGAACATCTGAAGGAACGAATTCCGGATACACCATCTTTAAGAACTGTAACACTCACCGCGAGGGTCCGCAGCTTCATTCTTGAACTCAGTGAGACCAAGAACACACTGGAAGGATCCAATTCCAGACACACTAGGACCACTGCATCAGGTAGGGAGAAAAAATATTTTTTATTTTTTCTGAGGTGATTTGGGGAAGAAAGAAAAAATTATAGTCATTGTATCAGTATATGCCTCGCTTGGCAAGAACTGCATAGTCATACCAGCATGCTCCCCGGCCCCTCTTCCCCAGATCACCAGAAAAACAGAAAAAAATCTAGCAGGGACACTCTAGTCCTACTGACCATGAGTGTGAGCAGACTCTTGAAGGTGTGTAAGTCAGCTCTTCATGCTTTTATTTCCCCCTGATTTAGACAACCAGTGTTTCCATTGCTTGCTCTACTTCTCTATCAAACTATTACTCTAAGGAGGATCTGTGCCTATTGTTGGATATTATAGGCTATACAGTGTATTCCTTGGTCTTGGAAAATGATGGCTAGCCATCCATATCCATGCAATATATTCTATTCGGTTTTTTTTTTTTTTAATGGCACTTGGAGCATTTTCGTCTTCAGTTGGATACGCAAAGCCCACTCCATAGCCAGTGTCTATTCCTGTCAAGACTCATTTGTAGTCCCCCAGGGCTACTAGCATCTGTCTCACTTTCCAGCTATGTTCAGGGCCTTCCCAACAGAGAATCTGTCCCATAGCCATCAGCAGTCACTGTCTCTCTTGCTGAGAAACAACAGTTCTTTCTGGCATTTTGTGCCTGAGAAGGTGCAAAAGAAACATGTCTACATTCAGCCCGTCTCTGCTCTGTTACAATACCCCCATATCCACTCATTTCAAGGACCCAGGTGGCCACTTCAAGGGAGTACATGGGGATATCTGCTTGTCGATTCCGGTCACTTTCTGAACCTGGAAGGGAGTTCTTCAGATGAGCATTGACTTGTTCTTCTTTAATACACCCCTCAAATTCTCCACAGGACCATCCTCCATATGTGCATCCATTTAATAGGCCAGATTTCCATGGCCATCTTGCCTGAGTGTAATGGCCAGGCCATGGGTCACTGGCCATGGGTCAGTAAACACCCAAACTCAGGGGTTTTTACCACTGATCAATTCTTCCATCACTGTTAGAAAAACAGCATGCAATTCAGCCCACTGAGCAGACCTGTTTTTACCTTCTTGACCAAAGTAGCTGCCTTCCAAATAGGTGGTGTCCATTTACCCTGGAATTGCATCCACAAACCAAGTGGCTGTTGGTTAGTCAATCGAGAGCTGTTTATCAGGCACTGTAGAATCCAGCAGTTTCTCACACAGTTCCAGATTCAGTCTTAGGGGAAAGGAAACACCCTGCTCAAGAGTATCCCTTCCTGGCATTTCCCGGGTAGCATGATCCTCTATAAACCATGTCCATTTTATTATGGAACTCTCCTGGGCACTACCATCCCCATTAGACTATTTCTCTGACACCACCCAAGACAACATGGGTATCTCAGGTGTCACAGGGGTAGCTTCAGCTAACATTTCATAGCAAGCCCTCTCAAGTGGAAATTCTCTAGTCCAAAGTCCCAGTAGATTTTGCTGGGAGGTGCTCGGAGGCTTTTGCCATAAGGCCTAGGGAATGCTTCACAGAAGGTTATCAAGGGAAGAATTTATCCCTACTGTCACTCTAGCTTCTACTCTGTACTGTGCAGACTTTGAAAGTTTTACTGGTTCTCATTTAGCATGTCCAATTAATACTGCTTGAAGGGCAGATTTACATGCCATCTGTTTTACAGTACCAGGTGGGGGAAACATCTAATCAGATACAATGTTCAAATACATCAACTTTCAGAAGCCCATCAACTTTTGCATTTTTAATTTTCTAGTTTCAGTAGCTTCTCCACCTTCAGACTATTTTACCTTCTTGTGTGCAAAAAGCTTTGTGCAAAAATCCCCAGCCAAGGATTAAGCCAAAGGACCCTGGCCCTTTTGTCAACATTTGTCTTGATTACTCTGCCCAATTATTGCCACCGGCAGTTTCAGATCAGATTTTTTATTGTAACCTCTGCCTTCTAGCTTTTTGAGTTTCTTCAAACTGGTTTGGGGCCTTTTAGTGTTGGGGGTCCAGAAGGGGTTCCCTTTGGCCCACCCAGTCTTCGATAGTATTATATTAAGACCTTTGTTATAACCCCATCAATTTCCATCTTACTCATTTCCATTTCTTAATAACCGTCTAAAGATTTCCACCCTGCTGGGATGAGTCCCATGACTCTCCCCTTTCTTTTTCTTCTAGTTTCACCTCATCAATGTTTTTTTTATTCACCTTATTTCTTAATAACCTTTTAAAAATTTCCACCTTCCTGGGATGAGTCCTTTGACTCTCCCTTTTGCCTTTCACCATTCTCTTATTAATTAACCTAATTTTTTTTTCTTTTTTGAGACAGTCTCATTCTGTCACCCAGGCTGGAGTGCAGTGGCACAATCTCGGCTCACTGCAACCTCCATCTCCCAAGTTCAATAGATTCTTGTGCCTCAGCATCCTGAGTAACTGGGATTACAGGCATGTGCCACGATGGTCAGCTAATTTTTTTTTTTTTTTTTTTTTGTATTTTTTGGTAGAGACAGAGTTTTGCCATGTTGTCTAGGCTGGTCTAGAACTCCTGACCTCAAGTGATCCACCTGCCTTGGCCTCCCAAAGTGCTGGGATTATAGGTGTGAGCCACTGTGCCTGGTCTAATTAACCTAATGTTTTTATTAGCATCTGTAAGACCCATGAGCGGAAACTGAGACAGAAAATTTGATAAGGCTTCTAGAAATATTGTTTGACTTACATGCCTTCTGTTTTACAGTACCAGGTAGGGGAAACATTCCCCAATCAGATACAATGTTCATTCCCATAATAAAACCAGGTAATGATTTTAAGGGGCCCTCTTCTGCAGGAGTAATGTCATGTGGGATGCCCAGGTAGAAGGGGCCTCTTTAACCACAACATTTACCATAACCTGCGTAATGGGCATATTCAGTGGTGAATATCCCCGTCATCATAAAGCCAGTCCCACATGGCTTACATAAAAAACATATCAACTGCCTCATCTGGGGTGCTCCACTTGGCATTTATAGGTAGAGTTGGACAGTTCCCCTTTTCAGGGTAAACAGACGTTACAGTGGATTTTATCCAGTCCACCAGGCTGGCTATTCACTGAGGAATTACCTCCTGTGTATCTGGATTGTATACACCCATCTGCGATTGTTCAATGGTGAGTTGTGGGTCTTACATAAACCCAGACATGCTATTCCACTCTGCAGCATTTAAAATCAAAGCTACTGCCCCTAAATTTGATACTCTCATAGTCCATTTTAGTAAAAGTTTCTCAGGAAGTTGATATCAATCTACAAAATGGAACAATTCCTTCACATTATATCCTCTGGTTTCAACTGTTACCTGGTTTTGCGTTTGATTATGTTATTGGTAATCATAGGTTTCAGGGCTACTTTCTGTTGTCACTGCACAATTTTCTCTTTTGTGGGTGACTTTGAGGCTAGTGGCCTGTGCTCAGACAGACCTACATCTGAGCTTAGTCCAGCCTGGAGTCCTGAACCAGCACCTTCTTTTACTTTCATTTTAGCCAGGATAGATAATAGTAACCAAGGGATTGAATATTTTGCTTTATCTCTTATTAGTTTGCATTTTCTTAGGCATCCACCACTGAACCAGTTCCTGGGGAGTTGAATCCATCTCGAGATTCCACTGGTAACGTTCACCTTTAGTAACTGATCTCAGTACAGCTACTGGCTTCATATGACAGGTGACCACATGGCCACTCAGGAATCAAAAGTTCCTCATCCCCCACCCTTTTATCCTTTCTCTTCCCAAACCACATGTTTCCATGAGTCAAAGACAATTCGAGCAAATTCCATTTTACTGACACCAATATGTGTAGGGAATACTCTCCTCAAACTGTGCTTTTCCTTTACTCTCACACCACAACAATCGTCAAAACAGGAGACTTCTGTGACCAATTGTGTGGAGGGTTTTCCTACATATCAAGCAGTGGACACCAGCTGGGTGTCCTCTAATTCAGTTCTGACACTCTTTACCCAGAGATAATGTCAGATCCCACAGGTTGAGGCCTCAGTCTCCAAGACTGCCCCCTACCCACCAGTCCCAAGTCCCGGCCTATGGAACTTCTGACTGACCGGCTTCAGGTTGGGGTTCCTGTGACCCCGTCATTGGGTTTGACTAATTTGCTGAAGAAGCTCACAGAACTCAGGAAAACACTGTGTTTACTAGTTTATTATAAAGGATATTGATGAAGAAAGGCGTAGGGCGAGGTATGGGGGAAGCAAGGTATGAGCCACCCTCTGAACCTCCACGTGTTCAGCTATGTGGAAGCTCCTTCATTTTTCTATTACCTGAAGCAACTTGTATGAGATACAAATTATCTTTTTCTTGAAAGTTTTGTGAAGTATACCTATACATTTTTGTCCAGGAGAATCTTTAAAACCTACCAGTTATTTTATTTGTGAGAAAGGTGGTAAGAGAAGTCATATTTGTATTAACCTATAAATGAATAAAATGTCTTTGGAAGTACTCATGAGTTAATGAAACCATTGGACTGCCTTTGAGAGAGATATTGGGTAGTTGGAGGAGAGATGAGAAAAAGTTTTTAGTATAATCATTTGGAGTAGTTTAAATTTAACCCATGGGAATGTACCATCTTTTGAAATTAACAAAATAAAATATGTAAAAATGAAAAGTATGGACTAAAACTTACACTATTATTTTATGATTTTAAGGATTTCCTTATTTCTGCTTAGGCTCCCCTTTTCATTCCTAATACTGCTTTTTTTTTTTCTTTTTCTTTTTTGAGACAGAGTCTCGCTCTGTCACCCAGGCTGGAGTGCAGTGGTGCAATCTCGGCTCACTACAACCTCAGCCTCCCAGGTTCAAGTGATCCTCCTGCCTCAACCTCCCTAGTAGCTGGGATTACAGGGGTGTGCCACCACACCTGGCTAATTTTTATATTTTTAGTAGAGACAGGTTTCACCTGACCTCAGGTGATCTTCCCACCTCGGCCTCCCAAAGTGCTGGGATTAGAGGCATGAGCCACTGTGCTCGGACCTAATATTGCTTATTTTTGTGACTTCTTTCTTTTATCCTTTTTTTGCCTTGATTGCTAACAGCTTACTTATTTTGTTAAACTTTTTGAACGCTAGCTTTAAGATTCTCTATTCTTTTATTTTTTATTTTTTTGAGACGGAGTTTCGCTCTCGTTGCCCAGGCTGGAGTGCAATGGCGTGATCTCGGCTCACTGCAACCCCCGCCTCCCGGGTTCAAGCAATTCTCCTGCCTCAGCCTCCTGAGTAGCTGGAATTACAGGCACCTACCACCACGCCTGGCTAATTTTTTTTTTGTATTTTTAGTAGAGATGGGGTTTCACCATGTTGGCCAGGCTGGTCTTAAACTCCTGACCTCAGGTGATCTGCTCACCTCGGCCTCCCAAAGTGCTGGGATTACAGGCGTGAGCCACTGTGCCTGGCCCAGATTCTCTATTCTTTTCTGCTGCTTGTTTGCTATTTCTTCAGTTTCTGGGTGTAGCTTTATTATTTTCTGTCTGCTACTTTGTTGGGTTTTCTCACTCTCTAATTTGTATACTTACTTAACAAATGTAGTTCTCCTTCCCCTGCCTCATACTTCCCTTAAATGCAGTTAAGACTTTAAATTTTCTTCTATATCAGGGGTTCCACTATTGGTCCATGGCCTGTTAGGAACCATTTCTCACAGCAGGAGGTGAGTGGCAGGAGAGTGAGTGAAGCATCATCTGTATTTATAGCCGCTCCCCATCACTTGCATTACCACCTGAGCTCCACCTCCTGTCAGATCAGTGGCAGCATTAGATTCTCACAGGAGCACAAATCCTATTGTGAACTGCGCATGTGAGGGATTTAGGTTGTGTACTCTTTATGAGAATCTAATGCCTGATGAACTGTCACTGTCTCCCATCACTCCCAGATGGGACTGTCTAGTTGCAGGAAAACAAGCTCAGGGCTCATACTGATTCTACATTATGATGAGTTGTATACTTATTTAATTATATATTACAATGTAATAATAATGAAATAAAGTGCACAATAAATGTAACGTGCTTGAATCATCCCAAAACCACACCCCTGACCCTGGTCCATAGAAAACTTGTCTTCCACAAAACCAGTCCCTGGTGCCAAAAACATTGGGGACTGCTACTCTAGATGTACTCTGGGTGCACCCCCCCACCCCCAGGTTTTAGTATACGGTAGTTTACTTTATTTTTAACTGTCATTTTTATTGTTCATTTTCACAAGTTAAAAAATTCTTTTGTTTATGTAAATTAATCATTTATTAACACCACACTCTAAAAAACTGAGCTAACCAACTATATAAGTTAGACTTTCAAAATCAGTAGATTGTAGATACTGTATCTTATTTTTGTGTACCACATTATTAAATAAAACAATAGATAAATTATTCTGATGTGGCAACAAAGGAAATGAAATCAATCTATGTATTTTGATACCTCAGTTAAGTTTCTCAGTTTAGAAAAATGATACAAAACAAAAACTTGCATACAACCTCAGCTGTCATTGCTGTTATGTCACAAAATATCTTAGACTACAGTTTTTTTCAGGGTCAAAGACGTGATGGCTCAGAGTTTTGTCTCATTCCTAGATTATTCTTTTTGCAGTGTTTTCCTTTCTTTGAGTTCTTTAAGCTTTCTTCTCTTTATTAATGTCACCAAAACCAGGAAAAATCTGAGAATCTATCATTGATACTCACTTGCTGTCTGATTACATTTAATCTGAAGCTAATTTGCATTTTAATCATCTATCTGCGTTTAAATTCTATTCTTTGTGAGTTTTATTTTTTATTTTATTATTATTTTTTTGACATGGAGTCTCACTGTGTCTCCCAGGCTGGAGTGGAGTGGCGCGATCTCAGCTCACTGCAAGCTCCGCCTCAGGGTTCACACCATTCTCCTGCCTCAGCCTCCTGAGTAGCTGGGACTACAGGTGCCCGCCACCACGCCCAGCTAATTTTTCTATTTTTAGTAGAGATGGGGTTTCACCATGTTAGCCAGGATGGTCTCGATATCCTGACCTCGTGATCTGCCCGCCTCGGCCTCCCAAAGTGCTGGGATTACAGGTGTGAGCCACCGCGCCCGGCCTCTTTGTGAGTTTTAAAAGTATCTGCAAGAGGTGAGAATATATTAAGGTGAGAGTCAGTGAGGCCCCTGAGACCTCAGGAAGCATATGAAACCAAAACCCCCAGAAAGAAGCCTGGAGTTTGTCTTTAGTAACTCGAAATGCAGAACCAGAATATATTGAGTTCTTTCTTCCTTTGCCCTCAACTCAGTTCCTTTGAGGAGACTGTTCAAGCAAGAGCCAAGTTTCAAGAGCTTCTGAGGATGCCAAATGCCATCTGTGGCCTCACTATCTCACTGCAGTTGTGTCTATTAGAATGTATCCTTCCCTCCTTGCTACTTTTTTTTTTGCCTAATCAGAGGGCCTCTTCTTTGACCCAATCCTTGCCAGTTTTTTCTTTTCTTTTTCTTTTTCTCTTCCTTTCCTTTCCTTTTATTTTATTTTTATTTATTTATTTATTTTTGAGACAGCATCTTACTCTGTCGCCTAGGCTGGAGTGCAGTGTGGTGATCTCGGCTCACTGCAACCTCCACCTTCCCAGGTTCAAGCGATTCTTGTGCCTCAGCCTCCCTAGTAGCTGGGATTTTATAGGCACACACCACCACGCCCAGCTAATTTTTGTATTTTTAGTAGAGACGGGGTTTCTCCATGTTGGCCAGGCTGGTCTCTAACTCCTGACCTCAAGTGATCCACCTGCCTCAGATCCCAAAATGCTGGGATTACAAGCATGAACCATTGTGCCCAGCCAGATTTACCTTTAGTACAATTCAAGAGACATAATGTTGATGACATAATGTTGATAATTTGCTATGCACAAAGCACTATGACAAACACTATTCTAATTATTAGTTTGTAGTAAAACTTTTAGAGTGTTTAGGAATGTATGTAAACCATTTCTAATTCCAGATTTGACATTTCTTACTAAAGTGCACTGGCACGTTACTTTGTTACTATGTTTCCTACTTTTTGTGTGTGTCTGTGGTGGGGGTGGTGTTGCTCATACTGCTTCGCATTATAGTAAGGTTTATGTCAATTATTTCCTCTGTTGTATTTTTAACTCCTTGAGGAGACTACATCTTTGTATTTAACACAGCAATTAGAAACAGGTCCTTACACTTTGTAGGTACTTAAATGCATGAACATAAAAGCATCGATAAATAGTGAAAGCTTTTATTTCCTCATTGCTCCTGTAGACATTGATAATATCAGAAACTTTGAGAGATATTTGATGAATATCTCTATTCGTAGTGCTTACTGGTAAATGTTTAACAAGCAGCTTTCTAAAAAAAGTATGCATGTATGTATATGTTTATTATAAAGTTTATTGATACATACAATGTGTAGCACAACTTAGAAATAATAATAAAATATATAGTGCTTTTAATATAGCCAATTGATTCTCACAGAATTCTTTTTGAGTTTTTTTTTTTTTTTTTACCAGCCTCCTGTATCCATAGTTTCCCTATGGTTGTAGTTGATGAACATGATGTGGTTAATCATGAATGTTGGTTGATAACATTTGTTTACATTAACTAGTAAGAACGAAGTGAAAAAGAAAAGACTGATGTTAAAACATCACTTGTTTGTCAATTATGTGTGTGACTTTTTTGCTGAATTAGGTGAGTTTTCAAATACTGGGAGAATATTTCTCCAATTTTTTGGTGCTACTTACAATATGACATAACATGACACACTTTAATCTGCATTATTAACATTTTCTCCATGCTTTTCTTGTCTATTATCAAAACAAGAAATCAAGGCTTGATTTGTAGTGTTTCCAAAAATAAACAGGAGTAATTTCTCTTTTTCTAAGTACCTTGTTAGATATACATGATATTTATCAGTTAGTAGCATAAATATGAATTTGCTGGCTGAAAATTATTACTCTTGCTGTATATGTATGTTTGTATGTTTTGATGTGTGTGCAGATACATAGTTAAGTTGGCCTACCGTATTACTTTTTCACTTATCAATTGTTCCTATAAACAAAAAGGTGAATTCTACTATGGTGTGAGACTGTCAGATATTTCATCCTGATTAGTTATAGTAAATCACTTTCCCTTTCTAGGCCTCTGATTTCTCATCTATAAACTTGTGAGATTGAATTAGATTATCTCTAATGTTTCCTTCAGACTCTGTTATTCATGGTGATGACAGATTACTGTTTTTACATGTTTGCCGTTTATCCTGTGAAAGGCTGATAATTCTCCATTCTGTGATGGCAGGCTTCACCGACCAATGGTGTTTTTTTCTGTGCACTTCAGAGGTTTAGCGATGTCAGGCTTTGCTAAATGACTTGCTTTAGCTAATGGACTCTAAGCAGAAATGATGTCTGCTATTACTGACCAGCAGCACTAAGGGCCATCTGTGGCTCTGCCTTCTCTTTTCCCACTGCCACAACAATGACAAAGCTCCACATGAAGACTGCTACTCTACCTAAATCACAAATGGAAAAGAAGGTGGAACACACAGGCAACCTCCCACTGACATGTAAAGTAACAAGATATTTGTTGTTGTAATCCCTGAGAGGATGGATTTTTGTTACTGCATCATAATTTTGCAAGACCTGGTTAGTATATGAAGTCATCAATAATTGAATTCATCAATAAAATTTTAAAAGTAATAATTTCCAATTAAAATTTCGTCTAAAATTCATAAACATATAAGTAATATATATAGACATTATAGAAATAAATTGTAAAGCAACTTTAAAATAAAACATAAGAATAAAATTTATGTTGAAGAAATTGACCTAAATATGTATGCACAACATTCCTTGAAATTTTTGCCTTGACAGTAACAAATGCTGTCGAAGAGGTGAAGAAAAGGAAACCCTTGTACACTATTGGTGGGAATGTAAATTAGTACAACCACTATGGAAAACAGTTTGAAGGTTCCTCAAAAAACCAAAAATTGAGCTACCATATGATCCAGAAATCCCACTGCTGGGTATATACCCAAAAGAAAGGAAAACAGTATATCGAAGAGATATCTGCACTCCCATATTTGTTGCAGCACTGTTCACAATAGCCCAAATTTAAAAGCAATGTAAGTGTCCATCAACAGATGAATGGATAAAGTGTGGTGCTTATACACAATGGAGTACTACTGAGTCATAAAAAGAATGGGATCCTGTCATTTGCCACAACATGGATGGAACTGGAGGTCATTATGCCAAGTGAAATAAGCCAGGCACAGAAAAGACAAACTTCACATGTTCTGATTTATTTGTGGGATCTAAGAATCAAAACAATTGAATTCACGGACATAGAGAGTAGAAGGATGGTTACCAGAGGCTGGGAAAAGTAGTGGGGGGCTGGGGACAATGGTTAATGGGTACAGAAAAAATAGAAAGAGTTAGACCTAGTAATCGATAGCACAATAGGGTCACTTTTTATAGTCAATAATAACTCGATAGTACATTAAAAATAATAAAAAGAATATAATTGGATTGTTTATAACACAAAGGATAAATTCTTGAGGGGATGGATACCCCATTTTACATGATGTGATTATTAAACATTGCATGCCTGCATTAAAACATCTCATGTACCCCATAATTGTATACACTTACTATGTACCCACAAAAATTAAAATTAAATATTAAAAAGAAATTTCTGCCTTGAATTACTGAATGGTTCTTCTAAGTAAAAATGGATATTTTTCAAAAGAAATTAATTATTACAATATTGCATGCCTACCCCCAAATGGCAATATTCCTTGGCAATTCTTAATTTCCAAAGATAAATTCAAGAGTAGGGCTTCTCCAGAAGTAATGTTTTGACTATATATTGCTTTTTGTCATTTTAAGCCTGGTTAAAGAAGCTAAAAAGTGTCTAAGTTTATCCATACTTCATTTATGGCACAAGAACATTGATTCATTTTTCTCTCTGCTCACTGTAGCAAAGAGAACCTGAAAGTAAGTTCTCTTTGCCTATGGCAGTGACTTATTCCCATGAACTTATGTCTTTAATATCATCAAGGTAATCTTTGCAGCAGTTTTACTACTTTATATGCTTTTCTTTTGTTTGTTCACTAACTTTCTTGTTTTTGAAACCAATTATGTCTTAAATATGTTTCTGAGGAGCAGCTACATGAGGCTTTAGAGACTTGCAGTTTTCATATTTATGTCTGACCTAAGATTTTGTCTCGGCATCATCACATGCCCCTGTGCTTCTGTGTGCAAAGTAAAATATTCCTGAATGACCATCACAAGTAAATTTATTATGGTTTTTAAAGATATAATTCACATGCCATATGATTCACCCACTTAAAGTGTACAATTCAAGGGTTTTTAGTATATTCACAGAGTTATGCATCCATCAACACAATTTTAGTACATTGTCATTACCCCCTCCAAAAAACCCACATTCCCTAGCCATCACCCTACAATCTCCTTTTCCTCTCCAGCATCAGGCAACTGCCAATCTACTTTCTGTAATTTTCCCACTCTTGAAAATTCATATAAATGAAATCATGGAATATGTGGTCCTTTGTGATAGGTTTTTCACTTAACGTGTTTTCAAGGTTTATGCATGTAGTGGCATGTATCATTACTTCATTTCTTTTTATTATTAAACAATATTTCATTGTATAAATATACTACATTTTGTTTATCCGTTCATCAATTGATGGACATTTGGGTGGTTTCTCTTTTATGCTATTATGAATACTGCTGCTATGAACATTTGTGTGTGCGTTTTTGTGTAGATACGTTTTTATTTTTCTTGGGTATATACCTAGGAGTGGAATTGCTGGATCATGTGGTAACTCTGTTTAACCCTTTGAGAAACTGTCAGACTATTTTCCAAAGTGGCTACCACCATTTTACAGTCCCATGAGCAATATATGAGAATTTGAATATCTCCACATTCTTGCTAACATTTGTTATTGTCTATCTTTTTTCAGGTAGTCATCTTATTGGGTGTGAAATGACATCTGGTGGTTTTGATTTTCATTTCCCTGGTGGCTAATAATGTTGATCATCTTTTCAAGTGCTTATTGACCATTTGTATATCCTTTTTGGAGAACTATCTATTCACTTCCTTTGCCCATTTTTAAATTGGGCTATTGTATTAGTCCATTTTCATGCTGCTGATAAAGACATACCTGAGACTGGGAAGAAAAAGAGGTTTAATTAGGAACTTACAGTTCCACATGGCTGGGGAGGCCTCAGAATCATGGCGAGGGATAAAAGGCACTTCTTACATGGTGGCGGCAAGAGAAAAATGACAAAGATGTAAAAGGGGAAATCCTGATAAAACCATCAGATCTCATGAGACTTATTAACCTACCACAAGAACAGTATGGGAGAAACTGCCCCCATGATTCAAATTATCTTCCACTGGGTCCCTCTCACCGCATGTGGGAATTATGGGATTACAATTCAAGATGAGATTTGGGTGGGGACACAGAGCCAAACCATATCATTCCACCCCTGGCCCCTCCAAATCTCATGTCCTCACATTTCAAAACTAATCACGCCTTCCCAACAGTCCCCCAAAGTCTTAACTCATTTTAGCATTAACCCAGAAGTCCACAGTAAAAAGTCTCATCTGAGACAAGACAAGTCCCTTCTGCCTATGAGCCTGTAAAATCAAAAGCAAGCTAGTTACTTCCTAGATACAATGGGGGTACAGGTATTGGGTAAATACAGTTGTTCCAAATGGGAGAAATTGGCCAAAACAAAACAGTTACAGGGCCCATGCAAGTCCAAAATCCAGTGGGGCAGTCAAATTTTAAAGCTCCAAAATAATCTCCTTTGACTCCAGGTCTCACATCCAGGTCACACTGATGCAAGAGGGCCCAACCCCACGCAGAGAGCCAACCCCACATTTCCCTTCTGCACTGTCCTAGCAGAGGTTCTCCATGAGAGCCCTGTCCCTGCAGCAAACTTCTGCCTGGCCATTCAGGCATTCCCATACATCTTCTGAAATCTAGGCGGAGGTTCCCAAACCCCAATTCTTGACTTCTGTGAACCTGCAGGCTCAGCAGCATGTGGAGGCTGCTAATGCTTGGGGCTTGCACCCTCTGAAGACATGGCTCGAGCTCTGTGTTGGCCATTTCAGCCATGACTGGAGCAGCTGGGACGCAGGGCACCAAGTCCCTAGACTACACGTAGCACAGGGACCCTGGGCCCTGCCCATGAAACCATTTTTTTCCTCCTAAACCTCCAGGTCTGTGATGGGAGAAGCTCCTGCAAAGGTCTCTGACATGCCCTGGAGACATTCTCCCCATTGTCTTGGAGATTAATATTTGGCTTCTCGTTACTTATGCAAATTTCTGCAGCTGGCTTGAATTTCTCCTCAGAAAATGAGATTTTCTTTTCTATTGCATTGTTAGGCTGCAAATTTTTCAAACTTTTAAGCTCTGTTTCCCTTTTAAAACTGAATGCTTCTAACAGCATCCAAGTCATCTGTAGAATGCTATGCTGCTTAGAAATTTATTCTGCAAGATACTCTAAATCATCTGTCTCAAGTTCAAAGTCCCACAAATCTCTAGGGCAGGGGCAAAATTCCGCCAGTCTCTTTGCTAAAACCTAACGAGAGTCACTTTTGCTCCAGTTTCCAATAAGTTCCTCATCTCCATCTGCAACCAACTCAGCCTGGACCTTACTGTTCATATCATCATCAGCATTTTTGTCAAAGCCATTCAACAAATCTCTAGGAGTTTCAAACTTTCCCACACTTTTCTGTCTTCTGAGTCCTCCAAACTGTTCCAGCCTCTGCCTGTTACCCAGTTCCAAGGGAGTTCTCTGACCCCTTGCACTTCCCAGGTGAGGCGACGGCCCACCCTGCTTCAGCTCGCCCTCCGTGGGCTGCACCCACTGTTTAACTAGTCCCAATGAGATGAGCTGGGTACCTCAGTTGGAAATGCAGAAATCACCCACTTTCTGCATTGATCTTTCTGGGAGCTGCAGACTGGAGCTGTTCTTAGCTGGCCATCTTGCCAGCCACCTTGGTTACTGTAGTTTTGCAGTAAGTTTTGAATGATCAACTTTTTTCCAAATTTGTATCAGTTTTGACATTTGCACATAATTTGTTTGGATTATACTTAACAGATGTTTGGTATTAATATGTGCTTATGATTTGGAATGCTATGGTTAGAGACAATAAAGCATAATGGTTTTGGTCACAAGTGCTGAGTCCAAGAGACCTGGATTTGAAATGACTGTACCACTTACTAGATGTATGAACTTCTATAATCCTCCCTCAGCTTCAGTTTCCCATCTTGAAATGGGAACAATAATACATTAATGGACTTTTCAATTTGTATTGCATGTTCATCATGTGTGTTCAGTGGTGTTTTTAGTGGTGGTATATTGGCTTCTGCTCTAAGAAAATACTAATAAACTTCTACTTATTTGGAGCTTATTTTGCAATAAATATGAGAAAGAAATAAAGCCAGAACAATAGAAAAGTAAGGCAAAACTGCCTGTGGAGTGGTGTAATGAGGAGGAGGCAGAAAGAATCTATGCATGTTCCTTCTCCAGGAATTTAAGAAAACTTCTTTCTACAGTAATTCTTTTAAAATAGTTTAAATAGTTGATCTGCTTGCAAAGGCTTGCAGACATCAAGGAATGTACTTTCTAAGAACTCCTTGGAATCCTTTTAAAAAACTTACTGACTGTGGGATTCTATAAGACAGAACAGGGTAAGTTTACATTTAACTGACTTTTAGCTCCTAGAGCATAATTTGAGTTGTATTAAAAACATTTTTTAAAGCATAAATCTGTTAAAAACAATAGTAAATAGCAAGAGTTCAGAGGACATAAGCTAAGCATTTTCCAGCATGTAGTAACCAATATACTAATGTTAGGCATTGGCACTATTACTGTATTGAAAAAAGGGCTTGGGCTCCATTTTTTTTATATTTGGAAAAATATTTGTTAACAATTTTCTATTCTATGCTACTCCTGGGAGGAAGCTTCAAAGGCCTCAGCCACAAGTAGCTCTAGCTCAAGCAAAAACAAAGCATGTTGAGAATTGTGAACAATCAGTGATGCAACACAAGGTGGTGCTCTTGTCCCAGTGAGTGCTGTAGAGCCTTGTTAGGGCATTAGGCAAAGGATGTACAACTCCAAAAGATTTGGTTGGTATAAACGCCAATGGGGATCTGCCGGACAGACTGAACAGCTGACTGGGGGGCACAAAGCCAAAGGTGACTTTTCTTAGAATGTAGACTGGTATAATAATGCAGGGGTGCAAAAAGCAGCGTAGCAAAAACCTAAGAAAGATAAGAACGAGTGTCTGTGCTTTACAGTATATTTATTACTTGCCCTTATTATTCATTTTAGTCTTAATAACAATCATCTTTACACTGCTTTGCCATACACTTGCCTAAAACAAATGTTAGATAATGATATTTCTATGTAGAAATAATGGCTTCCCATGGTCTTCATGATAAAATCCTGCTTTGTCTCCTGGCAACTTTCACCCCTTCTTCAGGACTGAAATGTCTGAAGTTCCTGAAATGCATCCTTCTCTCTTGTCTCTGTGATTTTGCACAAGTTGGTGTTCTACCTGGAACTTTCTTTCTCCTTTCATCTTCTTGGACAATTCCTGTTCCTTCTTTCTGGGTTAACACAGCTATCACCCCCTCCTAGGCCTTCCTTAATTACCTCCACGTAACAGGAATGTGCGCATTGAAGCTATTAATAGTATATGTGAAGTACTTAATAGATGTATTCACTTAACAAATGGTATCTACTGTTTTCATACAAGTCCAATAGTTTTAGTCTATGTACATATCAATCATTTTTATGTATTTATTTATGGGTATTTACTATTTTCTAGATCTTTTGGTCACTTATGTCTTTATTAATAACCAGACTGTCACTTCATATTCTCAGTGTAAAATCTTCCTTTTTATACAGATGATATTTTATGTTTTGTTTACAGTATGCTTCCTGATTAGTTAGTTGAATAAGTAGTTTCTCAGTCCTCATGTACAAGGTGCTGTTCTAAACACTGAAAGTATAGGACATAAAAATGGATAGCATAATGGAGACACCTATTGTCTAGTGATTCTTAATATTTATTGTTCTTTAGAATTTTAAGATTAAATTGCATCGTTGCTTTGGAGAGAAAACTGATAATGTTTTTCCTGGTTTACAGCTTTTTTTCTGCTATGAAACAGCTTGTTTTATGCTATTTTCTAACTATAGTTTATATTATTGATTTTAAAAAGCATTAATGCTTGCCCATAGTAAAACTGTTAGCACATTTCTGCTAATTAACACTGCCTTAAAGGATCCTATTGATATTCATCATTATATCTTTGGATTAAAAAAACACTAGAGGATACTAAGGTCAACCATAAAATTTGTCCCCTTTTCAAGATCTTATTCAGAATTGTGAATGAAGGCCTTTTAATAGTCAGGGTTCTGGCAAGAATCCGAGGGCCCATTCGAACCAGGTAATTTGAGAAGAGGACTTTTTTACAAACCTGCAGGCAGAGTTTAGAAAACCCAACTATGCCAGATCTAGCAAGATGGAGAGACAGTATTATTTCTTTTCTTTTCGTTTCTTTTCTTTTCTTTTTTGTTTTCTTTTCTTTTTTTTTTTTTTTTTTTTTTTTTGAGAAGAAGTCTCACTCTGTCACTCAGGCTGGAGGGCAGTTGTTCGATATCGGCTCACTGCAACCTCCGCCTCCCGGGGTCAAACAATTCTCCTGCCTCAGCCTCCCAAGTAGCTGGGATTACAGGCATGTGCCACCATGCCTGGCTAATTTTTGTACTTTTAGTATAGATGAGGTTTCACCATGCTGGCCAGGCTGGTTTCGAACTCCTGACCTAGTGATCTGTCTGCCTCGGTCTCCCAAAGTACTGGGATTACAGGTGTAAGCCACTGCACCCAGCCTGAGAGACCGTATTATTTCTAGGCCTGAAGAAGCAAGGGGAGAGAGCAGATACTGTAACACAGAGTGGGTGGCTGTTTGGAGATAACTGCCCAACCAGAGCTGAAGCTTCCCAAAGAGAGACCAAATGATTCACAATGACCCAGCAGGCAGGGAGCAAGGAAATTAACAGTCTTACCTCATTCTCCTATCAACCCCAATCTGCCACCAGGCTTCCCACTGACAGAACCTCATGGAACCTAGAGGGCAAGGGATTCAGTAGACACGGTCCATGCAGGTCAGTTTCCTGTAGCACAGACCAGGGTGGAGAAGGGTGTGGTGTGGATCTGGCGAAGTGAATGAAAGAAACTCAGCACAGGCCTTACGTTGTTCATAAAGTGGAAGACTCGGCTATTGATTTTTTTTAATTAAAAGAAATATGAATTTATCCCTACACATATTTGTCATGTCTACAGATCAATGCCTTTTTCATGAAAAGTATCCTTTCTTCCTATTTTTTTCTTTAATTTATTCAATTAATATTTATTGAATCCTTCTTTGAGCAGGTGCTGAAGATACAGAGATAAAGACACCATCAGATGGGGATAAGAGAAATAATCAAACCATCACCTTATGGCCTACTGTAAGCGTGGTGAATTAGGGGGAAGTGCAGGGGACAATGGGAGCTCACAGATGAGGTAGCTACTTCACCTTATAGATTGTCTGAAAGGCTTCCTGGAGGAGGTGATTTGGGCATAATCCTTGCTCAGCTTAATTGTTTGGTCTCTATTCCCATGTTGAATGTATTTTATTACCATTAGGAATGCAAATTTTGAGGCACATCTCTGAATCTTGTCTTTAAACAAACTACCAAATGTGGATCACCTTATGAAACAGTATGTACATTTTTATGGTATTGAAACATATTGCCACATTGCCTTCAGAAAGGTTGTATACTATTAATATTACCATAAACAGTGTATGAGGGCACGTTTGGCACACACTTGCACTATCACTATGCATTATGTATTTTGAATATTTTCCAATTTTGTTTGCTCCTTTCTGTTAGCTGGCTGTTTGTGTCAGCTTCACCCTAGCAATGGCTTTTTATGTTGAAGAAGCATTTGGTTCCAATTTCCATTTTCTTTATATATTCCCAGAACTAGCCTTATTTTGCCATCCCAGAAATACCTGCAGCTATGGTAGTGTTCTGTCCTCCAATGTTTAAGTTCCGACTTCTTTCACGATTCATTATACTAATCCATTTTGTTTATGTTGGAAGTTTTCTTTATTATATGTTCCAATAATCCCACATTTCTACTTTGTCTCTATTCCATTTTCCACTGGGAGTCAGAGTATTCATAAGAGATAAATTATCTGCCATTCCTTGAGGCAGAAACCCTCAGTATTCTTTCTTCATTTCTGTTGTAGCTCTACTTCTCTATTCCTTTTATTCAGTTCAATTTTTTTTGTGGCTTCTCTTTTTTTCTTGATCAATTGTGCCAGAAGTTTTCAAATTTTATTAATATTTTTAAAGATTTATTTTATTTGTTTAATGAATTTCTCTGTTGCCTCTTTTTTTTCCCAGTTTATCTACTGCTGCTGTTATCCATATTATTTCTTTCTAAAATATATTGGTCTTCCTCCTGCTTTATAATCTTCTTCTGCAGCTGTCTTTGGCAGATTTTAACAGGAATTAACTGACAAAGGGGAAACGCAATTCTCAAAGTTTCTGTCCCAACTTTACAAAATAAAGAAAAGAAGGATGGGTTTAGATCAGAGAGACAGTAACTTAAGAACTAACCAATATGATCCAAATGATATATTCTTGGAATTTAGCTTTTATTTTCCAAGGGAAAAATATTAAATTAATTTTTTCTTTCTTTCTTCCTGTTCTTGTTCATTTTGTTCTTGCTGTTTTTCTCTTCCCCTTCTTTTTCCTCCTTCTCCCACTTCTTCAGTTATAGCTCTGAACACAGATAAAATAATGGTTATCTATAGAAGAATGAAGAAGCTATGGTATCCATGTCTTTGTCAGCATGTACTGCATTCTTGAAACACTGAATTTCTTGTAACATTTAATGAACTGCTCTTGCAATAACAGGATGTTGAGTGTTGAGAGATAAGTGATTAAGTTAGATCTGGATTTGAGTCCCGGCTTATTTATTAACTAAGCCTATGGCCTTGGATAAGTTACCTAACCTCTCCAACGCTCAGTTTTCTTTTTTGCCCTGAGGGTAAAATAAAATAATACGTGTGAAACCTAGTGCCTGGCACAAGATAAGTGCTCAGTAAATGCTAGCTGTTTATTATAATTTTCCATATTAAACCACTGTGGAATACTTTTTCTGTCATATAAAACATTGTTGAAATGCCTGCCATATATTAGTGCCCTGAAGTCCAAAGGTAGAGGAACCGAGTGTTTAAAAATTACTGTGGCTGTGGAGTCAACATGATGTAAAAAAACAAACATTTGGATAACACCAAGAAGCCAGATATGGTTGAAATGTTGACTGGTTGACAAAAATAATTTGGGTTGCTTAATGGTGCACAAAGGTAATGCAAAACACACTCTCTAGATATATAATATCTTCACCTTTAATTTCTTTCTAAAGTACCTAAGAATTGGAATTTTTTTCCTCAATAGTAACTGTGTGGGTTATACTCAGTTTGAGACATTTCTGATTCCTACAAGTAGAAGAAAAAAATTTTTTACAGTGATATTTTCTCTTTTATAGAAATTGTATTACTTATAAATTTCTTGCCTTATAAGTTATACACCATTTAAAACGCATTCGATGTTTAAATAATTGTCTGCAAGAAGCAGCAGCAATTCTGCAGGACTTTTGGCCCGTATTTAAACTGGATAGCTTTCTATGCACAAGCCTCTGTACTAAGTGGTAGTCAAAGATCTGTATAGTTAGCTCAATTCAGTTCCACGAACATAAATTGGGATCTTACAACAGGCTAACAGAACGGGCATCCATGAACAAAAGGCTGCATGTTTATGTATGAATAGAAAAAGATAGCAGACCATATCAACTTAAGCCACTGTTAATGATATTGTCTTAGTAAAAGAATGACAGCAATATGCTAGATGCCTGTTAAGCCTCCAAAAACACATTCTCAATCTGATTACAATAGCAACACTTTTTGTAAGACTTTAAGTAATACTTTAAAAAAAACTGTGGGCTAGGCGTGGTGGCTCACGCCTGTAATCCCAGCACTTCGGGAGGCCGAGGCGGGCGGATCACCTGAGGTCAGGAGTTTGAGACCTGCCTGACCAATATGGCGAAACCCTGTCTCTACTAAAACTACAAAACATTAGCTGGGAGTGGTGGTGCGTGCCTGTAATCCCAGCTACTTGGGAGGCTGAGGCAGGGGAATCACTTGAACCCGGGAGGCGGAGGTTGCAGTGAGCCAAGATCGTGCCATTGCACTACAGCCTGGGCAACAAGAGTGAAACCCCCTCTCAAAACAAAACAAAACAAAACAAAACAAAAACAAACAAAAAAGAACAACAAAAAACCTGTGGCATTATTATTACTGTTTTACAAAAGATTAGTTATTTGAATACATGAATTTTAGAAAATTCGCTTGCAGATCCTTAGAAGGGGTAGATATTATCTGGACAAGCCTATTGCACTGCACAATTTCCTAATAGATAATTAGTATATACATTTTATGGTTAATTAAAGCTAATATTTCTGAATAACTCTGAGCCTTTCTTTTGAATAGTCTGTGGTATTTTTCAACTTATTTTCTTCTTTTTATTACTTTCTTTTTGAACTTGCTGCTTTTCTCTCCAATTCTAATTTCCATTAAACTTGTGCAACTGAATTAGGTCATTTTAATATTGCTGCTAATAAGACACTTTTCAAATTAACATTCTAGTTCTCTTTGGATGGTTAGCTACTGATTCAAAACCAATAATGTTAAAATAACATTAATTAATGCAGTCCTTAACTTTGCCTAACAGCAATGTGATGTGAGAGAGAAACATGCTCTCCAGGTTTTGCATCTGACAACAGGCTCAGATAGGTTAAGAAACTGTTCAAATTGCAGAGCAATTTAGAGCAGAAGAGAGATTAGAATTCAAGTTCTCTTATTCCCTACTATGTTTGTATACCCAACATTATTTTGTCATCATTTAAATAGTGTTACAGAGCATTCCCACATACTCCAGAGAGGAACAAAGATTTACATATTCCAAAGTGTTAGGTCTCTCTGTCAAAATGTATTTGCATCATTTGTCTTTTGAAGTCCTTCATAAAATGTGTTTAGCAGAAACATTTCTTTAACTTTGTTGTAAAAAGCCATCTGGAACTCTTGGTATACAGTTGTGTAACTGAGTAAACATTGGAAATAATTTGTAATTTGAGACCACCAGATGGAAGAAAAAGATCAGAAAATTACATTAAGAAAATCTATAGGATCTATTTTTGTCTGTTTTAAAAACACTATTTCTCTAGAGGATTGCTATAGCTACATTATAGACTATCTGGTAACTTCAAGGGGGAAAATTGTTGGTTCAGTTTTACAGATGTTATCACATTACAATGTTTTTTCTTCTAGTTTATACCCACACCCCATTATATCTATTTTTTAAAAATATAATTATATATACAGTGAATATATTCTGATTCTTTACTATGATAACGTAAGCACTATATTTTCAACTAGAAAATTCAAAAGAAAAAGTTAAATTTTGAAATACTTTTAAAAATAATAAAAATGTGAGTCAATTATAAATCTGTCACTAAATAAGGACAGTTTTAACTGTGAAAGACTTTTCAGTTGTTGAACTAAAGAAAGAAAATAATTATAAGATAATATTTACTTTTCCAAATGAAAAAAGCATTTTTTTAATGCAAAGCATTTAACTATGAAAACCATGAATCTTTAAATTTTATCTATGTATATATTTTAAAGACAGGGTCTCACTCTGTCACCTAGGCTGGAATGCAGTGGCTGTTCATAGTTCACTGAAGCTCCAACTTCTGGGCTTAAGCAATCCTCTTGCCTCAAACTCCCAAGTAGCTGGGACCTACAGAATAGGACAAAATATTCACAAACTATGCATCCAACAAAGGGTCTAATATCCAGAATCTAGAAGGAACTTAATTCAACAAGCAAAAGAAGACATGAACAGACACTTCTCAAAAGAAGACATGGAAGTGTCCAACAAATGTATGAAAAAATGCTCAACATCACTAATCACCAGAGACATGCAAATCAAAAAACCACAATGAAATACCATCTCACACCAGTCAAAATAGCTATTACTAAGAAGTCAAAAAATAACAGATGCTGGTGAGACTGCAGAGAAAAGGGAATGTTTATACACTGTTGGTGGGAATGTCAATCAGTTCAGCCACTGTGGAAAACAATTTGGAGATTTCTGATAGGACTAGAAATTGAACTACCATTTGACCCAGCAATCTCATGACTGGGTATATTCTCAAAGAAAAGCAAATTATTCTACCAAAAAGACACATGTATTCATATGTTCATCACAGCACTATTTACAATAGCAAAGAGATAGAGTCAACCTAGGTGTCCATCAATGGTGGACTGGATAAAGAAAATGTACATACATATACACCATAGAATACTGTGCAGACATGGAAAAGGACAAAATTATGTCCTTTGCAGAAACATGGATACAGCTGGAGGCCACTATCCTAAGTGAATTATTGTAGGAGCAGGAAACTGAATAGTATATACTCTCACTTATAAGTAGGAGCTAAACACTGGGTACTCATGGACATAAAGATGGCAACAATAGACACTGGAGACTACTAGAGGGGGGAATAAGAGAAAAGAGCAAGGGTCTGAAAAACTACCTATGGGTACCATGCTCACAAGCTGGGTCATGGGATTAATCATACTCTAAACCTCAGCGTTATGCAATATACTCATGTAACAAAACTGCACATGTGCCCCCGAATCTAAAATAAAAGTGGAAATTATTTTTAAAAAAAGTCCAGCAGAAAAAGGTGAGTTATAGATGAAACAATTATATGCATCTGTATGATGCATATTTAAAAATTTTTCTTTACTATTGTGTAGTTTTGCAAATTTTAAATAAAAAGTAAAAAAAAAAAAAAAATACAGTGGTGCCACTCCCAACTACCAAAAAGGATTTCTTATAATAATCTTGAAATCTAGTCTTAGTGGAGAAAGAAAAAGAATTTCCAATTGTGTAGCTCCCATTAACATACCAAGAACCAGGTCTGGGAACTTAGGTTGTTGCATTTTTTCCCAGCTTTGAAATGGTACTGCCTCTAAGGATGATGGCTAGGCCATGAAGTTTGCTATTCTAGGGGAAAAGAGGGATTGGAAGAAAGAAGAAAGCCTGAATCTGTCTGTTCTGTCCCCAGGAGAATGATAAGGGGAGAGAGTAAGAAAGCAATGAGATACACATGTCTTGACTGCTTCTCTTCATGCTGAAATCCTGGGGGAAAGAAGTGCTAAATCAGTTGAGGACATGGGAACATTTATTCTGGTGAGTGGATGTTGAGGGCAGAGGGGTGTTTGCCCCATTCCTTTGGTGTGCTGAGTGTTAACCACTTTGCAGGGAGAGCTGTATGGGGCAGCCCCGACAGAATAAATAGGTGGAACAATGTGAATGTGCAGAGACAGGGTGTCTTTCACACTCCTGAACATTCTTCTCCAAAATCTGTGACAGACAGTAAATTGTCTGACATGGGTCCTTACCAACCACGCTTCAGGAGCAGTACACATCTGAAGACAAGCACTAGTGTATACCTGCCACTTTCCACAGTGCCATGAGAGCACATGAGCCCTCGCCATCCATGTAGCTTCATGCCACTCAGCAAAAGTTTCTAAAGGTGGGAGTGACTTGAAAGTAGACATTTAAACAAAATAAAACAAAAAAGACTGAATTTTCGCACTCTTTTGAGAGTCTGAGAGAGAAAGATACCATAATTCAAAAATTAAAATTTTATCCCTTTTCCTGCTACTCAGTGGGGAGAGAATGTGTGACCAGTTATGGTAAACAAAAAGCTAAACTTTTATCATGCATCTGACAGTGGCGAGAATAAATTTTTAATGCCACCAAAGTAATATTCTGTCTTAATGCATTTGTGTTGCTGTAAAAGAAAACCTGAGGCTGGGTGATTTATAAAGCAAAAAGGTTTATTTGGTTCACGACTCTGCTGGCTGTAAGATTGGGCATCTGGTGAAAACCTCAGGCTGCTACCATTCATGGCAGAAGGTGAAGGGGAGAGATCACATGGTGAGAGAGAAAGCAAGGGGTGGGGAGGTGCCAAGCTGTTTTAAACAACCGACTCTTGGGAACTAACAGAGGAAGAACTTACTCATTACTTCAAGAATGGCATCAAGGCATTCATAAGTGATCTACCCTCCTGACCCAAAACATCTCTCATCAGGCCTCACCTCCAACACAGGAGACCACATTTCAACAAAAGTTTTGGGGGAGAAAACATCGAACTGTAGCATATACATACTCGGCAATTATTCCAAATAATACAAAATGATTTACCAAATAGGTAAGCCATTCTCTAATCCAGACCTCTGGGAGTTCATTCTAACTTCCCAGAAATTCTTATTCTTCCAAAATTGTTTATGTTCAAGTATATTTATGTGTGAGAGAGACTGTTACTTACCCACCAATCACCATTCTCCATTCTTCCTTTAAGCATCGACTCCCTAGTTTTATCTAGGCACATCTAGTGAATGATTGCATTTCTAGGCTCCCTTGGATCTAGGTTTGGCTATGAGACTGTTCTACTCAATGGGATGAGTAAAAATAATGCGTGCCTCTTCTGGGTTATTTCTTTAAAAGGAAAGGCCCTGGCTGGGCGCGGTGGCTCACACCTGTAATCTCAGCACTTCGGGAGGCCAAGGAGGGCGGATCATGAGGTCAAGATCAAGATCATCCTGGCCAACGTGGTGAAACCCCATCTCTACAAAAAATACAAAAATTAGCTGGGCGTGGTGGTGCGTGCCTGTAGTCCCAGCCACTCAGGAGGCTGAGGCAGGAGAATACTTTGAACCTGGGAAGTGGAGGTTGCAGTGAGCCGAGATTGCGCCACTGCACTCCAGCCTGGGTGACAGAACCAGACTCTGTCTCAAAAAAACACAACAAGGAACGGGCCTATTTTTTTTTCCCCTAGAATTTTCCCCTCTTTTCACTAGCTAGCGGGTGGAGAGAGCGGAACAGCTATTTTGAATCTAGAGATAGGTATTATCATGTCAAGGATAGCTGCCCTATCAGTCTCAGACTGCTTGTATCTGGATGTAACATTACAGGAAAATACATTTGAATCTTATTTAAGCTACTGTATTTTGAAGCCTTTTTGTGACAGAGGATTCGTACCATAAATAATATTATACATAAATATATTTTTAAAAACCGAAAACGAACAGAAGCATTCTATAGTACTATCTTCTATCTTATTTTCTCTTTTTTTTCCCTTTAAAAAAATGGTCTCACTCTGTTGCCCAGGCTGGAGTGCAGTGGTGTGATCATAGCTCACTGCAGCCTCAACTCCTGGGCTCAGGCAATCCTCCTGCCTGAGTCTCCTGAGTAGCTGGGGCTACAGGTGCATGCTGCCATGCCCGACTAACTTTCTAATTTTTTTGTAGATATAGGGTCTGGCTATGTTGCCAGGACTGGTTTTGAACTCCTGGCCTCAAGCAATCTTCCTGCCTCAACCTCCTAAACTTGTTGGATTACAGATATGAGCCACCGTGCCCAGCTTGTTTTTGTTTGTCTGTTTTTTTTTTTTTTTTACCATTAATTTCAATTACTAAGTAGATAGTTTTTAAAAATCAATAATAAGCTTTAACATCTTTTTCTGGATTTCTTTTTTATACGTATTCTACCTGGTATCTCCAGAAAGTTCTACACATTCCATTTATTCATTTAACAAATGTTCATTGGGAGCCTATTATGTTCTCTGCCTCAAGTACCAGCTCTGACAACACATGGGCAGACTGGGAACTAATGTCCCCAGAAGCAATCTCTTCAACTAGTGAGAGATGGAGCTGGTGATAGTTCTTAAGTGTCTCCAGTGGTGTGAAGTCTCAGGTGCCCACAGTAGTGACCCACCTATCAGCACACTCTTAATTGGCTTTCTTCTCTTCCTTGCCTCATCTTCTTATTTCCTTACTCTGCTTTCAGGGATTGCCTTCCAAATAGACTCTTTCTACCCAATTCTGGTTTTAGAGTTGGTTTTGGAAGAAACCAAACCAAGACAATGGTCAAGCAAGTTTATTTCTCCATGAGAGCCTTTTGAATAGAAACCTGAATCTTGTGAGGGAGTAAGCCTCAGGAATATTTGAAGGAGGAGAAACTAACAAATCCAAAGGGCTTGAGGTGGGAACATACTTGGCAATTTTAAAGAATAGCAAGAAGGCCATGTGGCTGGAGTGGGGCATGTGAAGGCAGAGAGTTAGGAGATGCCTTCAGAGAGTTAGGCTGGGGCTGATCCTTGTGGGCGATGATAGAGATTTAGGATTTTATTCTCAGTGTCATGTGAAAACATTGGATGGTTGAGGTGGGCATTAATGTAATATGATTTAAGTTTTAAAATATTCTGGAAATTAAGTGTAGCATATTGAGCATACATATTTATCTTTTGTGCAATAAACATATAAAGACAAAGAGAACTAGAAAGGAAGTCACAACGCGGAAGAAGTATTCAACAACATTTTGAAATCTAGAAATATAGAAAAGACCTAACAGATTTAACAGACTAGAGAAAGTTGAAACCTAAGAGAAGTGGGGGAGAGAGAGGCTGTTATAGGTTGAATTGTGTCCCCTAAAAGATGATGTGTTGTGGTCCTAACCTCTGCTACCTCAGAACATGACCTTATTTAGAACAAGAGTCTTTGCAGATTTAGTCATGTTAACATGAAGTCATTAGGTGGGCCTTAATCCAATATAACTGATGTCTTCATAAAGGAAGAAATTTGGGTACAGAGACAGACAAGCACCAAGAGAAGATGATGTGAAGAAGCACAGCGAGAACACCATGTGAAAATGGAGGACTGGAATGAAGCATCTACAAGCCAGGAAATGTCTGAGGCTACCAGAAGCCAGGAGAGAGGCCTGGAACAGATCCTGCACTAGAACCTTCAAAGAGAGCATGGTCCTGCTGACATGTTGATTTTGGACTTCTGGCCTCCAGAGCTGTGAGAATAAATTTCAGTTGTTTTAAGCCATCCAGTTTTTGGTACCTTATTATGGCAGCCCTAGCAAACTAATATAGACTCCGATAAGAATTCAACTGATATATGCCATGAAATTTAGTATATCATCAGGACTGGGAGAAACTGGTAACTTTATAGGTGAATATGAAAGATGATAGGGATAACTGAAGGATTAAGTGATAATAAAAGAGCAGTTAGCTCTTCAGATCTTCCTTCAATTCTGTGCCTCTAGGTGACAACCCTTCCCTTACTACAGCAGGAAACAAGATTTATTCAATAAAGTTGTTGAACCAGAAACATCTCTGGACTCAGGAGGAAGAAAAACGAGTCGTCATATTGAAAATAGGGAAGATAAATAAAGTCAGTATTTTAAATAGTGAGATGTCAGTTCCCTTTTCTCCGCTGATCTCCAGAACATTGGCTACCAGACTTATATATATCTAAGCAGCCAATTAGGGAAACTTACTTTTTGAGGAAACCAGTGAAACTCTGTAAAAACAATAAAATATCTGAATTCTACTCATCCTGCAGCAAAGCCCACAGTCAATAAGTTTCACACAGCTTACAAAGTTTTCAAATAACATTTACTGTCTTCTTTTTAAGTATGTATGCAAAATCAAGGATCACTAGACATTAGAGAGGAGTCTTTTACGCTGGAGATGGAGAACAAAACAACATAGAAACAAAATTCAAAAGAAACAGAAAAGGCTAGTAGCAAAAGAAAACAAAACAAAAACAAAAATTTACAGTTAATCTTAAATATCACAGAATCTATGAATCAAAAACAGGACGCTTTAGAAACATGAATGGTTACCTAAGAAATAAAAAGTAAAACAAAAATATGACAGAAGAAAAAATTTGACAGAATTTGAGTTGGAAGATAAGGAAATTGCCCAGGAAGTAGAACAAAAATACAAAGACATAGAAAATAGGAGGGTAATGGGAGGAAAATTTTAAGAAAACTAGAGAATTTGTACAAGAGCTGTAATATCCAGAATATAGGATTTGCAGAAAGATAAAAAGAAAAGGAGGAAATTATCAATGAAGGAGTTCAAGAAAGTTTCTTAGTGTGGAAGGACATTAATTACTCTTTGAAAAAGACCAATTTTGGATTCAGTGCAATGATTGAAAAAGACCCATAGCAAGGTACTTGATGAAATTCTAGTATGCTGATGACAAAGATTCAAAAGCTTCCAGCAGGAGTAGCTACATAATTTGTTCATCCCAGCACAAAATCAAAATATGGAGGCTCCTTGTTCAAAAGTGATTAAGAACTTGAAGCTGGAAACAGCAGAGCTCTAAACCAAGCATGGGCCCGTTCAGGGTGCAGAGCCCTCTGCTGTTGCACAGGTCACACGATCATGAAGTGACCCAGACCCCCAGGGAGAAAAAGTATCTAGAAATCAGGATATCTCTCCCTTTCCCATCACTCTAAGCTGTGATTCTTACTTTACTCAGGATATAGAAACAAACAGAAGAGGACTTCCCCATCTTTCCAACCCGCAAATTACCAGCTCCCTGCCCTTATTTCTGCAATCTGCTTTCTCTCCTTAAATGATTGAACGTCCTGGTTTCTGTTTAAACTCTATTCTTCAGTTTGTGTGTGGGATCCCATATCCTCTAGCCTATTTAAGATTTTTCTCCTTCATTGAGCTCCTTCCTCCTGCATCGTCAATTTTTGCTTTGCTTTTTGGATTATTTCCATCAGAATATAGATATCACCACCATCTTTGAAAGTACTCACTTGGCCCAAGACCTCTTTCTCTGTTTCCCTTTATAGCAAAATTTATAAAAAGAGCTGCCTTATTTATTTATTTATTTATTTATTTATTTATTCATTCATGTAGAGCAGGGGGTCTTGCTGTGTTACCCAGGCTGGTCTCAGATTCTTGGCCTCAAGCAATTCTCCTGCCTTAGCTTCCCTAATAGCTGGGACTGCAAGTGTGAACCACCACAAAAAAGAGCTGTCTCTACTCACCTCCACTTCCTCTTCTTTCCCATTCTCTCCTCAATACTTCAGTCAGGCTGATACATGTATTACTCCACTGAAACTACTATTGTCAAAGCCAACAGTGACCCCCATCTAATCAAAACCAATGGTTAAATCTGAGGACTTATTTTCCTCAAACTTTCAGGAGAATTTGAGATTATAAATTATTCGTTTATCCTCAATTTTTTAAATAGGACACCGCATGCTCCTAGTTTTCCTCTGACTTCACTACTCTTCTGTTTCCCTTGCTGACTCCTCCCTTATACCAGAGCTTGGATTATTGGTGTTATCCAGAGCTGGGTCCTTAGTCATCTTTGTTCTCTCTACTTTCTCCATCTAATCAATTAATTTTATCTCATGGTATAATACCGATCAATACATTGCCGTTTCTTGTATTTAGGCCTTTAGCTCCAGATTCTCCCTTGAGTTTAAATCTATATGTTCAAATGCCTATTTGGAGTCTACTTGGATGTCTAATAGGTAACTCAGATATAACATATACAAAATAGAACCCAATTTTCTCCTAGAAATCTCCAGTCTTACCAGTCCAATCAAATGACTCCATCATTAATGCAGTTGCTTTGGCCAAAACACTAGTAGTTATCCTTGATTCCACTCTCCCTCATATGCCACATCAAATTAACCACCACCCATTAGATCATACTGGTTCTAATTCCCAAATATATCCTGATTGCTGATTTCCCACCACTCCTGTCATGACCCTGGACTCTCCCAGTACCATTGCAATAGCTCCCTAACTCTCCCTTCTTCCTGCCTGTGTTGCCTCCTTACTATCCACTCTCCATATAATGACCAGAACAATCTTCAGAAAGCCCTATAGTATAAGAAGTATGTTTATTATCCCCTTTTACAGATAAGACAACTGGAGCTGAAAATGGTTAGGAAATGTATCCAATATCAGACAGCTAGTAAATAGTAATATAAAATTTAAATCTAGATGCCTTCCTAGAGTGCCCTTTCCCCTCCTGTGTTTTGATATTCTTTAATCTTTGTGTCTGGAGTACCTATCTCTGCACACTGAGTAGCAACTGGCACACAATATACACTTAATAAATTGTTGAATTAATTAATAGCACTTGGCCATAGGTGCTATTCAAAAACCATATTCAATAAATGGTTTTTATTTGAGTGTCTTAGAATATAAGCTCTGTAGAAGGTAAGATTTTAGAGGAACCATTTTATGATACATCTCATTCACAATGAACTTTTTTTTTTTTTTTTTTTTTTTTTTTTTGAGACAGAGTCTCACTCCATCACCAGGCTGCAGTGGAGTAGTGCACTCTTGGCTCACTGCAACCTCCACCTCTCAGGTTCAAGTGATTTTCCTGCCTCAGCCTCCCGAGTAGCTGGGATTACAGGTGTGCGCTGCCACGCCCAGCTAATTTTTGTATTTTTAGTAGAGACTGGGTTTTGCTATGTTAGTCAGGCTGGTCTCAAACTCCTGACTTCAAGTGATCCACCTGCCTTGGCCTCCTAAACTGCTGGCATTATAGGCATGAGCCACCGTGCCTGACCCCACACTGAACCTTGAATTTGCTATTACGCTGGGAACAGGCCCCCAAATCTGGCCATAAACTGGCCCCAAAACTGGCCATAAAGAAAATCTCTGCAGCACTGTGACATGTTCATAATGGCCATGATGCCCACACTGAAGGTTGTGGGTTTACTGGAATGAGGGCAAGGAACATCTGGCCCACCCAGGGTGGAAAACTGCTTAAAGGTGTTCCTGAACCACAAACAATAGCATGAGCAATCTGCACCTTAAGGACATGTTCCCACTGCAGATAACTAGCCAGACCCATCCCTTAATTTTGGCCCATCCCTTTGTTTCCTGTAAGAAATACTTTCAGTTAATCTACAATCTATAGAAACAATGCTTATCACTGATTTGCTGTCAGTAAATATGTGGGTAAATCTCTGTTCGAGGCTCTCAGCTCTGAAGGCTGTGAGGACCCCTGATTTCCCACTCCACGCCTCTATATTTCTGTGTGTGTCTTCAATTCCTCTAGCGCTGCTGTGTTAGGGTCTCCACGACTGAGCTGGTCCCAGCAAGAGGTGCCCAACATGGAGGCTCGAACCCAGGTCGAAGGGTCACCAGAGTGATGGTTGGAGAATGTGGAACTAAGCTGGAGTACACCCGAGTACTCTTAAGCAATCCCTGTGGTGAGTAAGAGGGGAGCTCGGAAGCATCAGGGTAACAATGGGACTAGTGTGGGCTCTGGTTCGTTCCACCTTGGAACCTTTTCACACTGATGATGAAGAAGAAGGAAAGTATAAGGAAGTAACAGAAGAAGTAACAGAGCAGGTTTGTTTGCCAACTAAAGCTAAAGTGGCAAAGGAGGAAGAGGTTCATCCCTACTCTTCTGCACCCCCTCATTATTTTGAAGAAAAAGAGTGTCCTGACCCTCCAGATCTTTCTTTTCCGGAGGACACTGGGTGAAAGTTGTTGCCCTAGTGACTGTTCGAGCAGCACCTCGAGCGACCACTCTCAGCTCTGTTCAGGCAGGAATTCAGCAAGCTAGAAGAGAGGGTGATTTAGAGGCTTGGCAGTTCCCTGCTAGAATACACCCCACAGATCAACAGGGAAATGTTATAGCTACATTTGAGTCTTTTCCTTTTAAATTACTCAAAGAATTTAGACAAGCTATTAGTCAATATGGACCAGGTTCTCCTTCTGTAATGGGACTGTAAAGAATGTTGCTCTTTCCAGTCGATGATTCCTACCAACTGGGATGCTCTTACTTGAGCTTGTCTAAATCCTGCTCACTTCTTACAATTTAAAACTTGGTGGGCAGATGAAGCTTCCATTCAGGCTCCTCACAATGCCCAGGCCCAACCTCAAATTAATATGACTGCAGACCAACTTTTAGGGGTCGGCAGCTGGGCTGGTTTAGATGCACAAGTGGTCATGCAGGACTATGCCATAGAACAGCTTAGAGGAGTGTGCATTAGAGCTTGGGAAAAAAGTCACTTCGGGTGAAGAACAATACCCTTCCTTTAGCATTGTAAAACAGGGACCAAGAGAACCATACACGGATTTTATAGCTTGGTTACAGGAGTCTCTTAAAAAGGTGATTGCAGATTCAGCTGCTCAGGATATAGTGTTGTGGTTATTAGCTTTCGACAATGCTAATCCCGATTGCCAGGCTGCTCTGCGACCTATCAGAGGGAAAGCACATTTAGTTGATTATATCAAGGCCTGTGATGGTATTGGAGATAATCTGCATAAGGCTACTCTGCTAGCCCAGGTAATGGCAGGAGTGAGAGTGGGTAAAGGAATACTCCATTTCCTGGAGCTTGTTTTAACTGTGGGAAGCATGGTTATACTAAAAAAGAATGTAGAAACAATCAGCGAGTCAGGCCACCAGATAAGGGAAAAAAGAAAACTGCTGAGCCTGAAATATGTCCAAAATGTAAAAAAGGAAAACATTGGGCTAGTCATTGTCACTCTAAGTTTGATAAAGATGGGAACCTGATTTCGGGAAACGACATGAGGGGCCCATCCTGGGCCCCATTCCAAACGGGGCATTTCCAGCTCAGGCCATTCCCTCATCCCTGTACAATATCTGTCCCCATCACAGCCAGTAGTGCCACAGTAGATTTATGCTGCACAAAAGCTGTGAGCCTTCTGCCTGGGGAACCCCCGCAAAAGGTCCCAACAGGAGTCTGTGGACCCTTGCCAGCGGGGACGATAGGATTCCTTCTAGGAAGGTCTAGTTTAAATTTAAAAGGGATACAAGTACAAACAGGAGTCATTGATTCAGATTACAATGGGGAAATTCAAATTGTTATATCCACTTCTGTTCCCTGGAAAGCAGAACCAGGAGAGCGTATAGCACAGCCCCTGATTATGCCATATGTGGAAATGGGGAAAAGTGAAATTAAATGAACAGGAGGATTTGGAAGCACAAATAAACAAGGCAAAGCAGCTTATTGGGTGAATCAAATTACTGATAAATGTCCTACCTGTGAAATAACTATTCAGGGAAAGAAATTTAAAGGTTTGGTAGATATAGGAGTAGACATTTCAATCATTTCTCTACAGCACTGGCTGTCCGCGTGGCCAATTCAACCTGCTCAATTTAACATAATTGGACTTGTAAAGCCCCTGAAGTATATCAAAGTAGTTATATTTTGCATTGTTAAGGGCCCAATGGACAACCTGGGACTATTCAACCAATTGTAACTTCTGTACCTATAGATATAAGGGGAAGAGATTTATTACAATGGGGAGCACAAGTTCTAATTCCAGAACAATTATATAGCCCTCAAAGTCAACATATGATGCATGAAATGGGATATGTCCCTGGTATGGGACTAGGAAAAATTTACAGAGTTTGAAGGAACCACTTCAAGAGGAAAGACGGAGTTCTCGCCAAGGTTTAGGATACCATTTTTGATGGTGGCCATTGTTAAGCCTCCAGAACTTACACCTTTAGAATGGTTAACAGATAAGCCAATTTGGATAGAACAATGGCTGCTAAGTAAAGAGAAACTGGAGGCTTTAGAGGAATTACTTACTGAACAATTAAAAACCAGACACATAGGCAGTTCCAAGATGGCCGAATAGGAACAGCTACAGGCTACAGCTCCCAGTGTGAGTGACACAGAAGACGTGTGATTTCTGCATTTCCAACTGAGCTACCAGGTTCATCTCACTGGGGCTCGTCCGACAGTGGGGGCAGGACAGTGGGTACAGCCCACCGAGTGTGAGCCAAAGCAGGGCGAGGCATCGCCTCACCCAGGAAGTGCAAGGGGTCAGGGAATTCCCTTTCCTAGCCAAGGAAAGGGGTGACAGATGGCACCTGGAAAGTCGGGTCACTCCCACCCTAATACTGCGCTTTTCCAACAGTCTTAGCAAATGGCACACCAGGAGATTATATCCCGCACCTGGCTCGGAGGGTCCCATGCCCACGGAGCCTTGCTCATTGCAAGCACAGCAGTCTGAGATCAAACTGCAAGGTGGCAGCAAGTCTTGGGGAGGGGCACCCACCATTGCTGAGGCTTGAGTAGGTAAACAAAGCAGTCAGGGAGCTCGAACTGGGTGGATACCATCGTAGCTCAAGGAGGCCTGCCTGCCTCTGTAGACTCCACCTCTGGGGGCAGGGCATAGCCAAACAAAAGGCAGCAGAAACTTCTGCAGACTTAAATGTCCCTGTCTGACAGCTTTGAAGAGAGTAGTGGTTCTCCCAGCACGGAGTTTGAGATCTGAGAACAGATAGAGTGCCTCCTCAAGTGGGTCCCTGATCCCTGAGTAGCCTAACTGGGAGGCACCCTCCAGTAGGGGCAGACTGGCACCTCACATGTCTGGGTACCCCTCTGAGACAAAGCTTCCAGAGGAAAAATCAGGCAGCAACATTTGCTGTTCAGCAATATTCGCTGTTCTGCAGCCTCCACTGCTGATACCCAGGCAAACAGGGTCTGGAGTGGACCTCCCGCAAACTCCAACAGACCTGCAGCTGAGGGTCCTGACTGTTAGAAGGAAAACTAACAAACAGAAAGGACATCCACCCCAAACCCCCATCTGTACGTCACCATCACCAAAGACCAAAAGTAGATAAAACCACAAAGATGGGGAAAAAAAAAGAGAAGAAAAGCTGAAAATTCTAAAAATCAGAGCACCTCTCCCCCTCCAAAGGAACACAGCTCCTCACCAGCAATGGAACAAAGCTGGATGGAGAATGACTTTGATGAGTTGAGAGAAGAAGGCTTCAGACGATCAAACTTCTCTGAGCTAAAGGAGGAAGTTCAAACTCAATGCAAAGAAGCTGAAAACCTTGAAAAAAGATTAGACAAATGGCTAACTAGAATAACCTGATGGAGCTGAAAACCATTGCACGAGAACTACGAGATGAATGCACAAGCTTCAGTAGCCGATTCAACCAACTGGAAGAAGGGTATCAGTGATTGAAGATCAAATGAATGAAATGAAGCAAGAAGAGAAGTTTAGAGAAAAAAGAGTAAAAACAAATGAACAAAGTCTCCAAGAAATATGGCACTATGTGAAAAGACCAAATCTACGTCTGATTGGTGTACCCGAAAGTGGCAGGGAGAATAGAACCAAGTTGGAAAACACTCTGCAGGATATCATCCAGGAGAACTTCCCCAATCTAGCAAGGCAGGCCAACATTCAGATTCAGGAAATACAGAGAACACCACAAAGATACTCCTCGAGAAGAGCAACTCCAAGACACATAATTGTCAGATTCACCAAAGTTGAAATGAAAGAAAAAATTTTAAGGGCAGCCAGAGAGAAAGATCAGGTTACACACAAAGGGAAGCCCATCAGACTAACAGCAGATCTCTTGGCAGAAACTCTGCAAGCCAGAAGAGAGTGGGGGCCAACATTCAACATTCTTAAAGAAAAGAATTTTCAACCCAGAATTTCATATCCAGCCAAACTAAGCTTCATAAGTGAAGGAGAAATAACATCCTTTAGAGACAAGCAAATGCTGAGAGATTTTGTCACCACCAGGCCTGCACTACAAGAACTCCTGAAGGAAGCACTAAACATGGAAAGGAACAACTGGTACCAGCCACTGCAAAAATATGACAAATTGTAAAGAACATTGATGCTAGGAAGAAACAGTATCAACTAATGAGCAAAATAACCAGCTAACATCATAATGACAGGATCAGATTCACACATAACAATATTAACCTTAAATGTAAATGGGCTAAATTCTCCAATTAAAAGACACAGACTGTCAAATTGAATAAACAGTCAAGACCCATCAGTGTGTTGTATTCAGGAAACCCATCTCACATGCAGAGACATACGTAGAATCAAAATAAAGGGACGGAGGAAGATCTACCAAGGAAATGGAAAACAAAAAAAAAGCAGGGGTTGCAATCCTAGTCTCTGATAAAACAGAGTTTAAACCAACGAAGATCAAAAGAGACAAAGAAGGCCATTACATAATGGTAAAGGGATCAATTCAACGAGAAGAGCTAACTATCTTAAATATATATGCACCCAATACAGGAGCACCCAGATTCATAAAGCAAGTCCTTAGAGATCTACAAAGAGACTTAGACTCCCACACAGTAATAACGGGAGACTTTAAAACCCCACTGTAAACATTAGACAGATCAATGAGACAGAAAGTTAACAAGGATATCCAGGAATTGAACTCAGCACTTCACCAAGTGTACCTAATAGACATCTATAGAACTCTCCACCCCAAATCAACAGAATATACCTTCTTCTGAGCACCACATTGCACTTGTTCCAAAATTGACCACATAGTTGGAAGTAAAGCACTCCTCAGCAAATGTGAAAGAACAGAAATTATAACAACCTGTCTCTCAGACCACAGTGCAATCAAACTAGAACTCAGGATTAAGAAACTCACTCAAAACTGCTCAACTACATGGAAACTGAACAACCTGCTCCTGAGTGACTACTGGGTACATAACAAAATGAAGGCAGAAGTAAAGATGTTCTTTGAAACCAATGAGAACAAAGACACAACATACCAGAATCTCTGGGACACATTTAAAGCAGTGTGTAGGGGAAATTTATAGCACTAAATGCACACAAGAGAAAGCAGGAAAGATGTAAAATTGACACCCTAACATCACAATTAAAAGAACTACAAAAGCAAGAGCAAACTCATTCAAAAGCTAGCAGAAGGCAAGAAATAACTGAGATCACAGAGGAACTGAAGGCGATAGAGACACAAAAAACCCTTCAAAAAATCATTGAATCCAGGAGCTGGTTTTTTGAAAAGATCAACAAAATTGATAGATCACTAGCAAGACTAATAAAGAAGAAAAGAGAGAAGAATCAAATAGATGCAATAAAAAATGATAATGGGGATATCACCACCAATCCCACAGAAATACAAACTACCGTCAGAGAATACTATAAACACCTCTACGCAAATAAACTAGAAAATCTAGAAGAAATGGATAAATTCCTGGACACATACACCCTCCCAAGACCAAACCAGGAAGAAGTTGCATCCCTGAATAGACCAATAACATGTTCTGAAATTGAGGCAATAATTAATAGCCTACCAACCAAAAAAAGTCCAGGACCAGAAGGATTCATAGCCAAATTCTACCAGAGGTACAAGGAGGAGCAGGTATCATTCCTTCTGAAACTATTCCAATCAATAGAAAAAGAGGGAATCCTCCCTAACTCATTTTATGAGGCCAGTATCATCCTGATACCAAAGCCTGGCCGAGACACAACAAAAAAAGGGAATTTTAGACCAATATCCCTGATGAACATTGATACAAAAATCCTCAATAAGATACTGGCAAACCAAATCCAGCAGCTCATCAAAAAGCTTATCCATATGATCAAGTCGGCTTCATCCCTGGGATGCAAAGTTGGTTCAACATACACAAATCAATAAATGTAATCCAGCATATAAACAGAACCAAAGAGAAAAACCACATGATTATCTCAGTAGATGCAGAAAAGGTCTTCAACAAAATTCAGCAGCCCTTCATGCTAAAAACTCTCAATAAATTAGGTATTGATGGGACGTATCTCGAAATAGTAAGAGCTATTTATGACAAACTCAGAAACAATATCATACTGAATGGGCAAAAACTGGAAGCATTCCCTTTGAAATGGGATGCCCTCTCTCACCACTCCTATTCAACATAGTGTTGGAAGTTCTGGCCGGGGCAATCAGGCAGGAGAAAGAAATAAAGGGTATTCAATTAGGAAAAGAGGAAATCAAATTGTCCCTGTTTGCAGATGACATGATTGTATATTTAGAAAACCCCATTGTCTCAGCCCAAAATCTCCTTAAGCTGATAAGCAACTTCTGCAAAGTCTCAGGATACAAAATCAATGTGCAAAAATCACAAGCATTCTTATACACCAATAACAGACAAACTGAGAGCCAAATCATGAGTGAACTCCCATTCACAATTGCTTCAAAGAGAATAAAATACCTAGGAATCCAACTTACAAGGGATGTGAAGGACCTCTTCAAGGAGAACTACAAACCACTGCTCAACGAAATAAAAGAGGATACAAACAAATGGAAGAACATTCCATGCTCGTGGATAGGAAGAATCAATATCATGAAAATGGCCATACTGCCCAAGGTAATTTATAGATTCAGTGCCATCCCCATCAAGCTACCAATGACTTTATTTACAGAATTGGAAAAAACTACTTTAAAGTTCATATGGAACCAAAACAGAGCCCGCATTGCCAAGACAATCCTAAGCCAAAAGAACAAAGCTGGAGACATCATGCTACCTGACTTCAAACTATGCTACAAGGCTACAGTAACCCAAACAGCATGGTACCGGTACCAAAACAGAGATATAAATCAATGGAACAGAACAGAGCCCTCAGAAATAGTACCACATGTCTACAGCCATCTGATCTTTGACAAACCTGACAAAAACAAGAAATGGGGAAGGATTCCCTATTTAATAAATGGTGCTGGGAAAACTGGCTAGCCATATGTAGAAAGCTGAAACTGGATCCCTTTCTTACACCTTATACAAAAATTAATTCAAGATGGATTAAAGACTTAAATGTTAGACCTAAAACCATAAAAACCCTAGAAGAAAACCTAGGCAATACCATTCAGGACATAGGCATGGGCAAGGACTTCATATCTAAAACACCAAAAGCAATGGCAACAAAAGCTAAAATTGACAAATGGGATCTAATTAAACTAAAGAGCTTCTGCACAGCAAAAGAAACTACCATCAGAGTGAACAGGCAACCTACATAATGGGAGAAAATTTTTGCAATCTACTCATTTGACAAAAGGCTAATATCCAGAATCCACAAAGAACTCAAACAAACTTACAAGAAAAAAACAACCCCATCAAAAAGTGGGCAAAGGTTATGAACAGACACTTCTCAAAAGAAGACATTTATGCAGCCAACAGACACATGAAAAAATGCTCATCACCACTGGCCATCAGAGAAATGCAAATCAAAACCACAATGAGATACCATCTCACACCAGTTAGAATGGCGATCATTAAAAAGTCAGGAAAGAAGAGGTACTGGAGAGGATGTGGAGAAACAGGAACACTTTTACACTGTTGGTGGGACAGTAAACTAGTTCAACCATTGTGGAAGACAGTGTGGTGATTCCTCAAGGATCTAGAACTAGAAATATCATTTGACCCAGCCATCCCATTACTGGGTATATACCCAAAGGATTATAAATCATGCTGCTATAAAGGCACATGCACATGTATGTTTATTGCGGCACTATTCACAATAGCAAAGACTTGGAACCAACCCAAATGTCCATCAGTGATAGACTGGATTAAGAAAATGTGGCACATATACACCATGGAATACTATGCAGCCATAAAAAGGATGAGTTCATGTCCTTTGTCAGGACATGTATGAAGCTGGAAACCATCATTCTCAGCAAACTATCTCAAGAACAAAAAACCAAACACCGCATGTTCTCACGCATAGGTGGGAATTGAACAATGAGAACACTTGGAGACAGGAAGGGGAACATCACACACCGGGGCATGTTGTGGGCTTGGGGGAGGGAAAGCACTAGGAGGTGTACCTAATGTAAATGACGAGTTAACGGGTACAGCACACCAACATGGCACATGTATACATATGTAACAAGCCTTCACATTGTGCACATGTACCCTAGAACTTAAAGTATAATAAAAAAAAAAGAAAAAAAAAGAAAGCGGACACATAGCTCCAACATTTTCCCCTTGGAATTCTCCAGTTTTTGTATTTAAGAAAAAATACAGTAAATGGAGAATGTTGACAGATCTTAGAGCCATTAATTCAGTTATACAACCTGTGGGAGCATTACAGCCAGGATTGCCTTCTCCTGCTATGATTCCAAAAAATTGGCCCTTAATAGTCATAGATTTAAAAGACTGTTTCTTTACTATCCCCTTAGCTGAGCAAGACTGTGAATGGTTTGCACTTACAATTCCTGCAGTAAACAACCTGCAGCCTGCTAAGCGTTTTCATTGGAAAGTGTTGCCATGAGGCATGTTAAGCAGTCCAACGATTTACCAGACTTATGTAGGGCAAGCAATTGAACCTACTTGTAAAAAATTTTCACAGTGTTACATTACTCATTATATGGATGATATACTTTGTGCTGTCCCCACTCGAGAAATATTACTCCAATGTTATGATCACTTGCAAAATTTGATTTCTCATGCTGGTTTAATTATAGCTCTGGACAAAATTCAGACTACTACTCCTTACTCCTACTTGGGGACCTTAGTAAATGACATTACCATGTGCCACAGAAAGTAACCATACATAGGGATCAATTGAAAACATTAAATGACTTTTAAAAATTACTAGGGGACATTAATTGGATACGACCTGCTCTAGGCATTCCTACCTACGCTATGAGTAATCTGTTTTCTATCCTTAGAGGAGATCCTAGTCTCACTAGCCCTCATCAATTAACAAAAAAGCTGAGGCAGAGTTACAGCTGATTGAAAAGCAAGTCCATAAAGCTTAAATAAATAGAATAGATCCAGAGAAGACTCTAGATTTGCTAACTTTTCCAACTCAGCATTCACCTACTGGTGGTATCGTTCAAGAGCAAGATCTTGTAGAGTGGCTTTTTCTTCCACATACTAATTCATGGACTCCTTATTTGGATCAAATTGCTAGTGTGATAGGTAATGAGAGAACTCAGATTGTTAAATTACGTGGATATGATCCTGGAAAAATTATTGTCCCTCTCACAAAGGCACAAATAGAGCAAGCTTTTATAAATAGTCTTACTTGGCAAACCCATTTAGCTGACTTTGTGGGTATTCTGGATAACCATTTTCCTAAAACAAGACTGTTTCAATTTTTGAAAGTAACTAATTAAATTCTCCCTAAAATAACTAAATTGAAACCAATTGAAGGTACTGAAAGTGTTTTCACAGATGGGTCTAGTAATGGTAAAGTTTCTTATTCTGGCTCGAAAGGTAAAGTTTTTCAGATGCCCTATACTTCAGCTCAAAAAGCAGAGCTTATAGCTGTAATTGAGGTATTGACTGCTTTTAATATGCCTATTAATGTGATTCCTGATTCTTCACATGTGGTTTATTCCATGCAATTGATTGAAAATGCTCAGTTATGATTTCATACAGATGAACAACTGATGATTTTACTTACCCAATTGCAAACAGCAGTCAGGAGTAGAATGCACTCTTTTTATGTCACTCACATTAGGGCTTATACACCTCTTCCAGGGCCTTTAACTGAAGGGAATCAAATGGCTGATTGCCTATTTGCTAATGCAATACCTAATGCTAGACACTTTCACAATTTAACCCATGTTAATGCCTCTGGTCTCAAATGCAGATACAGCATTACCTGGAAAGAAGCTAAAGCTATTATCCAGCAATGCCCAACTTGCCAAATGGTGCATTCCTCATATTTTACAGGAGGAGTTAATCCTCGAGGATTGGAACCTAATTCTCTTTGGCAAATGGATGTTACACATGTTCCCTCATCTGGGAGACTAGCTTATGTACATGTGTGTGTGGACACCTTTTCTCACTTCGTCTGGGCTACATGCCAATCAGGAGAGTCTTCTGCCTGTGTTAAACATCACCTTTAGCAGTGTTTTGTGGTGATTGGCATTCCAGCTTCTATAAAACAGATAATGCCTCAGGCTATCCTAGCCAAGCTCTAGCTACATTTTTCTGTATGTGGAATATTAAACACATTACTGGTATCCCATATCAGTCTCAAGGACAAGCCATAGTGGAAAGAACAAATTGCTCCCTGAAACAGCAGTTACAAAAACAAAAAAGGGGGAGAAATAGGGACTATAGGACACCCCATATGCAATTGAATCTAGCATTATTAACTTTAAATTGTTTGAGCCTGCCTAAAGTCCAGATGTTATGAGCAGTTGAGCAGTGTCTACAGAAACCAGCTGCAAAGACAGAAGCAGAACAACTAGTTTGGTGGAGAGCTCCGATAACAAAAATTGGGAAATAGGTAAAAATAACTTGGGGTAGAGGTTATGCTTATGTTTCTCCAGGACCGAATCAACAGCTGATTTGGATACCATCAAGACACCTGAAACCTTATCACAAGCCAGATGCCGAGTGAGAGATTCTGGGAGGATCCTGAGGACTCCCCAGTTGCAGCCATGTCAAGACTGATGCTGAGGAGGACCCCAACTGTCATGAGCAACACCCGTCGAACACAGCCACCCACCTGGGGACGGATCAAGAAGCTGTCGCAGATGGCAGAAGAAAGCCTGAGGAAAGTGGGACAACCAGTCACAATGAGTAATTTAATGGTAGTTATGATAGCGGTGATCACCGTTTCCTTGAGTATTCCTTCAACAAGGGCTGACACAGAAAACAATTACACTTATTGGGCATATTTGTCAATCTTGGCTGGCAATAATACCTGGATGTAATCACTCTATGACAAAGTTACACATGCTTTCTGATCTCAGTATTTACCATAATAAATCTGCTCCTATAATTAAGGCATACCACCCTCAAAAACGTGTTTGTAAACAAAATTGAACCTGGCCAAAAAAAATGAACGTCCTTGTTTAGGAAGATTGCATTGCAGAACAGTCAGAGGTGCTGCATAATGATTCTTATGGAATCATTATTGATTGGTCCCCTGAGAGGATGTTTGGCTTGAATTGCACCTCTCAATCTGCGTGCCATGGCCACACTATGTTCAGCTGGTTTGAACAAAATGGTCAGATGGTAGAAATGATAAGAAATACGGCAAGAGTTCCTATTTGGAACCATGGCAGTATAGTGGCACCTCAACCTCAAATGATATGGCCCACTGTAGGAGCTAAACATAAGGATTTGTGGAAACTATTAATAGGTCTTAATAAGATCAAAATTTGGGAATGAATAAAAAAGGCTCTAGAAGGACACTCTACAAACTTGTCTTTGGATATTGCAAAATGAAAAGAACAAATATTTAAAGCATCCCAGACACACCTGACCTTAATGCTAGGAACTGGAGTGCTTGAAGGAGCTGCAGACAGATTAGCAGCTAGTAACCCATTAAAATGGATAAAACACTTGGAAGCTCTGTGATTTAAATGATGATTGTGCCTTTAATCCATGTTGTCTTTGTATAGTCTGCAGATGTGGATCCCGACTCCTGGGAGAAGCAGCTCACCATGACAAAGCTGCCTTTGCTTTTATCGCTTTGCAAAACAAAGAAGGCGGACATGTTGGGAACAGGCCCTCAAATCTGGCCATAAACAGGTCCCAAAACTGTCCATAAAGAAAATCTCTGCAGCACTGTGACATGTTCGTGATGGCCATGACACCCACGCTAAAGGTTGTGGGTTTACCGGAACGAGGGCAAAGAACACCTGGCCCACCCAGGGTGGAAAACTGCTTAAAGGCATTCCTGAACCACAAACAATAGCATGAGTGATCTGTGCCTTAAGGACATATTCCTGCTGCAGGTAACTAGCCAGAGCCCATCCCTTTATTTCAGCCCATCCCTTTGTTTCCCATAAGAAATACTTTTAGTTAATCTACAATCTATAGAGACAATGCTTATCACTGGATTGCTGTCAGTAAATATGTGGGTAAGTCTCTATTCGAGGCTCTCAGCTCTGAAGGCTGTGAGACCCCTGATTTCCCACTCCACATGCTATATTTTTGTGTGTGTGTCTTTAATTCCTCTAGCGTCACTGAGGTAGGGTCTCCATGACCGAGCTGGTCTCAGCACTATTACATAATAGTATTTATTATGGAGTAGTATTGAGTTTGCTACATTTTCTACTCATGCCCCTACCTTGGCTTTCTGTTTCACCCATGGAAAAAAATCGAGATTCTGTCAGTCATGCATAGGACACGATATGATCTGGTCTCCTTACCTATGACTTTGTTTCCTACTACACTCCCCCTTGGTCACCCTATTTCAGACATACTGACTTCCTCAATGTTATTCCAACGCATTTGGCATGCTCCCATCGCAGAGCCTTTGCACTCATTCCCTTTGCCTTGAACACTCTTTCCCTACTATGTATGTGGCATCTACCTTGTCTCTTTCAAGTCTTTGCTCAAATACTGCATTCTCATTGAAATCTACTGTCTTATTTAAAATTGCAATGTCTCTGTTGCCTGCACTCCCCATCTCCTTTAACCAGCTCTAACTTTTTTCCATAGTACTATTCACCTTCTAAAATATTGTACAATAACTATTTACATTAATGTTTTCTGTCTACCATGCTAGAATGTAAATTCCATGAAGGTAGGAGCTTGTGTCTTTTCTTAATAGGCTGTCAATACAGGTTGTGCATCTCTAATCAGAAAAGCCAAAATCGGAAGTGCCCCAAAATCCAAAAGTTTTGAGCGCAACTGACGTGATGCTACAAGTGGAAAATTCCATGCCTGACCTCATGTGATTTGTCACAGTCAAAACTTTGTTTAATCACAAAATTGTTTTTTAAAATTGCATAAAATTACCTTCAGGCTATGTGTATAAGGTGTATATGAAACATAAATGAGTTTCATGTTTAGACTTGGGTCCTATTCTCAAGATTTCTCATTATACACATGCATATTCCAAAATCTGAAAAAATCTGAAGTTTAAATACTTCTGGTCCCAAGTATTAATATTTCAGCTAATGGATACTCAACTGGTATTATCTGTTGACTGAATGAATAAATAAATAGATTAAAGTTGTGAAAAAACTTGAGAAACTTATTTCATTTATGTAGTATTGAGAATTTGTATTTATAGTGCTCAGCTTATTAGGACTACATGTGAATACTTGCTCATTTATAGATAAGTAACATATACTTTAAAATGGTAAAATATGTTTATGAAGTTTGGAATAACATTAAAGATTACTAAAAATAAATAGGACTGTTACTGTGACTTGATTATCACAGTTAGCTCTTACATTTTAAGAAAGTCCTTTCTGGCCGGGCGCGGTGCCTCACACCTGTAATCCCAGCACTTTGGGAGGCCGAGGCGGGTGGATCACGAGGTCCGGAGATCGAGACCATCCTGGCGAACATGGTGAAAACCCATCTCTACTAAAAATAGAAAAAATTAGCCAGGCGTGGTGGTGGGCGCCTGTGGTCCCAGCTACTCGGGAGGCTGAGGCAGGAGAATGGCGTGAATCCAGGAGGCAGAGCTTGCAGTGAGCCAAGATCATGCCACTGCACTCCAGCCCGGGTGACAGAGCAAGACTCTGTCTCAAAAAAAAAAAAAAAAAAAAAAAGAAAGGCCTTTCTGTCCATACATGATTATTAAAACCAAGTTTTTGAGTTCAGATTTTTTTTTTTTTTTTTACAAGGACTCTCTTACTTCTTTAGTTTACCTCCTTATAGCAAGGTAGAAGTGGCTTGATGTTTTCAGGACTATTCTGCACACCATAGATTTCTCAAACTCTGTTTTGTTTGAGAACCTACATGGTTCTGTGAATTTTGTTAAAGCTAAAGTGGTCATTACTTAGAAAAGGAAATTTTAAACTTATTTTGAACCTGTTCTTTGGTTATTGATCTAAGCTGTTATTTTAAAAATATTCTAACATCAATATGTAAATGTACCATATTGTACATATTTAGACCCCAATATAGACACAGATAAAAGCAGTTTTCTATTGGTATACATTTATTTTATAGATTAAAATTAAAATATTTAATAATATGAAGTTAATCATTAAGACCAATAAAGCCATTTGATTGAAATTCATGAATGACAGTTGCAGTGCTTTTTTCAGACTCCTTCTGAATTTATGTCTGGAAGGGCTTTGGTTGAAAGATAACAAGTAAAATAGTTGGAATGGTTCTACTAAAAATGACAATAGTTAAAACAAAAGAAAAGCAGCCTGACTTGCAATCTGAGAATAACATGATTAGTAGGAATAGTAGGATAATTTTATTTCATAACTTCATCACCAACAACATCTAACAACCATTTATATTGTTGTTATTATTTCTGAGACAGGGTCTTGCTCTACCACCCAGGCTGGAGTGCAGTGGCACGATAACCGCTTACTGCAGCCTCAGCCTCCCAGGGTCAAGTCATCCTCCCATCTCAACCTCCCAGGTAGCTGGGACTACAGATGTGCACCACGATGCCCAGATAATTTTTAAATTTTTTGTAGAGTTGAGGTCTCCCCATGTTGCCCAGGCTGGTCTCAAACTCCTGGGCTCAAATGATCCTGCCACCTCAGCCTCCCAAAGTGCCGGGATTACAGGTGTGAGCCACTACACCCAGATCATTTATATTATTTATCATAAATGTAAGTCGGCCAAGGAACGACTCAAATATATAGTAAGTGATAAAACTATGATGGTTTCACGTGCTACTTGTTGGAAGTTCACTTGTCTTTGCACATATGATTATTATAATTTGATAAAAGCATGTCCTAGGCAGATATGCTTAAAACTTGATTGACATTTACTAGAGTATGGCACATGCATTTCTGAGTACCAATTTATATCTTCCCTTTCCCCAAGTCCCTCAACTAGGACTCCCAAAATTCTTAAACTTGTAACTTGAAGATATTTTTTTTTTCCAGCCAGTATACTACTACTGGAAAGGGTGAGGGTGAGAGGGTGCTGTGGAAATATGATTTGGATCCATAATTGAGGAGCAAATTTTCCCACCTCTTAAGAGGTGAACTACTCATGTCTGGGGAAGAGGGAAGAGTAGGAATGACATAAGTCACCATCTGCCCTTACCTCACAACCAACCAAAGCAATGACTTCCATCCCCTGATGCAGCACTGAGAAGCTGCATGAAACCTGAGTGAGTTCCACATTTTTTTTATTGCTGTCCCACAGTTAGAGCCAGTCACCAGACCTCAGTCTGTTCTCCATCATTTGTTCAGTTTGGAGTGACATCCTCTGTACCTTGAGGCTCTGCCAAGTTCTTCATAAAAGAACCTTTGGCTTCAAGTGGCCCAGGACTCTTGTAATGCACACAATCTCAAAAGGGTAAAGAATTTAGCCACTGCAAAGGGTGATGGTGACTTGAAGCCACATTTTTTCCCCTGACTCACGAAGAAATAACTAGATGGAATCAGTTTGAAATTGTCTACCCACCTGGGACAGCAGAAGAATAGAACAAACCTTTTATTTAATTTTTTTAATTTTTTTATTAGGAAAAGTGTACCTGTTTGGAGAGATTAAGGTAACGAACCCCTATGTACCTAGAACAAATATTTTAAATATAATTGTACATAGTTGGATATGCTCAGTTCAAAATTTTAGAAAACACATTTTATAACATTCAACCTTCCTAAGCACCGACATTTTCAAGAAATTCAAATGTATGTATAGATATTTTTCCTCGATTTATTAAAAAATGAACTTCCCTGGCCATAGAAGTTAATGTTTTCATTATCTCTGAAGTCTCCAACTTGGGTATGTATACATACACATGTTTATTATATGTGTATTATAATACATAGAATTGTTATAGAACATATATACGTACGTAGTATATATGTGTGTATTTATATGTATGCATACATAGAGTTTAAACTATGTATACTTTTAAAGATGTAGAGAAAATCAAATATTTGCAGATATCTGAAGCACCCCAAGGTTCCATAGAACATAACTTGGAAAACACTGTTCTAGGTACTGGGTGCTACAGGGATGAATAAGATATAGTGTTAGTCTCAGAGAATCACATGATCTCAGAGCCACTGTTCAATAAAATGTACATCAGTGTAGTTCATTGACTAGTTTCCAACTAGAATAAAAATTGTTGCTTGTGCAAGCAGTAAATTTTCTTTTGTTTTTCCTCAACTTCTTTAACATCATTTCTATCACTCTTCAGTGCTTATAGAATGAAAAATATCATGTGCAATGATTGAGATTTAATGTTGAATTTTAAAAGTGCAAAGATAGAAGTAATTCGTGAAGGATGCTGCTGAAGTTTCTTATTCTATTCAGTCATTGTAACCAGTGTGATTCAAGATTGGTTGATGTATGGACCATGGCCAGCAGCAGCTTTTTTCAGAAGTAGGAGACCAGAAATTTTCTTCCCTGTCAGTATATTTTCTTGTGTATACTTCCAGAGACTTTTTTTTAAATTGGGAACCAGTCAATATTCATATGTCCTTCCCAATATGCCCTTTTTTCTTTTTTTACCTAAGTGATAGCATACTATATACTCTGTTCTGTACTTTGCTTTCTTTTTTTCCTGAACAATCTATCTTAGAGACTATGTCACATAAATTTATAAGGAGTTTTCTCTTTTTTTCCTACAAGACATAGTATTACATTGAATTGATACATTATTGATGACATTTAGATGATTGGAAGATCATTTTAAAACCAGGAGTAGGTAATTCTTAGTATGGAATGTTGTTTGAAGAATACGAAAAAAATAAAAATACTGGGCAGTGTCTCATTATCCCACTGATGACTTTAGGCGTAGGAAAGTTTGAAACCTACTCCCCTAGAACAATAGGGGGATCAAATATGTGATCACATTCTTCTGGTGGGTACAAAATGGCAAATAAATACTGGTTATTTTCCATTGGTACTCCCTGCCTGCCTGGCTAGATATTTTAAAATCCCATTGAATATCAAACTTAGAATTAAATAGGTCAGTGAGAGGAACTTCTCTCCATGCAAGTGAGGAAAGCAGTCTCATATTAAAAAAGGAAAAGTTAGTAACTTTTGTAGTTTGTCCAGAAGTAAATGCCAGAGGTCTGTATGAAATAAAGGAAATGTGGCAACTTTGTCAAGAGTACATGAAAATATTGGGGCCAAGAGGGGAAAAGGCCGAAGGAAGGTATGCCTACTCCAGATGAGTTTTTTTTTTTTTTTTTTAGTGAGGAGGGGGCTGCTGGCATGAGCCCTTAAACTTGGTTATATGTGACCTCTACTCCCTGTGGTTAGAATTTCATGGCCAGAGTCAACAAGCTGTGGATGGGATTGTTAAAGTTTTGTAGTAGAGCAGAGTAGACAAACATGCCTGGGTGAGTTCTCTGGGATAAGACACGTTGTGACTATTCTAGATGATTTTTCCATGTGACATTGGACTTAGTGATTAAAGTGTTGCCAAAGGGACTGTTACCTCCTCATAGGTTGGGCCACTGTGCCTGAGACCTGTCCAGAACACTATGTTCTTATCACAAGGCAGTCCAAGAAGGACAGTATGATGATCAGAATGAGAGTGACTCTTTAGGACTTCTTTTATTTTCTGGTTTGTAGCTAACCTAAAGAGAAATGATTAGGATTTAGCTTCTCAGATCTGCCAAGTATATGAAGTTCTAAGTTTTACTGTTGTGGAGTACTTTCTTGTCTTTTTTCCAGTGTTCTTGAATTTAATTTTCTTATTCCATAGGATTTATAGTGTACTGTCCATTCAGCATACTATCCTGTGTGGATATCTCAAATCTTGTGTGGTTAAACATGCAAAAATTCAACCTTCTGTATCTAAGATAAAGTTCTGTGAGGACCGTATTTGGCTATAGTCAGATATAATAGCAGATGAATTTACCAAATAGGGTTATCCTACCTCCACTTCAGACCCATAAGCTGGCATATGAGTTTAGTGCACATGCCTCTCTTTCATTCAATAAGATGTGATTGTAAATTTTCAAGACATGATGCTATAGATCCTAAAAGAACTCTCTCATTACCATGTAATTGTTTATTTCTGCTCCACAGGGGCCTCTGCATAATGCTGCCGATGGGTACTTTGTGAAGGAGTCTTCCTAAGAGTTCCAAATGGGAAGCAGTGCAAAACTGTTTTTGGCTTTCTCCTCAACCTGCCTGATTTTTCATCTTATGTCTTATTTCCCTGTTTGGGGATAATAGGTCTCAGAGTGACATTAGCAATGTATTCATCCTATTTTCATTCCTTTTGATTTTTTCTTTTGCTTCTCCTATTCTTCCTCTGGAAAGGCTCTCCCATTTTATTCCTGGAAAGAATTGAATGGCCTTATTCTCATTCAGAGTTCTATCTGGTTTATAAGGTCTGTAAAAGAAAAAAAGACACTCTAGGTTGAGACCATTTAAGTTAGGCTTTTGATATGTAGATGAACAAGATTAAGGAGTAAAACCTTTCTCTCAGCAAAAATTTATCAATATGATTGTGTCACTTGAAAATTTGATAATATTAGATGAATATTAACATTTCTTTCTCTTTGCATTTCTGCTATACCAATTTTACTCCTCCTCAAAGGATTGAATAGGGAGAAGATCATATACAAGGGATCAAAAAAGAAAAAAAATTTTTAAATTATTCTTGTTAAATATGTATATGTTTCAATGTTCATGTCTATTTATCTGCCTTTGCCTTCCTGCCTTCAGTAAATTGGCTTTCTTTCCTAACATTTACTTCTTTTGTAGCATACTACTCTTCACCCAGTCTTTATGGATATTACTTCTTTTATCTCATCTAACTCATGCCATCTCGACATTCCCCATATCATCGTATCTACTCCCTCTTCCCATTAGCATGGTTGGATCCTCACTCTTTTCATCCCAAGCCTATTTCTTATCTATTCTATATGTCTCCTTGCCCTAAGTAAAACCTGACTCTTCCGTTCATTGATGAGCACTTAGCAAACATCAATTATGTATAATCGTCTCCTTTTGGAACCTTGTATTCCACCAATCTGCTGACTTTTCACTTCCTTAAAAGTGCCTATCATGCAAGTTGGTCGAGTGATTCAGATTACGAAAGGCTCTCATTTCTAGGCTGCTTCCCTTTCTGTATTGAGCACAGGGTCCAGAACTTTATTAGAGTTTGGGTTTTATTTTATATGCAATAGAGAACCCCTATGAATTTTTTAGTGGAATGAGGGTAATGAATGCATATAATATTCTAGGAAGATATTTCTGGGAGTAACGTACAGAATTGTTTGTTTGAATTACATATATCCATTAATACATTACCACAGTAAAACAGAAATGAGAAAAAAAGAGAGGAGAGAAAATAGACCAAAAGAAAAAAAAACTAAATGACTTTTTAAAAATACAGGTATAGTTAACTTTATTTAGCCTATCGATGTTTATATTGACTGATAGTAATCATTAAAGACAAACTGACATCAAGCTCAATAAATTTAAACTTTTGGCAATTTTCCTCATTTAAACAGTGCTACTATATCAACCAAATCAACACCAATTCAACCAACTAAACAATTTCTTGACCAAATCAACAGGAGACAAAGCAGCCTTTGGTTAGAAGATAAAAAGAAGAGTTGTCAGCAAATAAGAAAGTGAACGGTTAGTTCAAGAAGATAGGGAGCTAGAATAATGGAATTTCATTAAGATCAACATAAAAGAGGCTAATCAAATGCCATCAAATGTGTCCTTTCATATGCATGGAACATATAGCAAATTCAATCCCCTATTGGGATTGAATACGGTGACTTGAAAAGTTTCAGTTTCAGAAGAGTAATGGGGAAAGTAATAATGTGGAATGAATTGAAAAAGAAATAAGTAGTTGTCAAATGGATGTCAGCATCAGGTAACTGTACTGTACCTGTGGATAAGACAGATTCTTTGTTTAAACTCTCATTAAAGGAAAAAAAATAACTAAATGCTATTAGAGTTTAACATGCTATTTATTTTCTCTTTAGTATTTCTTTCTTAAAGTTTTTTTTTTCTTTAGAGATGGTGTCTCACTCTGTCACCAGGCTAGAATGCAGTGGCACAATCATAGCTCACTGCAGCCTCAGGCTCCTGGGCTCAAGTGATCCTCCTGCCTCAACTTCCTGAGTAGCTGGGACCACAGGTGTGTACCATCATACCCAGTTAATTTTTAAAATTATTATTTTCTGTAGAGATGGGGTCTTGCTATGATGCCCAGGCTTGTCTCGAACTCCTGGGGTCAAGTGATCCTCCCACCTTGGCCTCTCAAAATGCTAAGATTACAGGTGGGAGCCACTGCATCTGGCCTCTCTTTAGGATTTTTATTCCAAGGTAAATAGTAGTGATCATAGCTCAATAATATTATTAATATTCTGAATATTGTCAATGTTTATAGGAAATTAATTCTATTTAATTAACTGATTTAAACTTTCTTTGCCTTAGTTTATTAAAGAGTTACATTTTCCCCATAAAAATATGCCTTTGATATTTTAATGAAATTTAACAGAGAAACAGAATTACACTACCAGAAATTTGTTTAGATACTCCTCTGCATTTCAATCAAGGATATTATAAAGCAAAAATGAAGTTTTATTGTATTTATGATATTACAATAAGATATTTTAACATTAATTTCAAATAGGTGTAACTCAAGATCATATAGGACCATTCTTTTTAAGAATAAAATGGAAAGATATAAAAGATATCTTTTATATATAAGGTAGGTGAGAAAAAAGATAGAAAATAAGAGTTTTTTTAGTCCAGAGATTATTTGGTTTGGTCCGTACTATTCCATTCAATTTTTTACCAGTCAAATTTTCCATTTATGGGACAACACCCATTAAACAGCATTTGTGTATGTCCAAGGTTTGTTTAACTTAAAGAGATACAAAATATACACGTTTTCCAAACAAAAATGGCTGGTTCAAAGTTCTGTGACCAGTGACATGTAAACTGAAGCAATCAGTGCACGTCTGGTGATGCGTTGTTAAAATTTCAAAGGTTACCATGCGTGGGCTTTAGAATTTGTTTAGAGAAGCAGTGATAACCTTGACTCTCTTTCAGCAGAAGTACAAGTTTATTAATGTAAGACTCAGTACTACTATTCACATTTTAATCATTTATGTGTTTACCTTAAGGTTCCACTATAGGTTACTTGATTTCCACTATATTTCCACTATAGGTTACTTGATTCTTAAAACTAGGTGACTATATTTTACCTTTGCTTAACCCCATGCTCCATTATTTTAAATTGTTCTTTTTGGAGTTTAATTTTAATTAAGCTTATTCAACTCAATGTCAGATGGTCGAATGCAGCTAATAGGATGTTTAACATTCTCTGTAGAAACAGGGTTGGGCTTGTGACTTGTTTGCTAAACTCAAGTTTAGGGTTTTTCTTGTTTAGTTTCTTAATTGTTGAAAGAGAAATAGACCTTAATTTTTTAAATAAACCAGATATTCCACTTTTAATTGAAATCTCTTGTGCATTGGTTAAAGAAGTTTAATCTTTCAATGAAAACATATCAAAGATAATTGGTTGAGGTTGAATCTCATCAAAACTCATGTAACAAGTGCTTAATATGCAAGAACATTTACTCACTGAGCACCTCCTACTGCTTATTCAGATTTCCTCTTTCCCATTTTTAGTGTGATACGTTCTCAGTTTTCTTTTAAGGTTTCTAAAAGATAGATCTGCATTTCTATTTTATAATATATATAACCAAACCACAATTGTTATTATCTCTTGATTTAATCATCCTTTTACCTGCCATAAAAATAATTTTTTTTGTAGATGTTGCTCTGAAAATATTTTATTTGACATCTATATTTAACATACATATTTCTTGGTTATTTTGGCAGAAGTTGGTAAATCTTCCTACTCTTCCATAGATTACCTATTTTAGATATTTTAAATGAAGACTAGGATAATAGACAGCTAGTAGATCCCAACTTAGAACTAGGTTTTTGTCCTGACTCTGCCACTCACTAGTGTTTTAATGTAGGACAAGTTTGTTCTTGTCTCTGGACTTTCCTCATTCCCTTCCAGTGCTGTTAGAAGAATTATATTTGACATTACACAAGTGATATTGTTGCATTAACATATAGCATTATTATAATCATTGTAAGGTCCTGAAATAAGAGACTCATGCCTGTTTAATTAAATTATATGGATCATATTTTGAGCTAAAAATACTCATGATCTAACAAATGATTTATTTTTTGTTTGTGAGTTTAAATAGCAAGACTTCAAATGTATAAAATGAAATAATAATCAATCATGTTTTTAACTAAAGGTAATATTGAACAGAATAAAATTAAATAAAATATCAGTTTGTCTCAGATAATTCAGGTAGTGATTTGTCATATAGAGGATCTAATAATTTGATTCTGAAGGCAGCAAAATGACCAATAAAATACTAGGGGTAACATTTCTCTTTATTAAGTGTATTTGTTTTGATTTAGAAAGACAAAGCAGAAGAAAATTGACTATTTGTCTAAAAATGAATTTTATATATTTTATATTATTATTATTATTTGAGACAGCGTCTTGCTCTGTCACCCAGGCTGGAGTGCAGTGGCATGATCATGACTCATGGCAGCCCTGACCTCCTGGGTTCAAGTGATCCTCCTGCCTTAAACTCTTGAGTAGCTGGCACTACAGACACACACCACCATGATTGGCTAATTTTCTAATTTTTTTGAGACTGGGTCTCGCCATGTTACCCCAGCTGGTCTTGAACTCCTGGGTTTAAGTTATCCTCCTGCCTCAGCCTCCCAAAGTGCTGGGATTACAGGCATGAGCCACCACACCTGGCCATGTTTTTAATGTGATTAATTCAGCAAACACTTGTTGGATATCTACTCACTCGTTTAACAAATGCTTATTGTATGCTCAGTATTCTACCCATTTGAGATAGAGTGACAATCAAGACAAGCAAAGTCCCAAATCACAAGAAGCCTACAGTCTAGAGTGAGAGGTGTTTTATAATTAAGGGTGAGGAGCTGGATCCGTTGAAGGCCTTCAAAAGGCAGGTTGAAAATTTAAATAAAATTCAGACTATAGTAAGAAAATGGGCCAAGAAGTCTGAATTCTTCATTGGACCTCAATTTTCAAGATATAATAGCAAATATTATAATGTTGAATGGAATTTCAGGGTTACAATATTATTTTTTTCCAAAGATAGGTTACTTTTGATGACAATATCAATTAAATTAGCAATGCCAGGAGTCTTGAGTCACATTTGTTTATAGAGCTCTGACAAAAACATGTTTGTTCAGCCCTGCCCCATGCTCTTGTTTAATGTGTATGGAAGCTGGAAGAGTTCTATGAGTCTAACATAATTAGTTGTCCATAATGAATAAACTATATGGGCTCTGTGAATCTTATGCATGCAGCAGAGTAAAGTGGTTAAGAGCACGAATTTTAAAGCCAAACTGCCTGGGTTTGCATCCTGACACTATTCATTACTTACTAGGTGTGCACCCTTGAACAAATTAAACTACTTAGCCTGACCCTTCAGGCTCCTCATCTGCTAAACAGGCATAATAATAGTACCTACCTCGGTTGTGACGATTAAATGCATGCATATGTGTACAGTGCTAGAAGTGGGCCTGTTCCATCGTAAGTGCTAGTTAGGTGTTTCTTTCAAGGACTAAGGCTCATTTTGTCTGCCTTATGTTACCCAGTTTTGACTCTTAGAAACTGGTTAGTTTTTAGAGATGGAGGGAAAAATCCATATTTTATAATAGTTTCAGAGGAATCAAAATTGTGGAAAGCACCTTATAAATCATGTGGTCTAGTCCCTTCATTTTATACATGAGAAAATTGAGACCCCAGAAGCTGAGTTACATGTCTAACATGACTTTAAATAGTCTCCCATTAGGCAGGTAAACCCAATGTAGCTTAATAGTGTGGGTCACCGTAATTCAGCTGTGATCATGAAATATCCAGATTATTTGAGCCACCTCGGATTACAAAGACCCACTAAATTAAACTGAGATCTAAGATCTTCAATGTACTCAAGGCTACAAATGGGATAAGAAAACTCAAGTAAAATTCAAGCTTGCTGATTTTAATTTATGATCATAATGTACTGTCCTGAGGGAAGCACACATAAAAGATACATGGTAACAGTTGTGTTGTATTAAGGGAGAGCATGTCTATAAAAGTATTTTTTCCTAAGATTTTATAATCTGTTAGCTCTTTGTTGGTGTCAGCTGAGTTTCTTGTTGATCTCAGACAATGAGTTTACTCTTCTGTCACTCTCTTATGTTCAGTGATATATCTGTGATGACAGATAAAGATCTGTCTTTAAAGATGCATGCACAACTGTGACTGTATGTTTTGTAAGTAAAGCAGTTATGCAAGAATGTAACTTTTCTTTTCTTTTTTTATTTTTTGAGACAGGTTCTCACTCGGCTGCCTAGGCTGGAGTGCACTGGTGCAATCTTGGCTCTCTGCAACCTCTGCCTCCTAGGTTCAAGTGAATCTCGTGCCTCAGCCTCCTGAGTATCTGGGATTACAGGCGTGTGCCATCACACCCGGCTAATTTTTGTATTTTAATTGAGATGGGTTTCACCATGTTGGCCAGGCTGGTCTTGAACTTCTGATAGCATGTGATCTGCCTGCCTGTGCCTCCCAAAGTGCTGGAATTACAGGCGTGAGCCATTGCACCTGGCTGACTTTCCTTAATTTTAAAAATATACTTTAATGTTTAGAGCAATTTTAGGTTTACAGCCAAATTAAGAGGCCGATACAGGGATTTCCCATATTCCCCAGCCCCTACACATACATAGCCTCCTCCATTATCAACTCTCCCGGCCAGAGTGATACATTTGTTACAATTGATGAACCTGCATTGACACATCATAATCACCCAGGGTCCATCCATAGTTTACTTTAATTAGGGTTCCCTGTTGGTATTGTGCATTCTGTGGGTTTGGACAAATTTATGACATGCCTCACCATTACAATATCATGCAGAGTAGGTTCACTACCCTAAAAATCCTCTGTGCTCTGCCTCTTTATCCCTCCCTCCCTCCTAACATCTGGCAACTACTGATTTTTTTTTTACTGTCTCCGTTTTCTAGAATGTCACAGAGTTGGAATTATACAGCACATATGTAGCCTTTTCAAACTTCATTACACTTAGTACTATGCATTTAAGTTTCTTCCATGTCTTTTTATGATTTGCTAACTCATGTGTTTTTTATTATTAATAATTTTTCATTGTCTAGATGAACTATAGTTTATCCATTCACCTACATAAGGACAACCTTGCCTCCAGGATTTGGCAATTATGAATAAAGCTGCTATAAATACTCATGTGTAGATTTTGGTGTGAACATAGCTTTCAACTGCTTTGGGTAAATAACAAAAAGTACGATTGCTGGCTCATATGGCAAGAGTATGCTTAGTTTTGGAAGAAATTGCCAAACTGTCTTTCAAACTGGCTGTACCTGTACATTTTGCAGTCCACCAGCAATGAATGAGAGTTCCTGCTGCTCCACATCTTTGCCAGCATTTGGTGTCAGTGTTCTGGATTCTGGCCATTCCAGTAGGTGTGTAGTGGTAACTCCTTGTTTCAATTTGTATTTCCCTGATGACATATTATGCGGAATGTCTTTTCATATTCTTGTTTGCCATCTGTATATGTTGCTTGGTGAAGTATCTGTTAAATCGTTGGCCCATATTTTAATCAGGTTGTTTGCTTTCTTATTGTTGAGTTTTAAGAGTGTTGTATGTTTTGCATGGCACATGTATACATATGTAACAAACCTGCACGTTGTGCATATGTACCCTAGAACTTAATAATTTAAAAAAAGAGTGTTGTATGGTTTGGATAACAGTCCTTTATCGGTTGTTTTTTGGAAATATTTTCTCTTAGCCTATGGCTTTTCATTTCATTCTCTTGATAGTGTCTTTTGCAGAACAGAAATTTTTAATTTTAATGAAGTCCAGCTTTTCATCTCTTAATTTATATTATACCTTTGTTGTCATATCTAAGAAGTTGTTGCCAAAGCCAAGGTCATCTAGAATTTCTCCTGTGTTATATTATAGGAGGTTTATAGTTTTGTGTTTACATTTAAGTCTGTAAACTATTTTGAGTTAATTTTTATGAAGGGTGTAAGGCATGTACCTAGTCATTTTTTCTGTGTGAATGTCTACTTGTTCCAGCACCATTTGTTGAAAATATCTTTTACTCATTGCATTACTTTTGCTCTTTTGTCAAATATCAGCTGATCATAATTCTATTTATGTGCATTTGCATCTATGTGACTCTTTTTGGGCTTTGTATTCTGTTCCACTGATCTATTTGCTTAGTCTTTTGTCAGTACCACATCGTGTTGATTACTGTCAGTTATATTTAAGTCTTGAAGTTAGGTAGTGTCAGATCTCTGATTTTGTTCAGCCAACCCAGAGTTGGCTATTGTAGGTCTTTTGTCTGTACATTTAAACTTCAGTATAAGTTTGTCAATATCAACAAAATAATTTGCTGGGATTTTGATTGCGATTCCTAACTTGATTCTATCAATCAAGTTAGGAAAAACTGACATCCTTACAATTTTGAGTCTTCCTATCTATTAACATGGAATATCTTTTCATTTATTTAGTTATTCTTTGATTTCTTCAATCAGAGTTTTGTAGTTTTTCTCATCTAAATCTTGTACATATTTTGTTAGATTTATATCTAAGTGTTTCATTTTTTGAAGTGCTAATGTAAACAGTATTGTGTTTTTAATTTTAAATTCCACTTATTCATTGCTGATATATAGGAAAACAATTGACTTTTGCATATTAACCTTGTATCCTCCAACCTTGCTATAATTGCTTTTGTTTTCCTAATTCTTTTGGATTTTCTACACAGATGATTATGTCATCTGCAAACAAAGACAGACATTTGCAACAATATTGAAAAACATTGTTGAGGTGACATTCTTTCTTTGTTCCTGAAAACTTTCCTTAAATTTTTGTAAGTCATATTCATTTCCATTTTGAATCTGCGTAAGTGGAGAAATATTCACCGTCAACAGTTTGGTGTCCCCTTGCTTTCCTTGAGTTGATTCATCTAATGCCAAGACATTGTGTGAGGCTTCATTGGTTCCTTGGTTGTTTGTCTACACAGCTCTCTGCTGAGATGTGAGTCATTGCCCATCTGGTTCTCTATTCTCTGTCTATGCAGTTCACCCCTGAGGCGCCCCTCCATCTTGTTGGGCAGCCGCTTTAGTACTGTTCAAACTCTCTATTCCTTCTACACCTAGTTTAAGGATGCTGGAATCATTTGGTTACTTCTCCTGATTTTTGTGAATTTGCCTAAGTTTGGGACAGTTTAAGACATAACACACGGTCATTTTCTTTGTGGGGTCTTGTCTTGCCCCTTTCCTGAGGGCTTTCCTAGAAAGGACTCTCTTTTTCTCTCACAAGATACTATTGCTTTTCCTTGCCTTTCCTATGCTATTCCAGAAAAAAGGAGTCTTTCAGACAAGCCCCTTCTCTTCAACCACCATTATTGTTTTTAAAATAATTTCAACTTTTAGTTTAGATTCATGGGGTATATGTGCAGGTTTGTTATATGAGTATATTGCCTAAGGTTTGTGATATAAATGATCTTGTCACTTAGGTTGTGAACGTAGTACCCAATAGTTAGTTTTCAACTCTTTCCCTTCTTTTCCTCCCCTCTTATTATTGATCCCCAGTGTCTATTGTTGCCATTTTTATGTCCACAAGTACCCAGTGTTTTGCTCCTACTTATAAGTGAGAATGTATGGTGTTTGATTTTCTGTTTCTGCATTAATTCTCTTAGGATACTGGCCTCCAGCTGTGTTCATATTACTTCAAAGGACATGGGTAATTTTGTCCTTTTTTATGGCTGTGTAGTATTCCATAGTGTATATGTATCACATTTTCCATTTCTTTTTTTTTTTTAAATATTCTTTTTTCTTTTTATTTAACTTTTATTTTGGTATATGTGCAGGATTTTTATATAGGTAAACTTGTGTCATGGGGATTTGTTCTACAGATTATTTTATCACACAGGTAGTAAGCCCAGTACACATTAGTTATTTTTCCTTATCCTCTTGTTGCTTCCAACCTCACCCTCCAATAGGTCCCAGTGTGTGTTATTCTCCTCTATGTGTTCATGTGTTTTTATCATTTAGCTCCCGCTTATAAGTGAGAACATGCAGTATTGGTTTTTTGTTCCTGCATAAGTTTGCTAAGGATAATGGCGTCTGGCCTCCAGCTCCATCCATGTTTTTGCAAAGGACGTGATCTCATTTTTTATGGCTTCATAGTATTCCATGGTGTTCTACATTTTCTTTATCCAGCCTACCATTAATAGGCACCTGGGTTGCTTCCATGTCTTTGCTATTGTGAATAGAGCTGCGATGAACATACAAGTGCATGTGTCTTTTTGGTAGAATGATTTATTTTCCTTTGGATATATATCCAGTAATGAGATTTCTGGGTTGACTGGTAGTTCTAATTTTAGTTCTTTGAGAAATCTCCAATCACTTTCCAAAGTGGTTGAACTAATGTACATTCGCACCAACAGTGTAGGTGTTCCATTTTCTCTGCAGCCTCGCCAGCATCTGTAATTTTCCAACATTTTCTTAGTAGTCATTTTGACAGGTGTGAGATGGTATCTTGTTGTGGTTTTGAGTTACATTTTTCTGATGATTAGTGATGTTGAACATTTTTTCATATGTTTGTTGGCTGCTTGTTTGTTTTCTTTTGAGAAGTGTCTGTTCATATGTTTTGCCTGCTTTTTAAAGGGGTTATTTGTTTTTTACTGGATTTATTTATTTATTTATTTATTTATTTATTTTGAGATGGAGTCTCACTCTGTTGCCCAGGTTGGAGTACAGTGGCGTGATTTTGGCTCACTGCAAACCTCAGCCTCCCAGGTTCAAGCAATTCTCCTGCCTCAGCTTCCTGAGCAGCTGGGATTACAGGTGCCCACCACCACACCCAGCTAATTTTTGTATTTTTAGTAGAGATGGGGTTTCTCCATGTTGGTCAGGCTGGTCTTGAACTCCTGACCTCAGGTGATCAGCATGCCTCGGCCTCCCAAAGAGCTGGTATTACAGACATGAGCCACCGTGCCTGGCTTTTTTGCTTGTTGGATTAAGTTCCTTCTAGATTTTGCATATTAGACTTTCGTTGGATGCATAGTTTGCAAGTATTTTGTCCCATTCTGTACGCTGTCTTACTCTCTTGACAGTTTCTTTTGCTGAGCAGAGGCTCTTTAGTTTAATTAGGTCCCACTTGTCAATTTTTGTTTTTGTTGCAATTGCTTTTGAGGACTTAGTCATAAATTCTTTCCTAAGGCTGATGTCCTGAATGGTATTTCCTAGGTTTTCTTCTAGGATTCTAATAGTTAGAGGTCTTATGTTTCAATCTTTAATCTATCTTGAGTTAATTTTTCAGAGATCATATTCTTATTACTTTCCTCCACATCTGTTTTTTCTCCCCATCCTGATAGATTATTTCTAGCATCTTCTCAGATCCTTTTCTCTTTCTCAAATATTTCTCCCAAACATTCTGCTTATGTCAAGAATGCTTTCAGTTCCTCTAGGAGCTTAGGTTTTAGAAACTAACATTAAAAAAGAAACCCTTTGTTCATGCTTTTCATCCTTTACCTCCCTCCTCCAAAGCATTTAGCACACAATGACTCAACAGGTTGATGACAAAAATTGACATTTTCTAAAGAAAAAAAGAGAGTGTACTAGATCAAGAAATGTTATCCCATCACATAGTTATTAATATTTATTTTACTTTGTGGGGTTGGGTTGGCTTCAGTTTGTGTGTTTTTGTAACCATCCAGATGACAGTGATGGCAGTGTCAACCCCAAAGATTTTGGGAATCCTATAAAATAAAGCAAACCGGAGGGTTTTTCTTGACATTTTTTTCAATCGATATGTCTTAGTTGTCCATATTTTTCAGGTACATGTAATATTTTGATATGTGTGTATAAGGTATAATCATCATATCAGGATAATTGGGATATCTAACACCTCAAACATTTATCTTTTCTTTGTGTTGGGAATATTACAATTTTTCTCTTATAGGTGTTTTGAAATATAAATTATGATTCACTTCTTACTGTAGTATCAAATACTAGAATTTGTTCTTCTACTTAACTGTATTTTTGTATTAATCAAAGGCATTTTTATGTCATATTAAAACAGAAGTTAAGGATCTTCAGAGAAATGCTCTCTACCATGACACTATTTTTTGAATGATAAATGAGGATTATTTAACAATGAGCCCTAATTCATTTTGAAAAACAATTAGTACTAAATATCAGAAAAACGTATGAATTATACATAGTAAATATTATCTTCTGTATTTGTAGTGTAAACTGAGACACCAAAAAGTAACTCACCCCGAGTTTAGTGGCTGACCTAGTGGCCGACGTGTTTTAACATTTATATGCAGGTTTCTGCTATGCACCTAGCACTATTCTAAGCACTGTCCCTGAAATCATTTTCGAATTTGTGTGTAATATGACACTCATTGCAATTTTTAAAGGACTTTTTCACATTGGAAGGGGTAAAGTAATTTTCCCAGGGACTGTAGAAAACTGACATTATAATCCTGAGTTTTATTTCACCATATTGTTTCTTATAAATGTCTGTCCACCAATGTGTTAAAAATGGGCTCAGCAGAGTATGTGGGATATAACAATAAAATATATTTTTAGTATTTCCCAAAATTAGATCACTGTCATATTTAAGTGAATGATTCTTTTATTATATTAATCATTGCAGGTTTTAGAGCTGTAAACTGTCAACCGCATTACAGAATGATGAGACTCATTTGTTGATTCTCTGCCCATGAAATCTCCAGTTGATACACAAATGCCAGACTCAGCATTTCTCCTTCTCCCAGAGATAGGCTAGTTCTTGAAGGTCATTTTTTTTGTGTAGACTTTCTGTAATTCATTTGCTCAGAGTATACTTTTCAATGGACATAGTTCACTCCTTGTTGATTAGAGTTGTAGAGTATTTGCTGTCTGCCTGAGTTTTGCAAATTATCAGTGGTAAAGGATTAAAGTGTAAACATAAGGTCAATGGCCTTCAAAGTGGTGGATGGGCTGATATTACAGTTTAAAAATATTTAAATACATTTATTCTTTAATATATTGAAGGATTTCTACAGGGCATATTTTTTAGGCAACAGAAATGAACTATGATCAGAGGCGATTCTAAAGTGTAAGGTGTTGGATCTTCTATATCTTAAATTTTGAAAGTACTATGAATGAATGGAAGTACATATTGCTTATTATTCTATTAAGCTATCACAGTCTCCTATCTTAGATTAGAGATTTTTTTGGTGTGTCTTTGCTTTTAATTTGCAAAATCCGTGTAAGGAATTAATGTGCATATTAATATTTTTGTGCTTCACAAAGGCTTAAAATTGTTTTTTTTTTCTTTTTTTAAATTATACTTTAAGTTCTGGGGTACATGTGCAGAATGTGCAGGTTTGTTACGCAGGTTTACATCTGCCATGGTGGTTTGCTGAACCCATCAACCCCTCACCTACATTAGGTATTTCGCCTAATGTTATCCCTCCCCTAGCCCCAAACTCCTTGACAGGCCCTGGTGTGTGATGTTCCCTTCCGTGTGTCCATGTGTTCTCATTGTTCAACTCCCACTTATGAGTGAGAACATGCAGTTTCTGGTTTTCTGTTCTTGTGGTAGTTTGCTGAGAATGATGGTTTCCAGCTTCATCCATGTCCCTGCAAAGGACATGAACTCATCCTTTTTATGGCTGCATAGTATTCCATGGTGTGTATGTGCCACATTTTCTTTATCTAGTCTATCACTGATGGACATTTGGGTTAGCTCCAAGTCTTTGCTCTAGTGAATAGTGCCACAATAAACATATGTGTGCATGTGTCTTTGTAGTAGAATGATTTATAATCCTTTGGGTATATACCAAGTAATGGGATTGCTGGGTCAAATGGTATTTCTAGTTCGAGATCCTTGAGGAATCGCCACACTGTCTTCCACTATGGTTGAACTAATTTACACTCCCGCCAACAGTGTAAAAGCATTCCTATTTCTCAACATCCTCTCCAGCATCTCTTGTTTCCTGACTTTTTAATGATCACCATACTAACTGACATGAGATGGTATCTCATTGTGGTTCTGATTTGCATTTCTCTAATGACCAGTGATGATGAGCTTTTTAATAGCTTGTTGGCTGCAAATATGTCTTCTTTTGAGAAGTGTCTGTTCATATTCTTTCCCACTTTTTGATGGGGTTGTTTGTTTTTTCTTGTACATTTATTTAAGTTCTTTGTAGATTCTGGATATTGCCCTTCATCAGATGGATAGATTGCAAAAATTTTCTCCAATTCTGTAGGTTGTCTGTTCATTCTGATGATGATTTCTTTTGCTGTGCAGAAGCTCTTTAGTTTAATTAGATCCCATTTGTCAATTTTGGCTTCTCTTGTCATTGCTTTTGGTGTTTTAGACATGAAGTCGTTACCCATGCCTATGTCCTGAATGGTATTGCCTAGATTTTCTTCTAGGAATTTTATGGTTTTAGGTCTTACGTTTAAGTCTTTAATCCATCTTGAGTTAATTTTTGTATAAGATGTAAGGAGTTTCTGCATATGCCTAACCAGTAAAACTGTTTTTAAAACAATGTAAAATCTCAAGAAAGATTTTGAGTTAACTCTTTGTCCAAATCAAACACAACTGGAAATCTATCTTGTTCTCTGCACAGATTATTTAAATCTTAGTGTCAAGATACATAGGCACCAATATATATATCACCAAGATAGGTATTATGTCTCTAAATCAGAGTGTGATGTGATTATCCAGTAATGGTTCATGGGGATAACCAAGTGATAGTAGAAAAAAAAAATTAATTTGGAACTCAGTAGGACTGCAAATAAGTAAAAATGGAAGCCTGGAAACTGAAAACAAATTCAAATTAAGTTTTCCTATCAAGGTAAACTTAGTTTTTATTTTGTTTCATATATGTATGACCAATTAATAATAACTTAGTGAGTTTGCCCCATATGTTTCACCATATATTTAGCTCTCTTAAGTACTGTTGGTGACAAATAAATAAAATAACTGGGAATTTATGGCCCCTGCTGTCTTTAAAGTGCTTATAAGTTAGTTATAGAATAATAATAACATTCCTAACTCTGCTGCTAACCAGCAACATTACATTGCATAAGTGTCTGAGTCTACTTTTCTAGACTTGTACATCACAGATGCTCCTGATTTTCCTCTTACATTTCACCTTCTCCTTTTCACTGGCTTCCTCTGGCCTCCCCTCCACCCTCAGACTTCTAAATGTAGAATGGAAGTTTCCGCCCTCAGCACTCATCTCTTTCCTGTCTACATTTTCCTCCTGGGTGATCAGATGATCTCTTTGAATACTATCTATGTACTAATTTTTTTCGAATTTTTATCCTTTGCCAGAAGTCCTCCCTTGAATTCTAGATTCATATATTACACAACATCACATTTTTACCAGGATGTCTAACAAGTATTTCAAACTTAACAAGGCCAAACAGAACTAGTAACTACCTTCCTTAAGCCTAGTGTATATCCTCCCATTTCCCCCTTTCCATGTACCCCCCATTCCCAGTCTTTTCCATTTCCGTAAATGGTGACAACATTTTCTCAGTTGTTTAGGTCAAAACCTGAGTCATTACTGAATCTTTTTCTTTCTTACATTTCACACCTAATTTTTCAGTAATTACTGGCAGTGCTACTCACAAAACATATTCAGAATGAAAACATTTTCAGAATATTCAGACCACTGCTGACCACTTTGTATGCTATTACCAGCATTCAGATCTCAATGAGAGTGTTACTTCCTCAGACAGCCCTTCTCTGACACCCTCAGGAAAGCTGTAGTCCTTCACTATCATACTCACTCTCAGTACCTGATTTTATTATCATCTTCAACTTATCAGTACATGGAAGGTTTATTTATTTACTTGTTAATTTGCTGTCTTCTGCACTGGAATGTAAACTCTTTCAGGTCAAAGAATATGTACAGTCTATTCAATGTTGAATCCCCAGCACTTAGAATAGAGACTGGCACACGGTAAGTAATCAAAAAAATTTGCTGATGGTTTGGTTAACTGGCCTTTATATTTTAATCTGTAAAACAAAGGGAATGAAACCAATGATCTCTAAGGACTTTTCTAGGCCTAAGATTCTTTTCTATTCTCTTAATACTGGATTGGTTTGAATAATGAGGATAGCAAAATGTCCAAGTTGTACCCATTTTCTAAGACCTAGTTAAGTCACATCTCTAACCACTTGGACCCATAGATCTTTCTTCCTTCCTGCGTGAACAACCATAGAGTCTCTGTGGGTTAGTTCATGGCTAGCCAAATACCTTTGCCTTATTAGTTAAGTGCGCTTGCATGCATATTTGTAATTGCAATTTCACTTGAACACTTTTGAAGTAAGACCCTGTGCTTGTCCCCCCTGCTTTTTCTTATAGCATTAATGATAACACTAGTTAAAATTCACTGAGTGTCAATATGAGGCAGGCAATGTTTATACTTGATGAGCATTAACTAATTTAATTTTTACAGCTACCCCATAAATTAAGATTATTATTTATTCTCAAGAGAGAAAATCAAGGCATAGCATGTTGAAGTACCTTACCCACACAACTAGTAAGAAGTGGAGCTGGTATTCAAACTTGAGAAGTCTAATTCCAAACTAGTGCTCTTAATCAATACACGATAATATTTCATGTGGTACCTAGCTCAGACACTAGAAATATGTGGGAAATAGAACAGACACTAGATATTCATTTGAGTGAGCTCGGTGAATAAATAAGAAATAGATAAAAATGTGCAGCGGTAGTTCTATGAAGTGACTGTATATCTCACCCAGAAAATCTCTAGGTAATTACTGGAAAGACTCTCATTCTCATGAATACCTGGTTTTATTCTGACTGCTGCCTTCACATGGCTTGCATTTTTGTATTTATCATTCCACTTCACTCTGCTTCTGCTTAATCCAGCAGTTTTGTATCTGAGCAACCATCTGTCTTTAAACAAATTCCACAGATGTAATCATCAGTACAGCTAAACCAAAAACAAATTCAAACCTAATCTTCCCAGAAGAGCAGAACTTGGTGTAGGTTAGAAAGACTTTAAGTGTTTTAAAGAGTATTCTTTTTACCTGTTTTCTAGCAGTGATGAAGTAATAAGTAAAAAGAATGTCAGTTAAAATATAAAATAAAGCTTTGTGTGGCTGTTTAAAAAATTGTAGAATAGGCCAGATGCGGTGGCTTACGCCTGTAATCCCAGCACTTTGGAAGGCTAAGGTGTGTGGACCACCTGAGGTCAGGAGTTCAAGACTAGCCTGGCCAACATGGTGAAACCCCCGTCTCTACTAAAAATACAAAAATTAGCGGGGCCTGTCATCCCAGCTGCTCAGGAGGCTGAGGCAGGAGAATCGCTTGAACCTGGGAGGCCGAGGTTGCAGGGAGCCGGAATCACACCATTGCACTCCAGCCTGGGTGACAAGAGCAAGACTCAGTCTCAAGAAAAAAGAAATGGTAGAATAAAGCAATATGAAATAGTAGATTTCATCTTGGATTTATTGTGAGACTCTGAAATTAGAACTAGTCATGGATGTTTCTCATTCCCAACATGGTTGCCAGTGTCTGTTTTCTTCTTCGGCATGTACTGCCCCATGTACTAATGATCTGTTTTGCTGCTGTGGGTTACAGGAAAGGTACAAAGAAGCCCTTATGACACTTAGAAAGCCTATTTAAGATAAGCAAATAATAAAGCACCAGACAAAAAGGGTACACCCTCATCTCAGGTCGCAATTCAATTTCCCTCCTCTCCCAAATTTTCTATTGCCAATAGCAATGAATGTAGCTTTGTCAACATAATAATAGTTTTGAGGGACTATCAGAGAATAGTTGTCCTAATTTTTTGAAAGGCATTATAGGATATATATATCTTGAATGCCTCTTTGCTGTTTTGTTCACTAGCTATTGACCTTGGGCAAGTTACTTAATCTTAGCTACTTTATGTTAACCTCAGTTTCCTCAATTGTAAAATGCAATAATGACAATGCTATTCTAGTAAGAGTACCAGAGAAGCAAATATGCCACTGCTGGTAAAGCGCTGCTGAGAACAGGGACTGGCATGTTTGAAGGCATTTTATAAGTGCTTGTTAAACAAACAGGGCATCCCCTGCTGTCCTCTTTCCCCTCACACACTCAGGGATTCAGTAGAGTTAATATAGTTCTAATACAAAATAAATACACTTAAGATTTTAGTGTTTGCAGCTTTATAATGAATAAATGCAAAATTTCTATTATTGTTATTTTCAACTACTATTGGCAACAAACTCATGGACTTTTACTGTACTTTCATGGATATCAAGGAGTTGATGGACATCAGACTGGAAGTGGCTTATTTGTTCATTTATTTATTCATTTATTCATTCAGTCAACAAATATTTATAGAGCACTTGCTACATGCTGGGAATGTATGTGATTACTTATGTGAATCTTAAATTTGCTAGAGATGGGGATATAGCAATCTTTGTTTTTTCATAATACAATCACTTGGAAATTTTTTACTCACTGAATTTAATTCATAGGTTTAATTACTATCTACTGTCTAGTACTGAACTGAGATTTTGTAAAGAATACAGTGAATAGGGAAAATGTTTACTCTTATAAAATGATTACAATTTAATAAAATCTTATAAATTCAAGAGATGTAACTAAGAATGAAAACAAAGTAATACAGGTCATCAGAAGACAGTGAGAAGAATGTAAGCCTGGGAAAAGAGAAGGTCTGGAGGTGTGCTCTGGAGATGGGAAGATTTAGATAGATACAAAGCAGGGGAAATCATCATGGTGGGAGAAAGCCCAATAAGCAGAGATTTGTGTCTGAAAATGAACATGACCCCCTGGGAAAAAGGAAGATGGCCTCATAGCACCTTGCACATCTTCTCATCTAGTATGGCATTTAATACCTTGTAGGCTTGCAAAAAATGTTACAGGGAGTATAACTGAGTTAATGGGAAAATTTATTCATGAAAGAGAATAACAGATTATATTATGGAGATCATTTCTTCACATATTTGTTCATTTGTCTACTCACCTGTTTAACAGACATTGAACACACATGCGCCAGTCATCTGCTAGCCACTGGGGATACTGCTGTGATGGAGAAAGACAGAGCTTCTGCTTTCAGGGACATTATAAACTAGTGGAATCAGATTACAGAGTATGTTGCTTTTTTTTTTTTTTTTAAATTTGGAGACAGGGTCTTGCTTTGTTGCCAGGCTGGAGTGCAGTGGCATGATTATAGCTCACCGCAGACTTAAACTCCTGGGCTCAAGAAATCTCCCACCTCAGGCTTCTGAGCAGCTGAGACTACAGGTGTGCACCACCACATCTGGGCAATTTATTTATTTATTTATTTTTGTACAGACAGGATCTCACTTTATTGTCCAGGCTAGTATCAATCTCCTGGGCTCAAGCAATCCTCCCAGTTTGGCCTTTCACAGTGTTGGGATTACAGGTCTGAGCCACCTTGTCCAGATGGATTACAGAACATTTTGAATACCAAAGCAAGAAGCTTGGCATTTATTTAAAATGTAATGGGGAACCAATAAAATATCTTAAGGAGAGGAAAGTTTTGGTATTAATCAGAGTAGATAGGGACTAGAAATATGATCATTAATTCAGAGTTTATTGTAATAACTCAGGTGTGATTTGGTGAGAGCCTGAACCAAACTGGCCTCAGTGCCCTGGTGAGTAAGAATAAATGTGAAAATGGGTCAAAACAATTTAACTAACAGATAGATCAAAACTGTTTAGGGACATATTGGATACTTGAAGTTAAAGAGAAGAAATTATTAAAGGCACTCCGAAGCTATCAAATGCTATGGCATGAAAACTTACAGTATCATAAGCCAAATGGGTAAATTTGGGAAAAAAAATTAGATGGGGGTTGTGGAGGGAAATTGGCCAATTGACTAAGAACATACTGACATGCTGAGGTGATGTCAAATGGGTTTCATGAAGAGGAATGGATTTCCAAGTTTTTTTGACAGTGACCTGAGTAAAACACAGATTTTACATGATGACCTGATATACATATGTATAGCAAAACTTTTACAAAATGGTGCTAATCCCACTACAGGCAATTTACCCTGATCAATTCTATTCTATTAATTTTATTTTACTAAACAATACTGGCCATGACATCCTAAATTTATTTCATGACCCTGTTTGAAAGTTGTTCTAAAGATAGTTGAAAATTAGGAACTTTCTATAGTAGGTGTGTTGTAGAAATTTTTGGCAATGAGGCCCTTACGGAAGAAAGGTCAAGGCTAATCCAGATTTTGGGGTTGTGCCATATGGCATTAGGAAATAAGCTTGAGTTCACAGGGTATAGAAATTTTTCCTAGATGATCATGACTACAAACAGAACAGTTTCTAACCCATGAATAAATTAGTTACATATACCCCAGGATGTGGATGACAAAGAATATTAGAAATAGCATGAAATATCATCACTATTTTTTTTACTATAAAATATATGTTTTAGTTTAAAAATAAAGGTAGCTGTGTTAATATTTAACTACACTGGATTTTTCCTAGTGAGTAATGTCCCCAATATCCTCCCCTCCCTATGCTTGTAGATACATTTCATATTTGATGTTTTCCAGGATTATGAACAATTTTAAGGTACAGTAAGAGTGAACAAAAGAACAACCCCTGAATGGACAGATTTGTGGCTGTTAGTTTAATTTGGCTAATCAAGAAGCAACTGCACCAATGTAGTAAGTGGCCATGAGCAAGTTTCTCTACAACAAAAAACATTGCTTCACAGGGTGGTTGAGTCACTGGAAAGATTTTCATATTTAAACTCCTTTAGCATCCCCTTTGTCTACTCACCTAAACCAAATACAAAATAATATCAATGGGAATTAGTACTGGTTTGGGACTTGGATTTGAGTGGGGAGGCCAAAGAAGAGCCAGCCATAACAGCACATTGTAAGTATTGAGTAACATTCTGGGCAATGACTGTGGTGTGGCTGCTGGGCCAATAGGATATATCATTGGGCCATTTAAATAGACCCTGTTTTGACTAGTGGCTAGAATATTTTTAACCTCTTCAGTTGGTCAGGATTGAAGTAAGGCAGCTTCTGCTAGCCTGTTTACCTTCACGGTATACCTTTAACTACACTAATTTCTGGATTGCGTTCTAATGAGAAAAGAAAAATGTAGAGGATGCACGGTATCAAGTGCTCATGGCCATTTACCATATGGCTACAGTTGACTCGATCTGACAAATTAAATTGACAATCAATGAAAGTTTTGAATGACTTCTGTATCTAGTCTGTATCTATCTGTATCTAGGCATGAGCTGGATCTAGTGTTAGATACAGTGAGGATGAACCATGGTTAGTGCTTTCAGGAAACTTATTATCTTGGGGATGTAGGATATAAATTGTAGCATTTCTGTTGTCTGCAACATTAATCTAAAAACCTCAATGACCCAAATAGAAAAGGAAAAAAGCTTTCTGAACAGCCAAACAGAGATTCCAAAGTTCAGGCACCAAAGTTCAGACCCTAACAGTTATTTACAAGGGTCAGTTAACCTTTTGTTCTAGTGGGATAGGATTCCCATGGTGAGATTTGAAGAACTGTGGAACCACTGTTTCAGGTTCTTTTTCCACTTTGCCACCCGTTTGAAATTCCATCCATTAGGAATTAACTGGCATGATGGGAGTCCCTTTTATAATAAAATGCCTCTATTCTAGAAAGGTTAGGTATGGGGGAGGAAATAGAGTGTTGATGAGATTAGGAGCATGAGGTTCAGATAAGGAGAGGTTTTGTGAGATTTTGTAGAATTAGCTTAGTAAGATTTTTAATATTTAAGACCTACCCGAATTTGCCAACAGGTTAAGAAAGGGAAGTTTTGGTATGGGGTTTATGTTAGAAAGGAGGCACATGGAACTTAGAGGCTGGGTAATGGTTGGAAAGGTGGGACCCCTAAAAGATAGATGTTTGAGGTATACAGAAGGCAGTGGAATGGGAGAGAGAAATGATCATTTTCATGCTTAGTTTTGCCTGAAAACCCAGATAATTGCGAACTCGGCTTTTTTTTTTTCTGCTTGCCAGCCTGCATTTCTTTTCTTTCTTAAGGTTCTGCAGGAAGTTTCATTGTCTTTGAAGCTGGGATCTAATTCTTTGCTTTGATATTTTATGAAACATTTAGAAATTACACATCATCATATCCTCCTTACTTTCTTCAGTCCTCTGCCTACTCATTCCATTTCTCCAGGAAAACTGTCTTCACAAGCAAAAATAAACACAGTGAATACAAATTTGAAATTTGAAGTCTGTTGGATTGTATAGGTAGCTAAGGAGGTTAGAGCCCACACAGCTTATTTACACGTGAGATTGTCCTTGGATGTAGAGCTTCTCCTCCACTGCTTCTTTATTATCCCAGGAGTACCTTGTATTCTACATGCATAGTAATTTATAATGTTTCACTATAATTATCTTCTTATTTTCCTGCATCCCTTGTTACATTGTGAGCTCCTTGAAATCAGCTCCTTAAAATAATTATGAAACACTGTCTTATGGGTTGTGCCCTGTCAACAAGAATGCTATTGTTAAATAATTAGCATGTTTGTTGATGCTGGCCAATATTTACTTTTAGGTATCATCACTTCTGATGTGGATTTTTTGTCAATTTTCCACATAACTGCAGATATAAGTTTGGACTCATCAACACAGCCATTTGCTTTCAAGACATTAAATGCTTTAAACACAGCCATTTGCTTTCAATACATTAATAACTGAATAAATAAACAGTATACATTTAAAAATTAAAATTGAATCAAAATAATAATTATCTGTATTTTATCTAGTAACTTAAGTTATTGCTGTTAAATACATAGACTATGTCACTGCTGTAAATCAGAAGCATTTTGGAAAAAGAGTTCCATTGTCAACATCATATGTTACTAAAATTAGTTCTTTGTTTTATTTAAATGCATGTTTTTGTTGCAATATATTATTGTTAACTGAATGATTTTAGCAAACCAAATTTTCAAAGTATTATTCTAACAAAAGAATTTTATTGTTTTCAATATCTATATAATGAAAAACTAATACTGAACAATTCAATGCTTATATACCCAAAAATATTTTACAATTATTTTTGAAAGCATTTATATTATGTAGTTTATTATAATTTGGCTAGAGATGAATTTCTCTCAAAAAAGTGAACATCTGCCAATTATTTATATGATATATTTCTTAAAACTTACACTTTTTTGGATCAAATAATTCATTTATTGATGTCAGCGCACACATACCTTCTTGGAAAACTCCTGAGAATTTCAAGGCTTAAATTCCAAGCTTCAGCTGGGTTACGGGTTGAGAAAGTTTTAGCTAAGAACTGGCACTAAAAGATTACAAAACATCTCGCAAAGCTTAAAGCTATAGAAGACATCAAGAAGAAAAAATACCTTTTAATAAAAACATTCTAAACTCTATCCACTAAAATTTCAACATGAGACTATTTTAGCTATACAATCTTAGTTGTTTTATAGAAGATTGATAAAGTTCAATTTTATAACTTTAAACTTAAGTAACAAGTTTCTTGAATTTCATGTTTAAAATATAGAATATGAATAGATTCAAAGTGCATTCATTTCTGTTTAATTTCCATCTGTGGCTATCCTTATGAGACAGGATTAGTATTAATTTCAATTTATATGTTTATAGATTCTATTAGTTGTTAATTTATTAAGAATGGATAAACATGGATTGCAGACATTAACTATATTTTTCTTGCACTTGAAAAACTTGATAAAAAAATATGAGAAAGTCTCATTAATATAGTTTAAATAAGTTTAAATGAACTTTTTATTCTTTAAAAATATTAAGCTGAACTAGCTAGAGCGTAATACTTGAGGAGCAATTGTGAGGCTTAGGAATGAACAAGCTCTCAAACTTGAATCCTAATTGCCTAACTTGATATATTCTTTCCTACCACTCAGGTCCTTTTCTCATTTGATAAGGCTGTCACATTGAAAACATGGAATTGCAGAATGTTCAAGGTAGAAGGATCGTTAAAGATAATTTAGTCCAACTTGACCCATATGGCATAGAGATATATGCAGATCTGCATGTCCAGTTCTGCAGCTAGAAACTGACACTGAGCTGAATTAAACCACACGGAGAAGAACTGAGAAATTTAAAGTAAAAGGTTAGGAAATTCGAATGTATATATATTCCAGAGGCCCAGTGTAACATGAAGAAAGTCAAGGAGAGGGACTCTTTCATCATGGAAGATCTGGGGGCAGAGGGACTTAAAAGGTGGGACAAGCCAAAGATGGTGACCTAGGGTGGTTTTTATGATATAACCTTTTTTCTCCTCATTCCCTATGAAATCTTCAGCCAATTCCATATTTCTCACTAATTCAAGTGAATATCTGGGGGGATGGCTTATGGAGGGAAATAAGGGAGCAATTGTTTGGATTATATTCCAATTTTTTATTTGCATTAGAATACCTATATGTTTATACATTTTTATTTGCATTAGAAATACTTATATAAGTTTATACACTTTCATTCTAACTTTTTTTGAGGGAAATGTATCTCCATAAGTGAATAAGAAGTTAAATTACTGATTATGTTTCAATTGGTTAGTTTGATGCTTAACAGTCTTTCACTTTTCCACTCTTGCATATTTTGTAGAGAGTAATACAAGCTCTTCATGATAGGAAGGATCTGCATATGTTTATTTTATAGTAGAAAAATGGTAAGATTTTCCTGTCCCCAATTTTCTCTCCAAACAAATCCAAATTTCTTGTATTTTGGAATGACTCTGGGTAAAGTGGTTGTTTATAGAAAGTCTCTTATAAAATATTGAGGATATTATTAGATATTATTACATTTCCATGAATATGTTTCCCTTTATCTTTAAGAGAAGAAGAGTCAGAAATATAACCTATCAGAGTGGGAGATGGCATAAAAGCTGGACTAAATGGATTGCTAGATGGAGGGCAAACCTGGTGTGAATGACTCAGTGAGAAGCTTCGGGAGTCCTGAGGGTAGCAGAAGGGTGCGGATTTAAAGTTACTGTTAGAGTGGCTGGAAAATGGGAGACCGGTTCAGAGACATTTTATCTACTTAAAAACTGTGCCTTTTGTATCACGTCAAAGTGAATGCAAAACAAAGAACAAAAGGGTTAAAGGCTCAGGTTTAAATCCCAGGTATATGTACATTTCAATTGAGGTATTTTTTTTTTCTTTTCTAAATGATCAGTACACTTATTCTTTCTAAAGAAAATACTTTTCTTAACTACTCTCTATTTTTAAACTTCTCCCACAAAGATGAGAAAACATTTAAAAATCATTGGGGCTATTTTTCTGTTTACCGAGTAAAGAGAATCTCTAAACCATATTTATAACTCTTACTCTAAATATTTGCATTTACCCTCATGCCAGAGCCCGTTGATGACTGACTAAACAGAGTTTCAAAGTTTGAAGAACAGGAAATTTAGAAATGACTAACAATTATGTAGGTTTATTTCTCTCAGTATAGAATGTTCATATAGAATTAATGCCAGAGGTTTTCAGAGAAAAATGCAGAAATTTTTACTTTGCAAATCCAGAAGATGCAATTGTTCAAGTATTTCTTAAGAAACATTAATTTTAAGTATGCAGATATCATTGAGAATTAAATATTTTAATTTCTAAACTATTAATCTTTTAGTAGGATGCACATATGCAAAATGCCTCATTAGTACTGTAAGAAAAGATTCTTGGCCGGGCGCGGTGGCTCATGACTGTAATCCCAGCACTTTGGGAGGCCGAGGTGGGCGGATGACGAGGTCAGGAGATCGAGACCACCCTGGCACACGGTGAAACCCCGTCTCTACTAAAGATACAAAAAATTAGCCGGGCGTGATGGCGGGCGCCTGTAGTCCCAGCTACTCGGGAGGCTGAGGCAGAAGAATGGCGTGAACTCGGGAGGCGGAGCTTGCAAGTGAGCCGAGATAGTGCCACTGCACTCCAGTCTGGGCGAAAGAGCGAGACTCCATCTCAAAAAAAAAAAAAAAAAAAGAAAAGATTCTTTTAGGTTTCATCAATTTTGTTTTAAAGCTAGGGCTCTTCATTAGATATAGGAAAATCAATTCAAAGTTTCTATTCAGTCATGATGAATTTGAGATTTTTTTAGGTTTCTTTGTATTTAACAATATATTACATTATAATGTTGTGGTGAAAACTAAATGGACTAATATTATTCTTTTCATTTGTTAAATGAAAAAGTATGCACAAAGTATATGTGAGAGTGACAAAGGCCTGAATTTGTCAATTAGTAACAATTGTATTCAACAGTAAGGATTTTATGTTTGGGTAGGCCTTTCCCAGGGACTTCTACAAGGAAAAAGCTAGAGTTGGTTACTGACTTCTAATAAATAATGCCTACAATTTCTAGGAAGTTAAAAGTTGACATAATTTATCCAAGAAAGAATTATTTTCTTAACTTAGAATAGTTTCTTTTTTCTTTTCAGATGTAGGTTTTTCTGGCTTTAGAAAAAATGCTTGTTTTTCTTCAATGGAAAATAGGCACACTTGTTTTATGTCTGTTCATCTGTAGTCAGAAAGACAAGTCTGGTATTTCCTTTCAGGACTCCCTTGAGTCATTAAAAAAAATCTTCCTATCTATCTATGTATCTATCATCCATCTAGCTTTGATTTTTTCCTCTTCTGTGCTTTATTAGTTAATTAGTACCCATTTCTGAAGAAGAAATAACATAAGATTATAGAAAATAATTTCTTTCATTGTAAGACTGAATAGAAAAAATTTTCTTTCATTATAAGACTGAGTAGAAAAAATAATACTTTGTTAGTCTCTGTGCCTCTATGTGCCATGAGGAAATTTGACTACTGGTTTTGACTGACTGAGTTATTTAATTAAGTAAAATAACTGGCTTAGTACTAATTATTGTTCTGTAGTATCAGAGAAAGTTGTTCTTCCTACTGGTTGAGCTCAGTAGTTCTTCATATTCTGAGCAAAAGGGCAGAGGTAGGATAGCTTTTCTGAGGTAGAGATAAGAACCTTGGGTAGGGAAGGAAGATTTATGAAATATTTAAAAAATTATTCTTCCTTCGCTTTGTTTTTAGACATAATGTTAAATTTATTTTGAAATTTAAAGCAACATAAAAGAACATGTGATTTTTCTACTTATTGAAAGAGAGAAAGGAAAAAAATATGAAACAGGGATGGAAAGAATCCTATGCCTGGTGAAGGTCAAGGGTTCTCATAACCTACAGAGAATTTGGGGTCAGCCTGTCCTATTGTATATTATGGCAAAGATAATCATCATCTCATTTGGGTCCATTTTCCTCTCCATCTCTGCTTAACTGAAGATCCCATGAGATATACTCACACTGAATCTAAATAGCCTATCTCAGGGCTTGAATCACATGTGGGCCACAGCAGGAATGGGAACATGGAATTTCTAAGTCCTATCTTACTTGTTATTGTTGCTATGTCTTTTTCTTAGTTTGCATCTGAGGCAACATCAGCTTTTTCAGACAGAATGGCTTTGGAATAGTAAAAAAGACACAGAAGCCCTAAAATATGTATGTATGTATATGTGTGTGTGCATGCGTGAGTACTTGTGTGTAAATTTTTCATTATCTATAGGTAAAAGCACACTTGGAATTAGCAATAGATGCAATTTGGGACTTAACTCTTTCAGTATGTCTTATTTCTAAGCAAAGTATTTAGTTTGGTTAGTAATTACTAAACACTGAGAACTAAATTGCAAACACCAAGAACTAAAATGTTCAAGTGGGAAATTACAGTTAAATACCATGGTAATGAATAAAAGGTACAAATCGTTTAAACTCTTATGTAAAATTTGATAAGATGTTTTACACAACTTTAATACATTGACAAGGTCTTGTGGAGAAAACAGTTCCAGATGGTAAATATACACAAGGGATTTAGTCAAACAATTTTTTGGCAAGAATATTATGAATTTTGTAATCGGTTGGCAGCCAATGAAATACAAAGATGAGTCTAGTTAATAATCTACAATTATTGGTTAAAGAAGTATATTAGTGCTAATTTCCCTCCGTTTGTCCTAGCTTTTCTCTTCTGTCAACCCCACACGCCTTTGGCACAATGAAGTGGGTAACCTTTATTTCCCTTCTTTTTCTCTTTAGCTCGGCTTATTCCAGGGGTGTGTTTCGTCGAGATGCACGTAAGAAATCCATTTTTCTATTGTTCAACTTTTATTCTATTTTCCCAGTAAAATAAAGTTTTAGTAAACTCTGCATCTTTAAAGAATTATTTTGGCATTTATTTCTAAAATGGCATAGTATTTTGTATTTGTGAAGTCTTACAAGGTTATCTTATTAATAAAATTCAAACATCCTAGGTAAAAAAAAAAAAAGGTCAGAATTGTTTAGTGACTGTAATTTTCTTTTGCGCACTAAGGAAAGTGCAAAGTAACTTAGAGTGACTGAAACTTCACAGAATAGGGTTGAAGATTGAATTCATAACTATCCCAAAGACCTATCCATTGCACTATGCTTTATTTAAAAACCACAAAACCTGTGCTGTTGATCTCATAAATAGAACTTGTATTTATATTTATTTTCATTTTAGTCTGTCTTCTTGGTTGCTGTTGATAGACACTAAAAGAGTATTAGATATTATCTAAGTTTGAATATAAGGCTATAAATATTTAATAATTTTTAAAATAGTATTCTTGGTAATTGAATTATTCTTCTGTTTAAAGGCAGAAGAAATAATTGAACATCATCCTGAGTTTTTCTGTAGGAATCAGAGCCCAATATTTTGAAACAAATGCATAATCTAAGTCAAATGGAAAGAAATATAAAAAGTAACATTATTACTTCTTGTTTTCTTCAGTATTTAACAATCCTTTTTTTTCTTCCCTTGCCCAGACAAGAGTGAGGTTGCTCATCGGTTTAAAGATTTGGGAGAAGAAAATTTCAAAGCCTTGTAAGTTAAAATATTGATGAATCAAATTTAATGTTTCTAATAGTGTTGTTTATTATTCTAAAGTGCTTATATTTCCTTGTCATCAGGGTTCAGATTCTAAAACAGTGCTGCCTCGTAGAGTTTTCTGCGTTGAGGAAGATATTCTGTATCTGGGCTATCCAATAAGGTAGTCACTGGTCACATGGCTATTGAGTACTTCAAATATGACAAGTGCAACTGAGAAACAAAAACTTAAATTGTATTTAATTGTAGTTAATTTGAATGTATATAGTCACATGTGGCTAATGGCTACTGTATTGGACAGTACAGCTCTGGAACTTGCTTGGTGGAAAGGACTTTAATATAGGTTTCCTTTGGTGGCTTACCCACTAAATCTTCTTTACATAGCAAGCATTCCTGTGCTTAGTTGGGAATATTTAATTTTTTTTTTTTTTTAAGACAGGGTCTCGCTCTGTCGCCCAGGCTGGAGTGCAGTGGCGCAATCTCGGCTCACTGCAAACTCCGCCTCCCGGGTTCACGCCATTCTCCTGCCTCAGCCTCCCGAGTAGCTGGGACTACAGGCGCCCGCCATCACGCCCGGCTAATCTTTTGTATTTTTAGTAGAGATGGGGTTTCACCGTGTGCCAGGATGGTCTCAATCTCCTGACATCGTGATCTGCCCACCTCGGCCTCCCAAAGTGCTGGGATTACAGGAGTGAGCCACCGCGCCCGGCCTATTTAAATGTTTTTTAATCTAGTAAAAAATGAGAAAATTGTTTTTTTAAAAGTCTACCTAATCCTACAGGCTAATTAAAGACGTGTGTGGGGATCAGGTGCGGTGGTTCACACCTGTAATCCCAGCACTTTGGAAGGCTGATGCAGGAGGATTGCTTGAGCCCAGGAGTTCAAGACCAGCCTGGGCAAGTCTCTTTAAAAAAAACAAAACAAACAAACAAAAAAATTAGGCATGGTGGCACATGCCTGTAGTCCTAGCTACTTAGGAGGCTGACGTAGGAGGATCGTTTGGACCTGAGAGGTCAAGGCTACAGTGAGCCATGATTGTGCCACTGCACTCCAGCCTGGGTGACAGAGTGAGACTCTGTCTCAAAAAAGAAAAAGGAAATCTGTGGGGTTTGTTTTAGTTTTAAGTAATTCTAAGGACTTTAAAAATGCCTAGTCTTGACAATTAGATCTATTTGGCATACAATTTGCTTGCTTAATCTATGTGTGTGCATAGATCTACTGACACACGCATACATATAAACATTAGGGAACTACCATTCTCTTTGCGTAGGAAGCCACATATGCCTATCTAGGCCTCAGATCATACCTGATATGAATAGGCTTTCTGGATAATGGTGAAGAAGATGTATAAAAGATAGAACCTATACCCATACATGATTTGTTCTCTAGCGTAGCAACCTGTTACATATTAAAGTTTTATTATACTACATTTTTCTACATCCTTTGTTTCAGGGTGTTGATTGCCTTTGCTCAGTATCTTCAGCAGTGTCCATTTGAAGATCATGTAAAATTAGTGAATGAAGTAACTGAATTTGCAAAAACATGTGTTGCTGATGAGTCAGCTGAAAATTGTGACAAATCACTTGTAAGTACATTCTAATTGTGGAGATTCTTTCTTCTGTTTGAAGTAATCCCAAGCATTTCAAAGGAATTTTTTTTAAGTTTTCTCAATTATTATTAAGTGTCCTGATTTGTAAGAAACACTAAAAAGTTGCTCATAGACTGATAAGCCATTGTTTCTTTTGTGATAGAGATGCTTTAGCTATGTCCACAGTTTTAAAATCATTTCTTTATTGAGACCAAACACAACAGTCATGGTGTATTTAAATGGCAATTTGTCATTTATAAACACCTCTTTTTAAAATTTGAGGTTTGGTTTCTTTTTGTAGAGGCTAATAGGGATATGATAGCATGTATTTATTTATTTATTTATCTTATTTTATTATAGTAAGAACCCTTAACATGAGATCTACCCTGTTATATTTTTAAGTGTACAATCCATTATTGTTAACTACGGGTACACTGTTGTATAGCTTACTCATCTTGCTGTATTAAAACTTTGTGCCCATTGATTAGTAACCCCTCGTTTCGTCCTCCCCCAGCCACTGGCAACCAGCATTATACTCTTTGATTCTATGAGTTTGACTACTTTAGCTACCTTATATAAGTGGTATTATGTACTGTTTATCTTTTTATGACTGACTTATTTCCCTTAGCATAGTGCATTCAAAGTCCAACCATGTTGTTGCCTATTGCAGAATTTCCTTCTTTTCAAGGCTGAATAATATTCCAGTGCATGTGTGTACCACATTTTCTTTATCCATTAATTTGTTGATTGATAGACATTTAGGTTGGTTTTCTACATCTTGACTATCATGAATAGTGTTGCAATGAACACAGGAGAGCTACTATCTCTTAGAGATGATATCATGGTTTTTATCATCAGAAAACACCCACTGATTTCTATGCTAATTTTGTTACCTGGGTGGAATAATAGTACAGCTATATATTCCTCATTTTAGATATCTTTGTATTTCTACATACAATAAAAAAGCAGAGTACTTAGTCATGTTGAAGAACTTTAAACTTTTAGTATTTCCAGATCAATCTTCAAAACAAGGACAGGTTTATCTTTCTCTCACCACTCAATCTATATATACCTCTTGTGGGCAAGGCCAGTTTTTATCACTGGAGCCTTTCCCCTTTTTATTATGTACCTCTCCCTCACAGCAGAGTCAGGACTTTAACTTTACACAATACTATGGCTCTACATATGAAATCTTAAAAATACATAAAAATTAATAAATTCTGTCTAGAGTAGTATATTTTCCCTGGGGTTACAGTTACTTTCATAATAAAAATTAGAGATAAGGAAAGGACTCATTTATTGGAAAGTGATTTTAGGTAACATTTCTGGAAGAAAAATGTCTATATCTTAATAGTCACTTAATATATGATGGATTGTGTTACTCCTCAGTTTTCAATGGCATATACTAAAACATGGCCCTCTAAAAAGGGGGCAAATGAAATGAGAAACTCTCTGAATGTTTTTCTCCCCTAGGTGAATTCACCTGCTGCTTAGAAGCTTATTTTCTCTTGATTTCTGTTATAATGATTGCTCTTACCCTTTAGTTTTAAGTTTCAAAATAGGAGTCATATAACTTTCCTTAAAGCTATTGACTGTCTTTTTGTCCTGTTTTATTCACCATGAGTTATAGTGTGACAGTTAATTCTTATGAAAATTATATAGAGATGGTTAAATCATCAGAAACTGTAAACCTCGATTGGGAGGGGAAGCGGATTTTTAAATGATTTCCTGACCAAGCTTAACCAGTATATTAAATCCTTTGTACTGTTCTTTGGCTATAAAGAAAAAAGGTACTGTCCAGCAACTGAAACCTGCTTTCTTCCATTTAGCATACCCTTTTTGGAGACAAATTATGCACAGTTGCAACTCTTCGTGAAACCTATGGTGAAATGGCTGACTGCTGTGCAAAACAAGAACCTGAGAGAAATGAATGCTTCTTGCAACACAAAGATGACAACCCAAACCTCCCCCGATTGGTGAGACCAGAGGTTGATGTGATGTGCACTGCTTTTCATGACAATGAAGAGACATTTTTGAAAAAGTAAGTAATCAGATGTTTATAGTTCAAAATTAAAAAGCATGGAGTAACTCCATAGGCCAACACTCTATAAAAATTACCATAACAAAAATATTTTCAACATTAAGACTTGGAAGTTTTGTTATGATGATTTTTTAAAGAAGTAGTATTTGATACCACAAAATTCTACACAGCAAAAAATATGATCAAAGATATTTTGAAGTTTATTGAAACAGGATACAATCTTTCTGAAAAATTTAAGATAGACAAATTATTTAATGTATTACGAAGATATGTATATATGGTTGTTATAATTGATTTCGTTTTAGTCAGCAACATTATATTGCCAAAATTTAACCATTTATGCACACACACACACACACACACACACTTAACCCTTTTTTCCACATACTTAAAGAATGACAGAGACAAGACCATCATGTGCAAATTGAGCTTAATTGGTTAATTAGATATCTTTGGAATTTGGAGGTTCTGGGGAGAATGTCGATTACAATTATTTCTGTAATATTGTCTGCTATAGAAAAGTGACTGTTTTTCTTTTTCAAAATTTAGATACTTATATGAAATTGCCAGAAGACATCCTTACTTTTATGCCCCGGAACTCCTTTTCTTTGCTAAAAGGTATAAAGCTGCTTTTACAGAATGTTGCCAAGCTGCTGATAAAGCTGCCTGCCTGTTGCCAAAGGTATTATGCAAAAGAATAGAAAAAAAGAGTTCATTATCCAACCTGATTTTGTCCATTTTGTGGCTAGATTTAGGGAACCTGAGTGTCTGATACAAACTTTCCGACATGGTCAAAAAAGCCTTCCTTTTATCTGTCTTGAAAATCTTTCATCTTTGAAGGCCTACACTCTCGTTTCTTCTTTTAAGATTTGCCAATGATGATCTGTCAGAGGTAATCACTGTGCATGTGTTTAAAGATTTCACCACTTTTTATGGTGGTGATCACTATAGTGAAATACTGAAACTTGTTTGTCAAATTGCACAGCAAGGGGCCACAGTTCTTGTTTATCTTTTCATGATAATTTTTAGTAGGGAGGGAATTCAAAGTAGAGAATTTTACTGCATCTAGATGCCTGAGTTCATGCATTCATTCCATAAATATATATTATGGAATGCTTTATTTTCTTTTCTGAGGAGTTTACTGATGTTGGTGGAGGAGAGACTGAAATGAATTATACACAAAATTTAAAAATTAGCAAAATTGCAGCCCCTGGGATATTAGCGTACTCTTTCTCTGACTTTTCTCCCACTTTTAAGGCTCTTTTTCCTGGCAATGTTTCCAGTTGGTTTCTAACTACATAGGGAATTCCGCTGTGACCAGAATGATCGAATGATCTTTCCTTTTCTTAGAGAGCAAAATCATTATTCGCTAAAGGGAGTACTTGGGAATTTAGGCATAAATTATGCCTTCAAAATTTAATTTGGCACAGTCTCATCTGAGCTTATGGAGGGGTGTTTCATGTAGAATTTTTCTTCTAATTTTCATCAAATTATTCCTTTTTGTAGCTCGATGAACTTCGGGATGAAGGGAAGGCTTCGTCTGCCAAACAGAGACTCAAGTGTGCCAGTCTCCAAAAATTTGGAGAAAGAGCTTTCAAAGCATGGTAAATACTTTTAAACATAGTTGGCATCTTTATAACGATGTAAATGATAATGCTTCAGTGACAAATTGTACATTTTTATGTATTTTGCAAAGTGCTGTCAAATACATTTCTTTGGTTGTCTAACAGGTAGAACTCTAATAGAGGTAAAAATCAGAATATCAATGACAATTTGACATTATTTTTAATCTTTTCTTTTCTAAATAGTTGAATAATTTAGAGGACGCTGTCCTTTTTGTCCTAAAAAAAGGGACAGATATTTAAGTTCTATTTATTTATAAAATCTTGGACTCTTATTCTAATGGTTCATTATTTTTATAGAGCTGTAGGCATGGTTCTTTATTTAATTTTTTAAAGTTATTTTTAATTTTTGTGGATACAGAGTAGGTATACATATTTACGGGGTATATGAGATATTTTGATATAAGTATACAACATATATAATCCCTTTATTTAATTTTATCTTCCCCCCAATGATCTAAAACTATTTGCTTGTCCTTTTATGTCTTATAGTTAAATTCAGTCACCAACTAAGTTGAAGTTACTTCTTATTTTTGCATAGCTCCAGCTCTGATCTTCATCTCATGTTTTTGCCTGAGCCTCTGTTTTCATATTACTTAGTTGGTTCTGGGAGCATACTTTAATAGCCGAGTCAAGAAAAATACTAGCTGCCCCGTCACCCACACTCCTCACCTGCTAGTCAACAGCAAATCAACACAACAGGAAATAAAATGAAAATAATAGACATTATGCATGCTCTCTAGAAACTGTCAATTGAACTGTATTTGCTCATCATTCCTACCATCTACACCACCAAAATCAACCAAATTTATGAAAAAAAACAGCCCCAACATAAAATTATACACAGATAAACAGGCTATGATTGGTTTTGGGAAAGAAGTCACCTTTACCTGATTTAGGCAACTGTGAAATGACTAGAGAATGAAGAAAATTAGACGTTTACATCTTGTCATAGAGTTTGAAGATAGTGCTGGATCTTTCTTTTTATAAGTAAGATCAATAAAAACTCCCTCATTCTGTAGAAGTTATGATTTCTTTTCTAAGAGACCTTTAGAAGTCAGAAAAAATGTGTTTCAATTGAGAAAAAAGATAACTGGAGTTTGTGTAGTACTTCCCAGATTATAAAATGCTTTTGTATGTATTATCTAATTTAATCCTCAAAACTTCTTCAATTTAGCATGTTGTCATGACACTGCAGAGGCTGAAGCTCAGAGAGGCTGAGCCCTCTGCTAACAAGTCCTACTGCTAACAAGTGATAAAGCCAGAGCTGGAAGTCACATCTGGACTCCAAACCTGATGCTTCTCAGCCTGTTGCCCCTTTTAGAGTTCCTTTTTAATTTCTGCTTTTATGACTTGCTAGATTTCTACCTACCACACACACTCTTAAATGGATAATTCTGCCCTAAGGATAAGTGATTACCATTTGGTTCAGAACTAGAACTAATGAATTTTAAAAATTATTTCTGTATGTCCATTTTGAATTTTCTTATGAGAAATAGTATTTGCCTAGTGTTTTCATATAAAATATCGCATGATAATACCATTTTGATTGGCGATTTTCTTTTTAGGGCAGTAGCTCGCCTGAGCCAGAGATTTCCCAAAGCTGAGTTTGCAGAAGTTTCCAAGTTAGTGACAGATCTTACCAAAGTCCACACGGAATGCTGCCATGGAGATCTGCTTGAATGTGCTGATGACAGGGTAAAGAGTCGTCGATATGCTTTTTGGTAGCTTGCATGCTCAAGTTGGTAGAATGGATGCGTTTGGTATCATTGGTGATAGCTGACAGTGGGTTGAGATTGTCTTCTGTGCTTTCGTCTGTCCTATCTTCAATCTTTCCCTGCCTATGGTGGTGGTACCTTTCTGTTTTTAACCTGGCTATAAATTACCAGATAAACCCATTCACTGATTTGTAACTCCTTTCAGTCATGCTCTAACTGTAAATGAAGGCTTAAACTGAAGTAGAACAGTTACAAGGTTTTACTTGGCAGAACATCTTGCAAGGTAGATGTCTAAGAAGATTTTTTTTTCTTTTTTTAAGACAGAGTTTCGCTCTTGTTTCCCAGGCTGGGGTGCAATGGTGTGATCTTGGCTCAGCGCAACCTCTGCCTCCTGGGTTCAAGTGATTCTCATGCCTCAGCCTCCCAAGTAGCTGGGATTACAGGCATGCGCCACCACACCTGGCTAATTTTGTATTTTTAGTAGAGGCGGGGTTTCACCATATTGTCCAGACTGGTCTCGAACTCCTGACCTCAGGTGATCCACCCGCCTTGGCCTCCCAAAGTGCTGGGATTACAGGCATGAGCCACCTTGCCCAGCCTAAGAAGATTTTTTGAGGGAGGTAGGTGGACTTGGAGAAGGTCACTACTTGAAGAGATTTTTGGAAATGATGTATTTTTCTTCTCTATATTCCTTCCCTTAATTAACTCTGTTTGTTAGATGTGCAAATATTTGGAATGATATCTCTTTTCTCAAAACTTATAATATTTTCTTTCTCCCTTTCTTCAAGATTAAACTTATGGGCAAATACTAGAATCCTAATCTCTCATGGCACTTTCTGGAAAATTTAAGGCGGTTATTTTATATATGTAAGCAGGGCCTATGACTATGATCTTGACTCATTTTTCAAAAATCTTCTATATTTTATTTAGTTATTTGGTTTCAAAAGGCCTGCACTTAATTTTGGGGGATTATTTGGAAAAACAGCATTGAGTTTTAATGAAAAAAACTTAAATGCCCTAACAGTAGAAACATAAAATTAATAAATAACTGAGCTGAGCACCTGCTACTGATTAGTCTATTTTAATTAAGTGGGAATGTTTTTGTAGTCCTATCTACATCTCCAGGTTTAGGAGCAAACAGAGTATGTTCATAGAAGGAATATGTGTATGGTCTTAGAATACAATGAATATGTTCTGCCAACTTAATAAAGGTCTGAGGAGAAAGTGTAGCAATGTCAATTCGTGTTGAACAATTTCCACCAACTTACTTATAGGCGGACCTTGCCAAGTATATCTGTGAAAATCAAGATTCGATCTCCAGTAAACTGAAGGAATGCTGTGAAAAACCTCTGTTGGAAAAATCCCACTGCATTGCCGAAGTGGAAAATGATGAGATGCCTGCTGACTTGCCTTCATTAGCTGCTGATTTTGTTGAAAGTAAGGATGTTTGCAAAAACTATGCTGAGGCAAAGGATGTCTTCCTGGGCATGTAAGTAGATAAGAAATTATTCTTTTATAGCTTTGGCATGACCTCACAACTTAGGAGGATAGCCTAGGCTTTTCTGTGGAGTTGCTACAATTTCCCTGCTGCCCAGAATGTTTCTTCATCCTTCCCTTTCCCAGGCTTTAACAATTTTTGAAATAGTTAATTAGTTGAATACATTGTCATAAAATAATACATGTTCATGGCAAAGCTCAACATTCCTTACTCCTTAGGGGTATTTCTGAAAATACGTCTAGAAACATTTTGTGTATATATAAATTATGTATACTTCAGTCATTCATTCCAAGTGTATTTCTTGAACATCTATAATATATGTGTGTGACTATGTATTGCCTGTCTATCTAACTAATCTAATCTAATCTAGTCTATCTATCTAATCTATGCAATGATAGCAAAGAAGTATAAAAAGAAATATAGAGTCTGACACCAGGTGCTTTATATTTGGTGAAAAGACCAGAAGTTCAGTATAATGGCAATATGGTAGGCAACTCAATTACAAAATAAATGTTTACATATTGTCAGAAGTTGTGGTGATAAACTGCATTTTTGTTGTTGGATTATGATAATGCACTAAATAATATTTCCTAAAATTATGTACCCTACAAGATTTCACTCATACAGAGAAGAAAGAGAATATTTTAAGAACATATCTCTGCCCATCTATTTATCAGAATCCTTTTGAGATGTAGTTTAAATCAAACAAAATGTTAATAAAAATAACAAGTATCATTCATCAAAGACTTCATATGTGCCAAGCAGTGTGTGCTTTGTGTAGATTATGTCATATAGTTCTCATAATCCACCTTCCGAGACAGATACTATTTATTTTTTGAGACAGAGTTTTACTCTTGTTGCCCAGGCTGGAGTGCAATGGTGCCATCTCGGCTCACCACAACCTCCGCCTCCCAGGTTCAAGCGATTCTCCTGCCTCAGCCTCCTGGGATTACAGGCATGCACCACCATGCCTGGCTAATTTTGTATTTTTAGTAGAGATGGGGTTTCACCATGTTGGTCAGACTGGTCTCAAACTCCTGACCTCTGGTGATATGCCTGCCTCAGCCTCCTAAAGTGCTGGGATTACAGGCATGAGCCACTGTGCCCAGCCGACAGATACTATTATTATTTCCATTCTACCGAGAAGGAGACTAAGGCTCTGATCATTTAAATAAGTTGCCTAAGGTGATGCAGTGATATAAGTAGCAGAGCTAGGAATTGAGCCTTGGTAACTTTAACTCTGGACCCCAAGTCCTTAGCTACTAAGCTTTACTGCATGGGGTTTAGTCAAATTAAGACTTTTGGAATATGAGTTACTTTTGAGATTAGCTTTGTGATATTTTTTGTGCTCATTTGTCCAACAAAGTCTATTTTATTTTCATCTTAATTAGGTTTTTGTATGAATATGCAAGAAGGCATCCTGATTACTCTGTCGTGCTGCTGCTGAGACTTGCCAAGACATATGAAACCACTCTAGAGAAGTGCTGTGCCGCTGCAGATCCTCATGAATGCTATGCCAAAGTGGTAGGTTTATTGTTGGAAAAAAATGTAGTTCTTTGACTGATGATTCCAATAATGAGAAAGAAAAATAATGCAAGAATGTAAAATGATATACAGTGCAATTTAGATCTTTTCTTGAGATGGTTTCAATTCTGGAATCTTAAACATGAAAGAAAAAGTAGCCTTAGAATGATTAACAAAATTTAGACTAGTTAGAATAGAAAGATCTGAATAGAGCAATCTCTAAAAAATTTTGATCTTTTTTTCTCTTTTTCACAATCCTGAGAACAAAAAAAAATTAAATTTAAATGTTAATTAGAAGATATTTAACTTAGATGTAAAGTGAGTTAACCTGATTCCAGGATTAATCAAGTACTAGAATTAGTATCTTATGGCAAATTATAGAACCTATCCCTTTAGAATATTTTCAAATCTTTTTGAGGATGTTTAGGAATAGTTTTACAAGAAATTAAGTTAGGAGAGGAAATCTGTTCTGGAGGATTTTTAGGGTTCCCACTAGCATATGTAATGGTTTCTGAACTATTCAGAATCAGAGAAAACTCATTTTTCCTGCTTTCAAGAAGCTACTGTATGCCAGGCACCATGCACAAACAATGACCAACGTAAAATCTCTCATTTTGGAGAGCCTGGAATCTAACTGGAAAGGTGAACTAATAATAATAATATGTACAATCATAGCCATCATTTATTAAACTTTTATTATATGCAAGGCACTGTTTAATTTCATTAGCTTACCTGGTTTACAGAGCAGCTCTATGAGATGAGTGCCATCTTTGCCCCTATTTTAGGGATAAGGATTCTGAAATGTGGAGATGGTAAGTAAAATTGCACAACTGAAGAATGAGTTACATGACTTGGCTCAAATACTGGTCATTGAACTCCAGAGCCTGAATATTCTTAACCACTTACATGATGCAAGCTCACCAAATAAATAGTTCGAATGTATTGTGACAGAGCGGCATTGATATTCATCTATTCATGTGGCTTTGAGTAGGAAGAAGAAAGGATATCATTCTGACCAGAGGGGTGAAAAACAACCTGCATCTGATCCTGAGGCATAATACTATTAACACAATTCTTTTATGTTTCAGTTCGATGAATTTAAACCTCTTGTGGAAGAGCCTCAGAATTTAATCAAACAAAATTGTGAGCTTTTTGAGCAGCTTGGAGAGTACAAATTCCAGAATGCGTAAGTAATTTTTATTGACTGATTTTTTTTATCAATTTGTAATTATTTAAGACTTAATATATGAGCCACCTAGCATAGAACTTTTAAGAATGAAAATACATTGCATATTTCTAATCACTCTTTGTCAAGAAAGATAGGAGAGGAGAGATAAAATAGTTGATGGGGTGGAGAGGTCTATATTTGAATGTAGTCTAAAAATTGTTCTCTTAAGATTGGAAGTATGTAGGCTGGGAGGGTAAATACCAAATCTTGGTATATCAGAACTGAGCATGTCCCTTGAAGGTTAAGAAATAGTTAATGGGCAAATAGAGCATGGCAATATTTTGTAGAGCAGCAAGTAGTAGGCCTTGAATAGATGTCGCTCAAAAAGTAATATGTAAGCTGAACACAAAAATGTAACAAATGAATTTAGATACATATTTGAATATTAAATTCAGGTTGTTTGGGAGATGCACCTAGTCTTTGATGGTTAAACCTTTCCCTCCATAGAAGAGACAGAGACAGAATGGCTTGCTGGACTAATGTCCCAATTCAATAGAGTCTTATCTATGAAGGTTAAAAACAAGAAGAGACATATTATACAGTAGATATTTATTGTGTGGCTCATACACATGGTGCTCTTCTGATTATGGATTTTAGAGATAATAACAGTGAACAAGACATAGTTTCTTTCCTCGAGTAGATTAAAGTCATACATTGACTTTTAATGGTGACTGGCATTCTTAATACATGATTATTATATATTAGGTACCATGTCAGATTAATTATAATACTTTACTACTTTTAATTTAACCCTTGAACTATCCCTATTGAGTCAGATATATTTCCTTCCATTTTCTACTTGTATCTTTCAAGTTTAGCATATGCTGATACATATGAAGCTCTCTCCAGGTTTTATTGAAAGAAGAAATTAATAAATTTATTAATGTCACTGAATTAGGCAACTCACTTTCCCAAGATTATGCAAGTGGTACAGGTGGAACTCAAAGCCAAGTTTAACTAGTTGTTCAGGAGAATGTTTTCTACCCTCCACTAACCCACTACTCTGCAGATGGAGATAATATGATGAATGGAACATAGCAACATCTTAGTTGATTCCGGCCAAGTGTTCTCTGTTTTATCTACTATGTTAGACAGTTTCTTGCCTTGCTGAAAACACATGACTTCTTTTTTTCAGGCTATTAGTTCGTTACACCAAGAAAGTACCCCAAGTGTCAACTCCAACTCTTGTAGAGGTCTCAAGAAACCTAGGAAAAGTGGGCAGCAAATGTTGTAAACATCCTGAAGCAAAAAGAATGCCCTGTGCAGAAGACTATGTGAGTCTTTAAAAAAATATAATAAATTAATAATGAAAAAATTTTACCTTTAGATATTGATAATGCTAGCTTTCATAAGCAGAAGGAAGTAATGTGTGTGTGTGCATGTTTGTGTGCATGTGTGTGTGCATGCACGTGTGTGTATGTGTGATATTGGCAGTCAAGGCCCCGAGGATGATAATTTTTTTTTTTTTTTTGAGACGGAGTCTCGCTTTGTTGTCCAGGCTGGAGTGCAGTGGTGCCATCTCGGCTCACTGCAACCTCCGCCTCCCAGGTTCAAGCCATTCTCCTGCCTCAGCCTCCCAAGTAGCTGGGACTACAGGTGCATGCCACCATGCCTGGCTAATTTTTTGTATTTTTAGTAGAAAATTTTCAGCTTCACCTCTTTTGAATTTCTGCTCTCCTGCCTGTTCTTTAGCTATCCGTGGTCCTGAACCAGTTATGTGTGTTGCATGAGAAAACGCCAGTAAGTGACAGAGTCACCAAATGCTGCACAGAATCCTTGGTGAACAGGCGACCATGCTTTTCAGCTCTGGAAGTCGATGAAACATACGTTCCCAAAGAGTTTAATGCTGAAACATTCACCTTCCATGCAGATATATGCACACTTTCTGAGAAGGAGAGACAAATCAAGAAACAAACGTGAGGAGTATTTCATTACTGCATGTGTTTGTAGTCTTGATAGCAAGAACTGTCAATTCAAGCTAGCAACTTTTTCCTGAAGTAGTGATTATATTTCTTAGAGGAAAGTATTGGAGTGTTGCCCTTATTATGCTGATAAGAGTACCCAGAATAAAATGAATAACTTTTTAAAGACAAAATCCTCTGTTATAATATTGCTAAAATTATTCAGAGTAATATTGTGGATTAAAGCCACAATAGAATAACATGTTAGGCCATATTCAGTAGAAAAAGATGAACAATTAACTGATAAATTTGTGCACATGGCAAATTAGTTAATGGGAACCATAGGAGAATTTATTTCTAGATGTAAATAATTATTTTAAGTTTGCCCTATGGTGGCCCCACACATGAGACAAACCCCCAAGATGTGACTTTTGAGAATGAGACTTGGATAAAAAACATGTAGAAATGCAAGCCCTGAAGCTCAACTCCCTATTGCTATCACAGGGGTTATAATTGCATAAAATTTAGCTATAGAAAGTTGCTGTCATCTCTTGTGGGCTGTAATCATCGTCTAGGCTTAAGAGTAATATTGCAAAACCTGTCATGCCCACACAAATCTCTCCCTGGCATTGTTGTCTTTGCAGATGTCAGTGAAAGAGAACCAGCAGCTCCCATGAGTTTGGATAGCCTTATTTTCTATAGCCTCCCCACTATTAGCTTTGAAGGGAGCAAAGTTTAAGAACCAAATATAAAGTTTCTCATCTTTATAGATGAGAAAAATTTTAAATAAAGTCCAAGATAATTAAATTTTTAAGGATCATTTTTAGCTCTTTAATAGCAATAAAACTCAATATGACATAATATGGCACTTCCAAAATCTGAATAATATATAATTGCAATGACATACTTCTTTTCAGAGATTTACTGAAAAGAAATTTGTTGACACTACATAACGTGATGAGTGGTTTATACTGATTGTTTCAGTTGGTCTTCCCACCAACTCCATGAAAGTGGATTTTATTATCCTCATCATGCAGATGAGAATATTGAGACTTATAGCGGTATGCCTGAGCCCCAAAGTACTCAGAGTTGCCTGGCTCCAAGATTTATAATCTTAAATGATGGGACTACCATCCTTACTCTCTCCATTTTTCTATACGTGAGTAATGTTTTTTCTGTTTTTTTTTTTTCTTTTTCCATTCAAACTCAGTGCACTTGTTGAGCTCGTGAAACACAAGCCCAAGGCAACAAAAGAGCAACTGAAAGCTGTTATGGATGATTTCGCAGCTTTTGTAGAGAAGTGCTGCAAGGCTGACGATAAGGAGACCTGCTTTGCCGAGGAGGTACTACAGTTCTCTTCATTTTAATATGTCCAGTATTCATTTTTGCATGTTTGGTTAGGCTAGGGCTTAGGGATTTATATATCAAAGGAGGCTTTGTACATGTGGGACAGGGATCTTATTTTACAAACAATTGTCTTACAAAATGAATAAAACAGCACTTTGTTTTTATCTCCTGCTCTATTGTGCCATACTGTTAAATGTTTATAATGCCTGTTCTGTTTCCAAATTTGTGATGCTTATGAATATTAATAGGAATATTTGTAAGGCCTGAAATATTTTGATCATGAAATCAAAACATTAATTTATTTAAACATTTACTTGAAATGTGGTGGTTTGTGATTTAGTTGATTTTATAGGCTAGTGGGAGAATTTACATTCAAATGTCTAAATCACTTAAAATTGCCCTTTATGGCCTGACAGTAACTTTTTTTTATTCATTTGGGGACAACTATGTCCGTGAGCTTCCGTCCAGAGATTATAGTAGTAAATTGTAATTAAAGGATATGATGCACGTGAAATCACTTTGCAATCATCAATAGCTTCATAAATGTTAATTTTGTATCCTAATAGTAATGCTAATATTTTCCTAACATCTGTCATGTCTTTGTGTTCAGGGTAAAAAACTTGTTGCTGCAAGTCAAGCTGCCTTAGGCTTATAACATCACATTTAAAAGCATCTCAGGTAACTATATTTTGAATTTTTTAAAAAAGTAACTATAATAGTTATTATTAAAATAGCAAAGATTGACCATTTCCAAGAGCCATATAGACCAGCACCGACCACTATTCTAAACTATTTATGTATGTAAATATTAGCTTTTAAAATTCTCAAAATAGTTGCTGAGTTGGGAACCACTATTATTTCTATTTTGTAGATGAGAAAATGAAGATAAACATCAAAGCATAGATTAAGTAATTTTCCAAAGGGTCAAAATTCAAAATTGAAACCAAAGTTTCAGTGTTGCCCATTGTCCTGTTCTGACTTATATGATGCGGTACACAGAGCCATCCAAGTAAGTGATGGCTCAGCAGTGGAATACTCTGGGAATTAGGCTGAACCACATGAAAGAGTGCTTTATAGGGCAAAAACAGTTGAATATCAGTGATTTCACATGGTTCAACCTAATAGTTCAACTCATCCTTTCCATTGGAGAATATGATGGATCTACCTTCTGTGAACTTTATAGTGAAGAATCTGCTATTACATTTCCAATTTGTCAACATGCTGAGCTTTAATAGGACTTATCTTCTTATGACAACATTTATTGGTGTGTCCCCTTGCCTAGCCCAACAGAAGAATTCAGCAGCCGTAAGTCTAGGACAGGCTTAAATTGTTTTCACTGGTGTAAATTGCAGAAAGATGATCTAAGTAATTTGGCATTTATTTTAATAGGTTTGAAAAACACATGCCATTTTACAAATAAGACTTATATTTGTCCTTTTGTTTTTCAGCCTACCATGAGAATAAGAGAAAGAAAATGAAGATCAAAAGCTTATTCATCTGTTTTTCTTTTTCGTTGGTGTAAAGCCAACACCCTGTCTAAAAAACATAAATTTCTTTAATCATTTTGCCTCTTTTCTCTGTGCTTCAATTAATAAAAAATGGAAAGAATCTAATAGAGTGGTACAGCACTGTTATTTTTCAAAGATGTGTTGCTATCCTGAAAATTCTGTAGGTTCTGTGGAAGTTCCAGTGTTCTCTCTTATTCCACTTCGGTAGAGGATTTCTAGTTTCTTGTGGGCTAATTAAATAAATCATTAATACTCTTCTAAGTTATGGATTATAAACATTCAAAATAATATTTTGACATTATGATAATTCTGAATAAAAGAACAAAAACCATGGTATAGGTAAGGAATATAAAACATGGCTTTTACCTTAGAAAAAACAATTCTAAAATTCATATGGAATCAAAAAAGAGCCTGCAGAACCAAAGTAAGACTAAGCAAAAAGAACAAATTACCTGATTTCAAACTACACTATAAGGCCATAGTCACCGAAACAGCAAGGTACTGGTATAAAAATAGGCACACAGACCAATGGAATAGAACAGAATAGAGAACCCAGAAATAAATCCACATACTTACAGCTAACTGATTTTAGACAAAGAAAACAAAAACATAAGGTGGGGAAAGGACAACTTTTTCAACAAATGGTGCTAGGATAATTGGCAAGCACATGTAGGAGACTGAAGCTAGATCCTCATCTCTCACCTTATACAAACATCAACTCAAGATGGATTAGGAACTTAAATCTAAGGCCTAAAACTATAAAAATTCTAGAAGATAACATTGGGAAAAACCCTTCTACATATAGGCTTAGGCAAGGATTTCATGACCAAGAACCCAAAACAAATACAATGAAAACAAAGATAAATTGCTGGGACTTCATTAAACTAAAGAGCTTTTGCATGGCATGGCAAAAGAAACAGTCAGCTGAGTAAACAGACAACCCACAGAGTGAGAAAAAAATCTTCACAATCTATACTTCTGACAAAGGACTAATATCCAGACTCTACAATGAACTCAAATCAACAAGAAAAAAAAAATCCCATCAAAAAGTGGGCTAAGGACATGAATAGACAATTCTCAAAAGAAAATATACAAATTGAAAACAAACATGAAAAAATGCTCATCATCACTAATAATCATGGAAATGCAAATCAAAACCACACTGTGATACCACCTTACCTCTGCAAGAATGGCCATAATTAAAAAAATAAAAAAATAGTAGATGTTGGCATGGATGCAATGAACAGGAAACACTTCTACACTGATGGTGGGAATGTAAACTGGTACAATTACTATGGAAAACAGTGTGAAGATTCCTCAAAGAACTGAAATAAAACTACCATTTGATTCAATAATCCCACTACTGGGTATCTATCCAGAGGAAAAAAAGTCATTATACAAAAAAGATACTTGCACACGCATGTTTATAGCAGCACAATTTGCGATTGCAAAAATGTGGGACCAACCCAAATGCCCATCAATCAACGAGTAGATAAAGAAACAGTATATATCACTGTTTCTTTATCCACTCGTTGATTGATATACATCATATATATTGATATACATGATGATATATATACACATATATATAGATATACATATATATATGTAGTATTTCATTGTGTGTATGGATATATGTATATATCAATGGAATACTACTCAGCCATAAAAAGGAATGAATTAATGACATTTGCAGCGACCTGGATGAGACTGGAGACTATTATTCTAAGTGAAGTAACTCAGGAATGGAAAAGCAAACGTTATATGTTCTCACTTATAAGTGGGAGCTAAGCTATGAGGATGCAAAGGCATAAGAATGACACAATGGACTTTGGGGACTCATAAAAGACTACAAACATGGTACAGTGTATACTGCTCGGGTGATGGGTTATGGGTGATGGGTGCACCAAAATCTCACAGATCACCACTAAAGAATTTACTCATGTAACTAAACACGACCTCTTCCCCAATAACCTATGGAAATTAAAAAATTTTAAAAAATAAAATAGCTAGTAATATTACAAAACACCCATATGATGCAATGTTATACCATCACTCAATAGCATTTTCAGGGCCATTTGTCCTGTAGGTGTTAAATTTATTAAATACTTATTATATGCCAAAATGTAAAACATGGCTTTTCTTTACTATTCAGACACTATAAGAAATTTTGAGGAACAAAGGAGATAGAGATGATGATAAGTGTGGTTGACAGAATTGGGGGAAAAAAGTGATCTTAGAAGAAATTTAAGACAGTTTAGAATAACAGCACTCAAAGAGTGTAAGAAGTTTGGAGAAGCCTTATTGGAAGAGGAATTAGAACACCTGGAGAAACATACAGTAAGAAGTGATGAAGGTCTACTGAACTGATGAGCTGGAGGAGTTGGAGGGTGAATGTTTCTTGTAAAACACTAAAATATTATTCTGGGCCTCTTTTTCCTGTTCCCAGAGGTAAGTCATATCATACCTTTGTCTATAAATGTACAAGTCTATCAGACCTTTGTTTATGAATTTACAGGCCTCTTAGATCTTTGTCTATTAATTCACATACTTATTTTATCCTTATTAGTTTGTGTTTTTAAAATTTTTATCAAATTGGTTTCATACTGTACATGCTATTCCACAACTTGTTCTTAACAACACTGCTTAATAGTTTCATTTTAAGTGTGGTGCTTACGAAAGGTTCTAGTACAAAGTTACAAAAAGTTTCTTTCTATTGCTGGAATGTTCTGCGCTCCCCACCATTCCACTCCCCTGTCCCTAAGCAGCCCCCACTTTGGTCCGTGTTGAATGTATCGAACATATTTTTTTTCACATTTGTTGCAATCATCACAAAAGTCAGAGAGTGCTCAGAAAAAGAGAAATGGAGATGGTGGGCCCTGGCTGGTCAAAGGCCCCAGAGACGGACCTAGAAAATGTTCAATAAAGCGCTGTCACTGAACTGGACCTACACAGGACCGGGTCTGGGCACCCTGTATCAATAGCAATGCCACCCTGACCAGTCTCAGGCACCAAAGACGAACTTAAAACTTTTGGAAAAAGATTCCCCCATATATGGTAACCTGAGCTCCAGCTTCCCCACTTCCCATGGAGTCGACCAGAATCCCAGAGGAACTCAACAGTTAAGCCTATAGAGCCAGACTCACTGCTCTAGTTTCAGAGAGTGGTCTGGCAAGCTCATCACTCTGGCTAGCTGGCTTTTTTGTTTGTTTGTTTTTTTCCTGCACAGTGTGGAAGATTGGTACACCCGAATGTACCAATGGTGCAGGCACATCGATGTGCGTGCACGTGTGTGTGTGTGTGTGTGTAAAATGTTGTTTTCATATAATATTGGAGGGCACATGGTATGATATCAACATGATTTATCATGGGGATATTAGGATTGATCACTTGGTTAAGGTGGTGTTTGCCAGGTTTCTCTACCGTGAAGTTATCACTTTTCCCTTTCCATACTCTATTTTTGGAAGCAAATCATGAAATCCAGCCCACACTGAAAGAGAGGGAGAGGGATAAGCTTCTGAAAATGGGAGTAGCTACATGTCTTATTTATATTTTCATAAGAAAGACTTGTTATTTAATTGTTCATTTATGTCAGTATAAACTCATATATATTATATACTTTGGGTTATAATTCAATGCCACATTATTTAGTTGCTCAAAGTATCTCAGCTTTGGGGCCTCTTTTTGGTTGGCTCCCCTATGCCTTTGACAGGTCTCTATACTTTGTTTTCTTTCTGGCATTGCAAGCTGCCTCAGGCTCATCTTATATTTCCCTTTCCCAGCCCTAGAAATGGCCATTTCTTAAGGAAGGCCTGGTTCTCTTTATTAGAGAATGGTTTTACAAAGATCTGAGTGCTGGGTATTCTCATTGCTAATGGGATATCACTGCTTCTAGACCATTTCAGGGAATGGAGCTAAGAAAGGTAGGTATGAATACTAATATTCATATCTTCATTTGAATACACACACACAAACATAACTGTAATTATTTCTGTACGTATGTAGCTATCTTTCTGGTTAATGATGAGTTCATACTGATGTCTCTGACTCTAATCCAGAACCACAGGACTTATTCTAGCCTTCCTCCTTGCCTCTATGACAGCAAGAAACTTCTCTTCCACTATCTAGCCTCCATCTACCCATTTGTTCCACCTCAGGATGCATGTAAAGGAGTTTCAGAGTTATAAACCCATTTCTCCATGAAAATCAAATTTACTAACTAGAGTGCAGTGTTTACATACAGTTCCTTTTGTCTTTAGCCATACGATTTCCAGTCAAAACATTATTCTCCAAAGTCATGTAGGTCAGCTCCATTTTTGCATTACCATCTTCTGTGAAGTCATGACAGGTGACTTTGGGTGGCTCATTCACACTGAACACAAAATAAGTTTAGGGCACTGGCCTTTGACTTGCCTTTGGGCTTGAGCTGTATGTGTGGGCCACCCAGCAGCTCTTTCCACCTAAGTAGGCTTTGCCTACAATACATAAAGGTAGCAGCAGTGGTGACAGGTATCCTTTACCCAGTGCATTCTCTGCCACAGGTACCCAGGGTGGTCACTCCATTTCTCTATAGATTCCACATCAATTGTCAGGCAGTCTTTGAGGGTGACCATGCCTATCTCTTCCAAGGGCTTTGAAGACCATGGGTCTGCAATACCAGTGGACCCTTCCAGTGGATGTCCTCTCTTGCCTCCATCGACATGGTTACATTATGCTTCCCTGGGTTGGTTTTAAAGTCCTGCCAAACATTTCTTGGAGGAATGTGAACACTCTTTTTGTTTCACCTTAGGCCCCTCACCTATTCTTACTGTTGGTGGTTGTGTGTGGAAGGCAGGGGTGTAAGTAACATTAAAATAGGTCACATTGTAGAAATGCTGTGATCATGTCCTAAGAATTTAGGAGAAAACGTGGTCGAAAGATGTGTTGTTCTCTTTATGTTAAGAAAGTCTGAGTAGTAAATTTAACATGACAGAGATTTGCATTTGTGCTTATTATCAGTGAAACACAAGAGTCACTGGAAGCCAGAATTGAGGGTGACGTGATGGATGATGCAGGATCATAAGTAATGATGTAACCAGCTTTAAATTAAATCAATGGTAATCGAGAACTGTAGAGGCAAGAAGATTTATTTGTTTCAATACGAACAACCTCCAAAGAGACATTGTGTCTTGAGTAATAACAGCATTGCTACTTTTTTTTTTTGAGATGGGAGATATAAAGTTAGCCCGGAATGAAATGCATTTGACAATAAAGAACGTAGTTCCACCTCAGGATGGTACCAATAGGTACCATCAGGGTACCAACAGGGTACCAACAGGGTAGACCTGAACAGGAAGAGATGGTGCCTGAACATTAAGAAGAATCTTCATGTGCACCAATTGGACAGTAAGAAACTATGTCAGTCTGGCTTCTATACTCGTTATTCTAAATCTCAATAAATTAATACAGTTTACATGAGTGCATGCTGGTGTTGCATAAATCAGAGGGCACTATTAATGTAAAATAAAATGCGAAGGGTGCCTCCTGGAATTTAGCAACGTGGGCTATTTTTATTACTATTGTTAACATTTTAGGGATTTGGTTTATGAAAGGGCAGCTGAGATTGTGATAAGGCAGCTATTTTGTGACAGATGAGCTGGATACATGGAAAGTACACATGGAAGCCCATCATTCCTACCCTTCCCTGCTGACCTAACAAGTCTCTTTGCTCTTCTTAACTACTTTACAAAGTCCAGACCTGACTACCCTTCCAATCTCTTTTTCTTCCTGCCTTCAATGCCCTAATCAGTTTGAACTTCATACTATTCATTAGCACACCATGCTTTTCATGCCTCCCTTACATGGATTCCTATTATCTGGAATGTCTTTCTTTGTCTTTTTTATCCGTTTAATCCAGCTGAAATGTTACGTTCTTTGAGGAAATTTTTCTGAATAGAGCTGGTCATTTCTTTCCTGATGGTCCTTGACTCTTTGAACCTGACTTATTACAGCACTCACATTCTTTTTAAAAACTTCATGTTAATATCCACATTTATATTTTATTATAATAATTGTAGATTTTATATCTACTTTAAATATATATGATCTGAGTCCCAGGGCTTGAATTTGAACACACAAGGTTCTGACCCCTGAAAGCTGACTCATTTAATGGTGTCAGTTCATTACATATCTCTCTCTTCAACTAGATAGTGTTTCTCATCAGAAGGGATCATGAATTAGAAGTCCATGTATCTCTCCTGGTACTTAGTGTAACCTGGTACATAGTAAGTATGCAATTAAAATTAGATGAATAAATTAATTTATACCATGGGCTTTAAATATTCTAAACTACAAATCACAGAATCCTGACTTACAATAATTTCCTGGACTTCCAAAATAGCATATATAGTATATTGAATTTTATAAATATTTGAATCATGAGAATTTGTGCTTTAAGAAAATAACCATGATTCATTTTATTTTTCAACTTTGAATAATAACAATTTCTCCACATTAAGAAGTATCAAGAACTGCGTGTCCGAAGGTGGCAGACATAGTAATGTCTCATATGGTGGTGTCACTTTTGTATCACTTTAATTGGTTTAGAATTATCCAAATTATCTCTCTCGTGTGAGTAACTGATGAATAAATACATGAATACATGGATGGCACCAAAAAAAGAACTTTGGCATTTTGATATTTATCTTTTGGGGAAGGTAGAATCTTCTGACCAGTGAAATATTTTATGTTAATAAAATGTTATGTGTGATGGTTGATGTACAGGGGGAGTAATAGTCATTTGCCCATTTTACTTAATTCATGTGTATGCTGTGTAATTTCTTCAACACTAGAGTGTGAAGCAGTTACTTGGACAATATCTGAAAAATACTGCATACAAATGAACAAATTACTTTTCCATATTTACTCTCTATCTCCATTCACGTCTCACTCAGTTCTTTTTGTTGCAAAAATCTTTATTCATTTGGTCAATTGATATCTGTGCCCTGGAGACTGGTTTCTTAAAACCCCAGCAAAGAGTCTCAAGGGAAGAATTGAAATAAGGAGCTATTTGAAATAAGAATTGAAATAAGGGGTGTTGTAAATACCAAATAGAGGAAGTCCATCCTGTTTGTGTGGGGAGAGGTCCTCATCTACCTCAGGTGGAGTAATTTGGTTGGTGACTTGAAGAGCCATCCAGATGAGTATTAGGAGTCATAAATATCTTCAAGTGATGGAAGAGGACGCCTGCAAGGCAGACACATGCTCCCAAGCTTCCAATGAGGTTATCCCATGTCTTTGGGCTTGGCACTGGGACATTAGAGCAGAGGCTACAAAGGAGCAGAGCACAGAGTTTAGCTCCAATGGCTGCCAAGAAGACTACGTGCCAAAATTAGGATGCTTCTGCACTATAGGAAAGATGATCTCTTGGTTTTAAAAACTGTAATAGAAAAAAAATTGTAGAACACCACAAACAACACCCAAATACTAGCTCTACTTATTCTTTCCACTGCCTGAAGGATTGGCTCTTCTATACTCAGAACAGTCTTGGATGACACAGCTGGCCTCCCTAACTTTGTGATGGGGCAGACAACAGATGCCATGTTTGGACAATACTGACTCAGTGCAAAGATGACCAGGAGGCATTGGGAATGGCAATGGAGATTTCTTCTGACCTAGCTTCTGACTTTTTTTAATGACAGAAATTGTGAGGCCACAGTAAAATCCACTCACAAATTTCTTACATCCCGCAGAATACAAGAGAGCACATATGTTCTTATTCTTTTTTAGGAACATCAAAAATAAGAGCATTTCTCTAAATAAAACAGAGCTTGTTTAGAAATAGGTAGTCTATCTTCTGGGAAGTGGCATGACTTGCTTAAGAATAATAAATAATAATTCTAGTTTTTATTCTATATATTTTCTATGATAAGAATATATATTGACAATTCTCTCTCTCTCTCTCTTTCCCTGTGTGTGTGTGTGTGTGTGTGTGTGTGTGTGTGTGTCTTAGTCTTCTCAAGCTGTCAAAACAAAATACCATAGCCTGGGTGACTTAAACAACAGAATTTATTTTCTCATAGTTCTGGAGGCTAGAAAGTTTATGATCAAGATTCTGGCAAAGTTTAGTTTCTGGTGAGGGCTCTGTTCCAGGCCTATAGTTGACCACCTTCTTGCTACGTCCTTATATGGCAGAGAAAGCAAGCAAGCTCTTTGACATTATAGGGGTAGCAATCTCATCATGAGGCTCCTGCTTGCATGATCTCATCGAACCCTAATTACCTCCTAAAGACTCCATCTCCAAGTGTCATCACATTGGGGGTTAGGACTTCAACATATGAATTTGCTAAGGGGAAGAGAGAGACACAAACATCTAGTCCATAACAGACAGTGAAATCTCTTGACTAAGTAAGGAATTTTTTCTGAAACTTCTATAACAATGAGCCATCACTGAACCTTGTGAAATGCTATAGTTTAAATGCATGTGTTGCTCCAAAATTCACAAGTAAGAACATAATATCCAGTGTGATAGCAATAAGAGATAGAGCCTTTTGGGACGTGATTAATCCACCCTCATGGTTGCATTAATGCTCTTATAAAAGAAGCTGAAGGGTGCCCTAGTGCCCTTTTGGCATTCCCTTTCTTCTGACTTGTGGGGACACCTAAATGAGAAACAGTCCTCACCCGGCACAGAACCTGTTGGTGCCTTAATCTTGGACTTCCTGGTCTCTGGAACTGTGAGAAAAACATTTCTGTTGTTTTCAACTTACCCAGTTTCAAGTGTTTTGTTATGGTATCACAAATGATCTAATGGACTAAGACATTAAGAAAAGGGAGTATTAGTATTCAGCAATGATGCTGATGATGGCAGATGGCCATGGACACCCTTTGTTATTTCTAATACCCTGTCATTGCTATAGAAGCTGGGAAGAGAAGGAGTCCATATGAAAAAGTCATTACAAAAAAAGATTTAGGAAGTGTTATTTTCTGTGCAAGTTATTGTTCTAGGAGATGCTTTAAAAGTGTTTTTCTCTCAAGCAGTTGACAGTCTCTTTGAGCATGTGGACCAGTTCTGCTGTTTTAAGGAGCTATGCCCAGCCTAGCATAGGCAACCAACTTACAGAATAAGAAATGCTGTTAATGGAACATAGATTTTTGTAAAATGTATTTTCAGTTGGCCCTTGACTTACTTTGCTCTATCTCTGCATGACCCGTATTGATGTCTTAGTTCACCTTGCTGACCTTGAGGCACTTCTATCCTTTTAAGTTTGGCAGGCAAGATTGGTTGCCTAATCTGACTGACTCCTTTGAATTTGTTCCCGTGTGGGAGGGAGAAAAAAATGTATTTTTTTTCCCTTTACAAACCAGGGACAAGATCCCTTTGATGAAGTGAAATAGTCTTCTTTTTTTAAGCAAATACTTTATTTATAAGTATAATAGCTTTTGGGGGGCAGCAAATGGGAAAGGTGAAGTCTTGTACTCTAGAGCATGATTCAAATAGATAGGCTCAAATTAAACAAATGGAGGGATAGTTTGTTCTGCCTAAAAGCAGTAATAGGAGGGGAATCTAGAAGCTGGGTCTGGATGGGAAGACATTAAGAAAGGAGAGGGAGAGAGAGCAAGCAAGAAGGAGGTCGGTCAGGGCTCTACAAGAAGAGAGTCAGGTGGTATTGATACGAGTGGAAAAGATCTTTTTATGTTTTATGCCTAGTTCCTTGATACAAACTTGTGGTGGGGGGTTCTTGAAAAAGTGATTGGGGACTATCTGATCTGGGGTTTAGGGCAGGGAAGAAACAGCATGTAAAGGAGAAAAGACAGAGCATTTGTTAAAGAGAATTTAACAGCAAGAGGAAATAAGAACCAATGATACCAAGGATAAACGCAGTCCTTAACTCCCCTATCACTGAATTCTTAGAAATATGGGGGTAGGGGTGGTGGTGGTAATTCTGTTTTCTCCCCATAGGTGAGATAAGCATTGGGTTAAATGTGCTTTCTCTCTCTCCCTCTCCTTTCTTAAGAATTAAGGGACAGACTATGGGCTGGAGGACTTTGAGGATGTCTGTCTCATAACACTTGGGTTGTATCTGTTCTATGGGGCTTGTTTTAAGCTTGGCAACTTGCAACAGGGTTCACTGACTTTCTCCCCAGGCCCAAGGTACTGTCCTCTTTTCATATCTGTTTTGGGGCCTCTGGGGCTTGAATATCTGAGAAAATATAAACATTTCAATAATGTTCTGTGGTGAGATGAGTATGAGAGATGTGTCATTCATTTGTATCAATGAATGAATGAGGACAATTAGTGTATAAATCCTTAGTACAACAATCTGAGGGTAGGGGTGGTACTATTCAATTTCTATTTATAAAGATACTTATTTCTATTTATTTATGCTTGTGACAAATGTTTTGTTCGGGACCACAGGAATCACAAAGATGAGTCTTTGAATTTAAGAAGTTAATGGTCCAGGAATAATTACATAGCTTACAAATGACTATGATATACCATCAAACAAGAGGTTCCATGAGAAAATAATCTGAAAGGTTTAATAAGTTGTCAAAGGTGAGAGGGCTCTTCTCTAGCTAGAGACTAATCAGAAATACATTCAGGGATAATTATTTGAATAGACCTTAAGGGTTGGGTACATTTTGTTCAAGCATTGATGGAGAAGGAGAGTGAATATTTGAAAACATTTTCAACTAACCAACCACCCAATCCAACAAACAAAAAATGAAAAGAATCTCAGAAACAGTGAGATAAGAGAAGGAATTTTCTCACAACCCACACGTATAGCTCAACTGCTCTGAAGAAGTATATATCTAATATTTAACACTAACATCATGCTAATAATGATAATAATTACTGTCATTTTTTAATGTCTATAAGTACCAGGCATTTAGAAGATATTATTCCATTTATATATCAAAATAAACTTGAGGGGATAGATCATTTTCATGATATATGAGAAAAATTAAAAATCAGATTGAATTATTTGCCTGTCATACAGCTAATAATTGACCATAAGACAATTAGATTTAAATTAGTTTTGAATCTTTCTAATACCAAAGTTCAGTTTACTGTTCCATGTTGCTTCTGAGTGGCTTCACAGACTTATGAAAAAGTAAACGGAATCAGAATTACATCAATGCAAAAGCATTGCTGTGAACTCTGTACTTAGGACTAAACTTTGAGCAATAACACATATAGATTGAGGATTGTTTGCTGTTAGTATACAAACTCTGGTTCAAAGCTCCTCTTTATTGCTTGTCTTGGAAAATTTGCTGTTCTTCATGGTTTCTCTTTTCACTGCTATCTATTTTTCTCAACCACTCACATGGCTACAATAACTGTCTGCAAGCTTATGATTCCCAAATATCTATCTCTAGCCTCAATCTTGTTCCAGAAGATAAAAAGTAGTATTCAAATGCACATCAACGTCTCCACTTGGAGGGCTTAAAGACGTTTCAACATACAAACCGGGGAGTTTTGCCTGGAATGTTTCCTAAAATGTGTCCTGTAGCACATAGGGTCCTCTTGTTCCTTAAAATCTAATTACTTTTAGCCCAGTGCTCATCCCACCTATGGGGAGATGAGAGTGAAAAGGGAGCCTGATTAATAATTACACTAAGTCAATAGGCATAGAGCCAGGACTGTTTGGGTAAACTGGTCACTTTATCTTAAACTAAATATATCCAAAACTGAACATGTACTTAGTTACTAAGTCTTTGACTTTATCTCATTCATACCACTCAGCTTTATCCAGGCCACTTATTTGACAGTATTATTGCGAAAACTTCCTAACTGGTCTCCTTATCATAGTCTTATCCCCTTTTGAAACAAAAGAGACAGTTTCAAAATACAAATATGATTTTTATTAGCTCCCTTTTGTTGTCTATAATAGTCCCAGAAGGAGTTATAAACTCCATTTAAAAAGTCTTTGAGATGTGGCCCTTGCCAACTTTGCCAGGAATTCCCAATATCTAGTATTTTCTACTATTAAACTTTGTGCCTCTTCAAAACTGCATTTTCTCTCATTCCCTAAGTGTGCATTGTTTTCCCTTACCGGTTGGTTTTTCCACCACCTTTTACATTTTCCTGGAACACTATACCCTCCCTCTTCATTTGGCCCACCTCTAATTTTCTTTCAGATCTCCATGAAGATGTTACTTCCTCCAGGAAGCCTTATCTGACCCCTCCAAAGATGTCATGAGTTCCTCTTTTCATTCTACTAATCACAGCATCCATCACACCATGTTGTGATTACTGATACTATTGTCTGTTTCTCTGATTAGGCAGTAAGCTCAACAAGAGCTACATGGTGCCTGTCTCTTGTTGCTGATTATTCCCATCCAAAAACAGTGCCTGGAATGCAGACTTAACATTTTATTGAATGAATAAATAAAACCCCATCTATCGAGTGCTACTTTGTGCAAGACCCGGTTCTGAGGCATTTATATTTATTGATTTATTTAATTCTCATTTAACCATGAAGGAGGTACTATCACTATCCTTATTTTATAGTTGATAAAGATAAAGCCCAGAGAAATGAATTAACTCACCCAAAGTCATGTAGCTAAGTGACAGGGCAAAAATTCAAACCAGTTCCCCAACTTTACGTGATTAATACTGTGCTATACTGCCTCTCTGATCATATGGCATGGAATGCAGACATCTGCTCCGTAAGGCAGAATATGGAAGGAGATTGGAGGATGACACAAAACCAGCATAATATCAGAGGAAAAGTCCAAACAGGACCTGAACTGATAGAAAAGTTGTTACTCCTGGTGTAGTCGCATCGACATCTTGATGAACTGGTGGCTGACACAACATACATTGGCTTGATGTGTACATATTATTTGTAGTTGTGTGTGTATTTTTATATATATATTTGTAATATTGAAATAGTCATAATTTACTAAAGGCCTACCATTTGCCAGGCATTTTTACATTTGTCCCCTCTAATCTTTTGATGAGATGATCAGATTGGATTACTTGGCCTTGAAGATGATATATCTATATCTACATCTATATCTATATCTATATCTATATCTATATCTATATATGTATATCAGAAAAGCTGAAATATGTTTTGTAAAGTTATAAAGATTTCAGACTTTATAGAATCTGGGATTTGCCAAATGTAACCCCTTTCTCTACATTAAACCCATGTTGGAACAAATACATTTATTATTCATTCATCAAATGTTGCTGAGTCCTGGCTATGAACCAGACACTGTGAAAGCCTTTGGGATATTTTGCCCATGCTTGGGCAAGCTTATATAGTTTGCTTCATAAAACTCTATTTCAGTTCTTCATAACTAATACTTCATGACTATTGCTTTTCAGGTATTCCTTCATAACAAATACTTTGGCTTTCATATATTTGAGTAAAGTCCCCCTTGAGGAAGAGTAGAAGAACTGCACTTTGTAAATACTATCCTGGAATCCAAACGGATAGACAAGGATGGTGCTACCTCTTTCTGGAGAGTACGTGAGCAAGGCCTGTTTTGTTAACATGTTCCTTAGGAGACAAAACTTAGGAGAGACACGCATAGCAGAAAATGGACAAAAACTAACAAATGAATGGGAATTGTACTTGATTAGCATTGAAGACCTTGTTTATACTATGATAAATGTTTGTATTTGCTGGAAGTGCTACTGACGGTAAACCCTTTTTGTTTAAATGTGTGCCCTAGTAGCTTGCAGTATGATCTATTTTTTAAGTACTGTACTTAGCTTATTTAAAAATTTTATGTTTAAAATTGCATACTGCTCTTTCATTGAAGAAGTTTTGAGAGAGAGATAGAATTAAATTCACTTATCTTACCATCTAGAGAAACCCAATGTTAAAACTTTGTTGTCCATTATTTCTGTCTTTTATTCAACATTTTTTTTAGAGGGTGGGAGGAATACAGAGGAGGTACAATGATACACAAATGAGAGCACTCTCCATGTATTGTTTTGTCCTGTTTTTCAGTTAACAATATATTATGAGCATATTTCCATTTCATTAAATATTCTTCCACAAAGTTATTTTGATGGCTGTATATCACCCTACTTTATGAATGTACCATATTAATTTATTTCCTGGTGTGGGTTATTTGATTTTATAATCTTACCTTTAGAATAATGAAACACCTGTGAAGCTTTAGAAAATACTGGTGCCTGGGTCTCAACTCCACAGATTCTGATTTAACTGGTCTGGGTTACAGACTAGGCATTGGGAATTCAAAAAGTTCCCCCAGTGATTCTAATGTGTAGCCAAGATCGGGAACCCTTGTAGACAGGGATGATAGGAGGTGAGCCACTCTTAGCATCCATCATTTAGTATTAACATCATCATCTTGAGTTGCTAAGTGAATGATGCACCTGACCCACTTTATAAAGACACATGTGCAAATAAAATTATTATAGGACTTGGTTTATTAGGGCTTGTGCTCTAAGTTTTCTATGTTAAGCCATACATCGCATACTAAATACTTTAAAATGTACCTTATTGACATACATATTAAGTGAAAAGTGTTTCTGAGCTAAACAATGACAGCATAATTATCAAGCAATGATAATTTGAAATGAATTTATTATTCTGCAACTTAGGGACAAGTCATCTCTCTGAATTTTTTGTACTTTGAGAGTATTTGTTATATTTGCAAGATGAAGAGTCTGAATTGGTCAGACAATGTCTTGTGTGCCTGGCATATGATAGGCATTTAATAGTTTTAAAGAATTAATGTATTTAGATGAATTGCATACCAAATCTGCTGTCTTTTCTTTATGGCTTCATTAACTTAATTTGAGAGAAATTAATTATTCTGCAACTTAGGGACAAGTCATCTCTTTGAATATTCTGTAGTTTGAGGAGAATATTTGTTATATTTGCAAAATAAAATAAGTTTGCAAGTTTTTTTTTTCTGCCCCAAAGAGCTCTGTGTCCTTGAACATAAAATACAAATAACCGCTATGCTGTTAATTATTGGCAAATGTCCCATTTTCAACCTAAGGAAATACCATAAAGTAACAGATATACCAACAAAAGGTTACTAGTTAACAGGCATTGCCTGAAAAGAGTATAAAAGAATTTCAGCATGATTTTCCATATTGTGCTTCCACCACTGCCAATAACAAAATAACTAGCAACCATGAAGTGGGTGGAATCAATTTTTTTAATTTTCCTACTAAATTTTACTGAATCCAGAACACTGCATAGAAATGAATATGGAATAGGTGAGATATTTTGTGTTTTTCTTGTCTTTTCTCTATATCAAAATTTTTTAAATTATAAAATTTGCATTAATTTGTCTTGATTTATTATTCATATTTATTATTCCACATGGAGAAAAAATATTTAACTGATGGATATATTTAAATGAAAGATAAACTTGTAACTTTACAAGAGGTTTACAAAGTTATAGCAGTGTTTAATGGATGAATGGTTTGTATGTTTCATGTTGAATTAATTTTTACACTTCAATGGTATGCATATTAACTTTGAAAAATTATATATATACACATATATGTACATATATATGAATATAAATAAAATTTTATATGTGAAGAAGCCAGAATTATGCTCCTTCACATAACTCCCTCAGACTAGTAAAATAGATAAAATCTTTGTTTTTAATACAGAAAAATGGGTCATTATTTGATGGTCTGAAGAAGAAATATTGTGACTGGGATATGAATGGCAAACCGTAGTATAACTATGTTCAAAAGAATGCCTGAAATATATTTTTAACCATTTGACTTTCAGGACAGTTACAGCACTACAGTACAGGGAAAAACCAAACAACTGGAAGACAAAATCTGGATTTTAGTGATAGGTCTACTATAAATTATGCTTGTTAACTTCATTCCTTAGTTTCCTAGTTTTCTTTTCCTCAAGTATAAAATTAAGATGCTTAGGTTATCCCTAATGTTCTTTTAATTCTGAAACTGTACAGTTCTAACTGAAACACAAACATTCATATGTAACAATGATTACTTTCTTGGTTGCAGTTGAAAACACGTTTCATGAAGTTTATTTTGCTTTCCAGCTTCCATATTGGATTCTTACCAATGTACTGCAGAGATAAGTTTAGCTGACCTGTAAGTTTTGCTTATATAAATGTACTTTAAATGTGTAAAGCAAGGATAAGTAAATACTTAAATAAAATTGGGTACCCCTGTGAGCTCTTAAAAGCACAAAAGCAATTTGGACAATTTCAAGAAAAGTTACTCATACTGAATATCAACTTGATGTTGAAGAGGTTAAACTGTTGACTAATGTCTTCGACATTGACCTTTTGATTCCTTGAAATCTCATGAGTCAAACCAAATCAGATTTTAGAAACTGAAGATTAGTGTCTGATCAGTGACAGCCATATACTAATTCAGGAATTTTTCTCATCAGTACCAACAGGGTGATATTATAATGTTTTCTTTTCTGTATACTATTTAAATCTTAGCAGCAAACCATAGGTGATAAAATATTCTATTTGCTGTTATTTGTGGAGAGTATGTTAGTCTCTTGGATGTCTTTCCATTCCACATTTTAAAAATTTCTAACAAAGAATTTAAAGTAGTGTGTTGCTGTTACTCCTTGCACATCCAAACCTGCATAAGGATTGCTTTGAGTCAATCCATGAGCACTGTAGTCTTGGGTTTTAGACCTTGATCATACTGGGAATAGACACTGTTAGAGGTCTGTCTAATTACCAATTTTTTTTTGCTTAAATTTAAAAGTAACCATAAAGAATATAGATACCCTCAATTATGGGTACATTACAGTAGATGGATGGTCACAGAAGGAGAAACCACTCTTATGGGAAATCCACTTATTTTAGCCTTTAACATCTATATGTATATTTATGGCAAAAGAAAACAAGAAAAAGACTAAAGTTTCTTCTCAGATGACCTGGAAGCTAATTTTACATAATTTTACAAATCAAATGTCTAAACAGATTACAACATAAATAGAAAACAAAACAAACAAATGAAAAACTATACTTGAGAAAAATAAGCTTGCTGCAGGTCTGTTCCTTAAGGATTCACACGTATTTTTGTTTCAGGGCTACCATATTTTTTGCCCAGTTTGTTCAAGAAGCCACTTACAAGGAAGTAAGCAAAATGGTGAAAGATGCATTGACTGCAATTGAGAAACCCACTGGAGATGAACAGTCTTCAGGGTGTTTAGAAAACCAGGTGAGTGAATAATTTTAAAAAAGCATTGTGATATTTGACAAAAATTTAGCATGCTGAAGAGAAGATACAAAAATAGCAGTGAAAAATGCATTTATATATTTGAAGAGCTATTGTATGAAAGAGGGATTAGATTCATTCTGAATTGCTAAAGAGGGCAGAAGAGAACAATAGGTAGTTATTATAAAGAGACCATATAAATATGATGACTGAGAGCTAAGGTTCTGAAATAAGATTATCTTGATGACTATGGGCATATTAACTTTTTTGAGCTTCAGTTTTCTTATCTGTAAAATAAGGGATGATAATAGCTCCCATTTCATAGTTAGCATGGAAATTGATATAACAGCAATAGTAGCTAACTTTTATTATACACACAATGTGACTGGCATTATTCTAGGGAGCATAATGTGTATATTGATAATAAAAATATTTTATGACATAGGGGATAGATAGCACTGATGAATCAGAATGGTTGTCCAGTGAGTCAAGAGATGCTGGCTCGGGCTTCTGGGCAGGATATCAGCTTTGCTTACCTATATTTATTTATTAAACATTTAAAATAATCCTTGAAGATAGATGCTAATCTTCCAACTGAGGAAGCTGAGGCTCAGAGAATTTAAGTAACTTTCTTATGGGAACCACCAAATGGCAGAGCCAGGATTTGAACTAGACCATCTGGCTTAAAATTGACAGTCTTAGTAGCTTCATTACACTATAACTATAGTGAATGTAAGATGCATAGCACATCGTTAGGGTTGCCAGGTTTAGCAAACAACAACAAAACATAATACCCAGTTCAATCTGAATTTTAGATAAACACTAAATACTTTTCTTAGTATAAGGATATTTCATTGTAGAAGCTCAACAAATAATATTTATTATTTATTTTATCTCAACATAGAAACAAACTTGATAATGATTAGAACTCTCCAATTATAAAACAACATGCCCAGAGAATACTCTGTTATGGTGGGGTTAATTAGGTGGCTGAAAGACAATGTACCTGGAATATCATAGAAGAGATGCTCCTTTAAGGATATAGTTTAAGTTCTTTCCAACTTTGAAATTTATGAATTGACAAAAATTTCTGTTTTGCATCTCTATTTTTGTCTTGTTCTGATAATCTTTTCAAAATGTGTATAAAAAAACAAGAATACATTATCTATTGCAACTTTACAACCAATTAGAGGTTCAAGGTAATGTTACAGATCGCTGATTTATTCTTGTAAATTCAAAGGTATGTCTTTTAAATGAGGATTGGGAATTAGAAATCTTACGTAAGCCTTCCAGGATTCTCTAAATATTACTGTAGCAGCTATAAAAGCTACATAAAAGTTCCCTCAGATACATGAAACACATGTATTCCTCAGATGCTTTCTGTGGAATATTGATGCTGTCATCTGAGTTTGGTAAGGGTAAGTCACAGAGGAGGAAACACATACATTTTAAAACATTTTAGCTAAATATGTAATTGTGGCCAAGAAAAGTGTTTTTTTAAAAAATAATTATTTCATTTCAAAATCATTTTTATTTATAATTGAAAATAATATGCAGTTTTTTATTGTCTTGTAAGGATGGCATGTAAAATGAGCATTTATGTCTGAAATGTGGTATGTCTGTGTGTGTGTGTGTATATGTATATATATGTATGTATATACCATAATATATACATATGTATTTGCAATTCCAAAAGTTACATCTTTAATGAGAATCATGAAAATATTATTTTGCTCAGTTTCTTTTTTTATTTAAATTTAAATTTAAAGTTCTGGTGTACACGGGCAGGATGAGCAGGTCTGTTACATAGGTAAACACGTGGCATGGTGGTTTGCTGCACCTACCAACCTGTTGCCTGGGTATTAAGCCCAGCGTGCATTACCTATTTTTCCTAATGCTCTCCCTCCCTGCACTCCACTCCCTGACAGGCCCCAGTGTGTGCTGTTTCCCTCCCTGTGTCCATGAAACATGGTTTATATATTTATAAAAGTTTATATATCCTAGTCCAAATTTTTGATAACACAAAAAGGAAAAATAAAATAATTCAAAATTGGGAAAGAGAAACAAAAGATTGCATGGCTTTTTTCCTTTTATTGTTTGGACATTAAAGTCTCATTTTCCATAAGGCAGCAAAGAAATCTATTTCATCAGGCTGAAACAAAATACATTAGAATTTGTATGGAAAATTTTTCAGAATCTATAGTTCTGATTTTAGACATTAGAAAATGTTTCATGTGTCTTATAGATTTTTAAAGCAAAGTTAGTTGTCTTTCTCCAAACATAAAATATTTCTTATAGCTACCTGCCTTTCTGGAAGAACTTTGCCATGAGAAAGAAATTTTGGAGAAGTACGGACATTCAGACTGCTGCAGCCAAAGTGAAGAGGGAAGACATAACTGTTTTCTTGCACACAAAAAGCCCACTCCAGCATCGATCCCACTTTTCCAAGTTCCAGAACCTGTCACAAGCTGTGAAGCATATGAAGAAGACAGGGAGACATTCATGAACAAGTAAGGATCCAGTTTAAAGGTAGATGCAAACCTCAGAAACACAGCAATGGCAAGCCTAATTTAGTATTTTTGCAATGTACTCATGTACTCCCAGTAAGAGGTATAATGTTTCTTTGGTGTTGTGTCTGCTGAGGTCCCAGACAAGGTAATTAGGAGAGCAACATTCAATGTAACTTGGTTTCCATAGCACGCTAGATGTAGTACAAACCACAGGACAAACCTACCAGAGGTTCCATTAGTCCCTTGAGAGATATACACCTTTTTTTTTTCTTTTTACCCATTCTACTCTCAATTTTACCTTGTTCAAGAATATATTAGTATTGCACCAAATTGATGCTTTCCAGAGCCATATATTGGTGTTTTGTGTTCACCTAATTGCCTAGAAATAAAAGTTAGAGATCCAAGCATGGTCAAGCATGGTCAAGATACACAGACATGGCAAAGGTTTACTGAACACTTAGGATGTTGTGGGGCCGGGCGCGGTGGCTCACGCTTGTAATCCCAGCACTTTGGGAGGCCGAGGCGGGCGGATCACGAGGTCAGGAGATCGAGACCATCCTGGCTAACATGGTGAAACCCCGTCTCTACTAAAAATACAAAAAAAATTAGCCGGGCGTGATGGTGGGCGCCTGTAGTCCCAGCTACTCGGGAGGCTGAGGCAGGAGAATGGCGTGAACCCTGGAGGCGGAGCTTGCAGTGAGCCGAGATTGCGCCACTGCACTCCCGCCGGGGCCACAGAGCGAGACTCCGTCTCAAAAAAAAAAAAAAAAAAAGGATGTTGTGGAAACATGTCTGCTTGCACAGAGGATCAGATTAACACTCACAAACAAACTTTGAAGCCTCCTTCTCCTCTTCCTCTTCATTCTTCTTCTTTCCCCCATTTTGTTGATAGGAAATTGAAGGTTGGAAGGCTAAAACAACTGGCTAAGGGCACACAGCTAGTACATTTGACCCCAGGTTCTCTGTTGGAGAAGCCTGTACGTAACTCTTCATCACTTCTGCCTTCCATGTTACTTCCTAAACCAGATAAATAGAGAGATTGCCCTTAGAACATCTCTGCTATGGCGACTATCCAGGTGCATAACCCCATTCTGCACTGACAAGGGATAAAATGTCCATCTTTCTGTTGCACTTAGCAGAAGTCTGGCTTTGCTGATCCCTGAAACATATCTGAGTAGGCTTATTGAAAAGGACCTTTTAATAAGAATCATGGTTAGCATGTCTGCCTATTTTCTTCTCATAATAGAATCTGGTACCATCTGTCAGATATTTTTCCCCCCAGGATCTTTAGTGAGGAAAATTTTGACAACATGTGGAAAAAATATGATGATTTTCCCCTTAGGAACACAGTAAAGACAAAGTCAAATGCATTTTGTTGTTGTTGTTTTTGAATCTTTAAATAAATCCCAGTGTCCAGTTCCAAGCAGTAGTAGTCCTATTTTTAGGTGTTTATAAATCTTCTAGCTCTATTTTATTTCACAGATTCATTTATGAGATAGCAAGAAGGCATCCCTTCCTGTATGCACCTACAATTCTTCTTTGGGCTGCTCGCTATGACAAAATAATTCCATCTTGCTGCAAAGCTGAAAATGCAGTTGAATGCTTCCAAACAAAGGTATCATATTTGCGTGGATATCTGAACCAGTACTGTAGTCTATGACTCATTAAAACAAAACAAAGTTAAAAATGAAAACGTGCTTAATTGTGGAGAGTATCGTTTTTGGAATAGAGAAATAGTTCAGCAGTCTGATATTCTTCGAGTGAACAAAACTGGATTTGCTGGTTTTTATTATCTATTCATTAAGTCAACAATAATTTTATTATTAAGGAAGTGAGTTTGATGGGATAAAGAAGGAAAGACAGACAGACAGAAAGAGAGAAAGAGAGGGTGCTATAAATGGGAAGGAGTAAGTGAAAGAAAACGGAGAAAAGGAGGAGCAGAGGAGAGAGAAAAAATGAAGAACTATGATAAATGCTTTATACTTACTGTTTTTTTAAACCTTAGAACAAATTTGAGGTGTAAGTATTTTTGTCCTTTAACAAACTAGGAAAGAGGTTTAGAGAAGAAAATTTTTTTTAGGTTTAGAGAGGTAGAATAATATCCACCATTAACTACTTGCTACCAGCAGTCCTATAACAAAAATTTCCTGAGAACTGACTACTCTCAGTGTCAAGCCGTGATACAATCGTATTTTTTGTAACTGAGAAGACACTTAAGAAATTAGCAGGCTTCAATTTGTCTTTAAGCTGTTTAAAGGTACAGTTGTTCATTTATGATCCCCAGTATAAAAGTTATGTTTTTGTTTCAAGGTACTTTGAGTAAATTTGTCTGGCACAGATGCATATAAACTAACCCAAAAGAATAAATGAGTCAATAATATTCTGCGATAATGTATGACATTTATAATTTTTAGTAAAAAACATATTTTATGGAATTTCATTTTACCTATACTTGTTGTTTTTCTAAATATTAGAGCTTGTAAAGAAAATGTTAGTATATGCTTTCATGACATTTTGTTTCCTCTACATCTAGGCAGCAACAGTTACAAAAGAATTAAGAGAAAGCAGCTTGTTAAATCAACATGCATGTGCAGTAATGAAAAATTTTGGGACCCGAACTTTCCAAGCCATGTAAGTTCAAGTTCTATCTAGGGAAGAGGGTGAGAGCTACAGAACTACCATTTTGCAATTTGGGTTCGTTTTTTTAATTGTTGCTGTTTTAGAGAATGAAGACCCCTTTGTGACCCCTTTGATGAGGGCTAATGGGATTAGAACCATGAACTCTTAGGATCAGAAGGAAGCTAACGGATAAGTCAGTTTAACACTTACTAAAGCCTAGCTGAGATAATACATAGAAAAGACTTTTAAAGTTTATGTTATTTACCTGTTCTTTAAGACACTTAAGTTCTGGCCTGCCATCAAATTATACCTCATCACTAGACCATATTTTTCTAGCTCTTCTACAAAATAAGTCAGCCTTCACTGAGTGTCATTTAAAACTTTTGCCTTAACAAGAAATTCTTTATATTAATTGTGTTTCTTAATCTTCTATAAGGCTCTTTATAGCATTTATTGCTTCCCATAAAAATATTCCTTTGAGGCAATAATATTAGAATCTAGTGTCAGGAGAAAAGAACATTTTAAATTATATAACTTCTTTAAAGTACTCATCAACTCTTTTATGATAAAACATTTCTAGTATATGAAAATATCTGAGCTGCTAATCGAATAGTAGTAAGTATATATATTCAGAGTTTATTTGATTGCTGTTTGGTTAAATAACACGTTAAAGCATATTGTAGACAATGGAAATCTAGAATGAAGTTTTTAGTAATAGAATTAGTTCTAAAGACTGAAATTTCTTCTTGTAAGAAGTCAGATTTATGCCTTAACTACCCTCCAACTCAATTAGAAATTGAAAGATTAATTTATGACCTACTTTAAAAAAATTTATCTTAGTAATAAAATAGAAATTGAGATAGTATTATAATACCCTTATCATTTGCTATCCATAAGTGAAAGCTAAGTGGTCTAAATTTATAGAGAAGATCCATCTTTATCAGAAGCAGGAGTAACACTATTTTCTCTAGGAGCAATGGTTTTACAAAGACAACTCTTAAAATTTAATGAAATATGCAGAGGAAACCAGAATTTTTATTTCTTACTTCTTTTTTGGCCACATTACTCTCTTGGCACACTGGTATGCCTGAAATGTTTAATCTGCTCCACTTTCTTGTCCCATTTCATTGATTTGCACATACGCCTCCTTTCCTGGATTCTCAGAAGTATTTTTTACCCCAGTAAAAAATGGTTCTCATTTTCATGGAATTTTCCATTTCTTAATTGTTTATCCTTTTAAAGTTTTATGTCCACTCAATACAAATGCTCAGCATAAGGGTTGAATGGCAAAAATAATTTACCTTAATTCTTAAGACATGTTTTAGGAAAAGATAAATTATTTCTAAACCATTTGTGGGGCCAGCTCACAGTTTACAGAGCTACCACCTTGAAAGATATGGCTGGAATCAAGCCTTAAAACATGTTTCCTTTTCTTTTTAAACAACAAGGGAATTTCAGTCATTTCTCTTTGAAACTTCTACTGTAGTAATACTCTATAAATTCTATTTTATTTTGACAGATAACCAAGAAATTAATTTCTAATTTCTTTTTTTTCCCTAGAACTGTTACTAAACTGAGTCAGAAGTTTACCAAAGTTAATTTTACTGAAATCCAGAAACTAGTCCTGGATGTGGCCCATGTACATGAGCACTGTTGCAGAGGAGATGTGCTGGATTGTCTGCAGGATGGGGTGAAGAGTCTTGCTTCTTAAAATAGAAGATTTTCACTCCCTTTTCTTTCTTTTTGTCTCATTCTAAAAGGGAGAAGGTTGTTTGACTTGAATTGGTTACAGAGTATGTAAACTAGGTGACTCCTTAAATTTGCAGAATTCTCGGTAGTAAAACTTAAACCATCTTTTGTTGATCCTGGCTTTCACTTTAGCTATACCCCTTTTTGTGAAACCAAGGCTCATCTATTTCTTACTTCTAAAAAAACCGTGGGAACTTCTCAGAAGGCTTCTCCATAGTTACTTGGAGGACGGGAGGAAACTAAGGTTTAATGTATTTATTTTTTCATTCATTTATTCTTTCATTTGACAAATAAATATATATTAAATACTTTCTATCTGCTAGCCACTATGACAGACACTTGTTTTAAAAGCACAGGCTGACCTCAAGGAATTCACAGTCTGATAGGAGAGATAAGACAGTGACCTCCTTGGAGTTAGGGACTGCCTTGGTTTACTGTTATCTCCATAGCACAATGCCTGGCACATGGAAGGCATTCTATAATAGTTTGTTAAATGAACGAATGCAATAAAAATTGCACAAGTAACTGTCCTACCAGGTAAAAAGCTAGCCTTGCCAAAGACAAGTGTGAATAAAGTGGTCTCGGAGAATTAGAAAACAAAATTTAAAAAACCCAGCAACAGTTTCTTGAGTGTGCTCTAGTCAGTGGTGGTTTAAGCAGTGTGGCATTGGCTTATTTTGGCTAACCCTAGACTTCCTAGATTTTACAAGAGAGGACTGTTGACCCTCAGATTACTCTGTCTCTGTGGGCTCCATGACATACCAAAGAGATTAAAATCCAAGGAGCTTAAAAATTACTGCTCTTAGGTACTCAAATGGCTTGATAACCAGCACTGGACTATGGTTTCCAGAAGGCTGAAAGTGAAGATAAAATGCTCATTTCAGCCCATCCGATGGCAATTCAGTGAGATGCTTGAAGTAAGCAAGAAGCCAAGGCTGCAGAGGAGGCCTGAGAGTGACAGTCCCTGAGGAGCTGGGGAAGAAGTGGGAGGAGGCAGCCTGGCAGGCGACTGTACTACTTTACTTGTTTTTCTTCTAAAAATATGGCATACTAGGAAAACCAACAAGAAGTATTTTGTTTTTCTTTGAGCTCAGTTTTCCCATTTTGAACGGACAATTTTACTGTTTCTCGTTGTCATTTTTAAAAAGTTAATTTTTTCAATTTTTGGAGCTCATAACCACCCTTTTCCTTTAAAGTGGAAACATTAATTTCAGCATGATATGTAAGTTGGATTTTGATAGCTGAATAATGGGTTCTAATTATCTTTGCTGAGAATGTACAGAATTTTCAGTCCCATGACAGGTATATATGTAAGCTCTGCCTCTCTCTGGCCACTTAGGTGCATTGCCATTTTATTATCTATAGACTGCCCTCTGAAGGTCATAGTCAGTCACTGCAGTATGTTCTGATAAAGATGATTATCATTCTTACGGAATTTCTCGTGGAGCAGAAAGTTTGCTCTCCATGTTATGATAAAGATGATTATCATTCTTACGGAATTTCTCGTGGAGCAGAAAGTTTGCTCTCCATGTTATGATACCAGTTGCAAGTGTTGTTTAGGGGCAAATTTGAATGCTAATAGAAATACATATAGCAACATGCATCCTATTTTATTTGAGCACATTTCCCTCTTATTTGTAAAGGTTTTCAATTAAAATAACATAGGATTTAGCTTACAACTATGGAAAGAAGAATTGAACAAACAGGTAAGTGGAAAGGAATGAGAAAAGGCAAAAGTGGGGAGAAAGCACTAAAACGGGAGACAAGTTAAAATTTCTTTTTAATTGATAGGTCACGTTCTCACTCTATTTGCCTTTAAGGGAAGAAAGCAATCAAGTTAATATGTTTTCCTTCATTGTATAGTATGTAACTACGGACACTATTAGAGGAGGGATTTGTGTAGCACTTAGGACATTATACTTGATAATTTCCAAGGGTCTTTCTAGATTTAAAAGTCTGATTCTAACGTAGTAATAAAAATAAAGGCCCAATTTTCTCTTTAATATTGGCTGAAGATATTACTCTATTATTGCATTAAAATTAAACATTCACACATTGTTTGCACTGCTAAATAAAATTATGTAATTTCTTCTTCTTTCCTTCCTCCTTCCTCCATCCCTCTCTATTTCCCTTTCCCCTTCCTTCTTTCCTGGCCTTTTTTCCTTCTTTCTTTGTTCCCTTCTCCCTCCCTCCCCTTTCTTCCTTTTTCTAAAGCTGGCTTTGAGATCCTTTATTAAAGAATAAATCTTTAAAACTTATACTTTATTTTCTCTGTTGCAGGAAAAAATCATGTCCTACATATGTTCTCAACAAGACACTCTGTCAAACAAAATAACAGAATGCTGCAAACTGACCACGCTGGAACGTGGTCAATGTATAATTCATGCAGAAAATGATGAAAAACCTGAAGGTCTATCTCCAAATCTAAACAGGTTTTTAGGAGATAGAGATTTTAACCAATTTTCTTCAGGGGAAAAAAATATCTTCTTGGCAAGGTAACACACTCTGTAAATGCATGTTCATGCAAGTAAAAATGATTATGTGGCTGACAGATTTGCGTTGTTGAAATGGAGAGTGATGATTATGGTTTTTGAGTTCAATATGTGAGGATATTTGGCTAGAATGTTCTGAGCCAAAATAGATTTCAGTAGATAACCAGGGAATAAGTAATGGGATTTGGTGTTTAACGGTGAAGCGTTCACCACTGTGACTCATTAACTGCTTTGCTTATGAAGCTGAATTTTATTTCACATCAATTTCTCTGGAATCAGAAGCATTGTCATCCTGTAAAGATTACTCATATCAAGGCCACCATTGAACTCTCAAATAGGATATGGATATTTTTGTAATAAGAAGAGTTCATGATTAAGAATGAACTCTTGCTACGCATGTTAAAAAAAAAACTTTTCTCCAAAAGATAACACAAGAGATAATGCTAGGTAGAAGAACTTTTATAGGAACAGCTTATTGGCTATGTATTAAATACATGTTTTGTATTTTTTAAGAAAATCAAAACATGTTTAGAGACATTTGCAGTACAGTAGTTTGTTTTAATACAACTGATAGGTCACGTTCTCACTCTATTTGCCTTTAAGGGAAGAAAGCAATCAAGTTAATACGTTTTCCTTCATTGTATAGTATGTAACTATGGACACTATTAGAGGAGGGATTTGTGTAGCACTTAGGACATTATACTTGATAATTTCCAAGGGTCTTTCTAGATTTAAAAGTCTGATTCTAACGTAGTAATAAAAATAAAGGCCCAATTTTCTCTTTAATATTGCCTGAAGATATTACTCTATTATTGCATTAAAATTAAACATTCACACATTGTTTGCACTGCTAAATAAAATTATGTAAGCTAGAATAAAGTTCAGATTTAGGAGACACATAGTGACAACTGATTGGTGACAGAACTAATCCTATAATCTGGGAATACGGTTAGTAAAGTCAAGAATTACCTTTAAGTTTACACATCCATGCACATCTAAATCTAATTGTTTAATAGAAGCAGTTCTTCAGTTGCAAAGGTTCTTTGCAGTAGAATTTTCTCAGCCAGGAATGATCTTCCCCCAGATATTTGCATGGCTTCTTTCACTTAGCTGATCTCTGTTCTGATATCAGCTGCCTAGAGAGAATTTTCTTGACCACATTCAAAGTTAGTGGCCTCTCCACCTTGGGTATCATCCTTTTTTCTCTTTTTCATCTTTATTTATTTTCATTGATTTATCGCTAACTGAAATGAGATGGCCTATTTCTTGTTTATTTGTTCTGCCTCCCTATAATGTGTGCTTTTCAGAGGGCAGGTATTTATCTTAGACATCATTGAGTCCGTTCTGCTTAAAGCAATGCTAGCAAAGAGTGGACACTGGAAAAATATTTGTTGAATAAATGAATATAAAGTCCGTAATTGAAAAGTCAAATTGAGAGATGCAGGAGAAAACAAAAAGCCATTTTACAGGACAATTTGAAGGATCACAGTCTGTATTAACAGTTTTGCCATTCATATAATTCAAATCATATTTGATTTTCAGGTTTATTTATTTGAATTTAACTTCCACATGCCATATTATATAGGAATAACTGGAGAAGTGATGGCTCCTTTTGTCTCTTAGTTCCAATAACTTGAAATATTTTTCTCCACATATTTCAGTTTTGTTCATGAATATTCAAGAAGACATCCTCAGCTTGCTGTCTCAGTAATTCTAAGAGTTGCTAAAGGATACCAGGAGTTATTGGAGAAGTGTTTCCAGACTGAAAACCCTCTTGAATGCCAAGATAAAGGAGTAAGTTGCTCTAGAATTTTAGGGGAGTATGAAAAACTGGATTGATATCATCTGTTAAAAATGCTGTTTGTTTGAAAGCCTCTAGTTTTCAACTAGTTGTTAGCCAGTTATATCTATTTGTCTAGATATTAAGCTGTTATTAACTAGCAGTCAGCAGCTAGTGGCTTGCTTTAGAAACAAAAATGTTAATTGCTTCTCAGCCTTTTGGCTAAGATCAAGTGTAGAAATAAAAATGTTAACCAAAAGTCCTTTGATCCACAAATAAAGGTAGTATTCATTATTCATTTTTGGATAACTTCAGAAAGGCAAGAATTTGGTACAGAAAGAACTGTAACCATTTATCCAAAGATTGAGTTTTGCCATTAAATGATTTTGTGATTTATAAAATGTTAAACTTAATCTCCCCAAAATCCATTTTCTGTAATTATCAAAATTTACACTTTACCATATTTAATATTTAAACATCTCTGATTGGTTTTATAATAGTATATAATATTGATCAATTTTATATACAAAGTTATGCATCCAAGAAAAGAAAAATGTATATGTAATAATTCTTCATTTTCAGGAAGAAGAATTACAGAAATACATCCAGGAGAGCCAAGCATTGGCAAAGCGAAGCTGCGGCCTCTTCCAGAAACTAGGAGAATATTACTTACAAAATGCGTATGTTTTTGTAAACAGTATTTTTAGTGAATTAAAATTATTAAAGAGAATGTAGCCTTCCCCATTCTCCTCCTTTGGAAGCAACAAGAATGACCTGTGAGGTCTGATCTGTGGTATTGACTTTAAGTTCCCCATACTGTGCAAATTTTTGCAGTAAAGATATCCATTCTGTCATAGTCTGTCCGAGTTAAAGCACCAAAAGATCACAGTTAAAATCAATGAAGCTCCGAGGTTGAGAATACAAGTCAGGCTTCCTCCTGGAGTTTGCTTTTTCATTGTGATATGCTTCTATAATAGGAGTACAGGGAGTGGTTGTTAGAGTAAATGCATCTCAAAAGTTGGTTCAAATACCATGTAGATGAAACAAACGAGCTGACCTCATGTCTTCTGGCATGAGAGTAGAGAGTCTGTGAGAAGAAGCAAGGCGGCTAAAAACTCATGAATGACTCAGCAGGACTTAGTTAAAAAATGCTTCTTTCAGGTTTCTCGTTGCTTACACAAAGAAAGCCCCCCAGCTGACCTCGTCGGAGCTGATGGCCATCACCAGAAAAATGGCAGCCACAGCAGCCACTTGTTGCCAACTCAGTGAGGACAAACTATTGGCCTGTGGCGAGGGAGCGGTGAGTGTCTGCTTGGTTTGGTCCCATCTCATTTCTGCCCTGTTTGACTTGAAATAGCCTCATAATTCCCCTCTAGGGAAGACGGTAAAAACCAATGTAGAGATGGCCTTAGGAGGCTTGTTTGATTAGTCACGGTTGGAGGGGTGTGAGAACCCAGCTCTGGATGGCTGGCATGTGGCCATGCTTCCTATTCCTCCAGGGTGGCTGGTGGAAGTTCAGCCAGTTTAGTCAACAATATCTGAGCCAACTTTATATATCGGAAAGACAGAACGACCAACATGTAACTCATAATTCATAACAATTCATAATTCATAACTTCAAATCATAATTTCTGCTTTTTGTTCATATACTTACTTTGATGTTTTAAAAAAGCTTTATCTTTGATTGATTAAAATTAGTCATGCTATTTTAGCCATATTTATATTTTCACCTTTTGTAACATGATATTATTATTATGACATCAGGAATAATTGGTTCCCTTTCGCAGGGTATAGGGTACAGCACAGGATAAGTATTATGTTCTGAATAGTAAAATGACTTTCGAGTCAGTAATGCCAATATTCTTTACTTCCTAATGTCACTAGTATCATACATAAGATTACAGGATGAATTAAAAATATTTTTCCTATAAAGTCATAATTGCAAACAAAATTGTCTATTTTATCCTTTTTCCTCTTTTTCATAATGGGGAGTTATTTGCTGTTAGTCTTCATGTCATACATTTTTTCCCCAAAGGTTAAGAGTAAAAGGAGAGTTCTTGTGATTAAATGTCACCTCAATTGTTTGTTGAATTTCCCATGCTGGGAGGCTGCAGGGATGCAGGATGGTGTAATGGTTCAGGAGTGTATGTTCCGGAGGCCACCAGCCAACAACCGCATTCTACTTTCACTATTCTTTAGTTGTATCACAGTGGGAAAGCAACTTATGTCATTAAGCTTGAGTTTTTTCATCTGACATTTGAGAATACAAATTATACCACCCTCATACGACAGCTGTTTTAAACAAGATAATCTGCATAACTCACACAGCACTAGTCTGACAGATAAAGTGCACACAAAACATATTATTTCTTATTACAAGTTATTACTAGGTGATTAAGAAATATCTCCTAAGTAGGCAAGGTAGCAAGATTCTACATTAGGAAAGTCTTAAAAACCCACAAAATTGCTCTTACTTCTTTTCAATTAGGATGATATATTAGCTGCAAGTGTATACATGTGTATATGTATGTGAATAAAAGGGGTAAGTTTGTGCTATTCTTACCTTCAGATAGTGATTATCAAAAGAAAAATGGAAAGTTCAACTAAATACACATGGGAAACATAAAGGCAGAGACATTTTTGTCCTTTAGAAGTGTGTATGTAACTGGAAGCATGTTTCAAATAGCTGACACAAATAGCTAAATGACTATCCTCAACATCACATATGGACCATCTGCTACTACTTGCTAAGGCTTAGCCCAAACAAATGGGTAAATCCTGGAATTTACAATATAATGTCACATGATCCTACATAGCAAATTTTCCTGTAATATTAATTATAAATTGCTGGGCATTAGAAATTATTGCAGCAGTTTTCTGAAAAACTGAACCAACTTTGTGACTAATGCCCAATCTCCTTACTTTTTTTTCTCATTCTCCTAACCAGGCTGACATTATTATCGGACACTTATGTATCAGACATGAAATGACTCCAGTAAACCCTGGTGTTGGCCAGTGCTGCACTTCTTCATATGCCAACAGGAGGCCATGCTTCAGCAGCTTGGTGGTGGATGAAACATATGTCCCTCCTGCATTCTCTGATGACAAGTTCATTTTCCATAAGGATCTGTGCCAAGCTCAGGGTGTAGCGCTGCAAACAATGAAGCAAGAGTAAGAAACTGTTACTTGCTAGCATGGAAAAGAATGACAACCCCAAAGAGTAACTGAGACTTCTACCTCGCTCACCTAACACTATTGGGCTCACTAACAGAGCGTTACTCCCAAAACACTTAAAATGCCTTTGAAAATAGTTTTGTCTCAGTGTCTTCACAGTCTCATTGGGGAAGCAGGTCTAGAAAAATTGACGAGGGTGGACAATTTCCTGTTTGTAAAAATAATCTCTGTTGTAACTGTTATTGTGATATGTATTTGGGGGTTGAGGAAAAGTGGGCAATCTATTCTGAGGAATTAGAGTGTATCTTTGCAGCAAATTTGGGTACTTCCATTCCAAGCACAGGAAACACATCATTGAATCTTTTTTTACACTATTTACACTTTGAAGAGAATAACCATCTTATTTAATTCAACCATGCAGTTTGGGTGTTAAGAAATGACATGTACATTTCAGTTCATTGTGGGAGCTCTTTTGTAATGGTGATGGTCATGCAAGTCAATGGAGCTTATGTTCTTCAAACTCCCATGCATTTTAATCCTCACTTGTTTTGTAAATAGTCTTCCTTCATTGGAAAACCCATTCTTCTCTTTTTTCCTCTATCACAGTCTGAGGTATGTTTCACAGTATGATAAGAATGTTGCCTGTTCTGGCAAGCTTTTTCTATTGCTCTGGTCTACTTTCTATTGCTCTGGTCTAAGTCCAACATGAAAGGCTTGCTAAGTGAGCAGTGCAGGCAATTAGTGCTGCCAGTGCCCAGATAAGGGGTGTGATAACTGGATGGGCAGGATTCGGAGATCTGGGTCTTTGAGTGTAGATAAGACACAGTTAAGAAGAGCGGACAGGAAAGGATATTCCTGGGGGATGAGGGGAGATTGCCTTCCACTACACATAAGTATGGTCAAGTATGAAATAGTGTTTTATCCACAACCTGCACAACTCCAGGCTGGTGGAACACTTGGCATGCTTTCAGCCTCAATCTTTCTACTGAAAGTACTAGACAAGGTGTGTGTGGTCAGTCTGGTGATAGGTTGATGGAGTAAGGGTTTAGGCTCTGAAAATTCTCTACTAGGAAGGCTGTAGAAAAATAGCATTGCATAACAGACTTCTCTTGTATTTTGTTTTGTTTTAAATCACAGGTTTCTCATTAACCTTGTGAAGCAAAAGCCACAAATAACAGAGGAACAACTTGAGGCTGTCATTGCAGATTTCTCAGGCCTGTTGGAGAAATGCTGCCAAGGCCAGGAACAGGAAGTCTGCTTTGCTGAAGAGGTACATGCAGCTCATTTCATACTCAAAATACTTGCTATGGAATTTTCTGTAGTGGATAATGAAAGGAAGACCCTACAAATTTATAACTTTAAAATATTTTCAGAGAGATTTAAATTTCATTGAGAAGCAGATTGAGGGATTCTATAAGATTTAAAAAATAATCACATTTTCTTGCTTAATATTAGGAAAATTTATAATATTAAAATATATTAATAGAATTAGTAATTTTAATTTATTTCCTAGTAGAGAAACCCATAAAGTGAATGTGTAAATAATTGACGGTAATTTAGATAGTTTCTGGCCTAAAATTGATCAATTCAGCTAAATGGATTAAAGGATTTAATAGCAAATTAATTGTGCAAACAGAGTATTAGGAGTCTATTTGTAGAAAATGTTTTTGAACTCATTTAGAAGCTTGCTTTTGTACATCAACAGAGTAGTATTTAGGAGTTATTTTAATTACATAGTAATTTTAGCTGGATAATTAGCCAGATTTTCTTTAACCAGGGGATTCTACCTAACATTTAAAAAAATTACCTTTTTTCAGCTTTATTGAGGCATGATTGACAAATACAAATTATATATGTTTAGGGTGAACATGTGATGTTTCAATATATTTATACATTGTGAAATGATTATCACAATCAAGATAATTGGCTAAATTTTACAAATCTTTAGTTTGTATTGCTACATATATTTGAATATAGCAACACTATACTTTAAAAAGATATTCTATAACTTAGCGTTTTTGTCAATTTTACCTTTCTCACCATGTAAAATCCAAAGACAGATATATTTAGAAATGTAGAGTTTTTCTATAAATAATATAATTAGATGCATTTGAGTGTGTGCACTTACCAGTATATGTGTGTGTTTTTGGTGGGATCAGGTAGGGTGGGACATAGATAACCAAATTAGATAAAACTGGTGAAACAGATTTGATGTGAAGCATTTCTGAAAAACATGACACAAGAAGATTAATGTTCTCTAATCTGAGAAGACATTTATTTAGATATAGAGAACATGAACAAATAGTAGCAGTGCTTTATCTGCAAACCTTTTAATTTCTAATAACTTGTAATTTGTAGAGGAAGGGGAAAGATTGAGAATACGCATTGATTTGGAGATTGTTATAGAAGAAAACTGTTGATGTGAAAGAATATTGTTTTCTCCCTGGCTTTTACTATCCCAGGTTGTTGGCATCAGAGATGTGTTTCTTCATTTTTAACTTAGTTAATCTACAAACCTATGAATTCACCCCGGATTGTAGAGTGTTAACTGTATGATTGGTATAATAATCCATTTCTTTATCTGATTATGTTTATTCTTAATTTTCAGGGACAAAAACTGATTTCAAAAACTCGTGCTGCTTTGGGAGTTTAAATTACTTCAGGTAACAAAACATTCAGACAAGCCTGAATACAATGTTGTTTCTCCAGAAATATCAATCCATAATGAGATAGATCATGAGGAGTGCCATTAATTCTCTTAAAAATACATGGAATTCAAAAAAAAGTTTATTTTAAAAACACTTGAACAAAATTACGCACACAATGTTAAATTAGTGGCTCAACTATGCAAAATCCTTTTTGGTTATTTAAAAGACTTCAACAAATGCTATCAGAAGACTTTCCTACGTATCCAATATTTCTCTGATATAAAATAATAGAACCAGTTACTTACTGCACCTATTAGTTTAATTAGTATTTAATATATTTTTGCTCATATTGCAGGGGAAGAGAAGACAAAACGAGTCTTTCATTCGGTGTGAACTTTTCTCTTTAATTTTAACTGATTTAACACTTTTTGTGAATTAATGAAATGATAAAGACTTTTATGTGAGATTTCCTTATCACAGAAATAAAATATCTCCAAATGTTTCCTTTTCCAAGTTTGCTTATTTATGAAAAGTTATCGATAATTTCTTTAGTTTTGTATACCATTGTCTGAAGCAGATTCTGTTAAAATAGCATTAAGTGTTGGTTATTATAGGAGATTAAAGCTATCCAAGGATGGATTTACAGCACTAGATCACTTGGTGAACTGAAAAATGTTCCCAAGTTAAACACTATTTGATGCTACCAGGGCATTTTGTTTATTAAATGACCATCACTGAAGTATTCTAACAGATAATCTGGAGATGAGAAAAGAAATTATTATTCTTCTATGGGATCTAAGAAAATTTAACATCTACTTTTTTTCTCAATCTTGTTCAGTTCTCTATTCACAGACATTTTAAAACATAAGAATATTACAGTTTTGATTGAATATAATTAATGTTTTCATCAATTAAATTTTTATTCCACAAATGTTTATTAAGCCTTCACTGAGTTCCAGGCCTTGGGCTGGGTACAGTCACTGTTCTCCAGTCGCTTCAGTAGAGAAGGAAGCAACACAATAATGATGCCTCAGATTATGACCACAAGGAGTTGACAACAAATTGTTGAGGGAACGAAAGGGTGGGTGACATCAGTTCTGACTGGAAAAGGTGCCATAAATGTTTAAGAAGAGTCTTAGAAAATGAATGAGCATTCATCAGTTCAAGTAAAAGAGAAGGCCATTTTATGAAAGAGGAAACATGGTCAGAGGTACTGGGTATGACAAAGTATGATGAATAGTTTTAGAGGAGTACAGGGTAGGTAGGAAGGGTAGAGATGTAGAATGTTAGGCAGGATGTGGAAGCTATGAAGGGCTAATCCAGACTCTCAGCGCTCTATTCTAAAGAGGTTGGACAATATCTTATGAGTAACAGAGGACCACAGTGATAGCTAAGCAGAGGTGTGCTATTAATAATTAGCTTTGAGGAAGATAATCTATGAGATACGGAGCATGGGCAATGGGGCAGGGAAAAGGGTAGAGGGGGCAAAGTCAGCAAGAGGTGACAAAAAGACCATTCCCCCAGTAGGGAAGCTGTTTATCTTCTTAGCTTTGAATAGAAATCTGAAAATTACATGCATACTTTGGCCTGGGCTCTGGGAGAAGACAATGGCTTTAGAGCAATAAAATGTGCTTTCGGTTCTTCTTCTCTTTTTTTTTGAATTGGAATCTGCTATGTTGCCCAGCTGGTCTCAAAATCCTGGGCTCAAAAGATCCTCCTACCTTGGCCTCCTGAGTAACTGGGACTAGAGCCATGAACCACTACACCTAGCCCTTTTAGTTCTAACTAGATTGCTTTCTACTTGACATTTTTCTTTCCATTGTACTGCAACATCTATGAACTTTGTCTGATTTTGGTGTAATTCTAAAAGGTATTAATTTAAAGATCACAATAAAATAAAATCACGTTCAATATAAAAGCATTAAGCTGGAAAATGCTTTATTTTTTTAAGGGAAAAGCACAATGAAGGTAAAACTGTTAGGGAAATTTGTGAGTCAAATAATATTTTGTTGAAATATATAAAGAAAAAATGATTGGAGGCAGAAGGATAAATTGACGTAAGTACAATTGTAAATTGGGGATTTTTAAAAATTTATTTTATTTATTTATTTATTTTTTTGAGACAGAGTCTCGCTGTGTCGTCAGGCTGGAGTGCAGTGGTACAATCTCGGCTCACTGCAAGCTCTGACTCCCTGGTTCAAGCGATTCTCCTACCTCAGCCTCCTGAGTAGCTGGGATTACAGGCACGCGCCATGACACCCAGCTAATTTTTGTATTTTTAGTAGAGACGGGGTTTCACCATGTTGGCCAGGCTGACCTCGAACTCCTGGCCTCATGATCTGCCTGTCTCGGCCTCCCAAAGTGTTGGGATTATAGGCATGAGCCACTGCACCCAGCCAAATTGGAGATTTTAAAACATCTCTACCTCATTAACAGAACAAGTTAGGCAAATAACAAATAAAGACTCAGGGTATTAAACTGCTGTAGTCAGGATTACCAACAACTTTCACACTGCAAAATCCAATAGTGGATTCTTAGTCTTTAGCTTATCTGAGTTCTCTCAGCAGCATTTGACACAATTGATCACTCTCTTTTCCTTGAAACGTTTTCCTCACTTGGTGTTCGGACTTTCTTCCAACCTCATTGGCTGTTTCACCTCAATCTTCTTTGCTGTGTCCTCCTAACTCTTTGACCTCTAAATGTTGGAGTGTCCCAGAACAGTTCTTCCTTGACCGAAATTCACTCATCCAGACTCAGTGCATTAAATGCCATCTAGATGTTGACAACACATGTTTATAGCTCCAGCCTGGATTTCTTCCTTGACTTACAGGCTCTTACGTCAGCTTCCTCCTTAACATCTCCATGCTGATAATGTATAGACAACACAAACTTAGCACATTACAAATTGAATGTGAATCTACTCCTTGTCCCAAATTTGTACCTCCATCTTGTCTATCTGTCTGTTTTTATGAGTCAGACATTTTGGATTTATTGATGACCCCTCTCTTGCATATCACCCACACATTCAATCTATGAGCAAAGCTTGTCGGCTCTACCTTTAAAAAGTATCCAGAATTTGACTATTTCTCAATACTTTGGTACCAGTCACAATCATATGCCTCACTGGGGTTATTGCAATAGATTCCTAATTGGTCTTTTTACAAGTGACCTTGCTCCACCCTCAACCCTATTCTCAAAAGTGAACATTATGTCACTTTTCCACTCAGAATCCTCTAGTGGCTTCCCACCTCTCTCAGAGTAAAATGCAAAGTCTGTCCAATGACCCTACATGATAATATCTTTCTGACCTTTTTTGTTACTCCTCTGATCAGGTACAGAGGTCTCCCTGCTGCTCTTCAAGTTACCAATCAATGTCCTGCTCAGGGTTTTGCCCTCATGACCCTTCTGGCTTAGAAGACCCTCAGCTATGTGTGAGGCTCACTTCATCACCAACTTCAAGCTTCTACTCGTAGTTATCTGCTAAATGATGATGTTTTCCTCAACTACCTTATTTTAATTCAGAAATGCCATTCCCAGTCCCCACAACACTTATCACCATCTGACAAACACTAGATTTTACTTGTTTATTTTCTGTCTACCTCACTAGAGTGTAAGCTCCATGAGAACAGTAACTTTTGTCTCCTTTGTTTACTTCGGCTATCTTCAGCATATAGAACAGTGCCTGAAACATAATAGGCATTCTAGAAATATTTATTTGAGTATGTGGAGGAATACTACACGCCATGGGCTATATATATTTTCTTATAAGGTGGTGAAACTAGAGGGGTTGTTAGCTTCCTCTAATAAAATTTTTTTCTAGAGAAAAAAAAAAAGCACAGGCCTAAGAAATTAACATAAAAACCATAAGATACCACTGAGGATGTTAAAGACGTGTGTGTGTGTGTGTGTGTGTGTGTGTATGCATGTGTATGTGTGTGTAGGCATGTGTGTGTGTGTATCGTGTAGAATGAGAATTAGGAAGTGGTGGCATTCTAGAATAGCTGGCTTGAAAGAGGGTGGGTAGGTTTGGGGGATAGATTTTTAACTTGTGCTTTTGTCTATACACTAAATTACAACGAAGGCTGCCACTTGCTTCACTGCCACTGTGAAGCATAAATCAGAAGGAGTAGCTCAAATTGCTTGGTGACCACAGGATAATATTGGGATAAGGCTAAACTCCAGCTGGGGCAAAAGACTGGTGAAAACAGCTGGGTGCAGAACAGCTACTGTTAAAAATTAAGTCTTCCAATCTCTTTATTTTATTTTATTTTATTTATTTATTTATTTATTTATTTTTTTTTTTGTATTATACTTTAAGTTTTAGGGTACCTGTGCCCAGCAATCCCATTACTGGGTATATACCCAAAGGATTATAAATCATGCTGCTATAAAGACACATGCACATGTATGTTTATTGCGGCACTATTCACAATAGCAAAGACTTGGAACCAATCCAAATGTCCAACAATGATAGACTGGATTAAGAAAATGTGGCACATATACACCATGGAATACTAGGCAGCCATAAAAAAGGATGAGTTCATGTCCTTTGTAGGTACATGGATGAAGTTGGAAACCATCATTGCAATCTCTTTCATGCCTACTTTCCCAGGACTTGTGGATTACCGTATAAGGAATTTGTCTCCTCCAATGATGCTGCTTTCAAAGAGTTAAGGAAGGGTCCAGAGAATTGCTCCATAGCATGGAATTAAATTAATAATCAATAACAGTAAGATCTCTAGAAAGTCCCCAAACATCCATTAACTAAGTAACATGCTTGTAAACATTCATGAATCAAAAAAGAAATCAGAAGCATATTTAAAAAATATTTTTGCCTGAATGAAAATGAAAAATGTGTCAGAATTTATAGAATGTCACTAAAACAGTGACATTTAAATTAAAGGAAATTTATAACGCTAAAGGCCTATGTGTTATAGAAAAGAAGGAAGATCTCAAATCAATGACATCAGCTTCTTCCTTAATAATCTAGAGATGAAAGAGCAAATTAAAAAACTAGTCATGAGAAAGAAGATAATAAAGATCAAAGGAGAATCAATAAAATAGAAAACAGAAGAAATCAATAGATATAATCACTGCAACCAAATGCGGTTCTTTAAGATCAATACTATTAATAAACCTCTAACCAGATTTCTCACTACCAATGTTTGGAATGAGAGAGGTGATAGTATTACAAGTATTAAAATAATGAGAAGAAAATGTTGTGAAAAAAATATGTCAGTAAATTCAATGACATATGAAAAGGACAGATTCCTTGAAAGACACACTTACAAAAGCTCATGCAAGAACAAGTAGTTAACGTGGTTATTTATGTATTAAGGAAATTGAAGTTGTAATTAAGATCATTCCCACAAAGAAAACTCCAGGCTTCACGATGAATTCTATTAAACATTTAAGGAAAAATAATACTAATTCTATACTAACTCTTCCAAAAAAATCAAAGAGATGGAAATATTTTTTGATTCATTCTATGAGGCCAGCATTACCCCAATACTAAAAATAAGTCAAAGATAATGCATAAAAATAAAACTATGGACCAATAGTCCTTATGAACAGGGGTCAACAAATATTTTCTGTAAAAGGTTAGATAAGTATTTTAGGCTTTGCAGGCTATTTACAGTCATCATCGTCCCCTCCCCCTTCCCCTCCTCCTTCCCCTCCCCCTCCCCCATCCCCCTCCCCCCTCTCCCATCACCCTCCCCCATCTCCCTCCCTTTCCCTTCTCCCCCTTCTTCTCCCCCCCACTTCCCCTCCCCCTCCCCTTCCCTTCCCTCCTCGCCTTCCTCCTCTTCCTCTTCTTCTTTCTTCTTTCTTCTTTCTTCTTTCTTCTTTCTTCTTCTTTCTTTCTTTCTTCTTCTTCTTCTTCTTCTTCTTCTTCTTCTTCCTCTTCCTCTTCCTCCTCTTTTTCTTCATCTTCATTTTCTTTCTCCTCTTTCTCTTCTCCTTCTTCTCCTTCTTCCCCTCTTCTCTTTCTCTTGGTCTTTCTCCTCCTCTTTCATTCTCTTCTCTTTAATATTTTAGAATGTGAAAACCTTTTTAAGCTCATATACCATACAAAAATGAACTAAAAGCTGAATTTAGCATGCGGGCCATAGTATGTTGACCCCTGCACATGAACATAGATAAAATTGAATCTAACAAAAAGCCAAAAAGATAATATATTATGACTAAGTGAGATTTATTTCAGAAATACAAGGTTACTTTAACGTTGGAAAAATCAATGAATATAATTCAATATGTGTATTATTTTAAAAAAATTATAATGATCTTAATAGATACAGAAAACACATTTGACAAAATCCAACATTCATTCTTGATAAAAACTGTCAGCAAACTAAAAGCAGAATGGAACTTCCTAAACCTGATAAAGGGCATAAATGAAAACCTACAGCTAAGTTTATATTTAGTTGTGAAAGACTGAATGCTTTTTCCTAAAGAAAGGAAAAGAGATAAGGTCATCTGCTTTCATTACTTCTGTTGAACATTGTACTAGAGGCTTTAACGATAAATCATGCAAGAAAAAGGAACAAAAGGCATCTAGAATGGAAATAAAGAACTAAAATTGTCTTCATTTGAAGACAGCATAATTTTTGGAATGGAAAATCCAATGGATTCTACAAAAAACTAATAGAACTAATTAGTGAGTTTAGAAAGGTTGCAGAATAATATACAAAAATCATTTGTATATTTTATATTAGCAACAAAAAGTTGGAAATTTAATTTTAAAAATATTATAGTGACATCAAAATATGTTCTGCTTAGAGATAAGTGTTATAAAAGATGTGAATAACCTGTGTACTACAAAATATTGCTTAGGAAGATTAAATAAGACATTTAGAAAGAGTGAGTTATATCTTGTTCACAGATTGAAAAACTTAATAATGTTAAAATATCAATTCTTTTGATCTATAGATTTAATGCAATCTCAATCAGAATCACCTAATTTCTTTCTAGAAATTAATAAACTGATTCTAAAAGTCATATGGAAATGCAAAGGACCTAGGATAACCAAGACAGCCTTGAAAAAGAAAGATAAAATTGAAGGGCTAACACTACCCTAAGACATAATTATAATCAAACTCTCAAAGGTCAAGGACAAAGAGAGCATCCTGAAAGCAGCAAGAGAAAATAAGCAAATAACATAAGAGAGATACAACACACCTGGCAGCTGACATCTCCATAGAAACCTTCAAGGCCAGGAGGGAGTGGGATGATAATTCAAAGTGCTGAAAGGAAAAAAAAATTTAACCAAGAACACCTTATCCATAAAAGCTATTCTTTAGAAACAAGGGAGAGATAAAAACTTGGCCAGGAAAACAAAAACTTGCACATTTCTGCAGAGCATAGGGCTGACGCTGCCCAATCTGGAAGTCATAACAGCAACTTGACCCAGCCTCAGAGCTCATCTTAAACTTTTGCCCAGGAAATCAGGCAAATTTCAACTATGCATTTCTATGGCTCATAGGCTCTGTTAATGTCCATCCCAAGCAACAAATCTGCTTAAACACGGGGCCTAGTGTGCAGCCCTGTCCAATGGAAGAACACAAACAGCAGTAGTGCCTGGCCAGGAAATACAGTCTATAAACCTGCCTCGTCATAGATAATAGCAATGCCTATCCATCAGTTCTCTCTAACCGAAGTGCCTAGCCTGTAGTTACACAGAAAGTGCAGCCCAGTTAGCAGCCCCATCTGATGTCAGAACAAAAGCCCAGTCCAAATAGAGAACTAACAGTAAGCTCTGCCTGCCTGTGGTCATTACGAGCTGGCCCATTCAGAATCCCAGGCTAGCCTAAATAGTTAAGTTCTCTCTATGCCAAAGAACACCTATAAAGTCCAAAAGAGCTGGCTGTTTTTTCAAATGTACATAATGCAAACACACAAGGATTATGAAGTATCAAGGAATTGCGACACCATGAAAAGAAACTAATTAATCTCTGTGGAAATTTTCAGAATCAAAATAGAGTCACATGCATTAAATATTCCGAAAAATAGAGCTGAGAAGGCCACGAAGAGATGGTTCTCGTATATGAATGTGTAATAACAAGACCTATCACAAAATACTCTGCAAAAATTACAACCTTGCACAAAGGCCACCACAATCGTACACAAGAAATACTTCTGTGAGGACATCTGCCCAGTAAAAACTCATTATAAAAGTAAGCACATAGTCAAATTTAGAATATTCTAATACAGTAATGATGGTGTGTACATCAATAATATCTCTAGCATGGAGGTTAAAAGTCAAAACTGTTAAAAAACTACAACTACAGGCTGGGTGCGGTGGCTCACATCTGTAATCCCAGCACTTTGGGAGGCCGAGGTGGGTGGATCACGAAGTCAGGAGTTCGAGACCACCCTGGCCAACATGATGAAACCCCATCTGTACTAAAAGTACAAAAAAAAAAAAAAAAGCTGGGCGTGGTGGTGTGCACCTGTAATCCCAGCTACTGGGGAAGCTGAGGCAGGAGAATTGCTTGAATCTGGGAGGCAGAGGTTGCAGAGGTTGAATCTGGGAGCCAAGATTGCACCACTGCCTGGGTGGCAGAGCGAGACTGTGTCTCAAAACAAACAAACAAACCTACAACTACAATAACTTGTGAAGAGATATACGTTATGAAAAGATATAGATTATGACATCAAAAACATAAAATATGTGTGTGGAAGTGAAAGTGTAGAGTTTTGGCATGCAATAAAGTTATCAACTTCAAATAGCCTGTTTAAAGTGTAATATGTTTATATAGGCCTCATGATAACCACAAAACAACCACCTATGGTAAATACATGGAAGAAAAAAAGAACAGAACCAAAGTCTATTATTACAGAAAGTCATCAAACCACAAAGGAAGACAGCAAGAGTGGAAGAAAAGAACAATAGATATACAAAACAACCAGAAACCAATAAACAAAATGGTAGTAGGAAGTACTTACCCATCAATAATTACCTTGAATGTAAAAAGATTTTTTTTAAAATGTAGTGTCAGAATGGATAAGAAACAACAAGACTACATGCTGCCTATGAAAGACTGACTTCACCTTTAAGGACACACAGGGACAGAAAGTAAATGGGTAGAAGAGATACTTCATGCAAATAGAAACCAAAAGAGCAGAGGTAGCTACACTTATTTCAGACAAAATAGAATTTTAATTAAAAACTGTAAAAAGGGACAAAGAAATCATTATATAATGATAAAAGGGTCAGTTCATCAAGAAGATATAAAAATGATAAATATGTATATATACCCAACGTAAGAGCACCTGAATAAATAAAATAAAATTAATAGATCTGTAAGTAGAGATAGGCTGCAATACAATACTAGTAGGGAAGTTTACTACTCCACTTTCTGCAATGGACAGATCATCCAGACAGAAATAAGAAAACACTGAATTTGAACTACATGTCAGAGCATATGGACCTAACACCTATATATAGAACATTCCATCCAGCAGCGATAGAACGCACATTCTTCTCAAATGCACATGGAACATTCTCCAGGATAGATCATACCTTAGACCATGAAACAAGTCTTAACAAATTTAAGTTTGGAATCATAGTTTTTTTTTTAATGTATCTTTTCTGACCACAATTATACAATTAATATCTAGTATTGTTTCTGACCATGGTATAAAACTAGATATCAATAGCAGGAGGAATCTTGAAAAGTAACAAATGTGGAAATTAAACAATGTGTTCCTGAACAAAGCCAATAGATGAAGAATGAAATTAAAGAGAAATTAAAACATGTCTTGAGACAAAAATGAAAACACAATATACAGTATTTATAGGTTGTAGCAAAAGCAGTTCCAAGAGGAAAGTTTATAGCAATAAATGCCTACATTGAGAAACAAAAGAGACCTCTCAAATAAATAATGTTACACATTAAGGAACTAGAAAAAGAAGGAAAAATTAAGCCCAATGTTAGTAGAAGAAAGAAAATCAAGATCAGAGCAGAAATAACAGGAATAGAGGCTAGAAAAATGATTAAAAGAATAATGAAACTAAAAGCTAAGTTTTTGAAAAGATAAAATCAACAAATCTTTACCTAGACTAACAAAAAGAGTCAAAATCAAAAAGTAAACAGGAGACATTAAAACTAATAACTACAGAAATACAAAGAATAAAAGACTACTATGAACAATTATATGCCAAACAATTGGATAACATAGAGAAATGTATAAATTCATAAAACATATAAGCTACCAAGACAGAATCATGAAGAAACAAAATATCTGCAAAGACCAATTATGAATAAGGATATTGAATCAGTAATGTAAAAGTCTCCAGTTAAAGAAAATTCCAGCACTGAATAGCTTCATAGCTGAATTCTACCAAACACTTAAGGAATAACTCATGTTAATCCTTCTCAAACTCTTCCAAAAAATAAAAGAGAAGGAAATACTTCCAATCTCATTTTAAAAGGCCAGAGTGTTTGGGGGATTTCTATATGTAAGATTATGTTGTCACATATAATCATATATAATCAATATTTACTGAAAACTATAAAATATTCATGAAGAAAACACAGATAAATGGAAAGATATCTCACATTCATGAATTGGAATAATTAATATTGTTAAAATGTCCATACTACACAAAGTAATCTACAGATCAAATGTAGTCCCTATTCAAAAGGTCTTTTTCACAAAAGTAGAAAAAAAACCCTACAATTTATATAAAAACTATAAAAGAGCCTGAATAGCCTAAATCATGTTAAATATAAAGGACAAAGCTGCAGGAACTGCACTACAAAATATATTTCAAGGCCATAGTAATCAAAACATTTGATACTGTCCAAAACAAAAACAAAACAAAACAATAAAAGAGACACATCAATCAATGAAACAGAATAGAGAACTTAGAAATGAACCCATGAATTACGCTCTGTTGATTTTCAACAAAGATGTTGGGAACATACAATGGCAAACAGACAGTCTCTTCATTCACACACAAAAGAATGAAATTGGACCCTTACTTTACACCACACACAAAAATAAACTTAAAATGGTTAAATACTTTCTGTAAGATTTAAAACTATAAAATACCTGGAAAAATACACAGGGAAAAGTCTTCATAATATTGTTCTGGGCAATGGTTTTTTGGATTTGATTCCCAAAAGCACAGGCAATAAAAGCAAACATAGATAAACAGGGCTGTATCAAACTATAAATCTGCACAGCAAAGGAACAATTAACAGAGTGAAGAGACAACCCATGGAATGGGAGGAAATATTTGTAAACCATACACCTGACACAGGGTTAGTATCCAAAATATACAAGGAACTCAAATCACTCAATAGAAGAAAACCCTCAAATAACCCAATTAAAAAGGGGCAAAATACCTGGATAGGAATTTCTCAAAAGAGCATATACATATGGCCAACAGATATATTAAAAATGATCAACACCTCTAATCATCAAGAAAAAAAAAATTAAAATCACAATGAGATATTACATCACAACTGTTAGGATGACTATTATCAAAAAGACAAAAGACAGTAAGTGTTGGCAAGATTGGGGAGAAAAGGATATGGAGATATGAAGAAGAGCATGGAGGTTTCTCAAAAAAGCAAAAATAGAATTACCATATGATTTAGCGATCCCTCTTCTAGCTATACATACAAAGGAAATGAAATCAGTATGTTGAAGAGTTATCTGCCCTCCTATATTCACTGCATCATTATTCACGGTAACTAAGATATGGAAGCAACCTTACTGCTTGTCATCATGTAAATGAATAAAGAAATTGTGGGATGGGATACTATTCAGCCTTGAAAAAAGAAGGAAATTTTTCATTTGAGACAACATTAAGAAATCTAAAAGACATTATGCTAAGTTAAGTAAGCCAGGTACAAAAAGACAGTGTGTGATCTCACTCGTAGGTGAAATCTGAAATAAGCTGAACTCATAGAAGTGGAGAGTCGAATGGTAGTTACCAGAGAGGTTAGGGGTGGGAGAAATAAGTTTTTGAGATCTATTGCACAGCATGGTGACTATAGTTAATAGTAATGTATTGTTTATTTCAACATTTCTAATAGTAAATTTCAAATGTTCTCACCAGAAAAATGGATAAGTGTGTGAGTGTATAGATTTAATTAGCTCGATTTAATCATTTCATAATGTATACATGTATCAAAACATTACATTGCATCCCATAAATACATATACAATTATTGTCAATTTAAAAAGATTTATTTGCAGCTGTTTTTTCTGAAAGCATATTCAACTAATTTACAGTGAAAACACGGTGCCCTAAAATAATTTAAAATAGTTTTTTGTTTGTGCTTGTGTCATAAATTCAATTTATAGCTACCTAGTTTCATTTGGTTTATTTTCAGATTGCTTTTTCTGTTCTTTTAGATTTATTTGATTTTTTATATTTGTAAAATATATGATTCCAAAGCTAAACTCTATAACAAAGTATATATTCAGATAAGTCTCACTTTCTCTTCTATCTCTTCTACCCTGTTCCTACTTGCTCCTATAGAAAATAGATTTTTTAGTTTTTAGTTTACCCATTCTATTCTTTATTTTAAAGATCTAAGCAAATATATGTAGCAGCATATTCCTATTATGTCATCTTAACCTTTATTAGTCAAAGGGTTGCAAATTACATGTATTCTTCTATACCTTGCTTTTTCATTTAAAAATATAATCTTGAAGATTGCTACATATTGTAATTTTTTTCTTCAGAAATTTTAGCAGCTTTATATAATTCCTTTGTGTAGATATGTTATAGTTGATTCATTTGACCTTCTATTTATGGACATTTGGATTATTTCCAGACTTTTGCTATTGCAAATAATGCCACAATGATTACCCTAGTGCTTTTGTCATTTAGTAATATTGACAGGGTATTTTTAGTATAGGTAGCTATTAGAGGATTGCTTGGCTCAAATGATAAATGCATATTTTTTAAGATATTGTCACATTTTCCTCCATGAATATTGTGCCATTTTGCAGTCCCACCAGCAATGAATGAGAAGGCTTATTTTTCCACAATTTTATCTTCACAGTATGTTGTCAAACTTTTAGATTTTTGCCAACTAGGTGGGTAACAAATGGTGCTGTGTTATTGCTTAGATAAGCATTTCTCTTATTATGTGCATTTTTTCTTATGTTAAGGTTCATTAATCTTTTTCATTTGGTGCACTGTCTGTTTTTATCACTTGGCTATTTTTCTATGAGATTATCGGTCTTTGTGTTCCCTCAAGTTTTCAGGAGCTCTTCGTATATCGTGATATAAGTTGTAGATATTTTCTCATTTTTTCCTTTGTGCTTTTACTTTGCCTGTAGTATTTTCTTCATGTAAACTCTTTTTATTATTATGATACCAGTGATGTCTCTATGTTTTTCTATTTTTAAATATATATATATATTTAATCATTTATTTTAAATTCAGGGGTACATGTACAGGTTTGCTATATAGGTAAACTTGTGTCATGGGGGTTTGTTGTACAGATTATTTCATTACCCAGGTATTAAACTTAGTACCCACTAGTTATTTTTCTTGATCTCCCTTCTCCTACCCTCCCTTCTCTGACAGGCCCCATTGTATGTTGTTCCCCTCCATGTGTCCATGTGTTCTCATCATTTAGCTCCCACTTATAAGTGAGAATATGAGGTATTTGATTTTCTATTCCTGAATTTGCTAGAGATAATGGCCTCCAGCTCCATCTGTATTCTTGCAAAGAACATGATCTTGTTATTTTTTATGGCTACATAGTATTCTGTGGTGTATATCTACCATATTTTCTTTATCCAGACTACCACTAATGGGCATTTAGGTTCATTCCATGTCTTTGCTGTTGTGAATAGTGCTGCAATGGACATACAGGTGCACGTATCTTGGTGATAGAACGATTTCTATTTCTTTGGGTATATACCCAGTAATGGCGTTACTGGGTTAAAGTTTTGTTTTTAGGTCTTTGAGGAATCACCACACTCTTTTCCATAACGACTGAACTAATTTACCCTCCCACCAACAGTGTATAAGTGTTACTTTTTCTCTGCAACTTTTTCAGCACTTGTTATTTCTTAATTTTTAATAATAACTATTCTGACTGGTGTTAGATGGTATCCCATTGCAGTTTTGATTTGCATTTCTCTAATGATGTTATCAGTGATGTTGAGCTCAATCAGTGATGTTGAGCTTTTTTTCATATGCTTGTTGGCCGCATGTATGTCTTCTTTTGAAAAGTGTTTGTTCATGTCCTTTGCCCACTTTTTAACGGGTTTCTTTTCTTGTAGATTTACCTAAGTTCCTTATATACGCTGGATATTAGACCATTGTCAGATGCATAGTTTGCAAATATTTTGTCCCATTCTGTAGGTTGTCTATTTACTCTGTTGATGATCTTTTGTCATGCAGAAACTCTTTAGTTTAATTACATTCCATTTATCAATTTTTTCTTTTGTTGCAATTGCTTTTCAGTGTCTTCGTCATAAAATATTTACCCATTCCTTTGTCCAAAACGGTACTGCCTAGATTGCCTTTCAGGGTTTTTATAGTTTTGGGTTTTACATTTAAGTCTTTTGAGTTGATTTTTGTATATTTTGTAAAGAAGGGGTCCAGTTTCAATCTTCTGCATATGGCTAACCAGTTATCCCAGCAACATTTACTGAATAGAGAGTCCTTTCTCCATTGCTTGTTTTTGTCAGCTTTGTCAAAGATCAGATGGTTGTAGGTGTGATGATTCCAGCTTTGTTCTTTTAGCTTAAGATTGCCTTGGCTATTCGGGATCTTTCTGGTTCCACAATAATTTTAAAATAGTTTTTAAAATAGTTTTAAAATAGTTTTTCCCTAGTTCTGTGAAGAATTTCAATGGTATTTTGACAGAAATAGCATTGAAACTATAAATTGCTTTGGACAGTATAGCCATTTTAACAATATTGATTCTTCCTATCCATGAGCATGGGATGTTTTTCCGTTTGTGTCATCTCTAATTTCTTTGAGCAGTGTTTTGTAGTTCTCCTTATAGAGATCTTTTACGTCTCTGGTTAGCTGTATTTACAAGTATTGCATTTTATTTTTGGCACTTGTGAATGGGATTGCATGCCTGATTTGTCTGTCAGCTTGACTGTTGTTGGTGTATAGAAATGCTAGCGATTTTTGCACATTGATTTTGTATCCTGAAACTTTGCTGCACTTGTTTAGCAGTTGAAGGAGCTTTTGGGCTGACGCTATGGGGTTTCCTAGATAGAGGACCATGTCATCTGCAAACACGGATAATTTGACTTCCTCTCTTCCTATTTGGATGACATTTATTTCTTTCTCTTGCCTGATTGCTCTGGCCAGGACTTCCAATACTATGTTGAATAGGAGTGGTGAAAGAGGGCATCCTTGTCTTGTGCAGGTTTTCAGGGAGAATGTGTCCAACTGTTGTGCATTCAGTATGATGTTGGCTGTAGGTTAGTCATAGATGGCTCTTATTATCTTGAGGTATGTTCCTTTGATATCTAGTTTATTGAGAGTTTTTAACATAAAGGAGTGTTAAATTTTATCAGAAGTCTTTTCTGCATCTATTGAGATAATCATTTTGTTTTTGTCTTTAGTTCTGTTTATATGATGAATCACATTTGTTGATTTGTGTATGTTGAACTTACCTTTCATCCCAGGGATAAAGCCTACTTGATTGTGCTGAATAAGCTTTTTGACATGCTACTGGATTCAGTTTGCCAGTACTTTGTTGAGGATTTTTGCATTGATGTTCATCAAGGATACTGGCCTGAAGTTTTTGTTTTTGTTGTTGTTGTTTTCGTGTCTCTTCCAAGTTTTGTTAGCAGGATGATGCTGGCCTCAGAATGAGTTAGGTAGGAGTCCCTCCTCCTTAATTTTTGGGAATAGTTTTAGTAGGAACAGTACCAGCTCTTCTTTGCACATCTGGTAGAAATTGGCTGTGAGTCTGTCTGGTCCTGGGCTCTTTTTGGTTGGTATGGTATTTATTACTGATTTAGTTTTGAAGCTCATTATTGTTCTGTTCAGGGATTCAATTTCTTCCTGGCTCAGTCTTTGGAGACTGTATGTTTCCAGGAGTTTATCCATTTTTTCTAGATTTCCTAGTTTGTGTGTATAGAGGTGTTCATAATATTCTCTGATATTTATTTGTATTTCTGTGGAGTCAGTGATAATATCCCCTTTGTTGTTTTTAACTGTGTTTATTTGGAACTTCTCTGCTTTTTTTCCTTTATTAGTCCAGCTAGTGGTCTATTTTATTACAGTTTTCAAACAACAAATTCATGGGATCATTGATCTTTTGAACAATTTTTCATGTTTCAATCTCCCTCAGTTTGGCTTTAATTTGGTTATTTCTTGTCTTCGCTAGCTTTGGGGTTGGTTTGCTCTTGATTCTTTAGTTCTTTTAGTTGTGCTCTTAGGTTGTTAAATTGAGCTCTAACTTTTTAATGTGGGCACTTAGTGCTATAAATTTTCCTCTTAACACTACCTTAGCTCTGTTCCAGAGATTCTGGTATGTTGTATTTTTGTTCTCATTAGTTTCAAATAACTTCTTGATTTCTGCCTTAATTTCGTTATTTACCCAAAAGTCATTCAGGAGCAGGTTATTCAATTTCTATGTAACTGTATGTTTTTAACTGAATTTCTTAGTCTTGATTTCTAATTTGTAAGTGCCATGGTCAGAGAGAGTGGTTGTTATGATTTCAGTTCTTTGCATTTGCTGAGCAGTATTTTCTATTAGATTATGTGGTTGATTTTAGAGTATGTGTCCCATGTGGTGATAAGAATGTATATTATGTTCTTTTAGGGTGGAGAGCTCTGTAGATGTCTATCAGGTTCATTTGATCCAGGGCTGAGTTCAGGTCCTGAATATCTTTGTTAGTTTTCTGCCTTGATGATCTGTCTAATATTGTCAGTGGAGAGGTGGTAAAGTGTCCCACTATTATTGTGTGGGAGTCTAAGTCTCTTTTAAGGTTCTAAGAACTTGCTTTGTGAATCCAAGTGCTCCTGTGTTGGGTGCATATATATATTTAGGATGGTTGGGTATTCTTGTTGAATTGAACCTTTGCCATTATGTAATGCCCTTCTGTCTCTCTCTGTTTTTTTAATCTTTGTTGGTTTAAAGTCTATTTTGTCTGAAATTAGGATTGCAACCTGTGCTTTTTTTTTCTGTTTTCCTTTGCTTGGTCGATTTTTCTTTATCCCTTTCTTTTGAGCCTAAGTGTGTCATTGCATGTGAGATAGATTTCTTGAAGACAGCATACCAATAGTCTTGGTTCTTTATCCAGCTCGGCACCCTGTATCTTTTAATTGAGGCATGTAGCCTGTTTACATTCAAGGTAAGTATTGCTATGTGCAGATTTGATCCTGTCATCATGATGTTAGCTGGATATTTTGCAGACTTGTTTGTGTGATTGCTTTATAGTGTTATTGGTCTGTGTATTTAAGTGTGTTTTTTTGTAGTGGCTGGTAATAGTCTTTCCTTTCCATATTTGGTGCTTTCTTCAGGAGCTCTTGTAAAGCACTTCTGGTGGTAACAGATTTTCATAGCATTTGCTTGTCTGAAAAGGATCTTATTTCTCTTTTGCTTATGATGCTTAGTTTGGCTGGATATAAAATTTTGGGTTGGAATTTCTTTTATTTAAGCATGCTGAATATTGGCTCCCAATCTCTTCTGGCTTGTAGGGTTTCTGCTGAAGGATTAGCTACTAGTCTGATGAGTTTCCCTTTGTAGGTGACCTGCTCATTCCCTCTAGCTGCCTGTAACATTTTTTCTTTCATTTCAACCTTTGAGAATCTGGTGATTATTAGTTTTGGGGATTATCTTTTTGGGGAGTGTCTTACTGGGGTTCTCTGCATTTCCTGAATTGAATGTTGGCTTCTCTAGCTAGGTTGGGGAAGTTCTCATGGGTGATATCCAGAAATTTGTTTTCCGAGTTGCTTATATTCTCCCCATCTCTTTCAGGAACACTAATGAGTTGTAGATTCAGTCTTTTTACATGATCCAATGTTTCTTAGAGGTTTGTTCATTACCTTTCATTCTTCTTTCTCTTTTCTTGTCTGACTATCTTATTTCAGAAAGTCAGTCTTTAAGCTCAGAAATTTTTTTCCTCTGGTTGGTTTTTTCTGCTATTAATACTTGTGAATGCATTATGAAGTTCTTGTAGTGTGTTTTTCAGCTTTATTGTGCCAGTTATATTATTTTCTATACTGGCTATTTTGTCTGTCAGCTCCAGTGTCATTTTATTGTGATTCTTAGTTTTCTTGGATTGGGTTTCAACATCTCTTGCATCTCAGTGATCTTTCTTTCTATTCATATTCTGAATCCTATTTCTGTTATTTTTGCCATCTCTGCCCAGTTCAGAACACTTGGTGGAGAGGTAGAGCAGTTATTTGGAGGAAAGAAGGCATTCTGGCTTTTTGAGTTGTTAGAGTTCTTTCTTATCTTTGTGGGCTGATGTTTCTTCAATCTTTGAAGTTCTGACCATTGGTCGGGTTTCTTTTTCCTTTTATCTTGTTTGATGACCTTAAGGGTTTGATTGTGGTATAAAGTAGGTTCAGCTGACTTGCTTCATTTATGGAAGATTTTAGGGGGCCAGCACTCATCTCTCAACTCCTGGACTGTGTGCTCTAATTCTGGAGGATTTGTATCAGGCCCTGACTTCATTCTCTGGCTCCTCAAAGTTAGGAATCTAACTGCACTGTGGAGGGTTGAGGTGCTTCTGGACCACTGTTCGCTACACTCAGATGGGTTGTGTCTTAGTCCATTCTTACACTGCTATGAAGAAATACCCAAGAATGGGTAATTTATAAAGGAAAGAGGTTTAATTGTTTCACAGTTCTGCATGTCTGTGGAGACCTGGAAACTCACAATCATGGTGGAAGGCAAAGGAGAAGCAGCACCTTCTTCACAGGGTGGCAGGATGGAGTGAGTGCAAGCAGCGGAAATGCCAAATGCTTATATAAAACCATCAGATTTTGTAAGACTCACTCATTATTACCAGAACAGCATGGAGAAAACTGGCCCCAAGATTCAATTACCTCCACCTATTCCTGCCCTTGACATGTGGGGATTATGGGGATTACAACTCAAAGTGAAATTTGGGTGAGAACACCAAGCCAAACCATATAATTCTGTCCCTGGTCCCTCCCAAATCTCATGTCCTCATATTTCAAAACACAACCATGTCCTTCCAACAGTCTCTCAAAGTCTTAACTCATGCCAGCATTAATGCAAAAGTCGAAGTCCAAAGTCTCATCTGAGACAAGGCAAGTTCCTTCCACTTATGAGCCTGTAAAATCAAAAGCAAGTTAGTTACTTCTTAGATACAATGGGGGTACATGCATTGTGTAAATACAGTCATTTCAAATGGGAGAAATTGGCCAAAACAAAGGGGCTATAAGCCCCATGCAAGACCAAAATCCAATAGGACAATCAAAAACAAAGGGGCTACAAGCCCCATGCAAGTCCGAAATCCAATAGTGCAGTCATTAAACCCTAAAGTTCCAAAATGATCTTTGACTCCATGTCTCACATCCAAGTCATGCTGATGCAAGAGGTGGGCTCCCATGGCCTTGAGAAGCTCCATCTCTGTGGCTTTGCAGGGTATAGTTCCTCTCCTGGCTGCTTTCATGGGCTGGCATTGAGTGTCTGTGGCTTTTCCAGGTGCACAGTGCAAGTTGTTGGTGGATCTACCTTTCTGGGATCTGGAGGTCGGTGGCCCTCTTCTCATAGCTCCACTAGGCAGTGCCCCAGTGAGGACTCTGTGTGCTGGCTCCAGCTCCACATTTTCCTTCTGCACTGCCCTAACAGAGATTCTCCCTGTGGGCTCCACCCCTGCAACAAACTTTTGCCTGGACATCCAGGCATTTCACACTCCTCTGAAATCTAGGTGGAGGTTCCCAAACCTCAATTCTTGTCTTCTGTGCACTCAATGGACCAACACCACATGGAAGGTGCCAAGGCTTGGGGCTTACACCCTCCGAAGCAATGGCATGAGCTGTACCTTGGCCCCTTTTAACTATGGCTGGAGTAACTGGGAAGCAGGGTACCAAATCCCAAGGCTTCACACAGCAGGGGGGCCCTGGACCCAGCCCATGAAACCATTTTTTCTTCCTAGGCCTCCTGGCCTGTGATGGGAGGGACTGCTAGGAAGGTCTCTGACATGTCCTAGAGACATTTATTTTCCCCATTGTTTTGGCAATTAACATTCTTATGCAAATTTCTGCAGCTGACTTGAATTTATTCTCAGAAAATGGGTTTTTCTTTTCTACCACATCATCAGGCTGCAAATTTTCCAAACTTTTATGCTCTGTCACCTCTTGAATGCTTTGCTGCTTAGAAATTTCTTCTGCCAGACACCCTAAATTCTGTCTCTCAGGTTCAAAGTTCCATAGATCTCTAAGGCAGGGGCAAAATGCCAGTCTCTTTGCTAAAGCATAACAAGAGTCACCAGGAAGTTTCTCATCTGCATCTGAGACCATCTCCATCTAGACTTCATTTTCCATGTCACTATCAGCATTTTGGTGAAAGCCATTCAACAAGTCTCAATGAAGTTCCAAACTTTCCCACATTTCCTGTCTTCTTCTGAGCCCTTCAAACTGTTCTAACGCTACCTGTTACGCAGTTCCAAAGTCACTTCCATATTTTTGGGTATCTTTATAGCAGCACCCCTCTCTCTGCAGTATCAATTTACTGTATTAGTCCATTCTCACACTGCTATGAAGAAATACCTGAGACTGGGTAAATAAAGGAAGGAGGTTAAATTGACTCACGGTTCCACATGGCTGGGGAGGAATCTTACAATCATGGTGGAAGGCAAAGGAGTAGCAGGTACCTTCTTCACAGGGCAGCAGGACAGAGTGAGTGCAAGCAGGGGAAATGCTAGATGTTTATAAAACCATCGGATGTCGTGAGACACTCACTCATTATCATGCGAACAGCATGCGGAAATCACGCCCATGATCCAATTACCTCCACCTGGTACCCTACACTTCACCCTGTTGACATGTGAGGATTATGGGGATTACAATTCTAGGTAAGGTTTGGGTGGGGACACAGAACCAAACCATATCAAGTGATCAAATGGTGTCAGCCAAAGCATTCTGTAGTGTAGTGGTATCAGGATCTGTCTTAATTCACATGTGCCAGTAGCACAAAGCATTTTGTAGTGTGGTGGCATCAGGATGTCTTTTTTTTTTTTTTTTTTTTTTTTTTTTGAGACAGAGTCTCACTCTTGCCCAGGCTGGAGTGCAATGGAATGATCTTGGATCACTGCAACCTCCATCCCCCAGGTTCAAGCGATTCTCCTGCCCTTCCAAGTAGCTGTGATTACAGGCACGGACCACCACATCTGTCTATTTTTGCATTTTTAGTAGAGATGGGGTTTTGCCATGTTGGTCAGGCTGGTCTCGAACTCCTGACTTAAGGTGATCTGCCCACCTCGGCCTCCCAAAGTGCTGGGATTACAGGCATGAGCCACTGTGCCTGGCCTAGGATCTGTCTTAATTTACATGTGTCAGCAGCAGTGGCAGCGTCAGCAAGCCAGCACGGTGGGGTGCACACTTGTTGGCTGTGTAGCAGGGTGTGGGCATTCACCACAGTGACAGAGGCAGCATGGCTTGGGGAGGGTGAAGGACCCCTGATGCTTACTGTGTGCATGGTCCCACTGGTGGTCGTGTTGGTAGGAGGGCAGGGCACTGGTATGTGCAGGTCTGTTTGGCTCTCTATGAGCCACAGGCAGGGGTGGTTGCTCAGCATAGGGGAGGGTCTGCTGTTCTCCGTGCCTAGTTTCACTCCTGTGGCTGTGTTGGTGCAAGGGAAGGGTACTGGAGGGTGCAGTGTTGTCTGGCTCTGTGCCCACCAAGGTTCCAACTGCAAGGCCCGTCTGGTGGGAGGAGGGGGTACAAAATGCACTTCCCCACTGAAGCAGTGGCAAGGCAGGACTCATGCACAGGCACACTTGCGGGGCTAGGAAGACAAAACCTACGTGTGCACACATGTGCCTGCAATGTGATGCAGGTGGGGGGTGGAGGGTTGCTGTGTGTCTGAGAGATGCTGCAGTGTGGAGAGGGAGCAGGTGGGCCGGTGCATGGCCATGGCGGCTGCCTCGCTGGGGCTTTCTGCCGGTTAGGCACAGTTTGCCAGTGCAGGAGCTGTGATGCGGGCCCCACGGCACCCGAGGTTGCCCAGCAGACCAAGGAGTGCTCAGGTCAGACCAGCCCTGTCTGGTGGGCGAGACCACCCTCTATAGTTTAGGTCCTGCAGTTCTCCTAGGGCTAAAGTCTCCTGTAGGAGCAAGTCGAGCCTAGGGGGATGGGTGTCTTTGGCTGTGTTCTGTTACAGATACTTCTGTACCAATCCCTTTGGCCTACACATCAGCTGTTGTGCTGGCCCCTATCACTTCTCTAAGCAGCTCTTTCTGCCAACTTGAGTGTCCATGGTGGTTGAGGGGTCTCCTATGTCAGGATTCCTGAGGCCCGTGGTGAAAGCGAGTTGCTCCTTGCCAGTTCAACTCACCCATTCCCCCAGAGTTGTTGGGGTCTGGGAGTGAGTCCCAGTGCATAGTAACCCCATGCAGGGTTCTCGGCTTCCTCCCACTTCAGCCCAGCTTCTGTGTCTTTCCTCTGTCCACTCTCAGTGCCTTCCCCCTGAAGATCTGTTAGGAGTGTGCCAGTCATCTCAGTCCCTCAGGGAAGGCTGTTCCACCTGGCTGTGTCTAGTAGGAAGTCTTGCCCAGCCAAATCTTCATGCAAAGTCTTTAAAAATTTGTTTATGTAGTTGAATTTATTTTGCATTATAATTAGGACAGTTTTTCCCTCATCACTTATCTTTCTTCTGGTACTTCTATAATTTCTCTTTTTTTAATTTCTACATTTGGATCTCTGATCTTTTTAGAAGTATATTACTGTACAGATAGGCTAAAATTTGGATCAAATGTTAGACTTTCATTTTGTTGTATCTGCATATTGCCCATATCATCACACTGTTTTAACTATTATGATGTTTTTAGAATGTGTGCCTCAATAGCTTTCTTTTTTCCTGAATTATGAATAATTATGAATTATTGTTTTTGTTGCTCAGGTATATCTGATTAGTCTTGATTGTTATTCTTGCTCATGTAGTCTTCAGTTAATGGAATAATGGCCCAGCCTCTCAGTCCTCTGTCAGGATGATTCTAGGGCATCTTCCACTTCCCAGACAGTTCTGAACAAGCTTACATCCCAGTTGCCTACACTATTATTGTTCTCATTAACACCTGAATTATTGGCTGCTTTTCTCCCTTTTTGGTCCTACTTCCTCACTGTGCCTCCTCCAGTTGCCTTCCATATAAAGTACAAGTCTTTCCCTAGAGGTCTGCTTTTGGGAAATCCAAACTAAGAAAGAGTCATTTTTGGATTTTGACCTAGATGTAAAAGATATCAAACATTGTTACCCAAGTATGTTATATATTTGTGTGTGGTGGTAGAGAAAGAGAGGAGGAAGTAATGTGCTGTCCTAATTTAGCTGTTCAGAATATAAGGTTTTAGCTTCTTCTCCTGATTATTTCCCCATGGCCCATATCGGTTCTTTATGTTCTTTAGACTTGAAACAGTTCTGGAATGCTCTTGGGAAGAATGAATGTCATCTCCCAAGATTTGGGTTGAAGCTTGCTCTTATCTATTTTCTCCATTAACTTGATTCCATCTGTTTTATAGTTTCCAGGATTTTCTCAAGCTTTTCATATACTGCTGGCTTCTTCTCTTTCTTTCTTCAGTGTATGGATGTATATGTATGTATGTATGTATGTATACTGTTGAAGCAAAATTTGACGTATTTACTGAAGAAAATTTAAAAATACTTTACTCATTAATGAAGGGGTCAGTAATTAGATCATTTGAGGCAAATACACAAAATAACCAGGAAGAAAATTAGCTTAAATACATTAAGTTTCTAAGTAGGCACATACTGCTATTTCACTTCATATGGCCATAAAAATATCCCATGCTTATTAATGGTAGGGAGGACTAAATTTGTGGAATAGATGAATTAGAGCTATTTTCTACTTGCCAGATGTCAACCAGTAATTGGAAATAAGAAGTACCATATCTGAGAAGAAAATAAAAAGTGAATGGATCTCTGACTACCAATTGAATATACTTAGCAACAGTTTTGGTCTTTTTAATCATCTGACAAAAGGCAATTAGAACAGAGGCAACAATGAGAGGACAGCACAATTAGGACATTTCACTAACTGCAAGCAAAGATGCTGACCATACTGTTACATAATTCTGTTTGGAGACAAAATCGATCTCTCAGTCTCCCTGTCTGTCTCTCTTTTATCTCTCTCATTCCCTTTCTTTGGTTTAGTGAGTCTGTCCACCCTGCCATTTTCTACACATCACATATAAAATTTTGTATTCTACTGTTTTACCAAAAGTCATTTAGTAAATATTTCCTCTGATATGACATATTTTTAATATTCATTAGATTTAAAGACAAATAAGAATCCATAGAGTGACTATATCATTGTTTATGTATTCACCTGCAAAGATGTGTTTTGCACTTTTAAATTAATGAGTGACTTGTGAAGTGATATTTTGAAAGTATAAATATGCTATTCCTCAATAATTATTCACCTATGACTTTATCATTCTTTCATGAAACTGGCCTAAATCAGCTATTACTATGGTGGTTACAAATGTTTATGCTTTGTTTCTAACTACAATTATTAGTTGGCATTCTTCTGTAGAGAAGAACTTTCCTTTCCCAATTTTTAATTTTGTATTGGTATAGGTTCATGAATTTAAAAAAATTCCTGTGTTATAATATATTCCAGTAATTATTTATTTTAATTATCAAGTTCTCATCGGCTTCCATTGCATTTAAAAAACTCTTTTTACTTTAAAGGCCTGGTGTGGTGGCTCATGCCTGTAATCCCAGCACTTTGGGAGGCTGAGGTGGACGGATCACAGGGTCTGGAGATCAAGACCATCCTGGCTAACACAGTAAAACCCCATCTCAACTAAAAATACAAAAAATATCCTGGCATGGTGGGGTGCACCTGTAATCCCAGCTACTCAGGAAGCTGTAGTAGGAGAATCGCTTGGACCCGGGAGGCAGAGGTTGCAGTGAGACACGATCACGCCACTGCACTCCAGCCTGGGTGACAGAGTGAGACTGTCTCAAAAAAAAAGGTAATAAAAAATATATATATTTAAGGCGTGCAAGATGATGTTTTGAATACATATACATAGTGACTTGAGTACTACAGCCAAGCTAATCAACGCATCCGTCTCTTGACGTATTTTATTTATTTATTTATTTTTGAGACAGAGTCTTGCTCTGTCCCCCAAGCTGGAGTGCAGTGCGCGATCTCGGCTCACTGCAACCTCTGCCTCCCAGGTTTAAGTGATTCTCATGCCTCAGTCACCTGAGTAGCTGGGATTACAGGCGCATGCCACCACTCCCAGCTAATTTTTGTAGAGACAGGGTTTTGCCATGTTGGCGCAGGTTGGTCTTGACCTCCTGGCCTCAAGAGATCCACCTGCCTCGGCTTCCCAAAGTGCTGGCATTACAGGTGTGAGCCACCACGCCCAGCCAGTTATCTATTTTTTTTTCTTTTAAGACAGTGTGAATTCTTAAGACCTAGTCTCTTAGCATATTCTAAGCATACAATACAGTATTATTAGCTGTAGTCCATGTGATGCATTTGAACTTACTCATTCTACGTAACTGAAACTTTGCACCCTTTGACAAGCATCTCCCCATTTCCTCTACCTCCTGCCCTTGATAACCACCATTTTATGCTCTGTTTCTAGTTTGATTTTTTAGATTCCACATATAAGTAGGATTATGCAGTGCTTTTCTTTCTGTGTCTGATTTATTTCACTTAACATGATGTTCTCCAGGTTCATCCACATATTCTCATATGGCAGAATTTCCTTCTTTTTAAAGATTAAATAGTATTCCATTGTGTGTGTGTGTGTGTGTGTGTGCGTGTGAGATTTATTTATTTATTTAGTTTTTTATATGTTGACTGACAGGTTGTTTTCATATTTTGGCTATTGTGAATAATGAGGTAATAAACACCGAAGTGCAGGTATATCTTCTTAATTTTTTATTTTTAATTTTTGTGAGTACATAGTAGGCGTACATATTTATATATCTTTGAGATACTGATTTCACTTCCTTTGGATATATATGCATAAGAGAGATTGCTTGATTATATCTGTTCTGGCCCTTTGTTCCTTTAACATTTGCAGTATTTTAAGTTTTTTTTTGGTTGTCTATTTGATTAAGTATTGTGCATACTTAGCCTGTGGACTTTTGTTCCAACTCAGTAGATTTTTTCCAGCGAAACACAAAGGTAATTTTTTTTTCTGGTTAATATTTAGCAAGAATTCTGCAGAGTGATCAAAAAAATCAAATACTCAGTATTTCAGAAATAGATTAAATAGGTTACTTTTTTACTGATAATGTGAAAGAATGATATAAAAACTTGATTTTCCTCAACAACATTACTTTCTTTTGTAAATGTGGTTTCTACAAAGATGAAACTACTAAAACTTACAGGTTTTATTTTTTTCTTGTTTTTTTTGACTGAATCCCTAACCCTGCCCACACAACCTCGGGATATAGGTAAGAAATTTACTTGTATATCAGCTAAAGCATGACCAGTTAGGATAATTTCTATTTTTAAAATTTTGTTTTCTTTCAAGTTAATTCTTTACTTGCTTTTTTCACCCTCTCACTAATTTACATAGGCTAACCAGTTATCCAAAACTAACCTTTTCAGAATTTTTATTTTGATGGTAATTTTTATATTACCAAGTCTATATGAAGAAAGAGTTGTCACATCTGAAGAATAATCAGCAGTCTATGACAGGACAGAAAGTGTTGCTGGGAGATACATTTGGATTTTAATGTTGGTATTTCTTGCATATATGTATAGTTTATGGTAACAGTGGAACAATAGATGTTAACTGGGATTTTTCTGGAACCTTTGGTTGTCCAACATATTTCCCAACTATATCTTTATGGAATGCAGAACCTAGTTCCTCCTTCAACTGTACAGTTTGAACATCCCTCCTGAGCCTGGCCAAGGCCATCTCAGTCTGTAGGAAGGGATGACTTTTTTTATTTCTTCCATCCAAAGGGGAAATATTTTGAACCTCATATGTCTAGAGGAGGTGTCTTTTTCTAATCCTTTTTGGCCTAGAAGGAGCTCCTTTCTTTGACTTGAACAAATGTGCCCTAAGCATGGCAGTGGCCCTGAAGGCATGGATCGTGTCTTACGTGTCTTACTCAATTTGACATGCCCCTACAATACCAGCTAGTGAAGACTGGTCATTTCTGAGTTTTCCTGCTCCTTTTCCCTCGTAACAACCTGTTTCAAAATCTTGATTTTTTGCCTCTTTAATATCTTTTGTATCTATATTTTCCTTTTCATTTCCATTACTCCTACCAAAATTTAGATCTTGCTGATTTCTCAGTGTGACAGTTGCAAAGTCTCCTATGGCCTTCTTACTTTGTCCCATCCACCCTTCTTTTGCCCATTTATTTGACAATAGTTCTTTCTACCTTTTTCTATTTGTCTGGCACTGTGGAAAGTCCCATGACATTACATATACCACTACCTGACTCGTATTTCTTAGTGTATAGAAATGATCAGATTACTATCCTATATAAACATTTTCCAGGGCTCTCCATGTCTTCCAAATGAAGCCCATACTCCTTAGCTTTATATACAAGACTCCTATAATCTGGGCCCAGGTTCTTTCTATCCTAGGTACCATTATTCCTCTTTGTGACCCACTTTCTCATCAAAATAGATTGACTTTCCCTAAATACTTCTCAAGATTTCTTAATGCATTTATTCACATCATTCTCTCTCCACACAGACAGACAGGGTTTTTCATTTTTCCGTCAGCTGAATCTCTTACATTTACTCATGCTCAACTCATATCTCACTCCTCCTATAATCCTTTTTTTTCTTTCTTTCTCACCCAGGATTCATAAAGCATTCCCAACTTAATCCCATTCTAAATTAGATTATTGTCACATGCACGAGTAACTTCTATTAGAGAGCAGCTTAGGAACCTGATGTCAAGGGGAGATATTTTAGTCATTGTTGATTGCTTCACAGGGTCCAGCACAACACTTTGCAAAAAATAAATGTAGCTTATGTGAACAAACATAAATATGCTCCAATTAGTGTATGCTCATTGGGAGGGAATCCATGATTTTAGGTGGATCTGGAGATGACCTAAATAGCTGTGACTGAGTAGCGCTAAAAACTATGCTGACCACCAGCATGCTACAGCATCTCTCATCAGGCTCTGTTATGGCATTGAATCAGCCATTAGTTAATCTTCATATCACTTCTCTAGTCATAAATGATAGACATTTAGCATGGTAATGTATTTGACATTTCTATCTGGGGAGCCATCAATGGCAAATTTAAAGTCTAGTCAGATTAAGATTTATTTAGGTCAATTCAATTTGGTAAATATTTCTTGAACACATAATCAACAATGACTAAGATTTCCTATTTTGTTCACATGACTTATTTGTTTCTTGTTAAATATGCAAAATTATCTCCTGTCATCAGTGGTCTATTTTGTATTTTATACACTTAAATGCCATGTATAGTTATTTATTTGAAAAATGTTAGAAAACCATGCTATGTAATAACCTAAATATTCTTGCTTTTCAGAGAACTTCAATAGTACTCAAAAATTTATAGAAGATAATATTGAATACATGTGAGTTGTGCTAAATACTTTTTGATGATGATTTTTAAAATGATATATTCTAGAAATGTTAATGCTTCTCAAAAGTAATTTAACTAAATAGAAGCCATATCCAAGAAGACAACTTTAATTATAAAATTCAGGCAAAGAAGTTGTAAAATTTATAGCCATTACAATAGATAATTTCCTGAGGCTAGTCAGGATGTTCCTGTGACTTTTTCTTGACCATAAATGGAAACTCTGCAACTGATCTTTGTATACCCCATGTGAACTGTTGCAGCACCATCATTGCATTTGCTCAGTATGTTCAGGAAGCAACCTTTGAAGAAATGGAAAAGCTGGTGAAAGACATGGTAGAATACAAAGACAGATGTATGGCTGACAAGACGCTCCCAGAGTGTTCAAAATTACCTGTAAGTAAATTGCTTGTGTTTCTTTTCCTTTTATCTTATGTCTTTCTTTCTCTTTCTTTCTTTCTTTCTTTCTTTCTTTCTTTCTTTCTTTCTTTCTTTCTTTCTTTCTTTCTTTCATTCTTTCTTTCTTCTTTCTTTCTTTCTTTCCTTCTTTTTTTTTTCTTGAAACAGAGTCTCGCTCTGTCACCCAGGCTGGAGTGCAGTGGCAATCTTGGCTCACTGCAACCTCCACTTCCTGGGTTCAGGCAATTCTCATGCCTCAGTCTCCCTAGTAGCTGGGATCACAGGCATGCACCACCATGCCCAGCTAATTTTTTTGTATTTTTAGTAGAGATGAGGTTTTGCCATGTTGACCAGCCTGGTCTCAAACTCCTGACCCCAAGTGATCCTCCCAACTTGGCCTCCCAAAGTGTTGGGATTGCAGGCGTGAGCCACTGTGCCCTGCCAATTGCTTGTGTTTCTTAAACACACAAGATTTTTTGCCCAACACTGAGAAAATTTCTGGCTTGAAAATATGAAATGAAAGATGTTCTGTGCGCAGCATTTTCATTTTGCTTAATTTTGGTATTTAGAACAAGGTACTTTCCTTGGAAAAGATACTAATTCTGTATTTTGATGCACAGAAGGAGATTGCTGTGTATTTGCAGTATGTATACAGTATGCCCTATATGTTCAGGCAGAAGAGGAAGCCATAGCTTGAAACTGCACATGAAATTACAGAGGTACCTCCTTAGCTGCCTCTCTCAATATGTATTCTATTGTTACATCCCTTTTCTGGGCCTCCTCCAAGTAGAATCACTATCTGCATCTCCAAAAAACTACTACTAAACACTACTTCTAAACACTCTACCAATACATTAACATACCAGCATGTCATCACCTTGGGAGGTGAGTAGAAAAGCCTGGTGGAAGGGAAATGTAGGCAGCAAGGGAAGAGTAAGAGGTGGAAGTGTCTTGTGACAAGACAGAGGAACAAAGATTCTGAAAGTGCAGGATGATTGTCAAGGGTTTGGGTAAAAATGCTTTGATTTGGCACACCTGTTCTCCCAGCTATTTAGGACACTTTGGCTGGAGGATCACTTGAGCCCAGGAGTTCGAATCTAGCCTGCACAACATATCAAGATCCCATTCCAAAGAAGAAGCAGAAAACAAGGAGAAGGAGAAGGAGGAGAAGGAGAAGGAGAAAGAGAAGGAGAAGGAGAAGAGGAAGAGGAAGAGGAAGAGGAAGAAGAAGAAGAAAAAGAAGAGGAAGAAGAAGAAGAAGGGGAGGAGGAGGAGGAGGAGGAGGTGGAAGAGAAGGAGGGGGGGAAGGGAAGGAGAAGGGGAAGGGGAAGGGGAAGGAGAGGAGTAGGAGAAAGAGAAGGAGCTCTGTTGGTAATGGTGGGAAAATTAGTCATTGTGTTTTCTCAGTGAGTACAGAAGCTTTACTTTACCATGACTAAAAATTGTCCTTTTCTTCTCTGTTGTATAGAATAATGTTTTACAGGAAAAAATATGTGCTATGGAGGGGCTGCCACAAAAGCATAATTTCTCACACTGCTGCAGTAAGGTTGATGCTCAAAGAAGACTCTGTTTCTTCTATAACAAGAAATCTGATGTGGGATTTCTGCCTCCTTTCCCTACCCTGGATCCCGAAGAGAAATGCCAGGCTTATGAAAGTAACAGAGAATCCCTTTTAAATCAGTAAGTTTAATCTTAGTAAAAAATGATCCAGTTGAAGAATTAGTCTTAGGCTGAATCTAATATCTATCTCAAATAAATATGGCTGGGTTCATTAATTTATTGATTAATTGTTTCATTCATTCAAAACATACTGTGTGTCAGATACTGTGCTCAGTGTTCAGGATATAACTATGATCAAGATATGGACCCTGCTTACAAGACCATTATATTAACGAATTTTATCTTCTAATTGGTAAGTCCTAGAGCAGAGGTGTGTACATGGTGTTAAATTGGTAGGATGCACAGTAGAGGAAATAATATACTCTTCCCAAGGGGAAGTTGCTGTTTTCACCTCAGGCAGACATTCAATTACAGGATGTTTAGCAAAACATCTGTTTTTAATATAGTGCTGTCATTGCAGAAACAGACTTTTTCTGGAAGGTTGGTATGCTCCTTGAAATCTAAATCTAAATCACAAATTTATCTGAAAAAAAGTAAACAGGACCCCTGAATCTCAGATAGAGTGTGTATAGATAGCTGTTCTTTGAACATGGAAGAGAGAACTGCTGACCAGCTGGTAGCATGTGGATGGAAGGACAATAGCCACAGTTCAGTGTTTGGGATTAGAATTGCAATCATTATTCCTACTTTGGAGTTAGCAACTTCAATGATAAGGACTTCAAAGGACTCTTATCGGGAACTGGTTAATGCTGCCTTATATTGAAGTTTTCTATAACTGGAAACCTTTCTTCCTTTTACCTTGTTTTACAACTTGCTCTTCTTGTCTCTTTCTATTTTTTCTTTTCCTTCCCATCTTACCCTCCCTTCCCTTCCCTTCCCTTCCCTTGTCTACATTCATTGCTTCCTGTTTCTTCCCTCACCCGTCTTCTCTCTTTCATTTTTATTTTTTATAGCTTTTTATATGAAGTTGCCAGAAGGAACCCATTTGTCTTCGCCCCTACACTTCTAACTGTTGCTGTTCATTTTGAGGAGGTGGCCAAATCATGTTGTGAAGAACAAAACAAAGTCAACTGCCTTCAAACAAGGGTGGGTATAGCATTTGTTCCATGAAGAGGATAAGAAATCACTCAATACCACAGATCCAGACCCTGACTTATATTATAGCAAAAGGCTTGCTTACCATATATGATGTTCTCTTGTCACATTCAGTGATTTTCAAACCATTGGTCACCAGGTGCTGATCTAAATATTCTCTTTACTTGAGACTCTTGAATGACAGCCAGTCATTTTCAGGGTCTCTCTTCCAGCTTTGTTTTCTTTGTAAATTGGAAGGAAGCCCTGGTGAGTGAATGCCCAGGGTGAATGATGACATTTTATCTTTTATCTTTGACAATTTGTAGTCTTTTGACTACAAACAACATGGTATAATCTCAGTAGGGATGGCCAAGCTCACAGCATGCTGCCCCACCAAGGGAGCACTTATGCACCTTTTTACCAAGTGCAATTCAATCATCAGCAAGACTGGTCCTACCTTTGTGATGTGCCGTAAGTGCATATTTCTTTTAATATGTGTGTTTACTGAAATAAAAATCCTGTAGATTTTCTGTCTCTGAACAAATTTTGTAATAGTTTGAATGAAATATGACTAAAAAATAAGAGAATAGTGAGATTTTGCTATTGTTTCAAAAGAATTTTCTCTTTCTTCTTCAGGCAATACCTGTCACACAATATTTAAAAGCATTTTCTTCTTATCAAAAACATGTCTGTGGGGCACTTTTGAAATTTGGAACCAAAGTTGTACACTTTATGTGAGTTTTATACTATATGTCTTGTCTCTGCTTGCATTTCCTTGTCTGTGTCCCATTTTTGTTAAATGGTTGATAACTTTTTATTTATATTCTTCCTAGTACCTAGGGGCTTTGGGGTGAGTCTGAGCCTACTTAGACAGCTCAGGACCAGGACATTAGGTTGAGATGAGAGAAGTTTTGGGAGGTGAGGAGACCCAAAAGAGAATGGTGGCTGGGTCTGAGACATATTTAGGTTAATTGAGAATCTGAACTGCTCTGGATGTTTCAAACCAGGGTTATAAAACCCACAAGTGCTTTAGAAATAATTCATCCATTGGTCTTTGACTTTAACAATGAGGAGATAAATTTTATCTCTAGTGCTTGCAAAGATAAATTTTATCTCTAGTGCTCACCCTAATCAATTAGTAATGGGTGTTAAGGCAATGTCTTGAGAAAAATTTTGAGATTTCAGGTAGATCAGCAGGAAAGAGTTCTATCATGAATTATCTATGCCTGCCATGAGCTTACAATAGGAAGTGGTGGCCTTACACAGCATGTCTTACTATAATAATTATGGAAGAAAGCACACCTCTCAGTTTTGTTTTTTTTCACATCCAGGACTTTGGGGCTCTTAAAATATCACCCTAAGATTTTCAAAGTGATCATGTAGGCTGTGCACCAACTATTTGATAAAGACTTCTATAAAAACAACAACAACAGCAATGGTGGCAATACTTTTTGTAGCTATTCATATCATATTAGCAAATTACTCCCACTTGTTCTACTTGCTGTTCAAATTATTTTTGTGGTTTATCAATTCTCTTTCCAGATATATTGCGATACTCAGTCAAAAATTCCCCAAGATTGAATTTAAGGAGCTTATTTCTCTTGTAGAAGATGTTTCTTCCAACTATGATGGATGCTGTGAAGGGGATGTTGTGCAGTGCATCCGTGACACGGTGAATATTCTCTAAAACCAAGTTAAAATAGTGATTTTTGGCAATTATCATTTTTTTATTCTCAAGTTGCCCTGATATGTGGTTACTTTGCCACAATGAAATCAGAATGTGATTTAACTTTTGAATGAAAGCATAAAATGAAATATAAACATTTTTATAAATAAACCTTGGGATTTTTTATACTTGGAATTTTTAAAGATTACTGAATAGATTGTATATTATATGGCTAAATGTCTTGATGTAAAACTTCAGAAATTTCAAATTTTTCATAGTTCATTTAGTACAGATTGAAGTTTTCTCTTACATTATAAATCCTCTTTTAGAGAGGTTGGAAACAAATAGTAAATTTCAAGGAATGACTTGTTAACATTATGTTTTTAAGAGCTGATTTCCCTGAGCTTCCTTACGCTATTCAGGTATAGTCCTTCCAAATAAGTGGATACATTAATTTAACTTTTCTTTTCCCTTTCTCTTTTGGTTCCTTTTTCCTTACCTTCTCCCTTCCCTTTTCCTGTTCCCTCCCTTTTCCCTTTCATTTCTTTCCACGTTCCCTTTCCTTTCTGGCCTTTAACTGACAATTAAAAATTGTATATTCTCATGGTATACAACATGATATATATGTATGTGTATATATAACATGTTATATATGCATATATATTAATGTATACATGCACACACATTGTGGAATGTCTAAATCAAACTATTTAAGATATGCATTACCTCACATACTTATTTTTTTGTGGTGAGAATACTCCAAATCTTAGCAATTTTAAAGTACTCAATATAGTGGTATGAATTCATCATTGAATCACTATGATGTACAAGAGATGTCTTGAATGTATTCCTTCTGTCCTAATGAAATTTTGTGTCCTTTAACCAACATCTCCCCAATTCCCAGCCTCTAGAAATCTTTAAAGTGATTTTCCAAGGAAAAGTATTGGTACGAATATTGTTGGCATAGTTTGAATTGTTCATGCATTCTGTTCTCACTCATAAGTGGGAGTTGAACAATGAGAACACATGGACACAGGGAGGGGAACAACACAGGCCAGGGCCTGTTGGGTTGAGATTGGGTGCTGAAAGGAGAGCATCAAAGTAGCTCATGCATGCGGGGCTTAAAACCTAGGTGATAAGTTGACAGGTGCAGCAAATCTCCATGGCACACGTATACCTATGTAACAAGCCTGTACATTCTGCACATCTGCCCATGTATCCCGGAACTTAAAGTGAAAAAAAATTGCTCATGCATTCAAAGGTAATATAATTTTATTAAAAAAATAACTGAGTATGATAGGTTGCACCTGTAATTGCAGCTACTCAGGACTCAGGAAGCTAAGGAGGGAGGCTTGCTTGAGTCCAGGAGTTCGAGGATACAGTACAGTGAGCTATAATCCCAACACCCTCAGCAACAGAATGAAACCTTATTTCAAAAAAAAAAAAAAAAGAAAGAAAGAAAGATTCAACTTTTAGGCTTACAGTGAAGATAGCATGTCAATTAAATAACTTGAATTTTAGGGTATTGAGAAATGTTTATTTCAAACAATGGACAACAGATGTTCCCAATAATTATTTTTGCTCCTAACTGTACCCAAGTTAAATCAATCTCCTTTGCGATTTATTTTTGTATTGCTTGATTGTTCTTGGTGATGTAGGATTTTGTTTGTTTGTTTGTTTTTTGAGACGGAGTCTGGCTCTGTCGCCCAGGCTGGAGTGCAGTGACAATGATCTCGGCTCACTGCAAGCTCCGCCTCCTGGGTTCACGCCATTCTCCTGCCTCAGCCTCCTGAGTAGCTGGGACTACAGGTGTCTGCCACCACACCCCGCTAATGTTTTTTGTATTTTTAGTAGAGACGGGGTTTCACTGTATTAGCCAGGATGTATGTTTTATAATGTGAAATCTAAGGTACTGAATTAGGATATAATTATAGATTTTCTGTGAAATTTGAGGCTTAGGTTAAGGGATTATGTCTCAAATTTCCTTCTTTTTAATGTCTTTTTGGAGAAATAAGAGGAATTGAATTACAGTTAACTGAAAATAGAAGTAACTTCCCAGAGGATAAGAGATGCTCTGCCTAGAACAATGCTGGCATTACATGAGATGTAAATGTCTTTTTGAAGATTGGCTTCCTGGTTCTATGTGGTTTGTTGGAAACATGGTGCCGATCCCCATTTTATTTTTTACCTCAGTCCTGAGCTTCATCTTATTCCTTATCCTCCATGTTCACCAGAAGATTCGTCAGTGGAAATAGCTTGAGTAAAGTCATAAAGGCTTGAAATAGTCTAGTGTGTTGCTGTAACTCAACATAATTCAAGTGAGGCTGAAACGGAGAGGGGAAATAATGTGCAGTCTCATTCTAGAGTCTGGAAGGGCCCAGAACAGTTTTTAAAAATTATTCAACTAATGTGTAAATAAGATAACCCCACCCTCTCTCTAATTCCCAACTCTTATGTAGAGGTTAGAACTGGGGCAATTGGTAGGGATGGGGACAGAATAAAGTTGTCCATTTGAGCAGTATTTGCTAACCTGAACAGCTTCAAATGAATGATATCCATTAGAAAATGATATCCATTAGAAAATGATACCATGAGTGGAATAGCTTCTTATATTTGATGAATCGTCATCTGGTAGTTGCTGTAGTTCACTCACTTGTCATTCTTTCATTCATTTATCAAATATTTATTTTGATTTTGCCATGTGCTCAGCCACAAGAGAAGACCAGGATTATAGATATTATAGTAACATGTCTTTGGTGGCCTCCACTGAAAACACAAGTGGACTCTTATGGAAAAGAAACAACATTTAGAATATAAGATGTAAATATATCAGTGTAGGAGGGTTATTTAAAAGACTAATGCTTAATAATGGATGTGAATCTATAGTACAGCCTATTTTTTCATAATTATATCATCTTAAATCCTGAGAAGTTTTAATGTAAAACTTCATGTGCATTAAGTAAATCCAAAATTTAATTCAAACAAATATTATCTAGCAAATTAATTGATGAAGTGATTCCAGATGCTGCGATCATGACTGGTTTTGCATGCCATCATTCCATAATGGAAGAAAACCCAGCCTGAAAGTAAAATAATCTCTCATTCTTATTTGGTACAGAGCAAGGTTATGAACCATATTTGTTCAAAACAAGATTCTATCTCCAGCAAAATCAAAGAGTGCTGTGAAAAGAAAATACCAGAGCGCGGCCAGTGCATAATTAACTCAAACAAAGATGATAGACCAAAGGATTTATCTCTAAGAGAAGGAAAATTTACTGACAGTGAAAATGTGTGTCAAGAACGAGATGCTGACCCAGACACCTTCTTTGCGAAGTAATATAACTCTTTATTGAATTTATAAGGGAAACAGAAAGAAACTTATAAGATTTGACTTTTGTTGCTAATTTAGGTGGAAGGACATGGTACCGTTTATTTCACTAGGTATCATATAATTTTTTTTTAAATCATGGCTATAGAGTGTAGTTTTCACACAATTTTAAGAAAAAATCAACTGTATTATTAAAATAATCGCTAGCATTTATTGAGCACTTAATATATGCCAGTCATGGGACTATATACTTTATACAGATAAACTATTTTAATTCTTACAGCAATCATACAAAATAAGTACAATTTCTCCCAGTTTTTCAGATGAGCAAGCTGAGATACAATGAAGTGAATTGTTCAGATTCACAGCTAAAAAGTGACAGAGTAAGAATTTGACTCCAGGAAGCCTGGCCTAGCAAGTTGCAGGCTTAACTGCTATGCTATGCCATCTACAACTGTTAAGGGGAAGACTAGTGAACTTGGAGCCACAGGGACTATATTTGAGTTCTGGTTGAGTTGCTGGGACAAGTTAACCTTTCTGTGCTTTTTTTTTTTGTCATATATAAAATTCATATAAGAATACTCATTCATCTATAATCCCAGCTAATCAGGAGGCTGAGGCAGAGAATTGCTTGAACCTGGGAGGCAGAGGTTGCCGTGAGCCGAGATCACGCACTGCACTCCAGCCTGGGCGACAGAGTGAGACTGTCTCAAAAAAAAAAAAAAAAAAGAATATTTATTAATTTAAAGTTTATTAGTAATGTAATATAATCCAGGGACTTTACTGTTTTTTTTTTTGTTGTTGTTTGTTTTTTTTATCTCCTGGAAGCCTTCATCTATAGAGAGTATAAAGTGAGAAGAGACAAACATAAATAAATAAGTGCAAAAAATGTTCTTTTATTTCTAATAGCATCCTGTTCTAGGTAATGCAGGGGAACAGAAGAAGAAATGGTCAGTTGTATATAGGGACCCTGGAAAGGCTTAATAGGGAAGTGGTACTTGAAGAAATTTTGGTAATCTAGATAGGTAGAGCATGAATTGAAGTTTATAATGGTTTGTTGTGTATGTGGCTGTGAGTAGGGCATCTGCAGCGAGAGACCAGCATGGTGAGAGGTAGGTGGGGCCAGATCATGCAGGCATGCTAAGTAATGGGATGCCACTGAATGGTTTTAATGGAAGAATGAGGAAGGACAAATTCACTTTCAGTTTTTAGAAACCTCATCTGAAGAAAATCCCAGTTTGGGGCTTGGATAACTGGGTGGGTAGTTTTCCCATTCAATGTGAAAAAGTAGCAGGTTTTGTGAGAAAGATAATATGTTTAAGTATGAGCACATTGACTTTGAGGTACCAGTAGAATAACTAATTGGAACTATCAGAAGAGAATTTTATATGTGAACCTGTAGCTCTGGAAGGGAATCTGGCTTGAAATCTAGGACATAACAACAACTAATGTTTACTGAATACTTACTAAATTTTAAGTGCCTCTCATCTACTAACCAACCAAATTTTAAAAACAACCCTCTGAAGTTAGTATACTTTTATAATCTTTATTTTTCAGATAATAAAACAGGCACAGAGAGGTTAAGTAATTTACCCGAAGTCACACATGTGGTGTGGCCAGGATTCAAATGCAAGCAGTGTGGCTCCAAACTCCTAGTCTTATAACTACTGTCCTCTACGGCTTCTCATGGTTGTGGATATTAAATCAAGTTCAATTAAACAAAATGATAGATTGTACCTGACATATGTGTTTGATAGATAAAAGCCATTTTTATAATCGTCACTATTACAACATAAAAAGTGTTTGAAACATGGGGAGAAATGATAGAGTAACAGTGAGCACACCAAGTCAGAGTGCTCAGTGTTTTAAGGTAGAGTCTTTCTGGATGTGAACATTTTAGGCAAGTCCTCAGTGGCTTCTCCAGCCTAGAGTAAGCTTCCAGGGATTTTTCTTCACAGTATTTTGAGACATGTTTTTAGGTGTGTGTGTGTGTGTGTGTGTGTGTGTTACTCCCCCACTCCCAGAGAAGAAGTCCATGGCTTACATCAGATATTAAGAGGAGCCCTGATTCTCTGAACGTTAAGCACTACTGCCATGGGATATGGGAATATATCTCACAAATGGAATTGAAAAAGCAAATGGGAAGCTGGAGAGATGGTTTCAGAAAAACCAAGATTAATCAAGAAGGTCAAATCCTGAAAAAATAGGGGTGGGGAGGGGATGAAAAGAGTTACCTGGTCATGAAAAACTTGTGAGGTATTGCGCTCACAAAACGTGGAAGATCTGAACTTATTGTGAATGAATAGATGAGTTTTCTTTTTTTTATGAAGACTGTAAATAGCCCAGCTGAGGTACTTCAAGATGACATCTCTGTCTTGAGAAAAGAGTTCGCTTGGTAAAGAATGGAGTAAACATCCCAGGGGACTTAGGGTCAAATTTTATATCTTCCATTGATAGGAAGGTGCTTAACCAGTCTGTGATTTAGTTTCCTCAGTTGTAAAACAGTACATATTTTGGGGACTAAGTGAAGTGAAATGAGAAAGTGTTTATAAAGTCCAGGAAGCACATCTATATCTGTTATGCCCAAAGTTTGATCCAGTGCCTAGCACCTACTAAGGGCTTAATAACTGTTAGCCTTCTTCCTCTCTCTTTCTTTCCAAATCACACCCACCTATGCTCTTGAAGTCCTTGACAGAGGATTTGGAAGCCACTGCCAGTGATTTGGAGCTGAAGGCGTAAACACTCCCATAGTTGGCAAGTGACAGGATGTAGTAATGGGCAAAGCTTGCTCCCTATCTCTCACGAAGACCACATTGTGGGCGGGAAGGAAGCCATATTCCCAGCATGTCAAGTTGGAAATCTGAATGCATCTTCAAACATAATTATAAGCAATATGTATTTTTTAAAGTATATTCACAATTTATTATTTCCAATGTTTTATAGATTAAATCATTCCAATAATTAGTTCCAAATAATTCTACTAATTCTCTCTTCTCAAATAAAAAATATTGTTAATCTAAAACGTACCATGGAAGAGAACTTTTGTAAAATGATCTATAGCCAAAATGTCCTCTTAAATTACTCTGTGACCAAGACAGAGGAGAAAATTAGCTTTTGAAAGCAGAGTCAGTATTAGATCTGACTGGATTACAAAATAGTGGAATTGGGTTTTTTGCTCTTTCTCTAATTTCTAATATACAAAATTTTACACATTGCAGGTTTACTTTTGAATACTCAAGGAGACATCCAGACCTGTCTATACCAGAGCTTTTAAGAATTGTTCAAATATACAAAGATCTCCTGAGAAATTGCTGCAACACAGAAAACCCTCCAGGTTGTTACCGTTACGCGGTAGGTTCCATTGTTGTAGGTTCAGAAAATCAAAAAAGAACAACTAGAAAACACTTAAAAATTGATATCAGAGTTTTGCTGCAGTCTGGGGGTAGAAAATGTGATTGGCTAATCTGAGTCCACTGTAGATTCAGCCTAAGAAGATTATTGGGAAGGCCAATGTCATCAGTTTGGCTGATGCATAATGTTTTGGACTACTAATCCAATGTGTTAATTCAAAAAAGTCTTCCCATTAAACATTTTAAATTTACATTTTTCTTTATGTATTCTGTATTTTATTAAGCCGTATTGGATATTACATGATTTCAAAAGCAATGATTGCTGTAGATGACTAGGAAAATATTCTGTATTTTATTAAGCCATATTGGATTCTTTATGGTTTCAAAAGTAATGATTGATTGTTGTTGATTATTAGGAAAGCAACAAAGGTTACAAAGAACCCTTTTCTGATTCTCCCACTGGGAAATAGCTATAATTAACATTTGTGTTCAACTCTTCAGTACATATACGTATATATACGTGTATTTTAAAAATAAGATTGGCATAATTCCTAGAAAATGTTTGGACCTGTTTTTTTATTTGGTATCATAGAAAACTTTTTTGTTGTTGTTGTTATAAATTGTGCTTCCTTGGTTTCCTGCTGTTGCCACAAAGGGAGCGGCTTAAACCAACAAAAATTTATTCTCTCACAAGAGGCCAGAAGCCTGAAATGAGTCTCATGGGGCTAACATCAGGTGTCAGAAGGGCTGTGTTCCCTCTAGGGAAGCTAGTCCTTGACTCTTCTTGTGTCTAGTATAGAAAACTTTTTACGTCATTAAACAGACTTGAAAATAAACTTCTTTTTAAATGATGGTATCCCATCATAATTATTTAATTTATTTAACTGATTTCCTACTGTGTGTTTGACATTTTGGATGTTTGCTTAGGGTGTTTTTCACTTTGTAAGTGACCCTGAGATGAACGTCTCCTTCCATTTATCTTTATTAATATTTATGGCTTTTTTCTTAGGATGGATTATCAGAAGGAAAATTATTGGATCAAAATATATGAACTTTAAAAAACATTTAACACAAATTGTTGAATTACTGTCAAGAAAGTTGTTTCTGGTGTCTGGCCCCACAACAGTGCTTGGAAATGCTCATTTCAATGTCACTTTTACCAACATTGCACATGGAAATTAACTTTGCTAGATTTATATGTAAATAACAGTGTTTGTGTTTTTAAAACACCTTTATTTGATTTTTAAATTGTTAAATTTTTTCCATATGATTTTAGCTATTTACACATTTTCTGTGAAAAATCTGTTCATGTGTACTACCCATTTTCCTGTTGAAATTAGTGTTTTTCATATAAATTCATATGTATTTCTGAATACATATTAGAGAAATTAATAATTTGACATTTTTTGATTTATTTCTCCTTCCTTTGATATGTGCTACTTTTGCTTTAGCAAAACATTTTTTTTCACTTGCCACAAACACCAGTTTATACCCACTCAAATTTGAGCAATGGAATAAGACTTGGATCCCTGCTCTGTAACTGTCCCTAATGAGGTAGTCTGTTTCTGATCCTTAAATTAATCATAGCGCTAGAAAATTCTCTCTTTTCATGGAGATACAATTTGCTCCACAATAGCTATCCACTGGTGTTTAGTTCTCTGTCTGGTGGCCACTCAGAAGATGTCCAATTTTATGCCACATGAGAGATAGTCCATCAAATATTTGAAGAAAACTGTTGGAGGTTTTAAGTTCCAAATCTAAACAATGAAAAAATCAAAAAGAGCAACATGATTTAAAATGTTCTGTAACAACACTTACTAGCTGGGGTATTCTGGGTAAGTCACTTAATTTCACAAGGCCAGTTGCCTTTACTTAAAAATGGAGATAACAACTGCTCTTGCCACTTCAAAGTGACAACTGAATGTTATTATTTTCAACATACAATTTAAATTCTGTTTTGTAATTTGGAAGGCTCTGAAATATGTACAAGGTGATAATAAAAAAATTTGGACTTTTAAATTTAGCAAGAAATATATTTTTATATACATAATTAAAAAATTAAGTTCTTGCACGTGCTTGTAAAAAGTGCCCTGAATTTAGTGTAATAATGAGAATTTGAAAATACCATAGAAATAAGAAATGCTATTCTACACATTGATGTAAAGCTTATGGTTAAATTTTAGATAAAATGTTTGTAACCATGATTATTCTTATTTTCAGGAAGACAAATTCAATGAGACAACTGAGAAAAGCCTCAAGATGGTACAACAAGAATGTAAACATTTCCAGAATTTGGGGAAGGATGGTTTGAAATACCAGTATGTTGTTTGCACAAGTGGGCTAACACTTGCCACTAGAATTGAATACATAATCCCTCGAAGCGTAAAAAAGTTAGCTGTCAAGTTTTTCAGTTATGGCCGATTCATAAACTCTTGGAAGAATTTTTTTTTAAAGTCAAGAATGCCTATTGAACTGTCACATTAATCTTTTATCAGAAATGAAGCTAAAAATAAAAGAAATACAGGATTCTGGAGACATTGATTCTCTAATGCTTTGGTTTCTGTTTGACATTGGCTTTCTCACTGCCAATCTAGAATCCCTGCATCCTCACCCATTTCAAAGTGGGACACTGCATATTTCAGGTCATTACAGTTTCTTTGGGGAAGAGATAGTTTGCCTTGCCTTGCCTTACGGCTATCTTACCTGAGTTTATAGAAATAACTCAGGATGTGTTTAACACTTTAATATTTAGCTTTTTAGTGCTCTTGTGAGCATTTGTGAATAATATGCAGTTTGGGTTTTTTTCAATTATTATGTCAATGTATTTTATTATCATTATTATTATTGTTATTATTATCATTACTACATATTTTTGAGACAGGGTCTCTCTGTCACCCAGGCTGGAGTGCAGTGGTGTGATCTCAGCTCACTGCAATCTCTGCCTCACAGGCTCCAGTGATCCTCCCACGTCAGCCTCTCAAGTAGCTAGGGCTACAGACGTGAGCCACCATCCCTGGCTGATGTTTGTATTTTTTGGTAGAGATGGCGTTTTGCCATGTTGCACAGGCTGGTCTTGAACTTCTGAGCTCAAGCAATCCAACCCTTCGGACTTTGCTGGGATTACAGGTGTGAGCCACTGCACCTGGCCTCATGCTAATGTATTATTTATTGAAACTAAACATCTTTAAATCAAAATAAAACACAGTTTAAAAATATCTGACTTTCCTATTTCTGCAATTTGGCTGTTAGCTGACAATTCAAACTTAGTTCATTAAAAATCTTAGTTTTCTTCATCTCAGATTATCCTTTTACAACATATATTGATTAAATTCTTTCTTTAAAATATTTTCTAATGATGTAAATTATTTTAAGCAAGATTTTAGATACTAGCCAATGTATTTGCTGTCAAGGAGCTCCTATACTTAAAGATAACACGGGGAGGCAAATCTAAGAGCTTCTGAGACAACCGTGAAATTAGAAAGGAAGCTAAAATAGATATAGGAAGCAGGGTGCAGGAAAACAGGAAGTAAAGACATATTTCTCTACTTTATGAGAGAGCTAAGGTTCATGTTGCACCTATATTGGTTGTCGCTAGCCTTGAAGGGTCTGGGCTTCAGCAGTAATTCAAGGGAAAATGGGTATCTGCTTTCATTCAGAACCAAACAGACAAATGTTCTTTCAGTTACCTCATCAGGCTCACGAAGATAGCTCCCCAACTCTCCACTGAAGAACTGGTGTCTCTTGGCGAGAAAATGGTGACAGCTTTCACTACTTGCTGTACGCTAAGTGAAGAGTTTGCCTGTGTTGATAATTTGGTGAGCATGGCCTGTGTACCAGACTACTCTTTTTTTTTTTTTTTAAAAAAAAGAATATTTGCACTCATTGATTTACCGTGATTATCCATATTCCTTTCTTCACTGTTTTAATATTGTTAAGCAAAAATTGTCAAGTTTTCCTTTTGGCTCACTTTGTGAAAACCCTAAGAAGTAAAACAGAATGTCTTCAATATTTTTGGAGAGTACTTCAAATTATCTTTCTTATTTCTTCATTGTATTAGAAGGGATTTGTTAGGACAAATGATTTAGGAATCATAATATTGTTTCAAAATGATACAGGAAACTTTATAATTTTAAGTAAGGTTACAGATTCTTCCTCTTGGCCCCATTGCTTCATCCAGCAATCAGGCATTGAATACATCTCTTTAGGGCTGGGGTGGAGAGTACCTTGAGGCAGATGCCAGGAGGGGAAGAAACCCCTGTACCACAGTGTTTGATCGCCCCTTTCAGTTGGCTTTTTGCAGCTGTCTGTTTGCAATTGAAAGTTTGTTTATATGCCACCAAGAAATTAATTTGTAGGCATCTAAATTCTTATGGCTTGGATTTTGGTCATAATGCCATTTAGGACCCCAGCTTCTAGTTTTACTTGTATATAGGGATATGTCATGAGTGCATGTGTTTTATGAGTGAGGTTAACAGTGATCTTAGAAAGATCTAAGTATTCATCTAACCATATTTTTAGAAATTCCATTCAAGTTTTAAGATCGTATCTCAGTTGCAACTCTTGTTGGTACAGGCAGATTTAGTTTTTGGAGAGTTATGTGGAGTAAATGAAAATCGAACTATCAACCCTGCTGTGGACCACTGCTGTAAAACAAACTTTGCCTTCAGAAGGCCCTGCTTTGAGAGTTTGAAAGCTGATAAAACATATGTGCCTCCACCTTTCTCTCAAGATTTATTTACCTTTCACGCAGACATGTGTCAATCTCAGAATGAGGAGCTTCAGAGGAAGACAGACAGGTACAAATAATCTCTTCCATTCTTCTTTTTCTTTGGTTTGAAGACACACCATGTATTAGTGAGAAGGTTTATCTAGTGGATATGTCTTTTTGATATCACAATCCTGTTCCTTCCACCAAATTGTCCAGTCTCTTCTATATGGAAAAATACAAGTGCATATTTTTTTTTTGCCATTGTTTATATCTAGCTTGTCTTTTCATTTGAAAGAGACTTGGAATGTCCAAGTCTAACATTACCTTTAGAAAGTTTACAGCAGCCAGCAAAAAGGCTCATAGGCAGGCTGATAATGAATTTCATTTCCTTGAGGGAATGCCCGGAGAATATCATTTAGTGTTTACAAAGGAGAGGCCTAAAGGGCCAGGAAGTTTACTTTCATTTTCTCAATAAATGCTTTAAAATGCCAGGAAATTAGACCTAGTTTTTTGGATTTAGACAGAGTCTGCCTAATGTGTAGTGGAGACAACATTCAGCTACCAAATATGAGGAAATGGAGGTTGTTTTGGACATGAATTTTCTGGAAAGATCAGACGTAGTCATGTATACCATAATACTTGGCATAATAAAGGCCTAATATATGTTTTCATTTTTAAATAGAATAATACTCTTATTATGTGCAATATTCATAGATTCACAGTGCAATACACTCTTGTATTTTCCAGTCCATCCTATTCTAGTCTGGTCTATTTTATTCTTTTTAACTATCCTGTTTTCATTTTAAAAATGAAAGCGAGAAAATGCAAATTTTTGTTAATTCTTAGATCGAAGGATGGGCATACGGGACTTATTACATTTTCCTCTTTGGTGCATTAAAATTTTATTACTTAAAATAATTACTCTAAAAATGTACTCTAAAATGTACTTTTAAGACATCAATGGGTTGCCCCCTGAAGTTTGGAATTCTATAAGTTACTAGAATACTGGAATTCTAGAATTTACTAGAAAATAAGGAAATCATTATTGTCTATGGCTGTTGTCACACTTAATTGTGATAGCTTATTTTTTTAATTGCTCCTTTGACATCATTTTTAATTGACATATAATAGTTGTACATATTTTGGGGGTACATGTGATATTTTGATAACTGCATAAATGTGTAATGATCAAGTCAGGGTAATTGGAATGTCCATCATCTAAAACATTTATCTTTTCTTTGTACTGGGAACATTACAATTCTCCTCTTCTAGCTATTTTGAAATATACAATAAATTACTGTTAACTTTAATTTTCCTACTATACTACTGAATACTAGAACTTATTACTGCTATCTAATTGTATTTTTGTACTCCTTGGCCAACTTCTCGTCATCCCTCTCTTCCTCCTTGTTAATACTTTTTGTATAATTTTGTGTGTGACAAAACCCTTCAAAGAATGTTACTGTGGAAACCATTCTCTAAATTTAATAGGAAAGTTTCAGAAGACCCATTCAAAGTGGTATATTTCAACTCTTTACCCACACCCAAGCTGAGACTCAAGACGTGATTCTGTAACAAGCATTTTGGAGTAGAGACGCTTCAGAAAGAAAGCGTTAATTAATTTTATTTGACATCTTTTGGCCACAGGTTTCTTGTCAACTTAGTGAAGCTGAAGCATGAACTCACAGATGAAGAGCTGCAGTCTTTGTTTACAAATTTCGCAAATGTAGTGGATAAGTGCTGCAAAGCAGAGAGTCCTGAAGTCTGCTTTAATGAAGAGGTAGTTTTATTTCTTTTCTACTGAAATTCAACTGGTTTTCCTGGTCAAATAAAATAAAACAGAACCCTGCAGGACACTGCTTCCTCTCTGCAGTGTCTACCAGGACTACATTTGAGAGCACAATTGCTACACAACTAATATGTAGACATCTCTGAAATACACTTTGAGCAGTGTCTCCTTAGTACAGAAAAAGCTGTCGGAAGACCTGGGTTGTAACCCCAGCAGTCTTGTAAGTCATGCAACTTAAACTGAATGGCAATTAACTATCTTTAAATGAGGATGGTAATAATTATCCCTGAATTACACCTTTGGTTCTTATTTTTTGGTTTTGAACCACTCATTATCTTAATAAGACAGAGTCAAAGCGACTTGCAAAGGAAATCATAAACAGCTCCAAATGGAGCAGAGCAGGAAGGGTATTAGAAAGTGAAGTCTTTCAGGAGTGGCTGTCTCACTTTCCCAGGCCTTGTGCTAACATCCTGCAGTTGAGAATAATGAGGGAGTGGAGGGTAAGGGTAGTCAGGGAGAAAAGGGAGAAATGTCCCTTGCTTGCCCTCGCTCCAGTGAAGGTAGTCTGTAGCCATTTGCTCTGGTTTGAACCTCAGCAACCTGTGAATGTTAGCCCCAATGGATGGCTCCATGGAAATGCCTGTTCACTGTTTTCCAACTTTATTTCTCACTGTTTCTTTTCTAGGAACACTCACTCCACTCCAAACTCACAATTCATGTAAACTCACAGGCAGACAAACTCACACACGTGATTCATTCTGGTTGTGAGCCATCTACTTTTCTGAGTGACACTTAGTTTGTGGAAATTTTTCTGGGGTACATATTACTAGTTTTTAAAAAATATACCTAATTTTAAGTAAAGGATATTAATCAATATCTAGCATTTATCTGAGTGAGTGTGTACATTAGGGCCATGTGAAGGAAAGGATGAATTTTTGGCAGTTGTAAAGAGCCTTTCGGTGTCTATTTTTTCACTAGAAGAAAGAATGTTTACTGTTTCCCTGTACAACGTGGGAATGATTTAATTTTCTTCAAAATTCAGGAAAACATGCTTATCTAAATTTAAACTAGTGTCTTAAATTTTTCTTCCTATGTGTTTTTATTTCCATCCCTCACCTCAGAGTCCAAAAATTGGCAACTGAAGCCAGCTGCTGGAGATATGTAAAGAAAAAAGCACCAAAGGTAATACCCTCTGCCTCATTCAAATGTCAAATGTATTTGTGGCTTATCTGATCTCCTTGCCTTTTCTCCCTCATGCTTCTTTGTCTATTTCTGGTTCATCCTACATGAACAAGAAATGCACATGTAGCTAACAGACCCCGATATTGTTCCTGTGTTTTTCTGGGTATCAGCCACTCCTTATGGGGTGGCAATGCTGCATTTGTGCTTGCCCTTCTCTTGCTGTTCAATCAGTTTTCTAGATAACCAAGAGGCGCTTAAGTCCTCTGCCTTCCTACTCATGTATTCAGCTGTCTGGACCACAAAGGAGGGATGATGGAACCTCTGAATGTTGACAGAAAGAAGAGGGGTAACTCCCTGGGGACTGAGGTGGGCAGACAGACCTCAGTGACCCTTTCCAATAATCTTTTAAGAATATTGCTTTACTGAGATATGATTCACATACAAACCAAGGGTATTGCTACAGCATTTACGTGAACAAAAAGCGATATGTTTGTGATTTCAAAAAGATATATAAAGATGCCCTCCCCTTTGTGGCTTATGTAAGACCTGAAACACAAACTTTAGCAACAAAATGTTGCGTAGATATAGGAGTTATATACAGTGTCAGTGAAGAGAGACCTGGACCTCAACAGAAGGTAGGTTGGGATTTACAAGGGACAAAACACGGTTACCACTAATAGTTTTTTCAAATACTCGACTTTCTATCACCCAACTTTCAACATTTCATGTTTTTTTGATGCATGAAATACTATCTTCTCTTTCCAGGGAAGGCTTCCTATCTGTGTGGTGATGAATCGCATTTCCTGAGAACAAAATAAAAGGATTTTTCTGTAACTGTCACCTGAAATAATACATTGCAGCAAGCAATAAACACAACATTTTGTAAAGTTATTTTTCAGACCGATGTCATAAATCAACCTAATCACAAAATCAAGCAATCATGATTCATTCATTCCATCAGCATCTTTTGCTCACATGGCTGCACCATTCCCTATCCATGAAAGATGGAAGTCTGAATAGCAGCTGGGTAGGCACAGTGCTCTAAGATGTCCTTGAAACTACCAGAAAGAAAACTGAGAATTTTGGGCATGAAACTTTACTGCTACAACTACTGCTACTACTAGTAGATGACATTGAATGTTTTCAATGTACCAAACATTGTTCTAGCTAGTTTTCATGCATTATTTCATTTAATCTAATAACTCTATGGGTAGGTATTATTTTCATTTACATTTTACAAACAGGAAATCTAAGGCTTGGGGAGATAAACTAATGTGTTCAGTGTGATATCACTAGTAATTGGCAGAACCAGGGTTTGAATTTAGGTTCTCTAATTCTGGAACTATATATAAATGTATATAACATATATATTATATATTATGTAATAATAATGTTATATATTATATATAATACTGTATAATATATTACATTACTGTAACATATTATAAAATATATAATATATAATATAATATATACTTCCAGAATTTTATATATATTATATATTTTATAATTTCAACTTTTATTTTAGATATAGGGGGTTCATGTACAGGTTTGTTACATGTGTATATTGCATGGTGCTGTGGTTTGGTGTATGGATCTCATCACCCAAGTAGCGAGCATAGTACCCAGTAGTTAGTTTTTCAACCCACACCCCTCTCCCTCCCACCCCTCTGTAGTAGTCCCCAGTATCTATCGTTCCTGTCTTTATGTCCATGTACTCAATGTTTAGCTCCCACGGTATTTGGTTTGAAGTTTGAAGTTGGGTAATGTGATGCCTCCAGCTTTGTGGAACAATATTGTTAACCATTGCATACACTACCTCTTAGGTATGGCCATGTTGCATGCCTTACAAAATCTGTTATTCAGAGAGGTGGAATGATTGTACAAGGCAACAATGACAGTGGTGGTTCTCGCCCTCCATTCCAAGCCAGAATTGCTGTTGTGTTAGTGATATAAATGCTTGATATTGATATCAAAGGAGAAGTAACTCAGGAAATGAAGACTGGTTATGGACTCATGGCCTGGCTTTCCTGGTGGTTCTCTAAACTTTGAAGATTTTTGTATGCCAATGTTTACATTTGAAGATGTTGGCCATTTAATAGATAATACATGAGGCTATTCATAGAGTTATTTTGGTAGAGTGTTTAGAGCATAGTCTTTGGGATTCTCATTGATTTATTCAACAAGTATTTATTAGAATTCTATTGTGTGTCAGACATTGTGGATACAAATATGAGACAGAATTGGTTCCTGTTTCTTGCTAAGCAGGGGAGAGGGACAGTAAACATGCAATCACGTTTCAATGTCATACGTGCAGGGTCCAGGCACTCACTCTAAGCTGAAGGTGCAGAGTGAGAAAGGGATGGCAGCGGGTGCTTTATATCCCTACTGCCATTAATTTACTGTACAGCCCCAGATAAGTTCCTTATACTCTATGACATCAATTTCTTTGTGTAGGATGGGCTAATATCAAGTCACAAAGGCTTTAGAGAAAAGAATTAAATTACTATATAAAGTACTTAATACATTGGCCAGCAGATAACAGGTGTGTAAGTCATAAAGTTATTTTGTCCTCTAACCACTTTCTCCAAGCACTCTCATTTACCAATGAGGATAAGAAGGAAGTATTGCTTTACTTAAACAATAGATAGTAGATTTAGAAAACGGAAGTGAAACAAAGCATAATTAGTGAACTTAATTTTATACTGGATTCTGCTATGTATTCAATACTGTGCTAAGAGAAGCAGATACAAAATCAGGGACCCAGGCACTTGCCGCCATCATAAAGTTTCTATCATGGCAATGGAAACTGCCATACAACTCTTTCTCTACTGCCATGCCAGAACACACATTGATCAAAGCAGGAAAGGAGGGAGAAGAATGGCTTCTGCAAAAGACACAGTTGCCTGAAAAGGAGGAGATTTGGAGTGGGCATGAATTAGTCTTACTCTGTATTACTTGGACAGAACTCATACCAATGAATAGAACATATCTGGTTTGATGCAGAAAAAAATTTTCTAACACTAGAGATGCTTATACATGTGATAAGCCTCCTGCTGCAATACTCAATGCCAAGACTGCATGTGTGTGAGCAGCTACCACCTGGGTTTTTGGTGGCATCCAGTCATGGTCTTTCTAAGGCCTCTTTGAACTCTATTTCTATGACCTGGGCAAGAATTAAGTTTTCTATGAAAATAGTATTTATTAAACATCATCACTGCATCTTGTACTTGCATACCTTCCATATTTTATCTTAAAGGCTAGCCTGAAGAGCTTATTTTCTTCTAGAGCCAATTCTGTGCTGGTGTCTATTGATTGATATCACAAAACCTATCTCATTGCCTTTACTTAAATAATCCTTGCTACTTTTCTTTCCTGTGGTCTGGAATTCTACCACTAGTTACTGATAAGGATTTAACATTTTAAATGTTGTCAAGAATCTCTTATTAATTGCAAATGTCTCTGAAGAAGGGTTCCCAAGGAATGTTAATTTTGGTCAGTTATTTTTTTAAGGAGGAATTAGCTTAGCACACATAACAGTTGTTAAAAAATTTTTAGTGTTAACTCCAATCAACTGATAGTGGCTGTCCTGCAGCTTTGTGCTGTGAGTGTTTCTAAGACTGAGCATAAGCTCAGAGAGAAAGAGTGCAGTGATCAGATAGCAGTGTCTGCGGTGGGTAACAGTCTTGGAGCATTCTTCCAAAGGATTTGACAAAAGATTGGACTTAGTTTAATAGGTACATTTTTGATAGTTCTAAGAAGTTTAGAGTAAGATTTCAAGGGAACAGCACTAAGGATACATGACAAAAGAGACAATGAATGTTAAGACTGTTTAGAGGACCTCAAAATGGATGATGGAGACCTGCCAAAGATAGTCTTCCCCTTGCTGACCTTGGTGGGCTCTCTAGCATCCTTCATATTCTTTATGACAAGCCTATGTGTCCCAAAACTAAATAATGACAGATGTTTTGGGCTTGTTTTTCAGGCAAATATGTCTCTCTCACTTGTGATATATTTTTGCTTAGAAAAATGGTATTGAGAATATGTGAGTAGCAGAATTAAGTAAGATACTGTCAGCCTTAGAGCTTATTTGATCCAAACCTTCCATTTAAAAATGAGGAAATTGAGAAGAGAATAAAGTAATAACCCATGATCTCCCATTTTCAAAATTTTAGACTTTACATGTATAGACATCTTACAATTGTTATTTAGTAACTAATTACCTGTTTGCTGCCTTAGACCCAAGAATTGGTTGATAGGCAAAGCAGACAATAGCTGAGGGATATTGGTGTCTCAGCCTTAACACTAGCTCTTGGATGTGTGGGCTGTAAAGTCAGACAGACATGAATTTTTACCTGTGAGTCTATGAACAAATTACTTGACTCTGAGTCTTAATTTCTCATTCAAGACATACTAATATTGCTAACTATCTGAGAGTCATATAAAGTGACCATAGTAAGTGTTTGATAAATTAGGTCCCATTCTTTTAGGTTCACTCCCAATGCTTGTACAGCTCCTAACTCCCCTTCTCCCCAGGGACTTGAAAATGTACCCAGCATTAGAACCTGAGCCCTGACCATTTAGTCAATCTGTGGTAGTATATGTTTATCTTCTTCCCTTCCACTTTAGAACTTTGGACATGTCAACAATCATTTCTAAGAAATGAGGTATTGCAGACCAACATTTGCCAAGAGTGTTTATGGATTACTTAATTATAAAGTTTGCATGTTGAAATCTTAAAGAAACAAGCAGATTGACATGACTTGTTTAAAAATGCAGTATTCATTAATGAATTCAATCCATCAGCAATATTTCTTCATTGTCATAGATTTCCTCAGTTTTATCAGGGCCATAGTTGCTTGGAAAAAATATTCACCAGAAAAAGGTTTCTTTTTAATAGTAATTACTTGGAAAGAATATAAAGTTCTTCATTTCTCTCAAATGATAGAACACTTTCCATAAAGGTTCTCACGAAGTAATGAAGACTGCTAAACCCACATCTTTTCTTGTTTTCTTCAGCTACATTAAATGTCAATCTCGTTAGAGAAGTTTACTAGATGCGGGTGGAAAATCCTATTTACAATTTACATATTCCAGGTATAAGGATAAGATAAGTAAGCCACAATGACTACTACAGTGTACATGAGAAGGCTTATCTTTTTCAGAGGTCATTACTGTAAATAGAATCATTGAAAATTGCAAGACATTAATTTGTGGAATGAATATACAGAGAGAGCTGATATATTGAAGCAACACACACAGGAATATTCCACTTTAGCCTCACTTCCACTCTAGGTAAGAGAATGTTCTATTTTAAACTTACGTTTAGAATTGGATAAGCAGTTTCAGACAAAGCAATACTTTGAATAATAGCAGAAATAATATTATGAGCTAAATTATTCAGTACCTGTTATGTGCCAGGCCCTGTGCTCAGTACTTCACACATATGCTTTCTTATTTTGTTTTCTTATTTTTAAATTTTATTTTTAGAAACAGGGTCTTGCTCTGTTATCCAGGCTAGAATGCAGTGGTATGATCATTCATACCACCTTGACGTCCTGGGCTCAAGTGATCCTCCTGCCTTAACCTCCTGAGTAGGTAGGACTACAGCGGCCTAACCCTGTACCTGAGTAGTTTTTCATTTTTTTGTAGAGATGAGGTCTAACTATATTGCCCAGGCTGGTCTGAAACTCCTGGCCTCAAGTCTTGGCATCCTGGCCTCCTGCATTGGCACCCTAAAGTGCCGGGATTACAGGCATGAGTCATCATGCCCAGCCCATATATGCTTTCATGTAATCTTAACTACCACCCAATATAGTAGAACTTATTTAAATTTTATTGCCAGAGAAACAGAAACTCAGAGAACTTAAGTTATTTTCCCAAGACCATAGTAAGTACCAGAGCTAGAAGTTGAACTCAGAATAGCTGTTTCTGAAACCTTTTCTTATTTTAATATAGTAAATGATAATGGTTTGTTTATTTAACAACTGCTAAGCTCTTTGGGAGCTATTATTATAGGAAAAATGACACTGTTATCAATAGAGAACATATGCATGTGATTTTGGTGAGTGGAGATGATGAAGAAGATGGAGGTGATCCAAGATGTGTGAAACACCGACTTTGCCGAATTAAGCCTGGCAAGGTATTAATGTTTATACTTTTATATCCAATGCTAAACCTTAATTTTCGGTGTGCTAGTAACTTCTAATATAAAGAGTTAAATAACTGAAATATTAAGTTTAATTCAGAAGTGTTAACAGAAGTACATGCAGCTTATTTGTAGAACAATGATAGATTTCACCTACACAACATATTTGAATATAAGTCATTCACAGAATACAGTTTAAATACAAGTGAAGACATATTCCGAGAATTTGCTTAACTTACAGTAAATAAAAATACATCTAGAAATTTATGAGAGAACAAATATAGGTTGTAGAATTGTAAAGAGGGATTTCAATTTGGAAAATTTTCTTTTATGCAAATATCTCACTCCATCTGAATTCTATAACAAAATACCATAAACTGGATAGCTTTTAAACAACAAAAATTTATTTTTCACAGCTCTGGAGGCTGGGACCTCCAAGATCAAGGCACTGGCAGATTTGGTATCTGGTAAGCATCCTTATATTCGGAATCTGGGATGGCTCTACATTCTGGTCCATAGAAGGTGCCTACTGAGGTGTCTTAACATGGTGAAAAAAGTAAACCAGCTCCCTTGGGCTTCTTTTATAAGGGCAATAGTTGCAGTCATGAAGACTCCAACCTCATCACCTAATCACCTCCCCAAAGGCACCACCTACTAACACTATCACCTTGGGGTTAGATTTTCAATGTATGAATTTTAGGGGACACAAGCATTCAGGCAGCACAGCAGCAAATAAAATCTCATTTATTCAGCCATACAGTATATTAATAGCCAGAATTACCCGGGCAGAATGTAAGAGACATGTGAGTTTTATTATCACTATTGTTTTGTCTGAAATTTGAAATAACATTAATTGTTTTTGGAGGGAATGGAGCAATGATATAACAAAAAACAATGGAAGAAAAGGGCTTGAGGCTATCTTTAACATAAATATTATGTTTCAGCTCCAACATTATGGTTGCTCAGTTTCTTCAGAAAGCAACTCATGGAGAAGTACAAACCACAGTTAGAAAGTTGAGAGATTTCAATGAGAAGCACAGGACCTTTAAGTCACATGGTTACCTTCAGAATGCACTCACCAATTGGTAGGTGAATTATGTTCTCCTGTTTTCTCTTTTTAAACTCTATTGCAACCAAAAGATGTTTTTATGAAGGGGCTTGAATAATTAGGCAAGGGCTTATAAGACAAAGATATGTAGATGAGTCATATCCTAGATGTATTTGTTGTAGGTTTATAAACTTTTTTTTTTGAGTTATGGTATTGCTGGTAATGCAATCATGGCTCTTGACAGCCTCCAATTCCTGACTCAAGCAATCCTCCTGCCTCAGCCTCCCAAGTAGCTAGGACTACAGGTGTCCACTGCCATACCCGACTTTTATTTTTTTTTTACAGATGGGATCTTGCTATGTTGCCCAGGTTGGTCCCAAACTCCTGTCCCCAGGCAATCCTTCTGCCTCAGCATCCTGAGTTGCTAGGATTACAGGTGTGAACAACCACACCTGAATCTAAACCTACATTTTATCAGTTCATTCCTAGGACACCAGGATCTGAGAACCAACACTCAAGAAAATGAATTATAACCTAGAATACTAATTGGTTGATTTACATTGGTTACATTTGGTTACACAGAATTTACATTTTGTGCCTCTGTCACAGAATGCTATTGTCTGACATTCTCATATAATGAATCCTGGGAAACTGAAGTATTAATTTTAAAAATTTTCTGAGAAAATATGAAAAAGAAAAAAAACAGTAAATATATGATGGGATCCTTTTCCCAGTAAGTAGAAAATCTTTGGCGTTATTATTGCCTCATTATAAAATGTATCTATTTTGTGATTAGCAAATCCCATGAAAATAGTGATTCTACTTGAAAATTCTTGATAAATACTGACCTATTCTTATAATCCACATATTTTTTGGATCCATTATCCTCATGCTAAATAATTTAAAATGTAAATGAATGATTTTATTCTTTGTTTATAGATTTTTAAACTTCATCTTCTTGGGGCTAAATCCTACCTATCTTTTATTAGACTCTGAGTAGACATAGAAAAATCATGTCTCACTGGGTGCGGTGGCTCACGCCGGCAATTCCAGCACTTTGGGAGGCTGAGGTGGGCGGATCACCTGAGGTTGGGAGTTTGAGACCGGCCTGACCAACATGAAGAAACCCTGTCTCTACAAAAAAAAAAAAGAAAAAATTAGCCGGGCGTGGTGGCGCATGCCTGTAATCCCAGCTACTCAGAAGGCTGAGGAGGGAGAATCGCTTGAACCCGGGAAGGCAGAGGTTGCGGTAAGCTGAGATTGTGCCACTGCACTCCAGCCTGGGCAATAAGAGCAAAATTCCACCTCAAAAAAAAAAAAATCATGTCTCATTAGAAACACATTTCAAATGAAGCACTTCTGCCTTTGACTAGTCCTACTTATTTTATAGTAATTCTGACTTGCTTCTGCTTCAAAAGATGATGATTGTTTGCCCTTACCCTCTAAATCTGAAAACACATGCCATCTGAGGTTTACAGAATCTCATATATTTACTGCTACTGAAAGATATTTGAAAACTAACTGAATTATTAAATTTTCATTTGGATATTTGACACTGAATACGCATTGTCTCAGAGTTCAATTCTTAAGGCAAGTTCTCACAGAAACCAAACAAAAAATAGGAAATAAGGAAAGCAAACTATTGTATATCTCTTTTCAAAATTTTTTAATTCTTATGGGTACATAGTAGGTGTATATGTTTATGAGTTACATGATATATTTTGATACAGGCATGCAATGCACAATAATCGCATCAGGGCAAATGGGGTATCCATAACCTCATGCATTTATCCTTTGAGTTTCAAACAATCAGATTATAAATTTTTAGCTAATTTAAATGCATAGTTTTTTTTAAAATTATAGTCACGCTGTAGTGCTAGCAAATACTGGGTCTTATTCTTTCCAACTATTTCTTGGTATATATTAATCATCTCCACTTCCTGCCCCCTCCCACCCTCACTATTCCTCCCAGCCTCTGGCATGGCAACCATCCCTCTACTCTCTATCTCCTCTCTATCTCCATGAATTCAATTGTTTAATTTTTAGCTCCCAGAGATAAATGAGAACATGCAATGTTTGTCTTTCTGTGCTTGTCTTATTTCACTTAACATACTGATCTCCAGTTCCATCTGTGTTGTTGCAAATGACTGGATCTCATTCTTTATTAAGGCTAACTAGTACTCAATTGTGTATACGTACCACATTTTCTTTATCCATTCATATGTTGATGGACACTTAGGTTTCTTCCAAATCTTGCCTACTAATAGTGCTGCACTAAACATGAGAGTGCAAATGCCTCTTCAATATTCTGATTTCCTTTCTTTTGGGTATATAACTAGCAATGGGATAGCTGGATCCTATAGTAGCTCTATTTTTACTTTTTTGAGGAAGCTCCAAACTGTTCTCCATAGTGGTTATACTAATTTAAATTCCCACCAACAGTGTACAAGGATTCCCCTTTCTCCATTTCATCACCAGCATTTGTTATTGCCTGTCTGTTGGATAAAAGCCATTTAAACTGAAGTGAGATTATGTCTCATTGTAATTTTGATTTTCATTTCTCTGATGATCAGTGACATTGAGCATCTTTTCCTATACCTGTTTGCCATTTGTGTGTCTTCTTTTGAGAAATGTCTATTCAGATCTTTTGCCAATTTTAAATCAGATTGTTAGATTTTTCCCAATAGAGTTGTTTGAGCTTATTACATATTCTGGTTATTAATCCCTTGTCAGATGGGTAGTTTGCAAATATTTTCTGCCGTTCTGTGGGTTGTCTCTTCACTTTGTTGATTGTTTCTTTGCCGTGAGGAAGCTTTTTAATTTGAAGTGATCCCATTTGTCCATTTTTGCTTTGGTTACCTGTGGTTGTGAGGTATTAGTCAAGAAATCTTTACCCACTCCAATGTTCTGAAGAGATTACTCACTTTTTTCTTGTAGTAGTTTCATAGCTTGAAGTCTTAGATTTAAATATTTAATCCATTTTAAATTGACTTTTGTATTTTGCCATAGCTAGGAGGTCTAGTGTCATTCTTCTGCATATGGATGTTTAATTTTCCCATTTATTGAAGAGACTGTCCTTTCCCCAGTGTATGTTCTTGGCACCTTTGTCAAAAATGAGTTCAGTGTAAAGTATGGATTCATTTCTGGGTTCTCTATTCTGTTTCACTGGTCTATATGTCATAGACCATACACCAGTTATGCAGGTATCATGTCATTTTTGTTACTATATCTCTGTAGTATAATTTGAAGACAGGTAATGTGATTCCTCCAGCTTTGTTCTTTTTGGCCAGCATAACTTTGGCTACTATGGGTCTTTTGTGGTCCCATGTAAATTTTAGGATTCTTATTTCTGTTTCATTGTAAAGATCTCTCATTTTTTTCAGTTAATTCCTAGGTATTTTATTTTATGTATAAAATATTTATTGCCATATAGTTCTTTCCTGTCTTCCTTCTAGTGAAGGTGATTTTCTCTGGTGGTATGATTTAATTCCTTGCTTTTAATTTTTTGTTTATCTGCTACATGTTTTTTGACCTGAGGTTACCATGAGGCTTGCAAATACTATCTTATAATCCATTATTTTAGGCTGACGATAACTTAACACTGATTCAATAAACAAATGAACAAACAAGCAAAAAGAAACCTAATAAAAACTACACCTTAACTTGTCTCTCCACTTCTTAACTTTTTGTGAACAATGATGGTGGTATTTTGATGGGAATTGCATTGAATTTGTAGATCGCTTTGGGCAGTATGGTCATTTTCACAATATTGATTTTACCCATCCATGAGCATGGACTGTGTTTTCATTTGTTGGTATCATCTATGGTTTCTTTCAGCAGCGTTTTGTAGTTTTCCTTGTAGAGGTCTTTCATGTCCTTGGTTAGGTGTATTCTTAAGTATTTTATTTTTATTTCGCAGCTATTCTGAAAGGGGTTGAATTCTTGATTTGATTCTCAGCTTGGCTGCTGTTGGTGTATAGCAGAGCTTACTGATTTGTGCACATTAATTTTGTACCCTAAAACTATGCTGAAGTTCATTTACCAGTTCTAGGAACTTTTTGAATGAGTCTTTAGGGTTTTAAGTATGTGATCTAAGTACTAAATATGTGATCATATCATCAGCAAACAGTGACAGTTTGACTTCTTTACCAAGTTGGATACCTTTTATTTCTTTCTCTTGTCTGGCTAGGACTTTCAGTATTATGTTGAATAGAAGTGATGAAAGTGGGCATCCGTGTCTCGTTCTAGTTCTCAAGGGGAATGCTTTAAACTTTTCCCAATTCAGTAGAATATTGGCGGTGGGTTTGTCATAAATGTCTTTTATTACCTTAACGTATGTCCCTTCTGTGCTAATTTTTCTGAGGCTTTTAATCATAAAGGGATGCTGAATTTTGTCAAATGCTTTTTCTGCATCTATTAATATGATCGTGTGATTTTTTGTTTTTAATTCTGTTCATGTTGTGTATCACATTTATTGACTTATGTATATTAAACCACCCCTGCATCCCTGGTATGAAACCTACTTGATCATGGTGGATTATTTTTTGATATGCTGTTGGATTTGGTTTGCTACTATTTTGTTGAGGATTTTTGTGTCTATGTTCATCAGGGATATTGGTCTTCAGTTTTCTTTTTTTGTTATGTCTTTTCCTGGTTTTGGTATCTGGGGGATACTAGCTTCATAGAAAGATTTAGGGACGATTCTCTCTTTCTTTATCTTTTGGAATGGTGTCAATAAAATTGGTACCAATTCTTCTTTGAATGTCTGATAAAACTCAGTTGTGAATCTGTCTGGTCTTGGACATTTTTTTTGTTGGCAATTTTTAAAATTACCATTTAAGTCTCACTGCTTGTTATTGGTCTGTTCGGAGATTCTACATCTTCCTGGTTTAATCTAGGAGGGTTGCATATTACCAGAAATTTATCCATCTCATCTAGGTTTTCTAGATGTTCATCAGGGATATTGGTCTAAAATTCTCTTTTTTTGTTTGCTGTGTCTCTGCCAGGCTTTGGTATCAGGATGATGCTGGCCTCATAAAATGATTTAATGAGGATTCCTTCTTTTTCTATTGATTGGAATAGTTTCAGAAGGAATGGTACCAGCTCCTCTTTTTACCTCTGGTAGAATTTGGCTATGAATCCGTCTGGTCCTGGACTTTTTTTGGTTCGTAGGCTGTTAATTATTGCTTGAATTTCAGAGCCTGTTATTGGTCTATTCAGAGATTCAACTTCTTCCTGGTTTAGTCTTGGGAGAGTGTATGTGTCCAGGAATTTATCCATTTCTTCTAGATTTTCTAGTTTATTTGTGTAATGGTGTTTATAGTATTCTCTGATGGTAGTTTGTATTTCTGTGGGATTGGTGGTGATATCCCGTTTATCATTTCTTATTGAGTCTATTTGATTCTTCTGTCTTTTTTTCTTTATTAGTCTTGCTAGTGGTCTATCAATTTTGTTGATCTTTTCAAAAAACCAGCTCCTGGATTCATTGATTTTTTGAAGGGTTTTTCGTATCTCTATCTCCTTCAGTTCTGCTCTGATTTTAGTTATTTCTTGCCTTCTGCTAGCTTTTGAATGCGTTTGCTCTTTCTTCTCTAGTTCTTTTAATTGTGATGTTAGGGTGTCAATTTTGGATCTTTCCTGCTTTCTCTTGTGGGCATTTAGTGCTATAAATTTCCCTCTACACACTGCTTTAAATGTGTCCCAGAGATTCTTGTAGGTTGTGTCTTCATTCTCACTGGTTTCAAAAAACATCTTTATTTCTGCCTTAATTTCATTATTTACCCAGCAGTCATTCAGGAACAAGTTGTTCAGTTTCCATGTAGTTGAGTGGTTTTGAGTGAGTTTCTTAACCCCGAGTTCTAATTTGATTGCAGTGTAGTCTGAGAGACAGTTTGTTGTGATTTCTGTTCTTTTACATTTGCTGAGGAGTATTTTACTTCCAATTATGCGGTCAATTTTAGAATAAGTGCAATGTGGTGCTGAGAAGAATGTATAGTCTCTTGATTTGGGGTGGAGAGTTCTGTAGATGTCTATTAGATCTGCTTGGTGCAGAGGTGAGTTCAAGTGCTGGATATCCTTGTAAACCTTCTGTCTCATTGATCTGTCTAATATTAGACAGTGGGGAGTTAAAGTCTCCCATTATTATTGTATGGGAGTCTAAGTCTCTTTGTAGGTCTCTAAGGACTTGCTTTATGAATCTGGGTGCTCCTGTATTGGGTGCATATATATTGGGATAGTTAGTTCTTCTTGTTCCATTGATTCCTTTACCATTATATAATGGCCTTCTTTGTCTCTTTTGATCTTTTTTGGTTTAAAGTCTGTTTTATCAGAGACTAGGATTTCAACCACTGCTTTTTTCTTTGCTTTCTATTTGCTTGGTAGATATTCCTTCATCCCTTTATTTTGAGACTGTTTGTGTCTCTGCACATGAGATGGGTCTCCTGAATACAGCACACTGATGGGTCTTGATTCTTTATCCAATTTGTCAGCCTGTGTCTCTTAATTAGGGTGTTTAGCTGATTTACATTTAAGGTTAATAGTCTTACATGTGAATTTGATCCTGTCATTATGATGTTAACTGGTTATTTTGCCCATTAATTGGTGCAGTTTCTTCATGGCATCAATGGTCTTTACAGTTTCTCATGTTTTTGTGATGGCTGGTACCGGTTGTTCCTTTCCCTGTATAGTGCTTTCTTCAGGAGCTCTTGTAAGGCAGGCCTGGTGGTGACAAAATCTCTCAGCATTTGCTTCTGTAGAAAGGATTTTATTTCTCCTTCACTTTGAATCTTAGTTCGACTGGATATGAAACTCTGGGTTGAAAATTCTTTTCTTTAAGAATGTTGAATATTGGCCCCTGCTCTCTTCTGACTTGTAGAGTTTCTGCTGAGGGATCCACTGTGAGTCTCATGGGCTTTCCTTTGTGGGTAACCCAACTTTTCTCTCTGACTGCCCTTAACATTTTTTCCTTCATTTCAACCTTGTTGAATCTGACAATCATGTGTCTTGGGGTTGCTCTTCTTGAGGAGTATCTTTTTGGTGTTCTCTGTATTTCCTGAATTTGAATGTTGGCCTGCCTTGCTAGATTGGGGAAGTTTTCCTGGATAACATCCTGAAGAGTGTTTTCCAACTTGGTTCCATTCTCCCTGTCACTTTCAGGTACACCAATCAAACATACATTTGGTATTTTTACATAGTCCCATATTTCTTGGAGGCTTTGTTTTTTTCTTTTTACTCTTTTTTCTCTAAACTTGTCTTCTTGCTTTATTTCATTAATTTGATCTTCAATCACTGATATCCTTTCTTCCACTTGATTGAATCAGCTATTGAAGCTTGTGCATTCATCACGAAGTTCTTGTGCCATGGTTTTCAGCTCCGTCAGGTCCTTTTAGGTCTTCTCTACACTTTATTCTACTTAGCAATTTGTCTAACCTCTTATCAAGGTTTTTACCTTCCTTGCGATGGGTTAGAACATGCTCCTTTAGCTCGGAGAAGTTTGTTATTACTGACCTTCTGAAGCCTACTTCTGTCAACTCATCAAAGTCATTTTCTGTCCAGCTTTGTTCTGTTGCTGGTGAGGAGCTATGATCCTTTGAAGGAGAAGAGGTGCTCCCGTTTTTAGAATTTTCAGCTTTTCTGCTTTGGTTTCTCCCCATCTTTGTGGTTATATCTACCTTTGGTCTTTGATGTTGGTGACTACAGATGGGGTTTTGGTGTGGATGTCCTTTTTGTTGATGTTGATGCTATTCCTTTCTGTTTTCAGTTTTCCTTCTAACAGTCAGTTCCCTCAGGTGCAGGTCTGTTGGAGTTTGCTGGAGGTCCACTGCAGACCCTGTTTTCCTGGGTATCAGCAGTAGAGGCTGCAGAACAGCAAATATTGCTGCCTGCTCCTTCCTCTGGCAACTTCGTCCTAGAGGGGCACCTGCCTGTATGAGGCATCTGTTGGCACCTACTGGTAAGTGTCTCCTAGTTAGGCTACATGGGGGTCAGGGACCCACTTGAGGAGGCAATCTGTCCATTCTCAGAGCTCAAACACCATGTTGGGAGAACCACTGCTCACTTCAGAGCTGTCAGATAGGGATGTTTAAGTCTGCAGAAGTTTCTGCTGGCTTTTTTTCAGCTATGCTCTGCCCACAGAGGTGGAGTCTATAGAGGCAGTAGGCCTTGCTGAGCTGTGGTGGGTTCTGCCCAGTTTGAACTTCCTGACTGCTTTGTTTACCTATTTAAGCCTCAGTAATGGCAGATGCCCCTCCCCTCACCAGGCTGTAACCTTGCAGGTCGATCTCAGACTGCTGCACTAGCAGTGAGCAAGGCTCCGTCAGTGTGGGACCCACTGAGCCAGGCGTGGGAGAGAATCTCCTTGTCTCCTGGCTGCTAAGACCATTGGAAAAGGGCAGTATTTGGGCAGGAGTGTCCCATTTTTCCATGTACAGTCTATCACAGCTTCCCTTGGCTAGGAAAGGGAAATCCCCTGACCCCTTGAGCTTCCCAAGTGAGGCGATGCCCCATCCTACTTTGGCTCACCCTCTGTGGGCTGCACCCACTGTCCAACCAGTCCCAGTGAGATGAACAAGGTACCTCAGTTGGAAATGCAGAGATCACCTGTCTTCTGTGTCGATCACGCTGGGAGCTGCTGACTGAAGCTGTTCCTATTTGGCCATCTTGGAATGGAATCCACTATCTCATTTCTTATTTCTAGAAGTAACTGTTTTATATTGAAAGCTCCAGAGTTAGGTGCACATGTATTTAGAATTGTGATATTTTCCTGTTGGACTAGTTCTTTTGTCATTATGTAACATCCCTCTGTCTTTTTTAACTGCTGTTGCTTTAAAATTTGTCTAAGAAAGCTACTCCTGCTCACTTTTGGTGTCCATTTGGATGGAATATCTTTTTCTACCTGTTTACTTTGTTTTTGTGAGTCCTTATGTGTTAGTTGAGTTTCCTGAAGATAGCAAAAACTTGGTTTGTGAACTCTTATCCATTCTGCCATTCCGTATCTTTTAAGTGGAGCATTTAGGACATTTTCATTCAATGTTAGTATTGAGATATGAGGTATTATTCTATTCATTGTGCTATTTGTTGCCTGAATACCTTGTTTTCTTTTCATTATGTTATTGTTATTAAGGTCCTGTGAGATTTATGTTTTAAGGATGTTCTATTTTGGTGTATTTTGAGGATTTATTTCAAGATTTAGATCTCCTTTTAGCAGTTCTGGTGGGCATTTGTTTTTCTGGGAAAGACTGTATTTTTCCTTCATTTATGAAGCCTAGTTTGGTTGGATACAAAATTTTTGGCTGATAATTATTTTGTTTAAAGAAGCTAAAAATAGGACCCCAATCCCTTCTATCTTGTAGAGTTTCTGCTGAGAAATCTGTTGTTGATCTAATAGGTTTTCCTTTATAGGTTACCTGATGATTTTGTCTCACAACTCTTAAGATTCTTTGTCTTGACTTTAGATAACCTGTTGACTATGTGCCTAGATAATGATGCTTTTGTGATGACTTTAGGTGTTCTTTGAGCTTCTTGTATTTGGATATCTAGATCTCTAGCAAGGCTGGGGAAGTTTTCCTCAATTATTCCATCAAATATGTTTTCCAAATTTTAGATTTCTCTTCTTCCTCAAGAACACCAATTATTCTTAGGTTTGGATGTTTACAATAGTCAAAAACTTCTTGTAGGCTTTGTTCATTTTTTAAAAATTCTTTTTTCATTGTCTTTGATGGATTGGGTTAATTCCAAAGCCTTGTCTTTGAGCTCTGAAGTTCTTTCTTCTGCTTGTTCAATTCTATTGCTGAGACTTTCCAGTGAATTTTGCTAATTTCCAGAAGTTGTGATTGTTTTTTATTTATGCTATGTATTTAATGGAAGAATTTTCCTGTCATATCCTGTATTATGTTTTTGATTTCTTTAAATTGGACTTCACCTTTCTCTGGTGCCTCCTTGATTAGCTTATCAACCCTCTGATTTCTTTTTACGGCAATTCAGAAATTTTTTTCTTGGTTTGGATCCATTGCTGGTGAGCCAGTGTGATCTTTTGGTGATGTTGAAGAACCTTGTTTTCTCATATTACCAGAATTGTTTTTCTGGTTTCTCCTCATTTGGGCAGACTATGTCAGAGGAAAGATCTGGGATTCAAGAGCTGCTGTTCAGATTCTTTTGTCCCACAGGCTGCTCCCTTGATGTGGTGTTCTCCTCCTTCCTGTAGCAATGGAGCTTTTTGAGAGCTAAATGGTAGTGATTGTTTTTGCTCTTCTCAGTCTAGCCACACAGCAGAGCTACCGGCTCTGGGCTGGTGGTATTGGGGAGTGTCTGCAAAGAGTCCTGCAATATCATCCATCTTCAGGTCTTGCAGCCATGAATACCAGCACCTGCTCTGGCGAAGATTTTCAAGAGTGCATCAACTGCAGTCCAATAGGGAGGATGCAAACTTGCCCTAAGGACACCTGGTTAAGTATTCAGGTTTCTCAGGTGGTGGGCAGGGCCATAGAGCTCCCAAGAGATTATGACATTTGTTTTTGGATACCAGGGAGGGCAGAGAAAGACCATCGAGTGGGGGCAGGGATAGGTTTGTCTGAATTCAGCCTGTCATTGGGCTGAGCTTGCTTAGGCTGTGGGGGATGGGGGTGTGGTTCCCAGCCCAATGGAGTTATATTCCCAGGGGGATTATGGTTGCCTCTGCTGAGTCATACAGGTCCCCAGGGAAGTGAGGGAAAGCCAGCAACCACAGGCCTCATCTCACTCCCATGCAGCCTGCAATCCTAAAGGCTGGTCTCCCTCCCACTATGCTCCCCCAAAAGCACCAAGTCTATTTCCAGGCAGCCAGTGACGAGGGCTGAAAACTTGCCCGAGAGTATGAGCCTCCCTGTTGAGAAAGCAAGCCGACTCACAGTTTTTCAGTATCTCAGGGAGCCTGCAGGGGTGATCCAGTTCCTTTAAAGGGTTTGTGGATTCTCTCAGCTTTCCTGGTATGTTTCTGCAATAGTTCTTGGAACAAAAATTTACAATGTGAGTCTCCACATGCTGCTCTCTCTGTCCGAGTGGGAGCTGCAAGCTAGTCCTGATTCCTTTCTACCATCTTAATCTGTTATAGTTATTTTTGTTTGGTTCATCATTTAATCTTTCTACTTAAGAATAATTTATGCATCACAGTATTATAATATGCTGTGTTTTTTTTCTGTGTACTTAATATTAGCAGTGAGGTTTGTACTTTCAGATGATTTATTATTCCTCATTAATGTCCTTTTCTTTCTGATTGAAATATTCCCTTTAGCATTTTACGTAGGACAGGTCTGGTGTTAAGTTTTTCAGCTTTTGTTTGTATGGAAAAGTCTTCATTTCTCCTTTAGGTTTGAAGGATATTTTTACTGAATATATTATTCTAGGGTAACTGTTTTTGTTTGTTTGTTTGTTTTTCCTTCAGCATTTTAAATATGTGGTACCACTCTCTCCCGGCCTGTAAGGTTTCCACTGAAAACTCTGCTGCCAGATGTATTAGAGCTCCATTGTATGGCATTTTTTTTTTCTTTTGTGCTTTAAGGATTCTTTCTTTATCCTTAGCCTTTGGGGGTTTGATTATTAAATGCCTTGACATAGTATTCTTTGGATTAAATCTGCTTGGTGTTCTATAACCTTCTTGTGCATGGATATTGATGTATTTCTCTAGGTTTGGCAAGTTCTCTGTTATTACCCTGTTGAATAAATGTTCTACCTTTATCTCTTTCTCTACCTTCTCTTTAAGGCCAACGATTCTTAAATTTGCCCTTTTGAGGCTATTTTTTTTAAGAGCTTGTAGACATGTTTCTTTCCTCCTAATTCTTTTTTTCTTTTGTCTCCTCTGTGTATTTTCAAATAGTCTCTCTTCAAGCCCACTAAGTCTTTCTTCTGCTTGATCAATTCTGCTATTAAAAGACTGATGCATTCTTCAATATGTCATTTGCATTTTCCAATTCCAGAATTTCTGCTTGATTCTATTTTTTTTTTTTTTTTGACATGACTTGCCTCTGTCACCCAGGCTAGAGTGCAGCGGTGTGATCTCAGCTCATTGCAACCTCCACCTGCCAAGCTCAAGCCATCCTCCTACCTCAACCTCCCGAGTAGCTGGGACTATAGGTACATACCATCATGCCTAACTAGTTTTTTTTTTTGTTGTTGTTTTTTTTTGGTAGAGATGGGGTTTTGCCATGTTGCCCTGGTTGGTCTTGAACTCCTGGGCTCAAGTGATCTGCCTGTCTCAGCCTCCCAAAGTACTAGGACTACAGGCGTGAGCCACTGTGCTGGGCCTTGGTTGATTGTTTTTAATCTTTTATTTTCACTTTTTGAGACAAGGTCTCATTCTGTTGCCCAGGCTGGAGCACAGTGGCATGATCTTGGCTAACTGCAACCTCTGCCTCCTGGGTTCAAGCCATTCTCCCACCTCAGCCTCCTGAATAGCTGTGATTACAGGTGTGCACCACCATGGCTGGCTAATTTTTGTATTTTTTGGTAGAGATGTGTTTCACCATGTTGGCCAGGCTGGTTTTTATTTCTTGACCTCAAGTGATCTGCCTGCTTTGACCTCCCAAAGTCCTGGGATTACAGGCATTAGCCACCGTGTCTGGCCTCTTATTTTTCACCCTGTCTTATGGTACTGAAGCTAGATTCTTTTTAATTATTTCAATCTCTTTGTTACATTTATCTGAGAGAATTTGGAATTCCTCCTCTTTATTATCTTGAATTTCTTTGAGTTTCCTCAAAACAACTATTTTAAATTATTTGTTTGAATGATCACATATCTCTCTTTCTCCAGGATTGTTCCCTGGTGCCTTATTTAGTTTGTTTGGTGAAGTCGTGTTTTCCTGGATGGTGTTGATGCTTGCAGATGTTCATCTGCGTCTGACCATTGAAGAGTTAGGTATTTATTATAATCTTTGCAGTCTAGGCTTCTTTGTACCCATCCTTCTTGGGAACACTTTCCAGGTATTTGGAAGGACTTGGGTATTGTGATCTAAGTCTTATATTCATTAGGGGACACTATAAGCCCAGTGATGCTGTGGTTCTTATTGACTTTTAGAGGTACCACTTTGTGGTTTTGGAATAGATCTAGAAGAATTCTCTGGATTACCAGGCAGAGACTCTTGCTCTCTTCCCTTACTTTCTCCCAAACAAATGGAGTCTCTCTCTCTATGCTGAGACACTTGGAGCTTGAGGTGGGGTGACACAAACACCCCTTTGGCCACCACTGCTGGGACTGCACTGGTTAGACCTTAAGGGAGCACGGTACTGGGTTTTGCCTTAGGCTCACTGTAACTACCACCTTGCTATAGCTTTTGTTCACTGAAGGCCCTGGGGCTGTACAATCCACAGGTGGTGAAGCCAAACAACCTTATCTTTTTCCCTTTAGAGTGGTGAGCTCTCTAGGCCCCAGGTGGGTCCAGAAATGCCATCTAGAAGCCAAGGAGTAGAGTAAAAAAACCTTTAAAATCTACCTGGTGTTATATTGTACTGCTGCCGAGCTGAGCTGGCTTTCAAACCATGTAACACAGTCCTTCTCACTATTCCCTTCCCTTTTCATAGGCAAGGGAGCCTCACCCTATGGCCACCACCACCACAGGCTCATGGAGAGTCCTGTCACGATTCCACCAATGTTCACTTAAAGCCCAGGGGTTCTTCAGTCAGCTTGTGGTGAATGTTGTCAAGCCTGGGACTCACTCTTCCAGGCTCCCCTCTGGCCCAGGGCAGGTCCAGAAATGCTGTCCAAGAGCAAAGGCTTGTAATTAGGAACCTTAAGAGCCTGCCTGGTTTTCTACTCTATTGTGGCCAAACTGGTACCTAAGGTACAAGATGAAGTCCTCTTTACTTTTTCCTCTGCTTTTCTCAAGCAAATGGGGCATCTCTCCACAGCCACCACAGCTGGGAGTGTGCTGTGCCTCTCCTGAAACCAGCAAGTTTCCGTCTCACCCAAGGCTAATGGCATACTACCTGGGTAATATTGCTGGTTATTCAGGGCCCAAGGCCTCTTTAGTCAGCAGGTGATGAGTCCTGCCATGACTGGGTCCTTCTCTTTAAGGCAGCATGTTAACTTCGGTCCCAGGGTGTGTCTAGAAATGTTTCCGGGAGCCAAGGCATGGAATGGGGCTTCGTAACTCTGACCAGTGCCCTATTCTTTTGTAGATGAACTGGTATCCAAGATGTAAGGCAAAGTCCACTTTACCATTCCCTTTCCTCACCTGGAAGGAAGGGGTCTCTTTTGGAGCTGTGAGCTGTGCAGCCTGGGGTTGGGGGAGGGCAAACACTCTAAACACTCTCTTAGCTGTCCTGGCTGGTGTCTCGGTAGTCCTTGGGCCTCCCAGTACACTGGTTTTGAGCCCAGCTCAGCACTAGGACTCACCTAGGAATCACAGTCTTTGTGGCCTAGACTGCCTTTCAAGTTTATGTGGGGCCCCAGAGCACTTCAGCCCCAAGTGGCAAGGCTTGCTGAAACTCAAGTTCCAACTGCTAAGATGGGCAATTTCCCTGTACCTAGCTGGTCCAAATGCTCTCTCCATGGGCAAGCATTAGCTAAGTACAGCAAGGTTCTGCTTTCCACTGTGATAGTGGAGCATTGAGTTCAATGCAGTCTCACAATCATTACACTCTCCCTTCCCAGCATACAGATTCTGTGTGCCATGCAGCCGCTGCTAGGAAGGTAGGAAAGGAGTGGCAATGGCAATTCAAGACTGTTTTATTCTGCCCTTTTCAGTACCTATTTCAGTAATATGAGGTTAACTAGAGGAACTGTGATTGCTCACCTGATTTTTGGTTGTTATAAAGTACATACTTTTTTTGTGTAGATGGTTGTTAAATTTGGTGTTCCTGTAAGGGGTAGGGGGAATAGGTCCTCTGCCCCCACCCAGAGAATAACCTACCTTATCTTTCTTGGCAGATAGTTCTCATTAAAAATACCTTGTCCTGAACATTTTGTGTTTATTTTAGTAACTGTCAACTATATGACAATGAACAAATGTATAGAAAAGTGAACAATAGAGAATGACAAATCTATTTGGCCATTGTATAGTGTGTGGGAATTTACACTTACTAAAAGGTTTTCTGCTCGAAAGAGCTATGCCCAGGGTTATTGGATCCAAAGTTTAACATTATGCACTCTGTTGATACAAACATTTTACTGAACTTTCAGAGGCAAAATTTGGGGTGCCTTAGTGAGAGTGAAGAGGAGGTTTCATGCAAAGCATGTGCCTACTTTTCTAAGTGTTGCCCAGCTGCTAATATCTGATCTAGTGTCTGACCTGTTTTCTCCTTCCATGACTTGCAGATGATTTTTTCCTTTATAAGTCTGTTAAAAGCAAAAATAATAATCCTAGGATAAACAAAGTTATAGCATGGTAGCAAATTATCTCTAATTTACTTAGCCTAACAAAATTTCTTTTTCACTTATGCCACCTGTCTAATGTAGATTGGTAGGAGGTCTGCTGTCATAGTCACTAAGGGACTCAGGGCAATGAAGACCTTATCTCAACACCTGCCATATGCTCGCTGTGTCAGAGGGAGAGGATGATACTAAATCATGCATTATCTCTTAAGCTTCTATTCAGCAGTAAGCACATCATTTCTACTCATATACCATTAATGACAGCAAGTTATATTGTCATACTTCACTTCAAAGGAGATGTGAACATGCAGCCCTACCATTTACCTTGAAAAAGAGGAGCTGGAAATATTTGATATAATTAACTTTAACGGCCACTACCTCAATCATCCACCAAGAAGAAAAGATTTCTTATTTTTAAACATAAAGAAATGTTACCACAAGATTTCTGTACTCATTGGTTGTTAGATAATGTCTCTACTGATTTTTTGGTTAGTACTTCAGGTTTCTTACAATATCTGTCATCTTTCATGACAGCATCATTATTCTATATCTGGCTCTAGTCTCCAGAGAGCATCAGGAAATACTATTGTGATAAGGTTACATATATAGATATAGTTCCTGAATCCAGAAACTCTAGCCACATTCTTTAGCGTAATTTAGTTTTCCAGTTTCTGTGTAAATGGGGGACATCTATTCAAATATTTTAAGCATATGCTAGGCCTTTTGTCATGAGATATAATTTCTTTTTCAATTGTTTTGTCATTTGACTGGACTTCAATGGCTGCTGCAGTTTTATCCTTATTGGCATCCCAAGAAGAGTGGAAGATAGATAAGCTGCGGGAATTGAGATTTGTATGTTATCTAAGAAACTGGGGTGGGAGGGAGATATAAAAACATGAACCATTTCTCTGTTCTTTATCTATCACTTCCCCATTAGCTCTTTTACGTTGAGAACCAGGGTCATTTTTCTAGTGACAGGCCTACTTTGTAGACATTACATCCTAAACTTTCATTAAGGGCAATATTATAATAGGATAAACTAGGCTATGCTGTGCTAACAAGTAAACTCCAAAGTTCTAGTGATTTAATTCAATAAGGATTTATTTCTTTCTCATATCACAGTCTAAGTTGAATGGTTCCCTTAGGCCACTCTTAAGGAGTCTGACTAAAACTCCTGGCTAAAATCAACATGTGATTTTTCTTTTTTTTTTTTTTTGTGACAAACAATAGGCAGTCACAAAGCTGCCCTCCCCACACCAGTCTTGGTGTGGCAAATGCAATCTTTGAAGGAGGTTGCAGTTGAGGACTCAGGCTCCCTGGCTGACTTTGCTCTTATACATATCACCATTCCTAGATGAGATGCCTCCATTTGGAGGCTTCTTTATAGGAGGCCTTCAGCTGAGGCCTTCCTCAGGTGCCTCTGCTGAGACCTCCTTATTAAAGAGCTGAAGAATCAAACTTGAAGAAACATTTCTCCACCCTAACTCAATATTTAGGACTTTTCCACTCCCAGACCTTTCCCCTTTCCTTTCCCCTTGCTCCAGCGTCCATAAAATCCCAAGAGCCTTTTTTTGGAAGCTCCTTTAGGAGTGAGCCAGATACCGTGTCTATGCTAGTCCTGCTAATTCTTGACTGGTGCTGGTCCATGGGAAAAAAATTGATCAGGAGGAGTCACCATTTTCTTCAGGTTAACCTCTTGCTTATCCTGTCCCTGTAAGTGATTAAAGGTTTCACTGTTACTTTCATTTTTGCTTCTTGCTTCATTTTTGCTTCTTGGCTACTCTGATACCTGGCAGCTTAGCTCTGTCTAGGTCAGCTCAGCTCCTTATAATTCTACAAGGAGTAACTCAGGAATCCAAGATGTTTCCATCTTGAAGCTACACTATCTGGAGCATTTGTGTCCAGTGTCACTGGGAAACAGAAGGAGAGAGAGTAGGGAACTGTGCAAATAAATTAATGGCCAAGCCTAGATGTGGTGCATAGCACATTCATTCATATTTCACTGGTCAGAACTCAGTTACATGTTTCCAAGCCAGTGTCAAGGCAGATTGGAAAAGTAGTTTTCTTGTGTATATAGGAAGAGAAAAGAGATTTTTTGTGAACATTCAGCCAATTTCTGTCTGTGATGTCAGCTTTTGTTGGGTATGTATGTGTGTTGTGGGGGGTAAGTTTTGCACAAGTTTTGCAGACTAGTAGGAGATATAATTACAGATGAAAGGCAGGTCTGATGCCCAGGCATTATACTGAGCATGAGGAATCTCTAATAGAGAGGTGAAATAAAGACTGAAGATTTAGTGACATTGAATGACACATCTTAGGGGACAATGGCATTACCTTTCCTAGTCTAGAAAAAACTTCTGGGTGTTCTTGAGAACTCTTCTCCACCCACCAATACTTCTAAATTTAATTCCTCTGCACCAGCTGCACAATCCTGCATTTACAATTCAGCTTAGACTATTCAACTTTCTACCTACCATTCCCCTCTGTAAAAACGAAAGGTTTAAATCAATGATTTTCTTCCCCTACTAGCCTGGAAGGTGCAGTTGGTCATTTCATGGGCACTCAAGGAATGTCTGACCTACCTCACAGTGATCTGTTCATAGTAAACATTTAATGCAGGTAAATATAGTCCTAACTCATCTTCATCGTCATGAAATTCTAGAAGTTTCACGTCAACAAAACAATGACTCACAGGTTTTTAAGAAACAGTGTCAGCATATGTTCTTGAATTCCAAGTTATACAACTTTGTGTTTGTCAAATTACAGGTACAGTTATGAAACCTCTAGAAGTCATCCATTCTTGTATAGACTTACTCTCCTGGCATGTCTACTTGCTATGAAACAGCTGTTTAGTCATGTTGCCAAGAAGAAAAGAAGACAGAATGCCTCTAGATAAAGAAATGCTATTCCTATGTCAACTTGCTATGCAAAGTGTGGACTGTGGACCAGCAGCATGTGTGTCGCCTGGCAGCTTGTTGCAAATGCAGAATCTGAAGCTCTCATCTAGACCTACTAAACAGACTTCACTTTAACAATATAACCGGGCAAGTCATATAGTCATTAAAATTTGAGAAGTATGATCTAGCATAGATATTACTTCATAATAAATGTTTAATGTTTCAGTTACTATTGCTGCATAGCAAAACACCCCAAAATTAATGACTTAAAATGACAACTACCACTTTATTGTGAGGAATTCAGGAAAGGCTCATTTGGGTGTTTGGCTTATGATCTTTCATATGGGTGCAGTCAGACAATGTCTGGATCTGGGACTCTGGTGGACTGAAGCACCTGGTCACTGGTCTGACATCTTTTTTTCTTCTTATACAATCTCAGGGCCTCTCTATGTAATCTTGCTGCTAGGCTAGTTTGGGCTTCCCAAAGCCTGGTAGCCTGAGGTCAGTTGGACTGCTTACACATGGCCGATGGCTTCAAAAAGGAGTACTCTAGTGGAGAGAGCACAAGTTGCTTGGCTTTTCTGATCTAGCCTTAGAAGTCACTTCTGCCATGCTCTATTTGTTGAAACACTGTAAAACATCATCAGTTTGAAGGAGACAGTATATACACCTTACCTCTTCATGGGAGGATTGTCAAAGTCTCTCTGTAAGAAGAGCATAGTATAGGAGATATTGTTGTAGCCACCTTTGCAAAATACAATTGACACACTTAATATTTATAACTATTGCCTTTACTCCTTTATTGTGTAGATGTAAATCAGTGATTAATTCCAGGTTAAAGGTACTTTTTGGCATGCTCAATAGCCGTCTTTACTTTACAGGAGGAGGTAGAGTACCAGATGGCTTTTCCAAAAGGCATGCTGAAAATTATTAGTAGTTTGATAAAGATTCTGATGAATTCCTCAAGGCTAAATGCAGTGCTGAATTTTCCTTTGTCATCTTCTTTGATCTTCTCAGTGAGAAATTATCTCATCTTCTTCCAAAGCCCATTAGAATGTTGCCTATTTTAAAAGTTGAGTTCTTCATATCATAAATTAAATATTATGTCTAAAGAGTTTCTGGCATATGCTACATACTCAATGATTGCAGGTATTTTCATTAAACCTATTTATATATATTTCTTACCTCCTTCTCCTTTCTTTTCCTGGTGAACTGCAATTCCTTTAGAAGCCAATTCTGAATTTCTAGGCAGAACAGTCATAGTTTTCTTTCGGTTTCAAACTAATTTAAACCCCAAAAACCAGTATTCATGCACAGACTTATTATATTCCATTACCTAGCATTTCTAAAGAATGACTTTTTTTTTTTTTTTTTTTTTACAGAGGTGAGCTTTTTAGATAACTTACACTATTTTAAGTTACAAGGTTTTCATAATCTTAATTTTTTTCAGTGGAAATTTTTTGCTAAATGTGTAATATGCACCTATAATGCTAAGCATAAGCAGATGCTCATAAGCTAGGGATTCCTTTTTCTTCCTCATTTTGTGATGTTTATAGCCTTGCTGCTGCCAGGGTGTCTGTACCTAGTGGCGTTTGCTCCTTTCTCAGAGAAAATTACATAATAGATTGCATAAACATTCTATCTATGATCAGATAATGTGATCTATGAGGGAAAGCCTCAGAGAATCTCTTATGAAGAAGTGAATACATTTGCTTGTTTTTGATTTTGAATGAGTATGATACAACAAAATAATAATAAATTATAAAATATAATTAAATTTTATTTAATAATATTCATTAAATAAAAATATTATTATCATGCCAGTTTTATGGTTTGAATATCACCTTTGCATGCATTTTCTAACTTGTTTTTGAAAACCTCACTGTAAGGTACAGTTACTCATAGTAAAAACAATATGTGATCAATATAATGTTTTTAATAAAAATATGGAGTTGTTCTAAACTTTCGTTTATTTATTTATTTCTTTTTGAGACAGAGTCTGGCTCTATCGTCCAGGCTGGAGTGCAGTGACATGATCTTGGCTCACTGCAACCTCTGCCTCCCTGGTTCAAGTGATTCTCCTGCCTCAGCCTCCTGAGTAGTTGGGATTACAGGCATGCACCACAATGCCCAGGTATTTTTGTTTTTTTTTTTTTTTTTTTGTATTTTTAGCACAGACAGGGTTTCACCAAGTTGGCCAGACTGGTCTGGAACTCCTGACCTCAAGTAATCCACCTGCCTCGACCTCCCAAAGTGCTGGGATTACAGGCTTGAGCCACCGTACCAGGCCCTGAAATTTTAAAATATGACTTATATCCTTACCACAAAGAGATACCAATTTTGGTATATTTTCTTGTCTTATTTTTTTCTAGTCACAGATTTTATTTTATACATGATATGATCACACTGAATATACAATTTTGATTAGAGATTTAGACATACCTACTTTGTACTAGAAGTATATATCTTCTCAAGAATAATGAACATTATTTATTTAACTGTCACCCTTCCCTTCTGTTGAACCATTTTATTTATTTCCAAAATTTTGCAACCCTAACAAAACATGCCTGTACTTCTTTTTCCATAATTATGTTTTTATTTATTTAGAAACATTTCTTGGTAAGAGAGTTGGCAGTAATCCTAAGTTAAAGATATGAATATTTGAGGGGATGAGGGAGTTCACTAATATATATTACAAAACTGGAACATACACTTAAGATTAGGAGTATGAGTATGAGTATGAGATATGTTCCAAATAACACGGTTAGTAACTTGGATGAAAGCAAAATACAACTCTAAGACATTATTGAAATTTGTTCTGGTGGCTCTCTGAACTTTTGATTGCTTACTTTCTTGTGCTCACTTATGTTCTAAATGCTTGAGATTCCGGAACAAGTGATCTTTGGGAAAGAAAGATTTTATAAAACACACCATGCTATACTTCTGCATTTTGGCCTCTTTTAAACAACTCAGTAGAAGACTTTTTAATTTCGAAGAGAAACACAATTTTTATCTTTGTTTCCTTCTTTATTAATAATGAGATTAACTTTTTCTGTTACTGCAAGACTTCTTTAATAAACTGTTTTTTTCTAATCACAGCTAGAATGCAACAAAAATATATTAGAGAATTATCTTTGAGATATCATAATTTATGTGAAATTATTTTGAAAAGTGCTTGTTCATATCTTTTGCCCACTTTTTGATGGGGTTGTTTGTTTGTTTTTTCTTATATATTTGTTTAAGTTTCTTACAGATGCTGTAATTAAATTTACTTATGAAGTAGAAAAAGCAGTGTAAGTTATATCTAGATTTGTAGACTTTGTTGCTGTTGTTAATCACCCCTTTTGATTAAACCTGTTTGAAAAATCATTTATCTCTCATTTTACAAAGTCTGTTAATGGAAACCTGGCTCCTTTCTCTCCACTTATGTTACTTGCCTGTTCTAATAGGGCACATAGTGCCGTAGATGTAGATGAAAAGGCATAATCCTCAACTGCCCTTGTCATCTCCTACTTCAACTTATTCCATCCATTCAAATCCTTTAGTCTCTTTCTCAGAGAACAAAAGATTTTGGATGTTCAGATTCAGGCACTTACTGAATTTTTCTGCATTGTAAAGGCTGGAGGAGAAAAGGTATTTTTTTCTCTTGGAAGCTAGGAACAATTTTGCTCCAACATCACGTGAAACTGAAAAAGTGGGGCTGGGGGTGGAAGAGATTGTTGCCCAGTGTGCTTCTTCCCTGGCCCAGACTGTGTTTCTATACAAGTGGACCTCTGAGGACATACATTTACCTAACATCACTTTCTCCAACTTAGGACAACACTGGGCTTCCTGGAAGCTCAGTTCTCCTTACAGGGCAGGCCCAGACTCCCTATTTCCAGAGAAATTTCAGGGATGTTGCTCAATTGTCAACAGAAGCAAGGGAAACCCAAGCATCTTATACTTTTTGTCTTTATGATAATAGATTTAGCTAGGAAAGTGAGGATGGATAAATTTTGAAGGCTGGTCAACCTTATATTTCATTGCTTATCTAAGCAACTTCTTTTGTTTTTAAATTTAACTTTCATTTTAAGTTCAGGGATACATGTGCATCTAGTTACTTAATTGCTGCACACACTCAGCCTTATCAGCCTTAACCTGATGCCATAATGTAGCTTCAACGTATCACTCTTAGATTTAGATCTTCATCCAATTCTTCTTTCCTGAACCCTTAGTTTATATCCATGACTGCTTAGAGATGTGTAGATGCTACACGGAAGTCTTAAATATCCTTGAGCTCTATATTCACACAGCAAACTATTTGGATTTGCTTTTTAGCCACGCTCCTCAAACCTGTTCTTTTTTCCTGAATATCAATTTTAATAAATTGTGCTACCATCAACCCAGTCTCCTATATTATTCTAGATTATTTTTCTTCACTCTACTTTGTTTCTAAACTAATTGTTGTTTATTAAAATTATCAGTTCTACCTTTCAGAAGTGCTTAAGTCTATCTGGACATTGATTTGGTTCAAACCTCACCATTTTAAAGGTAATTTTTCTCAATAGCCTCTAAATACCTTGTATGTCATTTCCCAAATGTCATGTTTTTATACCTCTAAGACTCTTTATATATAAAGATGAATAGTTCTAAATGCTCTTCTTTTTCTTCAGCTGTTTCAAGCTAACTTCTATTTGTCCTTTAAGATTCAAATTGTTCAAGATCTTCATGGTGACCTCCATCCAGTCTGGAGCCAGTCCCTCTTCTTTCTTCTAAACCATTATATGTGTACTTTTCTTACAACTTCTATTTATAATGTATTATAATTGGTATTGTTTGTTTCACTCTTGGTATTGTTTAATTGTTTCACTCTCCAAGTGTGAGTTTCTAAATGTAGAGACTAGCTTATTCACACCCATACACAATTATTTGTGTATATATGTTTATTAGTACATACGGAAGTGTAGTAGTAATAATATACAACGTGTATAGTAAATTAACAAATAGTGATGTGGTTCAGAGATGAAATACTTCCCAAACTGTGATCTTAAAATAAGAACAACAATAGAAAAACAATAAAACTCTCCATTTGTACTTTGTTGGGCTAAACACGGGAACAATAATACAGTCTGTCTCCTCTTATGTTCTTTAAGAGATGTTTGAAAATCTTGTGACACTTGAGTATGGTCAAGCAGAGAAGCTTTCTTTGTTAGAGTGAGTCACTATAAATGATCTCTTTGTTCTCTCAGTTTGCCAGGGATAAAGCAATATAAGTTACCAACTTTTTCTCTGTTTTTCTGTTAAGAACAATAAAAAATAATCTCAGAATGAAATCTTCAAAAATAACTTCTCCTTTTTATGTTTTATAGAGCCAGCTTATAAACTACCCCTGCTCTAAACAGGCTATCCTATCCAGCAAGGTCACTCAATCCTGTGAACAGCCAGTGCCATTCCAAGGGGAAGGCATATTAACTCAGAAAATGCTGACACACCTGACCTTTCATCCCTGCCACTCAGCAGTTCTACAGAAGACCAATTTGTATGCAAACAATTCACTTACAAGCCAGAATTCCTACAAGCATAATACAGTTTTTCTGTAAACTCTTAGTGATAGAATATGTATTTATGAATTCCTTGGGAAGGGTTGCAAACTCGAATGACCACAAGGGCCAGCCAGGGATGGAGTGGGAACTGTGGGCAGGAGGAGATGCTTTGTAGAGTCCAGAGGTGGCAGTGACTGTTCAGCACCAGAAACATTGCCATATGGGAACTCAGACTTCAGGTAGTTGGGTCTCCTGCATTTTGAGAGAAGCTAGAAATGTCTTGGTATTTAAATGTTCACAACTAACATAGGAATTTAAAAAAAAAAGATGAAGTCAAGTGTATGCAGGTTTTGTTTTAAGGGACTTAGAAATAAGCAAGAGCTTTAGATTCATATACTTTGTCAGCTCTTCTGTTTTAATTAACTTAATATCTACTGCCAGACCCTTGGTAAAACATTTAAAGATTAGAGAGTTGGGGTATTAACATCTCTGGTGTGCATTCAGAAGTGTATATTAACTAGGCAAACTGATTTCAATATACACTAATACATTATTGCTGTGGAAATTGTCTGGAAATGGAAATATTTCCAAAGTCCCTTTAGGGAGTGTTATTTAGAGCTAAACAGAACAACAGAATCTCAGTTTTCCTCAAAGTTCTTTGTAGAATAATCTTAGTTATATTTCCAAAATTATATTTGATACTGGTTAATAAAGGTAAATGCTGCCATCTGAACTCACTTATTATAAATGTCTAAACTTGCATTTGGTAGTAAAATGTTGACAGGCACAACTTCCTAGTGGAAAGCACATTGGACTGTGAGTTGGGAAATGTGAGTTCCAGTCCTAGTTTTGAGTGCATAGCTGTGGAATGGAGGTCAAGTCATTTGATTTACCCAGGCTTTTGTGTTACAACTGTAAATTAAGGTGGTTGGAAGATAACTTCAAAGATCCCTTCTATAATTCTGTTCCTTTGAAAATATTCTAGAGTTCGAATTTCTCTTTCTTGTGACATAGAAGAATGTTTAGATTATGTATGGATGGTTCACTTAAAAGTTTATTTGGGACAGGCAGCCAGCACTTTTTTTGAAAAAATGGTCATACTTACTAATATAAAATTTAGTCTTAAAGATTATTAGGAAAAGTGTATTCTCACCAAACACTTGAAATTATTTTTAGTAAAAGTAAATAGAGTCTCTGAGCCAGAAACTACCCGTTGTTAATCAGGATGTTTCGGGCTCAAGTTCTAAATCTGCCACTCATTACTGTGTGACTTTAGAAAGATCATGTAATTGGCCAGATACAGTGGCTTATGCCTGTAATCCCAGCACTTTGGGAGGTTGAGGCAGAAGGACTGTTTGAGGCCAGGAGTTCAAAAGCAACCTGAGCAACGTAGTGACATCCTGTCTCTACAAGAAATTAAAAAATTAACTGGGTGTGGTAGCCCATGCCTGTAGTCCCAGCTACTTGGGAGGCTGAGACGGGAGAACCTCTTAAGCCCAGGAGGTAAAGATTGCAGTGAGGGGTGATCGCACCACTACATTCCAGCCTAGGCAACATTGTGAGACCCTGTCTCAAAAACAAACAAACAAAAAAAATCATGTATTGATTTGATTTTCTTATCTTAAAATGTAGGCAATAAAACCTCTCTTCTAGCTTTCCAGGTTTCCAAATGCTTTAAGGTCAGTTAAAATTTAATAGTCATAATTGGCTTTTGTGGAAAACTTCATGACCTCAGACTTTTATTGTTTACCTTTTAATGTGTTTCATATGATACAGGTTTCCTTATGAATATTCAAAAAGATATCCAAAGTTGGCAGTTCCAGTGATTTTAAGAGTGGATATAGTATATAAAAATGGATTGAGAAAGTGCTACAAATTAGAAAACCCTTTGGAATGCTATAGCTGTGGGACAATTTTCTTAAAAATAAAAAAAAAGCAAAAACCCCCTTTCTCACAAATGATTATAAAAATAGGCAATATTCTAGTGCTATTAGTAGTTCCATGCTTTCGTAAATGATTGTGCATGTTTTTGCTAACTGCAAACACTAGACAAGAAATAAAATTTCCGTCTAAACCACAGGCCACATCACCATACTATAGCAACTCTATGGATGAGTCACTGACTTATGGATTCTGTGTTTCATGAAGCTTCTGCAATCTCTTCTTTACAGTGAATGTAGCTGTTTGCTTGGCATAGTAGCAGATAGCAAGACAGCACAGACTATTAGAGTGGAGGGGAGAAATGGAAGAATGAAGGGCAAAAACATCTCTTGTCCTGAGTGGGCTCAAGCAGGTATGCCTAGCATCTTTCTTTCCCATAAAGAAGGATAAGTGAGAGTGATTTAGCCTCCTGCAGGTAAGCACTGTCTGATGGCATCACTGTTAGGCCTCCACAAGAGTCATTATGATAATAACACCTTACAGGAGAATGACTTTTTTTTTTTTTTTTTGAGATGGAGTCTCGCTCTGTCACCCAGGCTGGAGTACAGTGGCGCAATCTCGGCTCACTGCAAGCTCTGCCTCCTGGGTTCATGCCATTCTCCTGCCTCAGCCTCCAGAGTAGCTGAGTCTACAGGTGCCTGCCACCACTCCCGGATAATTTTTTTGTATTTTTAGTAGAGATGGGGTTTCACCGCGTTAGCCAGGATGGTCTCCATCTCCTGACCTCGTGATCCGCCCGCCTCGGCCTCCCAAAGTGCTGGGATTGAGAATGGACATTTAGAGTTTACAAAGCAGCTTTACAACCAGTGTCCTATTTGATTACAACAGCCTGAGTCACTAAGTACATTTTATAGATGGTAGAGTATTGAGTTTCAAGAGGTTCAAGTGACTTGCCTGATGTCACACAGTCAGTAAGGACAGGGCTAAGTGTGAAATTCAGGCCAACTGTTTGCAAAAACAATAACAATTTTCCCTATAACAGCCACTGCTCGTTAGGATAAGGTGGACTAGGTCTGACTAATTAAGCTGATAACCAGCGCTCTTGCTAAACAACTAAGCCTACAAGGTTATTGGTACCTTCCCACTGGAATCTTATATTCATGGTTCAAGAACTCTGAATTTGTCTTTCTCTCGAGAATCCATTTAATTCACTTCAATTTATATTCATGGAGTATTTTACTAAATACTAATATTTTACTAAATAAAAAGTATATGCTTTTATTAAATCATGGCTTCTTAATATGTATCTATTACTATTACTATTACTAAATACTAAATATTTTACTAAATAAAAAGTATATGCTTTTATTAAATCATGGCTTCTTAATATGTATCTATATTTCTATACCTACGTCTATATCTCTGTATCTGTGCCATTTATGTAAAAAGCCCATTTTATTGAAATAACCAATACATACACATGCACACTGACCAATCAAACTTACCTTGATAAAATAGCTCTAAGGTTCTCTTTCTGGCTTGATAAATAATTTGCCTTGTGTTTGTAAAGTATTTCATTTAAGGCCACAAATGAGTTTATAACACAGAAAATTGAAGGCCAGTCTTGCTGTCCCACTTTTTCTCCACAAAATACATGGCAGTTTCCCTTTTAGCAAAACTTGACTTCCAATATTTGCAAACTCAGTAACTAAATAAAGCTTTGGGTTTAGGAAAACAGTTACATTATACTATATGAGAATATGTTTTTGCAATCTTAAGATAAATTATTGCAATGATAGTTTAACACTGATTATCTCTATTTTTCAGAAGCAGATTTTGCAAAGAGTGGTATGTAAAAAGCAATTATCATGTAAAAAAATCATTATGATTTACATGAGAAGTTAGGAGGTAGTAACTTCCATGACAGGGATGCCTGTAAGATAGTGTTCACATTTGTGCTTGATGGTTTTAGTTCATTCCGGATGCTGAGAGTTGCTAAGAGTTTACATCCAAACTTAAAAATGTCAGAGACCAAGGAAAAAAGTCAGCTGAGAATTAACCTAGCTCTCTCTGATGAGATAGACAGCAACCTAACTTTGGGTGCCTTCACACTACTTTCCAGGCCAATTCCTCTGATACCAGACAATGCCCAGAGGTCAGGGTGCAAAGCAGGCTCTGACTGCCCTCCTGCAATCCCATAGAGACCTCTCCCTCACACCTGAACATTTAGTTTGGGGCTTTGCCTATGATTTTGAGTCAAGACTGACAGAGATCTAATCCAGGGTTCCTTTTCCAGTTTCAAGTCAGATCCACAGAGCAAATTTCGCATTTTCATCACCAAGAAGAGAGCTAAACAGATATATTAGTTATTTGCCTGTGGGAACATACACCCTTTCTTGTGGGCAGGGAGCCTGGGAAATCCCCTCGTATTTCAAAAATTCAATTGTCAAAAAACAAAAGCCAATTTTGAGTAATCTTTGAGATTTTACTATAATTCTGTGTCAAAGCAGAGTATTGAGGAAAAGTTTAGTTTGCTATATTAGCCTAAGATATTGAGCTTAAATTAAATATCCAGAATAATGGATCCAGAAAAGCTATTCTTATTTTAGAGAGTTTTTGGCGTATTACTTTTTTTTTTAAAGAAATGTTGTATTCAGTTGCTAATGCCCAGGATAAAAATTAGATCTATGGTTCTCAAACTCCAGGGGGCCTCAAAATTTCCTGGAAAACTTACTAAAACGCACAGACTCCCCCACCCCGAGTTTCAGATCCAGTAAGTCTGAGATGAGGCCTGAGAATCTGCACTTCTAACAAATTACCAGTGATGCCGATACTCTGGTTCAGGGTTCACACTTTGAGAACCACTTGATTAGGTTGACTGTTTCATTGATTGTTATAGAAACTAAATTCTTCCCGCAACTCCATTTCTATTATAAATGTAGTAATTGGTTCTAATACTTTGTTGTCCTCAACATGTAATTGCGTAGAGTCTTTCTTATTAAAATCTCTCTCCATATCTTCTGACTTCCACCACTACTCTCGTAGTTTAGGCCATCATCATCTCTCACCTGAATGGTGGAAACAGCTTTTGAACTGCTTCTTCCCTCACTTTGCCTCCTGCCCATCTCCAATCCATTCATTATAAAGAAATAATAACTATTTTAAAGACAATGTAAATCTGATTTTGTAGCTAGGCTTTCTTTCTTCTCCCTGCCTCCTCCTCTCTTTTCAAACCACCTCCATTCAAGAAAATAAAACGACATTCAATAACTTTCCAAAGACTCCCCTCTCACCCTCACCCCACTTCGCCTGGCTCATTCAGAGTTATTGTCAGATCTTAGCTTAGATATCATTTCCTTTGGGCAGCCTGCTTGACCTCCATGGGATGGAATTAGATGCCGTTCTTTGTGCACTGTTGGGGAAATGTAAGTAAACAAAATCTTCTCCCACCTCGGGAAACCTCTCCACAAAGGTAGTGGAGAAATAATCTAGTTTTTTAGAAAATTGAATAAGCATTAAACCAATATGCAATGTGCATCATAGGCCATCCACTAAGAGATTCCAAAGACTAAAGGAAATCTTACCCTGTTATGCAGCCAAATGGACATAACCCATTACACACGTGTTTTTAATATAAACAATAACTCATCCTCAAGTGAGAGAACTTGGCCGTACCATTTATCACACGTAATTAATCTTAACTTTATTCAGTGATTAGAGTGACTAACTGTGTTAGCTAAGTGGCTTTATCAGGGAGTGGGGGAAACTAACCCCAAACAAAAACCAAACAAAAACTTCTTATATTTTTATGGGAGAAGGTAGTCTTGCAACTTGAAGCAAACCTTCCCACAGAAACTTGGAGATAGGGGTGCTATTTTTCTTGTTTGTATTTCAAAAAGATGTCTCTCAGGTCCTTGAGAAAGACATTTCTGGCGCATAACGCTGACAAAAAATATATCTGGTTTTCAATAGGATTTGTGTACATTTCAAAGAGAGGAGACAGTACTAATAATTTTAAGTTTTCTAAAGTAAATACACTAAGAAAAAAGGAGGGAAGGGTAAGGCCTTTTTCTATTTTTAATAGAATTAAGCTTCCTATTTTTAATTTCTTATGTGTCCTTGCAGCACCCACAGCACTTGGTACTCCTCTTAATACATCCAATGTACTGTCTATCTCCCCCACTAGGGTGTGAGCCCTCTGAGAATAGGACTGTTTCCTGATGGTTGCTGTAGCCCTATTCCTACACATGCTAGAAAATCAATAAAAGCTTTAATGACCTATGCATATATTTATTTTAGAAGCTGTTTACTACAAGTCTGATTTTGCAGCTATCCAAATAAGCTTTCATAGTACCTTAATGAGTAGAAAAAAGATGGGTCAGGGTAGAGCAATGCCTGAGGTGAAAAGACATTTCCAGGTGTACTGAAAGAGCCATTGAGCCATTTGAATAAGGGCTGAAAGGATATAATTAAACTCAGTTTAATGCTGTGTTCATCCTAAATCAGAGATCATGTCAGGTACTCAGGAAAGCTTGGTAGAATTCATGTTTGGTCAAACAGTCATTGCCAGGAGTAAGAGGAAATATTCTTTTAGGTTCATAGTCTTCTACAGTAAGAAAGCCCCACAACCATCTGCTCAAGAGTTGGTTGTAAAATTCGCCAGGCATTGTGATGCATGCCTCTAATCCCAGCTACTTGGGAGGCTGAGGCAGGAGAATTACTTGAACCTGGGAGGTGGAGGTTGCAGTGAGCCAAGATCGCGCCCCTGCACTCCAGCCTGGGCAACAGGGTGAGACTCCTGTCTCAAACAAATAGAGTAGATTGTGTTCACAAAGATGATGGTAGCTGCTGTCACCAAATGTTGCCCACTGAGACATAAGCAACAGTTTGTCTGCATTGAGAACTCGGTAACCACATCCGTGACTTTGCCTGTTCTGAAAGTTCTAATCTCCAACATGCATGTGGATCATTAATGTAGTTGTTGAAATTACAGAGAATAATGAATGACATGATAATCATGGAAAGTGAGGCAATTAACTGGGTCTGAAGTCATCAAAAATGAGGAGAATGACTAGGTTTTCTCTGTGTGGGATAAAATAAATAGGGATCTGGAATTTGTCAGATTTAATGGCATGTACTTCAAAAAAGCTACAGCTTTTAGAAGAGAATGGAGAGATACATTGGAAGCAGTAAAAAGGAACCAGATGCTAAAGTAAGTGGTTTTCAAGCAAAAATAGCCTCCTCCTGACAGGTTGTGGGGGGAAGCTTTGTTCTCACGAGAGCCTCTCATGTTTTGTATAGAGCCAGAAAGAGAAGTTCAGAGAAGAGGCTGTGGATATAGGGAAGTTTTCTAAAAGCCACAGATTATGAAGGAGTCAGAGGAAGAGTTAAATAGGGCAGGGAGAGCAGTCGATGGGTCAGGTTATAGATGTGGAAAACATCAGTGTGATGGAGCATGATTTGGGAGCCTTCAATTTCTGACTGGGACTGAGGTGAATGGGGCATGAAGGGCTTGGCCTTGGCAGTTGCACACGTGGCATGCACAACCTCAGGGTAGCTGGTCTTGCCTTGGCTACTGATAACATAATGTGATTGAGATCTTACAAATGACTGGCAGTTCCTTTGATTCTTTCTATCCTACCCATCGAGGTGAACTGAGTCACCTATCAGGGTCTTGAAAAAGAGTCAGGCACATTTTTTTTTTCTATAGACATAGAAATATCTTTCTTAGTGCCATCAATCATCCATCTCTCCACTCCCACCTCTCCCACGACTGAGCCAAGACCCAAGACAGTCCCTTGGCCATGCATTCTCTGTTGGAATGGTTTCCATTGGTGATGAAAGTGATGCTAGGGGCCTTTGTTGGAATCTACCAAAAATGACTATTCTAGGAAAAGTCAGATAGTAAAATTCTAGTTTCCCAGAACTAGCAGAATGTGCCCCCCTGACAGTGGGGCAGTTCCCTTCCAGTGTCCAGCCACCCTTCCTGGCCTCTTTGCACACCTCTGCTCCTGTTTTCAGGAGAACACAGGCCCTGGTTCATATTATTTCTCCTCCTCCAAGATTATAAGAAGTGGCAGCTTATTTCCACAAATTTATTTACTCTAAGTTTCACTCTGTCAAAGCAGGGTCTAAATATTATTAGTCCAATAATACCATCTTGCTGAGTGAGACAAAGTTTCTGTTGCTTTGGGAATCAACACATTCTCATGTGCTGAGTGCCTTCAGTGTGCTGGGCACTGTGCTTAGCCTTTTAATGCGTTATTTACGGTCCTCACAAAAACCTTGCATGATAAGTGCTCAAGTTTTCTTCTTATAGATGAAAATCAGAGAGGTTAAGTGTCTCAACTACCATTACAGACGAGTAAGTGGAGGACCTAACTAAAACCAAAGTCCATTTGACTTCAAAGTTTGTGCCCTTTTTGTGATATTAGAAGAAAAGAGAAGTCCAGATTTTGCATGAACTAGCAGTAAACTTTGTCCCCTTCCTTGCAGGGCTGAATCCCCTATGCCAGGCCTTGGAAGCCCCAAGTAGGCTTTGTAAATGGAGCAATCTCATTGCATAGGCCTGAAGGGTCTGTGATTTTATTTTCTCCAGGCTACCCATGGAGTGATTGCTTTCTGTAATGTGGGACTTAAGCTTTTATGGGTTTGCCAGTGAATTTCAGTCTCACGAACAATATTGTTCCTGTAAAAAAATATATTTTGAGACAAAATCCACCAATTCCAATGGGAAGTAGTCTATATTTATCACTTTAAAGAATTAATTTGTTAAAAATGATTCTTATTCAAAAGTAGTACAATCTGATTTGACAATATATCCTAGTCATACAGACTTGAATAATATAGAGACACAAACACGGTTTTTTTTTTCAAGTTAGGCCTAATTTAGAATGAAGACTGAATATGTACAGAATAGTTGTATAGAAAAATATTACTTATCCTAATTTTTATTAAAATATTAATTTATTTTACTATTAAGTAATGCATAATTATTGCAGGAAATCTAGAAAATACAGAAGAGTAGAAAGAAAAAATAACAATCATTTAATTGCAACATGCAGAGAAATCCATTATAAACATAGATATGTATAGTATAGAAATATATATATAGAAATATAGTATGGAAATATATACTATATATTCTATATAGTATAGAAATATATAGAAATATACATAGTATATATAGTATATATATACACTACATATACGTAGTATATATAGTATATATATACACTACATATACGTAGTATATATAGTATATATATACACTACATATACGTAGTATATATAGTATATATATACACTACATATACGTAGTATATATAGTATATATATACACTACATATACGTAGTATATATAGTATATATATACACTACATATACGTAGTATATATAGTATATATATACACTACATATACGTAGTATATATAGTATATATATACACTACATATACGTAGTATATATAGTATATATATACACTACATATACGTAGTATATATAGTATATATATACACTACATATACGTAGTATATATAGTATATATATACACTACATATACGTAGTATATATAGTATATATATACACTACATATACGTAGTATATATAGTATATATATACACTACATATACGTAGTATATATAGTATATATATACGTAGTATATATAGTATATATATACATAGTATATATAGTATATATAACATAGTATATATAGTATATATAACATAGTATATATAGTATATATAACATAGTATATATAGTATATATAGAAATATATACGCTATATATAGTATAGAAATATAGTGTGTGTGTGTGTGTATATATATATATATATATATATATATATATATATATATATATATAAATGTCGGGAGCGCCTGGCTCATGATGTTGGCTGGAAGTACCAGGCAATGACAGCTACCCTGGAGGAAAAGAGAAAGGAGAAGACCAAGTTCCACTACCATAAGAAACAGCTCATGAGGCTATGGAAACAGGCCAAAAAGAATGTAGAGAAGAAAACTGACAAATACACAGAGGTCCTCAAGACCCATGGACTCCTGGTTTAAGCCCACTGAAGACTGTTTATTCCTCATGCTTGGCCTGGCTTCCCCTTCTTCCATCATTGCCCTGGAATGCGGGGGACCCAGGGGCAGCAGTCCTGGTGCCACAGGCAGCCTGAGACTTAGGAACTTGGGAGCAAGGAGGGGAGGCTGGCAGGATGGCTGAATAGGAAGAGCTATGGTCTGCAGCTCCCATGAGATCGATGCAGAAGGAGGGTGATTTCTGCATTTCCAACTGAGGTACCTGGTTCATCTCACTGGGGCTGGTTGGACAGTGGGTGCAGCCCACGAAGGGCGAGCTGAAGCAGGGTGGGGCATCGCCTCACCCAGGAAGCACAAGGGGTTGAGGAATTCTCTCCCTTAGCCAAGGGAAGCTGTGAGAGACTGTACTGGGAGGAACAGTGCACTCCGGCCCAGATACTGCACTTTTCCCATGGTCTTCACAACCTGCAGACCAGGAGATTCCCTCCTGTGCCCACCCCACCAGGGCCCTGGGTTTTAAGCACAAAACTGGGTGGCATTTGGGCAGACACTGAACTGGCTGCAGGAGTTTTTTTTTTCATACCCCAGTGGCATCTGGAGCGCCAGTGAGACAGAACCATTCACTCCCCTGGAAAGGGCCTGAAGCCAGGAAGCCAAGTGGTCTGGCTTGGTGGGTCCCACCCTCAAGGAGACCAGTAAGCTAAGATCCACTGGCTTGAAATTCTTGCTACCAGCACAGCAGTCTGAACTGGACCTGGGATGCTGGAACTTGGTGGGGGGAGGGGCACCCGCCATTGCTGAGGCTTGAGTAGGCAGTTTTCCCCTCACAGTGTAAACAAAGACACTAGAAAGTTTGAACTGGGCGGAGCCCACCACAGCTCAGCAAGGCTGCTGTGCCTCCTCTCTGCACAGGGCATCTCTGAAAAAAAAGGCAGCAGCCCCAGTCAGGGACTTATAGATAAAACCCCCATCTGCCTAAGACAGAGCACCTGGGAGAAGGGGGTGGCTGTGGGCACAGCTTCAGTAGACTTAAATGTCCCTGCCTGACAGCTCTGAAGAGAGAGCAATGGTTCTCCTAGCACAGCGTTCGAGCTCTGATAAGGGACAGACTGCCTCCTCAAGTGGGTCCCTGACCCCTGTTTATCCTGACTGGCAGACACCTCCCAGCAGGGGCCCACAGACATATACAGGAGAGCTCCGGCTGGCATCTGGTGGGTGCCCCCCGAGATGAAGCTTCCAGAGGAAAGATCAGGCAGCAATCTTTGCTGTTCTGCAGCCTCCACTGGTGATACCCAGGCAAACAGGGTCTGGAGTGGACCTCCATCAAACTCCAGCAGATCTGCAGAAGAGGGGCCTGACTGTTAGAAAGAAAACTAATAAACAGAAAGGAATAGGAATAGTATCAGCATCAACAAAAAGGACATCCACTCAGAGACCTCACCTGAACGTCACCAACATCAAAGACCAAAGGTAGATAAATCCATGATGATGGGGAGAAACCAGCTCAAAAAGGCTGAAAATTTCAAAAACGAGAACACCTCCTCTCTTCCAAAGGATCACAACTCCTCACCAGCAAGGGCACCAAACTGGACAGAGAATGAGTTTGACGAACTGACCAAAGTAGGCTTCAGAAGGTGGGTAATAACAAACTCCCCTGAGCTAAAGGAGCATGTCCTAACCCAATGCAAGGAATAACCTTGAAAAAAGATAAGACAAATTCAAATTGCTCACTAGAATAACCAGTTTAGAGGAGAAGATAAATAACCTGAAGGAGCTGAAAAACACAGCATGAGAACTTCGTGAAGCATACACAAGTATCAATAGCCGAATCGATGAAGTGGAAGAAAGGATATCAGAGATTGAAGATCAACTCAATGAAATAAAGCAAGAAGACAAGATTAGAGATAAAAGAGTGAAAAGAAGAAAACAAAGCCTCCAAGAAATATGGGACTATGTGAAAAGACCAAATCTACATCTGATTGGTGTACCTGAAAGTGACGGGAAGAATGGAACCAAGTTGGAAAACACTCTGCAGGATATTATCCAGGAGAACTTCCCCAACATAGCAAGGAAGGCCAACATCCAAATTCAGGAAATACAGAAACACCATGAAGATACTCCTCAAGAAGAGCAACCCCAAGACACATAATTGCCAGATTCACCAAGGCTGAAATGAAGGGAAAAATGTAAAGGGAAGCCAGAAAGAAAGGTCGGGTTACCCACAAAGGGAAGCCCATCAGACTAACAGCAGATCTCTTGGCAGAAACCCTACAAGCCAGAAGAGAGTGGGGGCCAATATTCAACATTCTTATAGAAGGAATTTTCAACCCCAAATTTCATATCCAGCCAAACTAAGCTTCATAAGTAAAGGAGAAATAAAATCCTTTACACAAGAGCAAATGCTGAGAGATTTTGTCACCACCAGGCCTGCCCTAAAAGAGCTCCTGAAGGAAGCACTAAACATGGAATGGAATAACTGGTACCAGCCACTGCAAAAACATACCAAATTGTAAAGACCGTCGACGCTGTGAAGAAACTGCATCAAATAACAGGCAAAATAACCAGCTAGCATCGTAATGACAGGATCACATTCACATATAACAATATTAACCTTAAATGTAAACAGGCTAAATGACCCAATTAAAAGACACAGACTGGCAAATTGGACAAAGAGTCAAGACCCATCCGTGTGCTGTATTTAGGAGGCCCATTTCACATGCAGAGACACACATAGGCTCAAAATAAAGGGATGGAGGAATATTTACCAAGCAAATGGAAAGCAAAAAAAGACATAGGTTTCAATCCTAGTCTCTGATAAAATAGACTTTAAGCCAAAAAAGATCAAAAGAGACAAAGAAGGCCATTACATAATGGTAAAGGGATCAATGCAACAAGAAGAGCTAACTATCCTAAATATATATGCACCCAATACAGGAGCACCCAGATTCATGAAGCAAGTCCTTGGAGACCTACAAAGAGACTTAAACTCCCCCACAATAATAGTGGGAGACTTTAAAACCCCACTGTCAATATTAGATCAACGAGACAGAAAATTAACAAAGATATCCAGGACTTGAACTCAGCTCTGCACCAAGCTGACCTAATAGACATATTTAAGAACTCTCCACCCCAAATCAACAGAATATACATTCTTTACAGCACCACGTTGCACTTATTCTAAAGCTGACCACATAATTGGAAGTAAAACACTCCTCTGCAAATGCAAAAGAACAGAAATCATAACAAAGTCTCTCAGACCACAGTGCAATCAAATTAGAACTCAGGATTAAGAAACTCACTCGAAAGTGCACAAGTACACAGAAACTGCACAACCTGCTCCTGAATGACTACTGGGTAAATAATGAAATGAAGGCAGAAATAAAGATGTTCTTTGAAACCAATGAGAGCAAAGACACAACGTACCAGAATCTCTGGGACCCATTTAAAGCAGTGTGTAGAAGGAAATTTATAGCACTAAAATGCCTACAAGAGAAAGCCAGAAAGATCTAAAATCGACACCCTAACAGGAAGTTGGGAACAAGGAAAGGGTCTTAGTCACTGCCTTTCTATAAGGTTACTTTAAAGCACACACACGCACACACACAGGCACACACACACACAGTGCACATATGTGTGCACACTTTCACAATTGCCTTCTGACTATCAATCTTTGGATCTAAATGGTGAATAATTCAGGTGTTGCAGGCTGTTGCTACTCACTGCTTATACAGAATTTCAGTTCCAGTGATTATCCCTAGAATCCTCTGAGAGGAGCTTATGAAACTCCTCGCCCCTTTCCACCTCTCAGGAATTCTCCATGGTAGCTCTCCTGGGCACTACTCCTGCGCCATGGGGAATAGTTATGCTCTCCAGGTACAGTTTCCTCTTGCTCAGTTGCAAACTGGATTCCTTGAAATGGCAAAGCTTCTTTATGTTTTATTCTGAAGGGAAGATAATACCTCTCCCTTACCCTGAGGATTGTATATGTTTAGTGGGTGCCATAGAAAGGCTATTTGTGTCTTAACAGTTTGCAAGATTCTAGTGAAAGTACTTTTTTGGTAGTTTTCATACCCTAATCCTTGCATGACTTAGAAATGAGTCTAGTGGAGGCCCAGCTGGGAACCACAGGATTACTCCTGTCTTCCCCTAACCAAGAAAGCCTTTCCTGCTGAGTAGAAGTCTTTGAGCCTGGCCTCTTATGTCAGGATCAATTCTCACAAGTAGTTCCCGACCTTCATGCATTCTGAAAAGAAAGGGCACCCCACCTGTTGTTATATGTGTCCAGATTAAATTATTCCCAAGGAGTGTGAAACCACTGTTACAAATGCAAGCTGGAGATAATATGGAACTTTTTAAAGAAGGCAATAGAAAGCATAACATAACATATAAAATTATTAGCACATTGCATGAATTATGGTAAATGTTAATATACTCAAAAGATATTGGCTACTGCCTTTATTTTAAATATAGCTTTTCAAACATATAATGTTTGCATTTTTGTCATTATTCTTCAAAACAGCATTTCTGGGGGGTTATTATTCTTCAAAATAATCTGGTGGGGTGACCTTCCTTCCCAAAATGTCTCTGTAATATTCCACTACATATGCAATGGGTACATATACAATGAAAAGAGTAGAAAACAAAAATGTTTATCCTAATAATAAGCACATAAAGAGAATTTAATGTAATAATTCTGTTTAGGAGGTTTGCTTGCAGAAAAAATATGTTTAATAAACTTGAAAACAGAGATGGATATTATGAAGTCTGAGGACATCAGGGCCTTTTAGCGGCCTTTACCCATAAAAGTGAGAACAATGAAGAGGTCTGGCTGGTGCATGTCTCTAAACAAGGCAGGCAGTCTTGTAGGATGGCCTTCCAGAACTTAGGGAGTGCTTGTGTTTTTGCTCCTCATTTCTGATGTCGGCTTCTGAACAACCTTGTGAAGCAGGAACCATGTGCAACAGGGATGCAGTTCCAATCAATTTTTGTGGATTTGGTTCACCTGTTGGAGATGAGCTGCCAAGGAAAGAAAAGTGAAACTGTGTTTTCAAGACACTCCCTTGTTTCCATGTTTATTCTCTCAGCACTCTTAGGGTTTATTAAAGTAAAAAAATAAATAAAAGTTACCACAAAAAATGCCAAGACCATTTCCCATTCCAATCATGAGTGGATTAGGAGAAAAATCACAGTCTAGGTGGATTGGAGTAATTGGCTATATTTGGGTTTAGAATATGTTAATATTTATGAACATTTGAGGAAACCAGGAGGACTAGACATGAGTAGAGATGAATACAGCAGTCAAGATCCCAGCTGGAGGGGGAATGCTTAGAATTGGCAGTTGGTGGAAAGAGGATGAATTGAAAAACATTGGTAATTGTACAGAAATGGTATCCTTGGAAAATATAGAGAAATTTTAAAGAAATAACAATTTAAAAGCGTATCTTTTAAATGGGAGGTTTGTTCTAGAAGTTTCTGGGGCATAATCAGAAAGAGTCACTGAATGTGGTTTGGGGTTTAACTAGGGAACAAGGTAAAAAAATATTTTATTTTCTCAGTGGTCTGAAGTTCATGAGAATAGAGGTTGAGGAATAGAGGAAAGATCAAGGACAGGAGAAAAAAGTGTCCTAGTCTATGCATACACACCAACTGCCAGGAGACTACTTATACAATTAATATAATTGTGTATAGTTAATAAGTAAATTATTTTTCACAAGATAGTTGTGTGACTTAAATTGCTGAGAATATCATGGTAGCGTGTAGCACAGTAAATTCATGCAAATTCTCTGAGGCAGGGAGATCTGACACAGATTGCTCTACCAGTGATATGACTTTAGGAGCGGAAACTCAGATATAGCAGGTGATAGTGTCTGAATAGAGAAATGCAAGTGTATAGTTAACAAAACCAAACAAACCAAACACAAAGTAGCTTTGTGCTTTGGCAAAATAGGCTGGGGCTGGTGAGGACTTGGGTTAAGTTTAATAATGGCCTTGGGAAATGTTTTCAAAGGTAATAATTTTCATGAATGCCTTTACCTGCAGTGGCTCCTTTTTACCTGTTCAGCTGAACTGCACATATGCTTATGTTAAGTCATATGTCTATAGTTTAGTCAAGATTAAGCAAACTACATAGCCCTTGAGCTAAACAAGCTCTGCTTCCTGTTTATATAAATAAAATTTTATTGGTAAATGGTCACATCCATTTATTTAAAAATTGTCTATCACTGCTGCATTCAGGCTACAGCAGCAGAATGAGTAACTACTGCTTTATGAACTGTAAAGCCCCAAATATTTCTCTTCACAGAAAATGTTTGCTGACCCCTGAACTAGTACAAAACAAATAAACTCACCTACACCAAAATCCATTTATTTATTTTAAAGTCTTTTTAGTTTTTATGAAACATTAGGAAAACATCTCTCTGAGTTACAATTTTGTATCTACTCAGTAAACACTTCTGCTGAAGTGAAGTGCCAAGTGAATTTCCAAGGAAATTTTCTTGAAATGTTTTTGCTCTTGAGCCTGAATACTACTTGCTTGAACTACTTCATCAATAAAAAAATAGAAAGATTTTTGTGTGCTTTTTCTTATGCTTTTTGCCCAACAACAATCTTCAACTTAATGGTTAAAAAACTCAAAACTGGGGGGGAAGAAGCCAAGATGGCTGAATAGGAACAGCTCCAGTCTACAGCTCCCATCATGAGCGACGCAGAAGATGGGTGATTTCTGCTTTTCCATCTGAGGTACTGGGTTCATCTCACTAGGGAGTGCCAGACAGTGGGCACAGGAGAGTGGGTGCAGCACACTGCACGCAAGCTGAAGCAGGGTGAGGCATTGCCTCACTCGGGAAGCACAAGGTGTCAGGGAGTTCCCTTTCCTAGTCAAAGAAAGGGGTGACAGACGGCACCTGGAAAATCGGGTCACTCCCACCTGAATACTGCACTTTTCTGACAGGCTTAAAAAGCGGCACACCAGGAGATTATATCCTGCACCTGGCTTGGAGGGTCCTATGCCCACGGAGTCTCGCCGATTGCTAGCACAGCAGTCTGAGATCAAACTGCAAGGCGGCAGCGAGGCTGGGGGAGGGGCGCACACCATTGCCCAGGCTTGCTTAGGTAAACAAAGCAGCCGGGAAGCTCGAACTGGGTGGAGCCCACCACAGCTCAAGGAGGCCTACCTGCCTCTGTAGGCTCCACCTCTGGGAGCAGGGCACACACAAACAAAAAGACAGCAGTAACCTCTGCAGACTTAAATATCCCTGTCTGACAGCTTTGAAGAGAGCAGTGGTTCTCCCAGCATGCAGCTGGAGATCTGAGAACCGGCAGACTGCCTCCTCAAGTGGGTCCCTGACCCCTGACCCCTGAGCAGCCTAACTGGGAGGCACCCCCGAGTAGGGGCAGACTGACACCTCACATGGCTGGGTACTCCTCTGAGACAAAACTTCCAGAGGAACGATCAGACAGCAGCATTCGTGGTTCACGAAAATCCGCTGTTCTGCAGCCAATGCTGCTGTTACCCAGGCAAACAGAGTCTGGAGTGGACATCTAGGAAACTCCAACAGACCTGCAGCTGAGGGTCCTGTCTGTTAGAAGGAAAACTAACAAACAGAAAGGACATCCACACCAAAAACCCATCTGTACGTCACCATCATCAAAGACCAAAAGTAGATAAAACCACAAAGATGGGGAAAAAACAGAGCAGAAAAACTGGAACTCTAAAAAGCAGAGTTCCTCTCCTCCTCCAAAGGAACACAGTTCCTCACCAGCAACGGAACAAAGCTGGATGGAGAATGACTTTGACGAGTGGAGAGAAGAAGGCTTCAGATGATGAAACTACTCAGAGCTACAGGAGGAAGTTCAAACCAAAGGCAAAGAAGTTGAAAACTTTGAAAAAAATTTAGACAAATGTATAACTAGAATAAGCAATACAGAGAAGTGCTTAAAGGAGCTGATGGAGCTGAAAGCCAAGGCTCAAGAACTACATGAAGAATGTAGAAGCCTCAGGAGCCAATGCGATCAACTAGAAGAAAGGGTATCAGTGATGGAAGATGAAATGAATGAAATGAAGTGAGAAGGGAAGTTGAGAGAAAAAAGAATAAAAAGAAACGAACAAAGCCTCCAAGAAATATGGGACTATGTGAAAAGACCAAATCTACATCTGATTGGTGTACCTGAAAGTGACGGGGAGAATGGAACCAAGTTGGAAAACACTGCAGGATATTATCCAGGAGAACTTCCCTAATCTAGCAAGGCAGGCCAACATTCAGATTCAGGAAATACAGAGAATGCCACAAAGATACTCCTTGAGAAGAGCAACTCCAAGACACATAATTGTCAGATTCACCAAAGTTGAAATGAAGGAAAAAATGTTAAGGACAGGCAGAGAGAAAGGTCGGGTTACCCACAAAGGGAAGCCCATCAGACTAACAGCGGATCTCTCGGCAGAAACTCTACAAGCCAGAAGAGAGTGGGGGCCAATATTCAACATTCTTAAAGAAAAGAATTTTCAACCCAGAATTTCATATCCAGCCAAACTAAGTTTCATAAGTGAAGGAGAAATAAAATCCTTTACACACAAGAAAATGCTGAGGGATTTTGTCACCAACAGGCCTGCCCTAAAAGAGCTCCTGAAGGAAGCACTAAACATGGAAAGGAAAAACTGGTACCAGCCACTGCAAAATCATGCCAAGTTGTAAAGACCATCGAGGCTAGGAAGAAACTGCATCAACTAACGAGCAAAATAACCAGCTAGCATCAAAATGACAGGATCAAATTCACACGTAACAATATTAACTTTAAATGTAAATGGACTAAATGCTCCAATTAAAAGACACAGACTGGCAAATTGGATAAAGAGTCAAGACCCATCAGTGTGCTGTATTCAGGAAACCCATCTCACATGCAGAGACACACATAGGCTCAAAATAAAAGGATGGAGGGAGATCTACCAAGCAAATGGAAAACAAAAAAAAGGCAGGGGTTGCAATCCTAGTCTCTGATAAAACAGAGTTTAAACCAACAAAGATCAAAAGAGACAAAGAAGGCCATTACATAATGGTAAAGGGATCAATTCAACAAGAAGAGCTAACTATCCTAAATATATCTGCACCCAATACAGGAGCACCCAGTTTCATAAAGCAAGTCCTGAGTGACCTACAAAGAGACTTAGACTCCCACACATTAATAATGGGAGACTTTAACACCCCACTATCAACATTAGACAGATCAACGAGACAGAAAGTTAACAAGGATAACTGGGAATTGAACTCAGCTCTGCACCAAGCAGACCTAATAGACATCTACAGAACTCTCCACCCCAAATCAACAGAACATACATTTTTTTCAGCACCGCACCACACCTATTCCAAAATTGACCACATAGTTGGAAGTAAAGCTCTCCTCAGCAAATGTAAAAGAACAGAAATTGTAACAAACTGTCTCTCAGACCACAGTGCAATCAAACTAGAACTCAGGATTAAGAAACTCACTCAAAACCACTCAACTACATGGAAACTGAACAACCTGCTCCTGAATGACTATTGGGTACCTAATGAAATGAAGGCAGAAATAGAGATGTTCTTTGAAACCAATGAGAACAAAGACAAAACATACCAGAATCTCTGGGACACATTCAAAGCAGTGTGTAGAGGGAAATTTATAGCACTAAATGCCCCCAAGAGAAAGCAGGAAAGATCAAAAATTGACATCCTAACATCACAAGTAAAAGAACTAGGAAAGCAAGAGCAAACACATTCAAAAGCTAGCAGAAGGCAAGAAATAACTAAAATCAGAGCAGAACTGAAGGAAATAGAGACACAAAAAACCCTTCAAAAAATTAATGAATCCAGGAGCTGGTTTTTTGAAAGGATCAACAAAATTGATAGACTGCTAGCAAGACTAATAAAGAAGAAAACAGAGAAGAATCAAATAGACGCAATAAACAATGATATAGGGGATATCACCACTGATCCCACAGAAATACAAACTACCATCAGAGAATACTACAAACACCTCTATGCAAATAAACTAGAAAATCTAGAAGAAATGGATAAATTCCTTGACACATACACCCTCCCAAGACTAAACCAGGAAGAAGTTGAATCTCTGAATAGACCAATAACAGGCTCTGAAATTGTGGCAATAATCAATAGCTTACCAACCAAAAAGAGTCCAGGACCAGATAGATTCACAGCTGAACTCTACCAGAGGTACAAGGAGGAATTGGTACCATTCCTTCTGAAACTATTCCAATCAGTAGAAAAAGAGGGAATCCTCCCTAATTCATTATATGAGGCCAGCATCATCCTGATACCAAAGCTGGGCAGAGACACAACCAAAAAAGAGAATTTTAGACCAATATCCTTGATGAACATTGATGCAAAAATCCTCAATAAAATACTGGCAAACCGAATCCAGCAGCACATCAAAAAGCTTATCCACCATGATCAAGTGGGCTTCATCCCTGGGATGCAAGGCTGGTTCAATATACGCAAATCAATAAATGTAATCCAGCATATAAACAGAGCCAAAGACAAAAACCACATGATTATCTCAATAGATGCAGAAAAAACCTTTGACAAAATTCAACAACCCTTCATGCTAAAAACTCTCAATAAATTAGGTATTGATGGGACGTATTTCAAAATAATAAGAGCTATCTATGACAAACCCACAGCCAATATCATACTGAATGGGCAAAAACTGGAAGCATTCCCTTTGAAAACTGGCACAAGACAGGGATGCCCTCTCTCACCACTCCTATTCAACATAGTGTTGGAAATTCTGGCCAGGGCAATTAGGCAGGAGAAGGAAATAAAGGGTATTCAATTAGGAAAAGAGGAAGTCAAATTGTCCCTGTTTGCAGATGACATGATTGTGTATCTAAAAAACCCCATTGTCTCAGCCCAAAATCTCCTTAAGCTGATAAGCAAATTCAGCAAAGTCTCAGGATACAAAATCAATGTACAAAAATCACAAGCATTCTTATACACCAATAACAGACAAACAGAGAGCCAAATCATGAGTGAACTCCTATTCACAATTGCTTCAAAGAGAATAAAATACCTGGGAATCCAACTTACAAGGGACATGAAGGACCTCTTCAAGGAGAACTACAAACCACTGCTCAATGAAATAAAAGAGGATACAAACAAATGGAAGAACAGTCCATGCTCATGGGTAGGAAGAATCAGTATCGTGAAAATGGCCATACTGCCCAAGGTAATTTATAGATTCAATGCCATCCCCATCAAGCTACCAATGACTTTCTTCACAGAATTGGAAAAAACTACTTGAAAGTTCATATGGAACCAAAAAAGAGCCCACATCGCCAAGTCAATCCTAAGCCAAAATAACCAAGCTGGAGGCATTATGCTACCTAACTTCAAACTATACTACAAGGCTACAGTAACCAAAACAGCATAGTACTGGTACCAAAACAGAGATATAAATCAATGGAACAGAACAGAGCCCTCAGAAATAACGCCGCATATCTACAACTATCTGATCTTTGACAAACCTGAGAAAAATAAGCAATGGGGAAAGGATTCCCTATTTAATAAATGGTGCTGGGAAAACTGGCTAGCCATATGTAGAAAGCTGAAACTGGATCCCTTCCTTACACCTTATACAAAAATTAATTCAAGATGGATTAAAGACTTAAACGTTAGACCTGAAACCATAAAAACCCTAGAAGAAAACCTAGGCATTACCATTCAGGACATAGGCATGGGCAAGGACTTCATGTCTAAAACACCAAAAGTAATGGCAACAAAAGCCAAAATTGACAAGTGGGATCTCATTAAAGTAAAGAGCTTCTGCACAGCAAAAGAAACTACCATCAGAGTGAACAGGCAACCTACAAAATGGGAGAAAAATTTTGCAACCTACTCATCTGACAAAGGGCTAATATCCAAAATCTACAATGAACTCAAACAAATTTACAAGAAAAAAACAAACAACACCATCAAAAAGTGGGCAAAGGACATGAACAGACACTTCTCAAAAGAAGACATTTATGCAGCCAAAAAACACATGAAAAAATGCTCATCATCACTGGCCATCAGAGAAATGTAAATCAAAACCACAATGAGATACCATCTCACACCAGTTAGAATGGCAATCATTAAAATGTCAGGAAACAACAGGTGCTGGAGAGGATGTGGAGAAATAGGAACACTTTTACACTGTTGGTAGGACTGTAAACTAGTTCAACCATTGTGGAAGTCAGTGTGGTGATTCCTCAGGGATCTAGAACTAGAAATACCATTTGACCCAGCCATCCCATTACTGGGTATATACCCAAAGGACTATAAATCATGCTGCTATAAAGACACATGCACACGTATGTTTATTGCGGCACTACTCACAATAACAAAGACTTGGAAGCAACCCAAATGTCCAACAATGATAGACTGGATTAAGAAAATGTGGCACATATACACCATGGAATACTATGCAGCCATAAAAAATGATGAGTTCATGTCCTTTGTAGGGACATGGATGAAATTGGAAATCATCATTCTCAGTAAACTATCTCAAGAACAAAAAACCAAACACCGCATATTCTCACTCATAGGTGGGAATTGAACAATGAGAACACATGGACACAGGAAGGGGCACATCACACCCTGGGGACTGTTGTGGGGTCGGGGGAGGGAGGAGGGATAGCATTAGGAGATATACCTAATGCTAAATGACAAGTTAATGGGTGCAGCACACCAGCATGGCACATGTATACATATGTAACTAACCTGCACATTGTGCACATGTACCCTAAAACTTAAAGTATAATAATAATAAAATAAAAAATAAAAAAACAAAACAAAAAAATCTCAAAATTGTTTCCATCTTTATCCTTTCTTTTCTTTTAGGATTTTCCCCCAAATTAAAAGAGAAAATAGAAGTTATCTGAAGATTATATCATGCTAATTATAATTTTCTGTAACTACATCTTCAGATAAAATGCTTAATATGTATAATTATGCATAATCTCTAAAGTTTGGTTGGGTTTACCTTTGTATGATTATTCTAAGGCAATAATTCTCAAATTTTAGTGTGCATCAGAATCACCTGTAAGGTGTGTAAAACCACATGAATGTGCTCCATTCACACAATTTCTGATTCATCTGATTTCATCTGGGCTGGGGCCTGATAATTTACATTTCTAACGTGTTCCCTGGTGATACTGATGCTGCTGATTTGGGAACCACACTTTAGGAACCACTTTTCTAAGGTGGAGATAGACAATCACAAATTGTTCCCCATTCCCCTCCCAATGATTGAGGAGTTGGAACCATGTATGGCAAAATAAATATTGAAACAGCTAGAAAAATAACATGTTTATAAAAGAAAATGAAAGAATTTGAGGATATTAAATAGGATAAGAAGACTGGAATATTTAAAAAATAACCTTATAGTATATGAAAAGGTTAACATCATTCTCAGCAAACTATCACAAGATGAGAAAACCAAACACCACATGTTCTCACTCATAAGTGGGAGTTAACAATGAGAACACATGGACACAGGGTGGGGAACATCACACACTGGGGCCTGTCAGGGGGTGGGTACTGGGGGAGGGATAACATTAGGAGAAATACTTAATGTAGGTGATGGGTTGACGGGTGCAGCAAACCACCATAGCACGTGTATACCTATGTAACGAAACTGCACAGTCTGCACATGTAACCCAGAACTTAAAATATAATAAAAAAAGAAAAGGTTTAGCAAAAACGGTGGGAATAGATGATCAAAATATTTTAGAATCTTATCATGAAAATTTGTGTAAGTCTCTGGCTTTTATGTTTGCCCAAGAAGTCTAGGTTTGACGATGGTATACAGGAATAATACCTAGTAGCTTCCCAGGCATCTCCATGGAGCCAAGATCCCCAAGTGAGGAGGTTCAGCTTCTGGCAGTCTGTAGGTGTTCCAATACCTCTAAAAGACTAACTGCTCCAGGGACCTACAAAGCATTTTCTTTGTTTTTTTTTTCTGAGATACTAATAGTCAATTATGCAAACCTGTTCTTTTCTGTTAAAAGAGAGAGTGGGCAGGCTTAAACTTTGCCTTTCTACTATGGATTTGGGGAGGAGAAAGCATTTTTAGACAAGAGAGAAGACATATTTTAAGAAGTAAGCCAAGAATGAAGGATAATTTTAAGGAGGAAAAAAAGAACCAATGTCAATATTGGCATATTTACAAGAGTAAGAAGAAAATGTAAAGAATGAGAAAAATGAGCAGCTCAGTCTACTTCACTTACACAGGGTATAATAGCCTAGTGTGTATAGCTTATTCACTTAATATACCAATACGCCAGGGTGAATTTGAACCATTCAAAGAAGAGGCAGACATCTCACATTTCATGAAATAATGAGAACCATAGCCATCAACTGGATCAAGGAGAAAATTCCACTCCCAGAAATTCTTTCAGGTCAAGGACGAAAGATAACTATTATTCCTTGCTTATTAGGTATTTATTAGCCAACAGAATGTGAATATAGGACAAAGTTATTATGATTTAGCAGAAATTTGGTCAGATTGAAATGATGGTTTGAAAATAACATGAAATGTAATAAGAATAAACTGTTTTGCTTTTAGATGTAGCTTAACAGAAGCACATGTGAGAAGACCTTTTGGTTTAAGTCCATACTTAACAATGAGTTCCCACATTTGATAGGTCTACTATCAAAGCTACTGCAATCTTGGGACTCAGTTCTGAAGGGAAAAATTAAAGAACCAGATTAAGCAAACTGATAATCCTGGCCTATGCTAGCCAGATCATTCTGAGGTACTATGCTCAGTTTATGAACATGGTAAAAGTTCAAATAGACGAGTAGAACACATTTTCCATTTCCCAGAAACAACCAATTTCAAGTTTTCCCTTTTAGTTCTTCTGTGATTACCATCATCACTTTATAGTTTCTTAAAATACAGTCATCACATAAGAAACACAGTGAACTTATGCTAAGTTCAGCCACACTATTCACAGACTCTCTCTCAATAATTTTTAGTTAAAATATTGTTAATTGTTTTATTGGTTGTATTCTATTTCTTGGTCTTTCAACTGTAGTCAGCATCTAACTGATTGTCCAAAACATAATTAACATGTCAAAACTTCCTTTGGTTTATTTGCAATATTTCCTATCTTTTATTTTTCTAGCTATACCATTACTTTCATTCACATTATTTAAATTTATACATCTTGCTTTGTAAATATAACATCTATGTGCTTTATTAATAGGTGGCTCCTAAGAGTATACTTTCAGGGATCATTTCTATAGTTTGTTATTAATAGGTGGCTGCTAAAATGTAGAAACCATTAAATAGTAGACTCAATAGGGTGTTTACTTGGAATATTATTTACAGAGGTTCTATAAATGGATTAACCTATGGGTCAATGACTTGTCCTGTATCTCTCATAAGAGAACATTACAGATGTCAAGTTTAAATAAAGTCTCTACCTACTACCTACTATCAACTGCGGAAACCATGCCACATGTATTTACTTTTGCAATTTGAACATGATTTTCTAGTATGTCCTTCCTTTTTTTGAGTTTTTACTTGCCTTTCTTTTTCCATGTTGACAAAGAAAGCACAAAGCACTTATTTTCATTATACCACTAACATAGTTCAAGTTCTTAATTATATAATTTCTGTAATAGAATATTCCATCATCTTAAGGCTATATTTCAAAACATCTTCTGATTTATCTTTCAGTTTGGATCCTGTTATTTTTAGGTTAGATTAGTGACCATTTACATAGGGTTTATTTTCAGTGTAATCCTTAGTAAATTTGACTATTTCTATTATTTTATATTGTATTCTTGGATTCTTTTAAGTTTTGCTAGGCTATGTTCTTAAGTTATGTATGTACATATGTTTTTTTTTTTTCAAAATAGGCAACTGGGAGACAAACTTTTTGGTTCCTTGCATTTTAAAATATTATTTTGTCCATATAATTGGACCATTATACTGATTATTTTGTCCATCTATTTGCACAGTATTTTTTGCGGGTATGTCAGTTGGGGTTTTAAAATGATAAATAATGGAATTAAATTCTGGCTAACCTAAGTAAATATGAATATATTGAAATGATATTGGTGGCTTCAGGCATCTTTGGGAAGTTTGAAAAGTGCTGGGCACCAGACAAGAATCAAAGTGGCTCAGAAATCAATGCCTTTCTGGTCTTTTACTGCGGATATATCTTTTTATGTTACTATTCTGAGCTCCTATTTCTCCACTTTAATATATTGGTCAATATCATCTCAAATTGCTTTCTCCAGTTTTCCCCCCAGAAGTCCATCAACATCTTTTACACTGATGGTGCATTTTTTAAAAGCATTGTCCAGGCTTTATTCTCTTTTTGTATCTTTTTGCCATTATTGCATTGAGATTTCAGAAGAGATGAGAGACAACATATTTTAAGAGTATGTTGGAAAACTGTTATGTCCAGAGAGTATTCAGAACGGAAAAGGGATTGAAAATCATGTTACCAGGGACATGAAGGGATAGACCGGTAATGTTTATTACAAAGTCTTAGGATTGGTGACATGTTAGCAGTCTCCCAACAGGCCCAGAATTCTAGGAAATTAAATAGCGGAAAATTTGGACTCAGCATAAGGAATATCTGTCCTTTCTTTTCTCTGTCCTCTACATTCCATCATACGAGTCAATGTTTTATATAACAAAATCTGGCATGGGCCTATTTCCGACTGGGAAGTGATTATTCCTGTTTATATTTAATGCAGGGAATTCCTCATTTATTAATGTACTCTTCTAAGAGGACTTCCTTCTGCCTTACCTTAGCCTCAAGTATTTTTTTTACAGCATTTGTTATAACAATTAGAGATTTATCAAGGAACTATGGAATACATGAAGTCAGGAAGGACAAATATAGAGAAAGATTACTTTCATCGCTATTGCTAGGTTCAGAGAAAATAGGCAAGATTAAATATAAAGATCTTGGGTTAAGCTTATGGGGAAATTTCCCAAGAAGATTGATTTTGGAAGTCATGTATTGCCAAAGAAGCAAGGATACCTTAAACTCCAGAGGTATTTTAAAAATCAAGCTTAAATAGGTTATAATCTGCCCAAATAATTTAGTGTGGTACTGTTTGAAAGTGGGAGGAAGGATTAAATTTACAAATTTCTAACAATTTTTCACAGGATCCTAGGGACTCGTAGGAGTGTAAGTCAGCTATCCCCCAGGGTGTGTGTGTGTGTGTGTGTGTGTGTGTGTGTGTGTGTACATACCTTAACAGTGTCATTCTATGAGTCCCATTCAAACTTTAGCTAATGAAGATCTCACTTTTATCTGTCTGTCTAGGCTTTTATAAATGATTTTTATTTGAAGAAATACTATACAAGTAAAAATTGGAGAAAACTTCTGGGCTTAATATAGAAGACTATATCAATATATATATAGAGAGAGAGAGGCTTAGAGATGCTATGATTAATGTTAGCAGTTTTGTTCCTCTTGAGTTCTTGTATCTAACTATGTAGTGATACGTGGGAATAGCCTAGAATAGTTTAAAATTCAGTGAGATGCCGTTGTTGATGGTCTTTTTTACCCTGCAGCAAAACAGTATCACTTTTTTTTTTTTTTGAGATGGAGTCTCGCTCTGTCGCCCAGGCTGGAGTGCAGTGGCGACATCTTGGCTCACTGTGACCCCTGCCTTCCAGGTTCAAACAATTCTTGTGCTTCAGCCTCCCGAGTAGCTGGGACTACAGGCCATGCCACCACGCCCAGCTAATTTTTTGTATTTTTAGTAGAGACGGGGTTTCCCCAAGTTGGCCAGGCTGGTCTTGAACTCCTGACCTCAGATGATCCCCTGGCCTTGACCTCCCAACTTGCTGCAATTACAGGCGTGAGCCACCGCACCCAGCCCAGTCTCACATTTTTGTGAGGAGGAAGCAAATTTATATTTATTACAATTGGAGCCCTGAAAGTAGAAGAGGAATTACAGTTCATTAAGCCTTTAAGCTAAAGGACTACCACTGTGGGAATGCCTAAGACCTTGATCAAAGGGTACATTAGAACCCATCTCAGGCTGTGATAGTAAGTCTTTTTGCCAAGGGTGGGGGAGTATCCATCACCTCAAGCATTATCTTCTGTATTTCAAACAATCAAATTATATTTTTTCATTATTTTTAAATATACAATTAAATCATTTTTGACTAGTCAACCTGTTGTGCTAGCAAATACAAGGTCTTATTCATTCTAACTCTATTTTTGTATCCATTAACCATCTCAACTTGTCCCCCATTTTTTCCACTACCCTTCCTAGTCATTGGTAACAGCTTTATAATCTCTGTCTCCACGAGGTCAATTGCTTTAATTTTTAGCTCCCACAAATAAGTGAGAACATGCAATGTTTGTCTTTCTATGCTTGGCTTATTTCACTTAACAAAATAACCTCCAGTTCCATCCATGTTGTTGCAAATGACTGGATCTCATTCTTTTTTTTAATCACTGAATAGAACTCCATACCACATTTTCTTTATCCATTCATCTGGTTTTGGCCTTTTAGGTTGATTCCAAATCTTGGCTATTGCGAAAAGTGCTGCAATAAACAAAGGAGTGCAGATATCTCTTCGATATAATGCTTTCCTTTCTTTTAGGAGTGGGATTCGTGGATTGGATGGTAGCTCTGCGTTTAGTTTTTTGAAGAACTTCCAAAATGTTCTCTATAGTGGTTGTACTAATGTACATTCCCATCAACTGTGTACAAGGTTTCCCTTTTCTCCACATCCTCCACCGGCATTTGTTACTGCCTGTCTTTTGGATAAAAGCCATATTAAATGGGTGAGATGATATCTCATTATAGCTTTGATTTGCATTTCTCTGATGATCAGTGATGTTGAGTAGTTTGTCATATATCTGTTTGCCACTTGTAGGTCTTCTTTTGAGAAATATGTATTCAGATCTTTTGACCATTTTGAATCAGATTATGATAATTGTTTGAGCTCCTTATATATTCTTGTTGTTAATCTCTTGTCAGATAGGTAGTTTTCAAATATTTTCTTCCATTCTGTGGTTTGTCTCTTCACTTTGTTGATTGTTTCCTTTGCTGTGCAGAAGTAACTTGATGTCATTCCATTTATCCATTTTTGCTCTCGTCACCTATGCTTATGGGGTATTACTCAAGAAATCTTTGCCTAGTTCAATGTCCTAGAGAGCTTCCTCAGTTTCCTTGCAGTAGTTTCAGAATTTGAGGTCTTAGATTTATGTCTTAATCCATTTTGATTTGATGTTTGTATATGGTGAGAGTTAGAAATCTAGTTTCATTTTCTGCATATGAATGTCTAGTTTTCCCAGTATCATTTGTTAAAGACAGTGTCCTTTCCCCAGTTGATGTTCTTGGCACCTTTGTCAAAAATGAGATTACTGTATATGTTTGGATTTATTTCTGCATTCTGTATTCTGTTCCATTGATTTATTTGTCTGCTTTTATGCCAGTACTATGCCATTTTGTTTACTATACCTCTGTAGAATAATTTGAAGTCAAGGTAATTGTGATTCCTCCAGTTTTGTTCTTTTTGCTTATGATAGTTTTGGCTATTCTGGGTCTTTTATGGTTCCATATACATTTTAGAATTTTTTTCTATTTTTGTGAAAAATGTCATTTATATTTTGATAAGGATTGTGTTGAATCTGTAGATTGCTTTGGGTAGTATGGACATTTTAACAATATTGATTCTTCCAATTTATGAACATGGAATAGTGTTCCATTTTTTGGTATGCTGTTCAATTTATTGCATCAGTATATTATGGATTTCATTGCAGATAACTTTCACTTATTTGGCTAATTCCTAGGTATTTTATTTTATTTGTAGTTATTTGAGATTATTTTCTTGATTTATTTTTCAAATTGTTCACTGTCGACATATAGAAATGTTACTGACTTTTGTATGTTGATTTTGTATTTTGCAACTTTACTGAATTTGTTTATCAGTTTTGATAGTTTTTTGGTGGAATCTTTAGGTTTTTCCAAATATTAGATTATATCATTTGAAAGATGGATAATTTGATTTCTTCCTTTCCAAATTGGATGTCCTTTATTTCTTTCTCTTGTCTGATTGCTCTAGCTAGGACTTCCAGTACTATGTTGAATAACAGTGGTAAAATGAGCATCCTTGTTTCGTTCCACATCTTAGGGGAAAGGCTTTAAGTTTTTCTCCATTCAGTATGATCCTAGCTGTGGATCTGTCATATATGGCTTTTTATTATGTTGAGGTAAGTTCCTTCTACATCCAGTTTTTGGAGGGTTTTTATCATGAAGGGATGTTGAATTTTATCAAATGCTCTTTCAGTATCAATTGAAAAGATCTTTGGTTTTTGTTCTTCATTCTGTTGATATGAAGTATCACATTGATTGATTTGCATATGTTGAATCATCCTTGCATCTCTGTAATAAATCCCACTTGGTCATGATAAGTGATCTCTTTAATGTGTTGATGAATTTCATTTGCTAGTATTTTGTTGAGGATCTTTATATCAATATTCATCAGGGATATTGGCCTGTAGTGTTGTGGGTTTTTTTTTTTTTAATATCTTGTCTGGTTTTGGTATCAGGGTAATAATGGCCCCATAGAATGAGTTTCAAAGTATGCCCTCCTCCTTTATTTTTCAGAATAGTTTGAGTAGGATTGGTGTTAGTTATTTAAATGTTTGGGAAATTTCACAGCACAGCCATTGGGTCCCAGGCTTTTCTTTGCTGCAAGACTTTTATTACAGCTTTGGTCTTACTACTTGCTATTGGTTTGCTCAGGTTTTGGATTTCTTTATGGTTCAACTTTGGTAGATTGTATATATCTGGGAATTTATCCATTTCTTCTAGATTTTCCAAGTTACTAGGATATAGTTTCTCCAAGTAGCCATCTATGACCCTTTGAATTTCTGTGGTATTGGTTTTAATGTCTCCTTTTTCATCTCTGATTTTATTTATTTTGGTCATCTCTCTCTTTTTATTAATTAGTCTGGGTAAAGGTTTGTCAATTTTATCTATCTTTTAAAAACACAAACTTTGTTTAATTCATCTTTTGTATTGTTTTCTTAGTTTTAATTTTATTTATTTCTCCTCTAATTTTTATTATTTCTTTTCTTTCCTAATTTTGGGTTTGGTTGCTCCTGTTTTTTTAATTCTTAAAATGCATTGTTAGGTTATTTATTGGAAATTTTTTTTCTTTTTTTGATGTAGGTGCTTATATCTATAAATATCACTCTTAGTCCTGCTTTCACTGCCTTCCCACAGGTTTTTGTATGTCGCATTTCCATTATCACTTGTTTCAAGAAATTTTTCAGCTTCCTTCTTAATTTCTTCATTGACCCACTGGTCATTCAGGAATATGTTAATTTCCATGTGCTTGTACAGTTTTCAAAATTACTCTGTTATTGATTTCTAGTTTTATTCTATTGTTATCAGAGAAGTTGCTTGATATTATTTCAATTTTTTGCATATTTTCAGACTTGTTTTGTGACCTAACACATGGTCTGTCTTGAGGATGATTATATGCTGAGCAGGAGGTGTATTCTAGCTATGCCAACTAGCTATGCCAGCTCTTTTATGCTTTTCATTGGCATGGAATATATTTTCCATCCCTTTATTTTGAATGTAAATGTGCCTTTACAGGTGAAGTGTGTTTTTTGTAGGGAACAGATCATTCAGATCATTGCATCTTGTTTTTTTTTTTTTTTTTTTTTTACATGCGTTCAGCCACACTATGTCTTTTGATTGGAGAGTTTAGTCCATTTACATTCAACGTTTTTTTTTTTTTTGATAAGTAAGGACTTAACCCTTGTCATTTCGTTGTTTGTTTTCCAGCCCTTTTGCGGTGTTCTCTTCTTCCTTTTCTTCCATCCTGCATCCTGTCTTTTTTTTAGTGAAGATGATTTTCTCTGGTAGTATGATTAAATTTCTTGTTTTTTATTTTTTCATGTATCCATTGTATGATTTTTGATTTGAGATTCCATGTTGCTTGCAAACTGTATCTTTTAACCTATTATTTTAAACTTATGACAACTTAACTACTGATTGCATAAGCAAACAAAAAGAAAACTAATAAAATCTCTATACTTTAATTGTATTCCCTCACTTTTAAACTTTTTGTTGTTTTCCTTTATGTCTTATTGTACTATGTCTTGAAAATTTATTGTAGTTATTATTTTTGATTGGTTCATCTTTTAGTCTCTCTAGTTAAGAGTAGTTTACATACCACAATAATAGTGTTATGATATTCTATCTTTTTCTATGTACATACTATCACCAGTGAGTTTTGTACCTTCAGAAGATTTTTAATGTTGATTAATATCCTTTGTTTTCTGGTTGTAGAACTCCCTTTAGCATTTCTTGTAGGAGAGTTGTGACGCTAATAAAATCTCTCAGCTTTTGTCTGTTTGGGAAAGTGTTTAATTTTTCTTGATGTTTGAAGGATATTATTACTAGATATACTATTCTAGGGTAACAGTATTTTCCTTCAGCATTTTAAATATGTAATGCCACTCACTCCTGGCCTGTAGGATTTCCACTGAAAAATCTGCTGCCAGATAGAGCTTCATTGCATGTTATTTGTTTCTTTTATCTTGCTGCTTTTAGAATCCTTTCGTTATCCTTGACCTTTGGGAGTTCGATTATTAAATCTTTTGAGGTAGTCTTCTTTGGGTTAAATCTGCCTGGTGTTCTATAACCTTCTTGTACATGGATATTGATATCTTTCTCTAGGTTTGGGAATTTCTCTATTATTACCCTGTTGAATAAATTTTCTACCCCATCTCGTTCTCTTAATCCTCTTTAAGGACAACAACAATTAGATTTTCTGTTTTGAGCTTATTTTTCTAGATCTTGTAGATCTGTTTCATTTTTTTCTTCTGCTTGATCAATTCTGCTATTAAGACACTCTAATGCATTCTTCAGTATGTCAGTTGCATTTTTGATCTCCAGAATTTCTTTTTTTTTTTTTTTTTTTTTTTTTTTTTTGAGACGGAGTCTCGTTCTGTCGCCCAGGCGGGAGTGCTGTGGCGCGATCTCCGCTCACTGCAAGCTCCGCCTTCCGGGTTCACGCCATTCTCCTGCGATCTCCAGAATTTCTGTTGGATTGTTTTTAATTATTTCAATCTCTTTGTTAGATTTATCTGATAAAATTCTGAATTCCTACTCTGTGTTATCTTGACTTTCTTTGAGTTTCTTCAAAACAACTATTTTGCATACTCTGTCTGAAAGGTCACATATCTCTGTTTCTCCAGGATTTGTCCCTGGTCCCTTATTTAGTTCATTTGGGGAGGTCATGTTTTCCCCATGTTTTCCTGGCTGAGCTTGATGCTTGCGTATGTTTGTCAGTGTCTGAATATTGAAGAGTTGGGTATTTATTGTAGTATTTAAAGTCTGGGTTTGTTTGTACCCATCTTTCTTGAGAAGGCTTGCCAGGTATTCAAAGGGACTTGAGTGTTATGATTTAAGCCAATCTGCATTAGGGGATACCCTAAGCCCGGCAATGTTGTGTTTCTTGCCGGCCTGTGGAAGTATTGCTTTGGTGGTCTTGGAAGAGATCCAGAAGAATTCTCTGGATTACCAGGCATAGATTCTTGTTCTCTTCCCTTACTTTTCCCCAAACAGAGTCTCTCTCTCTCTCTGTGCTGAGCTGCCTGGAGCTTAGGGTGAAATGAAACAAGCACCCCTGTGGCCACCATTACTCGACTGCACTGCATCAGACCTGAAGCCAGCAGAGCACTGGGTCTCACCCAAGTCCACGGTAGTTACCACCTGGTTGCTGCCTATATTCACTCAATGCCCTAGGGCTGTATAATCAGCAGATACTGAAGCCAGGCAGGCTTGTGTCCTTCCCTTCATGGCAGTGAGCTCCCCCAGGCCATGGGTGAGTCCAGAGATGCTGTCCAGGAGCCAAGGCCTGGGATCAAAAATGTTAGAAATCTACCTGATGATTTTTATTCTGTAGCTAAGCTGGCATTCAAATAATGAGACAGTGTCCATCCCTCTCCTCCTCCCTCCCCTTTCCACAGGCAAAGGAATATCTCCCTGTGGCCACCACCACCACAGGCCTACAGGGACTAATGCCAGGCTACCACTGATGTTCATTTAAGGCCCAAGTCCTCTTCTGTCAGCTTGTGGTAATGCTGCCAGGCCAATGACTCACAATTCAGGGCAGTGGGCTCCCATCTGGCCCAGGACCAGTCCAGAAATGCTGTCCAAGTGTCGAGGCCTAAAACTGGGGACCCCACGAGCCTGCTTGATACTCTGCTCCACTGTGGCCAAGCTAGTACAAAACAGAGTCCCCTTTACTTTTCCCTCTGCTTTTCTCATGTAGAAGGAGTCTCTCACCATAGCCACCGTAGCTGGAAACGTGCTCAGTCTCGCCTGAAGCCAGCACATTTCAGAGTCTCAACCAAACCTACAGCATACTACTTGAGTATCATTGCTGGTTATAAAGGGCCCAGGGACCCTTTAGTCAGCAGATGATGAATCCTGCCATGACTGTGTCCTTCCCTTCTAGGCAGTGGGTTCACTTCTGGCCCAGGGAGTGTCTAGAAATGTTGTCAGGGTTTAGGGCCTGGAATGGGGGTCTCATGACTCTGCCTGGTGCTCCATCCTATTGTCGGTGAGCTAGTAACCAAGATGCAAGTCAAAATTCTTTTGATTCTTCCTTCTTCCCTCCTCAAGCACAAGGAAGGAGTCACTTTAGTTGTTGTAAGCTGTGCAGCCTATGGTTGGGAGAAGAGTGTGCAAGCACTCCCTTAGCCACCCTGGCTGGTGTCTCACAAGGTTTTGTGCTGCTTAAATCCACTGCCTCTGACCCCAGCACAGCACTAGGGCTTGCCTAGAAGTTGCAATCCTTGTGGTCTAGACTGCATTTCATGTTTTTTTTAGCATCCCAGAGAACTTCAGCCCATGGTTCTGAGGCTTGCTGCAACTCAGATTCCAATGACTGAGACAGGCAATTTCCCTGTGGCTAGGGCTTGTCTAAATGCTCCCGCCATGGGTAGAAATGGGATGAATTCAGTATGGTTCTGCTTTCTACTGTGACAAGGTAGCACTAAGTTAAATGTAAAATCTCATAATCCTTGTGCTCTCCTTCTCCCAAGTGCACAGATTCTCCACACCATACAGCTGCTGGGGGATGGAGGATGGGTGGTTTCTGCAAGACTGTCTTTCCTACCCTCTTAATGCCTCTTTCAGTGATATGAAATTAAAACCAGGTATTTTGATTGCTCATCTGATTTTTGGTTCTTATGAAGGTTTTTTCTTTTTTTCTTTTTCTTTGTGTGTGTGTGTGTGTGTGTGTAAATCATTGTTAAATTTGGTGTTCCTGTTTGGTGGAGAAGAATGATGATTGGTGGAGGCTTCTATTTGGCCAATTTGTTCTGCCCTTCCCAGCTAAGTCTTAGACATTTTTCTATTTTGTGATCATATGTATTTAGGTTTTTACTTTTTTTTGTCTTTTTTTTTTCCTCACAAATGTAATTATTTGTTTGTTTGCTTTTCCTAAGGGTCCAAATGGATCAAAAAGTACTAGTGTCTATGGGGAGCTTAAATGATCCCAGAAAATGTCAATGTAGGATCTTTGATGAGATCTACACTTATTCTTATAAATCATCAAACATATCTAATATTCAAAATAAGAATCAACAAAATAAATTTTCAGGTGCTCACAAAGTTGCTCAAGAACACTGGCCAGTCTACACTGAAATTGTCCTTTCTTACCCAGCAGAGAAATCTAATTATTGTAACCCTCAGAAAACCCACCGTAATTACCCCTCTCTCTCAACAACAAGCTTTCTTCTTCTCAAGAGCAGAAACAGAAACATGAAATCAAACAGCTTTCAAAGGGCTCAGGTAGATGTGATGGGCTCTCACACCAAGCTGGGAATTGTCTGCCAAGTTTCCACAGTGAACAAAACCCTAAAAGCAACTTGGAGTTTTTGTCTATGCCAATACTGAAAATGTTTATTGCCAAACTGAATGAAATAAGCTTCATAATAAAGTTACCTTCCTAATCATAAGCTTCATAATAAAGTTACCTTCCTAAAGGTTTCACCTTTAATCTTTACCCTAAATATGTGATGCTGTATTGGCACCAATACAATATAATGCACTTAAATTAATTTGAGCTTGAAGTGATTATTTGTGATAGTACTTTTTTTCTTTGGAAATCTTTCTGCAAAAGACATAAAGAACTGATGGGTATCATTTGGACTTGTTTTTATTTTTCCAGATATTTTTGTATAAAAGATAAAGTAAAACTAAGTGCTTAAATAAATGAATTATTTTGATTAGAGAACTATAAAAAAATTAATTATCATTCTAATACCCTTTCCTTGAGTTTAATTATTTTTCCTCACTTCAGTGACTTCAACACATTCATATGCATTAGTGAATTAGATCCAATAAACATTTGCTGAGTACCTAATGCATTCAATACACTGTGCTAGATACTACAAGGAATAATACAAATATGAATATGATTTCACCAGATCACTAATGCATTTATACAAGATATAAGCACATAAAGAATTATAATAAAAGGCAAATTTCAAAATTCTGGTGTCACAAGAGCAGAGCTAACTGAAACTGTGGTACACAGGAGCTTGAGATCACACATTGTTACAGAGACCAGGAAAGGTAATGGAAGAAGGGACCCTAACCAGGGACTAGAAAATGGGAATGTTTCAACAGAAAGAGATGTGCTAAAGTGTGCAGTGTTTCAGGGAAGGCTGAGTGATTTAGTTTGGCTGGTTTTAAGACAAAAATGACATAGCTGTGGGCAGTAAGTCTTAGTAGAAGATAAGGCTACGATGGTGGTTGGGGAATATACTGAAGTTTAATTATAACATAGCTAATATTTATCACATTCTTATGTGCAAAGTGCCAGGCTTTACATGTGCTATTCTTGTAACTCCCCCAACTGTCCAATGAAGTAGGTACTATTATTCCACTTAAAAATGAGGACACATTTTAGAATGGCAGATTCGGGAAGCATAGTTCGGGGGAAGCCACAGATTATGGTGGTTAACTGTATGGCTTCTGGAGCCATAAGTTTAAATCCTACCTATTTCTTCTACTAAAAACCTTGGCAAATCTCCTAACTGCTCCATGGCTTACTTTCTTTATCTGTAGCATGAGGTTGAAAGAATAATTTCCTTATGGAATTGTAATGAATATTAAACGTAGTGCCCAGCAAATAAGTTGTTATTAGTTTGAACAATATGAAATCATTGCCTTTGTAGGTCAAATATTGGCAATTTCAAATGGCTCAATCTAATAGGTATTAGATGTTATTAATTTAGAAGACAAATGAATGTCATTGAAAGGTTTTGCCCTCTGTAACTACATCCTATTTCTTGTTCTTTCCCATATATATGCCTCCACCTAATAGTTATACCTGCTGTCTTTATCACTTCATCAATTGCATTGCAAGGGGCTTCTTTCCCCTTCAGTTTCAAAAACCAATCTAAATAGCCCTAAACCAAATTAAACAGTAATGACACCTAACTGAATATTTCATAGTAGAGCCAAGAGATAATAAAATATACCACTATATCAGGGAAAAACATATATATATATATAATGTTTAATATTTTTTCAGCTATGGGACCAGACTTGTAATAAGTAATACATACATATGGGGAATTTTATAAAAATATTTCAGATAATTCCTTCACTCATTCATTTATTCTTTCATTCACTTATTTATTCAATCAATTTTTATTGAGCACATCCTACGCACAAGACACAATATTAGGTACAGAAAAGCTATAAAGATAAATGTGACACATTCTTTACCATTAATAATAATATATATTATCTAAAATTTAATTTGAGCTAATATATAACTGACAATGAAATATTTGGACCACCTAAAACAAGGATAAATTATTCTGTGACAAGTTTATATTCTTGCATTATGCAAAAATGATTCGAAAATAAACTATTTTTTTCCCAGAAATTGTATGAGCTATACATTGCTATGTAACAAATTGCCCCAAATTTAGCGGCGTACTACAACAAACACTTCTTATCTCATACAGTTTCTGAGGATGAGGAATCCAGAATGGTTTCCTTGGGTTTTCTGGCTGAAGGTCTCTCATGAAATTACGGTCAAGCTATTAGACAGGGCTGCAGTCATCTGAAGGCTTGACTGAGGCTGGAAGATCTACTTCTAAAATGGCTGTTGACAGGAGGCCTCAATTCCCTGCTGGCATTTGATAGAAGGTCTCAGTTCTTCATCATGTAGGTCTTTCCAGGGCTGCTCAGGACATGGCAGTTGACTTCCCCCAGAGCAAGTGGTCCAAGAGAGAGCAAGGAGGAAGCCACAGTGACTTTTATGACCTACTTCAAAGTCTCACAGTCTCTTCCATTTTCCTGTATTAAAAGTAAGTCCCTAATTGCTAAAAGAGTACATTTTTAAATGTTCTCACCACAAAGAAATTATAAGAGGTTATGGATATGTTAATTAGCTTGATTTAATAATTCCATAATGTATACATATATAATAATATAATATTGTACCCCATAAATACATACAATTATTATTTGTCAATTAAAAATAAAATAAAAAGACGTAAGTCACTAAGTCCAGCCCATTTTCAGGATGAGGAAGATTAAGCTTCATCTCTTCAAAGGAGAAGAATCAGACTTTATGGATATAAAACTACCACAGAAGTGATGTTAATGTCTCATTTGAATAATTGATTTGAAATTTTTTGCATTTGGTAGAACTCTGTGCTTGCATGTGCTTGTTACTTTTTTGTTCATAAGTTTTAAATAATAACTTTACTATTTCCTGATGTAAAAAGTAACAAATATAAACTATAGAACACTTAATACAGATAGGGAAGTTAGAAAAACATGAATCACTCATAATTCTACAATGCAGATATAGCCATTTTTAACATGTTTTTATTTCTTGTGTGTATATATATGCAAATATTAGTGTTCACACACACAAATACATATATATATACACACACATACATATATAATATATATGCCTTAAGTACATAATAAATATTTTGGAACATGTGTATGTGTATATTCTTATTTAGATATATAAGAATTTACCCCTGTAATTAAAATTACTTGGAAACAGAATTTTAATGGCTACATAACAATATACAAATAAATGTTTATTTCCCTCTTTTTTTTTTTTTAGAGACGGAGTCTTGCTCTGTCGTCCAGGCTGGAGAGCAGTGGCGCCATCTCGGCTCATGCAACCTCCGCCTCCCGGGTTCAAGCGATTCTCCTGCCTCAGCCTCCCGAGTAGCTGGCATTATAGGTGCCTGCCATTGCACCCGGCTCATTTTTTGTATTTTTAGTAGAGGCAGGGTTTCACCATGTTGGCCAGGCTGGTCTCGAAATCCCAACCTCAAGTGATCCACCTACCTTGGCCTCCTAAAGTGCTGGGATTACAGGCGTGAGCCACCGTCCATGGCCTATTTCCCTCTTTCATCTTTTAAAATAATTTTCTGAACATTTAGGCTTTTTATTTCCTTTTGTCACAATAAATAACAATATAAAACATATCTTTGCAGAATGTCTTTGTATCTCTGGTTATTTTCATATGATAGGATCTTACAAGTAGAATTATAGGATAAACAGACTACTAAATTGCCTTCAAGAAAAATTATATCTATTTGTATTTTTACCAGAAGTTTGAGTCCCCATCTCATGGTGATTTATTGAGTATTTAATGTTATCATTTCTTAATCTTTGCTAATAGGCCAAAATGTGTATTTATTTATTTATTTTACTTTGTACTTCGGTGGCATGTCAGTTATTATTTTACTGTCTCTCAGCTCCACATTCACTGTTGGTTGCCCGCTCCGTGAAAATAGATATAGACTCTTGAAATGTTTCCTTTGCAGCTTGCATGATGGCATACTTTGTCAGTAGAGGGCGCTGGAGACACACTGCAAGAGGAAGGGGTCTTTCCTGATTCCTCCAGGCTGACAGGCCAGGCTACTGGAGAGCAGGCTTTTTTCCTTCACTACTTTGCCTGGAGTGGTTTCTGCAGTGCTGGTTGCCTGTAGGGTGCAGCTTTCTCCAGCATTTCTCCACTTGCTTCTCTAGCTTTTGCTTTGGGCAGTGGTGGTATAACCTGGAGCCACAGTGCAAGCCGGTCCTGAAGCTCCAATTGCTGCTCTCCATTTCTTCTCTTCAGCTGGGTGCACACTCATACAGAGGACCCTGCTGGGCTGGCCAACTACTGAGCCACTTGCCTGAGCTTTGTCTTGTGCAGTCTCGTCACACAAAGTTATGCTAGGTTCCTGCAAAGTAGGTCCCTCCGGCTCCTAATCCCAACAGTGCCTCGAACAGAACCCGTGACTCCTTCTTTGTGCTTACCCTTTGGCAAAGCCCCAAGTCCCTCTGCATATCTGCCCACCTGCCTCAGCTGGTCCACACCTAGGGGGTTGGCTGTACCAGCTTGTCCAGTATCTGTGGTCCTGCTCTGGCCTGGGCAAGCCAGCAAACTTCTCTCCAGTGGGCTGCAACCACACCTTCTCCAGTGAATTCTGAAACCCTCATTCCTGCCTTTCCTTGTTAGGATTCTTTCCCTCAGCCTTAGGGTACCTTCTCTTTTCATCTTTATTATTATTCTCCTATCATAGCTTAATTATTATTTATATTAAACTTTCCCTGTTTAAATTACTACCTTGTTTCTGTCTTCTGATTGATACAGACTAACACAGTTGTTCACTGTTAAGATACGACTTTTTTCATATACTTAGTGGCCATTTGCATTCTCTCTTCTGTGATTTTTCTTTTCATATCTACCTTTTTTTTCTATGTAAGACTTGGTTCTTCTCTTATACATTTCAGTCTATTGAAGACTAACCTTTTGTCATGTTCATGGCAGGTACATGACACTAGTTTTTTATAAGTATGTTGAATTTTAACTATTACATTTGCCTCATTTAAGTGAGATGAGACTATTTTCTTATTAATATTGACAGGTGAAAGAATAGCGATGCAAGCCTCTGGTTTACTCAGTAAGAGAGACTTCTTAGGCTTGAAAAGGCCATAGCACACTTTCACCTTCAACCAGTTTAGGTTTGGTAATACTGAGAAGTAATGCCTTTGTCTTAAAAATGTTTCATATTTTAATATTGTTAATCTTCCAGTTGGGTTTACTGCATATAATCTCATTCCTTAGTACATGTAATATGATCAATTTACTACAATGCTTATGAGGAATGCAAATGGAATTAGTTTACAGAATGAAAGAATGTTGCATATAATTCCATTTTAATACAGAATTTATAAATAAAATCATAGTTTATACTTATAGCATTTCTTCATTTTTAGTGTTTTTTTTTCAAGTGGGTTAAACAGATCTGTGAGTACCTTGAGAGTTGTCATGTAGAATAAGATGCTAAGAGGGCAGAGTTTGGGATTCCCTATGTAACTTCAGCTACAACAGCCTTGCTTTATCCATTGTATTCATTCAGCAACAAATAGGTATTTGTGGGCCAAGTCTTACTTTAGCCGATGTAATATGTCTATGTGATATAAACATTTTTTTGAAAAATAAATAAAGAAAAAGTTCAATTAACTTAAAAAAGAGCTTAAGAAAAGCTTTGAACTGATGAAAGGTCTTTCATCAGCAGAAGAGAGAGAATAAAAGGGCTGGGGGGAGGTTCAGAAAATTTCAATTAGGATTTCTTAACAGAGTCCATAATTTTTCCTTTCCAAAGGCCAGACAGCTCTGATGTTACAGATAGTCAGAAGTCAACAGGCCATTTAAGATAGTCCTAGATTTTATGAAAATGCCAGAGTTTTCAAGAAGCTACTGTCACTATCAGGTAGATTCCTTGATGGTGTAAGACTGTATTTCTTTTTCATTCCAAGAACTGGCAGCTTCTTTTTTCTGAGTCATTTCTGAATCCATTGATTATGTTTCAGTTCTCTTGAGAGTCCAAGCTAAATGAAGTTTAAACTGCTTATCTGAAGACACCATTTAAATTTGAGTTCATTACATGGTTTACTATAAAAGCTATTTGGCATATGCAGTATTCAAGCTTATTTCAGTTACTGAAACTAAACTCAAACTCATTTTGTCCAACTGTGAACCCTAATTAACCTCATCACTTCAAAAAGAAATGAGCTTTTTTTGACATTCAATTTTCTACGATTCAAGTCTCATATATGTTCGTATAAATGCAAGTACAGAACTTATGCATTCATCAAAGAGTAATATCTCTGAGTTTTTTGAAATGTTTTAGCAATAGAAGCTTGTACTGCTAAACTGTTGTCTCTGTTTTTATTACTAGTTTATTTTGAAGACATTTCAGTATAATCGCCTTTTCTTTATTGAATCTGAAAATGAGAAGAAGAAAGACTATTAAAAATTGGACATATTTTGTGCATTGGACATATTAAAGAACGGAGTATCCAATGTGCATGCTCTTGACTTACTTTGTTACTATTCTTTGAATCTCTCTTTTCTCTTCTTCATTTAATCTTTGAAGAATGGATTCCAAGAGAGAAAAGTGAAAGTTAATGTACTGAGCCACCTAAGAAAGAAGAAGAAGAAAAAAAAAAGAAAGCAGAACAATTATGCAAGAGGTGCTGAGTCAGGAGGGAAGCAAAAAACAGATTCAGGGTGATGGTATTCATACATCACTGCTAATTTCTTCTGCATCTTTATCCATGAGGAAAATGCGAGCATTCTTTTCAGAAGGTCCCTGTAGGAGCCTCTGCAGTAGCGGAATGTCTGTCTTCTTTAGTCGTCTTTGTTCTGCAGTGAAAACAAGAATCAACCACAATCAGAAGTTCATGCTGCAGGAAAAGAAGGAAGATAATTTTCCAATTTATTTTTCGTATTTAACTCACTTTGAAAAAAATAACACCTGCAACAGGAGGCAATTACTCAAAAAAGCAAATTGAAATTAAAACTTAAATGAACTTCTTTCTCTTACTGTATCTCAAGTTTTGATTAATGTCTCAAAGAACTCAGCCTTCCTTTGATTAGAGTGTTCAAACAAATCTCCGGTCTGATAGGCCTTTTATAAAGCAATATGCCTCAATAATTATTTAGGTTTCATTCCACCATTCCTTCATCCATACAACAAATATTTATTGGTTCTTTCCAAGTTGAGTTGATGTAATTCCATCTTTCTGGTTCTTCAGGTCCAAAACCATGTAATTATTTTCAATTCTTCCTTTGTCTCGCTCCACACCCAATTCTTGGCTCATCTTTAAAAATATATTCATGAGGTTTTTGAGATCAATAATATTCTTATTATTCATTCATCTGGGCTTAATCCATTCAGCCATGAAAATGAGATAGAGAAAGAAAATATCTTCCAATCTGGTGTGTTTCCAGAACTTCAAATTTCCAAAAGTTATAATATAAATACTCCTGCTACAAAAGTACTTATAGCTTTCTGTCAAAGTAGTTTCACATCTGGGATTTCATTTTTATCAGAATAAAGCATGAACAAAACATAGTGTCCTTATATTCATCTTATTTCCTCATTCTCTCCTTCACCTTGCTTACTTTCTTCAGAACAGTGAGAACTGTTCTCATTCCCTGAGCTGGACTTATCCCAGGAAAAGAGTCAAGAGAGAGTCTAGAACTCAAAAGCCCAGCCTCCCCACAATTAAAGTGATATTACCCATTCCTGTTCACATAGTGTCAGTGTTTACTGTTCTAATTCCTCTGCCATTTCTGAAGCAGTTGGGAGCCTTGACAACTTAGCTCCTCTCATCCACCCACCAGAATCCTCTTTTGACCTTCAGGTCCAATGTTAACTTGGCTTAGCATCCTCTTGCTTCATGATTCTGCTTTATGGGATGATTATTAAAAATAATGATTAAAAAATTATGATGATGATTATTAAAAATGCATATTCCTAGAGTTGTCCCCTGATCTGGAAGGACTTGGGAATCTGTATTTTAAGTGAACTCTATAGGTAATCTGAAATGAACTACAGTGTGAGATACACTGTAATGGGCTTTGTAGATATAAAGTTAAAACCCACCTATCTCTGTTTTCCAGATTACTGCCCAAACAGGAGCCATATGCTCTCTTCTGACCTAGTTATTATTATCTGCAGTTATGGATATATGCAAAATTTTGACACAAAATATAAAAGAAAATGGGATTTTTATAGGTGAAATTATAAAGAACTACATTTTTTATAATGAAAATAGACATTTTTTTCTTATAAAAACAACACGCTTGTTCGTTCATAGGTCCAGCACCTTGTGTGGAGCCCAAGAATGACTGGAAGGAAACTAAGCCATATTTCTGCTCAACTGCAGGCTAAAGTTAGAGGTGTGAGGAAAGAACGAGGTGCATGTGAATGGAATCCAAGTCTTGGAGAACACCAAAGAGGGAATTTTCAAATCTTGTACAACCTAGCTGTTCAAGTTATCACACAATCATTTAAGACTTCTTAATAAAACTGCTTTTTTTAAACTTAAAAAAAAATTCCCTTCCCCAAACATGCATGCTATTGTAATTGGAACAAACGAGAAAAGTATAAAGCAGGAAGTAAAGCACAACTGGAATTTCCAAGCCCTGAGATACTCTGCATTACCCTTTGAGTGTCCCCCTCACACAACTCATAATACATAAAGGTAATCATATCGTGCTTGCTATTTTTATTGTACACACCTTTAAACAAATCATTTTTTCTCTTTTTTTTTTTTTTAGACGGAGTGCAATGGCACGATCTCAGCTCACTGCAACCTCCGCCTCCTGAGTTCAAGCGATTCTCCTGTCTCAGCTTCCTGAGTAGCTGGGATTACAGGTGTGCGCCACCACACCTGGCTAATTTTTTTGGTATTTTTAGTAAAGACGGGGTTTCACCATAGTGGTCAGGCTGGTCTCAAACTCATGACCTCAAATGATCCGCCCACCTCGGCCTGCCAAAGTGCTGGGATTACAGGCATGAGCCACCGTGCCTGACACCCCCCTTCTCATCCTCTCATCTGCATTTCCCCAATCCCCCACCAGGTAATCTATCTCAATGGTTTTGTATTTATCACTCCATACCTTTCTCCCTAGTCATAAGACCATATATACCACATACTTAAATGGGAGCTTGTAACTGTTTAAAAAATGGGATCTTTTATATATACCTTTAGGCATCTTGCATTTCTCACTTAAAATATATTATGGAACTCCCTCCATTCTATTGGCATAAATCTACTCATTCCATTCAATGGCAGCCTAACAATCACTTATTTAATCATTTCCCTAGGATGAGTAACTTTGTCTTTAGCTTTTTGTCCTTATAAACAGTGTTACACATAAATCTGTAGGCACTAGTGCTTATATTTTTGTGGGATAGATTCTCACAAATGGAATGGTCAAGTTAAAGGACATATATACTGTAAATTTTAATAAATATTGCAAGAATAAATTCCAATAAGAAGAAAGTCATATTTTCACTAGTGTTGCATAAAAATATCTTTTTACCCTGATGCATGCCAGCCATGGGTAGAATCATTTTAAAGCATTTTGCCAATCTGAGAAGTGCAAGATAATATTACGGTGTGGCTTGAGCTTGCATTTCCTTAGCTACTTGCATTTCACTGAATTTAAGACTTTTCTAAAACTATTTAACTGGTTATTATGGTTTTTCCTTTCAATTGTATTTTCATGCTTTTTTCTATTTTTATCGGATTGTCTGTTGTTTTGTTACCATTTTGTAGGAAATTATTGGTATTATAGTTATTAATCTTTGGAGTACATTGACAATATTCTTTGTAATCTACTATTTGTATCTTTTAAATTGTTACACAGTCCAGTATTGCTACCATTTATTTTATATCTTTTGGTTTTCTTTCTTTCCTAAACAACTAGAATATGAATATATATGTGTCCTTAGAATTTTCCAAAAAATAGATCTTTATTTTATTTTATTTTATTTTTATTATTATTATACTTTAAGTTTTAGGGTACATGTGCACAATGTGCAGGTTAGTTACATATCTATACATGTGCCATGCTGGTGTGCTGCACCCACTAACTCGTCATCTAGCATTAGGTGTATCTCCTAATGCTATCCCTCCCCCCTCCCCCGACCCCACAACAGTCCCCAGAGTGTGATGTTCCCCTTCCTGTGTCCATGTGTTCTCATTGTTCAATTCCCACCTATGAGTGAGAATATGCGGTGTTTGGTTTTTTGTTCTTGCGATAGTTTACTAAGAATGATGATTTCCAATTTCATCCATGTCCCTACAAAGGACATGAACTCATCATTTTTTATGGATGCATAGTATTCCATGGTGTATATGTGCCACATTTTCTTAATCCAGTCTATCATTGTTGGACATTTGGGTTGCTTCCAAGTCTTTGCTATTGTGAATAATGCCGCAATAAACATACGTGTGCATGTGTCTTTATAGCAGCATGATTTATAGTCCTTTGGGTATATACCCAGTAATGGGATGGCTGGGTCAAATGGTATTTCTAGTTCTAGATCCCTGAGGAATCGCCACACTGACTTCCACAATGGTTGAACTAGTTTACAGTCCCACAAACAGTGTAAAAGTGTTCCTATTTCTCCACATCCTCTCCAGTACCTGTTGTTTCCTGACTTTTTAATGATTGCCATTCTAACTGGTGTGAGATGGTATCTCATTGTGGTTTTGATTTGCATTTCTCTGATGGCCAGTGATGGTGAGCATTTTTTCATGTGTTTTTTGGCTGCATAAATGTCTTCTTTTGAGAAGTGTCTATTCATGTCCTTTGCCCACTTTTTGATGGGGTTGTTTGTTTTTTTCTTGTAAATTTGTTTGAGTTCATTGTAGATTCTGGATATTAGCTCTTTGTCAGATGAGTAGGTTGCGAAAATTTCCTCCCATTTTGTAGGTTGCCTGTTCACTCTGATGGTAGTTTCTTTTGCTGTGCAGAAGCTCTTTAGTTTAATGAGATCCCATTTGTCAATTTTGGCTTTTGTTGCCATTGCTTTTGGTGTTTTAGACATGAAGTCCTTGCCCATGCCTATGTCCTGAATGGTAATGCCTAGGTTTTCTTCTAGGGTTTTTATGGTTTTAGGTCTAACGTTTAAGTCTTTAATTATAGATCTTTAAGCTTTCAATTATAAGAACTTTAATTTTATATATGTTTAGAGATACAGCTTTCATTTTCTTAAGGTGTTCTGGCATCAAAATGTATTATTTTATTCTAATAAATTTCTGGCTTGAACATTCTGACACTTAAATTATAGCATGAGTTTTTTCTACAAATTGATATATAAAATTTTTCATTTGTGAAGTTTTAAAAACTTTCATTTCAGTATCACTTTAAGTTTTCTCTATTCTCTCTATTATGCTCCTAGCATCCCACTTACAGCGCCTTCCCAATGTTCTGCTTCTAACCTTTCACCCCTCACCACGAAGTTCTGAATATGCATCTCTACTGAGGAAGAGATAGCACTCCCGCAATGTGTCAGACCCTGTGCTAAAAAAGAGGCAATATCAATGTCAGAGAGAACAGGTATGCAATCATGACTCCTCTAAGAGCAACACTCAGAAAGGAAAGCCAAAAAGAAAGTTACAGAGGTGAGCAAAGACAAAAGTGCCGAAACAGTTCCAGAGGGTTTTGATCTCCATTTAGATAATTTAATGTCTGGCCAACAAGCAAACTCTTTCATATAATCAACCCTTCAGGGATACCTTATTCTTAAGTTATCTTTCTTTAAAATTGTGGACTATAGATAATGTTCTAAAGACCACTCCTTCCTTTTCTCCTACCCATTCCTCCCCTTTCTCCACAGAATGAGGCAAACTGTTCTTCTGCCTTCCCCCTGGGCAGCAAACTGTAGCACTCTAGAGTCAGGTAAAAAGTGTGATCAAGCTTTCTTACCTCCTGTTGCAAAAATAATGTGAAGAGCAAAATCCTGGGGACTATTTTCAATCTGTCAAGGGAAAAAATGAACAAATATAAATTCTTTGTTGTTATATGATGTTTTCTAACCTGACCAGACCCAAATCATGTCTGTTTTCTCTCTTCCATTTTTCACTTTTAGACATAAAATCTTCTCTGCTCTTATGGGAATTATATAATTTTTCAAGGGATAGTTACTAAAAGGTGTTATACAAAGGAAAGAATCTTTCAGTGCTCAACATCCAATTTAGATTTACACCTTTATAGATCTGTTTCAGAAGAGTGGATTTGTGTGTTTATAGTTGAATTATATATAATATATTTATAGCTCAGTTAAGTGATAAAGGTTACCTTAAATTTTTGGAGAAGTTGCTTTATTACTTCTTCAGTTCTCATGTTACTGTTTACTCTGACCTTAGTTTCTGATTCAAAGGCTGGAATGAAAATTGATGTCTAGAAAAAGAATTGTCACATAAGTCTTTAAAATTATATTATATTAAGGGTATTCAATATCTTGAACATAATCTTCTTATAGGGCAAAAAAAATCCAAGGTCATTAATTTAAAAAATTTGTTTTGTTTTTGTTTGTTTTTCTTTGTTGTTTTTGAATATTATGTGTTCTTTTAAGCAGCTTTATATTGTTTCTAGAGTAAATTAGGTAAAACACCATTTGAGGATGCTTATAACATTTTCACTGGACAATTACACCCCTCTTTAGTGCAGTTTAAGATTTCAAAATAAGTAAGAAAGAATGTCACCAGATGCATATTTAAAAACGGATAGAGATATTAAGTAAGGATTTATTTCCACATATTTTATTTATATGCACAATCTCCAAGTATTCCAAGGCTCTGTAGAAATGGGGTGGGTTCAGCAGATGTAGAGATGGGTGGGTTTTGGGGTGGCTCATTGGACTGTTAAAAAGATAAGTCCTATATTGAGAGATCAGTAAATTAACATCAAAGTATACAGACACAAACATTTATAACACCCACACATGTAACACGCACACACACACACACGGCATTTGTGTGAGTAAAAATGTGGATATGTAAATAAGTTTTCTGAGAAGATGTGTGGAGAGTGTCTAGGATAAACTTTTATAAGTATGAGAAAATTCAATATTTGTAGACATTTTAGAGCATTGATAAGTTATTCTGTGACATTTACGATTTCTATGGAGCCCTGAAAAACCACATGTTCATCCTGCGCTAAGGTGAATATGATATGTTGTACACGTGGTTTGATGTTGTTTATGTGAAGAAGCTTCATGCACTATGACAATAACATGGATTACCATTCAGGAGACCTAGATTTTAGTGCCCACTAAATGCCCACGAACTCCAACTTTGTCAACTCATTTAACATCTTTATTGACTCACTTAACATATATTTGATAAATGACTTCATTTATAAAATAAGATAGTAAGACTAATCTCTAAGAGCTCTTCTAAAATGTCAACATATAGTGAATTTGTTTTTCAGAGCAGTATTTAAATCTATAGTCTTTATATCAGTTGTGTTGGCCAAAACATATAATGAAACCTGCTATCATTTACTATCACATTGATAGAAATATACTACTGGTCAAGTTATATTCACCATAACTAATCTCCAGATATGACAATCTAAGCCTTTAATATGTGTGTTATTCATAGCCTAACAATATTGGCATTAACAAGGGGCTTCATAGTATAAAAACATATCTTACGACACACAGCAACTTAAGAAACATATCCACTAAAATTCCTAGATGTCCGTCATTGTATAATTGTTGATAGAATGCTTTGTTTTTTCTTTTTTGTTTGTATTGTTTTCTGCTAGTTATTAAATTGCAGTGAATGACATTTGTGTAAAATATCTATAGTCCCAGCTTGAGCTCATTCAATCAACAGCAACAACATAAGCTAATGTAGACCGAGTTCTTTTGTGCCAGGTACTATTCTTATGCTGAACTTACCTCATTTCATTCCATCCCATCAACAGCCTTGTAAAGTAAGAAGAATGAAACTTGCTCAGCAAGAATGTAAAACCAGGCTGTCAAGCTCCAGGGCCCAAGCATTTAACCACCATTCCGTGCTGCCAACCTAGTGTCAATTTCATTTCCAGCACAAGTGATCCAATCTGAAAGCCACTTGCTTGGAGCAATGTGGCTTTCCTTCTTCAACACAAATTACCCCACAAGATAATGACATACAACACAATTTCTGTGAAGAGGGAAACAGGACAATTGGTAGGTACCTCTCTGTGGGGGACTATCAATGCTACTTTATAGCTATGAGAATGATTCTGGAACCCTAAAATTCTGATATGAATAAATAATTGAGAAGAGAGATTTCTCCCCACCAGGCTCCAAAGACACACTATCGTTACCCCCCAAGGGTAGAAGAAGAAGAAATAAAGTAGAAATCCTTACAGGAAAAAGCCTACAAAGCAATGAGTTCCTATTTCTTATTAAAGGCCTCAGAAGATACCTGGCACAGTGTAAGTGCTAAGTATTTATGAGATGGAGCGATGAATGATTGCTAAAGTACATCACATGAAAAATATTTGAGTTCTGGAAAAAAATGATGATATATTTCCTACCTTCAGCAAAATGTAATGTCTTACAAGCACTATGGAAAGGCACATATAAATTTAACACATATTCAGTGAAAAAGCAGAATGTGAATTGTATCTAAACTACAACTACACTTATATAAAAACGGTATGTGTATAGGTAAAAGACCTGGAACATGGCAACATGAGAAGTTTGATTTATTGGAATAAATTGGCCTGTGGCTTTTTCCTTTTATTTAAATGTTCACGTTCAAATGTCCTTTGATCCAACCACTTTGTAGCACTTACATTATTCCAGTATTATTGTTGGTATGTTGGTTTCCCTGCTCAATCCCTGAGCTCCGTGCTGGCTGAGACATCGGCTGCCTCATCTGCATGTTTTTAATACTTGGCACAGTGATAGAGTTCACCCATCATGGTGGTTAAAAACTTGTGTTCTGGAGTCAGACAAAGCTGGGTTCAGGTTGAGAGTTACTACTTAAGAGTAGCATAATCTAAGACAAATTGCTTAATCTCCATAAGCCTCAATTAGCTTATATGTCAAGTAAAGAAAATAATGGTACCTATTTCATAGGATTGTTTTAGTGATTAATAAGATAATTCAGTAAAAATCTATTTAAAACACATTTACTTTAATATCTAGCACATAGAGAGTGCCCCCAAGATGTTAGACATGCTACTGTTATTATTATGACTTTAAATTGTGAATTGAATTGGGTGGTATTGTTAGTGAAACAGGGAACCTTATTTTATATTACATTAATGGAATTGTAACTCACTTACTTCATGGTTATAGAAGTGTCCATTAATAGAGGCTCTATTTTTCTGTCTTTCTTTTCTGTCCATCATCAGAGGCTTCATCCTTTTTCTCACCAGAGCTGCTTCACTCATGGTTCTATAGAGCACTGGGGAGTCTGGTTCATCCTTTGCATGTGGCTTCAGGGTGTTGCTGTGATAAGATAAATAGTCTGGGAAGAATAGATTATAAGCTCATATCATTCAGCTGCCTGTGTCCTAGCATCCTGAGTGGATTTGTGTATGCTTTCATTAATTTTAGGAATATTGCTATTTTCTGGCTGTGTAAAAGCATTATAGTCCACTGCTTAGCTGCATATTTACTTATTAAATGTTGCCTGAGACTGACTCAGCAAATTCTGCCAGTATCTCATATAAAATTCTTATGTCTCATTCTTATGTTTCATAAGAAATGATCACAATGATCATGTTTGGGGTTTGGGCATTCCTTTAATCTTAATTTATTGGGGAGTGCATTTTGTGGCATTTCAGAGTGTTAGAGCTGGAATAAACCTGATACTTTATCAGGTTTGATCTCTTACAGGTAAGAAAAAGTACAGTGAGTTGAAGTGGCTTTCCTATGGACATAGTACTCATAAATGATAGAATCAGGTCTGGATCCTTATTTTTTTATTTTTATTTTTATTTTATTATTATTATACTTTAAGTTTTAGGGTAATGTGCACAATGTGCAGGTTAGTTACATATGTATACATGTGCCATGCTGGTGTGCTGCACCCATTAACTCGTCATTTAGCATTAGGTATATCTCCTAATGCTATCCCTCCCCCCTCCCCCCACCCCATTATATGTTGGCCCAAGTTCTTTGGAGCTTTTCCTAAAAAATAAACACTGGGCCTTAGTTTTCCTATAAAACTACAGAAAGCTCTTTGAGAAGCTATTTATATGGTATGTGGAGCATTGAAAGATTTTGTTCCCATCTTTTATAAAAGCAAAAGGAATAGTATGCTTTGGACTAGTCCTACTATTTGTAATATATCACATTATGTTCTTTTTAGAACATTCCAGATGTATGATATGAATGACTTTTTCACTTAGTTGTCCACTATCCTATTATTTCTTCTCATTGAGTCATGTATATTTAACAATGATTCATAATTGATTAGTCAAAATTTGGTTACTGAATTATTACAATTTCTATAGCAGATTTTAGAGTATAAAATTATAGTGTAGCGTTGAACAACTCTAGTATCTATTGAGTAGGCAGAAGGTGTTTAAATGGAATTGAATTGAGCTACAATGTGTTACTAGCCTAAGATGCAGAAGATTCAAACCTGCCTTCTGCCCCCCTTTCTGCTTGTATACAATTGATAGTACCTTTTTCAATTTCCTCTCCTATGCATATTCATATGTAAGAATAAGACCATGTGGTGGCATTTGTGTTTTATTTTACTTTAGGATTTTAAAAAATTTTCTACTGTAATTAGAACATTATCAAATAGGCATGAGATATTTCTTCCTTCTCTAGCACTGCTGTTTAAATACAAATATATTTTTATGATGTCTTTGATGCCAAGATACTGGGATTTCCTTGGGTTTCATATATATTTCTAAAAGATAATTGGAAGGGCCGATATTTAACAAGATGTAAAGATCCCATGGCATAAAGAGAAAAGGGAACCCTGGAAGGAACATCATGTTTGTCACAGGATCTGGGTTCCTGTGGAATAGCAGACGAGGCAGAATTGAGAATGATTTGAAAAAAAAAAAAAGAGAACAAACATTGCAAGTTGCTGGTAGGCTTATGAAGTTAATGCTAGTGGGATACCTTTGTTCACACTGAACTGACTTCGTAAATCACAGCCCCATTTCAGGCACATGAACCCTGTCCACCACCCCTCATTCTAGCTTCAGTCATCAGCATCCACTACTCTTTGAATCTTATGTGTTTATGAGAATTACATGAAAAAATTCATATAAAGTACAAAATATTATGCCTGATACTTACCAGAGTCTCATCAGATTACAGCTATCAATATCACTATTATTACTCTCACATCATCACCATTATGATTATAACTACTAATGTCACACATCCCTGGAGCTGGCATTTCCCATTGGTTTGCCAAGTTCAGTATGGATCCATTTGATCCTTAAGTATATTTCTCTTTTAAAAAGATCTCTGAAATAACTCTATCAAATATAAAATTGACTCCAGCATATCTGTGTCTTTCTGAGAAGTAATGTTATTGACATATCTATTAACTAACTAAAACGTTCAACTTCTAAAAAGATACAGAATTAGGTCTGATGGGCTTGGCCTAACATATAAAGCTATTGGGAATAATAAATGACTCTAATCTTTGGGGAAGATATTTAACAATTTTATGAATACAAACTTTATTAAAACTATTAGCTCTCCCTATTCTAATAAATCTAAGTGACATAATATAATTTTTTTAAGAATTATATTTTTATATACCAAAGTAAGGTTCTTAAACATCATACAAGCACTATAGTGACTTAAGTTACTATGCTCCTAAGATATTTAAAAATATATATACATATAAAACAAGAGTTTATTGTGTAGTAGTATGAAAAAGGTTAGATTTCAGAGAAACATATGGAGTCATACTTTACACTAATTAAAAATTAAGTCTCCCAATCAATAAGATTTTGATACTGACCTTCCTGGGAATTCCTTTTTTCAGACATAGGAATCTGGGTCCTGTCCAGCTCACTAATACGATAGAGATCGTCAAATTCCCCCCAGCGTGTCATTCTGAGAAGTAATAAATCTTGTAAGTACATCAGTTCCATTTATATTGAAGCCTATGATGGTTTCCAGATTTACAATATTAATATAGTAATACTGTGGGCCTCTGTAGGTGGATATATTGTCCAAAGTTATAACAATTTTATGATATTATTAAAATTATATTCATACCAAAGTGGTCAATATATGTTTTAAATGCTTCCTGTACTTTTATAGAGCATATCTTTTTGACGTAATAATTCAGTTACATACTGAAACACAAGTTATATAGATTCTGTAAAACATATGTCCAAATTGAATTAGTAGAAACCAAGATGATCAATTGTTATAAAGATATTTCACAATACTCTTAGGGGAGCTTGGGTATAAAAGTGTTCTTTATACATTCTGTCAATATGTATTGTACCTTTTGCATTCAAAACATTGTTAGGTAGAGTGGCTCTAAAATAATAAAATATAGTGCCTATCGTTTAAGGCCCTTGACTACCATGAAGAATGTAGTTTACGAAGGAGGAAAATGTATGAGAATTTTGCCAGAAAATTATGATTTCATAAAGAAACTAGCAATTTTAAGTGCATTCTAGTGCTCAGAATACATGAAACCTGACAAATGTTTATTTTTACGGCAGGTCAAAACTCAATTTTATTTTATTTATCTGGTCTTAAACAAGTTTCTTATCCCCTCTGTGCCTGTGTCCTCATCTGTAAAATAAAAATGATAATAGCATGAGGTAGGATAGGGTTGTTTTGAGGATTAAAAGAGTTAATTTGTATAAAATTCTTGAATCAGTGCCCTGAAAATAGTAAGCATTCAATATAGATTAACAATAATTATAATTATCCTCATCTCCATTGTCATCATCATCATCATCATCATCATCATCATCATCACCAGCATCTGTATCTATTTCATTCCTGATGGGCCAGGAACCATTAGGGACCCAAGGTGTTCCTGGATCTCTCTAGGCAAATGGTTGCTATTATCTAAGAATCTCTTCAGTAATGTCTGTTTTTCTTATGACTAAAATATATTCACTTATAGGGAATTTATGGCATTGACTCTGCCCGAATTTCATTGGTGGCAACAAAAAATATTTATTAATACTAATGGTAGTGAATATGAAGAAAGTCATCCCTTATCCTCTTTACTTTTGAATTCTTTTGAAGCGTGTTTTATGGCTACTATATCATTTGAGTCTCACAATAGCCTTATGATGTAGAGAAGGTAATCCTAATATATTTGTTAATTTTCCAGCAAGCTGTACTATTCAGAATACAGCCAATCAAAACAAATGTCATAAAGCCCAACTACAGGTAATAACTTTAACTCAAAGGAAAACTACCAGGTCCTGACTCAGAATCTAATTAGTCTTATGGCAGATAAAATTACCCATTTCCCCAAATCTATAGCAGCTTAATAATCAGAAAGTGGCAGACATAATTATCGTAGAAGGGGGGTTAGGAATGGAAAAGTCAATACCAATGAAAAACAGAAACTAAAAATGCAAAGTAACCTGATGCTATGTCATAGGGCTAAAGATAAGAATCCCCAGGATGCCAGTCAAATTCTCGGTGACCCTCGCAGACGTGACAGCTTAGTTTTGTCACACAAATATAGGAGGCCAAAAGTCATCCAATATATTCTGTGTTTGGCCCCTTATTTTTTTCTACCATCTACAGCAGAAAACACCAGTTTTCAGCTCTGGATTGTGTAATTTGAAGCATCACCCCATACAACTGTGCACATGACTAAGCTTCAGGGCAGTTATCCAGAGTTTTCAAGAGAAAACTGGTTGGAACTTTATGTAATATCAAATAGTTTAACTTGCCCAAACATGGGACTTCTGTTGCTCTGACTAAAGTTCAGGATGTATATCATTTGCAAATTTAAATGATGGGGAGGTTTTCTAAGGAGTTTAAAAATAAAAAGGAGGTAGAAATTTGATAGACAAATAGAATATGGTCACTTCCCTACCCATACTGTAAGTAAAAAAACACCACTGACGTTATTCAAATGTACACCTGTCCAGTTTGTGCTCTTTATGTTATTCTGTCATGACTTGTCCAAAATATGCAAAAGCTGAGTTTTGAAAGATATTAAAAACAGATGTGAAAAATAGCATAAGCAAACACAACCTTAACAAGGCTGTTCTTCTCTTTTGTTATGAAAGATTTCCAAAACACTTGTGCCAGATATGAGAGATCAAAGTACTGCCCATAGAATTGTTTCCATAAAGAATAACAAGTGGTCAGAGCTCAAAAAAACTGATTTTTTAAAAGCTTCTTCACTCCAATTAAGCTGATACTTCCTCTGTGTGACTCATTTCAAACATAATTAAACTAATGTGACAAGACCAATGATTCCGTCAAAGAGAGAACTGAAAGACACAAGATTATAGCCCTTCCTGCAGCTGAAGTTCTATTGTCATTTACCCCACGTTTACCCACTGCAGATATAAAATCTGTCATCCTGCAAGAGCAGAGGTGTAAGTTTTGCCTAGAGGTGCCCACTATGGGAAAAAGAAAATAGTTTAAAAGTAAGAAAACAGTAAATTTCTTTTCACAATTAAAGGCTGAGAATTAAAATAGATGTTATCTTAAATGAGACAACCAGAGGGAGGGTGTCTAGAACTGGATTGAAACAACAAAAGTGATACCTTAGGTGGCTATGCACCCCATTAGCGAACCAGAAACCAGGGAAAAGCCACTTCAAATTGTGCTGTGCCTTCCTGCCTGAGTGTTCAGCTGGCTCCCAGGAAGTACTCTTGGCTAATTAATGACAACCAAATCTAATCTTGCTCTTGTTTGCGTGTGGTTCTGTGTGTATGTAAAAGGAATGGGATCTTTTTCTGCCAAATGTTCTACAGTTAATCTTGTTACTGGAAAAGGACAAGCCAGTCAAGGTTTCTAGGTAATTTTTCTCCACTTTAAACAAAAAGAGCCAATTCCTGTTTGCTTCACAGCAATGTACTAATAAACAATGCAAAATGTAAATGGATCCTATAGCAGGTGTATCATGAGGATATTATTTTAGAACCTGTGGCAGTATATGGAGAGGCATATTACCTTGTCCACCTGGGCTCTTGAAACTCATCCAAAAATTCAGAATTGCTAGGAACAAGTGTTTTAAATTTGAGAAGTTAAAAAATATCATGGTTAATAATAATATATTGCATACTTCAAAAGAGTTAAATAAGAGAATTTTTTATATTCTCTATTCTCACCACAAAAAATGATAAATATTTGAGATGATTGATATGTTAATTAGCCTGTTTGGTTCATTCTGCAATGTACATATGCATAAAAACATGTATCCCACAAATTTATAGAATTATTATTTGTCAATTAAAAATAAAATAAAACTTAAAACATATCTTGGTAAAGCCATACAAAATAATGATGGTTTAAGGTGATACTAAAATTACCTTACTTCATTTCTGTGGCATTTTCCTTTAATGTTTGATATTTATTACATTTTCATGAATTAAAAAATTAAAATGCATCAAATAGATGTGACTGCTCAGAGAATTTTGCAATGAGGTCTTAGGTAATATGAAGTATGGTAGTTAATTTTATAAATCCGTATCTTGTACAGTTTTCGGAAAGCAGAGCCCAAGAGTAATTTTTCCTTTTAAATGATGCTCCTTGTCATTTAGAATCATAAGCCCCATCAGTCATCAGGTACCTGAAGTGAGAAATGTGGGGCTCTCTCAGGCTGCTGGAGGCTGCTGCCTCCCTTCCGTTCTTCCTTAGGCCCTGAGCCCTAAGCTCCTTGGCAATCCTTAGCTTGGATGGGAGACGAGATAGATAGAGGGACTAAGTAGTGACAACAAAGCAGAGGTAATTTAACCACAGGCTTCTGGGGATTTTGCTCTATACTATGGTTTGAATCTCCTCTTTGTGCCAGGCACACAGTTGGGCACTGGGATGAATAAAGCAAATAAAACAAAGATGAATAAAGCACATTCCCTACCACCGAGAAGCTTGCACTATAGACAAGGAGATAAGTATACAAAAATACAATTGACTGCATGTGTGTCAAGTGATATAGAAAAGTTTTCAGTGAGCCTCGTATAGACTGAGGGGTCAGAAATGGCTTTCTGGAGAACATGTTACCTCACCTGCGTCTTAAAGGACTGGTGGAAGAGACTCAGGCAAATGGATGTGGAGAAGCAGGGAGACTTCTAGGCAGAGTCAGGAAAATTAGAAATTGCATGAAATGTGTAGGGAATTACAAAACATTCAGCATGGCAGTAGCATAATTTTTGAGAAATATTGGCAAGGTGAAAATCATAGTCGGGCTTAAATATTTTTTCCAAAGGAAAAGCAGACTTCTGTCAAGGTGATAATTAATTTTCCCTAGTTGTGGCCAAATATTACATTGGGCAAATTGTCCTGGCAGCTCTTTCTCCATTGCCTCCTCTGATAGAATGCCAGCTCATCTAACAATGGATGCGAGGATGAATGGTGGGAAAAGAAGGCTTGGTATCTCAATGTATATACACAGTGGGTTGAGCTGGAGAGGTAAGGACTAAAAAGGAAGAAGGGATGGAAAAAAAGGATGAAAGGAACTTTTATACAGGTATGTTTCTTGCTGAGAATATTTATTAATTTTTCTGAAACTTGTAAAGGGGTAAGGAAAAAATCAGCCCAACCTGGATATCCAAGGGACACTTGCATAAGCCCACACAAGGGACTGTTTTGTGCATTTATTTAACTTCAAGTGCATTTCAGGGTGCTCTGTTGAACAGGATTGGGACAATCAGATGGAACATCATTAAGTTTCCTTGGTAGAAAGCACAATGAGCCCTTTGTTCCAAGGAAAGAAGACATTTAGATTTTATCCTCTTATTTTGGAGACCAGGCCAGGGTAAATCAAATTCTGACTTTACATTTTGCCTTTTCCAATGAAGGAATGCAGTCTCCAGGAGAGAAGTAGCAGAGCAGAGGAGTCAAGACCACAGGCTGTGGACCCCAGACAGAAGTAAGGCCCAGTCCAGTTCTGCCACATCGTAATTGGGGATCTTGCACAAATTAGTTAATCTTGAAGAGCCCTAGTTTCTGAACACCAACTTCATTGAGTTGCTGGGATTTTTTTTTTTTTTTTTTCAAAGTCTCACTCTGTTGCTCAGGCTGGAGTGCAATGGCGCAATCTCGGCTCACTGCAAACTCCGCCTCCCGGATTAAAGCGATTCTCCTGCCTCAGCCTCCCGAGTAGCTGGGATTACAGGCGGCTGCCACCACGCCCAGCTAATTTTTGTATTTTTAGTAGAGACAGGGTTTCATCATGTTGGCCAGGCTGGTCTCGAACTCCTGACCTCAGGTGATCCACCTGCCTTGGCCTCCCGAAGTGCCGGGATTACAGGTGTGAGCCACCGTGCCCGGCCATTGCTGGGAAATTAAATGAGATTGTGTGTAATCAGTTTTACACAAGCTTAAGTTTCCCTCCTTAAGAGTGCACGCAATAAAACTAGATATGAAGATCATCTTCTGAGGAATTAAAAACATGAAAGATAGCTTACCCTTTGCTGGAGAAGACGTCTGATGACTTCATACTAGTAAAAGAAGAGAATGGCTTCTCATCTTGTATTTTTAGCTGTATAGGTCGTTTTACTCCCCAGAAAATGTCCAGCATTCCTTCAACAATTAGTTTGCCATCTTCAGTCTAAGGAAGAAATGAATAATCCCCCAATTGTTTTTGTATTATTTATAGACGGTAAATGTTTTAACGAAGATGTAGAAATTAAGTGCGTAAGAAACCTAAATAGATTAAAAAGAAACGCCAGGGTTGTTGTTTGGCTTTCCAATTTATCTACAAAGCAATTCTATTTTTGAAACATTCTTTTATTTTTGAAAACAGCTATACCCAGCAAAGTGAGTAAATCATAATGGTAATGGCATGTCCACCAGAGGGCACAGTATGTCAAAATGCTTTCTGAACTCTGATTCTTCCATTAAGTGGAATTTTAATTCTCTAATTTTGTTTAATTTAAAATTAAAGCAGATTTAAAAATTATGCTGAACTAGAAATTAGAAAAAAACATCTATTTAAAGATTTAGCAGCTATTTCCTCATTGCTGAACAGAAAAAAATTTAACTCACAAAGTTATGCAAAACAAGTAAAATAACACGTGTGAAAACACGCTGTAAAAATTCAAAACATAGATATATTTTTTGTAAAAACAATAGCATTTGAAGAATTTCTTTAAAATTAGAAATACTGTAGTATAGCAGAAGAAGGAGACAAATTTAACATAAATTTTGTGGAAAGTTTTGAATTAAAGCATAAATAATCATTATATATATGAAAGTGCTTTTCCAATGTTAAAGTAATGTTTTCTGTTATAGAAACTTTGGAAAATGTAGAAACTAACAAAAGTCATATGCCAGCCACCCAATACCTATTTTAACATTCATTAACTATTATTAATATTATGAAGAATCAATTGTTAGACAACATTTAAACACTCAATTCTTATTTGAGAGCATAATGAAAACTCCAGACTCTGGAATCAGACAGACCTGTGCTCAAACCCTGGCTCTGCCACTTCCTAGTTGTGGCCTTGGACAAGTCACTGGCTACCTTTAAACTTGGGCTTTCTCATGTGAAAAACAGACATTATGATAACCCCTAATTCACAGCGCCTGGCATTCAATAGGTGCTCTATATTACTGTTTATTATTTCTTTGGCTGATAAACTTGCTTTGGAATCACTCCTGAAACAAAGTTTTGCACTTCTTCCACTTTTGACTTTACATTTCAGATTACTAAGAGGTCAGGTTACCAATCAGTTGTTTTCAACAATCAAACACAATTTATTCCTTGAAATGACTGTATATGATATAGATTATATAGTTAATGGTGGACAGCATTCTTTCTCTGCCTAACTAGAACTCAATTAAGCCTTTGTATCAAAAACTTATAGAATCTCTGAAAAGAAAAACAAAACCCACTACTCTGCTGAGGTTGTTAAATTCTTCATTGCTATATCTCCAGCTTTTAAAATGGTGTCTGGTACATGGTAGACATTCAATAAATATTTGTTTAATTAATTGATTAATTAACCAAAGATGAATAAAGCCACATATTGTCATCCAAGGACTGCCCCTTTTAAACAGTGTCAGAAGATTTGAAAAATTCTGAATTATGACTTTATTGATCAGTGTGTAAAGATTGAAAAGTCTGGTAGCCTCACCGTACACTTCACCTCATACAGTTTTTAAAAATTATATAAAACATGAAACTATTTTAAAAAATTAAATAACTTTTTTTTGTTTGTGTGTGTGACAGAGTCTCGCTCTGTCACCCAGGCTGGAGTACAGTGGTGTGATCTCAGCTTACTGCAATCCCCACCTCCTGGTTCAGGTGATTCTCCTGTCTCAGCCTTCCGAGTAGCTGGGATAACAGGCATGCACCACCATGCCTGGGTAATTTTTGTATTTCTTTTTTAGTGGAGACAGGGTATTGCTATGTTGGCCAGGCTGGTCTCGAACTCCTGATCTCAGGTGATCCACCTGCCTCGGCCTCCCAAAGTGCTGGGATTATAGGCATGAGCCACAGCACCTGACCTGAATAACTTTTGTATTATAAATGGAGCACTGATGTACAGAATTGGAAAGAATATGCCTCAACTTAAATGTTCATAACACAAAAACTCAAATATTTACCTAAAGGAAACAAACTTAACATCATGAATTTTGTGGAAACTTTTGAATTAAAGTATAAATAATCATTTTCCTAGTTTTACTCTTTTCCTAAATTTTATATTTTTATAATTGTATATATTAAGATTTAAGATACAGGACAATGTTGAAATAATTTAAAATTAGGCCCACTTCTTTATAAAGAGATTAGTTATTTAATTCAGTATATTATTGAATTTGGGAAAGTAACTGAAATACCCAATTGAACTAAATCATTTAAGCTCAATAGGAAAGGCCAGAGTGCTTTGTAAATTTCCTTCTGTCCAAACTGTAGATTTAAGCCAAATCATGGTCGCCTAAAGTCCATGCTGTGCCATGAAATTAAATCAGGAGTAGAAAATTCTAATGTCCCCTTTGGCCAGGAAGATATTGTAAATATGTAAAGTGAGCTCCATCAGAATACAAGGCTGAGTGAAGAGACGTGTGGAGAATGAAACACTGAAATTAAATAAAAAGAAAAAAAGTAAACATAAGGCCACTTTGTACAGTAGCCTGCCAGTGGCACTCCTAAAAATGCTTTTGAAGAAATAAAGGACGTTCAAATAGCAAGAGAGGAAGTCAAACTATCCCTGTTTGCAGATGACATAATCTTATATTGAGAAAACCCCATCGTTCCAGCCCAAAAGCTTCTTAAGCTGATAAGCAACTTCAGCAAAGTCTCAGGATACAAAATCGATGTGCAAAAGTTGCTAGCATTCTTATACACCAACAACAATCAAGCCAAGAGCCAAATCCCAAACAAACTCCCACAAAAAGAATAAAATACCTAGGAGTACAGCTAACAAGGGAAGTGAAAGATATTTACAAAGATAACTATAAGTCACTGCTCAAAGAAATCAGAGATGACACAAACAAATGGAAAATCATTCCATGATCATGGATAGGAAGAATTAATATTGTTAAGATGGCAATACTGCCCAAAGCAATTTGTAGATTCAATGCTATTCCCATTAAACTACTGTTGACATTCTTCACAGAAATAGAAAAAACTATTTTAAAATTCATATGAATCCAAAACAGCCTGAATAGCCAAGGCAATCCTAAGCAAAAGAACAAAGCTGGAGGCATCACACTACCTGTCTTCAAACTATACTACTGGGCTACAGTAACCAAAACAGCATGATACTGGTACGAGAACAGACACACAGACTGATGGAACAGAGTAGAGAACCCAGAAATGAGACTGCATATCTACAAGTATCTGATCTTCAACAAATATGACAAAAACAAGCAGAGGGGAAAGGATTCCCTAGTCAATAAATGGTGCTCGGATAACTGGCTGGCCATATGCAGAAAACTGAAACTGGATCCCTTCTTTACACCATATACAAAAATTATCTCAGGATGGACTAATGATCGAAATGTAAAATGTAAAACTACAAAAACACTGGAAGATAACTAGGTAATACCATCCAGGACACAGGCATGGGCAAAGATTTCATGATGAAGATGCCAAAAGCAATTGCAACAAAACCAAAAATTGGCAAATGGGATCTAATTAAACTAAAGAGCTTCTGTACAGCAAAAGAAACTATCAATAGAGTAAACAGACAATCTACAGAATGGGAGAATATTTTTGCAAACTATGCATCTGACAAAGATCTAACATTCAGCATCTACAAGGAACTTAGACAAATTTACAAGGGAAAAAACCAAACAACCCCATTAAAAAGTGGGCAAAGGACATGAGCAAACACTTCTTAAAATAAGACATACATGTGGCCAGCAATCATATGAAAAAGCTCTACATAACAGATCATTAGAAAAATGCAAATCAAAACCACAATGAGATACCATCTCACACCAGTCAGAATGTCTATTATTAAAAAGTCAAAAAATAACAGATGCTGGTGAGGTTGTGGAGAAAAAGGAACCCTTATACACTGCTGGGGAGTGTAAATTAATCTAATCATTGAGGAAGACAGTGTGTTGATTCCTCAAAGACCTAAAGACAGAAACACCATTTGACCCAGCAATCCCATTACTGGGTATATACCCAATGGAGAATAAATCATTTTATTATAAAGACATATTCACACATATGTTCATTGCAGCACTATTTATAACAGCAAGCACATGGAATCAACCTAAATGCCCATTAATGATAGATGGGATAAAGAAAATGTGGTACATGTACACCATGGAATACTATGCAGCCATAAAAAAGAACAAGGCCATGTCCTTTGCAGGGATGGAGCTAGAGGCCATCATTCTTAGCAAACTGATGCAGGTATAGAAAACCTAATACTGTTTGCTTTCACTTATAAGTGGGAGCTAAAGGATAAGCACACATGGACACATAGAGGGGAACCACAGACACTGAGGCCTATCAGAGGGTGGAATTTGGGAGGAGGGATAGGACCAGGAAAAATAACTAATGAGTACTAGGCTCAATAGCTGGGTGAAGAAATAATCTGTACAACAAACCACCATGACACATGTTTACCTATGTAACAAACTTGCACTTGTACCCCTGAACTTAAAAGTTAGAAAAATGCTTTCTAGCTTCAGGACTTTCCTGAATTCTTTCTTTAATATTTCAAAATTTTTATTATTTTGATATAGTGCACATCTATTGGAATCTAATGCATTCATTTTAAAACCCAAATCAAATTTGACATTACAGATGCATCATAATTTATTTGAATAATCCCTAATTGATAGAGATGTCTTCAATTTTCTGCATTACAAATGACATCACAATGAATATCTTTCTATATACATTCTGACGCATTTGTAAGAAAGTATTGTGATAGATTTTCAGTGTAAATGCTGTTAAAATATTCATATTCTATTTTTAAAATAGAAAGAAAATATGTCATTAAAATTTTTAAATGCTTTTCTATCTCAAAAATGCTTAGAAAGTCACAAGTGTTCCAAGCCCAAGTCTAAAAGAATCATAATCAAGTTAAACTTTCACCTGTTTCTTCCAGAATTGTGTGTGTGTGTGTGTGCACGCATGTGTGTGTGTGAATAACACCGGATTGCCTTTCTTCAGTGGGCTTACCTCTCCATATAAAATATGCAGATTTTTCTGGTTCTCATAAAAAATGTTATAGGTCTTCAATAAAGAATTAAGTTGTTCCCTAAAAATAAAAAAAAATTAATTACAATCAGTCTTAGAGTTTTTAACGTAAAAGGTGATAATGGTACTTTCATAAAGGTATGAGATAGAAAGAAATAGTTTAATGGAATCTTTACTGTTCTGTCACTTTAACTTAACATAAGTCATTGGAAGTGGAAGCATTCTTAAAATATCAGCAAATGTTGAAGTTGCTAATTCATAAATAAATAACCAAAGGTGGGAAATGACTGAGGACAAAAATGGTGAGAACAGTGTTCTGTAGCAGGAGGCAGCCACGAAACAGGAATTTGGTTTCATATTCCTTTTTGTATTTCAACATTTTTAACCAACCTAAATTAAGCACTGGTGTGTGGCTGATACCATCTCTCTATACACTACTCCCTCCTGTGTCCCCAGGGCATGGGATGGGACACCAGTGCCCCAACTCTCCAAATCTGTGTTCCCTTGTGTAAGTCACTTAGTATCCCTGAATTTCCACAGCTGTGAAATGAAGGTGATCTGTCCTACTTGCCGGGGCTGTTTAGACTATTAAAGGCAACCACAGAAGTCAAAGATCCCAGCTGGCTGGGTGAAGCAACAGTAAGCAAAGGCTCATTGTTACTGTGGCAGGGGAGCTTCTCTCCTGGCCTGCCCCACACAGCTGACAATGGCCGACTTTGGCCAGGAAAGTTTGTAGGGGAGGAGCCCTCTACCTTTCCGCCCTTCTAGCTGGGTATCAAGATCTGAGACCAGATGTGCTGGTGAGTGACTCAGCGCTTTCTTGCCTGGAAACTCCTCCCTGTGTCTCCCACTGGGAAAACAGCTGTGGTAAGGAATGCTCCTGACTTATCTCACCCTTTGTGGCAGGTGGGCCCTGGCAGTGGGAACACTGGCTCTTACCATACCTCTATTCTATCTTTCTCTCAGTGTCTCTATGTCTTGAGATGCTCCTCTTGAGATGATCATCATTTCTCACTTGGATTATTGCAGCAGCCTCCTAAAAGCCTCCCTGTATCTGTTGTTTACTCTCAACAGCAGAAACTGTTTTAATGCAAACCTGACCATCTCTCCTCTTTGCTCAGAACTCTTCAATGTCTTCTTGTTTTTCAGATTAAAAGCCAACATCCTTACAATGGCTTAAAAGGCTGGATGCAACTGGTCTTCTGTTACCTCTTTCATCTCATTTCCTCCCACCCTTCCCTCACTTCATGCAACCACCAGCCTCCCTGGTGTTCCTTGGCCACTCCAGACAGATTCTCATCTTGGGGCCTTTGCACTTGCTGATCCCTCTGCCCAGAATGATATTCCCCCAAACGTTCACCTTGCCAGCTCATTCATCTTCTTTAATTATTTAATCAAAAGTCATCTTCTCAAGAAGTCCTTCCTGATCACCCAATCTAAAAGTTCACCTTCTCCCAGCATTTCATATCTTGATTTTCTCCTCTGCCCCTGTCCCTGAGTCAACTTCTATATATTTTACTTATTTCCTTATGTTCTGTCTCCTCCATTGAATGTAGCTCCAACAGGGCAGGGGTATGTATGCATTTTGTTCACACTGTATCCTGTGCCTGGAAGAGTACTTGGTACATAGCAGGACAAATTCTGGTTGACTAAAATTATCGGGAAATATTCATTGCCTAAACAACAATAAACAAAGGAAGAAAAGCTTTCTCATATAAGCGGTTTTATAAAAAAAAAAAAGACCCAACAAGTCATGATATTAAAATTCCAAGTATTTCAATTGCTAAAATCCCTTTGATCCTCAATATCTGTCTCTGTCTCATAAGAAAATGAGAGGGCAGGGAGTTTGGTCCACTTTATTCACTCCTGTGTTCCTGGTTCTCAGAGCAGAAACTTGCTCACAGTAGGCTCTTCTTCAATAAATACTGAATATTGAATGACAGAATTTATATATACTGACTGTTACATGTTTGAAATCAGGTAAGCATGTATGTTGCCATTGGCTTTTTCTCACTTGTAATTTTCAAGGTGTACGTTTCCAAGGATCAATACACTTCACACAATTGCCATAAAAAGATCCTCCTGAAGTCCTCCATACTGTTGGTTCATTTCCCAAATGGATTACTTTCCATTTTTAATGTTAATGAACATGTCTCTTCTAAATATCATTGGTCACACTGATTTTGTTCTCCTGGGGTCATTGTCATAGGATATTTCCTAAAAATTATACTACTGGCCAAGAACATGAACATGATTTATAGCACTCATTGTTTAGTGCCAGAACACTATTAAGAAATTTCACCATAAAGAAATTTTACTGTAAAGAAACTTCAGGGACACTTGGGATGCAACTCCTGATATGCTGAGCTGTGAGAGTTGTTATGAAAGCAAATGGAGCCTTACATAATCTTATTCCCTCAGCTTCTGCTTCTGATAAAAGTACATTACATAGTAGAGTATGAGCAGCCTTTAAAGTGTTTACTTCAGGATCATGTGCAGTTGGAAAATGTTTCTGAACCTGAATAGAGCCTGACTAAATCCTCAACTGAAATAAGTCTACAAATGACATAAGGAGTTGGCAGATGGTGGTCCCAGGCTGCCTGTTTTTGTAAACAAAGTTGTATTGGAATATCACCACACTAATTTGTCTGCTCATTGTCTATGTCTGTTTTTCTGTTATAACTGCAGAGATGAGTAGTTGTAACAGAAATCATATGACCTACAGAGCCTGAAATATTTCTAATCTGGCTCTTCGCAGAGAAAGTCTTCCAATCTGTAATCCACTGTGTAATACAGGGTAGCTGGATACCATAGAAGTATTTTTCTCACCATGAGTAGAATCTTTTTGATTATTAATTGGATTTTGAAGGATTTTGGAGTGTTGAAGATTAGAGCTCAGTAAACTAAAGTATTGGAGTAAAATTAGGTAAATTAGTGGTGCAATACAAAGCAAGGAATTAGAAAAGAAAATTTAGAAGTTGCCTGAACAAATTATAGCAATGGTGAATGTTGTCCAAACATTTCTTTTAATCGTGTGTACACCTTACCAGAGAAACTTTTGAAGATGATTAGTTTATGTACCTGATGAAACAATATGTCTAATATAACCTTGAAAATACAATGTATGTCTGTAACATTCTAATTTAACTTGGCATTAGGGGAACAGCAAGGTGAAGAATTACTGTTAAGTTGATCATCTGTGTCTATTCACATTACACCATCCCACAGAAGGTCATTTATTGAACATGATACAGTTGCTGTGTGAGCACAGTCAAGAGGCCTCAGTCATGCTGGGAGGGTGGGTGAGAGCTTTAAGGAATAGATGTTGCCTACGGTGAACCTTGGTTGGTGAGAATTAAACAGGAAAAGAAGAATGTAAAGAGTTTACCTGGCAAAGAAACAACATGAAAAGGGACATGTAGCTATTTCTATAGTTCACAGAAAAAAACTCAAGAGTTGGGATTCCAAGAATGCAACATGTAAAATGGGGAATGCTGAGCAATGAATGAGCCCCGTGAACCATTTTAAGAAACTTGGAATTCACTTCGCAGGCAATGGGCAGCTATTGAAGATTCTAGGCAGGTGAAAGACATGATGATACTAAGGATCACTAGGTAGAATGTGAAAGATAGATTTCAGTACGAGACAAGATAGAGCCAGCAAGATGAGTGAGACCACTGCAACACTAGTGTGGTAGAGGTGCAGAAATGAGGCTGATGTTCCACGGAAAGGTGAACAAATGTGCCATGTCTATAGAAGGTTCTAAAGTCCAGAAGGGACCTATAATAATTACAGGCATTGTATGGTTTAGAAGAACCAAAGGCAATCACTAAAGTGTTATCTGGGCAGTCCCTAATCAATAAGAGGAGCCCTGATTTAATATACACTGTTGCCTGTCAGTGGTAATTTTAACAGATTTTTTTAGGGTCCACCTGTTACATGCGGACCCCCTCAAAAAGAATTTGTGCACCTTTCTCCCTCAAACCTGTAAAAGTTCACCTTCCAACATGATCAGACGGCTTAGCATAAACTGTTTGATGGCCCTTAAAATACTTTAAAATGGGTGATAAGAAATGGATTCTATGTCCAGTTTTCCAGTTTACAAGTCTGTGATGTCCAAGGCACGCCCAAGAAATAGACACAAGTTTCGGCCAGGCGCGGTGGCTCATGCCTGTAATCCCAGTACTTTGGGAGGCCAAGATGGGCAGATCACGAGGTCAGGAGATAGAGACCATCCTGGATAACACGGTGAAACCCCGTCTCTACTAAATATACAAAAAATTAGCAGGGCGCGGTGGCGGGCGCTTGTAGTCCCAGCTACTCAGGAGGCTGAGGCAGGAGAATGGCGTGAACCCGGGAGGCGGAGCTTGCAGTGAGCCCAGATTGCGCCACTGCACTCCAGCCTGGGCGACGGAGCAAGTTTCCGTCTCAAAAGAAGAAAGAAAGAAAGAAAGAAAAAGAAATAGACACAAATTTCTCACACTTTTATATGTGAGACACAAAAAATTGATTTTCTAGGAAAGAGCCTTGGTTTTTGGAACGTGAAACACTGTATCACAATATGTAACAAGGGTGTTTTTAAACATCATCAAACACTATATAAGGATGGTGTTTTCACTAAACTGAAGAAAACCAAACTTCCATATAAACTGGACTTCTATCTAAATGAACTGTAAATTATAAGTTTCTCCAGGATAGAAGTTGGCACCCTGCCACAAGCAGTGTGGAGAGAGAATCCTGGTATAAGCCGATGAATACCCAGGATTCTTCATCATGGCCCTGGAAGAGAGCTAGCCAAGGAGAGACTGACCTTGGTGGGGGGCAGGTCAGGGGGAGGGATGCTGAGGGGATCCCAGGGTCCTGTTCCTTTAAGGCTCCAGCTTGGTTTTAATGAGTAATAGTGGACCCAGAGTTTACTGTAAAATGCTCTGGTGTACTTTGTACTTTGTGGCCTGAATTGCAGCTGCTCAGCCTATGGGAATTACCCGCATTCTGACGTTTGCCATGAATAATGTACTTAGCATGAAATGAGTTCCTCAATCTTATCAGGTATTTGGCTGGCTGGAAGAAACTTTTTATTTAATTTTATAAAACTGTAATATACATGAATGTGGGATAGGATTATGGGTGGAAGTGAATTATGTCTGATATCCATAGATAGAGTGGATGTCAAATATTAGTTGTACTAAGAGATTTTTTTCCTCTTGTTTTAATAATGACTTACAGCATAATTAAGTGGCCATCCTAGTCCTTCCCTAAAAGGCAAAGAACCCTGTCCTAGTCTTTACAAAGTGATTCTTACAGTTTGAACCCACTAAGGACAAAGCATAAATATTGTCATATGCCGTCACCCTACACAAACTTGAAAGACTTCCGTGTGATACAAATGAACCTCAGGGGAAAATACACTCAACGAGGTTGCCAAAGGCATGTTTATCCCCTGGCTGTGCTTCCTGAGTTTGTATTACTTCTGCTTCTTGGAGACTTGCTGAAAAATGTTCATGGTTCCAATTAAGCAGCCACTGAGCTGCTTAGTGACAACAACATTAAGAACAACATTTCATCCCAGCACTTTGGGAGGCCGAGGTGGGCGGATCACGAGGTCAGGAGATGGAGACCATCCTGGCTAACATGGTGAAACCCCATCTCTACTAAAAAATAGAAAAAAATAGCCAGGTGTGGTGGCCGGCGCCTGTAGTCCCAGCTACTCGTGAGTCTAGGCAGAAGAATGGCGTGAACCCGGGAGGTGGAGGTTGCAGTGAGTGGAGATCACACCACTGCACTCCAGCCTGAGCGACAGTGAGACTCTGTCTCAAAAAAACAAAACAAAACAAAACAAAACAAAGCAAAACAACCATTCCACTGTGTGTGTTGCCATGTTTAAGAGCAGGAACCAAGAATATTTGAAACAGACTTCAGCAGGTGAAAAACTGAGGAAGAAAAGGATAGTGCTAATTAGTTCTCTTGCACAGGTTTTCTTTTTCCCACTGATTTTGTTCACGATATTAAATTTTAGCAGTGAAGCTATTTAACAATTTCATATGTCAGGTTCAAAAAGCTGAATTTAGAACTTTATAGTTTTATAAAATAACTACAAAATATTAAAGTTAAACATATTAAACATTACATTAAATATGTAAAGGTAACAAATTATTTGCTGGGAATTAAGGTTGTGATTTTTATTTCCTATGTTATAATTCTATATACCTTATAAATCATTTTCTTTCTTTTTTTTTTTTTTTGTTTTTTGAGATGGAGTTTCGCTCTTATTGCCCAGGCTGGAGTGCAATGGTGTGATCTCATCTCATTGCAACCTCCACCTCCTGGGTTCAAGTGATTCTCTTGCCTCAGCCTCCCGAGTAGCTGGGATTATAGGCAGCTGCCACCAGGCCAGGCTAATTTTCGTATTTTCAGTAGAGATGGGGTTTCACCATGTTGGCCAGGCTGGTCTCAAACTCCTGACCTCAGATGATCCACCTGCCTCAGCCTCCCAAAGTGCTGGGATTACAGGTGTGAGCCACCATGCCCGGCCTATAAATTCTATATAAGAAACGTGTGATACTTTCATGATATTTTTTAGGTTCATAAAAATGTAATATACACTCTTGTATGTTTTTGGAAAGATGGAATCAGGAAATATGAGGACGCAGAAGAGAACTGAATAAAGCCTTGTCATCAAGCTATTTGCCAAGATAAATCATCATTCCATATTAATGATGTCTGTAATAGAAGCAGAATTCTCCAAACCCATTTTATCCTTTATTCCTGTCCATTTGAATCCTGGAATTAAAATTACAAGTTTTGGCTCCTCTTTCATAAACAGCCATGGCTCCAGGTCTTTTCGCTTTTGGCCTCATCTGGTTCAAATGATGAAGAAAGAATGCTTTTCAATCTTTGCATAGAGACCCTCCTCAGCTAGGAAAGTAGGTTATTCGCATTTCCTTTGCAAATGAAGGGACTGAGTTCCAAAGTCTGGAAACTGAGAAATTTGTGGAGAAGTAGTCTATCTCGATTGAAGCAAAAATGCAAACCCTGAATGATCAGAAAGCTCTGAATTCTGTCTCACTCTTCCAACTTCAAATACCTGAGGATTTTTCCCTTTTTTCTGCAGCCTCGCCAACATATGTTATTTTTTGACTTTTTTATAAAAGCCATTCTGTCTGGTGTGAGATGGTGTCTCACTGTGGTTTTGACTTGCATTTCTCTGATTAGTGATGATGAGCATTTTTTCATGTTTGTTGGCTGCTTGTATGTCTTCTTTTGAGAAGTGTCTGCCCATGTCTTTTGGTCACTTATACACTGTTGGTGGGAATGTAAATTAGTCTAGTCACTGTGGAAAGCAGTTTGGAGATTTTTCAAAAATCTAAAAGTTGAACTACCTTTCAACCCAACAATCCCTTTACTGGATATAGACCCAAAGGAAAATAAAACATTCTACCAAAAAGACATACACACCCCTGTGTTTATCACAACACTATTCACAATAGCAAAGACATGGAATCCACCCAGGTGCCCATCTGTGCTGGATTGGATAAAAACAATGTGGTACATAGACACCATGGAATACTCTGTAGCCATAAAAAAGAGCAAAATCATGTCCTTTGCAGCAATATGGATGCAGCCGGAGGCTATTATCCTAAGTGAACTAATAGAGAAACAGAAAATCAAATATTGTATATTCTCACTTATAAGTGAGAGTTTAACACCGGGTACACATGGACACAAAGATGGGAACAATGAGCACTGGGGACCACTAGATGCAAGAGAGAGGGAAAGCGGCAAGGGCTGAAGAGCTATCTATTGGATACTATGCCGACTACTGGGATGATGGGTTCATCCGTACTCCAAACCTCAGCATCATGCAAAATAGAGACAAGGGAATGGAGCAATTAGGCTGGTACTTAGCTCATATTTGGGTCTTGCTTCTCATTTGTCTGTGGTTTAGCCTTTCATTTCCTGTTTTTCTGAGACAAGCCTTATAGTTTTTTTTTTTTTTTTAAAGCCAGTTGAAAAGTAAACACAGGTGTGCCACACAACAGTAAGCATTATGGGAGCAGATGGAAACTTGCTGTAAAATTACACCCTTTGTGTATGAACAGATAGGGACTTCTGTGCTTATTGAGAATGAGTAACTTGACTTCACACTCTGATGCCCCTTGCTCCCTTGGGAGGGAGAAACTATCCTATTTAATGAAGTCTTTCATTTATTGTAGCGATATGCCTTTCAGCCCCCTGGACATTTGGGATTGTTACTAGAGGGTCTGAAACACAACAAGGAGCCAGTGATTCCCAGGGCCATCAACCTGAGCACGAGCCTGAAAACGGGAGACTTCCTGACACACAGGCTCTTACACTCACTGGCTCTGACTTTGTTCTTCAGTAATGCTGCCATGACTTTCACCACTGGTTATCTTTACATTCAACAAAAAAATAATAAGCAAACTCCTTGCTGCTATTCAGAGGATCCTCCAGACATTCTCCACACTAAATCCAGAGTATGTAGAATGTATCTAATCATATCATCTGCTTTGTTAACATCTTTAAATGTCTTAAATGTCTTTCCATTGCTCTTGGGATAAAACCCCCACACCGTTATGGCAGGTTAAGTCCTGTTTGGTCTCTCTCCTGCCTTCCTCTTCAGCCTCCTTTCAAGAGACATTTTCCCTGTGTCCTGCACCCCAGCACCCTGGGCACCTTTCACTTGTTGGAACTCTTTGCTCCATGGCTGTAAGGATTTCTGGCAGATTTCCTGTGTCAGAAACACTCTTCCACCCACTGTCCTGAACTTTGATAGCTCCTTCTTAGTCAGATCTCTGTACAAACATTGTTTCTAGGGAAGCCTTCTTGGAACTCTTGTTTAAACTAGGGCTTTGTTCTTTCATAGAACTGGGTTCCTTCCCTCAGAATACATGTCAGTTTGTTTCAGGCCTTTAGATCTATGTGGATCTCAAAGTGTGATCCCCAGACCAGCAGCATCTGTACCACCTGGGAACTTAGACATGCAAATATTCAAAACACCCTAGAACTCCTGAATCAGAAACTCTGGGGATGGAGCCTAGCAATCTTTCTTTTAAAGAACCCTCCAGGTGGTTCTGCTAAAGGCTCAGGTTTGAGCTACAGCTTCAGATTGCAAGCTCCACAAGAGTAGGACAGCTACCTCCTCTCCTCTCCTCTCCTCTCCCCTCCCTACCCCTCCTCTCTACTCTTCTTCCTCTGCTCTCCTCTCCTCCAACCCCTCCCCTCCCCTCCTCTCTACTCTTCTTCCTCTCCCCTTCTCTCCTCTCCTCTCCTCTCCTCCATCCCCTCCCCTCCCCTCCTCTCTACTCTTCTTCCTCTCCCCTTCTCTCCTCTCCTCTCCTCTCCTCCATCCCCTCCCCTCCCCTCCCCTCTCCTCTCCCCCTTCCTCTCCCCTCTTCCTCCTCCTCCTTGCTTATGGTATGCTCTCAAAAGTTATTTGTGTAGGGAATACAGCATAGAAAATTCACGCATCCAGAAATTGAAATAAATTCCATACATGTGATATATTTCTGGAGTCTGAACTTCTGGAGTCTCATAGAAAATCATTGGATTTTCTCTGAGAACATTTTTAGATTATCTTGGGCAGACAAATGATCTCATCGTTTTTAAACCTCCTTAATTGATAAAACAGGTAACTGCAAAGTAGATAAATTTTACTAGGAATAACAGATTATTAAGTCATATTGATATGCTCAATGACTGTTGACAATATATGCTTATTGAAAAATATCAGATATAAAAAAACCTAATAAATGTCCTTCTTTCACATATCTCATGATGACGTTATTGACCCTTTTGTGACAAAATAACAGATGTGATACCCAGTTTCTCATAATAATTTCTTTTCATTTCACTGGGTCATCAAACATGGATAATGTGAATTTTTAAAAACAATCCCCATGTGGACAAAAATTCTAATTTTTAAAGTAGATGCTCCTAAATATGCGATTAAAATCCTCTGTCTCTGGCTTATTTTGAAATTCTAACTTTTTATACAAATAAGTCAGAACAGGCTCTCTTATACTTTAATTAAAGACAGGTATTCAGCGTTCTTCAGGAGAATGATGCCCTCCTCTTAGAAACTTACCTTCAGGACTCACAGGGGCATGCAGTGTTTGCTCCTATTCCTTTGATCAGGAGAAGACCCTGTATATGAAACCTGGGCAAACATTGCCTTCTGGCTGTACTGGCCAGGTAGAAGGCAGCCTCTGGAACACTGGCTCTTTGTGCTTAATTTGTGCTTAGAAGTGCAGGTGGCTGGTTCCTTTGTTTCAACAAAGGTTGCTGGCCAACATGCTTGGAAAAAGAAACTGTTTGGAATAATGCACTTTCTGCTAAAATTTATTACATCATGTTAATTAAACTTACTAAGGACAGGATTGTACACGTGCCTTTTGAGCTGCCCTTAGAAGAGGCATAGACTGCAAAGTTTTTATTAGGTTACTAAGTAGCAGAAAAAGTCTGATAGGTTCTGAGAGTGAAATCTGGTTGGTATTCTAAAACTGGATTTAAACTTCTCCATTAATTTTTTTTTAAATACATGGTTAGCATTTATTCACCTCTAAAGTGCCCAGATTTCAGCCTATGACCTAAAGTGAAAATACTTTGAAAGTAACCATAAAAAACATTTATTTTTATTTTTTTCCACCCAGCTCACTGTGTGAAGCAGTGTGCAATGATGACTCCAGGCAATAAAACAGCAACTGGAAGCTTAGTCATTTCAGTACAAAGCTAACCTGTGCCAATACCCTTTGAACAGGGAAGTTTCTAAACTCAGAGAATTCTCATCCAGTAGTGGGATATAAACGTTATGTTTCCTACTATGCTATTATTAATATCAGGACCTCTTATTTTACTGATCATATGCAATCCTCATGAAATTTGCTGAAACCAAAATTTTGATTATGAAGATTCTGCTTAACTATTAATTTCCATTCTTTTCATGTAGTTCTGTGCAGGAAAATAAAAATACCTCAATAAATTGCTAATTTTTGTCTTGTTTACCACAACAATGCCTAGTAAAGAGAGGGAGCTAAAAAACTACTTGCCAAGTGAATAAATGAGTAGGGGTGTTTGCCAGATTTGTGGTATGCTGGATATCATAGTTGGTCAGTGGCATTGTTATAATTTCTGGTGACAGCCTGGCAGAGATTTCCCCTAGCTCCAGGAATTTTGTTTATGTTAGGAGGTCAGAAGTTCTCAGAACTTTAATCCTTTCCTATGGTGAGAATTTGTTCTCAGTACTTCAGTATGCATCAGAATCACATGATTAGTTCTGGGGTGAAGCCAAGGGTCTATACTGTGAACAGGCATCTGAGTCAGAAGCAGGTGGTCCATGGACCTCATTTTTAAGAAATGCTTCTTATTCAATCTCAAATGTAATGTGTCCAGAACTGAATTCCGGATCCTCAACTGCAAACCTGCTCCTCCTGTAGCTCCTGCTTCTCCTCATGATTTCAGAAAATGTTAACTCCATTTTTCTAGATCAAAATTTTTAGAATTATCCTTGGTTATTCTCTTTCTCTCACACCCATGTCTAACCCTTCTGGAAATCCTATTGTGTTGGTCTTCAAACTATATCCAGAATCTGACCATTGTTTTCTACCTCTACTGCTGCCACCTTGGTTCAAGCAACCTTCATCTCCACCCTGGACTGTCAGCTCCTTGGTAACTTCTCTGTTTCCACTCTTGTCCCCTCTCTACTCTGTTCTTAACACAGCAGCTAGACTGATATTGCCACTCATGTGCTCAATATCCTTCCACAGCTTCTCATCTTATTTAGTGGGAAAGATCAAGCCTCATAATGGCCTATCAAACCCTACATGTTCTGAGCCCATTTGGCTTCTTCTCCTGCTGTCTTTCTACTTCCATTTCCCCACACTGTTCTCCCTGACCCTTACAAATATGCATCTGCCTTAGGGCTGTGGAGTTGCCATTCCCCTTGCCTGGAATACCTGCGAAAGCTGCATGGCTTGCTTTCTCCCTTTCTGCAGGCTTTTCCTCCAGTGCTTCCCGCTCACTGAGGAAGGAACTAGGTTATATGCAATCAGAACCCTTTCCGCTCTCTATCTCTAGCACTCTTTACTCCATTTCCTCAGCATTTATCTTATGTATTGACTGCATCCCGACTTTATGATGTAACTCCATGAGAGTAAGGGTTTTGTTTGGTTCATTACTGAATGCTCAGGGTCCAAAAATACACCTGCTCACAGTGAGTAATCAGTAAGTGTTTGAGGAATAAGTCAGTGGATCCTTTATCCTTTGCATCAGGTCTTTTTCCCACTGCTTATAGTTCATCCTTATCTTTCAGCTGTGGCTTTATTTCCATATTTGATCATATTTGTTTCCTTCACTTTCCTACTGCCCAACCCTGCATCATTCACTTCTCCTTCTCTCTGTCATTTATTTGGCTTTTTTCCTTTTTCCACCCCCCATAAGATTTGGGTCATGTTTCAGTACCACTTATTTTTTCATGATTTCATCTCCTCTCAGCCCCCAGCCTCTGCTGTAGCTTGGCCAGTTTCAGTTTTCATCTCTACTCTTATAGCTTTTAAGCCCTTACTCTATTGTTCCCAAAGCAATATGAGATACTGTTTGCTGCGTACAAGAAAAGCTGTGGATGTTGGCCATATATTGCATAATCTAATGTCAAGAGGGAACCAGTAAAAATAAAGTGTCATGAGGAGCAAGGGATGGAGAGGTTAGGACAGGACATAATGTTTTTGGCCCTGGGGTTAATTCTTTAGAACTATCATTTATGAGAAGCCTTAGATCTTTCACCTAATGCTGCTCTTCAATATTATCCCAACTATTAAAACAGAAATGTTGCTTTTAATAAAGTAAAACCACTGTTAAACAAAATATTAGTGATTGTTCCATGAGAGTAAATTTGAGAGTCTTTAGGAACATACTTTTCCAACTTCTTATCTAGTATCTCTACTGATGATTCATATTATTGATCTTGTTGACCATACATCATGCTTAGAAAACTTTGACGGTATATTCCACAAATGACTGGTGAGTAGGACAATGTATAATATAAGGTGTGTGGTTACCTGGTTATGAATGTCTTCTCATTAATGAAGATCCAAGAGGGGTACTGGTGAGCCATCATAGTCATCTTTTCCTCCTTTTTGAGATGGTCTGAGGATATCCTAAACATGAGAATAATATTAATGATTTGTTCCTATAATGCATTAAAAAATTAGTTTCTGATTTAAGTTGAGTGTTTTGTTGTGTCTCTAGAGTATAAGAAGGTTTTAGAAAGTTTTTAAGTAGTATGTCATGTGTGAGCAAAAATACAGAAAAATGTATTATGTAAATGAAAAACTACAGAAACAGTAACTCCAGACACGGATGGATTGAACAATTTGGTAAGTCTGTTTTAGATATATTTCTAGCAAAATAAATATGACTCTATTGATTTATATAATTCTGTATAAGGGAGCATATTCCTTCTATTGCAATAACTCACCCAAACTGGCTGAACCTTGCCCCAATCAGCAGAAGACAACTGCAATTCTAGGCAGCTAAAATCAAGCTCTGACTTGAAGAGTTGATTAGGTATGATGTAATATTTTTCAAGTCTCCTTCAAGCTCTGGAAACTGTGGTCAGATGTGAATAATCTCCTCCTTTATATGTTCATATAAATGGCATTAGGGTGTGACCAGAGATGTAAAGTATAATATTTTCTGTTCATTCCATTTTGCAAAAATTGAATATTCAGTTATCATGGCTCCAAGTCTATAAGATTTTAGGGGATAGAGCCAGAATAAAAAAGATGGATGAGAGAGTTCAGTTTTCTTTTTTTTTTTTTTTTAAAAAAAAAAACGTTGTGTATAAGGGGGTGGATTTCCTCCTTTTCCTTTCAAATCTGGTTATTTGGGTTGGGTAAGATGAATAAAAATTAGGAAATTATATGTCCTAACTCTTCAGAGTACCAGGAAAAAAAGAAAACAGGAAAGCTATTCTTCTATTCTCATAAAATCTCTGATGCATATTTTTCTTTATAGCATGTTGTTAAACTCACTAGGTACTTTGTTACAGTTTTCAGGGTGAATGCTTGGCTGGAGTCTCATTTTAGGCTTTTATCATTCCGATCATCCCATCACCTATTTGGTCACAAACCATCTTGGTATCTTTCTTAATAAATACAGCCCAAGTCCCTTAACCTGACTCTCAAGTTTTCTTCAATTCCACTCAAACCTACCTTTCCAGGCTCCAAATTGAAACATTTCTTCAACACCAGGCCTTGTAATCTAATGAAATTTCATGTCATTGAGTCTTTTCTCACCCATTTCCCCTGGCAGCAGAGGGCCCTCCTCACTGCAGGTCCAGATATCTGGTCCCTTTTAGTCCCCAGTGGGAAATCTTAAAGTCTCCCCATGTCCTTTGAATCCACACTGTTGTCATCATTCTGCTTTCTACCTTGTATTGTCATTATTGATTTATACCTTACTTTCTTTTCTATTGCTATCTTCTTGCTCAAAGAATTGTGCTTCTCTAGTTGGAAATGGCATCCTCTGATAGCACATCATTGGCAGGTCTCATGCAGGACACCTGGAGGACTCATACCAGAGACACAGAAGCTTAGTCACCAGGCAAAGTAATTCTATACGTCAGAAGCCACATGGGCATTTTATGCTGCCTTGGGCACACAGACACAACATGCTCCATGAGCCCAGTGAATCCCAGTTACTTATTCACAGGATTTGGTCTGGGCAACTTGGTTATACAGGTTACACAGGTTCCTCCAGCTTCTCAAACTTGAGTTTTGCCCCTGGATTTTGTCATTCTAATAACCCACCAAAAGGGTTATTAATGTCCCCGACTGAAATCCCCCAGTGATGACCCTGGGGTCCAAACACTTCCTTCTTCCTCCTGGGTCCAGATTATTTATCATATATTCCTTTAATTTAGCCCTACCTCCACCTCTCCATCCATGTTCCAAGAGCCTATACCTTGCCAAAGAGTTCACTTCTCTCCTCATTTCTCGGCCTCTTAGCAACATTTGACAAGATTGATTTTCCTACCTTTTAAAACACTTTCTTCTTGATGCTTTTGAGACAAACCATGAATAACAATCACCTCACTCTATTTTCCTGCTATCTCACAGGCCTCAACACTAGTCTCCTTTGCTGATTCCTCCTTTGTATGATCACTAAATACTGGCTTGTTTGAGTGTCCATTCTCAGCCATCCTTTCTTCTCTATCTATACATTCTTCCAGGTAATCGAATCTGTCTCCATCCCATAATCTCTGTTGAGCTCCAGACGCATGTCACCACCTACCTAATCTCTACTTAGATGTGTACCAGGCATCTCGATATCTACATGGCTGAAAAAGAACCACTGACTTTCTCCCATGCTCTAAAATTTCCTCCTCCACAATTCTTTCCCATCTAGGCATCAAAACTAATATTTAGTCTCATTTTTTCCCTCTTTCATCATAAGCCAAATTCAATCCAAAAGTAAGTCCTATTCACTGTACCACTAACATATTCCAAATTCGAAAGCTTTGATTTCCACTGCTACTACCCTAAGCCAAGCCACCATCATCTTTTTCCTGGATTATTGCGTCAGCCTACTAGAGGGCCTCCCTCTGTTGTGGTCTGAATGTTTGTGTCCCCACAAAACCTAGATGTTGAAACTTAACCCCCAATGCAATAGTATTAACAGGTGAGGACTTTAGGAGGTGATTAGTTCATGATGGTGGAGACTTCATGAATGTGGTTAGTGCCCTTATAAAAGAGACCCCAGAAGCTGCCTGGACCCTTCCACCATGTCAGAGCATAGCAAAAAGACCATCTAAGAACCAGACAGCTTGCTTCCCTCACCAGACACTGGGGATATTTGGAACTGAAGAACCACTGATAGCAGCTTCTTATAATTACAAAGTGAAAATTGGCAGTGATGGACTGAAAAATCATTGCAGTAGCTTTCCAACTGGCTCACTCTTTATTTGCATTCATAAGAAATATCAAAGATATCATTAAAGAGGGCAAATAATTGCAATGTAGTTATAGTGACACACTGTTGATCTATGCTGAGGTAACTCATAGCCAGCTTCAGAAGACTTCAGAAGATGTGATGAAAGGGTTTCCAAGGCTCTTATATTATTTTCTGACTTTAGGAAGGAAGAAAGTTGAATATAATTTAATGTAAGAAAATAAAAACAGGATAAAATTTTCATTCATAGGCAGCACATAATATTTGAGTAGGAAATAATATTATTCATGTCTGATCTAAAAATTGGGTAAATAAAATATTCAAACAGTTTAAATACCTGAAAGGTAAGAACATGCTTTGGTAAAAGTCCCATTGTTAGTATTAACAGTGAAGTGAAATACAAAAGTTAGCCGGGTGTGGTGGAACACACTTTTAATCCCAGCTACCTGGGAGGCTGAGGCCCGAGAATCACTTAAACCTGGGAGATGGAGGTTGCAGTGAGCCAAGATTGTGTCCCTGCACTCCAGCCTGGGTGATAGAGTGTGACTCTGTCTCAAAAAAAAAAAAAAAAAAAGAGCAAAACAAATAAACAAACAAAAACAATGAAGTGAGGCATAGATCTATGAATTCAAATAGTTTTTCATCCTCATCTTCCCATTCCCATTCACCATGATTCATAGCAAACTAAAACCTGCTAGGGCCCTTGTGAAAATCTCCTAAATTATAAAGACTTGGTAGATATAAGCATCTGAGCAAATTTTCTCAAGGACTTAAGAGGAGAATAACAGAGAAGTCATGAATAGCAACGAGGGAGAGAATTTATGAAGAAAGAAAAAATTACAGTTCTAGAAGCCTGGAGGTCTTACTTGGGATGTTCAGTAATTTTGGTAGAACATAATAAACTACAACTTGAGGAGGAAGATGGTTGTTACAAATCTATGTAGGCCCTGGGGCCAGAGATTATTGACTTAGATTGTGTGTAAAATAAGATCATTATTTAATAAGTTTGGTTATTTACTTTTTCATTTTGTCCAGAAACAATGAAGCTGGAGAAACAGGGAATTAGATAGGTCAGCAATTAAGTCCTGGAGAAATCAACAGCACTAGAAGTATAGGAGAGGTAGAATTGGTCTGAACAAGCCAATGAGATCTGGATGGAGCCTGAGGAGGCAGTGTTGGGCAGCATTAGCGTTCCAGCAATGCTGGAACGTGGTTCACCTCCCCCTGCTCTGCATTCCTGCCTAGAGGTGGGCTTGCCTGGACTTACCAGTTGCCTTGTGACCAGAATGAGGCCAGAGGACAGGAAGTGAATTCTAGTACAAATTAAATCAAATGGGTCAGTCATTTAAAGTAACTTCCTGTTATCCAACCATGAGTTAATTAAATGGTTACATATCTAAAAGTGGAAAATTGGGTTCACTCGTTTGTAAATTCAACAAATATTTCACGAGTTCCTTCTCTGCACCTGCTACCGTGCTAGGCACAGAAAGTATAGCCTGTATCTATATCTATAGCCTCTTATTTCTGAGGCCACAAGGTGCACAAAGTGTCATAATGCTAATGATTTTACAAAGAACTAATATATATACATATATCTATATCTATCTATCTATCTATCTATCTATCTATCTATCTATCTATCTATACATATATATACAGGTGCTAACTTCCCTGTATTTCCCAGCCAAAGACAATTTCTCTTGCTTCTGAAATTTCACAGGAAATTTTCTGTAGCTTTCTAATTACTTACTGCTTTCTCTCTCTAACCATATTTTATTTTACTTAATTTGATTACTAGGTCCTTTAGGACAGAATTATTGCTATTTCATTTTTGTGTCTTCTAAAGTGAGTGAATATATGCAGGCATATAGATAAAACATACACAAAATATTGAATACATCCAACATACAGAGAGGTATATTATAATATTAATGGTAAAATTAAGAGCTAAGAGATTATGTGTGATAATTATTTCTTTTTTTATTTTGTATGTACTGTCTAAATCATAGACAAGGAATATATGTTACATCTCTCTCACCCACGTCCCCAGTAAAAGCTACTTAAAAAAAGAACAGAAAGTATCACACTAGAATAGCAAGTGTGTATTTCAATTATGAGATAAGAGTATGTTAAGGGCTGTACACACGGAGAGTCTTTTTAATAAAATATTGTTTCAGCTTGAAGAAGCAATAGAAAGTTACAATTATGTATTCATCTCCAAAACGAAACTGTTTTCTCAAAGTTATGACCTGGAACCTTGGAGTAGAGAAGAGCAGAGTTATATGCAATTACATCACTTCAAGAAAATGAGACAAAGCATCTATAATTCCATCCAGTATCTAGTTCTCTCAAAAAAGGAAAAGAGTTAACAGAGTGATGGTTTCTGGGAAACATTTGGCTCCATACTTTTTCTTAAAATGTGCTTTATTTGCAGAGACAGTAAAGGTCAAGAGTTGGCATATATACAAACTATCACTTAATTAAGTAATATTGGTTGCAGTCAGTGATTGTTGGTTTTGAGATAGAAATAATGTATTATAATCATTGAATCTAAGAGAGGACTAAGCAGAATATGAATCAAACACACTTCTATGTGAGCATGCCACTGCCCTCAGTTCAAGTGGAATCTAATTGGAAATGCCAAAACTTTACTGTTCTATTGCATATTTACATGGTACTAATGCCATGCATTTTATTCTGCTCAAGGTGCCCTCAGGGAGATAAAGAAAGCAGAAACGGTCAGAGAAGCAAATTTGTATTAAGGCACTTAAGGCATCTTGCCACCACTGGGTCTGGGAGGCGCTGCTCAGTCTGCCGACAGCATCTTCTGGAATTACTGGTGTGGTGGAACTCAAAAATTTTCTGCTTCACCTGAGCTTCCCAGTAGAAATTCTTAGGCTGACGTCACAAAGATCACGACTCATTTTTCCTGTTTGTATATTTGCTGCAAAAGAATCGACACTCTCTCCTCTTAAGCTCCTTTACTAGGCTCTAGGTGATGATGAAGTTTTCCTTTAAGTTAACATCCTTATTACTTAAATAGGAGACACTTCATGTTCTACTCCTGAAAGCAGTGGTATTAGTTAAGTTTGGTTGTTGAGATTATGTTATGAAAGTGATGAAATCACTATAATTTATCATTTTAAACATACAAATTAATTTTTGCAACAGAATAACTCTCTAACTGTAATGTGAAAGGAAAATATTCAGAATTCCTTTCTCAGAGGTTTTGTTTTCAAATGGCCTATACTTGAATATTTTAAAAATCTAAGCTTTTATATGAAGCCCATGTAACTCTAGTAACCGTGAATTCCCCACCTACATTGCAATCAATGAATCTATATAAGCAAATGGACTGTCAGCATTGGGTTTCTATCTCAGTTAAAAGTAAAGGATCCTTCTTATTTTAGGAAATTAAAACAAGAATCAGGTATAGAACTTTTAATTACATGCTTAAAAGACTTGTTACATACATGTTACACTATTTTGAATATAACTGGAAAAGTTAATTTTTTCGTAATCATTGCTGGGTCTCTCTGTGTCACTCTTTTCTCTCTTTCTCTCTCTCTCTGATTGACCACAACATTTAATAGTTTATAATAAAATGTTATACACGTGAGAAATAGTAGAATAAATGTAAATTCAACACAATATTCTAATGTATAGATATAAAGTTGTTATCTATCTATCTATCTATCTAAACAGATTTTAACTAGAAAGACTTCCACCCAGTTACGGTTAAGTAGATTAATCTCAAATCAATTTCAAATATGGTTAAATAAATTTATCTCAATTGGGGCTACTATTCTTTATTTAGACATATGTCTATCAATAAATATAAAGGCAAATAACTTTGTTTAAGGATGTATAACAATATGGAAATTCAGCATAAAAGCATATTTCCTCTTTGAAAAATCTTTAATGAATATTGGAACCCTAACTTATTCTAATTCAATTTGATTCCTTTATAAGTTTTTAGCTAAACTGTACTAAACACAATCAGACCCCAGAGGGAAATAACATAGTAAACTTCAGTTAGGTTGGGTTTAGAATTCTATCCACAATTCTCCAGTCAATATCTAATTGTAAGCACACTGAAGAATTTCAACTCTGCAATTTGAAAAAAGAATCCATTAAAACACCAATGATATTAAGTTAGAGTATACTGCAAACTCTTTGACTGCTTTATTTAATAAAATAACAAGATAAAAATGAAGTCAATGGAAATTACTAGTCATAGACACTAAGTTGGTCCCCTCAAGAAAATTAGCAACATTAATAACTAACAACATTGACAAAAGTGCCCTTTAAGTGAAACTTCATAAAATAAAGCCACTTTCCTGTAATTTAAGCTTAAGAGGTAGAGACTGACAAAATACAAGTATTATTCCTTCATGTCTCTTGTCCATCAACACAAATTAAAAACAGCACTTCAATACAAACAATTCAATATGTGCTGAAATATAAAGACATGGATTATATGGTCTAAATTGATGAAAGTTATTCAAAAGCAGTCTCCTTTATAAAACCCAAATGGCATGAATTCCACAATATGAGATTGTGTGTAACTCTCTTACTCTAAAATTCTATTTTCTTTTTAGGAATAACAGATTAATGTAAATGTGAATTTTTCAAAAGAAAACTGATTGAGTAGCAAATATGTCTGAATTTGCCACCACATACTCTATCTGAAAAATGGAAAGAAGCCAGGTCATTTCGTTGCTACCCAGAGAGATGATCCTAGCACACCTGTCACCTGCTTGCCTGTCCTGGATCCAGTCTCCGGGAACCAGTTCAATTCCAGCATCCTAATACACACTGTCTGGTCTCCCTAGTTCAGCTTGCCCTCCCTGATAACGGCCCCTTTGGCAGAGCAGCTTATTCTTAATGCTAACAGTAGGTATCACTTACAGAACACTTGCTGACTGTTCAGTTCCCATCAAAGAAAGCCTTATGTGGCAGATCCTTTGATGATGCTTGTTTTACAGACAAACGTTTGGGGCTTAGGTTAAGAAACTTGAGAGGGGGCAAACTAATAAGTGGCAAAGCCGAGCTTTGAACCTACCACTCTTCTGCTTCAGAATTCATATCCTTAACTCATGCACTCCCATTTAATTATTTATGTTTATTATTTCATTGTTTGGTGAGCGCTTATATTGAAAATTCATTTTTTTTTTGGTGGGGGGCATGCTTTCTGTCACTTTGCAGAAACAAATAAAAGTTGAGCTGAACCCTCAATTAAGTTCTTTCCAGTGCGATGATTCAACACAATATTCTAACCATAAGGATACTCAGAGGAAGGAGTATGCCATCCAGAAGTCTAGTATCTTTGTAAGGCACGATTTTTGCCAGGCACAATTACAGGTGAAGGGCTCATTGAACTAAAGGGAGGAGGGGTCCTATGGTCACATTTACCTCCAAGCCCTTCTCTGCACCCTTTCCCTCCCTTCTTTCCCCTCTCTCCCTCCCACCCTACAAGCTTACCTTGGTTAGGAAAGCATATTCTGAGAAAATCAAAAGGAAAAGGCATGTGTGCGATTCAGGCTGCTATGACACACACACACTTAACTTTGTTGCCTATGGATTCTGCTTTCTAATAACTTGCCCTCAACATGACCCCAGGGAGTGGATTAGAAAGTTTTTTTCCCCATCCCCATTTTTTACCTGTTATTCACACTGTGAGCAGGAGGACCCTTTTCACCATCGTTGTTCGGCTGAACTTGCTTCGCGGTTTGTTCTCGGCTGGGTCAGGAACTCTGGTAGAGGGAAACCAGTGCCCTGTCTCTGCCGGGCTGGGACTCCGCGAGTCACTCACCTGTAGGGGAGGTCCGAGGCCCGCGCGGGCGCAGGGGCGGCGCCTGTCTCCTCCCAGAGCATGGCTCAGCTGGGCGCTTGCAGTGCCCCCGACGCGATCAGCGATCCTGGAGCCCCAGGAGCTGTTAATTATTTCTCCTTTTCGCCACAGCAGGGAAGTGTCAAGAAACCTGAGCCACTCCCTGTGCCTCAGTGCATGTTGGGAGTGTTTACTTTCTTAGGAACAGCTGATAGGTACACTCCTTTGCTCTCTGCCACACTTCTTGAGAAATGAATGGACATTCTAGTTAACGCTTTAACCACGGGATTTGACTGATGTTAATCTCTATTCTCTAGTCCACCCAGACTGTAGGTAATTGGCCTGTGAGAAATGACACCAACCAAGACTGAACGCCATTATTCACGTCTTTCTTTTTAAGATTTTTCTTTTCCAATTTGAGATTTGTTAACTTTCTTTTCCTTGTTATTTTGCTAACACATTTCCCTGCTAGCACTTTTTTTCACCCAGAGCAGCGTTTCGCGCTTCAGGGTGCACCAGGACCACCTATGTATTCTGCTAAACCCAGGTACCATCAACTGTGAGACTCTGATTTAGTAGGCCATGCATACACTTCGGGTATTTATATTTTTTATAAGCTCCACAGAAGAAACTGGTAGACATCAAAGTTTGAAAATGAACATAATGAAACAAAACAGAGGAGATAAATAATAATTTAGTCATTATCTACTGAATTGGATTTGGGGGCTTTGTTTTATCCAATATCTCCAATTTCAAAAGGACACCAAAAAGGCTTAGAAACTGTTAAATGACAGATGCTGTGGAAATATGAAGTACATTTACACACACACACACACACACACACACACAGATTTTTAAGGATCATTGTTATTTTACTGGTTTCCTATGTAAAGCAACTATTCATAATTTTTAAACATAATAGGTTATTTTACAAGTGTAAACCTGAGAGCCCTCAAAAGAAATTCAATCTGATTCCTGCAAAAAGTTCAGCAGGCAGAGTTAATTTCTAGTATCTTTCGTGTTCAAACGCCAGACAAACAGAATGACTCTAGATGTTCAGGTTGCATGTTTGTCATAGCACTTTAAGTAAGATCCTATATGTTCAAAAGGTGAGGCAGGCCAGGTGCAGTGACTCACGCCTGTAATCTCAGCACTTTGGGAGACCAAGGCTGGTGGATCACTTGAGCCCAGGAGTTCAAGACCAGCCTGGACAACATGGCAAAACCCTGTCTCTGCAAAAAAAAAAAAAAAAATTAGCCCGGCATTGTGGGGCATGCCTATAGTCCCAGCTACTCGGGAGGCTGAGGTGGGAGGATCACTTGAGCCTGGGAAGTCGAGGCTGCAGAGAGCCAAGATTGCACCACTGCACTCCAGCCTGATTCAAAAAAAAAAAAGAAAAAATATTAGGCAGTTTATCTATTTAATCTGTGGTGTGCGGAGACCAGGAACTATCAGATTTATCATTATTTGAGCAAATGGTTTTATTGGATCACAATCAAAGATTTTACAATCTTATGTAAGGACAGATGTGACTTAGTATTACTTGCAGATATTAATTCGATCATCATGTTGGCTCCATAACTCTCTGGTATGTGGCTGCTGGTATGGACTGACCTTTGAATGATGACTAGCAGGACCTAGAGTAGTTACAGCTCTCGGTTCCAGGATATCTTGCTCAAATCCATGCTCCACCTCCATTGTCTGTGCTTGAAGTGGGTCATTTGCTTATTGTCAGCATCAGGGCAACATTCTTTTGCATCTTTTACCTGCAAGCATTGGATTTGGGGGCTTTGTTTTTTGCCAATATCTCCAATTTCAAAAGGACTCCAAAAAGGCTTAGAAACTGTTAAATGGCAGATGCTGTGGAAACTTTTACTCTGATGACTGCTTTCCAACTGGTTTTCTAAAGAAAAGTAAAGTTAGAGGCTTAGTGACTTCGTTTTTTAGTGTTTTATCTGTTTGTAAATATGTAATTTTTATTTGATAATATAAAAAGTATATAATTGCACATATGCAATGTGGAAAATCTGAAAAACACAGAAATGTAGAGGACAAAAAGCACCTATAATTCCATCTCTCAAGTATAATCATCATAAACAATTTGTTGAATGTCTTTATTGACTTATTTTCCCTGTGGCTGTTTATCAAAATGCTATTACATTTGGTTTGTTGGTTTATAGCCTGCTTTCATCACATCAAACGTAGTATGAACAATTTACTATAAATCAGTCACTTTTTTTCCTGCAATGTAATTTTAACTAGCTGCTCTGTATTGCACCAAATGAAAATACCGTTACTTATTTAATTATTATGATAAAGTTATACTGTTATAAACAACACTGCAGTGAATGATTACATATGATTCCACACAAGCATGACTACACCTTTTAGATACATTTCAAAAATTGAAGTTACCAGATGTAAGGCAATGTGCATTTTGAAGAATTTCCCTGCTTAAAAAATCTTTGTCAGTTTTATACTCCCAGGGCAGCTAACATGGGTTATTATACTTCTTTTAAACATTTATTAATTTGAAACATAAAAAAATCCATATCTTATTTTAAATATATATATTATCGTACTTGTAAGTTTGGGCTCTTTAGACTTTGCACTTTTGCTTTATTGTTTATTGGACTCTTTGCTCATCTTTTTTCTTATTGATTTATAAATTCTCTTTATATATTAAACATATCAACTCTTCATCATATATGCTGTGACTATATTTTCAAGGTGACTTGTTTACCTTGCAGTCTTGTCTATGGTATTTTTGACATATAAAAGTTTAAAAATGTAAATGGTCGAATCTATTATTTTTCTTTATCAGTTACATCAGTTTTATAAAAGCTTTCCCATCCTTAAAGAATGTAAAAATGCACATATATTGCTTCTTCTAGTTTTTCTAAGATTTAGATATTATTTATTTATTAAATTGAACATTTTAGCCCATCTAGACTTTATTATGTTAATACACCATGAAATTTAGATCTAACTTAATTTTTCTAAGTTATTAGTTTGTTAACTGAGTCATGTTTATTAAATAACTATAGATTATAAAATTTATGAAGGCAAGGACCTTCATAAATTCATAATGTCTTATCCTCTATTTTAACCACTAAGCTTAGCACAGTGACTGGCAGGCCCATGGTTGCTCAGATCAAATGTTTAACTAGCACTCTTGATTTCTTTCTTTCCCTCTTTCCACGCCCAGTAAATGAGCAAGTCCTGATGTTGTATCTCCATGGCTACCACCTTACATCAGGCCAGCATCATCTCTTGCTTGGATACCACAAATGACCTCCGAACTGGGCTTTATGCCTCCCCTCTTATCCTACTACAGTCCATTCTCCACCTGTGGCTAGCGTAATCTTTTATAAGCAATATCCAGACAACAATACCACTTCTGATTTTCTTGGTTTAAAGGCTTTCTAGTGGTTGCACCGCACATCTGGAATAAAATCTAAATCTGAACTGCTTACCATGCCCTACAATGCCCCACATGACTGGCTCATCCCTGCTTCTTCGACCTTTTTGATTTTCTGCTTCCTTGGTACTAACTCTAAACTTGCTACCCTGGTTAATTTTTATTTCTGGAACAGACTAAACTTCTTCCTGTCTCACTGCGTTTGTATTTATTATTGATTCACTCAAGAAAGCTTTGCTCTGGTCATGGGTAGTTTCTTTTCATTACTATGTTTTTTTCCTCAAATATTACCTCCTTAGAAAAGCTTCCTATGACGACTGTATTCGAAGAAGACTTCTGATCTTTCTCTATTATAGCACCTTGTTTTATTGTATTTGTGGCAATTATCATTAGCTAATTATGTTTTATTGTTTGGGGTTACCTCTTTATTTTATGTCTCCTGTCATTAAAATATAAACGCTAAGAGATCAGGAACCTTGACTTGTAGGTTCACTCCTCTATGCTTAGTGTCTAGAACAATGTGTGGTCCCCTGAGGGTCAAGAAACACTGGGTCAAGAAAAAATAGTAACAATAAATAAGCGTTGAGTAAATAAATGTAGATCACACTCTTTCTTGATATGAAATGACACTTTTATCAAATACTGAGGGCATACATATTTTTTGCCTTACACTTCATTTCATATCTGAGGCTGTACTTAAAGAATATGTGCTAGGGAAGGAAAAAAGGAAGCAGAGGCAGTGTAGTTCCAAACAATGAGGGGACTCCCAGTAAAAACCTAGCTGGAAAATTGCCTTAAAGAGGAAGCCAGGCCTTCACAAGGAGGCAATGTGTTAATTACATTTCCGATGTGTAAAGCTTAAAATAAATATATTTTACAACTGGAAATTTTTGCCATAAAGATTTTAATAAATTACAGCAACCGTAACAGATTAAGATTTTTGGAAAATCCCAACATTTAACTTGAACTTGAAGAATAAACCGTCACTTCCTGTTTCAATTGAGGAACATATACTGCTTTTCTGTGAAAACAGACAAGAAATTTAATTAAAAAAAAAAAACTTTGTTGAGAAAAATAAGGGAGGAGAAATTTCCTTTAAAAATATACACAGAACTTTAATTAAAACAGTGCTGTAATTGATGTACAAATCATTTTAAAACTTTTAGATAGTTGATGAATTTTTAAAAAGCCTCACCTTTCCATAGTTATGTATCATAAGATTCAACAGTGACTTTTGAGTAAGGCCATGATTTGTCATGATGATGGGGACAAGTGCAACACAACCATTTTCGCAACTTGAACAATGAAGATTATTTTCATTAATTAATGAAATTAATTTTTATTTCCAAAGCTTTTTCTTCTCTAAGAAAGTTTCTTGTCTGAGAAGCTCTAAGAAACAGTTTCTTATCTTCAATATAGACTGTTTTTCAATAACCTAATGGATAGTGGAAATAATCTAGTTTAGTCATTCCTTGAAAAATTAATCTTTTCCAAGCAGATGCAGAGATGGTACAAAGACAAATAAGACAAAATCTCCTCTCTCAAGGAGCTGACAATCTTCAACCTCAAGAGAAGAAATTTAAAAGCATACATACTTTCAAAATTCAGTGACAGAAAGAAACCCAGATTGTAATGATGTTTTGATAGGCTTTAACAGGTACAAAGAGAAATAATTTTTTTTTTAATGTGAAGAATCATTTTCAAAAAAATGAAATGGGCAGTAATAATTTTCCCACCCCCAAAGTTACTGCCTTTTAAAATTGGTTATTGTATATAAAACATAAAGAAATCCAGTGAAATGTAACAGTGATTGCTGTTTTTCAAAATATGGCACTTAATCAATTTTGATTTTTTAAACTTTGTTGATTTTCTTATTGCATATTTGATTTCTGTTTTCAAAAATTACATTTTATTGTGTATATTTGAGGTTTACCAACATGATGTTGGGAAGCATACGGATAGTAAAATAGTTACTATGGTTAACAAACCTACACAGTGACTTTTTTGGTGATAAGAGCAGCTAAAATCTACTTATTTAACAAAAATTCCAAATATAATAAAATTTTATTAACTATGGTCCTCATGTTGTTCATTAGATCTCTAGACCCATTCATCATACATATCTACTACTTTGTATTCTTTGACCTACATCTTCCCGTTCCCTCTGCCCTGCCCTTCCTGTCCCTGGCAACTACTGTTTTATTCTCTTTGTATTTTGACCTTACTTTTTTCCTTTTTAGATTCTATATATAAGTGAGATCGTGAGATTATGCAAATTTTTCCATCTGTGTCTGGCTTATTTCACTTAGCATAAGGTCCTCCAGGTACTTCCATGTGGATAAAAGTGTCAGGATATACTTTTTTCAGGCTGAATAATATTCATACACACACAAGTATACATATAACATTTTTTCTGTCCATTCATGTATTGATGGACAATTAGGAATTAGATTGTTTCTATATCTTGGCTATAATGAATAATTCTGCCTTGAACGTGGGAGTACAGATATCTTTATGGAGTGGTGATTTCATCTTATTTGGTTATATACCCAGAAGGGGAATTGCTGGGTCATATGGTAATTCTATTTTTAATTTCTTTAAGAATCCCCATTCTGCTTTTCATAATGGCAGTACTAATCTGTATTCCTATCAACAGTGTAGTAGGCTTTCCTTTTCTTGACACCCTTACCAACATTTGCCATCTCTTGTCTTTTTGGTAATAGGCGTCCTTATGAGTGTAAGGTAATATCTCATAGCGGTTTTAATTTGCATTTCCCTGATGATTAGTGACAGTGAGCAACTTTTCATATACCTGTTGGCCATTTTTATGTCTTATTTGGAGAAATGTCTATTCAGGTCTCTGACCCATTTTTTTAATTGGGTTGTTTTTCAGCTATTAATTATAAGAGTTCTTTATAATATTAATCTGTTATCAAACATATAGTTGACAAACATTTTTTCTCAATCCATAGGTTTCCTTTTCAGTTTGTTGATTTGTTTCCTTCACTTTGTTTAATACAATTCCATTTATTTATTTTTGCTTTTGTAGCCCGGGATTTTGGTGTGACGCACAAAAACTCATTGCCAAGGCCAATGACAAGGAGATTTCCCCCTGTTTTCTTCTAAAAGTGTTATGGTTTCAGGTCTTACATTTAGGTGTTTTATCCATTTTGAGTTGATTTTTGTGTATGGTGTAAGATAAGGGTCCAATTTCATTTTGTGTGTGTGTGTGTGTGGAAACCCAGTTTTCCCAGCGCCATTAATTGAAGAGACTATTCTTTCCCCATTGTGTTCTCTTGGTGCCCTTATCAAAAATTAGCTGACTTCATATGTTTGGATTTATTTCTGGGTTCCATATGCTGATCTATGTGTTTCTGTTTCCATGCTAGTACCACACTGTTTTGAATATTATAACTCTGTAATATAAATTTAAATCAGGAAATATCTAGCTTCCAATTTTTTTTTGTCTCAGTATTGATTTGGCTATTCAGGATTCTTTGAGGTTCTATACAAATTTTAGAATTTTATTTTTTCTATGAAGAAGGCCGTTGGAATTTTGATAGGGAATGCGTTAAATCTGTATATTGCATTGGGTAGTACAGACATTTTAATAATGCTAATTCTTTTCATCCATGAACATGACATATCCTTCCATTTATTTGTGTGTTTTTCAATTTCTTTCATCAATATTTTATGGTTTTTAGTGTACAAATCTTTCACTTCCTTGGTTAAATTTATTCCTATGTATTTTTTTTGATGCTATTGCTTACAGTATTTTTAAAAATTTCTTTTTCAGCTAGGTCATTATTTATTTGTAGAAATGCTATTTGATTTTTTTATGTTGATTTTGTAACTTGCAACTTTACTGAATTCATTTATTCATTTATTCATTTATTAGATTTTTGGGGACTCTTTGCAGTTTTCTACACTTAGGAATAGAAGTTGTGAGAGTGGACATCGCTATCTTGTACTAGATCATAGTGGAAAACTTTCAGTTGTTTCTCATTAATTATGATGTTAATGACATTTATTATGTTGAGAAATTTTCCTTCCCTATCTAAACCATTAAGAGTTTTTTTAATCAAGAAATGATGCATAGCTTTGTCAAATGCTTTTCCTGCATCACTTGCCATGATATTGTGGTTTCAATCTTTCAGTCCGTTAATGTGACCTATCACTGTGATTAATTTGTTTATGTTAAACCAACCTTCATGCCAGGAATCAATCCCACTTGATCATGATGTATAATCTTTTTGATGTGTTGTTAAATTTGATTTGCTAATATTTTATTAAGGATTTTTGTATCAATGTTCATCAGAGATACTGGCTTATATGTTTTGTTTCTTATGGTGTTTTTATCTGGCTTAGGTATCATAATGATGCTGGCCTTTTAAAATGTGTGTTTGGAAGTATCCCCTCTACCTTTATTTTTTGGAAGAGTTTAAGAAGTATCACTAATAATTCTTTAAATTTTTGGTAGAATTGATCCGTGAAGCCATCTGGCCCCAGGCTTTTCTTTGTTGGAAAGTTTTTAATTTCTTCTTCAATCTATTTGTTCTTGGTCTGTCCAAGCCTTCTATTTTTTCCTCATTCAATCTTGGTAGGCTATATTTGTCTGGGAATTCATTTATTTCCTCTAGGTAATCCAATTTGTTGCCATATAATTGCTCATAATAGTCACTTATGATTCTTTTTATTTCTGAGGCATATTTAATAATGCCTCCACTTGCATTTATGATTTTACCTATTTGAGTCTTCTCTCTCTCTCTCTTTTTCTTTCAATCTAGCTAGAGGTTTGTCAGTTTTGTTAACTTTTTCAAAGAACCAATTTTGTTTTTTTGCTTTTTCCTATGGTTTTTCTTCTTCTTTTTGTTATTTCTTCTACAAAAAAAATGGGATACATGTGCAGAACATGCAGGTTTGTTACATGGGTATACGTGTGTCATGGTGGTTTGCTGTACCTATTGACCTGTCCTCTAAGTTCCCTCCCCTCATCCCCCACCCTGAAACAGGCCCTGGTGTGTGATGTTCCCCTCTCTGTCTCCAAGTGTTCTCCATGTTCAACTCCCACTTATGAGTGAGAACATGTGGTATTTGGTTTTCTGTTCCTGTGTTAGTTTGCTGAGGATGATGGCTTCCAGCTTCATCTATGTCCCTGTAAAGACATGATCTCTCTTTCCTTTTTTATGGCTGCATAGTATTCCATGGTGTATATGTGCCACAGTTTCTTTACCCAGTCTATCATTGATGGGCATTTGGGCTGGTTTCATTTCTTTGCTGTTTTAAATAGTGCTGCAATAAACATACGTGTGCATGTGTCTTTATAGTAGAATGATTTATAGTCCTTTGGGTATATACTCAGTAATGGGACTGCTGGGTCAAATGGTATTTCTGGTTCTAGATCCTTAAGGAATTGCCACACTGTCTTCCACAAAGGTTGAACTAATTTACATTCCCACCAGCAGAGTAAAAGCATTCCTATTTCTCCACAGCCTTGCCAACATCTATTGTCTCCCCATTGCTTCTTTCTGTCAGGTTTGTTGAAGATCAGATGGTTTATTTGATATATATATCTGCTCTTACCTTATTTTTTGTCTTTTACTAACTTTCAGTTAAGTTTGTCTCTTGTTTGCTTGTTCCTTGAGGATAAAGTTAGGAAATTTATTTGGGATCTTTCTTCTTTAATGTGGGTATTTATTGCTATCAACTTTCCTCTTATAACTTAATTTGCTGCATCTCGTAGGTTTTGTTATGTTGTATTTCTATTGTTGGTTTCAAGATATTTTTCTTTTTTAAAAAAATTCTTCTTTAACTCATTGATTGTTCCAGAGCATGTTGTTTAATTTCTGCCTGAGGGGAGAGTGCAGCAGCAACTAAGAGGGGTAGGGCACAGCAACTTGCCCCCACAGGATAAGGTGTAGAAGCAGCTTGTTTCAGGAATGGCGGGCCACCAGGTGGGGGTGATATAGCAGTGACAAAGCCTCAGGGATGGATATTCACCCCTGAAGCAGGAATACTCCAGCAGTAGTTCTAGTTCAATAAGGGCATAGCACAGTAGCCACACAGACCACGGGGAGTGGGACACAGTGTTGGCAACTTCTCGAGGGGCAGTGCATCTGTGTGGACTCCAGGCAGCTCCCTCATCTGGGCTCAGCTCCTGAGACACTGCAGGAGTCCCCAGTGCTGAGGGATTATAGGTGCCCAAGGTAGCGATGGGGTCTGCTAAGTTCCTTTAGTTTACCTTTTCTCTGCAGGAGGAAGTACCTCGTTATTTGCAGCTGACTGGGGAGTGGGGTGGCAGAGGTTATGTGTTTCTTTCTCTTTTCTATGTGGCCATCCTGGGTTTCTAGGCTCTACAAAATTTCTGCTGCTCCTTTGATGTATTCAAGTGGTCTCCTTTAGTTATTTTCATCAAAATATAGTTGCTTATTTGTTGTTTTTGCTGTCTTTGTGGGATAAATGAGTGCAAGAGGTCTCTGCTTGGCCATCTTGCTCTAGCCGGTTTTGATTTGTATTCTGTTTCTCTATTCCTTCATTTTAAACACACACACACACACACAGACACACAGACAACACTTTTTAATATCATACAAGATAACACAAACTTTTGGGGAAATAAAATAAACAATAATATATTATATAAAACACTTAACTCCAAGTGCCAACAGCTTGTAAGAAATGTAGGTCAATGTACTTTTATCTGAATATCAGCAGTTGAATGATACTAAATGTCATTGTAGACTGAAAATTCCTTAGGAATGTATTGTTATAGTGACAATATTTACAAAGAAAAAATTGGAGTATTTTGTTGGTCTTATATGGTCTGAAATCTGAGGTAAAATACATGAAATTAGTATTTCACTAGGAAATCATTTATCTAATCATCCTGTTGCTTATAGTACACACTTGGCTCAGTAGTTATACTTGAAGGTATGTGTGTGGGTATGGATTTTTAAATTTTTTTTTTTAGTTTTTAATTTAGAAGTGCTCATGCATATTGACACACTTAGAATGTTATAAGGACTTCCAAGATGGTACATTGAAGGCAGTGTTAGCATGTCTTTCCCATTTGGAAAGACAGAATAGCATACAGAGATTCACACTGTAACTTTTTTCTAAGAAGCAACACAGAAACTTAACAGGAAAACTGAAAGAAACCAAAAGACACTTTGAAATAAGTGGCAGGCTGTAGCCTACACCATGAAGTAGGTAGAAAAAAAAAGTCCCTATAGTGTGAGAGGGAGATAAACTGTGTCCAGGATATACACTCCTCCTGGGAACCTTGAAATCTAGGCTGCAGAGGAAGGCCTTAACACTACCCAGCACTGGAACTGATTTAGGGAGCAGTGGGGAATATAAAAGTAGGAGCAGCACAGGAAGAGCTTTGTGTGCATTCTCAGTCTCCAGTATGGACAGAGGGAAGCTATTTCTGATTCTGCCTCAAAGGGGACCTCACAAAAGTCTGCAAGCTATATCAGGCAGTGGTTACAGGTTAAGAGAAACTCTCAACTGAAATTCATGACATATTCTCAAGTGGTAATAAACTCCCTTGGTCAGAACCGGGTGGCAAGTGGGAAGCGTGCTGCAGCCATGAGCACGGGAGCTGGGCACCCCAGCTTTGCAGACATGACCTGAAGCCATGGTTGCTGTCTCCCCAGGAAGGCTTATGGCCTGGGGCAGATTTGAGTTCTGAGTGCAGACTGCCTGGAACCTAGTTAGCTGTTGCCAGTGGAACACTCAGGGTGTGGGACCTCCCTTGCCAAAATCTTAGGAGTTCGGTGGGGCTTACTACCCTCTGCTACTCCCCACTCCCTGTGCAAACTCTTCTGTGCAGCAGAAGCAGTTGCACACTCCCCTCTGGAACATTACCCCAGTGGCCAGAGCACTACATTCCAACCCCCACAGGTGCCACTGCTTTCCTTGCACACACAGAGCCAGTGCATAGACCTGCCTGACCCAGCCCCAGTCTGGCTTTACCCCTCCATCCACCCTGGTAGTTTAACACAAAGGACAGAAAATTTTGGGTGCTCCATGGCCTCACCTATCACCTGAGAAAGCAGAGTACCTCCCTGGGTAACAAGGCAAGAACAAATCCTACCGCTACAACTGCAGCTGGTGTTCTTTAGCAAGTGCCACCTCCTGGCTAGAGGCCAACTGACACAGTCCATTACAGCATCTCCAGGTAGACTAACACTGTGCCCAGTAAAGAGAAAACATGTGTGTGACCTCAGCTATCACCATTGTCTGCAGCAACCTGACTAACCAAGAGGTCCTGAGTCTGTCTATGGGACCACTTTATTACCACTACAACTCACATTTCAGAAAGTCAACTCAGTAAGGCTATTTATGACCAAGGAATCTCACAGAATGTACATCACTCCCCTGCCACCCTCATCAGAGCTGGCACTGGTACCTGTTGTTGGGAGACTAGAAGACAGGTCACATCACAAGATCCCTTGCAGACATTTGGCAGCTCCAGCCTGGAGTGTAGCATTCCCACTAGATGGCTACATCCAGAGGAGCAGCAGCATTCACAGTAGTCTGGCTCTCAGGGACTCCTACTCCTACGGGAAGGGGGAATGCACCATGTCAAGGGACTGCCCCATGCATGGGACAAAAGAATCCAGATAACAGGCTTTTTGAGTCCCAGAACTTTCTGTGGATGGGAAATTGCTTTCAGCAGAGGAACAGGTACAGTGCTGGGCTCAGTGGGGAAAGTCTGCAGTTCTACCCCAAAAGTCAGGCAGCCCTGGTGCTTCTGAAGGATCTTGGAGAAGGAAACTTTTTTTTCTCTCATTGTACACCACTGTAGACACAGCCGAGGCTTTGCCCTTGGGAGCTCAGCATGGTTACACCTACAGGTAGCCTTTTTGGAACACTTCAGGGTGACTGCATCCCCTGCTACAGAAGGAGTACCTTTTGGGTTTAGGCTTGCATGAGGGGTAGAGTTGCAATTTCTCTTTGCTTGGAACCTCAGTGTTTCTGCAAATGAAATAGGTATTCTGATCTGAATAGCCAGAACCATGGGTAAGGAGCATGTCTAGGAGGAGAATAGCTTTCCTGCTGGACTGGCAGGAGAGCTGAGGTGGCTGCCACAATTCCCCTTGGTAAGATCTCAGTGCATTTCACTGAGAGCTCCCCCAGACACCTCTGTCAAGGCTGAGACCTCTGCCCAACATTGGGCATTGCATCTACCCACCTGCATAGCCAAAACTAGTTTCTACACAGGGACACCTCCCCTACTGGCCTGAAGCCTAAACTCTTCAATCCAGTATATAAAATATTGGGGAAAAGATCTCTGCCATTCCAACTCCATAGGAGAAAGTGAACTTGCTCTTGCACTGTGCACATTGCTACTACAACCGGCATCTGAGAAAGTCATCATCCAAGACTTTCTATAATCAAAGAACCCATACAGACTCTTCATCCCTGAAAGCACCAAGAACTCAGGCCACAATAAAGTATAAACATTAAAGTTACATCCTTAAGGGTAAAATAAATGGAACAAAAACACAGTCAATAAAAAATAAATTTAAGAATAATCAGAATAAATAGTCTACCTAAATGAGAAGGAATCAGGAAAATAAATCTGGTAATATGACAAAACAGGATTCTATAACACTCCCAAAAGATCATACTAGCTCTCCAGCAATGGATCGGAACAAAGACAAAATCTTTGAAATACCAGATAATGAATTCAAAAGTTGATTATTAAGCTATCAGAGACACCAGAGAAAGGTGAAAACCAACATAAAGAAATTTTAAAAAATTGAGGATATGAATGAAAAATTCTCTAGAGTTTAATATTGTAAAGAAAAACCAATCAGAACTTCTGGAAATAAAGACACATTTAGGAAATTACAAAATGCAGTGGAAAATTTTAACAATAGACTAGATCAAGTAGAGAAAAGAATTCCAGAGCTTGAAGACAAGGCTTTCTAATTAATCCAATCAGACAAAAATAAAGAAAAGAGAATAAATAGAAATGAACAAAATCTTCAAGAAATATGGGATTATGTAAAATGGCCAAACCTAAGAATAATTGGTGTTCCTGAAGGAGAAGAGACAGCAAAAAGCTTGGAAAACTTATTTGAGGGAATAATTAAGAAAACCTTTCTTGGCCTTGTTAGAGATTTAGATGTCCAAATACAAGAAGCATAAAGAACTCCTTGGAGATTCATTGGAAAAAAAAAAAAAGAAAAAATCACCATGGCATGTAGTCATCAGGCTATCTAAAGTGAAAGAAAGAATTCTAAGAGCAGTGAGACAAAGACATGAGGTAGCCCATAAAGGAAAACCTATCAGACTAACAGCAGACTTCTCAGCAGAAACCTTAGAAGACAGAAGGGATTGTGGTCCTATCTTTAGCCTCTTTAAACAGAAAAACTGTCAGCCAAGAATTTTGTATTAAAAAAAACTAAGTAGCATAACTGAAAGAGAAATAAAGTCATTTTCAGACAAACAAATGCTGAGGAAATTTGTCACCACCAGATCAACCCTACAAGAAAGGCTAAAAGGAGTTCTAAATCTTGAAATAAAAAGTCAATATGCACCCGAATAGAACCTCTTGAAAGCATGAAACTTACATGGCCTATAAAACAAATAACACAATGAAGAAAACAAAGAGTCTAGGTAACAATTAATATCATGACTGGAACGGTACCTCACATCTCTATATTAATGTTGAATGTAAATGGCCTGGCCTAAATGTTATTTAAAAGATACAGATTGGCAGAATGAACTTAAAGAATCACAAACCAAATATCTACTGTCTTCAAGACACTCACTTAACACATAAGGATTCATAAAAACTCAAGATAAATGGGTAAAAAAAGATATTCCACACAAATGGAAACCAAAAGTGAGTAGAAGCTATTCTTGTATCAGGTAAAATAGACTTTAAAGAAACAATGGTAAAAAAGACAAAAAAGATCATTATATAATGATAAAAGGATCACTCCAACAAGAACATATTACAATCCTAAATGTGTATGAACCTAACACTAGAGCTACCAGATTCATAAAACAATTACTACTAGACCTAAGAAATGAGGTAGACAGCAACTCAATAATAGTGGACGACTTCAACACTCCGCTGACAACACAAGACTAATCATCAAGACAGAAAGTTAACAAAGAAACAATGAACTTAAAAACTAAATTCTAGAACAAATGGACCTAACAGATATTTACAGAACATTCTACCCAAGAACTGCAGAATATACATTCTTCTCATCAGCACATGGAATATTCTCCAAGATAGAACATATGATAGGCCACAAAACAAATCTCAATAAATTAAAATAAATTGAAATCATCAAGTGTCTTCTCAGACCACAGTGGAATAAAACTAGAAATCCACTACAAAAGGAACTCCTAAAACTATACAAATAGATGGAAATTAAATAATCTGCTCCTGAATTTTTGGGTTAACAATAAAATCAAGATAGAAATTTAAAAATTCTTTGAAATAAATAACACAAGTTATAAAAACTTCTGGGATACAGCAAATGGAATGTTAATGGTAAAGTTTATAGTGCTACGCACCTACATTAAAAAGTCTGAAAGAGCACAAATTGACAACCTAGAATCTAGAGAAACAGGAATAAACCAAACCTAAAGCTAGCAGAAGAAAAGAAATAATGAAGATCAGAGGAGAACTAAATAAAATTGAAAGAAAAAATACAAAAGTTCAACGAAATAAAAAACTGATTATTTGTAATAGTAAATAAAATTGATAGATCGTTAGCCAGAATAACCAAGAAAAAGAGAGAGAAGATTCAAAGAAGCTCAATTAGAAATAAAAATGGAGACATTACAAATGCCAATACAGAAATACAAAAGATCATTTGAGAGTGCTATGAACACCTCTAGGCACACAAATTAGAAAATCTAAAGGAAATGGACAAATTCCTGGAATCATACAACCTTCTTAAATTAAATCAGGAAAAAATAGAAACCCTGAATGTACCGGTAACAAGCAGTGAGATTGAATCAGTAATTTAAAGCTTGCCAACAATAAAAAAAGCCCAAGGCCAGGTTAATTCATAGCTGAATTCTACCAGACATTCAAAGAAGGGTTGGTACCAATCATACTGAAATTATTCTAAAAGATAGAGAAGGAGGAAATTCTCTCAAATAGTTCTAGAAGCCAGTATCACCCTGATACCAAAACCAGGAAAGGACATTACAAGAAATGAAAACCACAGACAAATATCCCTGATGAACATAGATGCAGAAATCCTCAACAAAATACTAACTGAATCCAACAATATATAAAAAAGATAATACAAAATGATCAAGTGGGTTTTATCCCAGAGATGCAGGGGTGGTTTAACATACACAAGTCAATAAATGTGATGCATCCCCTAAACAGAATTTAAAACAAAACCATATAATCATCTCAACAGATGCAGAAAAAACATTTGATAAAATACAGTGCCTCTTTATGACATAAACCCTCAAGAAGCATAGAAGGGACATACCTCAAAATAATAACAGCCATATTTGACAAGCCCACAGCCAACATTATACTGAATGGGAAAAAAGTTGAAAGCATTTTCCCATAGAACAGGAATAAGACAAAGATGTCCACTTTCTCTATTTCTATTTAGAATAGTACTAGAAGTCCTAGCCAGAAGAGTTAGGCAAGAGAAAGAAAGAAAGAAAGAAAGAAAGAAAGAAAGAAAGAAAGAAAGAAAGAAAGAAAGAAAGAAAGAAAGAAAGAGAGAGAGAGAGAGAGAGAGAGAGAGAGAGAAAGAAAGAAAGAAAGAAAGAAAGAGGGAAAGAAAGAAAGAAAGAAAGAAAGAAAGAAAGAAAGAAAGAAAGGAAGGAAGGAAGAAAGAAAAGAAAGAAAAGGGAAGGAAGGGAACAGAAGGGAAGGGAAGGGAAGGAAAGGAAAGGAAAGGAAAGGAAAGGAAAGGAAAGGAAAGGAAAGGAAAGGAAAGGAAGGGAAGGGAAAGGAAAGGAAAGAAAGAGAGGAAGGAAGGAAGGAATTCAAATTGGAAAAGAGGAAGTCAAACTATGACTGTTCATTGATGATATAATCATAGACCCCCAGAAAACCCTAAAGATTCTTCCAAACGACCCCTAGATTTGATGAATAAATTCAGTAAAGTCTTAGGTTACAAAATCAATGTACAAAAATTAGTAGCATTGCTATATACCAACAATGACCAAGCTGATAATAAAATCAAGAACTCAATTCATTTTACAATAGCCGCCAAAAAATAATTCTTGGAATATACTTAACCAAGGAGGTGAAAGATCTTTAAAAGGGGAACCACAAAACATTGCAGAAAGAAATCACAAATGACACAAATAAATGAAAAAACATCCCACGTTGTGGATTGGAGGAGTCAATATCATAAAAATGGCCATACTGCCCAAAGCAATCTACAGATGCAATGGAATTCCTATCAAGATACCGACACATTTTTTTTTTTACAGAGGTGGAAAAAACAATCCTAAAATTTATATGGAACCAAGAAAGAGCCTGAATAGCCAGAGCACTCCTAAGCAAAATGAAATAATCTGGAGGCATCATATTACCTGCCTTCAATTTATACTACAAGGCTATAATTACCAATACAGCATGGTATTGGTATAAATGTGGACACACAGACTAATGGAACAGAACAGAAAACCCAGAAATAAAGTCAAATACTTCTAAGCAACTGATCTTCAACAAAGCATACAAAAACATAATTCTGGAAAGGACACCTTATTTAATAAATGGTGCAGGGAAAACTGGATAACCACATGTAGAAGAATGATCTGGGCCCTTATATCTCACTTTATACAAAAATCAACTTAAATCTAAGACCTGAAACCATAAGAATTCTAGAAGATAACCAAGGAAAATCTCTCCTGGACATTGGCCTAGAAAAATAAGTTATGACTAAGACCCCAAAAGCAAATGCAACAAAAACAAAAATAAATAAATGGGACCTAATTAGGCTAAAAAAACTTCCATTAGGCAAAAGAAATATTCATCAGAATAAACAGACAACCCACAGAATAGGAGAAAATATTTGCAAACTACCATTGAACAAATGACTAATATCCAGAATGTACAAGGAACTCAAACAAATCAGCAAGAAAAAATTCAATTAAAAAAGGGACAAATGACATGAATAGATATTTCATGAAAGAAGATATACAAAAGGCCAACAAACATATGAAAAAAATGCTCAACATCACTAATCATCAGAGATATGTAAATTAAAACCACAGTGAGATATTATCTTACTTCTACAAGAATGGCCATTATTAAACAGTCAAAAAACAATAGATATTGGTATCGATATCGATTTGGTGAAAAGGGGACACTTACACACTGCTATTGGGAATGTAAATTAGAATAACCTCTATAGAAATCACTATAGAGGTTTCTTAAAGAACTAAAAGTATATATACCATTTGATTCAGCAAATGGTAGATATACCAGATACTGCTAGTATTTACCCAAAGGAAAAGAAGTCATTACATCAAAAAGACATTTTCTTGTGTATGTTTCTTGCAGCACAATTCACAATTGCAAAGACATGGAACCAACCTAAGTGCTCGTTGCCCAATGAGTGGATAAATAAAATGGTATATACACACCATGCAATACTAGTCAGCCATAAAAAAGAATAAAAAAATATATTTTGCAGTAGCTTGGAGGAGCTAGAGGCCATTATTCTAAGTGAACTAAATCAGGAATGGAAAACCAAATACCATATATTCTCACTTATAAGTGAGAGCTAAGCTACGGGTACACGAAGGCATGCAGAGTGGTATAATGGGCTTTGGAGATTTAGAAGGAGGGGATGAGATGGGGGCTGAGGATAAAATACTACATATTGGGTAAACTGAATACTACTTGGGTTACAGGTGCACTAAAATCTTATACTTCACCACTGTACGATTCATCCATGTAATCAAAAACCACTTGTACCCCCAAAGCTATTGAAATTCAAAAATAGTTTTAAAAATGTTATAAACCATTGATTGTAGTTTTTAGATGGATTCACAACTGCTTTCTGTCCCATCCTTAATAACTCTAGTTACAAGTGGGTCATAGGTGCTTGCATAGTTTCAGAAAATAGGAGACAGTTGAGTTTATGTTGATTACAGCCACAACAAACAGCTCCTGGAGCATATCCTGTTTGCAATAAGGGATCCTTCCTGGGCTAAATTCTTGTGATGTCAAGCAGATCATGGTATACTGACAGAAGTAAGGTAAGCACTTGAGTGATGTAATTATATACCTTATGGGCAGTGTCTGCATGTATATTATGAAAACACACAGTGAAATAAATACTACTCTATCTGAGCCACTCTTATTTAGGCTATGTAGTTTTCCCCTCTAATTTTCACAGTTTACCTTTGCTTTTGGCATCTAATGTTCTGTGCTTTTTCTGCTTTTATTTCATGTTGGTCCAACAATCCCAGGAATCTTGAGTAGTTCCCAAATTTTGGGGGCACTATGACCTATTTCTTCTGTTTAAATAAACTTTATGGAGGCTTAATTTAGATTGTGTGAATAAAATTTACTATACCACACTTTCTCAACTGAATTTTGCTACTTTTGTAGAAAATAATCTGTTCATTTGTATGTAGATCTTTTCCAGAAAATTATCCTGTTTCATGGATACATTTGCCTAACATTATCTCAATACCACATAACATTGATTACGCTTCCTTTATAATATACCTTGCAGTCAGGTTGTATTAATTATCTAATATTATTATTATTTTGCAAAGTTGTTTTGCTCTTCTAGGTTCTTTGAATTTCCATATAAATTTTAGGATTAGCTTGCCATTTTTTACTTAAAAATTTAGCTGATATATGTGTCATATATGAACATATATATAATTTTTAATTTTTTGTGAGTACATAGTAGGGTGTGTATATTTTGGGGTTACATGAGATATTTTGATACAGGCATGCAATACACAGTAATCACATCGGGCAAATGGGGTATCCATTCCCTCAAGCATTTATCCTCTATGTTAAAAAAATACAATTATACTCTCTTAGTTATTTTAAAATAACTTTTGACTATAGTCACCCTGTTGTGCTAGCAAACATCGGGTCTTATTCATTCCCTCTGACTTATTTTGTACCCACTAACCATCACTCTGTTCCCACCAACCCCACTGACTACCCTTCCTATTCTCTGATATCCCTTCTTCTACTCCATCTCCATGAGTTCAATTGTTTTAATTTTTAGTTTTCACAAATAAGTGAGAACACGTGAAGTTTGACTTTCCCTGTCTGACTTATTTTAAATAACATAATGACCTCCAGTTCCATCCATATTATTGCAATGACAGGATGACAGGATCTCATTCTTTTTTATGGCTGAATAGTATTCCATTGTGTATATGTACCACATTTCCCTTATCCATGCATCTGTTGATGGACACTTAGGTTGCATTCAAATCTTGGCTATTGTGGATAGTGCTGCAATAAACATGGGCATGCAGATAACACTAACACTGATTTTCTTCCTTTTGGTTATATACCTAGCTGTGGGATTGCTGGGTCATAGGGTAGTGCTAGTTTTAGTTTTTTGAGGAATCTGCAAACTTTTCTTCATAGTGGCTGTACTAATTTACATTCCCACCAACAGTGTTCTCCATTGTGTTTGTACTAATTTACGTTCCCACCAAGAGGAGTTCCTTTTCTTCACATCCTTGCCAGCATTTGTTATTGCCTATCCTTTGGATAAAAATCATTTTAACTGAGGTTAGATGATATCTCGTTGTGGTTTTGATTTGCATTTATATGATGATCAACGATGTTGAGCACATTTTCTTAAGCTTGTTTGACATTTGTATGTCTTCTTTTGACAAATATCTATTCACATCTTTTTCCCATTTTTAAAACAGATTATCTGACTTTTTTCCTAGGGAGTTGTTTGAGCTCCATATATATCCTGGTTACTAATCGCTTGTCAGATGGGTAGTTCACAAATATTTTCTCCCATTCTGTGCATTCTCTTCACTTTGTTGATTTGCTTTTTTCTGTGCAGAAGCATTTTAACTAGATGTTATTCCATTTGTTCATATTTGCTTTGGTTGTCCATGCTTGTAGGGTATTACTCAAGAAATCTTTGCCCAAACCCATGTCCTGAAGAGTTTCTCCAATGTTTTCTTAAGTAGTTTAATAGTTTGAGGTCTTAGTTTACATCTGTATTTTGATTTGATTTGTGTATATGGTAAGAGATAGGAGTGTAGTTTCTTTCTTCTGCATATAGGTATCCAATTTTCCCAGCACCATTTAATGAAGAGACTGTTCTTTCCCCAATGTATGTTCTTGGAACCCTTATCAAAAAGGAGTTCACTGTAGATGTCTGAGTTTATTTTGGGATTCTTTATTCTATGGTCTATTTGTCTGTTTTTATGCCAGTACCATTCGATTTTGGTTACTACACCACTGTAGTATAATTTACAGTCAGATAATGTGATTCTTCCATATAAGTCCTAGAGCTGTATTTTCTATTTCTGTAAAGAATGTTGTTGGTATTTTGAAAGTGATTGTATTGAATCTGTAGACTGCTTTGGGTAGCATGAACATTTTAACAATATTGATTCTTCTAATCCGTGAACATGGAACACTTTCTATTTTTTGTGTCATTTCAATCTTTTGCAACAATGTTTTATAGTTTCATTGTAAATAACTTTCACTTATTTGGTTAATTCCTAGGTACTTTATTTTATTTGTAGCTATTATAAATTGGATTACTTTGTAGCTTTTTTTTTGATTGTGCTGTAAGCATATAGAAATGCTACTAATTTTTGTATGTTAATATTGTATCCTGGAACTTTAATGAATTTGTTTTTTAGTTCTAATCATTTTTGGTTGAGTCTTTAGTTTTCTTCAAATATAAGATTATAACATCTAAAAAAGGGATAATTTGACTTCTTTCTTTCTAATTTGGACGCTCTTCATTTCTTTCTCATCACTGATACTCCATCTGGGACTTGCAGTACTATGTCGAATAACAGTGGTAAAAGCGGGCATCCTTGTTATGTTCCAGTTCTCAGATAAAAGGCTTTCAGCTTTTCCCCATTTAGTATGATGCTAGCTGTGAGTCTTTAATATGGCTTTTATTGAATTGAGATATGTTCCTTCTATGTTCAGTTTTTTGAGGGTTTTATCACGAGGGATGTTGAATTTTATCAAATGCTTTCCCAGTATCATTTGAAATGGTCATATAGTATTTGTCTTTCATTCTGTTGACATGATGTATCATTTCGATTGATTTGTGTATGTTAAACTATCATTGTATCTCTGGAAAAAACCCACTTGGCCATCATGAATGATCTTTTAAATGCATTGTTGAATTCAGTTTGCTAGTATTTTGTTGAGGATATCCTGCATCAATATTCAACAAAGATATTGGCCTGTAGTTTTCTCTCTCTCTCTCTCTGTGTGTGTGTGTGAGTGTGTGTGTGTGTGTTTGGTTTTGGTATCAGAGTAATACTGGCCTCATAGAATGAGTTTGGAAGTATTCCCTCCTGCTCAACTTTTCAGAGTAATTAAAGTAGGATTGGTATTATTTCTTTAAATGTTGGAATTAAACAGGGAGGCCTTTGAGTTTTGGGCTTTTCTTTGCTGGGAAACTTTATTATGGCTTTGATCTCATTGTTTGTTATTGGTCTGTTCAGGTTTTGGATTTCTTCATTGTTCAAACTTGTTAGATTTTATGTACCTAGAAATTTATTTATTTATTTTTAAGATTTTTCTAATTTATTGGCATGTAGTTGCTCATAATAGCCACTAATGATTCTTTAAATTTCTGCAGCATCAGTTGTAATATCTCCTTTTTTAATCTCTTATTTTATTCATTTGGGTCTTCCATCTTTTTTTCTTAGTATGGTTAAAGATTCGTTAATTTCATTTATGTATTCAAAAACCCAACTTTTTGTTCCATTAATTTTTTGTATTTTTTCATTTAAAATTTATTTCCACTCTGATCTTTATTATTTCTGTTCTGCTAGTTTGGGGTTTGATTTGCTCCTGTTTTTGTAGTTCTTTAAGATGTATTGTTAGGTTATTTATTTGAAGTTTTTCTTGTTTTTTGCTGTAGGCACTCATAGCTATAAACTTCCCTCTTAGTATTACTTTTTCTGTATCCCATTAGTTTTGTTACATTGTGTTTCCATTGTCATTTGTTTCAAGACATTTTTAAATTTCCTCCTTAATCTCTTCATTGACCCACTGGTTATTCAGGAGCATATCATTTAATTTCTGTGTGTTTGTACAGTTCCCAAAATTGCTCATTTGTTTTTGTTTCTAGGGTTTGTTTCCACTGTTGTCAGAGAAGATGATGAATATCACTTCAAGATTTTTTAATGTTTTAAGACTTGTTTTGTGACTTAACATATGGTCTATTGTTGAGTATAATCCACGTGTTGAGGAAAAGAATGTATATTCTGTAGCCATTGGATGAAATGCTCTGTAAATATCTATTAGGTCTATTTGGTTTATAGTGCAGATTAAGTCAGATGTTTCTTTATTGATTTACTGTCTGGAAGATTATTCCAGTGCTCAAAGTAGAGCGTTGAAGTATCCACCTATTATTTTATTGTGATCGGTCTCTCTCATTAGCTCTATTAATATTTGCTTCCTATATCTGGGTGCTACAGTGGTGGGTGCACATGTATCTACAATTGTTATATCCCGTTGCTGAATTGACTCCTTTATCATTATATAGTGATTTTTGGCTCTTAGAGTTTTTGTCTTGAAACATATATATATATCAAATATATATATATATAAACATCAAATATATATATATATATAAACTAATAGAAGAGAAATAATAAAGATCAGAGTGGAAATAAATTTTAAATGAAAAAAATACAAAAAATTAATGGCAGAAAAAGTTGTTTTTTTGAATAAATAAACACAATTAACGAATCATTAGACAGACTAAGAAAAAAAGAAAGAAGACCCAAATCAAAAAAAAAGTGGATTTCTCTCTCTATATATATTTCATATATATTTATACATATATATGTATGTATAGCTACTCCTCTTTTTTGGTTTTCATTGATGTGGAATATCTTTTTCCATCCTTTTGTTTTCAGTCTATTTGTATCTTTATAGTTTGTGTTTGTTGCAGACAACAAATCATTGGGTCGTACTTTTCTATCCATTCATCCACTCTATGTCTTTTGATTGGAGAGTTTAGTCTATTTACATTCAATGTTATTACGGATAAGTAAGGTATTACTCTTATAATTTTCTTGTTCATTTTCTGATGGTGTTACGGTCTCTTCTTCTTTCTTTCTTTCCTTCCTGTCTTCCTTTTACTGAAGGTAATTTTCCCAGTGGTATAATTTAATTTCTTGCTTTTTATTTTTTGTGTATCTGCTATATGTTTTTTTGATTCAAGGTTACCATGAGGCTTGCAAATACTATCTTATTTCCTATTATTTTAAGCTGATAACAGCTTTATAGTACTTGTGTAAACGATTTATCAAAGATGCAAGAAGTAAACTAAGAAAAACTCTACACTTTAATTTCATCACCTGATTTAAAAAATTTTATTGTTTCAGTGATCTTTGTACTGTTTCTGTCTTAAAAAGTTTTTGTAGTTATTATTTTTTATTAGTTCATCTTTTAGTCTTTCTACTTAAGAGTGGTTTACACGCCACAGTTACAGTGTTATGATAGTCTAAGTTTTTCCCTATACTTACTATTGCCAGTGAGTTTTATACCTTAGGGTGATGTTTTTCTTCCTAATTAACATCTTTTTCTTTCTGATTGCAGTAGTCTCTTTAGCATTTCTTGTAGGACAGGTCTGGTGTTGATGAAATCCCTCAGCTTGTGTTTGTCTGGGAATGTCTTTATTTCTCCTTCATGTTTTAAGGATATTTTCACTGGATATACTATTCTAGAGTAAAATTTCTTTTCTTTAGCACTTTAAATATGTCATGCCACTCTTGCCTGGCCTGTAAGGTTTCTGCTGAAAAGTCTGCTGTCTGCGGCATTGTATATGGTGTGTGTGTGTGTGTGTGTGTGTGTGTGTGTGTGTGTGTGTGTATCCTCTTTTAGGATCTTTTCTTTATCCTTGGCCTTTGGGAGTTTGATTAAATGCCTTGAAGTAGTCATCTTTGGGTTAAATCCACTTGGTAGTGTGTAACCTTCTTATTGGTATCTTTCTCTATATTTTGGAAATTCTCTGTTATTTTCCCTTTTCACAAAATTTCTACTTCTATTTCTTTTTCTATCTTCTCCTTAATGCCCATAACTCTTATATTTGCCCTTTTGAAGCTATTTCCTAGATCTTGTAGGCATGTTTCATTCTTTTCTATTTTTTTTTCTTTTGTCTCCTCTCTGTATTTTCAAATGGCCTGTCACTAATCTTTTCTTCTCCTTGATAAATTGTGCTATTTAGAGATTCTGGTGCATTCTTCAGTATATCAGTTGCATTTTTTAACTCCAGAATTTGTTTGATTATTTTCAATTATTTCAATCTCTTTGTTAAATTTATCTGGTAGAATTCTGTATGACTTCTCTGTGTTGTCTTGAATTTCTTTGAGTTTCCTCAAAATGGCTATTTTGAATTCTCTGAAAGGTCACATATCTCTCTTTCTCCTAGTTACTGCCTATGTTTGTGCAAGGTCCCAGGACGCTAGAGTCAGCAGGTGATGAAGCCAGCCATCCTCGTTTCCTTCCTTTCAGGGTGCTGAGTTCCCCAAGACCCCAGAGAGGTACAGAGATGCTTTCTGGGAGCTAAGGACTGGATTCAAATGCTTAGAAATCTACCTGATGTTTTATTCTACTGCAGCTGAGCTGGCACTCAAATCACATGCCACGGTCCTTCCCACTCTTCCCTCCACTTGCCACAGGCCAAGGAGCTTCACCCCATTGCCACCACCACCACAGACCCACATGGAGTACTGCCAGGCTACTACTCACATTCCGTTAAGGCCCAAGGAAGGGGCTCTTCAGTTAACTTGTATTAAATGTTGCCAGGCCTGGGACTCACCCTTTAGGGCAGTCGGCTCCCCTCTGGCTTAGGACAGGTCCAGAAATTCAGTCTAAGAGCCAAGGCCTGTAATCAGGAACCCCTAAGAACCCACTTGGTGCGCTATCCTACTATGGCTGAGCTGGTACCTAAGGTCCAAGACGAAGTCCCCTCCTTTACTTTTCCCTCTGCTTTCCTCAAGCTTTAGCAGTCACTTCTCATAGCCAGCATAGCTGGGAATGTGCTGGTTGTTATCTCAAGCCCGCACATCTGAGTCTCAAAAGCCCACAACATGCTATATGGGTATGGCTGCTTGTTCTTCCCTGAGGAACAAGAGCACTTAGAACTTGCCTAGGAATTGCAGTCTTTGGGTCCTGGACGGCCCACTAAGTTCACTTAGGGCCCCAGAGCACTCCAGCTTGTGTTTATGTCACTTACTGGAATTCAAGCTCTGACTGCTGGGATGGCAATTCCCCTCTGGCGAGGGCCTGCCCGGAATGTTTGCTCCACGTGCAGGCATAAGCTGAGTACAGCCCCGTTCTGCTTTCCACTGTGACAGGGCAGCACTGAGTTCAATGGAAAGGCTCACAATCGCTACCCCATCCCTCTCCCAAGTGCATAGAAGTGGTTGTTGCTGGGGAATAGAGGAGGTGTGGCATCAGGAATTCAAGACTGTCTTTCCCACCCTCTTTAGTGCCTCTTTCAGTGATAGGAATTCAAAACCAAGCGCTGTGAGTGCTCACTCGATTTTTGGTTCCTATGAAGGTGTTCCCTTTGTGTAGATAGTTGTTAAACTTGGTATTCCCACATGGGGAAACAATTGGTAGAGCCATCTATTTGGCCTTCTTGCTCCACCTCTTTCCTCTAGCTGATATTTTGAGTTTGAGTTAATATTATATGTCAGTTTGGGGAGAATTAAAATCTAAATAATACTTAGTCTTCTGACCTAAGATCATAGATTCTCTCTTTATTTATTAAAATAATCTTTAGTTTCTCTCAATAATAGTTCATAGTTTTCAATATCAAGTTATGTACAACTTTTGACTGGTTTATCTTCTCATATTTCATATGTTTATGCTTTTAAAATTGTATTTCTAGAAATTTCATGAGTCATTTATGCTGCATATCAGTCTATAATGCTTATCGCAAGGAATAACAGTTGTGAAAATTGTTTGAATCGCCATTTGAGCTGGCGACTTTTTATGGAATGCCATTTTTATTTGGAAGAACAACAGACAGGTAAACTATGGTTTGTATCTTTGGCTGACATTTTCTCAAAAATGAACAAAATGAACCTGTCACTTCAAAGGAAACATGCAGTGTTTCCTTTGCATGTTTTGCTCATGTGAAAATTGAGTTTTCAATTAAAAAATAGAATTTGGAAAGGTTTACCTATACTTTAACACTTGTCTGGTGAGATCAGTCGCCATATTAACAAATGTTATTTTTTCATATGATGTGAAAAATCTGTCAACATTCGGAACATCTGCATAACTCAGTAAACCAATGTCTTCCAAATGACCAATGCATGTCACAAAATCTTGCATGGGTAAAAGATCGATTCAAATTTCAAAATAGACCAGCATATTTTATTATAATAGAGTATGAAAAGTTCACTGATGTGGTTTCAGGTTTCACATTGCAACTAACCCTTAAGGAACTACTACTTTTTAGTTTTGGTGTAATATCAAAAAAGAATATCCATAATTATCTGAAAATCTTAAAAAGGAGGAACAATTAAAATATTCCTCTTTCCAAGTACATATGTATATGAGGCCAGTTTTTCTCACTATTACAGATTGCATGCAGGAATGGATATGAAAATCTAGATACTTTCTATTAAGCTAGATATTAAGATTTTCAAACCATAAGACAATGGTCTTTTTTTAGTACACTTTTCTCTGTTGTTGTTTTGGAAAACAGTTTTTTTTTCACAAAATATGTTGTAAGATTAACATGTAACAAGTTTATTATTATTTTAAATACATTAATATGTAAATATTGAAACTTTTCTCAGTTTTAATTTCTAATATGGTAAACATTAATAAATATAATCCACATAAGCAAAAGTTTTTTAGGGTCCTCAAAAATTCTGAAGAGCAGACAGGGTTCCATAAACTGAAACAATTAAGAATCCATGATTGGAAACAAAGAGAAAGGTAAGACCTTGAGCTTTATATTTAGGAGTAACCAGCACTTATCTGGTGACTTAAACATGCATGTGGATGAAACTGTTCAGAAGGAGTTTATAAAGGGAAACAAAAGGACTCATAACTAAAACTTGAGATTTAATTTTTTAACCTGTCCAAGTCTCTCTCACTTACAAAATGTGAATACTATTATATGCATTATTGTAAATGAGTTAACCTTTACAAAGTACTTGGCAAAAGTAGAAACTCAGTAAATGGTATTTATTTATCTTTCTTCTGGGGGATAATAAAGAATAAGTTCTTTAGACAGTTTTCAGGTGACTATTTAGTCAGGTACTCTTAGTTTTCTTTCTGTAGGAGCAAGTGGTGAGAAGTGAGAGGTGGCAAATGTTAGATTGAGAGAGACAATGGAGAGGTAAGTGTAGCTTGACATCTGCCCTTACTGATTCATAGGTTCAAGTAGTCATTGGCATTAGAGATCATTTGTTTTCTTATTTCTTTTAAATTGAGTTTAACTGTTCTAGATATTTTGTGGTGTGGCAAAAGGAACAAGGACACTAGGATCAGGAGTGATTTAAATTCTGGCCCTGTTCCATACTGAATGCATTACCTTAGGCAGACTCAACCTCTTGAAGCCCTCATTTCCTCGCCTGTAAAATGAAGACTTTGATACAGACCTCAGGTAGGAGTCATATTACACAGAGAGATGGAATTGAAACACCACCTGCCTTACATAATAGGTGCATAATAAATGGCAATTGTTACTGCCGTTTACTGAGGTGTGAGATAGAGAGGGCAACGATCTCAAAAGCAAGAAACTTATGCTTTCAAAATTTATGACTCCAGCAAAGAAGTTATGAATTATAACTGAGAGATGGAACTAAAAGAAAAATGAAAGTAGATGTGAACAATAGAAAGAAAAATATTTTAGAAAAAAATTAGTTTGAAGATTTTGTTTTTCTATTGTGATTCAAATATCCATTTTAATTATTTTCAAAAGCATATACACACATATTTATCTATCTGTCTATCTATCTGACAAACATAAACTTAGGGCAATTGAAATTAAGTGTGGGATGAGGAAAGAATAGGAAAGGAAGAGTGGTGAAAGCGAAAACTACAGATTTCTAGATAGATATGGAGAGATAGCTATGACAGAAGACAGGTACATAAGATGGAGCATCTTTACAAGCTCGAAAGTTGAAAGACCTTGCAATATCACTCAGCCCAAGGCCTGCGTTTTGCAACTATGGTGGTCATGTCATCTGCTAGTCTCCATTTTCTTGGCATTTCTTTATAGGTTATTAATTTAAGGTTGATTTCTTTTCCTAAAGTGCCATGAATATGTTGGAGGCAGTACAGCTCAATAGAGAGCTCAGCTTTGGATCTTGGCTGAATAAAATTTGACCCTCAGCTCAGCCAATTTGGGAAAGTTAATTAATGTGACCTATCTTATTGAGTTCCTATCTGTGCCTGCACTACTTTCTAATGACATGATAGTGAGCAAAAGACACCTATAATACCTGCTTTTATGGACCTTAGGTATCAAGTGGGACATAGGCATTATTTAATAATGACACAAATGAATGTATAATTCCACATTGAAATAATTTCTAGGTTTTATTAATGGGAGTGTGGGGAGTGCTATAGTCAGAAGAAACAGCATATGCGAAAGATTTGTGTCAGGAAGGAGCAAGGAACATTAAAAGCCTGAGAAAGAGCAGGTGAAGACAGTGAGAATACAGATGCCTTTCTTGTGTGTAGACTAGGGACAATAGCACACAAGGTTATTTAATGGATTAGTGACAGCGTATGATAATCTCCAACCATTAGTGGCTACACATCAAATGGTGGTTACAAGGATCATTTTATAATTGCTGAAGAGGTGAAGACTGTTCTTTGAACACATAATGTCAGATCTACCTTCTCTTTAACACTTTGGATGTACTCACCCTTTAAGGCAGACCACTCACAGACAACTGTGTCTCAGTCCCACAACCCTGCAATGCCCAGCAGACCTGTAGTTTGTGGGCAAAATGGAGTGTTTTCTTTCGGTCTTGAACTATGTAGAGGCCTGTTGGTGGAAAAAGGTATGTTGGGAAGGCGTGGTTAAAAGGAAGGAGGAAAGAAATCAAATCAGACCACTGGCAGACAAATATATCTCAGTCCCTACAGCCCTGCAATGCCAAGCAGACCTGTAGTTTGTGGAGAAAATGGAACGTTTTCTTTCGGTCTTGGACTATGTAGAGGCCTGTCAGTGGAAAAAGGTATGTTGGGAAGGTGTGGTTAAAAGGAAGGAGGAAAGAAATCAAATAAACTTAGTTTTCAAAGTCTTTTTTCTCCCCAGACATGTTTTGAAATGTGACATTCCTTTCCTCCAATCTGTCATTTTTTATCCTTCAGGCAAACGTTTAAACCTCCCAACATGTTTCTGCAAGCAACGTTCTGAACAAGGAAGCTAATATAGGAATTTTTTTCTGGCATTATCAGTGGAATTGAATTCAATTGCATAGTCAGGTAGTCTTGCCTGTCTGGTGACATTCAAATGGACTCCAAGGAGAGGGGCCTGTAGCCCAGGAACTGCGGCACTCACAGCCTCAGACCAAATCCCTTCTTCATTCTTGACTTCTCTGTATTTTAGTTGTCCAATCAGATGAATGGGGATAATGATGAATATAGTAATACCTACTTCATAGAATTGTTGTGAGGATTAAATGAGTAAACACAGTAAATGTGTAAAGCCTTTAGAACAGCTCCTGGCACAGAGTAAGTATGTGCAAGTGTGCAGGTGTTAGCTGGTGTTATGATGCCTGAAGTGGCTGCCAGTTTTGCCCTCCCTCCTTCCAACATATACACTTGCACACCCACATGTCCATATACATATATAAATAGAAATAATGTGTATATATATATATATATATATATATATATATATATATATATATAAGCACACAAGATTTTTATGATCTTGTCAGGAAGGATATGTTTTCAGGGTGTCGTATAATTGAAAAGACTTTGAATTTAGTAAGTTTTCAAATACCATAGTTATTTAAAACAACAGACAAAAGGAAGAACATGTTTTAATTTCTACAGCATCTTTCTAGGATCTAGTGTTGTTTCATAACAGTTAGTGCATGAGGTGGAAAGGAGTGGGAGAGGATTATTTTGGGGATAGTTCTTCTTCCCTTTCCTGATATGTGTAAACATCAATCCACATCAACTTTACCAGTTGTCCCGTGGCCCTGGCACCCACCCCAGCAAAATGAAGCCCTAAGGAGAAATTACAGAAGATAGCAGGGAGGGGGGTTGAGAAGCCAGTGTATTCCTTGTGCTTCCTGTGTCCAGACTAAGGTCCCGTGACCACCTTTGCTTGCAGAAGGCTGAGCTCTCCTGAGTAAGAACTCAAGTTTTTTTCCAGTCTTCAGGTTTCTGAGTAATTTTGCCTTTGGGTACACAAGAAGGGATTAACGGACACATTAGCACCTCTTCTCCAAACTCCACATCAGCTGTTATCCGAAACAGCTCACATTTCCATTGCAACCTTACAGCCAGAGGGTCACCTTGTTTCCTGTCAATCTGTCACTGTGAGGATCTGTTTTTTTGCCATTCTTTTATGAAGTTGGAGAACTTGAGGCTGCAGGAGCTTGTGCTCAGTTTTGTTGAAGCTGCAGTTCCAGCACACATATCAACCATTTCTCATTTTCATACATGTTACTACTTGAGTCCTATTTGTGGCTCTCTACATTGCCAAATTCAACACATTTTCTTGGCCACCACTGACATTTGTCATGTTCCCAACTTTCTTTGCTCTAATAATTTGTATTTCCCTAGAAACCCCTATAAAAGGAAATGTTGACACTCATGTATGAGTGAAATGTGGGCTCTACCTGGGGTTAATGGTAACCCCCATATTTCACTGACATTTGTTCCTTAACTACATAGCACGAGAAGTCAGTCCCCAGAAAAATCCCTTCTAAGGTTTTCTAGATTCTCCTGGGAGATTTCAACCCAGTCCTCCCATATTCTTCTCCCTGCCCCCCATCTGCAACATTTTAGGCCATACCAATTCCTCTGCTGTTGGGTTTCTTTATGGAAAAGCTCATATCCAAGTCTGAGACAAAGGTGTTTTATCCTGAGGCTTTCAAAACTGTGAACCCTGGAAAGGCCCAAGTGGTCCATACATCAGTGAGGAGAGGGTTCCCGCTTCCCTTGTGCACATTGCTACCAGGCCCAAATCATACTGCTCAAGTCCAAGGCCTCAGAGAGTTCTTCCTGGAGAAGAAAGGTCCCTCCTCTGCCTCTAGCACTCCTTCTCTTCAGTCAAAAATCTGTTATGCATCTAAGAAATAAAATTGAGATGTCTGGCTTCTGGTCTGGCATGTAAAGAGCTTAGAATTTGTTACTTTGTCCTAACAACAGGTAAAAATCTGAACAAACTGAACAATCAACAACTCTTCTTAGAGAAGTGAAGTCACAGAGTAAAGTGCTGCTCCCAAAATTTGAGAGACAGATAGGCAGACACAGGGAATCACAGCTTACCTAAGCAGAAATCTACTAGTAGAAAACCACCTTGGGCACCTGTGCTGGGTATGGAAACCTGAACTGCATTGATGAGTTGCTGGAGGCTCAGCATGGACAAGCCTGGGAGTTAAAAATCTGGGGTAGGGGACAGTCATGGGGAGGTTCTCACTTTCTGTGAGTTTTAACTCTAGGAGCTCCACCAGGTTCTTACAGTAAATGTTGGAGAAAACTCCACTCATGCTTCCAGGAGAGGAAGGGGAAATATACCAGAGCATCCTGATGTTGCTGGTTCTGGAACCAGACTTTGGAATAGGGTGTTGACCACTGTTTGCTGCTTCTCTTTTCTATGGCTTGACACAAACCACTTCTGCACCTTCACTGCTGAACTCTGTGCCTGTGCGCTGGCCTGCTCGCCTTCACATTCAGGGACCCTGCCATGGCTGAGAGTGAGGGCTACACAAGAATGCATGGCAGTAAGCTGAAGTCTCATCCTTCCCAGCTGAGCTTTGCTTCTGCAACTAGGAGAACTGACATTTCCTCTCCCTTGGTAGTGGTGATTACTCCATAGAAGCACCTGTACCAAATAATTGATTGAGCTAATTCATTAATTCCTCAGATGAAGAGAGGGAGGGAACTAAGACAGGGAATGGGTTAAGCCAATAGTTCAGTGTGCACATGGAATGCTTACTAAAAATGCAGATTCCCCACCACTTCCACCATTGCCTCACAAGAGTCCTGATCTCTTAGGTCTATGGTAGGTTAAGAAACAGCATTTTAAAGAAACACCCAGATGATTTAAGCATAGTAATCAGAGGATCCACTTTGAGATATATTTGATTACATACTTGACCCAAGTTTGCCCAGAGAATGGCATACAATAAATATAAATCATGTCTGTCTTTCAAATATGTTCTTGCACTGTGCACAAGCAATATTTAGGCTCCGAAGAGGCAAGATCGACCAAATGACCAATTCTCTTTCAACTACAACTTGCTGTCTCTTTGCGAATGACTCTGGTAAATTCTTGAGGTGAGTTATGTTTTGCTGTGCATCTATTTCAGCCACTGTTATTTAAGAAAAGGATAACTATAGGCATCAAAAAATATAATAGCAAATTGTGCTTTCTCTAAGGCAACACATTTAAAAACCATATAAATCCAAATATATATCAAATGATGTAATTTAATTTGATGCAATTCAATACATTACAGCACAATACAGCAAAACACAATGTAATGTAGTACAAACCGCACTGCAACTTCAGTGCAGTGGGGTTAACGCAGTCCTCATTTCAGGTCTTGGGCTGCAGCGCCCTCTAGTGACGTAAACTTTTTTTTTTTTTTTTTTTTTGCGTGTTTGTAGTGGCTACAGCTGCACCTGGCACGGAATAACTGTCAACAAACAGCCTGTTCAAATGGGAACGAGCTGAGGCCCAGCTGACTCCAATGTTATATGTCAACAGAAATTCTAGATTAACAGATTTTCCTGAGCTGCCACCTGACCTAGTGATAAAGTAACTAATTGTGCTTTTCATAGTATTAACTGTTTTCACTACATTCTTTTGATTTGTGACAAATAAAAGAAGAACTGTAATCAGCTTGATTTTTTAGCCTGCAGAACAGGAGGCTGGAGTGACAATACAAGGGTATTAGAAACCCTATGAAGATTAATATAAAACAAATACAAATAGAATAGACAATAGAATATAACAGAAATAAAACACTGTATCCTCTAATATACAGTCATCTCCTCTCCATGGTTGAAGAGCAGCTGCTCCTTTGCTATTTGGAGACAGCAAGGATAATGCTAATAATAAGAAATCCTTATTTTAAGAAATATGCATGCGTACTAATAATTTATTGAATACCTAGTATGCTTCAGCCTCTAATGAAATACAGGGACAAGCATGCTAACACACCTTAAGCCATTTTTTCTGCATGTGGGCTCCTTTTCCTTTCTCACACACTTGCTGAGGGTAATAAGGGCTTTATTGAGGTCAGGTACTGTATTAAGCACTTTATTACGCTGTTTTCATTTAAGCCTTATAATCAACAAATGAGGTAGGTATCGCCATCACGATTTTAGGATACTCAGACTGAGTAAGTGTCAATAACAGGTTCAAGGTAATACTGCAGGTAGGCAGCAGGGCATGATTTGAACCTGTTAGTCGGCAGAGTGGTGGGATAGATTGAGGATTTAAAAGAGCATAAAAGTTCAGAGGAGGCTGTTTTGTTGTGGCATCAGCTGGGGAACTCATTAAATAATGTGTTATTTCTCTTTAATGTGAGCTCCCTACTGTCATCCTTTTCTCTCTCTTCCTTCCAGTATTCATAGAGCATCTCCTTTCCGTGCTATTCACTGGTAACAAACTCTGAAGATACAAACACAGAAGGATACTTTAGTGAGATACTGATTTCTGTTTCCCCAGATGTTTTTCCTTTTTGGATTCCCAGCTCTTATGTTCCCTTGTCTGAGGAGAGGTGGAAAATAAGTTGCTAGAGGCAACCTTCATTTGGCTTTTTGCTTTCTTAAAACATAAGGTATCCAAAAAGTTGTACTGAGGGAGGAAAGAAGGGGGAAAATACAGAGCAGAGCTTTGAAGCATAAGAAGAGGTAAGAGGAGACATTTCCTCAGAATGTGAATAAAACAGTGTCAGTGGATCCTGAGGGTAGCAGTGCCTCATCCCCTGGCAGCCTCTTGGAAGGATAACAAGGAGGTATTAGTACAACTAGCAGTCATAGACATGGGAGCTTCCAGTCTTAGAAAAGGCATCCAAGGCTCAGGGTTCCATATAATTTATTATCCAAACAGGGCCACTGTTGAAAGTGAAAGGAGATGCTATTAATAATTATGCCCAAATAATAGGTGTCAATAGGAACTGTCTGGAACAAGCTGGCACATATGGTCACCCCGCCTATGATCTTTTTGACTCAGAAATAATGGAGTCCCTGCCTTGAACGTCCCTGCCTTGAGTCCCTTGAGTGTCCAGGCGTCTTTGAACAATGAGAATTTCAGATTCTACTGTGTTTGCTTTTCTTTTTAGAAAATATTTTAGAAAATGATTCTGAAATTTATATGAAAATGCTAAGTATATCAAACAAATCTTTGAAAAACAGGAACAAAGATGGAAGACACATTATTTGATTTTAAGACTTACTTATAAAACTACAATATAATCACAACTATGGTATTGGCAAAAAGAGAGATAATAAAAAACAATAGAGTCCAAAAATAGACTAATATATTTATGATCAATTGATCTTGACCATGGAGAAAAGAAGTATTTTAAGCATTGGTGTTGAAACAATTGGGTATTCTATATACAAAAATAAACTTGGATCACTATCCTGTATTGTATACAAAATTAACTAGAAAAAGATCACAGAGAAACTAAAACTGCAAACATTTCTAGAAGAAAACACAAAACCTTGAGTTAGGCAAGGATTTAATAAATAGGATACAAGAACCACAAATCATAAAATTAAAAACTGAATAACTAGATTTCTTAAGCATTAAAAACACTGTAAACATTAGGAAAGATGCTTTAAGAGAATAGTAAGTAAAGACTGGGAAAAATAATTACCAAACATATATGTGATAAAGAACTAGAATATATACAAAATTCTTATAACTCAACATTAGTAAACAAACAACCCATTTAAAAACTGGGCAAAAGAATTGAGCAAATATTTTACAAAAGAAGGCATGCAAATGTCAAGTAAAGACATAAAAAGATGCTCAACATCACTTGTTATCAGATAAAAGCAAATAAAATCTTAATGCAATATTAGTGTGCTCCCACTAAGTTCACACAAAGACTAGGATGAAAATGGTCATAGCAGCTTTACTCATAATAGCCCCTTTACTCATAATAGCCCCCAATTGGAAACAACTCTAATGTCTAAAAAATATTGAATAACCAAAGAAATTGTTGTATATCCATAGAGTGGAATACTTTTCAGCAATAAGAAAGTAGACTACTAATTCTCACAACATAGATTAATCTTAAAACGTTATTCTGAGTGAAAGAAGTCACATACAAAAAAACCAATGTGTTATATAATTCCAATTATAAGAAATTCTAGAAAAGGCAAAACTGTAGTAATAGAAAGCAGGAAGAATGGCTGTCAGAGGCGGAGGGTGGTGAAAGATGTCTAACTAATAGGAACACAAGAGAATGTTTTTTGTTTGTTTGTTTGTTTGTTTGAGACGGGGTCTCACTCTATCACCCAGGCTGGAGTGCAGTGGCACGATCTCAGCTCACTACAAACTCCGCCTCCCGGGTTCAGGCCATTCTCCTGCCTCAGCCTCCCGAGTAGCTGGGACTACTGGCGCCGGACACAACGCCCGGCTAATTTTTTTTTTTTTTTTTGTATTTTCATTAGAGACGGGGTTTCACCGTGTTAGCCAGGATGGTCTCAATCTCCTGACCTCATGATCCGCCTGCCTCGGCCTCCCGAACTACTGGGATTACAGGCATGTTTTGAGGTGAATAATATGTTCTATATTTTTATTGTGGTGTTGGTTATACAACTGTAAACATTTTTCGAAACTCACCAAATTGTTCTTGTAAATTTGGTGATTTGATTATATGTGAATTCTACCTCAGTGAAGTTTATTTTTACAAAAAGGAGTCAGGGAAGTGGGTATGCTGGAGTAGACATACTGTGTAAGACTGAAAACCCCACAAGACGATTATGTCGCATAGAACGTCCTGGTGGGTAGATCACTTGTGAAGGCCACTGGGAACATGTTGGTGAGATTGGCATCAACATCAGTAGATTCAGTGGTATATCTCCCAGGCTGGCTGGAGCTGATGCATAAGGCCATCTGGCTGTACTTAGCCATCAAGAACAAGTGGATGTGATCGATATAATGAGTGGCAAGCTCAGAGTGGTCGGTGTAGGACCCTGACCTGCAGAGAATGATCGTGACGGTTAATAGAACATGGTATATCCTAGAGGTGAATAGCGGGGCCACCAACAAGGACAGTACTCAACTTGTACCATCAGAAGAAATCAAGGTTGGATGGTCAAGAGATTGAGTGCGGTTGTGCCAATAAAATGTCTTGGTCCTTTTCCCAGTTTCCAGACCTAAGCCTGTTTTTAATACTGGAACCCATTAATTAACCCACCTGTGTGGGAGTCATTCCTACTTCCAAATATGTAGCTGGGCTTGATATACATGATAGTTGGTACAAATCTTATGTTATGTCCTTGGTGGGTAGGGTAAGAGCTGTCACAGATGAGAATGTCAAATACAAGCACTTAAATGATCCACCTCCACCCACCTATTCCTGGTCAAAATGGTAAGTAAAAAGCAGGGTAGTATATTAGAGGAGGGAGGGCAGTTGAAAATTGTTGCCACTCTTAAGTATCTGGAAGACATGGTGGGGGTTGTTCCTGTCATATTTCATTTAGCAGTGTGGCTTCTGAAGAAAACAGATGATACTGGTGGACTATTGTCTCCACAAACTCAACCAGGTGGTAGCAACACCCCTAACTGCAGCCACTGTGCCAGACCGAGCAGATGAACCTGGCCTCAGATATGTGGTGGGGAGCTACTGATTTGGCAAGTGTTCTTTTCTATTCCTATCAAAAAAGAGTTCCCGTTCACATAGAATGGATAATCATATATATTCAGAGTTTTTCCCTGAGGCTGCCCCATCTTTTGTAATAATATAGTCTAAAGCAATTGGACTGTCTAGACATCTTCCAGAATATCACACTGATCCACTGTGTCAATGACATCATGGTAATCAGGTCAGATGAGCAAGAATTGGCTGGCACATTGGAGGCTTTAAGACAAATGTGCTCCGGAGGGTAGAAGAGAAACCCTTCAAAGATTTAAGTTCCTGACATACCAGTGCCAGCATATTCCTTCCTGCCCCTATCATATGTATCAGTAGGCCTATCTCCTTCTACGTCCTCCTGATGGTCGGGGTCAAATCCGTGATCAGCATTACCAAGCCATGATGGTGACTCCTTTTCTTGCCTGCTGGTGCCTGCACAGAAAAAGACTGAAGTGCTTTCAGAGGCCATATCTTATAATTCAATAGGATGCTTAGTTGTGGCCTATTTAATGTGTTCTTGATAGGGAACAAAATTTCTAACCTTGAAGCTTCCAGAATTGCCAGGAAAGAAAGCATACATTCCCCAAGTGCATCATTGGGATGGATGTTAAGCAGGACCACTTCTGCTTTCACCTCTTTATTCTCAAACTCATGCAGTCATCTGGTTAAGGTCATTGCACCATATAAGGTCTTCGGTTCAAGGTACATATACTACCTAGATGATGGCTCCCATTCTTGTGGTAAGATATCACCTCTAGGCTGGTGTTTCAGTTGTGCCTTTGGCAGGCCACTCTAATGCTCTATTGGGCTGCTGACCTCTGGGTGATTCAGTTTTTGATACAATCAGTGAATCTCACGGCCATGAGCCAATTCCTTTGTCTCCTGTGTGTGTCTCTGATTAAGCGTGATGTTAGGTGGCACCCCATACCCATGCACTGAACTCAGAAGATCTACTTTAGTGCCTCTTGGTGCTCTCTTGCCCAATTTTGATGGTAAATAGACAAGTGTAGCAATCCTGGCTTGAGAAAGGCACTGCGATCAGGGATGTAGGCTCATTGAGAACGAGTTTCTGGGTCACGTCACCAGGAAAGCCTCTAAGACAAACAGCGGTGGCAGCTGAAAAGAAGGGAGATCTACAGTGAACAATGAAGGAGGGAGACAATCAATTGAAATTCCACAGCCAGTTGCAGAGGCAAGGACTATAGTTCTTCCCACTTAATTGTCTTTCCTAAGTTTGCCCCAGGAAGAGAGGCCATAGAATTCTGGAAGAGCTATTCCCCATATATTGAAAAAAAGTGGATCCCAGCAGTGCTAGGGGTGGACGGAAGTGAACATGCAGCTGTGCCACCCAGATTCTCTTTCATTGCCACTGGAGCACTTCAGCAATCACACCAGCTAGAGAGTCACCTCACCCAAGGTCATGCCCTTCTGGGGCCTGCCCACACCCAGTAACTGATAAAAGTGAAGGGACAAAGACCCATTTGATTCAAGGCAGAACAACTCTGCTGTGCCATTAAAGCAGCAGGAATGATCATTTAAGCTACGACTTAATAGACAGTCTAGGAGAAGTAGATGCACATTTATTTAAAGTTTCTGCTATTGTTTGAAATTAGAATGCTATTAAATTTTCATTACTATGAATAATATGATGGAGATATCTTAAGCATGCAATTTTTCTCTCTTGAAAGAATATTTACAGGATAAAGTCCTAAGAGCAGTGTTACTAACTCAAGGCACATGTATATTTTTATACCTCCTGACCTCCATTGCTTAATTGCTTTTCATTTTATTTTATTTATTTATTTATTGTTTTTTGAAATAGAGTCTCGCTCTTTTGCCCAGGCTGGAGTGCAGTGGTGCAATCTCAGTTCACTGCAACCTCTGCTTGCCGGGTTCAAACAATTCTTCCTGCCTCAGCCTCCCAAGTAGCTGGCACTACAGGTGCCTGCCACCACGCCTGGCTAATTTTTTTTCTTTCTTTTTTTTTTTTTTCTCTTTTTTGGTATTTTTAGTAGAGACGGGGTTTCACCACATTGGCCAGGCTGCTCTTGGACTCCTGACCTGAGGTGATCCTCCCGCTTCGGCCTCCCAAAGTGCTGGGATTACAGGCGTGAGTCACCATGCCTGGCTTAATTGCTTTTCAAAAGAGTCTCACAGGTTTGCTGTGGCATACATAAACATATATGCTTCTGTATAGTCCACACCTTGTTGACTTTTCTAGCTCAAGTATTTGTAGACTCTCAAAAATTCTGCTCAGTTTTTCTTGGCATGAAGAATTGTTTAGCTAATTTTGAAAACTTGTGTTCACAAAGTCTAAAAATTTAATCCAAATTTGAATGAGGAAGATGAGACAGTTTATCAACTTTCTCTAATGAAAGTTACTGGTAACATGAAAAAACAATTTCCTACTCATACAATAAATCTACACATATCTTTTTCAGCCTTTTTGGACTTTGTTGTTGTTGTTGTTTAGTGGAAAGATTTGCTTTATATGATTAGACATTGAAAAATTTGTATGGCTTTGGGAAAGAAAAAGATGCCTCTGACATCCAGGAGCTGGCCTGGCACTCCAGCTATGTCTTAGCGATCTCCTCTTCAAATAAATGATTTCACAGAATACCGACATCAGACAATGCCACCCTATGACCATGGTGAATCAAGACAAAAACAAGACCTCTCCGTAACCATGCATGAACACAGGCAAAGAATGAAATCTGTTTAAATCACAAACATGGCCCAATATCTCCCAATCCTGGCTAATTAGAGTGGCTATTGCTTGTTTATTGCTGACAGTTTTAGCTTGACTCTAGTCTTCCCTCTTCCTAGATAAGAATTATTGAGAGATCCAGTCATGACCTTATATCACTTCCTAACAACATCCGATCTAGAGCAAAGCCATGCTTCTCAAACCCTCCTCCAAATCACGTGACACAAGGCCACATTCTGTAAGTTCTTTCTAATGCCCTTTTAGTAAGACACCCCACCCCCTGCCCCGCACCATGTGTGTTCCTGGAGGAGGACATTGAGAACTTTAAAAATTTACCTTTTAGTAATTTCAGATTAACTTGGTTAGATTTATTGGAGAGCAAAACAATTCTCCCTCAGGTGACTTCCAAGGGATAATTATGGGATAATGTATTAGGTTGATGCAAAAATAGTTGTGTTTTTTAACAGTAGTTTCAATGGCAAAACCCACAATTATCATAAGCTAGCCTTCCAGGTTAACTTTCCTAACTTGTACAATATTTCCTTTCCTGATTTCCTCAATTTCCATTATACTTTTCTTCAGACAAGTTAATAGTCCAATGAAATTTTTTCAAATGCTCAACAATCTTCCTCATTCCCAAATAAATTTTAATATATATGTATAAGCACATATACATGCATATTCATTATATATTTGTATACTTGTCACTTTAGACAATTTGAGTATAGAACTACTTTCAAGGAGATGACAATCCAGTTTGCCTTTGGCTGGTACACTTCTTGCCATTTGCTTATATAGGCATTTTGACATTTTGAAGTTTCCTCCCATCTTGAGTACAGCTGATCCAACTATCTGGGAGTAAACAGAAAGACCAATGGACACCCACAGGAAACATGCTGAGGTGCACATGGAATGTGGATAGGAAAGAGGTCTGTTATGATAAGAAGGGCTGTGGTGAGCATCATAGCCAATGTGGGGAGCCACATTCTGCAGCTCTTGGTAAGTGAGGTCAGTGGAAAGACTTGAGTCATGAAGTGTATATATCATTCTTTCAATTCCTGAGGAAAGCTTCATGGGGGAAACGATTTTGAATAAAATGAGAAACAATTAGTTTGGTCATGTTTTATTTCACAACAAAATTTCCTGTTTTTAGTTTAAAAGGTACCTATGACTAATAACGTTTTCCCCAAATTTTCAGGATATGAAGCTTGTGTTCCTTGAGTTTGACATAAATTGTGCTTCAGGCACTTACACAAGTTGATGAATAGCAATATAATTGACTCATTGTGAATGCCTTTATTCATATTAACCTATTATGATGAATTTCAAATTATAGAGTCTAGATTAGCAGTAGAGCAATTATCTGAGCAGTGAGCTTGTCTAGAGACTATTCTATATTTTTATCTTCAGGAAGATGTCCACAATGGAGCTCCTATTAAGACCATAGCATGCTGAAAGTAAATTCCTCACTTAGAATTATTTCAAGACAACAAAGCATACAGTATTGGTATCCATGTATCAGATAAGACTTTTCAGTTGCAGAGAACCCAACTCCTTGGGAACTAAGCAATAATGTAGATTTGTTGGTTCATAAAACTGTAAACCAAAGGAAGAGCCAGCATCAGACTTCTTTTGGTCAAGATTTTGGCCTCTGTCTTCATGCTGGCTTCATCCTCAGCCTGGCTGTAACCTCATGGTCACAAAGATGGCTGCCGTAACAGCTAAGGCTGCACACTTCCTTATTCATTTCCCAAGTAGAAAGCATCACTTCTCACAATCACCAAATGATAATTCCAGATCTTTACTCAGATTGAACCAAGGTAAATTGACCATCATTGCAAGGGGTGTAAGAATATGCTGAAGACCTTCCCCTGAGCTGGAAGTGGGTCAGTCCACTAAGAAATCATGGTTACTGCGTAATTACCAGGTGGTCACTACAGTTATTTCCTTAAAGGAAAATAGGGGTCCGTTTGGAGAGGAACAGGGGGAGTAGGTGCTGGTTAGACCTGTCAAGCATCTGCCATTTTAATATCTCTATAGAAAATGATATTACATCCTACCTATAAGTGGCAGTATTGGGCTAAAAACGTGGGCTCTGGACTTAGATCGTGGCCATTGAATTCCTAATTCATCACTTACTAGCAACATGGTTTTGTGAAAGTCACTTAACTTCTCCATTTCTCAGCATTTTTATTTGTAAAACAAAATTAACAGACTCTTGTAGAGTTTCTATGAAGATTCAATGGAAAAATGCATATAAAGCACTTAGTATAGAGCTCCTCACTTTGTAAGTACTTGGAGCAACATTTGCATGTGAACTAGCCACTTGATGGTCTCTCTAAGGCATCACTTTTATCTGCTTGGGCATCTGTGTGGTGCCCAGTGTGATTTGGGGGCTTCTCTTTCCATCCTCAGGTCATTTTTATCAGCTACTGGATTCATTTTAAGCAGACTTTTGACCCAGAGACTGGAGGGTGGTCTGATACTATAAAAGCAGTGTGTTCTGGTACATCGTGGTATAAATGTTCAAAAGGAAGCCCCACCAGGGGTTCCCAATAGGGAGTTTCCTTTGCAACGTGAATATCATTCTTAAGTGGTTTGAGAACAGGGTACAGCAGCATCTTACTGGGCATCAGTTTGTGTGCTCCTGTCAGGAAAATTACCATCCAAGCCCACTAAACCCACACAGAACCATAATGTTTTAATTATTCCTTTATTACTTCCTTCAGGTAATTGGAAGGCTAAATATACTTACATGGCAATACTCTATTTTATTTTATTTTAATTGAACTTCACTCTATAAAAGACTTGGAGTTAAGGTGGGGAAAACAGGAAGAAAGGAGGAGGAATAACTAGTTAGTTATTTGTTTTTAAAACTCACCATGTGAGGGCTAAAATCAAAGCTTGGATTACATTTGGGAAAATCTACATAAACTTTGTAATGTGTAAAGTAGGCAAATTAAGAGAGATTGCATCAAGTAACTCTGCCTTGCAAAATAATTCATCTTGTGTATTTACTAAAATGACAAACTTGGTGGTTTTGAAATGTGATTTGTGTTTTTAAGGGAAGCAGTTAGGGCAGAGTAAAGAACTTCAGCTTTGGAGACAAGAAGACCTGTACTCAAGTCCTGACAGCACTGTTTATCAGATGTGTCACCTTGGAAATCCCTTGACATCTCTGAGCCTCAGTTTCCAAATCTGTGAAAGAGAGATAATAACACTATCTTTGTAGAGCTTATGGGATGATTAGAAATAATGGGCATGGTTGTCTAGTACAGTGTATGGGAAATATTAAGAGTGCAAAATAATTCTTATTTATAAAAATTTATTGTACATGTACATTTTGTAAGGAAAGATCTGTTATATAATGCAAACCACTCAGATTTCCATGACCTGTTGTCGAGTGTCCTACACCCGATCATAAAAAATTCTCCTCTTACAGGGTCTCATGGCTTCAAGTCTAAAACAGAAATTTACATACATCCTAGTGCCACTGAGGAGAGCAAATAAACAGAAACTGCCATTATCAGTCCACTAAATCTGTAGTTCTCAATCTTGGCTGCACATTGTAATCACTTAAGAAAGCTTAAAAATCCTCAGTGCCCCAACTATACTCCTGAAAAATTAAATCAGAAGTTCTGGGATTGGACCCAAGTATCAGTGCTTATTTAAAGTTCTGCAGAAAATTCAAAGTGATGCCAAGGTGGAGAACCATTGTTTTAAACCATTGCTTCTCACGCTGTAATGTGTGCTGGAATCACCTTGGGGTCTTGTGGACTTGCACATTCTGGTCCTGGGAGGTCTGAAGTGGGGCCTGAGATCCTGCATTCCCAACATTAGGCAATGCTGATGCTGCCAGTTCCTGGACAGCAGCCTTGAGTGGGGCTCTGTTTGGGGTTCTCACTCATCCTATTATGCTTATTTCTTCCTTTCTGTGCCTCCTCTGCACCCTCCAACTCCTCTCCCACACAACCATCCAGTTTTGGGGAAAAGCCTTTCATAAGAGATACTTCTCTTCCCAGGAATTACTTTTTCTGCTGAGACAGGCCCCAGTAATTTTTATTCATGAGAGTAGAATGTTATTCCTTTCCCCTGGAGTGTTTCAAATTGCTCTACTTTTCTTAAAGTGATTTTGATTTATGAGAAATGTATGCTTCTGTTTTCAGTACAAAATGATCATAATTTCATCAGAAAAAGGGAGTTGTTAAAGTATTTGACATAACTCTAACACCTCCAGAAGTTTATTTGACTGCTCTGGAAAGTTTTTAAAGACAATCATTTTGCACAACCAAAAATCAAGAAGGATACTGGTAGTGTTTGTTTAGATTCAAAACGATCAAGAATTGTTGATCCTTCTGATATTTGGATTTGAATCCCTAAAGCAGCTTTAAACCAAACTGTCTGTTTGGATCATTTGGCTAAACTTCACTGGTCAGAATATTACTTGCTGCTCTACATCTGACCTTGACTTAGGGCATAGGAAGCAGAAACTCCGGGACAAATCTGGGACTTGCCCAGTGTATGTTATAGAAATATTCACTTTAGTGGTCTGCAGAGACACCCTTCAAAGAACATAGCCAGGATATTAAATATCCATTTCTTACTTTCTTAGTTTTTTAATTCATTAGAGCTGGAACAGAAGACCAAGAGAATTGTAGGGACCAGCCCCACAGGGTCGGTGGGTTTTTCTCCCCATGTGTGGAGATGAGAGATTGTAGAAATAAAGACACAAGACAAAGAGATAAAAGAAAAGGCAGCTGGGCCCAGGGCACCACTACCACCAAGACATGGAGACCGGTAGTGGCCCCAAATGCCAGGCTGTGCTGATATTTATTGGATACAAGACATAGGGGTAGGGTAAGGAGTGTGAGCCATCTCCAATGATAGGTAAGGTCACGTGGGTCACGTGTCCACTGGACAGGGGGCCCTTCCCTGTTTGGCAGCTGAGGCGGAGAGAGGAGACAGCTTACACCATTATTTCTGCATATCAGAGACTTTTAGTACTTTAACCAATTTTGCTACTGCTATCTAAAAGGCAGAGCCAGGTGCACAGGATGGAACATGACAGCAGACTAGGAGCATGACCACTGAAGCACAGCATCACAGGGAGACAGGCCTCCGGATAACTGTGGGTGGGCCTGACTGATGTCAGGCCCTCCTCAAGAGGTGGAGAAGTAGAGTCTTCTCTAAACTCCCCCAGGGAAAGGGAGACTCCCTTTCCTGGTCTGCTAAGTAGCGGGTGTTTTTCCTTGGCACTGACGCTACCACTAGACCATGGTCCACTTGGCAACAGGCGTCTTCCCAGATGCTGGCGTTACCGCTAGACCAAGGAGCCCTCTAGTGGCCCTGTCTGGACTTGACAGAGGGCTCACACTCTTGTCTTCTGGTCACTTCTCACCATGTCTCCTCAGCTCCTATCTCTGTATGGCCTGGCTTTTCCTAGGTTATGATTGTAGAGCGAGGATTATTATAATATTGGAATAAAGCGTAATTGCTACAAACTAATGATTAATGATATTCATGTATAATCATGTCTATGATCTAGATCTAGTATAACTCTTGTTGTTTTATATATTTTATTATATTGGAACAGCTCGTGCCCTCGGTCTCTTGCCTTGGCACCTGATTGGCTTGCCACCCACATCTGCCCCCTTTTTATTAACTAGGATCGCCATCACCATCATTGCTTGTCGTTGACTTTGGACTTGTTTCCGGACTCCTTGGAGGCATCTGCAGACTAAAAGAGACAACATAAGCATACCAGTATTAATAATGCCAGTGACAACAATGATTCTCCAAGGGGTTTGATCCATTTAAAGGGATTAAGATCAGATAATTCTTTAGTTATTCCTTCAAAAATGTCTGAGCCAGGAACAGTGGATAAATGAGCCTGTGAAGCCTCAAAAATTTGTTCTTTAAGTTTTGAAATATCCAAGGTTAAGTTATCATCCCAGGCTTTTAAATGTCTTGAGAACTTTTCCCAGCTATGCTGATCTTTATTATAAGCATAAGGCATTATGCAGTAATCAGAAGTATTCCAATCACACTGTAATTGCATACGGTGTTCCAAATTCATAACTCTATTTCCCAATCATATCACACGTTGGCAGAGATCATTAATTTGATTAGCTAATTTTTGATCAATTTGAGCCTTAGAATTCCAAAGTCTGGAGGAGTTTTTTTGCCATGCTTCAACACATTGAGTGGTTTGAACGGAATTGTGAATCATAACTCCAGCAGTTGCCACTGTTGCAGTAACCGCAATTAGACCTGCAATGACTGCAATAAGAGTAAAAATAAATCTCTTTGTTCTTTTGAGGATACCTTTAAGAACTTCATTGACTATGTATATAGAGGGGGAAGACTCCCACGGATGATGTAAAGAAACTGGTATCCATACCCCCTCCCTAGCACTTACCAAGAGAATACTTGTTGTGGGATTAAAAGTAGCATCAATGCACGTGAACAGCTTACAATTATCACATTCTATAGTTTGTGTACTGGGAATGATAATTATATTTCTAACTAACAGCAGGTGAGTGGTTTTGACACAACTCCTGATGGGTATTACCTGTTTAGATATCAAGGTGATGTTGAATGTGGGTGTTTTGGTATTAGTGTGAAGGAGTTGATAAGTAGTGTTCCATATCCTTATTCCTGTTATAGCTGCAGCTAATTTCCATAATTCAGGATGTTCTGGGGTAACAATGGGATGAATCATTTTTGGTCTAGGAGGAACAATGCCTGCGTCCATCCATTTAAATGGGTAAGGAGACACCTATTGTCTCAACCTGTATGACTGCCATCCATCCTTTATATAATCTAACAAATAATTATACTCCGAGCATGAGGTATTTTTGCTGGAGCAATCCTGCGAATAATGCTCTTTTGGAGCCCAATCAATAACAGTTCCCATGGCTAGACTTTGCAGCACAATGGCCTTGGGAGCATTACAATCATTCCATAAAATTGAATTCAGTAGAAAAGTTCCCTTTGTAGGTTTCTTTGGGCAGTCTGGCAGTCCTTTTGTTTTATTGCTGTTAGTAGTGACAGGAGCCCTCAATTCCTCAAGAGGCTTAAGTTTAACAGTGAGAAGTTGAAAAGAATTGCTACTGAACACATTATGTACTTGATAAGAATCATTTGTTAAGGATGGTACGGTCCACATCCAATTCTGGTAAGAATAAGCTAAACAGCCAGGTGATACACAGTGGTGGGTATTTATAGCCAAATGACAGATTAAAGTGCATACCTTCTTCTTCCGGTTGAGCTGGAAACCTATCATCATTAGGGACCGGCATGAATGCACTATTATTAGTGTAAACTTCTACTGAGGAGTCCATCCAGGAGACAGACCAAATTAAAGGGGGAAAAGGAACATATGCCCAGTGGGTATAATTTTGAGTTGCCCCAACTGGTGGTATACTTACTGCTGCACTGACTACCATAAAGACAGCCAGAATTATATTACTGGTCGTTTTTGGGATTCCTTTTTCTTTTAATAAATTTTCTGTGTGATGGGATAAGACCTTTATTTGACCCCATGTTGGTGGAGTTGAACGAGTGGTGTTGTAGGTCACACAGCGAGATTTTGTCTCAATGTCGAGGTCATGAAGTTTATGTGTCAGGAGGCGAAATTTCCTCCTCGGTTTTTGAGGGGTCTTTGCCTTTTGTTTCTGGGAACGTTTCATCTTTGGAGTTATGGTGCAATTTCAGTTGTCGGTGGGGGAGACCCACATGGGCTGTAGTCCTTTTCCTGGGGAAACACAAGCAAAACCCCTACCCCATGTTACGACTGTGCCTAATTCCTATTTGTTAGTTGCATCCTTCCACCATACCCGCATTCCTTTTTGTGGATCAAATTTACTTCCAGTGAAATGTTGTTCTGCCACTGTAAAAGGTTGATTTCTTGCTAGGTTTAAGAAATTTAGTGTAAAAGGAGCCAGATTTAACTGAGCATGAGGAGTGGCAGCATCCCTCTGTTTTAGTGTCCTGTTTTCGAAGTTGATCTTTGAGTGTTTTATTGGCTCGTTCCACCAAGGCCTGTCCTTGAGAGTTATAGGGGATGCCAGCTGTGTGAGTAATTGCCCATGTCTGAGTGAACCTTTTAAAAGCAGCACTAGTGTATCCGGGGCCGTTGTCAGTTTTCAGTTTCTCGGGACAGCCCATCACCGAGAAATATGAAAGCATATGTTGTTTAACATGAGCTGTACTTTCCCCTGTGTGACAAGTGGCCCAGATAAAATGAGAAAAGGTGTCAATAGTTACATGTATAAAAAAAGCTTGCCAAAAGCAGGATAATGAGTCACGTTCGTTTGCCAGAGAGCATTCTGTGAAAGTCCTCTAGGGTTAACTCCTGAAGAAAGTGGCTGTAAAATTAACACTTGACAAGTAGGACAGTGACGCACATGGTTTTAGCTTGTTTCCATGTAAGGGGGAACTTTTTTTGGAGTCTCGCAGCGTTGACTTGAGTTAAAGTATGAAAATTTCGTGCATTTGTAAAAATGGGAGCAACTAATATATCAGCTCTGGCATTTGCTGCCAAGAGGGGTTTGGGGAGGGGTGTGTGGGCCTGAATGCGAGTAATGTAGAAAGGAGAAGACCTTGCTTTGAGCACAGACTAAAACCTTTGAAAAAGAAAGAATAGGTTATCATTAGGCAGAAATTTGATTAAGGCAGTTTCAATATTGCGAGCAACATGTGCTACATACGCCAAGTCAGAAAGAATGTTAACTGGTTCAGGGAAATCTTCAAGGACAGCCATAACAGCAAGTAGCTCAGCTCATTGTGCTGAAATAGCTCCTGTATTAAGAACACGTTCTCTTGGTCCTGTATATGCTGCTCGGCCATTACAGGAAGCATCAGTAAAAACAGTGACAGCTTCAGCCAATGGGGTGTTTCTAGTAATGTTAGGTAAAATCCAAGAAGTGAGGAAGGAACTGAAATAATTTTACATTAGGATAGTGATTATCAATTATACCCGGGAAAGTTGCCAAATGTACTTGCCAAGCGATGCAGGTTGCAAAAGCCTGTTGGACTTGTAATCGGGTGAGGGGAACAATGATTTTTTTTGGTGGGGGGGGGGCGCTTAATAACCTTGTCTTCTAGCTGCATTCCTAAATAGTGATAAGGAGAAGAAGTTTGGATTTTTTCTGGGGCAATAACTAAACCGGCTGCTGCAACTGCTTTTTGTACTGCAGAAAAACAAGATATTAACACAGAGCGAGAATTTGCCGCGAGATCAGCTGCTTGCTGAGCAACATCAGCGGGCTGTAGCTGATTTTGTGCCGCAGGACGGCAGGGAGGCTGTAAAATTACAGGAAATTGCCAGGCTTTGGGATCCCCATATTCTCTTGCCTGTGCTATAGCCCTGATAAGAGGAGTGCCATTTTGAGGAATGTATGTAACTTGTTGCTTGTGAGTGGCAAACTTGGGTAGACGAGATTACTTGCTGAGCAGGTCTTTCATGGGCCTGAAATCCAGGCTGCCACCGGCAACTGTGGACCAGGCTTCAAGGGAGCCTGAGGCTTCAAGGGAACCCGGTTTGTAGAAAAGGAACCAGGCCTCAAGGTATCCTGTGACTCCAGGGGAGTCCGTGACTCTAGCCGAGTCTGATTAGGAGGAAAAGAACCAGGCTTCAAGAGAGCCTGTGACTCTAGCCGAGTCCGATTAGGAGGAAAGGAACCAGGCTTCAAGGGAGCCTGCGGCTCTAACTGAGTCTGATTAGGAGGAAAAGAAACAGGCATGAGAAAACTAGGCTGTGGAGGGATAGGGTTGAGGGCCTCATTACTGGGTAGAACAAGCAGAAGGTTGACAGCCCTACAGCAGGGCTGAACAGGGACAGGGTTGAGATAATACAGGAGGGTTTTTATAAAGTTTAAATAAGCCGAGTACCTAGTACTGGCCTGTCCCATGGTGTCCCCGGAATGCTGAGTGCTCAAGCTTACCACCAAGCTTATTGACCGCAATCCTCAGGAATCTGTCGTCGAAATCCTCTGCTGAGTCCCGCACTCAAGGTGCAACTTCACACAGCGAGGGAGAGCCCCATGTCGGAGCGCCAGATGTAGGGACCAGCCTCACAGGGTCAGCGGGCTTTTCTCCCTGTGTGCAGAGATGAGAGACTGTAGAAATAAAGACACAAGACAAAGAGATAAAATTGGAGACAGCTGGGCCTGGGGGACCACTACCACCAAGACGTGGAGTCCGGTAGTGGCCCTGAATGCCAGGCTGCACTGATATTTATTGGATACAAGACATAGGGGTAGGGTAAGGAGTGTGAGCCATCTCCAATGATAGGTAAGGTCACGTGGGTCACGTGTCCACTGGACAGGGGGCCCTTCCCTGTTTGGCAGCTGAGGCGGAGAGAGGAGACAGCTTACGCCATTATTTCTGCATATCAGAGACTTTTAGTACTTTCACTGATTTTGCTACTGCTATCTAAAAGGCAGAGCCAGGTGTACAGGATGGAACATGAAAGCGGACTAGGAGCATGACCACTGAAGCACAGCATCACAGGGAGACAGTTAGGCCTCTGGATAACTGTGGGTGGGCCTGACGATGTCAGGCCCTCCACAAGAGGTGGAGAAGTAGAGTCTTCTCTAAATTCTCCCAGGGAAAGGGAGACTCCCTTTCCTGGTCTGCTAAGTAGCGGGTGTTTTTCCTTGGCACTGACGCTACCACTAGACCATGGTCTGCTTGGCAACAGGCGTCTTCCCAGATGCTGGCATTACCGCTAGACCAAGGAGCCCTCTAGTGGCCCTGTCTGGACTTGACAGAGGGCTCACACTCTTGTCTTCTGGTCACTTCTCACCATGTCTCCTCAGCTCCTATCTCTGTATGGCCTGGCTTTTCCTAGGTTATGATTGTAGAGCGAGGATTATTATAATATTGGAATAAAGAGTAATTGCTACAAACTAATAATTAATGATATTCATGTATAATCATGTCTATGATCTAGATGTAGTATAACTCTTGTTGTTTTATGTATTTTATTATACTGGAACAGCTCGTGCCCTCGGTCTCTTGCCTCGGCACCTGGGTGGCTTGCCGCCCACAGAGAATGGCTTTTGAGTCAGATGTATCTGGGTTTGAAATCTCAGCTCTTCCTCTTTGCTCCTTTGAGCTCGAGACATGGTATTTTTTTTGCTTATTTGCGTAAATAATTGTTTATTATGATTTCACATAAAAGGAAGTCATGAGATGGTTGGTTCTAAGAGCGGCTCAGAAACTTGACCATGTTATCGAGGCTTTTCTGATCCTATCACATTAACAATGTCATTCCTCATGGGTATAAGATGGCTGTGGTAACTCCAACCACCACACCTTCACAGGGCAAAGTCCTTAGTAGAAAGGGAACATATGTATCAGGGAAAAGAGTCCTTCCCAGGAACCTCTAATAGATTTCCCTCTCATCCACCTAGCCAGAAATAGGCCACAGGCCGACCCCTAAACCAATCACTGACAAAAGAGAGTAGGATTATCACTATGGACTTAAATCAGTCATAATTCATTCCTGAGGGGCAGAATTCACATTGTCACTAAAGAGCACATGGTCAAATTGGAATCCTTTTAGGAGGCAAAAAAACGGTAGGATAATATTGGTTTGACAACTGTCAGCCTCTATCACACCATTGATAAATGTCTTGCCTCCCTGTTCAGACTGTCTCTGAAATAGGCAATTTGACAACGGCCCTTGGGGAAGGAGCAGCAGGCTTGTTACCCCTCAGCTGTTTTTTGTTTGTTTGTTTTTGTTTTTACATGAGAATTTCTTTACCTTGCATCATCAACATTCTTTTTCTTCCAATGAGTATTTCTATTATAATTTTTTCACCATCAAAAACTTTAAAAAAGTTTTTGCCTAGCAGTTGAGAACAGTATGATCTCCATCTCTTTGTCCAAATTCTAAGGCTGAGAGAGTAAACTGTTTATTTATAAATCAGCACTCTAAGTTAACATCAAATTAAGTCTCCATCAGAGAGGAAAGAAGACAGTTTTGCTCCCCTTTAATTAAATATTGTGAACATTTGTTGCTTCCACCAACACTGTGTTACCAGTGTTTTACTGGAGGTGACTGTGTCTTACTTTATATTCCAAGAAGCTAACATGTTTTCTCACTCACAGATGTTCAAGAAAGTTTACATTGAAAATAATCTCTGTACACATAGTTTCACTCAAAGTTACTTGGCAAAGTCATAAGACAAGATTCTTGATTTGGCATTAATTAATTTTGTCTTTTTCTTTTTCTTTTTTTTTTTTTTTGGAGATGGAGTTTCGCTCGTGTCACCGAGGCGGGAGGGCAATGGCACGATCTCAGCTCACTGCAACCTCTGCCCTCTGGGTTCAAGCTATTCTCCTGCCTCAGCCTCCCAAGTAGCTGGGATTATAGGCTCCCACCACCACGTCTAGCTAATTTTTTTTGTATTTTTAGTAGAGATGGGGTTTCATCACGTTGGCCAGGCTGGACTCGAACTCCTGACCTCAGAGATCCGCTGGCCTCAGCCTCAGAAAGGGCTGGGATTACAGACGTGAGCCACCACTTCCGGCCACTTTCTAATTTTTTTTATTATTATACTTCAGGCAGTTTAGCAATGATTTTCCAGTTTGCTGTGAAAGCAACAAGTGGTGTTGGCAGTGTCAGCTCATGAACTGACATTATTTGGCATAGAGTAGGCGTAGAGATTAGTCTGTTTTCATAGCACAAAGGCCCCTATTCTTCCCAAGCTTATTGGTACACATCAGTCCCAGCGACCACGGTTGAGGAATATCAGGGATTTAGGGGCCAGCTCATCACATCTTAAACTTCAGCGATGCCCTGTGTCTGAGTCAAAGCAAGGCGTACGTGCACAGTATCCACTGTAACTTGTTTGGCTGGTTTTCATGGGTTAACCAGTTGACTTTAATGGTCAACACATTTCCCAGTTTGAAAAGTCAAAATCAATGTGTAATACTAGAATTCTTATGAAAATGAAGTATGTAAAGATATTTTGGCCAGGTGCGGTGGCTCACGCCTGTAATCCTGCACTTTGTGAGGCCAAGGTGGGTGGATCATGAGGTCAGGAGATCGAGACCATCCTGGCTAACATGGTGAAACCCCATCTCTACCAAAAACATAAAAAATTAGCTAGGCAAGGTGGTGGGCGCCTGTAGTCCCAGGTACTAGGGAGGCTGAGGCAGGAGAATGACGTGAATCCAGGACGCAGTGCTTGCAGTGAGCCGAGATCGAACCACTGCACTCCAGCCTGGGCGACAGAGCCAGACTCCATCTCAAAATAAAAAAAAAAAAGAAAAAAACACAAAAGATATTTTAGGCAAGCCTGAAGGAAGTGAAAATCAAGAATAGCTACCAATAAGGAACTTTAGAATATATATATATATATACACACACACGTATATATATATATATATACGTGTATATATATATACACGTATATATATATATACACATATATATACGTATATATATACATATATACGTGTATATATACATATATATATACACGTATATATATATACATATATATATACACGTATATATATATATACACGTATATATATATATATATATTTTTTGAAAACGGGAAGCTATGATTACCCTCAGTCTCCATCAGTCACTTGATGTAACACTGCACATTCTCTAGGGACTACCCTGGCAGGGAGAGGGTCTCGGATACATCACAGACTCTTCTGTCTTGAAACATGAACACTGCAGGCCAGTAAGGCGGGGTGTGCACCCATCAGCACCTCTGGGCTGTCCTCCTGACCTAATGTTTTCTTGGGGGAAGGCAGTTCTGTGAGGCGGGCTTGTTCTGGCAGGCTCTGGTTAGGCCAGTCAGTTTGTATCTTTCCAGTCATGCTTAATCTTGGTAGCTCTTGAAATCTTTCCTGACTGGAAGTCCAGAGCATGAACTTTCTTACCTAGGGCCCCATATTTCCAAGGAGTGGCCTTGGGCTTGAAGCTGATATTTTGAGAGTCACACTGAGTCAGAGAGTTGTGATGAGGAGCTCAGAGTTCGCAGCCACATGTTCCGGGCTTAATTCCCAGCTTTGCCTCTAGCAAGCTATGTGACCTCGGGGAGTTGCTGCATGTCCCTTTGCCTCATAGCCTCACTTTCTTTGCCATTGCCACAGGGCTGTAATAAAGATTAAATGAAAATGGTATCTGCCACATAGAAAACACTATGTAAGTAAGACTATCATCACTTGCCTCCATCCCAATTCAGACATGCTGTATATCAACTTTAGCAAATCTAGATGACAAGTAACATCAACTAAGAAGATTGCTGGGCTGCACAAGATAGGGGCTGAAAGAGGCAATATTATAGCTACTTGGTTGTGATCACTATTTTCATCAACATTTTTGTTTTAAATTTTCTTAAGTATCTTATACTTTATTTTCAAATTAAAATGTAAGATTTTGTTCTTTTAAATTCTTTATATATGTGAGGCAGAAGTGTTACATATGTGAGATAAAAAATGGACTCTTTTCAGAATTTAAAAAAAGAAATCTATCGAGAGGCAAGACTTTTCCAATACCAAAGCAAATAGCCAATCAATTTAGTCACAAGACCCCTAGTTTCAGGAGATAGAAATTCTAGGGTTGGTTTTGATTGCTTTCAGTATAATGATCTAATTACCTTATTACATAATATATCCACCTAACATCCATATGAGTTTGGGGTGGGCAACGGCATCACCGCCTCTTCTTTTAAGGAGCACTGCCTGGTAGGATTATTACCTGTGTAGCTGAAAACAGCGATTGTAGTACTGAGGAATTAACCCTAGTTAGAGATTGGGAAGACTCACAAATAGGGAATATGCAGTCAGGATTATTTTTTGACAAGTGAATTATCCAGTTGGCACTACTCAAGTAACACAAGAGTTTCTGATGGTTGGAAATGAGTATAATGTGGATAAAGTGTTGGTGAAACACAGGTGCACATCTTGAGCTAAAAGATAACATTTCGGCTGTTTCTCTGGTCATTAAAAAGCTGCTTACACATCACATGTACACAGCTTCTTAGAAGCCACTTAAACGGAATTATCTCAGCAGGGTAGTGGGTTTGGGTTGAGTAGGCAGCAGAGCAAAGTTATTAAAAGTACTGACTCTAGAATGGAAATTCCTGGAATCAGATCAAGGCACCAACACATTTACCTGGTGTGTGGCCTCAGGCTACTTCCTTGACCTAAGGATCTATTATCTTGTCTGGAAAATTGATATAAAAATAGTACCTACATCATTAGGTTGCTGAGAACATCAAATATGAAAATGTACATTAAGTGCTTAGCTCAGAGACTGAACAGTGAGAGCTCACTACATTTTAGCTATTGCTACTTTTTACTATCGTTTGAAGGCACTTCCCACCGTGACCTTGCATTGGTAAATAACATAATGATTAAAAGAAGTCTGCTCCTGATTGGCACCAAGCTCTCCTTTATTCAGGGAACTCTAATTTGTATTTCCATTAAATGCTTTGAATACTGGTGAGACTAGAAAGTCCTGGAACTGGATACCCACCCTCTTTCTGTCAGAACCTGTGAGTCAGGTTCAGGGTAGCTGTCACCTTCCTATATTGTTTCCACTTAATGACACCACTCTTTCCCCACCATTTTCTTTGAAAGGCCAAGGAGCTATTGGGAAAACTCTCAAGACTTGAGAGCAGGCTCCTGAAAGGAGTCAGTAACTTGCCTGAGTCCATGTAGAACTGAATTTCTGCACAGCTGCTTGGACTGCCTTAATAATAGCCAAATTTAATGAGCATTTTACTGTGTGCTGGAACCTTACCTGCATTATCTTGCTTAACCCTCATAACAGCCTTTTGGAATAGGACTTTCATTACTTATATTCATTGGAAGAAGCTAAAGAAAGGTTTATAATTTGTGCAAATAAAGTAAAGAGAGGTGAATAATAAGTCCAAATCAGCACAACTCATAAGCACCACTGTGTGCTCTGAACACTCTGTGATGTGAGATGCAAGAACTTTGTGCCTGATAATTGTTGTCCCTCTGAGTCCTGTAGGATGCCTATATTTTTGAAAGCAAAAGGAGTAATGCCTGCTAAACTTTGCCTTTTTCTTCTTTACAGACTCACTAGCTGAGTTTTTCACATTGCCTGCCAGTAGACACTTTGGCTGACCTCAAAGGGCAGCCAGCTGGACACAGATTTTCAGGAAGGCACAGAGCAGTTCTGATCCTTGCCTAGCACTTCCCTTGAGCTTTTATAAATGGAACTTGATATGCCTATCCTGGAGGACTTTGCAACCGGGTAAAACTAAAGACCACACATACAAATCTGCCATACGTGTTTAGAGACTCCTGACAGAGTTTCTATTTCATGACTCACTTGGGAAATATGGAGCACCTTTGTAATATGCTGGGTCTGGAGCCAGAAAGGATGTGAAGGGAATCTGAGACACTGTCCTCTGACAGGTGTTTCTGCTACTATGTGTTTGCTAACGTATTGGTGGTAGTCACGCGGAAAAGTGTGCCATGCTCCAGTAAGTTTGTGAAAGTCTGTGTAATATTAAGTTAAACAAGTTTCTTCAGAGCCTTTATTTGCTGTTGTTCATAGTGAATTGCTAAGTATTAAGGGAGCTCAAATGACTCTAAAATCATTTTTTTATTGGAGCATCTTGTGGGACTACTTTCCTTTAGAATACATTTTCACAAACCCTGGTAAAAATGCTTTAGCACGTAGGCTCAGGGATAAAGCCAGGCTCTGCCATTTAGGTGCTGTGTGACTTTGAGAAAGTGATTTCAACACTCTGTCCTACCTCTCTTTCATCATCAGTAAAATTAATGTCATAATGACATCTATCTTCTAAGGCCTTGCAAATATGCTCATGGTCAGCATCCAACAGATGTTAACTGTTATCTTTAAAAAATGGTACTTCAGTTTTAAATTTTGAGGTTAGTTTCTTCACCCCCATAGAATTTAATCTCCTCTCGTATTGTCATCTGCTGATATAGGAGGAAAAGAAGCCCTTAAAACAAAAAAAAAAATCAAATCATTGTTTCTGTGGTAGGTCATGTCCATCCTGCTATTGACCTAAAAATGTAAGCATTAAGATCAGTAAGAATTTTCTTAAACGAGAAGAGAGGTCCATGTGGTTCTTCTCCCAGCCTACATACAGTTCGTGTTATAGGTCTGTAATTCTGAGTTCTCAGGACCTGGGAATTTCTCACCAGGGGCTCAAATTTTCTTCCATGAGAAGGCTGTCTAGCAGGGCTGCCTAGGTAGGCAGAGACTGAAGCCCTCCTCAGTTGCTCCTTCTTCTGAGAACTCTGCAAGCCAAGGTCTAGACACTGCAGTTCCAGACATCAAATTGGCACTTTGTTTTAGAAAAAAGATCACAGATTGTTTTAGAAAAAAGAGGACAAATCAAGGGATGTCAAGCTGTTGGTAAAAATATTAAAAACTGTGGCAAATGAAATGAGGAGGTAGCCATGGGACTATAGGTAGATAAATACCACTTATTCCTTCAAAATCATCTTTAGTGCTTAAAACTCATCTTCCTTCCACCATGGCCTAAGCAAAATCCCCCATGTTACAACCAGTATTACAGCAGCAATAACGGCAACCACGGAAGTGAAGGTGAGGTGGTGGTATTGTATAAGAAAGGGAATATATCATTCACACAGGAGAGCCCAGCAATTCCTGTTTCCCAATCCACGGGGAAAGGAGAAGGGGTAGGAAGTCTCCAAAACTCTCATCCCTGGAGATATCGATTTAGATAGCATCTATGGAATTGTTAAATCAAGATGAGACTGAAGCTGCCTCCTTACATAGTTAAGTTCGGCCTAAAGATTTTTCTGTACATTGTGAACTATAACAAGCGGAGTTGTAAACCAACCGTAGCCCACAACTATGCCAATCACTGGGTTTTGGTTAATCAAATGCACCCAACTACTCAAATCCTGGTCAAATAAGGCAACTGGAGAACTTTATCCAATCCACTTGTTTCTCTACTTCACCTCCTTTTTCTGTACCTCACTTTCCTTTTGCTGTCCATAAATCTCCCACCATGTGCCTGTGCTGGAGTCTCTCTGAATCTGCTGTGATTCTGGGGGCTGCCCAATTCGTGAATCGTTCATTGCTCAATTAAACTCCTTGAAATTTGATTAGGCACCCGGGGGCAGTGGCTCACACCTATAATCCCAGCACTTTGGGAGGCCAAGGTGGGTGGACCACCTGTGGTCAGGAGTTCGAGACCAGCCTGATCAACCTGGTGAAACCCTCTCTCTACTAAAAATACAAAAATTAGACAGGTGTGGTGGTGGGCGCCTGTAGTCTCAGCTCCTCGGGAGGCTGAGGCAGAAGAATCGCTTGAACCCAGGAGGCGGAGGTTGCAGTGAGCCAAGATGGCACCACCGCATTCCCTCCTGGGAAACAGAGCGAGACTGCCGAAAAAAAAAATTGGTTGAAGTTTTTCTTTTAATAGGATTTAGGCAGCATACATGATGCCAGCCTGCAACTATACCAGCCATAAGTGGAGTTGATTACATAGAGTATTCGGGGGGTGGGGGAGTGGGGATGAAAAAGAGTGGGAAGACAGCAGGAATATATTGAAAGTGAAAAGTTGACAAAATTAGTAGAACTTCAGGATTGGTTAGTTATTGAAGGTCAGAGGGAGTAGTGAAGAATAATTCTGTTTCATGGACTCTGTTGGTTGGATTCTAATGTCATCAAAGGAGAAAGAGTAAGTTCGGAGAGGAAATAATGAGGTCAGATTAAAACTGCACTTTGGCTGTTGGCTATTCATTCCTATTGATCATACAATGTTAAGTTTATTAAAGCACTATCCATTTTTAGTGATATCTCAAAATGCTAAATTCAGGCAAGGAGTTTATAGCATTTCAGGACCTGGGCTAAGTGATTTTAAGGCAGGTTCTGCAAGGAGGGTAGTAGAGATGAGTGAGGACAGTGAAGCAAAAGTCTTGAAGCAAGTCTGGATGAGAAATTATTTAGTCTTCATAAATAAGCTGTCTGGCTCACAGCCTTAAATTTCAGGAAAGGGTATTTCCTGGATGAAGCAGATAAATTATTTTGCTTGGCCCAGTATTATTTAATATATACACGCAAAGAGTATATGCAGCCCCATGACCCCCTGTAGTTTAATGCAGGGACTAAGGAATTATCAAGATGTGAATGGAACATTCAGGCAGATGAGTTCACCAGGCTATCTAGAAACTAGGCGTGGAAATGGAAATAATGATTTCAAGTCGCCTGAACAGAACATACTTTCTGACTCAAGCAGGAACTCAATAAAATACCTTGCAAATCTCCTCTGAGGGGGTATTCTATCAAGGATCATTCAGGAGACTAAAACTTGGGAATGCTCCCAGAATGTTAGTCACTTGCATCCAAACCCAAGAGGGAAGGATCAAGTCAACATGATCTTCTTCCTCTTCTCGTTTTATTCTCTTTGGGATCTCTCAAGCTAAGAAATTACACTGCACATTTCTTGTGACCTCCAGCAGAGCTTGAGGAAGAGAAGAATATCTAAATAACTGTTAGATTTATTCATATTTTGAAAGTTTTATCAAGCTTCCTGAACTTGACCAGTTAAGCTAGACTGACAAAACCAAGGTTGGAATTTTTTATAAAGGAGGGATGGAGAGATGCAGGTCATTATATATATCAGCTACCTCCTCATCGAGCCTCTATCCCTAAACTTTAGCCACTGCTTCACTATCAGAACAATTAAAGATTTAAAACACACCTTATAAATGTTCCTTCTAGGAAAATTACAGGTTTATAGTCATCTCCAGAAAATAAGGAACAAATATGCTTTTACATTGTCCATGATCTGTAATTGTTTTTTGAGATGAAGCCATTTTCAAGCCTTTGGAAGGGATAGCAGAGGAAAAACCAGGTGGCAGAAATGACCTTGACTATTTTTCCACCTGCCCAGTGTTTTAGCTTGTTTTAAAGGATGATCAAATGTATTGGATGTATTTAATTAATGCATTCAACAAATTAGACAGGTGTGTGTTTTTTAGACACCTACTATATGCCAGCAGTATTATAGGATCTGGGATACAACAATGGACAAATAAATGTCTCTGCTCTTCTAGAGCTTGCATTCTAGTCACAGACACAAGCAAAAAATAAAAACAAATGAATATATTTGGATAAGTATATATGTTGGGAGTTACCAGGGCTGTGAAAAAAATATAGCTGAGGAAGAAATACACATTCATAGGAGAATGCTTATCTTAAAAGGAGGGAGGTAGGCCTCTCATTCAATATTTGAGCTCAGACTTGAAGGAAGTGAGAGAGAGAGCATGCATATATATATCTGGGTGAAAAACATTCCAAGCAAAGGGAACAGCAAATGTGCAAATGCTCTGCAGCGACTCTCTGTGTATTAATGGCATGTTAATAGAAGGAAATGGGCTCTCATTTCCACTTAAGTAGTAATATCTGGTGGCAGTGCTGTGGGACTAGCCAGGGTTGGTATAGAATACACCAAAGAGGGTATTGGTAGAAACCTAGGTGGAAACTAAGTGTCCATCAATGGATGAATGAATACAGAAAATGTGGTATATATACACAACGGAATACTATTCAGCCATAAAGAAGAATGAAATCCAGCCTTGGTGACTACATGGATGAACTGTTAAGTGAAATAAGCCAGGCACGGAAAGACAAATACTGCATCATCTCACTTATATGTGGAATCTTGAAAATTTGATCACATAGATGCAGAGTGGAGTGGTGGTTACCAGAGCCTGGGGGTGGTGGGGGTAGGGGGAGATGTTGGCCAAAGGATACATACTTACAGCAGGATAGAAAAAATAAATTTCAAGGGATCTACTATAAAGCAAGGTGACTATGGTCAATGATTATATATTATGTTCTTGAAAAATCTAGAGTATATGTTATATGCCCTTACCACAAAAATAACTACGTGAAGTAATGCACATGTTAATTAGCTAGATTTGACAATTCCACAACGTATATGAACTACAAAACATCATGTTGTGCACTATAAATGCATACAGTATTATCTGTCAATTAAAAAATAAAAGAAAAAAAGGGTTTTGAATTTACGTAAGTATGCAAATCCAAGCATACTCATTTGAGACCATGATGTACACTGCAAAAGTCTTTTTTCTTCCACTGACCTACTTACCAAAAGATCTCTGTGCTGTCCCAGATTTCAGACTTTCAGGCTTAAACATGTTGTCTGGGTTCTGACCATTTCAAAACCGCTTTATCACTGGCTTCAGTCTCCTTATAGACACATATTCTCTACATGTTTTTTCTTTCAGTTAATCTAACCTTGGTGCAAAGATTTTCTCTCTGTATATGAACTAACTCTGCTGCCCCAAGGTTTCCTCCATATATAAGAATATAAAGTGCATTTGATGAAAGTAAAGGTTTTGAATCAAAGGGTATAATTTAGAAAATTTAGGGCATTCAAAACTGTCCCCCTCTCCTGCCTTCTGAAAGAGCTCAATGTGTGTTACTAAAGAATGAGGGAAACTGTTTCTAACTGTAGAAATAAATCCACTATGTATAATAAATCCACAATATTGAGAAACAACTCTGCATGCTGTTGTCTAAGGTCAAGCTAAAGCTTCCCAGGAATTGGAATCTCAATAAATATTGGTTACATTGAACAGAACTTTGGCAGATTTTCTACTCTTTGTGTTGCATTTTTGGCAAATAATATTTTTTAATAAGTACCTCCAGTAAATAACAGCAACATTTGGGACAATTTTGTAAATGAGATACTTATTAAAAATATATAATGTCTTTGTTATTCTCTTAGTAACTCAGTGTAGATATAATCTTAATTTACCACCTAGGAAAGCTCTACTGCAATGACTCATTCCTTTTTAGAGCTTAATGGAACCCAAAAGATTCCTATGCTTATTTTGCATCCAGAGATATGAGCTCCAGAGAAGTTATATAGGGTTAGAAAACAAGTTCCTGATTCTCAGGCTGGGTTTTTTTTTCATTACAACATTCTGCCCTTCATGGATTCCCGTGATTGCTTCATAGTCCAGAAGCATCTTACCTTTTCTTGAGCAGAAAATAGAGAGAGAAAACATACAGCAGTAAATCTGAAATTCTGGAGAGAACAAATTTCTTTTTACTAAACCTTTGGATCATAATTTGGCCCAAGGCTGAGGCTAGATATAAGATGATATCCTGGTGTTACAAACAAATAGTTATTTCAGACAAACAAAAGATGCCTGCTTTTCTTTCTTACTATATTGACTACCTGGGTTGTTCTTTGACCGAACTTGTTTTGTCATCAGATAGAACTTGACGAGCTTTTCTAACTTATGATCAATCTGAGTGGAGCTCTTCAACAACTGGCTCAGAGTTCTGTGGAATGACAGAATAATAGCTCAGTTCATATTTTAAGCATAGTAAATAATTTCTTTCTTACTAGTCACATAAAATGACTGTTCATTATTCTTTTATTTGCATTGGGTAATAAGGTAACAAAGCTGCTATTCATGTCGGCAATCGTTTTTCTACAGACAAAAGAACACATCTTAGGTAAATAGAAACCTCTCTGCTCCAAAAACAAATGCAAAGATTTTGATTCATAGCTTTGACTGAAGTCTTATAAAGGGTAACTTTTAATATATATGACTCATAAATAACAAATATACATTAAAAAATGAGACAGAGAAATTCCCCAATCCTAAGGTGGGCCTTGGTAATGTATAGTACTATTTTATATGCAAAGTTCAATGAATGATTACTTAAATCTCCCCCTCTCCTTCTCCACTGGTCTCTTTTTCAAAAAAAGAAGTTTTGATTCCTCAGATGGAAATAGACTCACAGCAATCAGGGGAAGTTGGGCAGTGTGGCAGTAGTTACAGAGTAAGCAATATTTTGATTTCATTTTTTTCTTGCTCAAGTATAAAATGTTAATACTCCTTGCAAAAAACCCCACAGTTATTACTTAACCCAAATCTACTATGGAAAATAATACTCATAATAAAAAGAAAACAAAAGCGTTTGCATAATAGTCATGATAAGAAAAATTAATAGGTGTCTCCATTGAACTCTGCCTGCACATGACTTGCATAGATCTCATTCAAGAATAACACTCAACTCTTTACTTTTTATTTCATATTAAACATTTGAATCTAGAACTGTTCTATTTGTCTTGAGATTATTATTTCTTGATTTCTTTTATTTTCTTCTCATTTTCTCCAAGCTTAGTCATCTTGATGAAAGTCAAGAGAGGAAAAAATTGACAAAATGAATTGTCACCACATTCTTTTAAAGAGTCTGCTACATGCCAGACTATTCTAGGGACCAGGAAAACCAGTGATCCTCACTCACTTTGAGTTTACATGGCATGGGCAGGCAACAGACAATAAATAAATGGACACAGTAATTATTTCATATAATAGGGGTTCATTTGGTTTGGGAATTCTGAAAACACCTCAGCTGGTGATGGTAGTTAACTGTAACTTGAAACCATGCGTAACTCTGGGGCCAGAGCATTCCAGGCAGAGCACAAGACTCTCCATCAGAAGGGAGATTAGCATGCTTGAGGATGAGAAAGAAGGCCTGAGCAGCTGGAGCAGAGTCAGTGCCACATGATAGGCAGGGATAGGCCAGAGTTTGAGAACCCTGAGGGGCCATGGCAAAGGGTCTGTACTTTATTCTAGCTACAGTAAGAAGTTGTTGGAGAATTGAAGCAGGACAACAAAGTGATTTTATTTATTTATTTATTTATTATTTTTTAATTTAAAGATCACCCTTGCTGTTGTGTAGAATAGAAGCAAGGAAACTGTTGTAATAATCCAAGTAAGAAAGGATGATGTTTAGAATAAGGTAGTTGCAGTGAAGACAGAGAAAAGCAGACAGGTTTTAGATGCATTTTGAATATAAATATACGAGGACTTGATCTATTAAGTGGCATTGTGGCAAGGATAGGGAGAAACTGAGGATAAGTTATTGGTGTTTGACTTGAGCAACTAGGTGAATAATGGTCTCATGTACCCAACTGAGGAAGCCTTGGGTGTGAGCTGGTTTGCAGAGGGAAAGAGCTCTGTGTTGGCCATAAGATCCTGGGGAGACCCCAAGACTTCTAAGTGGAGCATTATTGCTAATGATACCTTCCATTTATAGATTATATCATACACTGTTACAATTTCTATTTGTGTGACTGATGGATTGATTGCATGGGCAGATGAGGCGAGCTGGACATGAAGGAGACGTAAGTGAAGAGAGGAGAGGACACAGAAGCAGGAAGGAGAATGTGCTCAAAGATGAGATGATTGTTGGTGACTGCCATGCAGAATCTAGCCTTGGCTCTGCCATGTACCCCTGAGAGGAATATCAGTTCTCTTTCCTCTCCCATGTCCTCCTCTGACTATCTTTATGGGGACTGAAATGAGGCACTTTTCAAAAAAGGTAAGCAATAATTGGCCCATATCTCCTTTCTTATGCAATCCTCATTTATCTTTGAGATGTTATCACACTTGATATATTCCCATTCCAGTTGTCATATTAAAGCTTCTTAGTCGATGAACTTCTAGATTCACTTAGATTTAGGAGCCAGGAAAAGAAAATATTTATTCTAATATGTTGACATTTACCACTCTGATATTTATATTTCAGTAAGTATAACTTGAATGATTTATTTAAAGTATTTTCTAAAACCATAAAGTAACACTGAAGACAGATCATGAATGATGTATTTTCTATTATGTACTCAGTTGCCAACTGAATTTTAATTTTCAGAGGAATGCTATCTTAAATTACTAGATAATATTTATGTCAGTAACTATATTTTTTTTATTTTTTTATTGTGGAACACATAGGAAATAGCAAAGATAGTACAGAGGAGTACAGTGTACCTTTAATCTGGTAACAGGCACTATTTTAAAAATCTGAATATAACACGCCCAACACAGGATAACCCAGATTCATAAAGCAAGTTCTAAGAGACCTACAAAAAGATTTAGAATCCCACACGATAATGGTGGGAGACTTCAACAGTCCACTGATAATATTAGACAGATCATTGAGGTGAAAAATTAACAGATATTTGGACCTGAACTCAACATTAAAATAAATCTGATCGTAGAGAATTATATTTTCAGACCTCTACAGAACTCTCCACCCCAAAACAAGAGAATATACATTCTTCTCATTGCTATATGGCACACACTCTATTAATTGACTAGCAGTCAGACATAAAACAATCCTCAGCAATGCAAAAGAACCAAAATCACACAAACACACTCTTGGACCACAGTGCAATAAATATAGAAGTCAAAACTTTAAAAATTGCTCAAAACCATACAATTACATGGAAATAAAACAACCTGCTTCTGAGTGACTTTTGAGTAAATAATGAAATTAAGGCAAAAATCAAGACTTTTTTGAAACTAATGAGAACAAAAATACAACATAGTGGAATCTCTGGGATACAGCTGAAAGAGTGTTAACAGGGAAATGTATAGCACTAAACACCAACAACAAAAGGGAATATTTCAAATTAACAACCTAATATTACAACTGAAAGCATCAGAGAAGCAAGAGCAAACCAACCCCAAAGCTAGCAGAAGATTAGAGATAACCAAAATCCAAGCTGAGCTGAAGGAAATAAAGACATGGAAAACCATTCAAAAGATCAGTGAGCCCAGAGTAGTTTTTCTGAAAAAATTGATGAGATAGATAGGCTGCTAGCTAAACTAATAAAGAAGAAAAGAGAAGATTGAAATAAACACAATTAGAAACAACAAAGGAAATGTTACCACTCACCACACAGAAATAAAAATAACCATCAGAAACTACTATGAACACCTCTAAGCACACAAACTAGAAAACCTTAAAAAGATGGATAAATTCCTGGACAATATAACCTCCAAAAACTAAACCAGGAAGAATTTGATTACCTGAACACACCAAAAATGAGATCTGAAATTGAACAAATAATAAATACCCTACCAACCCCCCAAAAAGCCCAGGATCAGATGGATTTAGAGCTAAATTTTACCATATGTACAAAGAAGATCTGGTGTCATTTCTACTGAAACTAATTTTAAAAATTGAGAAGGAGGGACTCCTCCCAACTCATTCAATGAGGCCGGCATCATTCTGATACCAAAACCTGGCAGAGACACAACAAAAACAGAAAACTTCAGGCCAATATTCTTGATGAATATTAATGCAAAAATCCTTAACAAACTACTTGCAAACCAAATCCAGCAGTGCATCAAAAAGTTAATCCACAATGATCAAGTAGGCTTTTTCCCTGGAATGCAAGATTGGTTCAACATACACAAATAAATAAATGTAATCCATCGCATAAGTATAACTAAAGACAAAAACCACATGATTACCTCAATAGATGCAGAAAAGGCTTTTGATAAAATTCAATGTCTTTTTATGTTAAGAACTCTCAGTAAACTAGGTATTGAAGGGACAAACATCAAAATAATAAGTCATCTATGGCAAACCCACAGCTAACATCATACTGAATGCGGAAAAGTTGGAAACATTCCCCTTGAAAACTGATACAAGACAAGGATGTCTTCTCTCACCACTCCTATTCAACATAGTATTGGAAGTCCAGGCCAGAACAATCAGGCAAGAGAAAGAAATAAAGGCATCCAAATAGGAATAAAGAAAGTCAAACTGTCCCTATTTGCAGATGACATGGTTCCATATATAGAAAGCCCTGTAGTCTTGGCCCAAAGCTTCTTCAGCTGATAAACAACTTCAGCAAAGTTTTAGGATACAAAATCAGCATACAAAAATCTCTGGCATTCTTATACACTAATGACAGCCAAACTGAGAGCCAGATCAGGAATGCAATTCCATTCACAATTGCCACAAAATAAATAAACAAATAAATAACCTAGAAATGTGGCTAACCAGGGAGGTGAAAGGACTCTACAATGAGAATTACAAAACACTGCTCAAAGGAATGAGATAACACAAACAAATGGAAAAACATTCCACGCTAATGGATAAGAAGAATGTATATCATTAAAATGGCCATATTACCCAAAGCAATTTACAGAGTCAATGTGATTTCTATCAAACTACCATTGATATTCTTGACAGAACTAGAAAAAACATTTTAAAATTTATATGGAACCAAAAAGGAGCCTGAATAGCCATGGCAATCCTAAGTTAAAGAACAAAGCTGGAGGCATAATGTTACCTGACTTTAAACTACAAGGTTACAATAACCAAAAGCAGCACGGTACTGATACAAAAACAGACACATAGGCCAATGGAACAGAATATAGCCTCCAGAAATAAGACCATACACCTATAACCATCTGATCTTTGAAAAAGCTTCCAAAAATGAGCAATGGAGAAAGGACTCCCTATTCAATAAATGTTGCTGGGAAACTGGCTAGCTATATACAGAAGATTGAAACTGGACTATTTTCAAACGCCATATAGAAAAATCAACTCAAGAAGGATTAAAGACAAATATAAAACCTGAAGCTATAAAAACCCTGGAAAACAACCTAGGCGATACCATTCTGGACGTAAGAACAGGCAAAGATTTCATGATAAAGACGTTAAAAGCAATTATAAGAAAGGAAAAATTGACAAATAGAGCTAAACTAATTAATTAAACTAAATGGCTTCTGCACAGCAAAAGAAACTATCAACAGCATAAACAGACAACCTACAGAATGGGAGAAAATATTTACAATCTATGCATCCAACAAAGGTGTAATATCCAGTATCTATAAAGAACTTAAACAAATTTACAAGAAAAAACAACTCCATTAAAAAAGGGGGGCATGGGACATGAAGAAATACTTCTCAAAAGAAGACATACACAGTGCCAACAGTCATATGAAAAAAAGCTCAACATCACTGATCATCAGAGAAATGCAAATCAAAACCACAATGAGATACCATTTCACACCAGTCAGAATAGCTATTATTAAAAAGTAAAAAATAACAGATGCTGGTAAGACTGAGGAGAAAAGGGAACCCTTATACATTACTGGTGGGAATATAAATTAGTTCAACCATTGTGGAAAGCAGGGAGGTGATTCCTCAAAGAGCTAAAAACAGAAATACCATTCAACACAGAAATACTGTAGAACTTGGGTTATATAATAATTATATACTCAAAGGAATAGAAATTGTTCTATCATAAAGACACAGGCACACAAATATTCATTACAATGCTATTCACAATAGCAAAGACATGGAATCAACCCAAATGCCCATCAATGACAGATTGAATAAATAAAATGTGGCATTTATACATTATAGAATACTATGCAGCCATAAAAAGAATGAGATCACGTCTTTTGCGGGAACATAGATGGAGCTGGAGGCTATTATCCTTAGGAAACTAATGCAGGAAAAGAAAACCAAATTCTGCATGTTCTCACTTATAAGTGGGAGCTAAATGATGAGAACTCATGAACACAAAGAGGCAAACAACAGATATTGGGGCCTACTTGAGGAGGAGAGGATCCTAAAAAAATAACTATCGGGTACTAGGCTTAGTACCTGAGTGATGAAATAATCTGTACAAAGAATCCCATGACACTGGTTTATCTATATGGCAAACCTGCATATAGTACCCCTCAACATAAAATAAAAGTATTTTAAAACTATGAATATATTTACCTTTAATTTGAAAGGGAAAACCTCTCCCACAATTAATTGAGTCCTTTGGTGAAAAAATATTCGTTTCTATTGTGTATATATCCAGAGTGGAATCACAGGGTATGCATATGTTGATGACTAGCTGTTTAGTAATAAAAGTGATACATGTTCATTGCATTTAAACATTTAAAATAAAATAGCAAAAAGAAGAAGAAAAAATTAAACTACTTTAATCCAAGAACTCATATAAATATTGTAAAAATGTGTGGAAAGCCTTCCTGTGTGGGTGAAGGGAGAGTGTTCCCAGAAACGGGATAAGCTTACTGAAGCACAGAATTCTAGAAAATGTATCACTTTGAAGAACATAACTTTTAAGAACTGCAGAAATGATAGAATGTTAGAGTGTAAGTGTAGCAGAAGTCTAGGCAGAACTTGGTAGGAGCCTATTAATGGAGGGCCTTATAACACCCAACCTAACTTTAGCCTTTATCCTAAGAGCAATGGGAAAGCCGTCCCAAAATTTGGAGATGAGAAATAACATGATCTGATATGTGTTTTAGGAAGATCATCTCTGCCTGCAGTGTAGAGAATGGCCTGGAGTGTACCAAGACTTGAGGCAGAAAATGAGATTTTCTAGTAATCCAGGCAAGGGATGATGAGTATGTAGACAGGTAAAATGTCAGTGGACACAAATAGGGTTTGGAGGGTTATTGATAGGATTTGGGTGGTGAGACAGGGACAAGTCCAGAAGAGAGCCCAGTGTTCCTGCTTGAATTATGAAGTAGCTGGTGGTTTCATTCACAACAAGAGAAGGGGAGATCTGGAGCCAAGAGGGAGATGATGCATTGGCTTTGGATTTACTTGAGGGAGGTGAATCATAAGCCATGTAAATAAATATGTCCAGGAGACAGTAGAAACACAGTTTCTTAATTCAGGAGCAGTCTAAGAGTTATTAGTAAATAATTGGTTACTTGTGTAAAGGAATTTGAATGAATGAATAAAGAAAAAGACAGAGACAGAAGCCTGAGGAACAGCAATTAAAATAAAATGAAAGAGAAAGAAGACTCTGCAAAATAAACTGAGGCAATTGTAGCCACAGAGGAAATAGTGTAATCAGAACTGTGTAATGTCAGGGAAGGCAAATGAAGAAAGATGTACAGGAATAGGAGTGTAGGCAGCAGGGTCAACAGTTCTGAGTGGTCATATGGAAAGAAGAAGTACTAGATCTGTATACACACTCATCCTACCTAGTTTAATCAATATGAATATTCACATACCTCTAGAAGCATAAGTTTTTCAAACACTGAGAACAATTATAATTACCACTGCCTAGGTGGTAAGAATCTCACATAATATTTTATTTGAAGAAAGTTATTGATAAGATTTGGAGACTGACTTATGTGAGTATGGAATGGAAGGGCCATGGAAAGATGTCAGAGGTGGGATGCCAGGGCACAAAGCACTCTCCATAGTGAGGGGCAAGGGAGGTATAGGGGTATTCCTAACTCTGAACTCCCCTTACAGCCAATTAACACGGCTGGTAGAGAGAAAGGGATAGACAGGCATATTAGCTCATCAACTGGGAGTGATCCCCAGCAGGAGCCGAAGAGGAAAGCTGATGTCAACACTTAAATGAAATTGAAGGAGGGTAAAGGATAATATTCTGGAGGAGAAAGAGGTGACTTGCCAGGAAACAACAAGTGCTGAGAGGATGTGGAGAAATAGGAACACTTTTACACTGTTGGTGGGACTGTAAACTAGTCCAACCATTTTGGAAGTCAGTGTGGCGATTCCTCAAGGATCTAGAACTAGAAATACCATTTGACCCAGCCATCCCATTACTGGGTATATACCCAAAATATTATAAATCATGCTGCTATAAAGACACATGCACACGTATGTTTATTGCAGCACTATTCACAATAGTAAAGACTTGGAACCAACCCAAATGTCCAACAATGATAGACTGGATTAAGAAAATGTGGCACATATATGCCATGGAATATTATGCAGCCATAAAAAAGGATAAGTTCATGTCCTTTGTAGGGACATGGATGAAGCTGGAAACCATCATTCTCAGCAAACTATCGCAAGGACAAAAAAACCAAACACCGCATGTTCTCACTCATAGGTGGGAATTGAACAATGAGAACACTAGGACACAGCAAGGGGAGCATCACACACTGGGGCCTGTCGTGGGGTGGGGGGAGGGGGGAGGGATAGCATTAGGAGATATACCTAATATAAATGACGAGTTAATGGGTGCAGCACACCAACATGGCACATGTATACATATGTAACAAACCTGCATGTTGTGCACATGTACCCTAGAACTTAAAGTATAATAAAAAAAAAAGAAAAGAAAAAAAAAGAGAATGTATTTGCATATCACTTCTGTAATTAAAAATATAATTAAAAAAAAAGAAAGAGATGACTTGCAATGTGTCTCTTTCTGGCATTCTACACTGGCTGTCTTGTATGCTCTTATCATCAATAATCCTTAGGAAGCAAAGAAACACACCACTAATCCAGTGCTTTTCAGTGATAAATAGCCCTAGTAGAGTCAAGGGTATTTAGTGTATGACAGTTTAGATAATGTTTTTGATTTGATTCAAGCCAGAGTGTTTAATGGCTTAAAATTGGAACATTTCCCTGCCTTTTTTATGTCTTCCAGAGAGGGAGGTAGAATCTCTCACTACCTTTCTGGATATTATTATCATTTTTTAATTACAAGAAATTGAAAAAGAGAAGACAGAAAAGACCCCAGATCTCACACTCTGGGACTATGCTAGGCCTAGTGGATCCAGCTGCCAACAGCACGTGTGTTGTTTTCTTCTTAACCGTATTTGCTATTTTCTTTTGTTCGATTCTACAAGCACAAGTTGTGCAAAACCACTTTATGCCATCATATGGAGGAACACAGATGAAAGGCATGGCTTTTTCTTCTTCAAAAGCAGACAGTTCCATGAAGGCAGTGTCAAAATCCACCATATTTATGTCTATACTCCCAGCACCTAGTACATAAAAGGTGCTTAAAAATATTTGCCTAATGAACATACGAGTATTGCACTGAGGCCAGGCACATATCCAAGTAAGTTTAATAGAGACACTGTGATTCATGCTGTAAAAGCAGCACAGATATTGCTGATAATATCTGCAGGGAAACACTCAGATATCTGAACACAGGCACAAAACACAATCTACTTCATATTAATAATAAGCAAATAAAATTGTAGATTCATATGATGTGAAACTCAAAAATACCTTTAAGATCATCTTAGATACATTCTTGTTTCAAACTATGTCAAAGCTACACATGTTACAGGGACTCAACAATAAAATACCTCTTAATCCATGTTCTGAGGCTGAGTTTATAACGTCTGTTTGGACACTGTCATATTTACCTGTTAAAATTTGAAAAGCTTGTATTTTGCAGATCTCTCTTTGCAATAGTTGGTTTCATGTCTACAGTATTGAGTTATTCTATGGGAACCGGAAACATTCCTACCAGGTAAATATTTTGAGTATATTTGACAAAGAAATACAAGAGTGTCTGTGGGGTGACTTCACTAAACAATCAATAGAAATCAAACACTAAAACAAACAATGCAACAATATGACTGTGTGCAATGGCTCTTTGAAAAGTTCTATTTGTGAGCTGATACACTTTAATTTTTATAAAAAGTGAAGTCTCTTAAATTATAGTCTTCTGTAAAGAGATGAAGAATTAAACTGATTTCAGGGAAGCCATTTAGAATTAAACTTTTCCTTTCAAAGAAAAATTCTTGGGCAAGAAGGATAATTTAACAAGTATTTCTATTAATTCCATTAGCATCAGAACAGATTGAGGCAATCTGTTGTAGAAAAAGAGAAATGTATGAAAGGCACTCCATCCCTCCCCTGTACCAGCCCTGCCTCTGTTGCCAGTGCTATTATCTTTGGAGTTTCTATTTCCTCATCAGATAGATGAAGGAGTTGGGTTAGATTAGTTGTCTATAACCATACAATTCAAACTCCTCCTTAGCATAATAAAAATTCTGTATTATTCTTTACTATCCAGAATTATATTATATTATAATAATTATATTATTATTTACTATCCAGATTATACTGCAGAAGCAATATTATCTCTGTGCACACAAAATTTAGTGAAATTGAATATAATAATCTATCTATAAGGTAGAAATAAAGGGAAAGCAATTTATATTTAAATAATATGTATTTTATTATATAAACATTCTGGAACACATAACAAAGCAGACAGATGCTTGAGCTTTTTTATAATAAGTCTACATTTGAGAGAAGCATGTAGAGCCACTCAACATAAGAAGTATACAGAAAAGAAAGCCTAGAAATCTGAGTGTGGACAATAGAATTAAAAAAAAATTGGGATAATTAATATTAGACCTGGCTGATTTGTAGGTGACAAAAGAAAGGAAATGAAGAAAATTAGTATGACGTTTTTGTCAAAGTCACCAGAGATGTGTTGAACACATCTCTGGTGACTTTGACAGCTTTATTTGCTGTTTCTTTGAAAAATGTTATTTAATCAGGATGCTTTTACTACTTCATTTGAAAAAAAATGTTGGCAGAGTGAGCACATTGGTAATTCAAATTCCATGGGGATATAAATGAAATAGCAAGAGCTAGGAGGGTTGTTGCCTTTTATGGTGTGATCAGAAGGCCTCTCTCAAGAGGGAACATTTGCACAGAGAACATAAAGAAGCAAAAAAGATGGTCTAAAGCAGAGGAAGACTCTGAAGAAGTGTGTTGACATGTGCCAAGCAACTACAAGGAGGCCAGCTCAAGAAGTCTGCAGCAGATAGCCCAACACAAAGTGTGGTTGTGGCAGAGGATGAGGCAGAGAGGTGTGTGGGGAGTACTGGAAGTGGAGTCTTGAAATGGTGTCTTGAAAGCCACTGTATAAACTTCTGACTCTTATCTTAGTTAGATGGGAAGCCACTTAAATTTAATGTTGAGCTAAGTAGTAACATGATAAGCATTGCATTTTTACGGGAGCTTCTATTTCTTTCATTGGTTCAAAAATGAATGCGTTTATATTTGAAAATAGTGTGTAGGGCTGTAAAGGAAAATGTAAGTAGACCAATTTGACCAATTAGTAGACTATAGCAATACTGCAAGTGGGAGATGCTGGTGGCCTGGGCCTTAGTGGTAGCAGGAGAGGAACTAATAAGTGATTGAAATTTAGATATGTTAAATAGGAGCAGATAGAAGTTGCTGGTGTATTGTGTGTGGTCATGGGACAAAGGGAAGAGTCATGACTGAAACCAAGGTTGAGGCTTGAGCAACTTGAGGAGGGGACTAGGATTTATTGAAATGGAAGACTTAAGCAGTAGAAGGGCTGTGTGCAGGAGAGAAAACAGGAGTTGAATTTGCCATATTTGAGATGGCGATTAGGCATTCCAATAGTGATTGTGAAGAGGTAATTGGATAAAGAAGTATGGAGTTTGGAAAGAGGTCTGAGCTGGAAATATAAATTTTGGATTTATCAGTGTAAGATGGTATTTAAAACTATGAGATGACATGAGATTGTTAAGGGAGTGAATGCAGGAGAAAAGAGAAGAGGAGAAGGCCTGAAGTTAATGAAGTGGATTTATTTGTGGAGACTGAGCAAGAGTAGCAGAAACGTATAAAGGGAATCAAGAGAGAATGGTTTTCTGGAAATCCAGTGAAGATATATGCTTGTAGATCAGCTGTGTCCAGCATTTCTGATTGGTCATGATGAGGACTGATATTGACAATTGTCATTAGTAACACATCTTTGGTGACTTTGACAATAATTGTTTTTATGGGATAGCGAGGATGAAAGCCTTAATGAAGTAAGTTCAAAAGAGAAACAAAAACTAAGACAGTAAGTGTAGACCCTTTTTTGAAGAATTGTGCTGCAAGTGGTAGTAGAGAAGGAAGAGGCCCAGAGAGTTTTTGGTTTTTATTTATGATTTTTTAAGATGTGAGATTATAGAACTTTGTGGATAGATGGGAATAATCTTCCAGAAGAGCGCTATCCAACAGAACTCTCTGTGAGATAGAAATGTTCTATCATTCATGTCCATGCTATCCTATAGAGTAGCCGCTGGTCACATGTGGTTACTGAGCACTTGAAATGTGGCTAGTGTAACTGAGAAACTGAATTTTAAATTTTATTTAATTGTAGGCCATTTGAATTTAAATAATCACATGAGTTAGTGGCTAGTGAATTGGACAGCATAGCTCTAAAGAGAGGAAAGTTAATGAAACAGAAGAGAGAAGGTCAGCTGCTGCAGTGATAACCTTGAATAGCTGAAAGTGAAAGAAATCCCATAGAGTTGAAGGGGTTGGCCTTAAAAAGGGGCATAGTAGTTGATTCACTGTAACAGAAGGTATAGAAGTTGGTTCAGATACTGGCATGTTGGTAGAGTGGTGGTGGTGGGTGGACGAAATTTCTTTTCTGATTGCTTGTTTTGTTAAGTGAAATAGGAAGCAAGGTCTCTAGGCTGTGTGAGACAGTACAAAAGCAGTGTTGGAGTAATAGAGAGTAGAAGGGTTTTCCAAAGAGCTCCTTGAGATTAGTGGTCACGAATTTAGAGACACCAGTTTTTATGGTTTTATGTTTTTCTCCACTCATATTCAGGAGGCCAAGGTGCAGCTGAATTTACTTGGAATTAGGACTTTGGCAGAAAACTTAATCAAAGGAAAAGGGGCAAGGGAAAGATTAAACTGAAGGACCATGGAGGCTAAGCTGGTTAGGAGCAAAGCAAGAACATGAGGAGATAAAGGACAGTGAAAAGGTAGAGGAATAATGGATTGTAAACACTTTTACCTTATTAAATAAATGACTCAACATGGAGATTTTGAAGATGAAATTCTAGGTGTTTCTTGCTATCATCAATGGTCCAACAGTTTTTTTTCCTTTTTTTTACGGTAACAGTTGCAGGGGAATTTTGGATTTTTTGCATTCGTTGTTTCAGGATTCCATATGGTTGTTTTCAGGAATCCACTCCAAGTGAATTTTGTCCAATTTTTAAAATACTAGAAAAACGGCAAATTTCCAGTTTCTACTAACTTTGTGATATGTATGCACCCTGTTTAATGCTTTGTGTTTTGAAGGACAGTTTTGTACTCTCAGAATCCTGCAGGTCAAATATTATTTATACATATTACTGAGAACTATTCACATACTTTGTTTGGTGATAAAATTTTAATTAAATCAACATTATTTTACATAAACGAGTCATTTGTTAAGGCTTATAAATCTTTGAATTGTACACAGAGCTTCATTTACACATATGTATCTGGAGTGCAACCCTTTCATGACACACTTTTATGCAGACAATTTGCCTTATCTTGTGTTATTGAGTCACAAAAGCACATGGAATAACAGATGATGCTTTTACGAGATAAGAAGTGGTCATTAGCTCTGTTGTATACCTGTCATATTTAAGATCAAGACCCATAGCAAAATCAATACCATAAGTTTACAATTCTGGGTTCCCAACCTGCCTTTAATAAAAAGTCCATCTTTTATCTACTGCCTCTCAAACACTTGTTGCTTCTGAGTCAAGGCCTTTTTAGTATCTTCAAGGTTTGTGTGACGAATATGAATTTTACATTAAAATCTTAAGTATATGGGAAAATTCACATTCCTTTTACACATTCAAGTGATATTAAATTTGACCCTTACTCCCCATTCCACCAGAACTATGGGATATTTCATTTCAGTCTTTAATGGGCTCCTTGGTTTCTATCACCTTACTTCCTAGACACTTCTAAGGTCCCAGGAAACGTGTACAAAACAAACAAACAAACAAACAAAATCACAAAAAACATTTGGAGAATGTCCCCGTTGTCTTGCTATTCCTAAAAGACACATTTTCCAAACCCACAGTGTCCATTGAATTGCAGAGCTGCATGTTTGGAGCACCGAAAGCCAAAGCATGGAACACAGATCAGGAGACCACAGTTGGAGTTCAGAAATTTTTGCCAAGTTGAAAACTCCAATCTTGGGTCTAACTTTCCTATGTATAAAATACAACCATTTTCCCAGAATCCTGTCACCTCTCTAGGGACCTGACAGGAGAGGTCCATGGTCCTCATTCTGAGTAGAAAGTCATATGTTTATGTACTTCTTTTCTTTTTTTCTTTTTTCCTTCTTTTCTGAAATGGAGTCTCGCTCTGTCGCCCAAGCTGGAGTGCAATGGTGCGATCTCAGCTCACTGCAACCTCCGCCTCCTGGGTTCAAGCGAGTCTCCTGCTTCAGCCTCCTGAGTAGCTGGGATTATAGGCGTGAGCCACCACTAATTTTTTTTGTATTTTTAGTAGAGATGGTGTTTCACCATGTTAGTCAGGCTGGTCTTGAACTCCTGACTTCGTGATCCACCTGCGTTGGCCTCCCAAAGTGCTGGGATTACAGGCTTGAGCCACCGCATCCAGGCTTATGTATTTCTTAGTCCTGGATAATGTACCTTCTCTTTCCTTCTCAGGTCTCTTTCTGCTCAAAGATACTCTTCTCTTTATCCTCTCCACTCCAGAATTGCTATGATAACCTCAATTACTTTAGGCTTTTACAAAAAATAAAATGCTTTATTTAGATATATTCTGCTTTAGACCCAATTAATTTGGAGCTCCCCTAGGGCAAGAGAGTACAAAGTGGGCAGGGAGCACAAAACGTAAAACAATGACTCCATAAAGTATGCTCCCCAAGCTTGGAAAGACCATCTCCATGCTGATCTGAGCTTTGGCCCTGACCTACCTGCTATTCAGTTAGTCATGTGCTGCAGGAGAGTAACAAATGCAGCACATTCTGAAATTCTCATTCTTAATGCTGTTATTCACCTGAGTAGGGTAATATCTAATTAGAGCTTTGCCACTAAAACTTACTGTGGCATCCAGTTGCACGTAGCAGGACTAACAATGTACCCTATTGCTTATTCCTGGAAGAAAACAATAGCAAATTCCAAAGGCCTGTTCTGGCAGGACTGCAGCCAGAATGACCTACTTCTCTAATGCCCTACTGGCCTACTAAAATAACTGAGGTTCTGAGCTGTGTCATAAGATCACCTACAATAACAGCTGCTCAGGAGATCAAGCTCCAAAGGAGGAAGCACATTTCTGCTTCACTGAGTTGAGCCAGAATCTCCATTTAATGGTGCTTTCAGTGAAGACAAATGTGGTTCAGGGGAAAATAAACCTCCTAATTCATGGGGCTGACAATATAAGACTTATAACAAACGGAAAAACTCTTTTTGACCTTGTGAACAGACTCAGAGATAGGCTCTTGAGTTTCTCCAACTCTGTACTATATTTTTTAGATATTGGCTATATATTTTATTTTTTTTTTAGATTTCAATAGCTTTTAGGGTACAAGTAGCTTTTGATTACATGGATGAATTGCATAGTGGTAAAGTCTGAGATTTTAGTGCACTCATCGCCCAAGTAGTGTACATGGTACTCAAGATGTAGTTATTTCACCCCTTACCTCCCTCTAACCCTCCCTGCTCTGAGTCTCCAAAGTCCATTACATCACTATCTATGCCTTTGCAAACCCATAGCTTAGCTTCCACTTATAAGTGAGAACATACGGTGTTTGGTTTTCTATTCCTAAGTATAAGCCAGTATAGTTCACACATTCATTATAATAGCAGTCCAATGTTTTAGCTTCCTGTTTGTTAAAATAAAAATTTGAAAGCAGAATAAATCGACTTTCTTTTTAAAGTAGACCTCAGTATTTCTGAATGATCAATGCTTGGAAGCAAGATCAAGTAATTATTTTAAAACTGTCCAAGGCCGGGCATGGTAGCTCACACCTGTAATCCCAATAGTGTGGGAGGCTAAGGCAGGTGGATCACTTGAGGTCAGGAGTTCAAGACCAGCCTGGCCAACATGGGGAAATTGTCTCTACTAAAAATACAAAAATTATCCAGGCATGGTAGCGGGCACCTGTAATCCTGGCTACTTGGGAGGCTGAGGCAGGAGAATCGCTTGAGACCGGGAGGCAGAGATTGCACTGAGCTAATATTACTGAGCTCTGTCACTAGGTGACAGAGCAAAACTTCATCTCAAAAACAAAACAAAACAAAAAACTGTCCAAAACTTACTTCGTGAGCTTCCGTAGTAAACATAGATTTATTTATTTATTTTTTTTGGTGGGGGGCATACTTGTTCATTGTTCTAGTGGCACGCTCCCTAGACAGGTAAAGTCAATTCTGGGACTGATTCTTTTTCCTTAGGAAATCTTAGATGTTTTGAAAAATACTCCAAAGGTTTCAAACTGGAATATTATGAAACATCCTGTTTAGAACCTTAAAAAGGGAAAGGTATGCATAAATATTATATGGCGATAGTTTTCTCCTTCTCTTTTCTCCACTTTTCCTCCTCCCTCTCCTTCTTTTCTTTCTTCTTTTTCTTCTCTCCATCCTTTCCTCCTTTTCTTTTTTCCCTCCTCTTCCCCTTCTTTGTCTTCTTGTTCTTTCCTCTCCTCCCCCTGCTTCTCCTTCTCCTTCAGATTATCTGTTTCCCCCAGCCTACAGGGAAATCTGGGGTTCTGTGTAGGGCAGTGAAGGTGGTGAGTGGGGGCATCCTTTACTTAGAGAAAAGAGTAGGTGGAAAATGGGAACTTTGAATTAAGAAAAGAATTGCTAGCATCCTAGCTTGAAGCTACATTATTCAATATTGTGGCTTTATTTCCAGAAATAAGTGACTTGTATATGAATGTCTGACCATTCTTTCCAGTAAGCCAATGTACTACTTGCATTCTTGATTATGAGCCTTACCATCTTGAATCTCAGTCATATCCATATGATAAAACTATGCTAGGTGATAGGGATCCAAAGCTGAATGGTCCATGATCCCTGCACCGAAGAAACTCATTGTCAGTAATGGCAAATAAAAATAATTTGAGCTATATTATAGAGCTAAGTGGTAATAGTTAACACTTCAATTTCAATTTTTACAGAAAATTGTGAAGCATGTCTATAATATATTGTTTAAATAAAGTAGTCCAAGATCATACAACTATAGGATGTTACTCAAGGCTTGAACTGGCACGGTTTATGAGACAGCACTTGAAGTTCTGAAGAATGACAGAGGAAGAAGAACCTGAAGCCAATGACAGCTTCCGAGGGGAAATCATGTTTCAGCTTAGTCTTGAAGAATGCACAGTAAACTCTGCATCCCTGGTGGACAAGACAGTTGAGGACATTTCATGTGGAAGAAAAGGAAGGAAAGAGATTGTGAAAAAAAGAGATCATTACAGCAACTCTTGATATTTAATATGTCAAGTCCTCTTTCTTTGTTCTTAGTTCCATTGGGTAATTTTCTATATATATGTTGATATCAATTTGTTTTAATCAGATAATTGACCGAGGAAACATATATATATATATATATATTTTTTTTTTTTCGAGACAGAGTCTTACTCTGTCACCCAGGCTGGAGTGCAGTGGCGCGATCTCAGCTCACTGCAAGCTCCGCCTCCCGGGTTCACGCCATTCTCCTGCCTCAGCCTCCCGAGTAGCTGGAACTACGGGGGCCACCACAACGTCTGGCTAATTTTTTTGTATTTTTAGTAGAGACGGGGTTTCACCATGTTAGCTAGGATGGTCTCCATCTCCTGACCTCGTGATCCACCCGCCTTGGCCTCCCAAAGTAATGGGATTACAGGTGTGAGCCACCACGCCCGGCTGGAAACATAACTTTTAATAACCTCAGAAATAGACTACTGTATGAACACTTGATATGAAAGAGGTAGCATCATATAACGTGGAAAAAGGTGCTGGGACAATTGAGTACCTGTATGGGAAAAAATCAAACTGGACCCTGTATTGTATGCCGTGGTGCCCTTCCCAGTTCTCCCCTTCAGAGTGATGACACTAATTGTTCCAGCTGCAATATTGCTGGTTGACAGGTCGCAGCTGAATCACTCCTCAGGAATTGCCCTTGGCCTAAAGGAGCTGCCTTGCTGAAGGCTGTGGTCCCTCCCTGAAGGCAGCTCACATCGAGACTAGCTGATGTGGGGATACAAATTCTATCAATTTGAGACAAGCTGAAAGCTATTATGGGACCTGCCAAGGCCTCCACTGCATATGCTTCACCATTCGTTTCTCCTCTGCCCAAATCTGCCTTCCTCACCTTTTTTCAGGTACAGTTCCCATGCTCATGGTCCAATAAACCACATGTTTACAAATCACCATCTCAGAGATCTTCCCAGGGAGGTCTACCTAAGACCCCTAACTTACACCATACCCCACAATCAGCTCCAGGTAAATTAAAACTAAAGTACAGAAAGATGGAAATAATTTGCACAAGGTTATACATCTGAACGAGAAAAGAGCTGAGATTTAAACCTGAGAAGTCTGGCTCTAGAGTCTCTGCTCTTAATCCCTAATGGCAAATAAAATAAACCACTTATGGCTGCATGGAATGTCATGGATGAATTACACAAACACATTGTGGAGCAAATGAAGCAAGGCACAAAAAAATACAAAAAGTATGATTTCACTTACGTGAAGCACAAAAGCAGGCAACATAAGTTGGATTGTTTAGAAATGCATACACAGATAGTAAAGATATAAAGAAAGGCAAAGGAATGACTATGGAAAAAATCAGGAGGTGATTACTCAAAGGGAACAGGAAGAGGTGAAATAGGGGAGAGGGTTCTGAGAATGTTGGTAATGTGTTATTTCTTCATCTGAATGGTGGTTACACATATGAACATTTACCATTTATTTGTGTTTAACATTTATAATAATGGTTTTAAACTATAGGTATGTGTTCTTTTCTTTCTTTCTTTTTCTTTTTTTTTTTTTTTGAGATGGAGTCTTGCTCTTGTTGCCCAGGCTAGAGTGTAATGGAGAGGTCTCTGCTTACTGCAACCTCCACCTCCCGAGTTCAAGCGATTCTCCTGCCTCAGCCTCCCAAGTAGCTGGGATTTACAGGCATGTGCCACCATGTCCGGTTAATTTTTGTATTGTTAATAGAGATGGGGTTTCACCATGTTGGCCAGGCTGGTCTTGAACTCCTGACCTCAGATGATCCACCTGCCTCGGCCTCCCAAAGTGCTGGGATTACAGGTGTGAGCCATTGCACCCAGCCAGATATGTGTTCTTTTCACTTTTTTTTGTGAATGTGACATATCTTACAATTAAAAAATTGGAATAGAGAAATCCATGGTGAGAGGTGAGATGACTGCAGTAGAGAACCCTGTGAAAGATATGCTAAGGGTCAGGGTCACAGGGCTCTGTGTATAAGTGTTAGAGAGGGTTTTACTTCTTTTCTCTTCAGCCTTCACCATAAAATTTTGCAGAAGCCTTCACAAGTTGTCTGGTTATGAGCAAGCAACTCTGAAGTCCTGGTGATCCAGAGAGGTGTTGCTTCTGATCTCTTTTCACTATGGAGCCACAGAGAGCTGAACTTCCCATCTCCCAGGGGAGCTTTGAGGCCCATGTTTTAATTTGCCTGCCTAGCTTTCTCTCCTGCATGGCGTTAGGCATCTCGGAGGCAACATTCTAAAACAAAACTCATCAGTAGCAGGATGAGCCTTGAAAATTCTTTCTTTTTCTTCCTGAGATTGAGTTCATATAGCATGAAATCATAAGGAAAACAAACATCCTTGTAACATAATCACACATGAGATGGCCACAAGATCTGAGTAGTATGAAAGGTCTGATTACCTTGCAGGTACTACTTCCCTCCAGGACAGCTCCCTCTCATCCTTTGCTCCTATGTCATTTGGCAGGCAAAGAGTTGGGGATAAAGGGCTAATACTGAGGTTAAAAGGAGGGAACCACTGGAAGTCCTGAGCAAAGGGGGTTTGGGGTAGAAGAAAAGAGTAGGATGAGGGGTATGAGGGTCCTTAACCAACTTTAGGGAGTTGACCAACTGAGTGAACTGAAAGTCAACAACTGTGATATTGCAACAGTATGAGAAATGTGTGCCCAAGGCAGTGACTAGGGTTCAGACACCACCCTGGACTCCCAAGTCATTCCTACCTTATATTTTTGTAATTCTTTCCAGATATTTGTCAAACTAAGATTTAGGCCATGTAGGACAAGGATTGATCTGTTCCCTGTCATCCTCAATGGGAACACAGTTCTGGAGGCTCCACATACATTCAGTTTACCGACTCTACAAGCACATGTTAAGCATCAAGTATCTGAATAGGGCTCTGAAAGCCACAGATAGCACAATTCTTTCTATCAAGGAGCTCACAGTGTGGCTGAGGAGGCAACAGGCTATCTGACAAGGAGAGTGCCAAGCCCTTCTCAGGATGTGGGATAGGTCTCAGGGATAGCCCCTGTCTTAAAGAGTATACCTATGAGTTAAAATACATAATCATGAAAGAGAAAACTGAGATGAAGGAGTGTTAGACTTGAAGTAAGAGTTTTGGAAAAAAATTCTAGGAGAAATAGTTGAAGAGCTGAGTTTTGAAAACGAGTAGTTATTATTGTTACATTGAATTTAATTATCTTTCTGAAAAAAAGTTTTCTTTAAATTTATATTTTTTTCTTCTCACAGCTTTTATAGTGTCGTGCTTTGAATCCAGTAAGTGCATAAGGAATTGGGGAAGGACGTTTGGGGAAGGGGCTGGAGTAGTTTTAAAGGTTAAGACTTCCAGAAGGGACATGTAAGCATACATATATAAGCATTTATTTCTTTCAAATATGACTTCTTGGGCAATTAATGGAATAACACTTTAATTAAAGTCCTTTTATGATAACATAGAGCAGTGGAGCATGGCTAGGAAAAATGAAGAATCATACTCTTTCCTATCTTGATTCTTCAATGGATTCTTGAAAAAGTGTAAGAAGAGGTAAACTCATTATTTGATAGTTTAGAAACCTAGCCAACTCTGCAGGCATTTATCAAGACATTTCAATTGTTTGGTTTTATGAAAGTCTTTGTTTCCATCATTATTGCAAAGAATAAACTTTTATTTGTTCACTGAAGAGTTTCTAAAGCGTTGGAATTTTAGCAGCAGGAAATTCATTTCTCAACTTGCACTTATCGCCTAAGAGGCATCAAATTGCTCATGAATTAATAGGCTAAAAGGCCTTATTGTTTCCTGGTGGGACTCTTTCACAGCGCTGGAGAAAACTGAATACCAAGTGTTGCTCATCATGTGTCTTGGGATATGTTACTGAGGGTCTGAGATTTACATAGAATTTATAGGAAGCAATGAAACCGAGTTAAGTAGAGAGGAATCTAGATCCTAGAACAATGCTGTGGAGTCAGAAGGCTGTGCCAACAGAACCTTTAGCTACTACTTCTTTCGCACATGCACTGAGTCAGAAAATGCTGTTTCATGGGCTGTAGCTACTTGTCAGGCCACTGACTCAACAAACTGAAATATTAGCCAAGTAAAATGTTGCGCAATTCCAGCTGCTCATTCATAGCACAATCTGTAGCCTCAGATTTGCCAGTCTTAGTCGACTAAGAGGAGCCGACATGAGGCAAAAGGAGAAACAGTCTGACCTTAGCTATAAAGGACAACAGGATGCCAGCACACTAGGGTCATGAGTGCTCTTTTCCTCTTTCATTGAATTGGCGGGCCCATGACTAATTTATGCAAATATGACATGGAAAATAATTTCTTGAAGAGAGCTGCTTTGTGCCAAATTCTCCCTGCTTTTCTTTTGGTCTGGTCTATGGATGATATTAGCTTATTTTAGGGTCAGGCTTCCAATTTTCCTGCAAGACAGGGCCAAGAAATGTTTATTTCACAAAGAGGCCAAGGTCTCAGATGCAAGACTACAACTGAGTGAGGCCCCAGAGGAGGATGACAATAGAAGATGGTTTCACTGGCATTCCATTCCTTTCTCCTCCCCACACCCAATCTCAGAGTGGCCATGGTTCACTGAAGGAATAGTAATTGTCATTTAAACCTGGGAACAGTGGTGCTTGGTACTTGAGGGGTGACTCATTTAAATTTATTCACGTTCCCACTGGAAAAACTCTCTTCTCTCAACTAACAGGATATGAATACCAATTCCCTAAGGTCATTAAGATACTAGAAGGAACTTTCATTATAATAAAATAAAGTATCTAGAAAAATTATTCTGCAATAGGAGAATGATAGTCCCTTGGTTCTATAGGAGCCCATTGTTGGTCAACAAGCGTTTCCAGGCATCGCTTACAGTCCCTCTGAATTCTACCTGCGATGCGGTCTAAACATACTGCTCCTCCACCTGCACTGTCTTGAACTGGGTGGCTCCATTTTTTTCCCTAGATTTCATTCATTTTCTTTTTCTCCATCTAGTTAGCTCTGTTGGCAGAGAATGTTTGTCCTAGAGTTTGTTCTCATTGGACTGCTTGGTGAAGGTGGTTCTTTTAACACAAGCTGTGGCTCTAGAAATGAAGCATTAAAGATCGAGTATTTATTCCTCATGGGCTAGACATCCTTTTCCATGTGTTGAACTGCTATAGCATTCTGTATTCAAGTAGGAATTCCCAGTAATTAGCTCTGGGTCCACTTTTATTGCTCCCAATCCATGTCTACTGGAAACACTGAGTTCTGAGCAATGACTAATGTCTGCATGCCCTGGTGAATGAATGATCATAAGTGAAGGTGGAGAGAAATAGCACTTCACAGGTGGAAGGGACCTAAAAAATAAATCTGCCCCATCTCTCTCAATTTCCTGATGAACAAAGAGATATTCAGAGAAGTTACTCATTCACAGTTGCTTGTTGGTGGTAGCCAAGTCTCTGATATCCACTTCTAAGGCACTGTTAGTTACACTATGATGTCTATTATCTTAACATTATGAAAAGGGTTGCAATAAAATATATTCAGTTCTACAAATAGTTATTGATTCTCTCCTATGTACAACTACAGTTTATCATATGCTGGTCACAGATGTCAGTGCTGGGGATACCCACAAAGTCTTTGCTCTCCTGGAGTTCACATTTAACCCAAGGATAGATTACAAGAAAAACACGATTTGTATTATGGTTATGACCTTTAGTTGTCACACTATGCAATGAGATAATTTGCACTGGAAATGGCTGGCTGCATGTTGCTTTACAAGTGTAGTAAGCATGTTATCTTCTGTCTTCTGTGGCATTCCAGATTTAAAACTCTTCTGCTCCATGAGTGCATGCTTAGGGCCAGGTATCCTGTTTTCTGGTTCTGAAGATGTGGTCACAGTAATCATGGCACTTGGCAGGGTAGGCTGTTTAGAAGGCATGCAACAAGCAACTGGAGGAAACCAGAGAGAAAGCCAAAGAAGAAAGTTATCCAAAACCAGTTGGGAAAATTTGTTTTATACTATTTTAGATTATATATATATATATATATTTTGCTAAGGAGTTATAGTAAATCAGAGTTTTCTGTAAATATTTTTTGTAAAAAATTAATTACCTCATGAAATAGAAAATAAAGGAGTTGAGGGGAGCACTGAAGAGACTCCAGCAATGTGGCCACTGGAAGGCAGCTTCTCTGTAGAAAGGCCTTGCCTTAACCCTGGTAAAATAACCCCTCAGACCTTTTTTGCCTTTGATTTCAAGCTTTTTTCAAAAAAAAAAACAACAAACAAAAAAAACCCACAACATTCTACTGACTGGATTACAGCGTAGAACGCTGGCATTCTGAAGGTTTTAAATAAAATATTACTAATGCCACTATATATATAAACCAAATTGTCTGAATTCTTCTAGGCAGCAACTGTGTCTATAACAGTGACTTGATAATTTAGACAAAAGTAATCCATCAAAGAAAAGTTATCCATGTGTTCCACATATGCCATGCTAAGTAGTCTGTCCTCCACAGACAAGACCTAGTCCTTGCCCTAGGGTAGCTTATATCCAGATGGAGAGACAACATGAGATAGATACTCCTGGTCAGATATTCTTAGTAGCAAATCAGACTAAAGGCCACAGTAAGTCCAGAACCTTAGTTTCCAACGACATAAATGCAGAAAACTTGTACACTCTAACTCATTACACTGATGTGATGATTATAATATGCATAAAGATGTCTAGATTACAGACTTTTGAGAAGTCACAATCAGGATCCTATTTGAGTTAAGTAGAATATCTGATTAAAACATCTATGTTGAGTACCTACTATGTGGCATATAGTAGGTGCTCAGTATAGATGTTTGCTAGCTATTTAATTTGATTGATCCCATGAGGGCTCACATTTCATGATGCTTTACAGCACAGGTCCCCAGTCCCCGGGCCTGGACCAGTGTGTGACCTATTAGGAACCAGGATGCACAGCAGGAGGTGAGTGGCGGGTGAGCAAGAAAAGGTTCATTTGTGTTTACAGCTGCTCCCCATTGCTTGCACTACCATCTGAGCTCCACCTTTTGTCAGATCAGCTGTGGCATTAGATTCTCATAGGAGCACAAATCCTCCTGTGAACTGTGCATGGGAGGGATCTCGGTTGCATGCTCCTTATGAGAATCTAATATCTGATGATCTGTTACTGTCTCCCATCATCTGCAGATGGGACCATCTAGTTGCAGGAAAACAAGCTCAGGGCATCTACTGACTCTACATTATGGTGAGTTTTATAAGTATTATCTCATTATATATTACAATGTAGTAATAATAGAAATAAAGTGCACAATAAGTGTAATGTGCTTGAATCACCCCTAAACTATCTCCCTACCCCTTGTCTGTGGAAAGATTGTCTTCCATGAAACTGGTCCCTGGTGCCAAAACGGTTGGGAACCGCTGCTTTATAGCACTCAAGATAAGCAAAGTGCCTGCAGCCAAGGATGTGAGTCACCAGAACTAGGTGGAAGAACCACTCTGAGAAAGAAACTGCTAGCACAGGAAAGCAAAAACGACTTCCTCTTGCAATCGTGTCTTAAGAATTTCTGTTAGAATTTTCTTTTCCATTTCTTTCTCTTTTTTATTTTCTTTATAAACTTTTAAAGCCAGTTTCACAACTTGCATATAAAGAATGTCAGCTGCTTTATTAGTGGTGTTCCACTTGGCACTTATAGGGAAGCCGGGCAGTCCCGGTTCTTAGGATAAACACACTTTATAGTGGATTTTCTTTATCCAGCCCAGCAGGCTGGCTCTTTCCTTGGGAATAATATTGGGCATGTGATTGTTCCATCTTCAGATCCTGTATCAACCCGCACATGCTCTTCCAGCTTGCAGCTTTCAAAACCAAAGACATGGCTCCCAAACTAGCTACTTTCCAAATCTATTTTAATGAAGGTGCTTCAGGGAGCTGATGATACCAATCCACAAAACAATTTCACAGGGAGAACTGGGCCCATTGTCTCAGCTCTGTGTCTTAGTAGCTTTGCAAAAGATCATTTCCCAGAGCCTGAGTTTCCAATGACATAAATGCAAACAATTTGTAAAATCTAACTCATTACACTGATGTGGATGATTATAATATGCATATTGATGTCTAGATTGCTGACTTTTGAGAGTATAATAAAGCAAATGTTACAAAGAAGGTGAAAATGCAAATATATATTAAGAATCTGCTTTAAGCTAGGCATGTGCTGGCTTTATATATGGTTCTATTTATTTGATTTTTAATACAATTTTATAAGAAGAGAGTATTAGTTATATTTGATAGGTAAAATAATGAGGACTCAGTTATTCAGAGTCACACAGGCAGCAAACAGAGGGATTGGGATTCTACTTATAAACGATTTGACTTTATACCAGTGCTCTTTCAACTGGACTAGGTGGCTGCTGCCACACAATAAATCACACCATCAGAGAATCTTCTAGGTAACTGTTTCACTAAAATGCAATTTCTCTGAACAAAGAACGACAATTTTTGGCCAGGAGAGACATTCTGAGACTATACAAAAGTATACAAGGATCACTTACCTTCTTAAAAAATATTGTTCTGCCTGTGATCCTTTTAGAAAATAGAAAACAACAATAGAAAACTCCAGTGGAGATTTAAGAATTTAGTTCAGAACATTACATTCCTTTAGATTATAGTTTAGCAAAAATTGGTGGATTATTCATTTATGAAAAAGATTAAATCTCTGACAACGTACATAATAAAAACTACCATACATATTGATATTTAATTTAATAAATATCAATACATATTAATATTTAATTGATTTATTGAAAAGAATAGAGAGATTGGGCAAGGTTGCTAAGGGTCAGGTTCACTCTGACAAAGGTCTGGTCTCTCTGATTTCCACCATTGCTTAACTTATTCCAAAATATGTAGCCTCATTTTAAGGTAAATAACTATGAGACGAGAGACAAGTGTGAAAACATTGTGTTTTCTTTCCAGGACGCTGAATTGAACTGATGTCATTGTAAAAAGGGAAATGAGTTCTCTGGCTAGGTTTGGGGAACAAACCTCAGACTATCAAGAGTTCTTGAATTTTGTGACCAGTGTCCTGAGCAATTGGCTTCATCTAGGCCTCAGATCACAAAACAGAGTTGTATAAAATGGAAAGTGCAATGCTTTTTTAGTAAAATAACTTTTCTCTTCCTTCCTTTCTTGCTTTTTTCCTTCCTTCCTTCCTCCCTCCCTCCCTCTCTTCCTTCCTTCCTTCCTTCTTTCCTTCCCCCACTTTTTTTTTGGCAGGGGGATAGAATGTAAGACTATATATATCAGATAATTCTCTGGGCTACATTTTAAAATTTTCATCTGATAATTTACTTTTGTTTCTGTGTGGTAGGAGTGAGAGCTCTCAATTATTTAGCACTAATTGTGTGCCAGGTTCCATCTGAAGGCTTGACAAGAGTCACCTTAATTCTTTGCCATATTTTGAGGTAGATACTACTGGCACCATTTTTTAGACTGAGAAAGGAGATGTAGAAAGGATAAGATGTTGTCCAAATCCACATTGACAGTAAGTTTTGGACATGAGTCTTTAATCTAGCAATATCCGACTTTAGAGTGTGTTCTTAAGCACTACTCTATAAGTTTTAAGCAGCTCCTTTATGATGTCATTGAACCGGGTTTTCCAGTCACATTATACATGTGGAGATTAAGACCCATAATAACAATGACAACACTTTCATAACAGTTCATCTGTGTTAACATACAAATTCTCGCAGCAACACTCCAGGTAAGTGCTCTTTTTATCTCAGTTTTATGGATTAGTAACTGAATGCAGAGAGGTTAAGCAACTTGTCCAAGATCACATAGGAGTAGGTAGTAGAATTGGGATTTAAAGCCACACTCTTAACCACAATTCTACTCTGTCCCTCTGAGTTATAAATTTAATTAGTATGACATAAATATATGTGCAGCTCTTTTAAAGATTTACTGTGCATATTTTTAAAATTGTTACAACATAAGCATTCTAGGCTTTTATTAGTCCTCCAACTTTAACATTTATGCTTTCATTTTTATCTTGTAAAGTCTTAATTTATAATAAAAAATGGATGTGTACTGTCCCATATGTCTTCTTTATTTATTTATTTATTTATTTATTTGAGATGGATTCTCCCTCTGTTGCCCTGGCTGGAGTGCAGTGGTGCCATCTTGGCTCACTACAACCTCTGCCTCCTGGGTTCAATCGATTCTCCCACCTCAGCCTCCCAAGTAGCTAGGATTACAGGCTCCCACCACCAGGCCCAGCTAATTTTTTTGTATTTTTGGTAGAGACAGGCTTTCACCATATTGGCCAGGTTGGTCTTGAACTCCTGACCTCATGTGATCCGCCTGCCTTGGCCTCCCAAAGTCCTGGGATTACAGGTGTGAGCCACTGCACTGGCCCCGTATAAAGAGGAAGATTTTCCAAACACTGATGAAACCTCTAACAACATACTCTGCAGTTCATAGATCGTTCCTACCTAGAATTTAATTCGTATATGCATACTGTTTCTTCAAAGCATTAAGAATGTGCAAACAAGACTTCTTGGAAAAATGAGGCATATGGCATGCACAGTCATGAGCTTCATGGCAGGAGGGCAAGGGGAACACTAAGTCACTTGGGGCCATGAGAAAGGAACTCTGGTCCTGTCCTGTCCTTTCCCAGAGCAGGGATCCTAACACTTCTAAGAGAAGGGCCATTGGTAGCCTCTAGTTCTCAGAACTGTTTGTCCGCTAATGAAAATTAACACACTTGATTTTGGACAGGTTAATGTGAGATATCTATTATTTCCCCAGTGAGATATCATGTTGGCAGTTGGATATATTCAAGTCTTGAGTCAGTTGATACCGACTAGATAGATAGATACATAAATACATACATACATAGAAAATATTAACAGCAAAATGATGCTGATGGCTCAGGATGTGTGTTGAGACAGACAGAACTGGGTTTTGTCATTCAAGCCGTTATTCACACCCAGTGTCACCTAGGCCAAGGTTTGAGCTGCAATTACTTCAACTGTGAAATGAGGTTTCCTTCAACAGATATATATTGAATGCCTAGAATGTTCCAAGCACTGTTCTAGGTACTGCATAGAGCAGTGAAAAAAAAAAAAAACCTGACAAAATCTTCGCCCTTCTTAAGTTTATATTCTAGTGTGTGTGTAGGAAGGAGGGGAACATGGAAAGTCAGGTACTAAATTGGTGAAAAGGGAAAATATATAGTATGTCAGATGCTTACAAGTATTAAAGAATAAAATAATGCAGAGAAGGTGAAAGGAAGTATTTGCTGCAGGAAGAGATGAGGAGCTGAAGATGGTGAGAGTTAGAATTGTAAATAGGACAGTCAAAAAAACCTTCACAGAGAAGCAAAAATTCTAAGGCAGGAGAGGGAGGGAGTCAGGTAGCTATCTGAGAGAAGACTGTTTCAGCAGATGGAAACAGTCTTCAACAGAGGAAAGAGCTATTGCAAAGACTCAACGCCTTGTGAGATAAAGGGAAAAAAATCAATGTAGCTGAAACAGACTGAATGGAAATCAAGAGGCCATAGAAACCACAGAGGGGTTGAAGATGTCACTGCAGTTTTAGGCTGAGAGACTGGAAAGATGGAGCTACTGATTACTGAAATGGAAAACTCTTTGGGAGGAGTATATAATTTTGGACAAGTTAAGTTTGAGATTTCTATTGCTGCCCAAGCGAGTTGTCAAGGAGCCATTTGGATAGTCATATCTGGAGTCAGCAAAGGAGACCAGGCTGTACATACACATGTGCAAATTGTCAGCTTTTGAGGATATTTATAGCCACAAAAAGTGGGGATAGGTAGAGAAGGAAAGAGGTCTCAGTTCCAAGGGATTGGAGTTGGCTACTGTTTAGAAATCTAGGAGGAACCAGCAACAGAATGACAGAGAAACCAGCAACAGGGTGGTAGAGAAAATTCAGGAATGTGTAGTATCCTGGAAGCCAAAGGAAGAGGAAGAGAAAGTAAGCTTCTACGTGAAATGTTGCAGATAAGCTACTTTCTTCACAGCATTACTGCATGAGTTAAATAAAATGCTATTTGTACAAAACAGCATAATATCTGGCACAGCACTGCAGGTAAAGCTTGTTTTCATTTTCTACAATGAAGTTTTAAATGAATATTTAAAAATATATTTTGGACTTCTCAAAGCAAAATGTAATCCCATTTATAATTTCATAAAGACATTTTATCTGCTAATATCAGGACATCATTTTCTCAAACACAATGAAACTTTTTAAATGTGAGAAAATAAAATACTTCTCAGAGGTATTTCATAAAAGCTTAAGATAGACTCTTTTTGCCTCATAACTTTTATGTATAATTTAATAAAAGGTAGTAATGAGAAAATCAGATCTAATATATAGAATTTTGTTTCATAACCAAATTTTTAGAAATAAGTCATCTTATATATTAAAGAATAGCTAGAAGGAGAGAGGGATGAATTTTATGTATAAAATTTATGTATAATAATTTTTCCTTATAAAATTTATGTATAATTTTATAAAAGGTAATAATGAGAAAATCAGATCTAATACATAGAATTTTGTTGCATAATCAAATTTTTAGAAATAAATTATCTTATATATTAAAGGATAGCTAGAAGGAGAGAGGGATGATGAAAGGAAAAGAACAAGACATTTTTCATGCTTACTCTGTGTGACACGCTCTGCAGGGCGCTTTATGTGTGGATCTTTTTTAGTCTGCATATTAACCCTACAAGTTGGAAATGGCTCCTCTCAAACACTGGAGATAGAGCAGCCCAAATGTATCTGCTACTGTGGTGCCTTCCATGTGAGTATTTTCTCCAAATGCTAATTTGGAGAAAACAATTTATATGAACGGAGACACTATTACTTATTTGCCCTCAAAAATGAAAGTGACCCAAGGCTGGAGATAGGAATTTGTCCCAAACAATGTCTTCAGCCACCCCTCCAAACAAAGTTTGAAAGGGATGTGAATAAGTAAATGCAGAATCAGAATTTTCTATCTCTTCTGGCCTAAGTTCTTCATTTCTTAGTTGAAGATAACCAAGGCCAAATCACGTAATCAAATGACAGAAAATTATTCTGGAGACACAACCAGGCATATCAGATCTGTCTGTTTTTGGCTTGTGATGTCCACACACAACACCTGTGAACAGGTGCACTCAGCCTACCAGGAAATGCACTCATCATGTGTCATCTACAGATTTTCTCAAGACTAGAGCATTTGTGAGAAATGACCGTAAGGCTTTCCCTGTGGAGTTGAATACAAAGATTGAACATAGACATTTTGAATAATCCTAGTGACTTGCGGATCCAGTTTCCATAGAGCACTAGTTTCTCTAAGGCCACAGTCACTAAATGAGGTTCCATGGCAGGTGTAAAATCTCACTGGGTGATTGTGTCATGCTGTGCTTACAGCACTATGTTGGGGGAGAAGAGAGGAAAACCTATTATTGAAATCTGTGCTATTTTACATGACCTTTTAATTACTTATTTTTAAAACATCTCTCCTTCTAGAATGCAAAACTCTCTGAGGAGCTGAGAATATGTCTACTGCTACCAAAATTGTAACCCCCATCATCTAGTAAAGAGTTGGTACACGGTGAACATTTGCTGTGGGAATGTATTCTGCTTCATTCCAGAGGCCTGCCAATTCTTAATCTCACTATAGGCTGAAGAGCTGCTCACATAGAATACTTGTAGTGACTTCCATTTTCACCAGTTTAGATCAGTGGACAGAGAGATGCTGAATTACTGCTCAAGAAGTATAGATCCACATGCCTTCAACTTCAGAATCTTAAATTAGAGGCGAATGTTGAGTCTACTAAACTGTATAGTCTGTAAAGGCAGGAACTGTATTTATCTCAGTCATATTTAATCCCAAGAGTCTTCATAGTACCTGGCCCATATCCGTTGTTCAATAATTGGTTTTTTAAATACCTAACTTATTAAACAATGTGTTTGATTAAACAGCAGTGACAAAAAAGGGCTTACTCAGTCTTAAGTGCTAGAAGTAAAGACAGTCATGAGGGGCTTGCAATGAGCTCCACTGGGGGGAATTTTTCTTCTTCACATTTTTGTACAATGAATGTCATCACAGGACACAGCAGATACCCAAGAAATATTATTTTAAGGTATACTATACTCAAAGAAAACCAGGAAAGCCAAAAGACTCTTAATTAATAGAAAACTGCTGAGTCAATAGGATAGCTCATATAAATAAATTGTGTTCAGAATTTGATTTTCTAAATTAAAAAAAATTATGTAGTAATATCTCGAGTATAACAAATGTTTTAAGAATGGATTTGTGAAACTACGGCCATTTAAATAATATCTTGAAATGTTCAAATATCAAATCTTTATTGAATTATATTCTACATAGTGATTAATCAAAAACTAAACTAGATCTTAATTCTCACTGTAGAAAGTAAGTAGTCTTATAATATATTTGTAAAATTAACATTTTAATGTTTAATTATGTCCGTTTGGATAGAAACAAACTTAGAGCTGATAGTGACCCCATTGAGGTCTGATAGGGTCTCTTAACGTTGAAGAAGCAGTAAAATCAGTAACAGCTTTCATTCATCTTCAGGAACTGTATATGGTTATACTTTGTTATACCAATGGTTTCTTAGACTTGTGAACCAGTTATGGATAATAGCCCAATAAGAACAGAATAGTAGCCCATAAATCAAGCTGTGTCTCCTATTCAACTACATAAAGATACAACTATATATATATATATATTTTTTTTTCCAAACAGGTCTCACTCCATTGCTCAGGCTGGAACTTTTATGATTTTTTTAAGCTCATAAGGGAGTAATTCTTAATTGTTAGGTGGAGCTCAAGAAGGGTCAGTGAAGACCCGCAAAGTGGTCAAAATGCCAGGCTGAGCTGCTCTTCAGTTTGGATGCCTGCAACAAAAATGAAACAAAACAAGAAAACAAGCAAAAAAAAATCACTTTTTGTTCTGTAAAACTTTACATTTGGAAACTTACCAACTGGTAACATGAGAGGATTAAATGAAGATAACGATCAAGTAAAATAACTGGCATAGCACCTGGTTCTAATAGGCTTCTATAAATGCTGCTTCCCACCACTCCTCTCTCTTCCACCTGTTTCACCTTTTGAGAACCCTGAATCATGACTTCCAGCTACATTATGCCTGGGCATCATGACTATTCAGCTCCCTGAAGGGAATGCCTTCTGATGATTGACACTTAGTATCTCTTTCTTACTCCTCTGCCTATCCCCTTGTCTTATTCCCTTACTACTCTCAACCAGGAAGCTGGAGTAGCTGAAAGTAGATTTCTTCCAACACGAAAATGCCTAGGTCATTAGGTACATAAGAGGTGCTAACTAACTGATAAATAAATAAGGAGAGAGACAGAGAGAGAAAGGAAGGAAGGAAGGACAAAACCTAAGATAGTATAAGCCACTGCTAACCTGTGATGTTAGATCTAAGACGTCAAAGAGGAACTGGAGTGCTGGTGATTCCACCACTGTGATGCCTTGCTGTGGTCACAGTGCAAGCGCTGGGTATATATGTCATTCTAAACTGGAGATATAGGACCTATTTCATGTGAGAACAAGCCTGTTTGATATCAGACATCACCTGGTCAAGCCCTAGCATTGACCATTATTCCAAAGAAATAAAAAAACTCCTCTGTGAGATCAGGCTCAAAGGACAGGACTTGAGTTTAAAATAAATTTCTGAAAAGACTCAAAATCAAAGAGCATGAAGTTGTGGCTAACCTGCAGAGAATGCCTATGGATTTGCTTTTTAGTTCTCAGAAAATGAGATGAGCGGGGCATCAGCTGAAGTTGAGAAGGACTAAATGTAGAGACACCTAAGGAGATTACTACTTTTTATAGTGATTAATGCTCTTAATGAAGTCATTCTTCCAACTTACCACTTTGTAAGAGGTTTATATACATTCACAGCTGCCCCTCTTCCTTCAGCAAACCAATGGTATGGGAGATATAGCACTTGACTTGGAATCAGGCAGTCTGATTTAGAATCTGGCTTTTCACTATCAGCTGTATTAGCATGGTAAGTCACTTAAATGTTCTAATCCTTGTTGTCCACTCCACTCCCCACTGCAAAATGAGGATATAGTAGATTCTGCTGGTGCCCATCCAGCCCCATTCCCTTTCCCAGACCAGTGCACCCACTCTCCAGCTACCAGAAGTGCTGGCTGATAATGGCTGACAGTTGCCACTTTGCCAGGAGAAATGTCCTTGTCTGGAGAAATGTCCTTGCACCTCACCTCCTTCCCCTCATAGCTCACTGGCAATGAGTAGCCAACATCAGTAATGGGGAGTAATAATGAATGTCTATTTCACAGAGTTGTTAGGATGAAATAATTTAGCATACATGAAAATGCCTATGATGCTAAAGTAAATGCTGAAATTAAAAAAAAAAAAGAACAGACCAGGCACAGTGGCTCATGCCTATAATCCAGGCACTTTTGGAGGCTAAGGCGGGAGGATCACTTGAGCCCAGGAGTTCAACACCAGCCTGGACAACACGAGGCAAGTCCTGTCTCTACCAAAAAAAAAAAAAAAAAAAAAAAAAAAAATTACCCAGGTGTGGTGGCACATGCCCATAGTCCTATCTACTTGGGAGGCTGAGGCAAAAGGATATCTTGGGCCCAAGAAGTCAAGGCTACAGTGAGCTGTGATTGGACCACTGCACTCCTGAGCAACAGGTGAGACCCCGTCTCAAAAAAAAAAAATAAAAAAGGAACTAAGAAAATTATAGCCCATTGCTAACCTCTAAAATTAGACTCATTACATCAAAGAAGATAGCCACAAATTTTTACACTTTCTAAGAGAAAATTCTGGTGGAATGGATGGCATATCCGATTCAGAATGGCAGTGTTTGTGTTCTCACATGTGGAACAGGCTTTTTACATCATCAGAAGAAATGCTGTCAAATGGTTATGCCAATAATGTGTGAGGTAAGAGGATATTGTCCTCGATGTCAGGCTGTCTTCCTTAGCAACTTCCTGGAAAATTACAAACATTTATACTTTCAAATAAGTAGAATGTTTGGCGTGGCTCATTGCTGCTCTTTACCCATTGGAAGCTGATTTGAGATTTGTTTTGATTTAGGCCTTTCAAATAAGCAACTAAGAGTAATTCTCTTTGTAAATGATAGTGACCATAGTTGCACTCTTTGTTGAATGCATATTGTATACTGATTACTCTACATACAGTAATTATATCAGTTAATCCTTCAAGGGAGTTACAATTATCCCAACTTTGTACACAAGGAACCGTGGACTCCATCATTAAATAATTGGCTGAGGTCACCCCACTGGTAAGTGTGTCAGATTCATGGTTGGAAGCCGGCTTTGTATGACCATACGGTCTGCGCTCTTGCCACCATTTTCTTTAGAGCCGAATTAGGGCTGTGTGTGGAAAGGCACATGTCCATGTTTTTATTTTATGCTTTCACTCTTTTTTCCCCTCACACAACTTGCACAATGAACCTGTTTTTCTCTCTCTCTTCAACTATGTGGTTTGTTTCATTTGTTTTTTAAACTCTTAGTGAGATTGCTAAAGCTGGGAGAAACAGTCACCGATGGGCCTCTCCTTAGGCTGCTCAGATGACTCTCTTAATTTCCATAGAGTTTGATATTTCTATGTTGACTGAGGAAACTGAGATATTTCTGACCACATATAGTAGACCAAACACTTAACTAAATATTTTTGCCTATGCTGTCTTGTTCAGTTCTCAAAACAGTCCGGGAAGTAGTAATTATTAGCCCCAATTTATATATGAGAAACTTGGGGAGAAGACAGATTAAATAACTTGGTCAAAGTCACATGGTGGGCAGCAGGTTTAGGATTTTTTTTCTAATGCACTTAACTCCAAACTCTGTGTTATTTTTATTGCACATTGCTGCATGTTGCCTAAATACCTGAAAGCATTGTTTCCATTTTTCCAGTTATTGGTCTCTTTTAAGAATAATAACTTCAGTTCTGTCATTTTGTTATGATCTAGTGGTAACCCAAGGAGGAAGGAAAACTATTGTCTCAGAGAAAATGTGATGTTGAAAGTCTAAAGAGTAGATTACCTTGTAAGTATTTTGGTTTCTAAAGAGAAAAATGTGAAGTCATTGAGCCATGAAAAAAGCTGACTCAAATTTAAAAGATTGTTTTGAGTATTAGTGTTCTAGCAAAATGACAGTGGTTTGTGGCAATTTCCTCCTTTAACACAGTCACTGTGGAAGGACTAGAATGGTTAGAATTACACCCTGGCCTAATCACCAGAAGATGGAAGAGAAGTAAATTATATGTATGAACTATTCTGAGCACAGATATTTACAAAGAACTACTAAAGGGATTACAAAAGGAAGATTCTCATTTATTGGTGAATCAGAACTGTGGAATTGAATGGTGCAATTATTTTATATAATGTGAGAATGGGCTAATGTGAGAAATCATCCTTAATACTCATATCTTTCACAGATTGGGGAAGAAAATCTTCCTGACCCTGGATGCAGGATTTCACAATATTTCAATGTTATTATGAGTACATAGGTAAAAGGTAGAAAGAAGATGTGATAATGATATGTCTGGCAAACTTGTGGCTACTCTGCCAAAGATAATCACAAGATACCAATAGTGGGATCAAGTGAACCTGAGTTGAGGAAGTTAAGTAAGAATGTTATTACTAAACAGAAGTACCTCAAGTCTCCCATGAAATATTCTGGCATTACCTCCCTTTTCAAAAAATGTTCTTCAAAATTGGTTATTATTTGGAGCGTGTTGATCATTTTCCCCTTTAAAGATGATGCTGAAACATTATGGTGCCTGCTTATGTTAATCTATTCTGAAAACATGTTTTCAGAGCAACAATGAATTGCTCATAAAAATTTTCCCTAGAGCCACGTTAGTTATATTCTTAGCAGTTGCTCAAAATTCAAGATGCTGGCAATAATTGTTTGCTTGTTAAAGTATATCTAATCTGGGGATTCATTCAGCTAATCTCTACTAGATAGATTGTAATCTTTCTCTTTTTTAAATTCATTTTTTTTTGTTTATTTTTTCGTAAGGCTGGTCAAGGTATGCTGAGTTAAAAAGTGAAGTGTCAAAATGACATACCATTAAGCTGACCTAATAGGGTAGCTCAAATAAATATCATATTTGGACTGAACATAGAGATTATTGAAAACTTTCTTGGTAATACATGGTTATTCTTTAGAATTGCATATCGAAGCTTAGTTTTGTAACAGCTCATATATCTCAAAGATTTTATGATTTTAAATACAAGCACATATTCCTATCAGAAATTTGAATTTAAATTCTGAAATGTAAAAAAATTCACGTTTTTTGAGAGAGATGACACAAAGGCAAAGCATATCATGGCCTTATCATAGCTATACTTTGAGACATCTCAACTTTTTGTGGGTGTTTGACTGAGGAACTTTAAAGGACCTATTTACTTTTTCTGACATATCCCTCAAATGAGACCAACACTGTTGAAGTTCCATTTGTAAATTTATCACTAAGACAGCTGCAGAAAGGGATAAAGAGGATGAGTGTAACTCCAGCCACTAGTTTAGTAGATGAAGAATCTGATGTCCAAAGAGATTAAGCGGCTTTCTCAAGGTCACAGAGCAAGCAAGCAATGGAGCCAGTGCTCAGAACCCAATTTTCTGAAGTCCTGCTCAGTTTAGACCACTTGGGAAGTGCTTTAAAGCAAGGATAAATTATGTAAAATAAATTAATATGCTTAATTATCAGCCTTTAATATTGCAGGACAGAGTCTATTAACTGAGATTTATCTGGTCTGCTAAGCACGCAACAAGATGATTTTAATAATCAAGTTTTATAAATGGTTTACCATGAAAACTGTAGTCTACATCTTTCAGTCAAAGGGAAATAGAAGATCAAATGATTAGGTTAGTCCATAGATAAAATTCCAAATTTTATATGAGTTTCCTTGATAAGAGCCCTCTAAAGGGGTCTTAACACATAGGTTAGCTCTTGTGCCACTAAAAATGTTGTCCTTTTTGACATTTAGAATCTTTGTTCACTTTGTAAGTAGAAATCTCTTGCCCATAAAAACATGAACAAATATTTACAACTCTTCAAATTGTAGTTCTATTTTAGGTTTGAAATACACAACATTTGTACAAGTTAAAAATGGAGATTAGAATCTTATAATGTAGGATTTGGACGAGATGACTTCTAAACACACCTATAGTTCTCAAATCCTAGGTATGACAATAAGTGATTGTATTAGTTCATTTTCATGCTGCTGATAAAGACATACTCAAGACTGGGCAATTTACAAAAGAAAGAGTTTTAATTGGACTTACAGTTCCATGTGACCAGGGAAGCCTCACAAACAGGGTGGAAGGCAAGGAGGAGCAAGTCATATCTTACAGGGTGGCAGGCAAAGAGAGAGCTTGTGCAGGCAAACTCCCATCTTTTAAAACCATCAGATCTTGTGAGATTCATTCACTATCACGAGAACAGCACAGGAAATACCCGCTCCCATAATTCAATCACCTCCCACCAGGTTCCCCCCATGACACGTGGGAATTATGGGAGTTACAATTCAAGATGAGGTTTGGGTGGGGACACAGCCAAAACATATCAATAATTGAGTAATTGCTATATCTTATGTACAATGGGATTAGTGTGATAAATTTACTCATTCGGAAAAAAGAGAAAGGATCAGCAAAAGGGAGAAAAAACTTTCAATATTAACAATTATTTATTAGTGGTCTTAGTATTACAGAATCCAAATACCATAGAACTTTAAAATAGTCTGAAAACAAAGAGATTTAGATAATTTTTTCTCAAATAATTATTATTAAGAAGATTGCTGAATCTTGGATAATCAGTATCTTTATAATTTCTTCATTATGCTAGTGTTGTGTATTGTGCAATTTCCTTATTACAATGCTTCATGGGCTAATGACGCAATAGCAGATGTGTATCATGGATAAATGAGAAAAGCTTGTAGATTCTCAGTTCTGGAAAAGCCTTGGAGCTCATGGAGTGTGGTTAAGAAGGCAGGCTCTGGAATTTGATATTAAAGTTTGAATCCTGCTCTGTCATATACTCCTATGGGACCTTGAACAAGCTGCATATCCTCTCTGCCTCAATGTACTCATTAGCTAATTGGGATAATAATAGTACTGATCTCATAGGGTTATTGAGAGGATTAAATGACTTAATACATGGCAAGCGCTGAGGATAGTTCCTGGCACATAGAAAATACAGTGTTAAATATTCTCTGCTATACCTGGCCAGGATTCTCATTTAAAAGATGAAAAAGTGAAAGTCATCAGTAGCAAATCACTTTTTATATTCCAGAGAATAGAGCTTTGTTTGTCATAGATATAAATCTGTATGATAAATCTCACTGTATTCTACAGTGAATAATGACAGCTCATCCTGAACTTTGAAAATAACTTTTTTTTCAATAAAAGAATGAGTTCAGTTTGACTCATGTGGTCCAGTACAGGGTCACTCCAGGGCTGGCCTTATAAGTCATTGGAACATCTAACTGTCTATGTCGTGTCTTTAGGAGATCTGGGAATGCCCCTTGTCAAAAATAATTTCCACCCACTGACTGATGTCTGCAGTTTTCTTTAGTTTAAGGAGTTGTCCCCTGTTGAAACACACATTTTTCTATTAGAAATAACAATTTGAGTTTTTAAAAATCATTTCTATAATCTTGTAAAAGACAATTCAAGAGATAGATTTTGATAAAGGGGAAAGGAGAAGAGAAAATGAGGATTCCGGGTCCTACAAGTGAACCATCCAATTGAAGTGGTCTGGGAACTTTGATAGCAGATTTCCCCACATTTTTTAATTTGTATAAATTTACAGGGTATAAATGTAGTTTTGTTATATTCATAGATTATGTAGTGGCAAAGTCAGTGCTTTTAGGATACCCATCACCCAGATAACATACATTATACCCATTCTCCACAATTTTCCTTGTAATCAGCTTTCCACCTCAATATTCCTAAAACAACATCTATCCTGGAATGAATGAGTCTGACTCTTTTCAGTGCACTAAGCCATATGCTGGGCACGATAAAGGAGGCAGAAGACTGAAATGACACAGTTTCTGTCCTTGCAGAGTGTACAATCTAGTAGCAGACAAAATACATGCACATGTAACTACAATAAATTGCTAAGCACAGCAGAGGCATGGAAATGAGCAGAAGTCAGTGGGAGATGACAGACCTGCACTTCTCCCCCTTGCAAGCAAAGTGCCTCCAATGGTATAGGAGAGAGCATGCAGAAGAAGCCTGACGGCCCATATAAGAGTGAAATTCCTTTCAAAGCATCTATTTCTTTTCTTGTTTATTTTAATGGAGCATCAAATCAGTATTTTAATTTGCTTTACAACCATGGAAATTTATGTTCCAGGGAGATGCCACGTTGATCCTGTGGCTTCTTATATAAGCAGATATAATGCCTTGTAACCCTGAGAATCAGGGTGACTTAGTCTGGTGCTTAGGTGTACGGAAGTGTGCAACCTAGCACCTAGAACCTTTCCTGCGTTAATGTCGTCATTCATCACCCACCACTGCTTACATAATTCCATTAGAAGCTATGATTCACAGTCTGGAAGGAAGCAAGGGATAGAGTGGCCTATGCTTTCTTTTCCATACACCAATTACAACCTGCTGATATTCCAACACCATTTGAATCAATAACTGGCAGAGAGAGAAAAGGATTGGGGAAAAATTAAGTCTCTGTAGGAGGTTCATGGTGATCATAACCCTACAGGGACCTTAACATTGTCAAGTGTGCCTGTAAGGGCCTGGCTTTCCCATTTGAAGTCCAATATTTTGATATATGCAAGATTATCCAAGATTCAGAAATCTTCGCAATAATAATTATTTAAGAAAGATTTATCTAAACGTCTTTATTTTCAGGCTATTTTAAAGTTTCATAGTATTTGGATTCTATAACACTAACAACACTAATAAGGCTTATTTTTTTTCTGTTCTAAGCAACATAAACAAGGAGATACTAGTTTTTAACCACTCTGGAAATAAATAAAGCTAAACTGAAGCATTCTCTACTCCCCTTCATTTTCCTTCCCACTTTTGAACTAGTTGGAGTTTTGTCTAACGTATTCTAATTGCTTTTGTTTGTGCAACAAAGAAAACATTGAAATTTGTATAATTTCTGGGCAGAACTAGTATGTTGTACTTCAAGGCTTTTTTATGTTTAACTTTATGAGTGTAACTTTTTTGTTTAAAGTAATATTGATGTCACAAATATTTTCAAATTCAGTAGATACTAAAAATTATTATAATTTTTTTTTGAAATGGAGTTTTACTATAGTGCTCAGGCTGGAGTGCAGTGGCTACTAAAAGGCATGATCCCACTATTGGCCAGCAAAAGAGTTTTGACCTGCTTAGACTCACGAGAAGGTCTTGTGAGTCTGACTTCTTAGAAGCTGTCATGTGAAAGCTGTGCCGGTGACTGGCTTCCCTGATCCTGCCCTGCTCCAGTCTGAGCCTCACTGACTCCGAGTGTTCAGCGTTTTAGTTGTGGAAATGAGTTGATAATTTGCACAGGCTGGCTCACCCTTTCTTGGGCAAACTGGTGGTTCCCCTGCTCCCCGGAGGTCACCATATTGATGCCAAACTTAGCGTGGACACCCAATTGGCATAGTGCACTATAGCCCAGAACTCCTGGACTCAAGTGATCTTCCTGGCTCAACCTCTCAAGTAGCTGGGATTACAGGTGTGTGCCATCACACTCAGCTAGATTGTTTTTAATTTAAAAATGTTACTGGACAGCGTTAGCACCTTTTAACAAGAATTTATTTGTGCCCAACACCATGCTTAGCACTTAATGGGCATTCAATAAACATTAATTCAATGGATGGATGAATGAAATACTACAAAAAGCAAATTAATCACAGAATCCCTTTTAAAAACATGAATGAAAGCACTGCTGTGATTATGTTGTAGGTAAATTCATGATATTTTCTATCATTGGTGTATTTTGGTGAATAAATATTACAAGATCAATTCATAAAATCTTCGAAGAAATGGTTCTCTAGAAATAATTCAGTTTTTTATCATTCTGTAATTTTGGCCAACTGTGACGAGAAAACATTTTCATTTGTGTCTGTCTGAATGGTACAGCTTTTTAGGTTTTCTGAAGTCCAGCACAGAGTTGAATAATGTTGAGAGTGTTTCTTTTGGCTGAAACATAGAATTGTCCACTTTTTACTAGAATGGCAGGTTAGAACTCCTGAGTTTTAATTGATTGGTTATTAAATTATTGCATATTCTTAGTAGAATATGCAATATTAGTAAGAGGCTAGAACTCAAGAAAATGTCACTGGAATTGTTCAAGATAAATCTTATCCTGATGTTTCAGGAGGGAGGGGAAAAATGTCTTGTTTTATCCCACACTTAATATTCTTTATAGGTAAGAATTAGCTGAAATGTGTCTTGCTTATGGCTGTTTCTTTTTTGTTGATTAAATATCTATAAGCCATCCATTAATTATTGATCATCCATGGGGTACATCACTGAATGTTCACTTTTGAGTTCAGCTCCCTGCACATGTGTTCATGTACCATCATTGTGCCCTGTTGATCATGGTGTTAATAAAGGAAAAAAACAATCAGAATTGGATGGCCTCATAAAGGCTAGGTAACAATTCCAATGAAATTAGAGAAAAACATGTACTTAGGGAGTACACTCCCATGGCCTGCCTTGATTTTTTTCATTACCGGGAAGGAAAACTATCTTCTAAGCCTAGCCAGTCCAAGCTTGCCTTAAAATATAAACTTTATTTCACAGGGTTCCTAAAAAATATGGAGCCACCATGAGTTCTTTTATTTTCTGTTACTATAGAAATTGTTAGCACTTGTAAATGAAGTTACTAATGTACAAATTATTAGCGTATTTTGAAAGACTGTCTCAATACCTAGAAGTTTAACATGTAAAACGAAACAAGAGCACTTTAGGGAAACTGCACATTGCTCCCTGACTTCATGTGATTCTGGGAAGCTGCATGAACAATGGTTTTCCTGAATTTAGTAGATTTAGGTTTAGATTGGACATGTCATGTGTGTGAAAGCAGATGTGGTTAATAGGGTAGTGGATAGAACAGAATTCTTCCCAGAAAGAGCTTCTATTAGGTCATATTCAAAGGAACTTTTCTTCCCACGATACCATATTTGCGTTGACACAAAATTTCACCTTTTTTCCTTCTTACCCTCTTCCAGAAACACAAATAATTTTTATGTGAAGAAAATGTTTACCAAAATTCTAAGGTAAACCTTATATAGCTTCCTGTATGTCATTTTGTGGCTCCTAATGGCAAAGTTAAGGAGAGAAGTTTCTGCAATTGTGACTTATCTACAGATAAACAATGCCTTATTATTATTATTCTTGAGGCATCTGTGAGGGAAAATTCAATAAGGAAAGGGGATTCAAAGGGAGATTTTAAAAAATCCTTGGGAAATTCCACACATGGTCAAGGGGCTCATACCCATGACTCCTGAGGCATGTCAGCCAAAGACATTGCACAGGATTTTATACTGAGTCACCTCTCTGGAATCTGAGATCTGAATGGAGCCTGGAGAAGGAAGTTGAGTGTCCTTGGTCACAGTTACCACTTACTTGCTGAGCCAGAAGAATTCTGGAAGAGTTCCTCTCTTCAGGAGATTTTTTAATGTACCCACCATACGTGAGGATTTTAGGATCCAATTCAGACCCTGTTACACAGAGGTCACCGTCCAGAAGGGAGACACAAGAAATCACTTATGATACAGCACATTGGACTAAAGCAGTGATTCTTAAGTTCTGGTGCCTGGACAAGCATCATCAGCATCACCTGTGGGCTAGTTGGAAAAGACAATTTTGGAGGCCTCCTTTTCCCTTCTGAAACAGACATGGTGGGAGTGGAGTCCAGTGAGCTGTGTTTCAGCAACCCTTCCAGGGGATTCTGACATACTGTAAAGTCTGAGAACCCACTGGGCTAGAAGGAAGCCTCCTGGCATGAGGAGAGAGTTGTTCTGGAGGCCTTAAATAACATGGGAGTAGGTTGAGGACAAGGTTGAGAAGGTGGTGGTGCCTAGACCTTTTAAAGGATTAATAAGATTCTTGAGAAAAAAAAAAGCCAGCAGAGGGAAGAAGAATGGAAAAGCTAAAGCTGAGGGTGACAGGGAGGAAGATAGACCCAGAGAAGAGTCTGGAGAGGCCAGAAGGGGCCAAGTGGGGAGAGAATTTTATCAGGGCTGGGAGTATAAACTGTATTATGAAGACCATGGCACTGGGATAAAGGCTGAAGGCTAAAGTCTGGGAAAGACACACTCAGATTTGTAGAAAAGCTATAAAATTTCAGATTTTAGAAAGCTCACTTGGCAGATGTGAGTGAAAAGTGGAGGGGAGGAAGCTCAAAGTTGAAGCAGTTAGGAGATTTCTATGGTGATCTCGGGCCAGGGAAAGCAGGACTCACCTAGCACAGGGGGCTAGGAAGGGGAAGGGTCTCAAACAGGAGAACAGCTGAGAAAAGGGAGTTGGTAGAACCTCATGTTATAATACATCACAGAAGCCAAAAATCATGAGGTAGTATACTGACTGGCAGCAAATGCCTATGAGATTGGAAAGTGAGATAGGCAGAGAACCTAAAATGGTATGCCCCATGTAATGCCAATTTAAAAATGTATGTACATGAATACACATGTAATACTGAAAGATGTACATTAAAATCTTTATCTCTGTGTAGTGAGATTACAGCCAATTTTTATTTCCTTCTTTATATTTTATTTTCCAAATTTGCTACACTAAAAGAGAACCATATTATAATAAGGAACTGCAAATGTTAAAGAGGGAGGGAGGGAGGAAGGAAGGAAAGAAGGAAAGAAGGGAGGGAGGAAGGAAGGAAGGAAAGAAGGAAGAAAGGAAGGAAGGAAGGGTTATATTTGAGAGCTGAATGGGATAATGTATGGGAAGTCAGAATGGTTCCATAAATAGACGGAAATTACAATTCCTGCAGGAGCCTTTTAAACTTAACCTGTCTTAAAAATTTCCTACAAATCCAGCCTGACAGGCTGTGACAGGGAGCTGAGGTATTTAGCGGGTAGCAGGAGGGGCACTGGACATGCGAGGAGCCAGAGCTGGGGCAATCGGTAGGGAGGGACTACCCACCGGTCCAGCCACTCCTTTCACAAGAAGGGGATGTGTACACAAGGAAGAAGGTCTTGTGAGTCTGACTTCTTGGAGGCTGTTGGGCGAAAGCTGTGCCGGTGACTGGCTTCCCTGACCCTGCCCTCCTCCAGTCTGGGCCTCACTGACTCTGAGCATTCAGCGTTCTAGCTATGAAAATGAGTTGATAATTTGCATAGGTTGGAACACAGTTGTGCTAAAGACGTACTCTTTGGTTACCTTGGTAGTTACTTTTTTTTTTTTCTGGTCCCATTTCCCTGCCATAGGAAATAATACACAGCTCTAAAAAACAATACACAAAATAATGTAAGAAATCTATGGGGTAATAGGGTATGTTTGATCTAGTGGGGAGGGAAGTAGCTTCACTAGGTGATTATGGGAAGGTTTAGGATCATGTTATTCATGAAGAGGAAACAAGCAGCGAGAATTCCAGGAAATCATCATAATAAAACAAAGAGTTCCAGGAAATCATCATAATAAAATAATGGCTACTATCATTTATTACTATACTAAGCATTTTACAAATATTGTTATTAATGCTCACGACAACTCATTTCCATTGTTTTTTTTCATTAAAGTCAGCATTTACACATGAGAGAAACTGGGGCCTCAGACACTAAGTGATTGTAAGTGTCAGAGCCTCAATTTGAACAAAGACTTTTATTCGGTACTAAGAGTTCTGGAGGCAGATGATGATGACGGTTGCGCAATAATGTGAAGACTTAATATTACTGAACTATATATTCAAAAATGAATGAGATTATAAATTTTATGCTGCACGTATTTCACTACAATTAAAAAAGAAAGTCTATACCTTGTATACTACATTGCTACATATTCCAAAGATATTTTGATGTTACTATTATGATAGACCCCACATTAAGGAATTGCCTGCTTTCCCTTAAATGGAAAGAAAACAGGGTCCTAATACCCTCCCTAAAGTGGCTCAAGGAACCTCAGCATAGGTTTCCTTTCTGTCTCCTTTTTTCCCCTCTCCATCTTTTTAAAAATTATTCTCCTTCTGTCCCTTCTCACATCCTTCTTTCACCTTTCCTCACCCTGAACAGATGGATAGACTGCCTTCCTTCCCAACACACACACACACACACACACACACACACACACACACACACACACACACACAGAGTCCACAGCCACAAGTGTCTCTGACCAGCCAGTGTTGCTGAGGCTGCACCTCAGTCTTCGTGGTGTTCACAAACTAAGGGGATTCTGATCAAGTCCTCTTGATCCTAACACTGTAAATGGAAGAAGAAACAGGTTTGTTTTAACCTGGGAGGTGTAATTTCTTTCTTTCTTTCTTTTTTTTTTTTTTGTCTTTTTCTTTTCTTTGAGATGGAGTCTTACTCTGATATCCGGGCTAGAGTGCAGTGGTGCAATCTTGGCTCAATGCAGCCTCTGGCTCCTGGGTTCAAGTGATTCTCTTGCCTCAGCCTCCTGAGTAGCTGGGATTCCAGGTGCCTGCCACCACACTCAGATAATTGTTGTATTTTTAGTAGAGACGGGATTTTGCCAAGTTGGCCAAGCTGGTCTCGAACTCATGACCTTAGGCGATCCACCCATCTCGGCCTCCGAAAGTGCTGGGATTATAGGTGTGAGCTACTGGGCCCTGCTGGGAGGCCTAATTTCAGAGACGTGGAAGTTCCAATGAAGATGAAACTGGGAGGAGGTGGATGCAGAAAATGACAAGCTCCAGTGTTTAAATCCAACAACAGCACACACATACACATACACAGAGGAAATGAGCAAGTGAACTGGTACCATTCCACAGAAATGAGAAAAGCTGAGAAATAGAGGACAACGTGCTTGCCTAAGATTCTGGCTGCATTTACTGAAACTCTCCCAGCCCTGCCTTTCAGCAGTTCTTCTGTGGATGGGAGTGTGACAGTGCTGCCTTCTGACCACAAGGTGGGGCTTATACTGGGATACACTGACTATCAGAAGGATTTCTTGTTTGAGCCTTTTCCTTTTAGAAATCTTTCTATATTGCCAACTAGATATGATTAAGGGCTTACTATACGTTACCTTACCAAGCTCCAAGATTCCAAAAACATCCAAGTTGGAATTTGTGCAGAGCTTAAGACCTGTACTTGGACACTTACTTACCACAGAAAAGAGAAAAATATGTCATTTTTCCTGAATTTCTTTTTCCCTCACTGTGGTATATTTATTAAGGTAGGTGGTGGCTTGTTGTGTTGTAAGTTTCTACTACAGAGCCCTTGTGAAGGTCAAGGTGGGCCTGAGTCATCGCCTTTCTTTTCTTATTCTTCTTTTTAAATAATATCAATATTTTAAAGAGAAAGAAGAGAAATGTCACAACAAAATTATAAAACTTTTACAAATACATTAACTGCCTATATTTAATAAATTAACATGTTTAGATTGCACAAATATATTGCAATGTATTTGTGGTATTAAAAGTATAAGCACTTCGTAGTATACTCAGATTCTATGTTCAGGACAGGATAAGATTTTAAAGTTAAGTATTATGTGTCTTCTGTTTTCAATCTTATCAAAATATCTCTGGCTGGCAGCTTGACCTTATTTGTTAATAACACTGAAGATCAGCTTTAAGGGTTTTTGTGAATGCAAAGCCCTGGACAAATATACTCCTCCCACCCCGCCCATTTGATGAACTGTTTACAAACCACAGATGTCATTGAATAGATTTAATGGAGGTGAGGTCACTGGGCATGTTTCACCCTTTTAAGCACAAAATTCAGACCCGTCAGAAACTTTTCCTGATGCTCTTGCAACCTTATTTACTAAGCTTAAAAGAGTTTTGTTAAACTAGTTTTCAAGACTTGGGCCACTGGGACATGAACACTAAGTGGGCTGCCAGAGCTCTACCCAGGCTGGACTTCATTCTGCAGAGGGAAGAGAGCTCAAGCTTTGGGGCCAGAGACCTGGGTGCTGATTTAAATTCAGGTTTGGGTCCAGCTGCTTGCTTGCTATGTGTGTACAATTTTAACTCCCTGAGCCTGTTTTCTTAAACATAAAAATGGAGATAATAGCGCCAAGCACATAAATTTGTGATGAGAATTAAATGAATTAACTTTTATAAAGAACCCAGTACAGGAGCTGGAAGACAATAAATATTACCCTGCCCCCCACCCCTCTATCTGCCTCCGTGCCTCCTCATTATTTCCACCACCAGCCATAGCCACTGGGTCACACAACTATGGGCCTAATTGCCTAATTGAGGATATCCACTGAGGATGTGGTCAGAAGAGCTCTATCAAGCAAGAGTTGCCCCACATTCAAATAATTCTGCAACTTTAGTTTAGTTGCTCCATCCTTCCAATTGCTCACACCTGAAGTCTTCATCGTCTGTGACTTTTGTCTTTTTCTCATGTCTTATACCTAATCCTTCAGGGTTTTGTGCTGTCTCTACCTTAAATTATCCAGAATTTGACCACTAGTCACCACGCTTGTCTAATGTAAGCAATTATCATCTCTCTCCTGGATTTCCATCATGCCCTCTAACTGGTTATCCTGCTTTGCTTCCCTTCCTCCTGCCATACTCCTTTTTACCCTAGCTGTCAGAGTGTCAGATCATGTCACTGATTTTCCAAAGACACTGCAATGGTTCTCCCCACAGAGTGAAAGCTGGAATCCTTGCGATGACCCGCAAGGCCTATCTAGTGTGGCCACTTGCTGTCTGTCCTCCTTTCCCATTCACCAGCTCTCCCTGCTCCAGCCACACTGGCCTCCTTACTGTTCCTCATACACGCCAGTCATGCTCCCAACTAACTGTTAACTCTCACTGTCCCTTTGCCTGGAATGCTCGCCCACATAGTCAGAGCCAATTCCTACTTTCTTCCATTTGTAGCTCGGCATCAATCTCTCAAGGAGGCTTCCTCTGACTCTCCAATGCTGCAGTCTGCTCACTCCTCACACACCTGACTCCCCTAATTCCCCCATCTGTTTTATGTTTATTTTTTCATAACATTTATTCACCGAAGGCACTTCCTAAGGGTAGGCATTTCTATTTGTGATATTCATTAACCTTTCCCAAGCACCTAGAAAAGTGTTTGGGATATAGAAAGTGTTCTGTAAATATCTGTTAAATGGATGAGTGATGGGAAAGTTAAGCCTCTCTACATATATTTTCAAGCAATATTCACTAAGTTTGATGCTTTTGCTTCAGAGCAAATCAGTTGGGTTTATTTCCTTCTTTCTTACTTTTTTTTCTTAGTATTTTTCCAACTCCAACCACATTACTTGTTTCACAACGACAGGTTAAACGGTTGCAACTTGTCTGAGAGTCATGAGGAAATCAGGCAAGAGGAAACAGTGTCGGCAAGAGAAGAGCGCAGGAAGCACTTCCTTCTTTTCTTGGGGGCAGGGAATAGGCGTCTGATGGTAATGCACACCATCACCATGGCCTCCAATTACAGCTCCTTACTTCATTGAACCCATGCCCTTCTCCTCTTGGTTGAAGAGAACTTTGCAAATGGCAATGTTTAGTTAGCCACATTGAAGGACGAGTACATATTCTCTTACAGTTTTGCTAAATCTGAGAGTTGGGTAAGTGTCCTCTGCTGGTACAAGTGGGCAAGTTTCCCAGAGGAAGTTCTCCATTTCACATACCTTAGCTTACAGGGTAATAAAACAGTCAGAAGAGCTGTATAGGCAAACCCCATCATTTTACAAATGAAAAACCTGAGGCCTCGATAGGAGGGACTCGTCCTTCTACTGGGTTATGATGTCCCTCTCCCCTCACTGAATCAAGATTCTCTTCTCCAGTCTTCTAAGTCTAATCTGGCAGGAGAGGAGGGGAGAAAGAAGATAAATGTGCTCAAAGGAAAGTCTGTAAGTCTTACAGACACATGAGAGAAACCCCCTGAGACAGCACAGAATTCTGGACTCTCTGCTTAGGTTCTAATCCTAACTCTGTTTCCTACTTGCTGGATGACCTTCTGCAAGTTATTAAATACTTAACCTAAGTTTGTTTTCTTATCTTTTAAATGGCGATATTTAATACTAAAATATAGGGTTGTTGTGAATATTACAAAAATAAAACATGAAGTACTCAGTAATAAGATTCTGTAAGTACAATTATTCTTGAGTGAGAACTTTGTATACCCATTGCTAAAGTCCAAGCAAGTCAAACCTAGAAAAGAAATGTGCTATTTTTAACTTTTCTCATTAACCTTGGCTTTCTAGTACCTGCTTCATTTATCTTTGGGTCTCTTGATGATGTGCTTTCATGGTCCTGTTTTTCTGGCTGGTTGTGTTATTTCTTACCTACCTCCCCCACCCACCCTTCCCATTTTGCTTTTATATCCAGCTTTGTAGGAGATGGTGCCAGTTGTGTTTTCCAGGTCCACCTCCCACTCTTGGGGGAAAGGAAGTGCATAAAAAGTTCATCCAGCAAGTTTGGAGCAGACAGCTTTTCCTTTGTTTCAAAACTCCAATAGCATCTGTGAGTGGTGATTTCCTCCTTCCTGGTTTAGGGACCACATGGAGTGATTTAATATAGACAAGTAAGGTGATGCAGTCAAAAAACATTCTAAATGAGTTTTGAGATAAATGCTAGATGAGAGAATAAGCCACCTAAAAATGAAAAGGGCTCAAATCTGGAAATCAGACAATTTGGGGGCACCAGGTTATACTGAAAGAGATAAAGAAGTTTTATGTCCTTATTTTGCCATAAATTTGAGGAATGCTGAGAGATTGGCCAGTATCTCAAAACTCATACACAATCTGAATTATTTTTTAATTTTGTTTTCTTTTTATGTGAAATAATTATGTAGCTTTTCTTGAATATATCTATTTTGGGGAAATGAAGAGAATTATGGAAGAACTAAAATGTAACCCTTCTCTTCAGCCTCCTTTTGCCATTGACACTGCTTTTCAGTAGATTTGTGAAGGAGGCTACCTCAGTTGAAAGTAGTACTCAGTTTTGATCTTTTTCTAGATGGATTTGGGTCTTACTCTTATAGGTCACAAGAATATGAAAGGTCACTCAAATCTTGCCTTTATATACCATGAGTGTTCTCTTCCTCCTCATTCTGCTCCTTATCCATCTCCACTTTCTCTTTTGAAAACTTCAAAAAACGTTTTCTGAATTCTGTCCAGGACATATCCAGAAAGAGCAGGCACCATTCAGAAAATGCCACTTCTCTTTCAATTGATTTGACTTAAAGGTAGTACACATAGGATTAGCTCATTATTGTCAAATGTAATACCTCCAACTTACCCTTTACTGATTTTAGCCCTTAGGGGTTTATAAGGGAGTTCAGTAAACTCCCTGAAACTTCATGCCAGCATTCATCCTTGAGGCTGAGCAGAAGGTATAAAACTTTCATTATATTTTCAAAGACTTAAATGGTTAAAGTAAGAAAGGTTAAGAACCACTGAGATAATACTTAAAATGGAAGCTAAACTGTTTTAGTCTTAGCACAGTCAACGTTAATTAGACAAAACCTATAGAACACCATTTATATTCACTCTCTGGCCTCCAGAAACAGTGTGTGGTCCCTTGGAGTCTCCACAGTTCTGTGAAATGCAGTTGATGGGAAAGAGCAAGCAGCAGAGCCTCTCCCCCAGTGGTGGACTTCAGTTGCCAGGACTTCCCGCATGCTGCTCACCATCCTTTATGCCACTGTATCCTAACCTGTTATTTCTTACCCTTGCCTTCAAGGAGCCTAGAAGATATCGGATGGTTAATTCACCAGTGGAATGAAACTGCTGTTTGGCTGCACAGTTTACTGCTTTATCTATCCACCACTGCTAAATTAGAGCACTAACTAAAACTGTATTTTCCATGCTAAGTTCTTCTCTGTTCATGGAAATAAAATAATTGTCCCCAAGGGAGAACAAAAACAAAGATAAGCATTTTCGTTTTCTTTCGTTGACATTGTTCTTGTTTGGATAGGTTGCAAGAACTGGGAAATTTCTGCTTTCATTCAAGAAATGTTTGTAGAACATTGTTACATGCAGGCACTAATCTGGAAGCTGGAACACAGTCTAAATAAAGCAGTTGTAGTCTCTGATTTTGTGGAATTTCCAGTCAAGTGGGTGAGACAAATATCAATAAATGGTTACACAAATGGGTGGAGAGCTCATCATTTCAATGGAATCCATCAATGTGGAATGTCTATGTGGGTTAAACTTTGTCTTAAATACTTCAGTCACCCCAAGGCCAAAGTGAGGAGAAAGATGCAGTTAAGATGAAGCTCATATTGTGAAACAAAAACTTTAAAAATAAAAGTTTTAGGAGAGTTGTGAGAAACAAAATATAGAAATTATAGCATAGTAACTGCTTTTTTTCCCTAAGTCACTTTCTTCAAGTTGCTAAGAGTTTTATCTCAACTGAGCTTTTAAAAATTTTACATCTATTTATAAAAATAATAGATCAAAATAATAAAGAAACTTTTGAGAAAATAAGAAAAACATCACTACATATCACTACAGAATCATAACCACCTTTGAATCAGCATGAAAACTTTTCTTTTTTTCCCTTAGTCATTTGACTTATTGCTTGGTGTGAGTCTTGTTTACCACAAGACACAATTAAATGCACGCATCAGTTCAGTCATTTCTAACATAGCAACTTCCCTTTTTGCCAAGTGATCTCATTTCCTATTTTTTTGGAAAGAAATACTAGTAACATGTAACGTGATCACTGCCATGTCAAAGATACATTTTTTTTGTAAACATTGGAGTAAATAATGCCTAAGTGTTTTAGAATAAATCTAATAAAGAAATTAGGTCTACACATAATTTTGTTTTACTTTTTTTTTTTTTTCTTGCGACAGGCTCTCTGTCACCCAGGCTGGAGTACAGTGGCATGATAACAGCTCCCTGCAGCCTCGACCTCCCTGGCTCAAGTGATCTTCCCACCTCAGCCTCCTGAGTAGCTGGGACTACAGGCATGCACCACCACGCCCGGCTAATATTTGTATATTTTTGTAGAGACAGAGTTTCATCATGTTGCCCAGGCTAGTCTTGAACTCCTGGGCTCAAGTGCTCCACCTGAATTGGCCTTCCAAATTACAGGCATAGCCACCACAGTGAGCCCTTTTTTTTTTTTAATAAATTTAACAAAGAAAAGAAATAGCTACAAGTAAATATTTACTTTTTTTTTTCATATTGAAGATTGGCTGATCTTAGCCTTTCTAAGTCCTTAATAAATGCCTGTTTACACAACTGGTGTCTTCCCCTAAACCTAAACTTCAAACTTCAAACTCCAAACTCCACCGATTTGGATAGTATTAGAAATGGCATTCATATTAATGGTTATAGTACATTTTTTTACATGTGAATGCAAATGGAATTGTTAGGCATTAAAAAAGAAAGCTTATATAGTGGAAGAAAATAAAGCATCTAGACATAAGCTTTAAGAGATCTATTGTGTTAATACAGCTTTACTTTTTGAGTGGTAAGCTTTTAAAAAGAAATGTGGTGCTCTAACTCCAGGAAAAGATAAGGGTGACTGAAGTGATAGTCTAGAGGAAAAAGATGCAGACATTTACTGAGTACCTCCAATGTGCCAGGTGCCATTCTGGGCATTTTCATTATGTTTCCTCATTTAATTCTCATGGTGATCCTTTGGAACTGTGTTATTCTCATTTTTACAGATGAGGTAACTGAGAGACAGTCAGATTAAAGAACTGCCTATGATTGTTTGGCTAATAATAAGTGGAGGGGTGAGGCTTGAAGGCAGGTTTGTCTTATTCCAACACCCATACATACCCTTAAATTTAAGTTATTCTGACTTGTGTTGCTCAAATCCAATGTGTTCAGCTGTTTGCTTCTCCAATTACCAAGATTTTTCTTTAAAAGGTAGGACACTTTTGGCAACACGAACCAACTTTGCTCAGTATTGTTATAAACTGTTAACTGGAGACATTTGAATTTGGAGATGGAACTGAAATGGTCTTGCGGTACTAGAGAAGATCAAGTTATCACATAAACAAAGTACAGAGCTGAGAACATATTTTAAATCTTTCCACTAACTCTGACTTTTATTGACTAAAATTTTAGTGGGCAGTATGTTTATGTTTATGACTCTTAACATTAACAACATCGTAAGTCAAACTCACTAATATATGTTAAGCATTCTGTTTATGATTCTTTTAACCTAGAGGATTGTTGAGCTGGGACTAATTTCCTCAAATGGGAAAAAAACCCAGGTGAGAGCTGAGACTGCTCCTGAGACTGAGAAAGGCAGCTCTGACGGGATCTCAGATTTTAGCAGCAGGAGTTGAACAATGGGCATAGAATCAGCTTGCCCAAGATCTCCTGATTAATAAACCATGGAACAAGATTTAAACCCAAGTTCATTTCATTTCAAAGCTCATACCACATTTTGCCCACCATATTTTGCTTTGTTATATGACTACAACTTAGTTCAGGCTTACAAAAAAGTCCTAATTCTAAAATTCCTATGGCGTGGGTGGGAGGGGATTTAGATGATTTTGCATAGGCAAGAAACACCCAGTTTCATGGAGTTTGATGGAAGAGTTATGTACTAATATGGGAAAAGTAGAGGCCATCTTTGTCTTTGTTCTTTCTTTTTTAGACGGGAGTCTCGCTCTTTCACCCAGGCTGGAGTGCAGTGGCGCTATCTCGGCTCACTGCAAGCTCCGCCTCCTGGGTTCACGCCATTCTCCTGCCTCAGCCTCCTGAGTAGCTGGGACTACAGGCGCCCGCCACCGCTCCCGGCTAATTTTTTATATTTTCAGTAGAGACGGGGTTTCACCGTGTTAGCTAAGATGGTTTGGATCTCCTGAACTCGTGATCCGCCCGCCTCGGACTCCCAAAGTGCTGGGATTACAGGCTTGAGCCACCGCGCCCGGCCGTCTTTGTTCTTTCTTGAACTCTTCCTTTTCTTGGGTGATAGACTTCGTCAACGTCTAATGAGGATATCTAGGTGCTAGTCTCTGCTCATCAAATGATTCTTATGGCTCAGGAGCCGAATGGGACGTAAATAAACAGTTAAGTCTCATGAACTCACTTTGCATTCATCTCTAGAAGATGACAAAACATTTGTATTTATGTGTAGCGTGGCACTTTAGTTAAACTTTGTACCCCACTTTGCTCTATTTTAAAGCAGAATATCCTTAAAAAGGATACTTAGTCCTGCTTTTTTTTTTCCGCCTAAGCCCATTTAGTCCTTCTACTCATTATGCAAGGACTCAAATGGTTATCTTTACAGAAGTGAGACAAGATAGAATCAATGCTCTTGTAGTCACTTCATCTTTGTCCATTCCCACTTCTGATGGAGAGGGTTCTAGGACATAATGCACTGAAGGTTACATTGTGAGAGATGAACAACATTTGCAAAAGAGGTCTTTTTGCCTTGGAAAGGCTTCATTCTTAAAAAAAAATGTGAGCATCAAGGTTAAGTAGACCTCATTAGCTCAAACTTTAAGGATGATATCAGGATAAAGTTGGGCCCATGAGAAGAGAATGAGAGGGAGATATAGTGACATGAAAATAAGGAGGAAAACGAGGTGTCTATGTAAGTTGGGCTCACCATAAATACAAAGGCAACCGTTAGGGAAAAGCAAAGAAGTCTTTGCACATCCTCAGAACTCTGAATGTCTTAGTGATGCTGTATGAGTGAGTCTTAATGATAGTGAACTGAATCAGTCAAGCCAGGTTGTGTCCATATGAGAATGTGTCTTTGCTAAACATGCCAACATCACTGAAGCAAAGAAACTTGGAGTTTTCTTTAAGATATAGGTCTTTTTTACCTATCCGGCCCAAGCTTTCTCTTCTTGTCACTCCATGCACTGTGTTCCGTATGCTAAATAGTTTGAGAAACCCAAATGGGCCATGTTCGCCTACATTTCATTGTCCTGTACTTCCTGTCCTGTACTAGCAAAGCAGTCCCATTGGTCTTTCTTCTCCTCATTAACAATAAAGGTAACACTTTTGATGTTGTTTCTTCAGAAAACCTTCATTCATCAAAACTGCCTCAAAGATCATGTTTGTTTGATTCCAGAACTTCCTGTAATTACCTGTTATTGTAACACTCATCACTGTATTTTACTTACTTGTGTAACTAATTTTCCATATTCTGCACTAGACAACAAAGTCCTTTAAGTCAGGTACTATATCTATTTACATAGCATTCACATCTCCTACAATAAGGGACATTAGCAGATAAACAACACATATTAAATGAATAATGAAGTTTCTGAAATACTACAGTTGAAAACTATAGGAGCTACATTATATAGAATAAACATTTACTTTGCTATAGAATTCAGTGTAACCCAGGCATTATTTTATCCTCAAGTCTTAGGTTGGTTGGAGAAAGATAACAAAAAGAAACATGATTGTGCAGAAACAGACAAACCTTTTTGGAAAGCATTTGAAAATGGCATTCCCCCTCCACAGTGTGTTCACAGTGTGGGCAAATTCACTGCTCTGTCGTACTTTCTGAAAATGAAGAACTGTTACACCAAGGTGAATTATTTATAAATTATGTACTTGCCCAGAAGCGAACAGACTTTTACTATCATAAGAACCCTTCCTTGGTGCTCTTTATCTACAGAATCCAAGACCTTTCAAGAAAGGTCTTGGATTCTTTTCTTCAGGACACTAGGACATAAAGCCACCTTTTTATGATTTGTTGAAATTTCTCACTCCATCCCTTTTGCTAGTGATCATGGGTCCTCAGAGGTCAGACTTGGTGTCCTTGGATAAAGAGCATGAAGCAACAGTGGCTGAACCAGAGTTGGAACCCAGATGCTCTTTCCACTAAGCATACAACTTTCCATTAGATAACACCTCCCTCCCACCCCAACCAAGCAGCTCCAGTGCACCACTTTCTGGAGCATAAACATACCTTAACTTTACAACTTGAGTGGCCTTGAATACTGTTCCTATCTGGAATGTGCTGTTCTCTTTCATCTTCCTCTATTGAAGCCCTCCTATTCCTCAATGCCTTGCTCCAACTGCCTTTGGAAGATTCTGCTCTTATGCCTCCACTGGAATTAATGTCTTAGTACCACTTGTCTATTCTGCTATATAGTCAGTCCTTACATTGCTTTCTTCTTCTGATAGACCAAACTCTTTAAGGACAAGTACCTAGTCTTATCTATTTCTAGATCCCCCACATTACTCAGAAAGTTACTCCATAAATGTTTGTGGAACTGATTTCTATGTGAAGCACATGTGCCCCTTCACTCTGTTAACATGCATTAGAAAACTAAATCTTTTGAAAAGTTGTAGTATGCCCCCTAAGAGCAGTAACAGTTCCTAGAAACTCTCTAAAATGCTTAGAAAAAGATTTATTTTAAATTACCTCCCCAATAAAATGATTGGCTGGCTTATCTTCACCATCATGATAGCATCTGTAATTAACTGAAAAAAAATAATTATGCCATTAAAAGAAAATCATCCATGATCTTGTTCTAACACCTGCCACTCTAGTACTATATCTGTCACATGGTACTATGATAAAGTTATCTAGAAATAAAAAAGCATACAATTGATAATTCACCAAATTGTGGAGCTTCAGTATTTTAAATGTATATTAAAATTAAATTATTTTAAAGATCAAAGAAAACTTTCGTCATACTCCGTATTTGATAAGGAACAAATAGGAAGTGTGATGACTCAGGTTTGCCCTGAGGGGATGGGCCATCAGTTGCAAATCGTGGAATTTCCTCTGACATAATGAAAAGATGAGGGTGCATAAGTTCTCTAGTAGGGTGATGATATAAAAAGCCACCGGAGCACTCCATAAGGCACAAACTTTCAGAGACAGCAGAGCACACAAGCTTCTAGGACAAGAGCCAGGAAGAAACCACCGGAAGGAACCATCTCACTGTGTGTAAACATGACTTCCAAGCTGGCCGTGGCTCTCTTGGCAGCCTTCCTGATTTCTGCAGCTCTGTGTGAAGGTAAGCACATCTTTCTGACCTACAGCGTTTTCCTATGTCTAAATGTGATCCTTAGATAGCAAAGCTATTCTTGATGCTTTGGTAACAAACATCCTTTTTATTCAGAAACAGAATATAATCTTAGCAGTCAATTAATGTTAAATTGAAGATTTAGAAAAAACTATATATAACACTTAGGAAAGTATAAAGTTTGATCAATATAGATATTCTGCTTTTATAATTTATACCATGTAGCATGCATATATTTAACGTAAATAAGTAATTTATAGTATGTCCTATTGAGAACCACGGTTACCTATATTATGTATTAATATTGAGTTGAGCAAGGTAACTCAGACAATTCCACTCCTTGTAGTATTTCATTGACAAGCCTCAGATTTGTCATTAATTCCTGTCTGGTTTAAAGATACCCTGATTATAGACCAGGCATGTATAACTTATTTATATATTTCTGTTAATTCTTTCTGAAGGCAATTTCTATGCTGGAGAGTCTTAGCTTGCCTACTATAAATAACACTGTGGTATCACAGAGGATTATGCAATATTGACCAGATAAAAATACCATGAAGATGTTGATATTGTACAAAAAGAACTCTAACTCTTTATATAGGAAGTCGTTCAATGTTGTCAGTTATGACTGTTTTTTAAAACAAAGAACTAACTGAGGTCAAGGGCTAGGAGAATATTCAGGAATGAGTTCACTAGAAACATGATGCCTTCCATAGTCTCCAAATAATCATATTGGAATTAGAAAGGAAGTAGCTGGCAGAGCTGTGCCTGTTGATAAAATCAATCCTTAATCACTTTTTCCCCCAACAGGTGCAGTTTTGCCAAGGAGTGCTAAAGAACTTAGATGTCAGTGCATAAAGACATACTCCAAACCTTTCCACCCCAAATTTATCAAAGAACTGAGAGTGATTGAGAGTGGACCACACTGCGCCAACACAGAAATTATGTAAGTACTTTAAAAAAGATTAGATATTTTGTTTTAGCAAACTTAAAATTAAGGAAGGTGGAAATATTTAGGAAAGTTCCAGGTGTTAGGATTACAGTAGTAAATGAAACAAAACAAAATAAAAATATTTGTCTACATGACATTTAAATATGGTAGCTTCCACAACTACTATAAATGTTATTTTGGACTTAGACTTTATGCCTGACTTAAGGAATCATGATTTGAATGCAAAAACTAAATATTAATCTGAACCATTTCTTTCTTATTTCAGTGTAAAGCTTTCTGATGGAAGAGAGCTCTGTCTGGACCCCAAGGAAAACTGGGTGCAGAGGGTTGTGGAGAAGTTTTTGAAGAGGTAAGTTATATATTTTTTAATTTAAATTTTTCATTTATCCTGAGACATATAATCCAAAGTCAGCCTATAAATTTCTTTCTGTTGCTAAAAATCGTCATTAGGTATCTGCCTTTTTGGTTAAAAAAAAAAGGAATAGCATCAATAGTGAGTTTGTTGTACTCATGACCAGAAAGACCATACATAGTTTGCCCAGGAAATTCTGGGTTTAAGCTTGTGTCCTATACTCTTAGTAAAGTTCTTTGTCACTCCCAGTAGTGTCCTATTTTAGATGATAATTTCTTTGATCTCCCTATTTATAGTTGAGAATATAGAGCATTTCTAACACATGAATGTCAAAGACTATATTGACTTTTCAAGAACCCTACTTTCCTTCTTATTAAACATAGCTCATCTTTATATTTTTAATTTTATTTTAGGGCTGAGAATTCATAAAAAAATTCATTCTCTGTGGTATCCAAGAATCAGTGAAGATGCCAGTGAAACTTCAAGCAAATCTACTTCAACACTTCATGTATTGTGTGGGTCTGTTGTAGGGTTGCCAGATGCAATACAAGATTCCTGGTTAAATTTGAATTTCAGTAAACAATGAATAGTTTTTCATTGTACCATGAAATATCCAGAACATACTTATATGTAAAGTATTATTTATTTGAATCTACAAAAAACAACAAATAATTTTTAAATATAAGGATTTTCCTAGATATTGCACGGGAGAATATACAAATAGCAAAATTGAGGCCAAGGGCCAAGAGAATATCCGAACTTTAATTTCAGGAATTGAATGGGTTTGCTAGAATGTGATATTTGAAGCATCACATAAAAATGATGGGACAATAAATTTTGCCATAAAGTCAAATTTAGCTGGAAATCCTGGATTTTTTTCTGTTAAATCTGGCAACCCTAGTCTGCTAGCCAGGATCCACAAGTCCTTGTTCCACTGTGCCTTGGTTTCTCCTTTATTTCTAAGTGGAAAAAGTATTAGCCACCATCTTACCTCACAGTGATGTTGTGAGGACATGTGGAAGCACTTTAAGTTTTTTCATCATAACATAAATTATTTTCAAGTGTAACTTATTAACCTATTTATTATTTATGTATTTATTTAAGCATCAAATATTTGTGCAAGAATTTGGAAAAATAGAAGATGAATCATTGATTGAATAGTTATAAAGATGTTATAGTAAATTTATTTTATTTTAGATATTAAATGATGTTTTATTAGATAAATTTCAATCAGGGTTTTTAGATTAAACAAACAAACAATTGGGTACCCAGTTAAATTTTCATTTCAGATAAACAACAAATAATTTTTTAGTATAAGTACATTATTGTTTATCTGAAATTTTAATTGAACTAACAATCCTAGTTTGATACTCCCAGTCTTGTCATTGCCAGCTGTGTTGGTAGTGCTGTGTTGAATTACGGAATAATGAGTTAGAACTATTAAAACAGCCAAAACTCCACAGTCAATATTAGTAATTTCTTGCTGGTTGAAACTTGTTTATTATGTACAAATAGATTCTTATAATATTATTTAAATGACTGCATTTTTAAATACAAGGCTTTATATTTTTAACTTTAAGATGTTTTTATGTGCTCTCCAAATTTTTTTTACTGTTTCTGATTGTATGGAAATATAAAAGTAAATATGAAACATTTAAAATATAATTTGTTGTCAAAGTAATCAAGTGTTTGTCTTTTTTTTAGTTTTAGCTTATTGGGATTCTCTTTGTTTATATTTAAAATTATACTTTGATTTAGAAAACATAAATGCTTCCCCTTAGCATTTTGTTTATGGAAAATTACAAACTTTTATTTTTAGAAAACAGAACTCCTTTCCAGAAATAGGTTACAAACAGTAGTGTCCTCCACAGAATGTTGGAAATGTTTTCAACTCCCCACTGTATACTATCTTGCTAATAAGTCTGTCTTCAGATTTCGATTAACCGGTTTGTATGTCTGTGCGCTTTAGCATAGCTGGACATTTAAAGAGGAAAGAGAGTACATATTATAAGTTGCTTATCAGTAACTGAGGAGTAAAACTGATAAATGTGAGGCAAAGAAGTTTAAAATATGGTTAAAGCCTAAGCATATTTGCAAACAAATCAAACAATACTCTGAGAAGTAAAAACATAATTATTTAATTAACAAATTTCAGTGGATAAATTTTATAACAAATTAGACACAGTTGAAAATAAAATTAGAAAACTAGAAAATAGAACCAAAGAACTTCTGGAATTCTTATAAGAGAGATAAAGAGGTAGAAATTTGGAGAAAGAAGTCGAAAGGCGTAGAGGATACAGGTGTAAGCTCTAATAGATGTCTAATTGGATTGTCACAAGCAGAAGAGAGAGGAAAGGGTCAGAGACAACATTTGAAGTGACAATGGCAAAAATCTTTCGGAAATGATGAAAAATAACAATCGATGTTTCAACAAATCCAATGTATCAACATTTACCTTTATATTCCTACTCAAAAAACAAGGATTTTGGAACTTTTACGTTTAACCACCTTCTAGCTCATAGGCTATTGTTGCTGGGTATTTTAAGTTCACTTCTTTTTTTTTTTCTTTTATTTTATTATTATTATATTTTAAGTTTTAGGGTACATGTGCACAATGTGCAGGTTAGTTACATATGTATACATGTGCCATGCTGGTGTGCTGCACCCATTAACTTGTCATTTAGCATTAGGTATATCTCCTAATGCTATCCCTCCCCCCTCCCCCCAGCCCACAACAGTCCCCAGAGTGTGATGTTCCCCTTCCTGTGTCCATGTGTTCTCCTTGTTCAATTCCCACCTATGAGTGAGAACATGCGGTGTTTGGTTTTTTGTCCTTGCGATAGTTTACTGAGAATGATGATTTCCAATTTCATCCATGTCCCTACAAAGGACATGAACTCATCACTTTTTATGGCTGCAAAGTATTCCATGGTGTATATGTGCCACATTTTCTTAATCCAGTCTATCATTGTTGGACATTTGGGTTGGTTCCAAGTCTTTGCTATTGTGAATAGTGCTGCAATAAACATTCGTGTGCATGTGTCTTTATAGCAGCATGACTTATTGTCCTTTGGGTATATACCCAGTAATCGGATGGCTGGGTCAAATGGTATTTCCAGTTCTAGATCCCTGAGGAATCGCCACACTGACTTCCACACTGGTTGAACTAGTTTACAGTCCCACCAACAGTGTAAAAGTGTTCCTATTTCTCCACATCCTCTCCAGCACCTGTTGTTTCCTGACTTTTTAATGATTGCCATTCTAACTGGTGTGAGATGGTATCTCATTGTGGTTTTGATTTGCATTTCTCTGATGGCCAGTGATGGTGAGCATTGTTTCATGTGTTTTTTGGTTGCATAAATGTCTTCTTTTGAGAAGTGTCTGTTCATGTCCTTCATCCACTTTTTGATGGGGTTTTTGTTTTTTTCTTGTAAATTTGTTTGAGTTCAGTGTAGATTCTGGATATTAGCCCTTTGTCAGATGAGTAGGTTGCGAAAATTTTCTCCCATTCTGTAGTTGCCTGTTCACTCTGATGGTAGTTTCTTTTGCTGTGCAGAAGGTCTTTAGTTTAATGAGATCCCATTTGTCAATTTTGGCTTCTGTTGCCATTGCTTTTGGTGTTTTAGACATGAAGTCCTTGCCCATGCCTATGTCCTGAATGGTAATGCCTCGGTTTTCTTCTAGGGTTTTTATGGTTTTAGGTCTAACGTTTAAGTCTTTAATTCATCTTGAATTAATTTTTGTATAAGGTGTAAGGAAGGGATCCAGTTTCAGCTTTCTACATATGGCTAGCCAGTTTTCCCAGCACCATTTATTAAATAGGGAATCCTTTCCCCATTGCTTGTTTTTCTCAGGTTTGTCAAAGATCAGATAGCTGTAGATATGCGGCATTATTTCTGAGGGCTCTGTTCTGTTCCATTGATCTATATCTCTGTTTTGGTACCAGTACCATGCTGTTTTGGTTACTGTAGCCTTGTAGTATAGTTTGAAGTCAGGTAGCGTGATGCCTCCAGCTTGGTTCTTTTGGCTTAGGATTGACTTGGTGATGCGGGCTCTTTTTTGGTTCCATATGAACTTTCAAGTAGTTTTTTCCAATTCTGTGAAGAAAGTCATTGGTAGCTTGATGGGGATGGCATTGAATCTATAAATTACCTTGGGCAGTATGGCCATTTTCATGATATTGATTCTTCCTACCCATGAGCATGGAATGTTCTTCCATTTGTTTGTATCCTCTTTTATTTCATTGAGCAGTGGTTTGTAGTTCTCCTTGAAGAGGTCCTTCATGTCCCTTGTAAGTTGGATTCCTAGGTATTTTATTCTCTTTGAAGCAATTGTGAATGGGAGTTCACTCATGATTTGGCTCTCTGTTTGTTTGTTATTGGTGTATAAGAATGCTTGTGATTTTTGTACATTGATTTTGTATCCTGAGACTTTGCTGAATTTGCTTATCAGCTTAAGGAGATTTTGGGCTGAGACAATGGGGTTTTCTAGATATACAATAATGTCATCTGCAAACAGGGGCAATTTGGTTTCCTCTTTTCCTAATTGAATACCCTTTATTTCCTTCTCCTGCCTAATTGCCCTGGCCAGAACTTCCAACACTATGTTGAATAGATATGGTGAGAGAGGGCGTCCCTGTCTTGTGCCAGTTTTCAAAGGGAATGCTTCCAGTTTTTGCCCATTCAGTATGATATTGGCTGTGGGTTTGTCATAGATAGCTCTAAGTTCACTTCTTTTTAAGAGCTCCACAAGTCTGCTTGTACGTAGGTATGTAGATTTACCTGAATATTTATCAATTCATTTGTTTTCCATTCTTTCTCATGTTATGTCTCAGGCCTTTTATACCAGTTTCTTTCTGCCACAAAGACATCCTTAGAATTTAGTTTAGTGATGGTCTGGTGAAGACAAATTTTCTCATTGGTTGTCCAAAGGAAGCTTAATTCCAAGTTTGTTCTTGAGAGGTATTTTTGCTGGCATATGTTCAATTTGTCAGAATATTTGTCAATTGTAAACTTTTGTGCACTTAATAAAAGAATATCAAAAATATATAATGTATACATTCTTATAACTAGAAGGAACAGGCAACACATAAACAAACCATTGCAATAGGAGACTTACAATAAACTCTTAGTAATTGATTGTCCAAGAAGACAGAAAGCAACATGGGCTTAGCAAATTTTAACAGCACATTATCAAGCCTGACCTAAGAGATATGTATGAGACATGGTGGATAACAACTTTAGGATATACATTGTTGTGTAAGTCCCCATTGACAGGACCGGCTTCATAATTTGAAGAGTGTAATGCAAAATAAAAATGTAGGAACTTGTGTTCAAAAATTATTAAAAATGTAATAGTAACAGTTGTGATAGCAAATCAATAACACATGCATGGAACCCTTCTGAACATGAGCCCTGTACAAGTATACAGGTCCCACACCCATGAAGCAGACCCTGCCCATAGAATATTTATGAAATTTATCACATTCTGAGGCATAAAACAAGTCTCAACAAATTTCAAAGAATTCATGTTATATAGACCACATCATCCAAATATTTTTCAATTCATTTAGAATTCAACCACAAAAATATAAGTACTAAAAAGCCCATATGTTTGGAAAACAATAAACACTTCTAAATAAATTATCTGTGCAAAGAAAATCAGAATGAAAATTCAAAAATTTTTAGAATACAATTATATAAATACTGTATATCAAAACATGTGTGCAGTTGATAGAGTAATGGCATTCCAAGAGATGTTCATGCTCTAACCCGTGAAATCTTTGAATATGTTACCTTACACAGCCAGAGACTTTGCAGGTGTGATTATGTTAAAGATTTCAAGATTGGAAATTATCCAGGAGTATTTGTATGGGCCTGATGTAATTGATATAATCATAAGGGTCTTCATAAGAGGAAGGCAGGATGGTCAGATACAGAGAAAGAGATGTGATCATGGAAAGGAAAGAAGTGTTACAGGGAAAAGCCCAGGAGTCAAGGAATACAGGTGCCTTTAGAAGCTGGAAAGGCAAGGAAATGGATTCTCTCCTAGAGGCTCCAGAAAGAACATAACACATCTACACTTTGGATTGAGAACTTCTGACCTTCAGAATCCTAAGATTTATAATAATAAATTGGTGGTGTTTTATGCCACAAAGTTTATGGTAACTTTCTTTAGCAGCAATAGAAAACATAAACTGTTTAATGAAATTAATTTAATATTACTAGTAAGTATTTTATACTTACAACTGTAGTGATTATATTAGAAAAAAGAATAAAGATAGTAAAATAATAAAAATAGAAAAGTAATAAAGAACTGAGCAAAGCATTAATACATCAACAGAGGATTTACACAAGTTGGTTGTTTTGAAAGAGTAATAAAATTGATAAAATTGAATTGAAAATAAAACAAACTATGATTAACAGCACTAAATTTGAAAAGAGATTAATGGACATATTTCTACAATATTGTATTTCCAAATCTAACTCAAGAATTTAAAAAAAATCTATAGAATTCAATAACAATCAAGGACATATTAATCAATATTTTAAAATATTTCTACTAAGAAAAAAATAAGTAAGCCACACAATTTTATCAGAACTCATTCATAAAAACACATTACAAAAATTTTTAAAGAACACAGTATTAAGACAAAAACATTTAAAGATTTTAATACATCATAACAAACAATACAACTTAATAACTGAATACAACTTAAATAACTGAAGATCAATTAATGAAACTCACAAGCATTGACAAATGATATTAAGGTAGTAAAGGAGAAAAAACTTGATCATCTCAATGGATTCAGAAATAACCTGGGATATGACTTAACATCCAATCATTTTAAAGAAAAAAAATCCTCTAGGAATGAGAGGAAACTACTTTAAACCTATAAAAGTTACAATAAAACAAACAAAAATCACAGCATACTCAAGACTTAAGAGTTAATTTAAAAATAGTAATATATACAATTGAAGCAAAACAGGTTTCCATTATCACCACTTCCATTCAATTTTTTATTGAAAGTCCTGGGCAATGCAGGAAGATAGGAACAAAGATATTAAAAAGTAACAATTGGGAAAGAAAAAAATAAAAGGTAGAACTCAAAAGATTATATAAAGATAATTGATTAACTTTAAACAATTTTGCTGGGTATGAAAACAATTTATAAAAACAAATTGCTTCTCTGTATACCAGGAACAATTAGAAAAGGCAGCTTAAAGCATACTATATAAACTAGCATCATCATTTAAATCAACAAGAAATAAATCTAACAAAGCTGTGTAAGAAATGTGTGAAGAATATTATTATACTTTATTAAATCCCCAAGATTGGAGATCATCCTATAAAAACCCTAGAAGACAACTTAGGCAATACCATCTTGGACGTAGGAGTGGGCAAAGATTTCATGACAAAGATAACAAAAGCAATCTCAACGAAAGCAAATGTTGACAAACGATATCTAATTAAACTTAAGAGCTTCTGTGCAGCAAGAGAAACTATCAACAGAGTAGACAGAGGGTGGAGGGTGGGAGGAGGGAGAGGAGCAGAAAAGGTAATTATTAGGTACTAGGCTTAATACCTGGGTGATGAAATAATCTGTCTAACAAACCCCCATGACAGGAGTTCACCTATGTAACAAACCTGCCCACATCCCCTGGAACCTAAAATAAAAGTTACAAAAAAAGTCATCAAAGGAAACCTAAAAATAAGGTAAATATAACATGTTGCATGAATTGGAAATAAATCTTGTAAAACAGATGTCACTTATTTCCCAATTAATTTACAGATCCAATGAAGTTCTAATATAATTTCCAAAATCTATGTATGTAATTTGTCAAGACGATTTTAAAATTTGTCTTGAAGTGAAAGGTTCAAGAATATCTGAGACATCTTTGAAGAAGAACAAGTTGAGACACACTCTTATTAAAGCATTGGGGTCTCATTCCCAGTAGCCTTTAGAGAAAATTATAGCTGTTAGCCTTGACGGGAAGAGTTAGACGAGGTGGCTTATTGAATTGATTCAAAGCCAATCAATCTATGTGAAAACACTGGTATTAGTAAGACATCTAAAGACTGCAAGGAAGACATAGGCTGAGATACTTTCATTAATCAGGTTTGCATATTCCAGATGATCTGAAGTCACAAAGGGTTCCCTCTTTCTTTCGTATTTAGAAAATATGCTATAGGACATTTAGAGTGAGGAAGAAAGTCTTCTCTTATTTTCTCACTAGTTAGTTCACATTGCAACCTGCTTTTCCTATGTCATTTAGCTTCTTAACAATTGCTCTGGGTACCTATAGTTGCTATTATCTCTCTGGTCTCTTTTATAACTCCCAGTGCATATTAACACATAGGTATTCAGCATAATAGAATCAATGCAAGATTTAAAAGTGACACACCAGTAGGAACCAACTGAAAATTCTACCTGGTATTCGCTGTTTAGAAACAACTTCGTTGTTTCCCTTTAGAAGAGGATTTTTTCCTGCCTATATTTCTTCTCTTGCTATGTTGCGGGGCTTCTTTTTCTTCAGGGTTCTGCCTAATCTTCGTTTCCATATTCTCCTCTTCACATTCAAGATCCCTTGTCCCACTCCCATTTTTCAGTTTCTCATCTTGTGTATCTCATTGATAAGTAAATAAAACAGATAGAAATAAGTAAGTTTAATAAAATATTGCTAGGAGATGTACCAAAGTTATTTGCATGAAAGTTGATCATATGAATTGGATCATTTTTGTCACTCAACTAAAACAGAGTTGGGAGGCCAGGGAGGGGGTGGGGTGGGGGGAAAGCACCCAGCACAAAACATTGCTCAAAAGATGTAATTCTCTGCAAGCTGGGCAGCTAAAGCTGCCTGCTATAACCTGAAACCAGTTTGATCTAACTGCTGAAAGCTGCTCAAACTCTCTGACTAGTTTTGCCCACTGCTGTCACTTACCTATCAGAGTTTGCTAGAACCTTAAAATCTTACTAGTGCTAATGAAATTTCTCAAAGAGCAATATGTAACATTTTCCCATTTCATAAAATCTTGAACCTTCTCCTTGTTATCCAGAAAGCACACTTCCACTTGTACTAAAAAGCATGCCTCCCCAATCTATAGATTTAAAAAAATTATAAAAAATAAAGCTCTACTCCTTTCCCTCTACAGATCTCATGGTCTTTGGTTAACATTTGGAAGCAGGCAAGCAGGGGTTATCTAATCTAACTAGCCTAGATTTCCATGAGAACGTTTAGAGTCTGAAGCATGAGTAGGAGTTAGCCACACAAAGGGAAGAAGAATGTGTAGGAAAGGAGTCTAGACAGTGAGAAAAAGTAATGTGTAGGCAAGAGCTTGATATGATTTAAGAAGTGAAAGAATTTCAGTATGACTAGAGTTTGGCGTGAAACAGAACAAGTGCTAACAGCTAAAGCTAAGACAATAGACAATACATTGCTCTAAAGGGCTTAGAGTTAGAATGGAAAACTTCTAGTGCACTCCAATTTGCCTAATTTTGAGTTGTGAACACTACATGCCATTCTTCCTCCGAGGTGTTTCCAGATGGAAGTGGGAGGCCACAAAAGCAACCTAAAGTGCTTAATCTTAGAAACTTCTTCGTGCCATTTGGAGATTGAATCAAAGAACTAACTTCTGACTCTAAACAAAACCTCTTAATGTGAGGTTTTAACATCATATTAATATCATCAGTATCCAACCCTAAAAGCAAAATGAGAATATCTGTACCAATTCAGTGTATCTTAATAATGAATACTTTTAAGCACTACCTCTCAATTCCATCTTTATCACCTTTAAAATATGCCAGATTATTTCTTTACTTTCTCATCTATATTGTCACTGTCTACAAGACAGTGAAGTATTCCATCTAAAAGGCAATCAAGTAGGTCAAATTGAAAATGTGCCATCATGTAAATAAGCCAAAAAAAGGAAAAATGAAAAAGAGAGGGAGAATGTGAGCATGTGAGTGAGAGAGAAAGGTCAAGCAATTTGCTGAATTAACATTTTTTGCTTTATTTTTCTTCAATGATAATAGTAATGTATATAAGGATGTATATAGATAGTTGTATATGTATAGTTATGTATACAAATATGTATTTATTTGTATAGACCCAGCCTTAGAAACAAACTACATGAAAGATATATTATCACATACCGTTGATCCATTTGTGTGATCTTAAATCACTTGTCTAATTTTACTGAATAGAAGCATGAATTTAAATATACAGAAACACACAAAATAAAAGATATATAAAGATAATAAAGTGTTCACCCTAAAATTGCATTACATGTAAAATACCATAATACATATGTTGTACATACAACATACAAAATCAAGAATTTTCATAAATGACATTTGTTTTGCTAGAAATGCATCCAGAAATAGATTCATCAGTTGAAGTACCTAGGCAAAAATATTTTATTTTCAAGATTTTGTTAAATAAGTAATAATTTTTTATTACAATACACCTATTTTTACATTCAGTTTATATTTCAAAACTTGAGAAGGATAAAAAATTATTTTGCTTTTGGCTTGTGATAATAATACAGCAAGTGAAAATTGCGTAAGAATGTACTAACTCTGCAATAACAACAAAAAGTCTAAGAAACCAGTCATTTCTCCATTATTCACTTTAAAAGACGTCCAGATAGCAATTGTCTCAAGTTTGGTAACCATCAGCTGAGTTTGCTGAAAACACAGACAACAGATAGAAACTTTTCCAATGCATCAGAGTAAATCGACAATTCCATCTCACAAGATTTTCAAAACAGAAAATCAAGAATCCTCTAAATGATTACTTAAGTCAAAGAATCCAGCTCTTACAATGAATGGAGAAAGAGGGATTTCTATGTACTTTGCATTCCATAAAAATTAAATTAAATAGATACACAAAGGTATCTCTTGATGAAAAACAAAGATATGAAAACATTCACAGAAGTTTCCACCCAAAGTTTGTTTCAGATGTATCTGGATGAATGTTCCAATAACTTTGTAAAAGATTATAGTGCAACAGATGAGAATAAACTTAAGGTATCAAGCAATTGTATTTCATAGGGGATAGTTTACCTTACATTTTAATCATGTTGTGATATGATTCCACTATCTAAATAGATCCTAAATTAGGATCACTAATTAGATCCTAATTTAATCTGCCACTTACTGCATGCTACTTTGCCTTTACACTTTCATTTTTAGTGTTCCTCTAAATGAAGCATTTGTGGGGAAACTATTCTATAAGTAGATACTTCTGCTTAGATTTATTTTTTCTATATGCTTCCAAAGGTATCCACCATGCCTCTTACAGGAATCCCATTTTGAAACATGTTATTAAAGAGACAACTCATTTCTAGTCACCTCTCTGCAGGTCTCCAGCAGCTCTGCTATGACGTAGGTGAATCATCCTTCTCCCCAACTTGTTTTATTTTCCTTAGTATGTGCTAGTCATGTTTTGTGAAAAACTCATTCCTAAACTTTCTTGTTTAGGAAACAAGAAATATTTTGTTATTATTGAGCTCATTGAAAAATTTCTGAATATTAAAAAATATCATATTCCAAGATCTTTTTGTAAATCTTAAATGAGCCTTAGAGTTGGTGAAGGACATTTGTAAAATATAATGCTTTATTCTGAAGAGAGAGGAAAATCTTAGCATTTTCTTTCTTTTTCTATCTTCCTGACCCATCTTATCCATCTTATGTTGTGGGTTAGTTTTAGAGGCTTCTGTGCGGCTATGAAAAGGACTATGACTTCTACTTCTAAGTCCCTTTTCTAGCACTAAACTTCTTCCCAAAATAATCTTTCTAATCTCCTAGTTAACTAAAATTGTCTCATTTTTCCTTATCTCAAAATGGAGAGAAGAGTTAGTAGTAATATGTACTGAGTAAAATTTGTTATATCTTTCACATGTAATGTCACATAGATTCTATACAAACTGTTTATATGTGTTTCCATCTATATCCTTCCTATTATCTAAATCTTTTAAAACCTTGTGTTTATTCATATATTTTTAATTGAGATATAAAATCGTATGTATTTACCATGCACAGTGTGATAGGTTTTCTGACCCCTCACTTTACAGTGAGAAAAACTACATGACTCTGATTTTAAATGTGGTGTACTCCATGTGGTATGTATTGGGAATAGAATAAATGCCATTTTTGCACTTGATTTCCATGTAACATAGTACATTAGCTTTTAAAGATTTAACTTTTGAATATTTGACTCCTGAAAAATCTATGGCATGTAAACGTATTATGGGTTCACAATTCTGATGCTGCTATACATGTATTCTAAACATTTTAATTGAATAATTGATGGCTAATGGTAGGAGCCAGGTTTCTCACTGTTACTCTAAGCATTTTCAGATAAGCAAGGAGGGGAAGATAAAATGATTTGAGTAATGAATTAGAGTTGGACACATCAGTATGAATTCATGGTTAGCTTAATATAGATACAGGTGGATACATATAGAAATATTTGTAGATATGTGTATATAGTTGGGTTAGTATGCACACATATATTTCTTTCCTTTGTTATCTGAGAGGGCTTAGAAGTAATAGCACTCCAGTAGCAACAAGCACAACTAGAACCCAAATCTTGGTATCTAAAATCATTTTCCAATGAAATGAATGAATGAGGGACCTTTGAAGAAATGAGTGTAGCTGAGTGTAGGACTGAGGCAAGAAATCTACAAGATGATCCATGAACATCTTCTAGCGCCAGAAAATAAGGGAGTGTCCCCATCCCCATTAAAAAATTGATGATGGTATGTCAAAGAGGACCAGGAGCTAACTGAAGCTAGAATGATGGCCAAAGCTGGAACAACTTGAGAACAAAATGAAGTAGTATTATAACCCAAAATATAAAGTAAATATTCATGAGTCCAAATGGATCTAAATAAATGATTGAATAAATAAATAAATTGTTATGAAGAGACTAAAATTTGCAGTCTCATTTACCATGCAAAATAATTCCAAATAATTTCTGTGATATGCTCCCTTTAGGAGGTGGAGTATAACTATGCACTGCAGAAGTATGGGCTGAGCCTAGTGACTTAATTCCAATGACTATGGTATGGAAAGGGAAGGAGGAAGAGTAGTTTTATAGTAGAGAAACCTGAAAAATACTGCCTGACCATGTGATCAAAGTCAACATCATAAATGATAAACTATGTTGATAGTATGTACAGATACATTTCAATGGGGAGGTATCTACAAAATACCTGAGTAGTGCTCCTCAAAACTGTCAAGGTCATCTAATACAAGGAAATTCTGAGAAACTGTTACAACTAAGAGGAGCCTAAGGAGACATGACAACTTAATGTAATGTGGCATCCTGGATTGATCCTAGACCATAAAAAAGACATTCGGTAAAACTATGAAAATCTATGTATGGACTTTAATTTATAATAACTTATCAATATTGATTCATTAGTTGTAACAAATTTACCCTACTAATGTAAATGTGACTAACAGTAGAAACTGGGTGGGGGTATATAGAAACTGTAATAATTTCTCAATTTTCTGTAAATCTAAAACTGTTCTTTTAAAAAGTCTATTTTTTTAAGTGAACATATGAGACAAAAAAAATCACAGTGTGTAGTAATTTGCAAGTTTCTGCGATAATGATAACACTGGTACATGGGCTATGAAGATGATGTGGGGAGAGCATGTGCCTTAGGTAGTGACAGTGCCAAACTTATCACCACGTACATTGGTACAGCTTTGTCTTGCCTTCCTTGAGATCTGCTACTAGAGTATGCTGGTCTTTGAGAACTTGTCCAATCTCTGGATCTATTTTTTAAAAAATGTCAAAGGTCCATCCACCATAATAATATAATCATATTCAGGAACCGAGCATATTAGAAAAAAATATGTAGCAGCTCAGGACCATCAGCAGAAGGTGGTAGAGATTGTGGTGAACTGGACAACACATGGTCTGCTTTGTCTCCTAATAATTCAGAATATCTTACAACACAGAACTTGGCAAGCCAAATTCTGTGGAATGCCAGTTTGGACCACCATCCTCCTAAGAGGAATTTTGTTTTATCTGCTATAGTAAACTCTGACACCACAGGTATTCCACTTTTAATTAAGTTCATGGTTCCATTTGTGGCTACTTTCCTTCAATTAGGGTTGGATAATCAATGTTGGACCATATGTATCATAGGCCACGTTTTAGCTTTCTGGTATCTGGGATGGTGGAGAGTTGGGAAATACAACAATGCTATTCAATAAATATGATTCAAAAGCTAAATTGTTCTTCAATTTTACATTAGGCCTGATTAAAAAGAAATGCAACAAAACAGAGACGAAAAGAAATCAAGGGAATAAATTGTTAGTCACTGCCTCATTTCTACTATGTTCCTCCAGCTACCTGTAATTGGCTTAATAGGTGGGCTAAGTCTGAGCTTGAGTCTGACGAAGTTCTTGCGGTAACAGTGGCAGGATAAATAAAACGACAAACACTAAATCAGACTCCCTCAGAACCGCGTTCCACCAACCCAGTCAGTGGCCTGCTGAGCTTCTGGAACCTTACAACCTTTTCTTGCCTTACACTCTGTTTTGGCAACCCAAGCTTCTCGCTATTTCTCGTTTCCTCCTAACTGCATGCCCTGATGTATTCTTTAGATGTGATAACTGGGTTTGGGTTTCTGGTTTTGACCCTTGGCTCCCCTCCTTGACTATTAGCTGTACTTGCCCCCTTGCACTGTGTCTGCCTCTGACTATTCAGAATGACCTCTAGTCTGTTTCTAAAATAACCTCAAGATCTTCTATTCAGCGCTAAAAACAAGAAACTTGGCATCCTGAGTCGCAGATATTCTGGAAGGGTTATATGTTGAATAGACATAGGAGAGGTATATTAAAGGGAAGCTGGATAAGCTAAAGTGGATTCTCAACTTGAGGAGCAAAGTCTGAATTGAAGCCTACCCTATCCATGTTTTTTACCCTTTTTTATCCAGGTTAGAAAATTTTTATATAATTTTAAACTTCTCTATCTGTCTATCTTTCTATCTATCTGTCATCGTCTGCATTCCCTATTGTTTTAAAACTTTCTAAAAATACTATAGTAAAATATACATAACAGCATTTATGATTTTAATGATTTTTAGGTTTATAGTTTAGTGGGCATTAAGTATATTCAGGTTGTTGTGCAACTATCACTACTAACCATCTCTAGAACCTTTTTATCTTCCCAAATTGAAACTCTGTACCCATTAGACAATAACTGTTTCCCCCTTCTTTCCCAGCCCCTGACAACCACCATTCTATTTCTCTGTAGGTATGAATTTGACTACTTTAGATACTTAATAAAGTGGAATCATATAATATTTGTCCTTTTGTGACTGGCATATTTCACCTTGCATAATGTCTTCAAGGTTTATTCAGATTGTAGTTTGTGTTTGAATTTCCTGCCTTATTAAGGCTGAATAATATTGCATTATATATATATGTATATATTGCACTGTAAATATATATATATATAACAACACAAATGTTCATTGATGGATAAATAGACAACATATGGTGTGTGTGTGTGTATATATACCATATATATATATACACACCATATATATATATACACACCATATATATGGTGTATATACATATACACACACACACATATATATATGCCATATATATGGGGTATACACACACACACACATATATATCTATATATACACACACACACCATATATATATACACACACCATATATATATACACCATATATATGGTGTATATACATACACACACACACACATATATATACACCATATATATGGTGTATATATACACACACACATATATATCTATATATACACACACACACACATATATATATCTATATATACACACCATATGTTGTCTAACTATTTATCCATCGATGAACATTTGGGTTGTTTTCACCTTTTGGCTATTGTGAATAATGCTGCTATGATCATTGATGTCCAAATGTCTGAGTCCCTGCTTTCAATTATGTTGGGTGTACACCTAGAAGTGAAATTACTAGTTCATATGGTAATTCTTTTTTTTTTGAGGAACTATCACACTTTTCCACAGATGCTGCTTTATTTTACATTCCCACCAGCAACGCACAAGAGTTCCAATTTCTCCCTCCACATTGTCACCAACACTTGTTATTTTCTGGATTTGTATTTGTTTGTTTTGTTTATTACTTTGTTTTCTAATAGGCATCCTAAGGATATTGAAGTGTTATCTCAAGGTAGTTTTAATTTGAATTTCCATAGTGTTTAATGATTTTGAGTCAACTTTACTTGTTTATATTGGTCATCTGTATATCTTCTTTGGAGAAATATCTATCCACGTCTTTTGCCCATTTAAAAAATCGGGTTGCTTTTATTGTTGTTAAGTTGTAGGAGTTTTTAATACATTCTGGATAATAACCAGTTATCAGATGCATGATTTGAAAATATTTTCTTCTATTCCATAGGTTGCTGTGTCCTTTGATGCACAAAAGTATTATATAAATTTACTCTGTTGATAGTGTTCTTTGATGCACGAAATATTTAATTTTGATAAAGTCAAATTTACCCTTTTTTTCTTTTTTGTTTTGTGTGATTTTGGTGCCATATGTGTTAAAACTTTTGTAATATTAGATCTTTTTCCAATATGATCTGCAGAATTTATACTATCTTATGTTCTAGACTTTAAAGAAAATGTATTTTTATGAGGATTAAAATATTGAGAAACAAAATGCAAGGAGTTCCAGGATCCATCTGGGGATTGTTCCCTTGCTCATAGGTGCTTGTTATATGATCCAAGTACCAGTAGCTCATTAGAAAAAGACACAATTACCAAATAAGCCCTCCGAGGAAATGCAAATTTCCGTATCTCTCCTGAAATTCCCTTGCTAGGAATTATTGGATATGGATTGTTATGGAAAGAAGGATAGTACGGTTAAAAATATTGCTATAAAAAGCATTTTATGTTATATAAAAATTCAAAAATATTATCATTCTGAGTGAGCTTGGAATGTATCATTTCCTAACTCCATGGTGCCAGTCATCATGAGACCTTTAAATTCTCCCAAGATTCTGTATTGCTGACCAGTTTTTGTCCTTCTAAAAGGGTGGAAATTTCTCTAAAAGTCTAAGGAGGCCACAGCCACTGGGGGTATATGCTGCTCATAGCAACAAGAGTTATTTTTTATTTTCCTGTAAAAATAGTGAGTAAATAATGGCAGATACCATATGCAAACACTGAATTAATGGAAAGAGCTAGTGACAAAGATGCTTTACATATAAATTTTTCTTATTTTCGTACATGTAAGTATTTACTCTTCTAAAAGGTAGTAATGCCTTTGTCACCAAGTCTGGTTCCAAAATCAGCCCCCTCTCTATTACACCACAGAATCTTGCCAGAATCATTCAAATCAATTTCATAGGAATTCATCAACAAACAACTATTAATCTCTTTGCTGGAAACTTCAGGCAAATGCATCTTTTTGGGATTTTGCCAAGCACTGAATCATGAAAATACAGAGTTGGAACTCAAAAAGTTATAAATCATTTGTGTCTCACTTGGGAAGAGTGACATGTGTTAGACTGATAACATAGTCCTTCCTACATGGTTGTGAAAATTCTCTCCAAGCACGTAGTCTACGTCTACTCCAGTAGTAAAGCTAATTGTTTGGAAAAACCTGTTGAGACCAATGCAGAGCTTAGTCTGTAATAATTTGACTGATTGCATATCTTATAGCCCTGGGTCTTGAAACTAAGTTGTACTGCCATGAGAAACACCTACACTTCCCCAGTTTTTAAAATGTTTAAAAAATTCCTTCCTTCCTTCCTTTCTTTCTTGGCTGTTTCTGGCCAAAATGCAGAATTTGCATTTGCCAATCTGAAATCAAATCATATAGAAAAAGCAGAAATGGGACACTTTATGAGATTTCAAAGACCGATATCTGAAAGTCTTTAAATTCTGTAGATGAAATTCCAGTGCGAGGGATGATAGTATTCATGATTCCAGGTTCTATTGCTATCCAATTTAAGAAATTAAAGTGAATTTCAGTCCTTTTGGAAACAAAGCTGGATGCATTTACTGTACACATGGCTAATTTTACACTCTTATAGCAAAAAACTCAAGCAGCTTGATTGGAAAGAGAAACCACTTGTAAAACCAACAGTATTAGGAACCACCTGGATTATTCTCTTGTCTTAGTAAGACTGAGGACAAAAGAGTAGGATAAATACAGCATTTCTGCTACCCTATGTTTGGTAGCTAAACTATTGTTATCTTTATTTATTTATCCTATTATAATATTTGTGACTCAAAGAAAGGGTAGAACTTAATTAAAGAGAAAAATTAGAATCAATAACAATCACTTTCCAAGGTATAATGGTTCAGAAACACAGGCATTAGAAATCCATCTGCAATGGTTTGAATAATTGTCCCCTCTAAAACTTATGTTGGGCCAGGCATGGTGGCTCATGCCTGTAATCCCAGCACTTTGTGGGGCTGAGGAGGGAGAAACACCTGAGGTCAGGAGTTTGAGACCAGCCTGGCCAACATGGTGAAACCCCGCCTCTACTAAAAATACAAAAATTAGCCAGGCATGGTGGCAGGTGCCTGTAATCCCAGCTACTACCTGGGAGGCTGAGACAGGAGAATTGCTTGAACCTAGGAGGCAGACGATGTAGTGAGCTGAGATCATGCCACTGCACTCCAGCCTGAGCAACAAAGAGCAAAACTCCTTCTAAAAAAAAAAAGAAAAAAAAAAAAAAAGAAGAAACATGTCGAAATGTAATCCCCAATGTGGCAATATTGAGAAGTGGGACTTTTAAGAAGTGATTGGGTAACATGGCTGGGCACGGTAGCTCACATCTGTAATCCCAGCCCTTTGGGCAGCCGAGGCAAGAGGATCACCTGAGGTCAGGAGTTGAAGACCAGCCTGGCCAACATGGTGAAACTCTGTCTCTACTAATAATAAAAAATTAGCTGAGCATGGTGGCATGTGCCTGTAGTACCAGCTACTTGGGAATCTGAGGCAGGAGAATCGCTGGAACCTGGGAGGCGGAGGTTGTAGTGAGCTCAACTCAAGCTACTGCACTCCAGCCTGGGCGACAAAGTGAGACTCCGTCTCAAAAAAATAAAAATAAATAAAAGAAGTGATTGGGTAACGAGAGTTCTGCCCTCATGAATGGATTAATCCACTCATGAATTAATTGACTGACTAATGTATTGATGGATTAATTGATTATTATAGGACCAGGACTGGTGGCTTTAGAAGGTCAGCAAGAGGGACTAGAGCTAGCACGCTCAGCCCTCTTGCCACGTAATGTCCGGTGCTGCTTCAGAACTCTGCAGGGAGTCCACACCAGCAAGAAAGCCCTTATCAGATGCAGCCCCTCAACCTTGGACTTCTCAGCCTTCATAACGATAAGTATTCATTTATTTTCTTTATAAATTACCCAGTTTTTATAAATCAACAGAAAATAAATTAAGACACCATCTAAATACCAACTCAACTGTGTGCAGATGAACAACTAGCACACTCATTGGAATAGCTGAAATAAAAACCAGACAGTTCCAACTATTGGTGAAGATGTGAAGCAACTGGAACTCTCAGACTTTGCTGATAGGAGTGTAAATAATACAGTTTGGAAAACCGGCTGCATCTACCAAAGCAGACATACACATTACCTTTGACCCAGTAAGTCCCTTATGTAAACTCGACAGAAAATGTGCACATATATTCCTAAAAAGACACGTAGTAGAATGTTAATAGCAGTACCCTCTGTGGTGGTCCTAGATTAGAAAATTACCCAAAAGTCTGCCAACAATAAAAAATATAAATCAAATATGATATATCATATAATGGAATACTATATAGCATTGCAGAAACATTGAGAATAGCTATGTATAATTATACACAAAAATATTAATGAATCTTACAAGCATATTGTTGAGTTTAAAGAGCCAGGCACAAAAACCCACATGCTGCATGATTCAATTTCTTAACAAACAAAAGCAGGCAAAAACAATGTATGCCTTTGAAAGTCAGAACCATGGTAACCCTAGAGACACAGGATGTGATTAGAAAGGAACATGGAGTAGGATTTAAGGGTACTGGTAATGTTCTGTTTCTTGATATGGGAGCTAGTTCAGTTTGTAAAAACTCTTATTGAGATTGAAATACGTGCACTTTTAAGTTATGTGTTACATTCAATAAAAATCTTTTAAAAATAATGAGTAAACATTCTCTGAGGTATAGCATAGAATGTGCAGAAACAGGAAAGACAGTTCATCATGGAACATGGACCTGGGGATAGGATTGAGGGTGAATGTGTGTGGAAAAGCATTGGGATTATAAAATACAGGGCAGTGTCACAATTTAGAAACACTAAGCTAAGGTGCAGCTGAAAACGTATGTGTGGGAGTTGGTCCAGATTCTCTGAGAAGCAGACATCAAGATAGGATTAGGCATGCAAGAAGTTTATTAAAGTAAGTGTATGTGAGAGGAAATGGGGAGGCAGCTGGGAGAGGCCGACAAAGACATCAGACCACGATGCGGGATTAACCTTGAGTGAAGGGGGAAGTGAATGTAGGTTGGGTGGAACATCTTGGACTGCAGTGCAGTTCAAGGGGAAGTTCAGTAAGGTCACTGGGGAATCATAGAGTCCAAGTCACCTGTTAGAGGAAACCTGCGTCTCCCCGGAAGCGGTCTATGTTAGTATTCTGCCATGCTTCTTTATCAGTTAGGAGCAATGCTTGGGAAGCTTAGTCTTGGGACAAAAGTAATGATGAATTTTAAAGCAAAATGTGTAGAGCCACCAGTCAATTATGCTCCTTGTAGTCAGGGATCCAGAGGTACATTTTCATGACTGCCACAAGAAGAAGACAAAACCTGTGACAATGGCCTGCTGGCAAAAGTGTCTCTAAAATAAAAGCTTTGACTTTTAGTATTTGACAATTTCCTTGGTGTAAATATTTTCACTACGCTGTTTTTCAAGCTAAAAATGGTTTTGCAAATGGTTGGTAAAACTTCTGAATGTCTGATAATCCGCTCTCATGACATAGTATCAGCCAGCTCCAGCATACCATTCCTTGTAAAGTTTGACTCTACAGGCAAAACAAAAGCCAATGTTTATCAGAGCAAAAACCTTAGAAAATGTTCACAATAGAAAGTCTTATGTTTTACTTTTTCCTAAAGTAAAATGATTGTCTAAAAGCTACTGATGGGGACAGGAGGCAGAGAAATTCTGGGCAGAAAACGGCGGATCCCTGGTGAAGCTTCAACCTCAAGCCTAAAACCCTGAGACCACAGCCCAAAGTGAGAACTTATAACCCTGTTTTCCCATTCAAATGTTGCCTTTTCCTAAGCCACCCATGGCCCTGCCCCACCCCATCATGTACCTATAAAGACCCTGGACTCAGCAAGCAAAGCAGAGAAGCAGCTGGATATTGAGGACTATAGCTAAATGTCAGAGAGAAGTGGCTGGACTTCAAAGGGACAGCTTGATGGCATAACTTTGGAGAAGAATCCTGCCGGAGACAGCTGGACTTCAGAGGAAGATTATCTTCCTTCCCTGTTCCCTTTTCAGCTCCTCTTCCCACTGAAGGCCACTTTCATCAGCAGTAAAATCACACACATTTAACATCCTTCAATTCGTTTGTGCAACCTCATTTTTCCTGGATGCTGAACAAGAGCTTGGGAGCCATAAGTGTGGATACAAAAGGCTGTCTAAGGCAGAGGACCCACTGAGCTGTTAAAACTTAAGCTGTCTGTGGACAGCAGAGCTAAAAGAGCACTGTAACATGCTTTCTGAAGCTTCAAGGGTCACAGGCATCCCCCTGTAGATGCTGCTGCTGTGGGGCCTGCACAGAGTTTGCCCCTGCCAGTACCCAAAAGCGCTCACCCCAAATCCTGCCCGCTCACCTGTGTGCTCCCTCCTGCAGTAAGTCTGAGTAAGTGGAGTTCACTCATGCCAGCACTGAAGTGGACAGCTGTTTCCAGCACTCCTGCAATCCAGTTCTCGCCTCATTCACTCACGCACACCCTTCTGCAAGGAGTTAAGAGCTGCTGGCTGAGTAAATGAGGCACCCCTGTTGCGAGTCCTGTGAAGGGGTCAGGGAAATATCCTGCTTCATGTGGGGGCCTATACAGGATATGTAAGAAGGGTGAGTAAATGCGGATCAGCTGGATCTTTCTCTTCACTTCTTTTCCAAGATTTCTTGTCCTCAGACTTTCCTCTGAGCTATGCTATTTGCAGGGGACAGGATGCAACCCTGTTACCTCTCTCTTCCTGGTGCAAGGAATGTTGGCTCTTTTTACCTTCATGGGGGTCTGGACTTCGTGTCAGACCAGAATAAAGTCCTGGGGCAACTGTAGGCTACTGGCCAAGGTCACTACTCAGTGTTGCCAGAAGGCCCTTAGAGGGGCTCCAGTCCCCAACTGCCCATTAGAACATTAACCAAGACCCTAGACTTTTCTATGGTATCTTTCCCTTTCTTCTTTCACAGTTTGACATGACTCCTATATCTTTTTTCGTAATAATAAGAGTTTTACTGCAAACAGCAGACATTTTACTAGATAGAATGAGCTTTTGGCCCAGCCATCAGATATGCGATTCAGAACAATGTGATTTCCATCTGTATTAGTCAGGATTCTCTGAGAGACAGGACTAATATGATACATTGTGTATACGAAAGCAAGTTTATTAAGTAGTACTGACTCACACGATCACAAGGTGAAGTCCCACAGTAGGTCATCTGCAAGCCAGTCCAAGTTCCAAAACCTCAAAAGTAAGGAAACCAATAGTACAGCTTTCAGCCTGTGGCCAAAGGCCTGAGAGCCTCTGGCAAACCACTGGTGTAAGCCCAAGAGTCCAAAAGCTGAAGAGCTGAGAGTCCAATGTCCAAGGGCAGGAAGCAAACAGCATGAGAGAAAGATGGAGGCCAGAAGACTTAGCCAATCTCGTCCTTCCATATTCATCTGCCACCTTTTATCCTAGCCATGCTGGCAGCTGATTAAATGGTGCCCACCCAGACTGAAGGTGGGTCTGCCTCTCCCAGTCCACTGACTGAAATGTTAATCTTCTTTGGCAACACTCTCAGAGACACACACTGGAACAATACTTTACATCCTTCAATCCAATCAAAAGTTGATACTCGATATTAACCATCACAAGTCCACCTCTTGTCAACTTGAACTCATATACATCTCCTGAAATTATACATAATTTTCAAATAAAGACAATAATAAGGTCTTAATTATGCCTTACATAGTACAGCTATCCTTTTGCAACTGGAAACACACCAATCCCCAACCCAAATGCTATTACATAAAGTTAATAACACTTAGATGCTGATATGAAGTCAATAAACCTTATGTCACATGATAAAGAAAAAAAAGAAAATGAAAATATTTTCTTAGTCAAGTGTATACATGCACAAACATGTTCTTGACAAAATAAGGAGAAAATACTCATGACAATTACAGTCCTCATCTCTGCATCTAGTCATGTGTTCTTAGCTGGTATTGATGACTACTTCTACTACCCATTCTGTATTCCCTTTGCCTTCAGCAAGCACTTCAGCAGGTTGTGGTTTTTTACCTGGTAGAGTGACCGAAACCTTTATTCCTGAAGGTTCTGGGCCATTTGTAGTCCTGTCTGGATTGGGCCGTTGTAGTTTCCCATTGACCTTTATCATAGGGCATGGTAATACTAAGAGACACCCTAAGGGATCTCCTGTATTCCATGTGCACTCTTCCTTACCTCCATTGTGGAGTAGTAGGCTGATTTCATCTTGATGGTCTGAGTCAGTCACCCCAGCCAACAATGTAACTCCTTTCTTAGCCTGTTGACTTAGAGGTAGGAGGAACGCAAGGTGGCCAGGTGACAATCTTAACTTCCAGTTTAATGAAATCATAGTTGTGTCTCCTGGTGGCAGCATTCCTCCCTCTAGAACTAAGACCTCTAGGCCAGCAAAACATAATGTCATGGGAACAGGAAGCAAAAATTTCCTAGTGGGTCACTAGGGGTGATGATGAGTGGTGCCACTTCCACTTCCATCCCTTGATTCCTGGACCTGTAAATCCTGGCTATGGGAGAAACTGTACCATATATTGGACACTAATTCAGAGCATACACAGCCTTCTGAAGAACTTTGCCTCAGCCATGCAAAGTATTGTCACCTAGTTGGCATTGTAATTGTGACTTCGAAAGGCCATTCTACTGTTCTATCAATCCAGCTGCTTCAGGATAATGGATAACATGGTAAATCCAGTGAATCCCATGAGCATGAACCCACTGTCACACTTCTTTAGCTGTAAAGTGAGTGCCTTGGTCAGAGGCAATGCTGTGTATAATACCATGATGGTGGATAAAATATTTTGTGAGTCCACAGATGGTGGTCTTGGCAGAAGCATTGGTGCAGGATAGGAAACCCATATCCCAAATAAGTGTTTATTCCAGTGAGGACAAACTGCTGCTCTTTCCGTGATGGAAGAGGTCCAGTATAATCAACTTGCCACCAAGTAGCTTGCTGATCACCCCAAGAAATGGTGCCATATTGAGGGCTCAGAGTTGATCTCTGCTGCTGGCAAATTGGGCACTCAACAGCAGTCGTAGCTGGGTCAGCCTTAGTGAGTGGAAGTCTATGTTACTGAGCCCATGTGTAACCTCCATCCCTGCCACCATGGCCACTTTGCTCACGGGCCCATTGGGCAATGACAGGGTGGCTGGGGAAAGAGGCTGAGTGGTATCCACAGAACGAGTCGTCCTATCCACCTGATTATTAAAATGCTCCTCTGTTAAGGTCACCCTTCAGTGAACACTCACATGAGATACAAATATCTTTACAGTGTTTGACCACTCAGAGAGGTCCACACACATATCTCTTCCCCAAATTTGTCACCAATTTTCCAATCATGCTTCTTCCAAGTCCCTGACCATCTGGCCCAACCATTGGCTACAGCCCATAAACCAATATATAATTGGACATCTGGCCATTTCTTCTTCCAACCAAAGTGCACAACCAGGTACACTTCTTGAAGTTCTGCTCACTGGGAAGATTTCCCTTTGCCATTGTCCTTTAGGAATGTCCTTGAAAGGGGCTGTAGTGCTGCAGCTGTCCACATTCAGATGGTGCCTGCATATCATGGAGAGCTATCTGCAAACAGGGAACTTGTCTTCTCTTCCTCAGTCAATTGATCATAGGTAACTCCCCATGAGGCCATCGCTGAAGGCTGGGGGAGAGAAGGCAGGGTGGCAGGAGTGGGGACCATGGTCATTTGAGCCACTCTTTCATGTAACTTGCTTGTGACCTCAGGACTTGCTCAAGCCCGATCACGTATACACCACTTCCATTTAATGATGGAATGCTGCTGTGCATACCTCACTTTGTGGCTAAATGGATCAGAAAGTACCCAGTTTATGATAGGCATTTCAGGTCGCATGGTGACTTGATAACCCATAGTCAAATGTTCAGTTTCTACCAAAGCCCAGTAACAGGCCAAAAGCTGTCTCTCAAAAGAAGAGTAGTTATCTACAGAAGATGGCAGGTCCTTGCCCCGAAACCTTAGAGGCCTCTGCTGTGATTCACCTATAGGGGCCTGCCAAAGCTCCAAACAGCATCCCTATCTGCCACTGACACCTCAAGCACCGTTGGATCTGCTGGGTCATATGGCCCAAGTGGCAGAGCAGCTTGCACAGCAGCCTAGACCTGTTGCAGAGCCTTCTCCTGTTATGGACCCCATTCAATTCTAGGAGCCTTCCAGGTCACTCAATAAATGGGCTGGAGTAAGACACTCAAATGAGTAATGTGTTGCCTCCAAAATCCAAATAGGCCTACTAGGCATTATGCCTCTTTATTGGTTGTAGGGGTGGCCAAATGCAGCAACTTATCCTTCACTTTAGAAGGAGTATCTCAACAGGTCTCACACCACTGGACCCCTGGAAATTTTGCTGAGGTAGAAGTTCCCTGAATTTCAGTCAGTTTTATTTCCCATCCCCTGGCATGCAAATATCTCACCAATAAGCCCAATGTGTTTGCTACTTATGACCTACTGGATCCAGTCATCCTAATGTCATCAATGTAATGGACCAGTATGATATCTTGTGGAAGGGAAAGGGATTAAGATATCTGCAAACAAGATTATGATGCAAAGCTGGAGAGTAATGGATCCCTGAGGTAGGACAGCTGAAGGCAATTTGCAAGCTGAAGGCAATTTGCTTCTGCTGGGCCTTGTGGACAAGAAGGGAGGAAAAGGCATTTGCCAAATCAGTGATTGCATACCAGGTACCAGGAGGTGTGTTAATTTGTTCAAGCAATGAAACCACATCTGGTACAGCAGCTGAAATTGAAGTCACCATTTGATTAAGATTACAGTAATCCACTGTCATTCTCCAAGATCTATCTATCTTCTGTATGGGCCAAATAGGAGAGTTGAACAGGGATCTGCATCTTTCAAGTCCTTCATGGTGGCACTGATCTCTGCAATCTCTTCAGGGATGCAATATTGTTTTGACTTACTATTTTTTTAGGTAGAGGCAGCTCTAATGGCTTCCATTTGAGCTGCCTTTCATTTTCCACCATAATAACCCTCACCCTACCAGTCAGGGAGCCAATGTGGGGATTCTACCAGCTGCTAAGTATGTCTATGCGAATTATGGATTCTGGCACTGGGGAAATAACCACAGGATGAGTCTGGGTACCCATTGGACTGACTGGAAGTGGGACATTAGCTAAAACTCCATACATTACCTGACCTACATAAGCCCCTACTTTAACTGGAGGACCACAGTGGCATTTTGGGTTCCCTGGAATGAATGTCAGCTAAGAGCCAGTGACCAGTATTCCCCAAATAATCTGATCATTTTCCTTTCTGCAATGCACAGAAAGGCTACAAGAGGTGAACCCCAGAGGCCCCTCTAGCAATGGAGCCAGCTCCCTCTTGCCTGCTCCTCTTGGTCCACCCCATCCTCCCTATCCAGTTTATCTCTCCTGTTTGCTCCCTCCTAGAAATCCTCACCCTAGATAAGCCCCAGTCCCACTCTTGCCCCTCCAACAGATGCCTGGTGAATTTGGTCCCTGGTAAGATCCAGGTCCCTTTCCCTCTAAAGGACTTAAGGCCAATTAAGGGGGATCTTGGCAAGTTTTCACATGATGCTGACAGATGTATAGAGGCTTTCCAGAACTTAACTCAAGTATTTGAACTCTCCTGGGAAGATGTTATGCTACTTTTGAATCAAAGCCTGACTAACACTGAGAAGCAGGCTACTCTGCAAGTGGCAGAGAGATTTGGGGAATGAGCTTTCTATTACATACAGTGTCAGGGAAGGGGTCAAACTTTATCCAACTAGAAGAGAAGCAGTACCGTTGGATAACCCTAAATGGGATCTCACTGACAAGATGGGAGAATGGAAGAGGAGACACATTCAGGTGTGCATAATGGAGGGATTATGTAGGACTAGAACTAAGCTTCTCAATTATTCTAAGTTATCCATGATAGACCAGGTATTTGATGAGAATCCCACTGCTCTCCTGGAAAGGTTAAAAGAGGCCTTGGTGAAGCACAACTCTCTACTTCCTGATTCAGTTAAGGGACAACTAATCCTAAAGGATAAATTTATTACTCAGGCAGCCCCTGAGATCAGGAGGAAGCTGCAGAAACAGGCCCTGGGACCAGATAGTACTTTAGAGAACCTCCTGAAAGCAGCCACCTGTCTTTTACAATAGGTCACTGGAATAGATTCTTGAATTTATTACACCCATGTAAATGCCTGGGAAGCTGATGAACCCAAAGAGTACCCAAAGTACCAATATGAAGAGGTTGGGGACCTCAAGCTAAAAATTACAAAAGATAAGTGTTAAACTTCCATGGATATCCTCTTTATAGTCTTGCCTATGTTCGCTGTTTTTACCTTTATTCTGTTCTATACTGCAGGATACAATATTGTGTCTAGAAGGAATAGTATATTTTACTTCTTATTTCTGTAAACTTTGTCACCAGATTATCTCCTTTTAACCCCGTTTTGTATAATACATATATTTGATCCATGCAAACTTATCCCTGTAAAACTTGTTTCTTCTCACCTAAAGGCGATCAAATTCCAAAGGGTCATGTAACTGGAGCCTCGGACAATGGCTCCCTTTTACCAGAGGCCCTTAGGTAAACCTCTGAGGGAAATCTGACCACTGTTTTCTTCAAAACAGTGTCCCCAGTAAGCAGAAAGTAGCTAAGATCGGTCATTGTCTGTATTCTAATGGCAGTGAGATGTTCCGCTTTGAAAAGGGAAATGATGGGGAAAGGAGGCAGAGAAATTCTAGGTAAAAAAGGGCAGGTCCCTGGTGAAGCCCTATCCTCAAGCTGAAAAGCCCGAGACCATGGCCAAAGTGAGAACTGTTTTCCCATGCGAACTTTGCCTTTTCCTAAGTCACCCATGACCCTGCCCCACCCCATCCTGTGCCTATAATGACTCCAGACTCAGCCAGCAGAGGGAAGAAGCAGCTGGACCTTGGGGACTACAGCTAGACATTGGAGAGAAGTGGCTTGACTTCAGAGGGATGGCTTGACCACGTAACTTTGGAGAAGAATCCTGCTGAACATGGCTGGACTTCAGGGGAAGATTACTTCCCCTTTTCAGCTCTCTTTCCCACTGAGAGCCACTTTCATTGGCAATAAAATCTCCCACATTTACCATCCTTTAAATCATTCATGCGACATCATTTTCCGTGGACACCTGACAACAGCTTGGGAGCCACAAGTGTGAATACAAAAGGCTTCATACTGGCCCTTTTCCCTCGCTGGCAGAAGGCAGCCACCTCACATGAAAAGAAAGAAGTCCCACTGAACTATTAACATTTTAGCTGTCTGTGGATGGGAGAGCTAAAAGAATACTGTAACATGTCCTCTGGGACTTCAGGGGTCACAGGCACCATCCCATTGATGCTGCTGCAAAGCCCACATGGAGTTTGCTCCTGCCAGTGCCTAAATGTGCTTGCCCTGGCTCCTGCACTCGCTCACCTGTGCACTCCCTCCTGAAAGGGGTGGAACACAGCAGGTGCAAGTGAGTGGAGTTTGCTCCTGCTGGCACCAAAGCAGCCAGCTGGTTCCAGGGCTCATGCAATCCAGTTCCTGCCTCATTTGATAGCGTGCTCCCTCCCACAAGAGTTGAAAGCTGCTGACTGAGTAAATGAGGCACCTCTGTTGTGAGTCCTGTGAAAGGGTCAGGGAAATATTCTTCTTCACTACCAAAAGACATGCTTTCATGAGTAGGCTGACAGAACTATTAGGGAGGATAGTTTTATTTCTTCATGCGTTTTCTGGGAATCCTTGCTACTTGTGGCATATACATGAGATGGTTTCTCTGTGTCCTTGCATTGGCCATCTCCACCTTAGTGAAGCCAGGTCTGCACCGTTCCTTATTATGATTTCTTTTTCTTCCCTTTTTGACACAGTAAGATCACCTGGATGTTGCTCAAAATGATGGCATGTAATAATTTTTAAACATTTGGAGATCAGATGAGATTGGGTGTGTTCAGGATGTATGGCCATAGAGAAGACAAGATATATAATAAATATTATATATTGTATCTTAGATATATGTATCAACTATGTTGATCTATTATCTATCATCTATCTTTCAAGAATAGAAAATTTATCTTGAACCCACTCCTCTCAAAAAAGAAGTGTGTCAATAAATGTTCAGAAACAATGGTGAGCATGTACCATTTTGTTGATAAAATATGTTTTATCTAATTCAGTAGTGCAAGCTATTATTGTCTCTACCACCTCACATGTCCACATGATAAGAAGCAGTCTGAATAGCTGATGTTAATGTGCCTCAAATTAATTCATGCATTCTTCTTAGGGACTCCTGGTGAGAGTAAAGAAGTGCTATTTATTGAACACCAACAGTGAACACTGTGCTAAGTGCTGTATTACAAGGGTGTAGGATCATTGTTGTCCATGCTCTTACAGGATAAATAAAAATAAAGCAGTATGGCAGGAACACAGAGAGGAGAGCTCTGACCTTTGACTCAGGAGCCTTCACTGGTTCCACACACATCACTTAGTGAATAATAATTAAGGTATCTTGAGTGACTCTTCATGAAACAGTTGTAAAACACTGTGTTTCTTAAAACTTTCCCCCACTGACTTATGTATTTATTGCTAATTTGTCAAAATCGTCTTCCACTTTGGAAATATAAATAGTTAGTACAACTTTACTAATTTATGCTATTTTTAGAAAGCTTCGAAATAGCACCAATTTACTACAAGGACTATGCTGGGGGCTAAACTTTTCCCCTATTCCTAAATTCATATGTTAAAGTCTTCAACCCGAGTGCCTCAGAATGAATCTCAGACAATATCGCAAATTTTATGATCCTCTAAAAATATTCCACTTGAATTTTCTATGCAGGCTTTAAAAAATTATTGTTATATCACTGTGAATTGTCTATACTTTGTTAATTTGGATAGATTTTCTGAGTTCCTGAATTTATTTTTGTGACTTTGTACTAATATAGTCACAAAGCAATATATCACAAGCATTTATGTGGAGATATTTTGAGAACTTGAAAGAAGTTTCAGTTCCCTAACATCCAGGAATAAACAATAATTAAGTAATTTTAATGTGTCTGGGTCATTGGGGTTGTAGAAAGAATATAGAAAAAGTTAAGAATGCATTAAAGATTGTCTATATTTTCTCTTTTCACTTGGAATAAACCTAACTAAATGCTAAATATATTTTAAGTAGATACGTCTTTCTGGATAATTCATGTTGTATTAAGGATTATTATATATACCCAGTAAATTTAATTCCTAATATCCTGGGCCCCCAAACATACAGGAAATAAAGATATATAACCTCCCTAAGTGTGTGTTATCTATGTATTTTTATCTACTTATAAAAATTCTTGCTTCATTATGACAATAGTAAAATAATGTATTGTAGGCATTTGTTTTTTTTAAATTTTGATTTTAAAATAATATTAGATTTAAAGAAGAGTTGTAAAAATTGTACAGACTTCACTTATACACATTTCACTTAACGTCTAATGTTAACATCTTTTATAATCATGGTATATTTATCAAAACTAATATCATATCATCTCTCTTTCTGTCTATCTTCTTTTTTTTTTAGGAAACAGGGTCTCTCTCGTTGCTCAGGCTGGAGTGCAGTGGCATGATTCTGTTCACTGCAGCCTCAAACTCCTCGGCTGAAACAATCCTCCTGCCTGAGGGATGATAAGACTACAAGTGCACACTACCATGCCTGGCTAATTTTTTATTTTTTGTGTGAAATAGAGTCTCATTATGTTGCGTAGGCTTGTCTTGAACCCCTGGCCCTCAAGCAATTCTCCCACCTGAGCCTCCCAAAGCACTGGGATTACAGGTGTGGGCCACCATGCCTGGCTTATTTCTCATTCCTTAGTCTATTGTGACCTTGACACTTTTGATGAGCATTGGTCAGGTATTTTCTAGAACGTCTCTCAATTTGGGTTTGTCTGACCCCCCAGTTACGGATTTTAGGAAAAATTATCACAGAGGTAAAGTGCCCTTCTGTAGGGGCCAGCCCCACAGGGTCTGTGAGTCTCTCCCCATGTGCAGCGACGAGAGAGTGTAGAAATAAAGACACAAGACAAAGAGATAAAAGAAAAGGCAGCTGGGCCCGGGGGACCACTACCACCAATGCGCGGAGACCGGTAGTGGCCCCGAATGTCTGGCTGTGCTGTTATTTATTGGATACAAGGCAAAAGGGGCAGGGTAAAGAGTGTGAGTCACCTCCAATGATAGGTAAGGTCACGTGGGTCACGTGTCCACTGGACAGGGGGCCCTTCCCTGCCTGGCAGCCGAGGCAGAGAGAGAGAGAGGAGACAAAGAGAAAGACAGCTTACGCCATTATTTCTGCATATCAGAGACTTTTAGTACTTTCACTAATTGACTCCTGCTATCTAGAAGGCAGAGCCAGGTGTACAGGATGGAACATGAAGGCGGACTAGGAGCGTGACCACTGAAGCACAGCATCACAGGGAGATAGTTAGGTCCCCGGATAACCGTGGGCAGGCCTGACTGATGTCAGGCCCTCCACAAGAGGTGGAGGAGCAGAGTCTTCTCTAAACTCCCCCAGGGAAACGGAGACTCCCTTTCCCGGTCTGCTAAGTAGCGGGTGTTGTTCCTTGACACTCTTTGCTACCGCTAGACCATGGTCTGCCTGGCAACGGGCGTCTTCCCAGACACTGGCGTCATGTCTAGACAAAGGAGCCCTTCTGGTGGCCCTGTCTGGGCATAACAGAAGGCTTGCACTCTTGTCTTCTGGTCACTTCTCACTATGTCTCCTCAGCTCCTATCTCTATATGGCCTGGCTTTTCCTAGGTTATGATTATAGAGTGAGGATTATTATAATATTGGAATAAAAAGTAATTGCTACAAACTAATGATTAATGATATTCATATATCTAAGATCTATATCTGGTATAACTATTCTTGTTTTATATTTTATTATACTGGAACAGCTCGCGTCCTCGGTCTCTTGCCTCGGTGCCTGGGTGGCTTGCCACCCACACCCTTCTCATTGCACATGATAAAAACATTACATTTTAACTGGTGATGTTAACATTGATCATGTGGTTAAAGTGCTGTCAGGCAAGTTTCTTCTTTGTAATGTTACTATATTGGCTTTCTATACTCTATGTGTTAGAAAGGAGTCACTAAGTGTATTCCACACTCAAGGGGCTGGAAATTAAGTTCCACCTTAAAGAATTTGTGGTCACATGTTCAAATCAAAACAATAATTAACAAATATTTTAGAGAAAATACTTTGAGGCTATTGGCATTTACTTTTAATACCTTTATTAAATATAATTTGTATTAAAACTACAATTTTTAAAAGTTCTAAATTACATTGCAATTTTATAGACTAATCATCATAGCTAACACTGGGTGCTTATTCTGTGCCAGGCATTGTTCTAAGTGTTCTACCTTTATTGTAACTCTATGAGGTAATTACTATTATTTTTTATGTTAGATAAACATGCTGAAGTGAAGAGAACTTATATAATGTACTCATTATTATATGGCTAGGAAGCTACAGAGCTGGGATTCAAACCTAGAAAGTGTCAGTCTGGTACAAAGTCTGATTTTTCCTGTCAAACATTATTCTACCTTGCCTTTCTATGAGATAAATAAGTAAAAAGATACATGAAAGTATATTGAAATAAGAGAACATGTATATAATATTGAGCAGTAAGGCTTGACACTCCGGATAGATGTAAAATAAATTGTAAAACATTTCTATTGAGATTCAGTGGAATTCAAAGTGTCATCTAAACAGTCTAACATTCATCTTAACACAGTGAAAATTTCATTCATCTGCAGTAGGTATTTAGAATATATAAGTATTTGGAATATACAGGTATCTAAAATATGACCGCTACTCATCAGTTAAAGAATCCCAGACTCCAATAGAAAAATGGACAAGAATATGAATAGGCAATTCACAGAAACTTAATAGATACTTAGTTTCATTAGTTATCAAAAAAAATCAAACTTAAACCACTATGAGATAGCATTGCATATCCATCAGATGGTCAACAACTGGTAAATCTGGTAACACTGAATTTTGGTGAGGATATGGGAAAATGGAAATTCAGACATGGCTGGGGTAAATATAAATGCACATAACTTTGGAAATTGGCAATATCTAGTGAAAGCTGAAGATATGCAGAACTTACCCCAGCATTATCCCTTCTGCGTCTGCACTAGAGAAATCTTCAACCATGTACATAAGAAATTGCTATAAGGATGCTTGTGAAGCAGTGTTGGTAATAGCAAAAACTATTGAACCTCAGGAGTAAAATTCATAAACAGTGCAATGATAGAGTTAAAATGAAACTACTCAATCTAACTGGTTAAACAAGGGTAAACCTTTAAACATACTTCTGAGTAAAAAAGAATACAAAATGCTACATCCAGTACAATGTCATTCACGTAGATGTTAAGCACTAAATACTATATAGAGAAACATGAATCTATGGTAAAAGTTCAGAACACTAAAGAGAATGATACTATCATCACAGGATTTGAATAGTGAAGAGAGAAAACTGGCGAATGGGACTTTAGAGTCTATGTATTTTTTAATTAAAAAAGATTGGAATCAATTATAATCAAATATTAATAGAGCTAATCTCAGAGGTGGGTAGATAGGTAATGGTTATATGCACATATATTTTACTTTTTTGAATAAAATGCTTTATAATTGAGGTCTAAAAGGGTAATATGTGTGGAATTTTTTTTTTGGCAGGGGAAAATAAGGGGATTTAAATCATTTCTTCATCAAAAATCCCTTTGAACTTTTATTTGCCAAACTTCCTTCTTCCTTGTTATGAAGATTAGTAACTCCAAACCATATTCACTTCTGCGGTTTCATTCTGAAAAAAGAAAATTTGGCTGGTTTAGATAAAGCATTCCATTAACCTACATTCTGAACTAGATGTTCTAAAAGGAAGTTATTATTTTCTCTGGCAGAGATGAAGGGAAAAGCCAAAACATTTTGATGTTGACACAGCTTTTGGAGAAGTGCCAAAAAGGTCACTGAGTCTGTGATCCTTCATGGTGTCCGCAATGTGGGCCTTGCAATGATCCCAGTCCTGCTTACCACAGGGTGCAGGTGTCTTTGGAGCTGAGTAGAAACATTCTGAAAACATGCATGTTGCTGTCCCTGGATAAATGCTTAATACTTAATGCACTGCTTTTCCTTGGTCTCAAAATTGTTCTTAAACTTACTTTGTGTGGCTATCTCAATGTTTATAAGCCAAAGAAAGCCAGCTACCTATTGCTTACTGATGGTACACTGCATGTTAATTTATTATTTTTGGCTTACCTAATACATTTATATTTTATAAAATGGATATTTTTTGAAGGTATAATTGTGTCAAAGTGTGCACTTTTGGGTGGAGAAGCAAAAGCTTTGTCTCCATATATAAAGATGATGGATCCTATCTTACATACTTATCTTCAATACCTTTACTGTCACTGAATAAATGTTCCTTAGCACTTACCATGGCAGTTTTATTAAACACAAAAATGTATGATCTTTTTCAGAGGTTAAAAAAAGTATAATCTGTATTATTTGAAACATTAGTAAACCAAAGAAATGCTTACTGAAAATTATGGTTCAATGCCTAAAATGTCTATTTAATTTGTTTTACATAAAGCCTCCAGAAGGTGGATACAGTTGATTTTAAGTTAATTAATCTCATAAATCATTGTAAAATAAACAAAAGATTATAAATACAGTAATTTTGATAATCTGCTTTAAGTTACTAGAGAAATATTAAAAGCATGCACTTTTGCTTTTTGATATACTTAATTTGAAGTAAATAATGCATGTTGAGCCAAAACAAATACAACTTTACCTCTGAATCGTATTTTAAGATTAAGGGGAAAAAGCCATAAAATAATTAACATATTTTCATTTCTCTATATTTTAAATTGATAAAATTTTATTTCAATAATGATGAAAAGTCACTAAGTACATTTTAGTCTTTTTTTAAATTTAATACTTATAAACTGTATCATGTACTTTGAAAACAGGTGAAAATCACTTAAAATTATTTTATTTAAATTGTATTTTCCAGAAGAGTAGGTTGTGGGTTAGTCGTCTTTGCAATTTGTCATGCAATTTGCTGGGATGTCAGCTTCAGCTGGGCTCGTTGTCATCTTGGCCTGAAAAACAGCAAATGATGAAGCAAAGTGTGAGAAATTGTCTCATATTTTATGGCTCACTGAGTGAATGAATCAACTCAGGATGCTGCAGCATTGCCTGCAGGAGTCTGTGTCTGTGAAACTGCTGAAATTCCAAACGGAGTAGCTGATGGACTCTGGGCAGTATTCATGGTCCAAAAGGGTGTTGGCTTTCCTCCCCAGATTTAAGAACTGTAATTTTGAAATGAAGATGACATGTCATTTTCCATTTGTGACAAATCCTAGGAGCTGCTATACTGGTATTCTATCTGAATAAGGATATAAAAAAGATCCAAGTATACCTTCTACAAAGTAAAAACATATCCTTTTGAAGTGTCATGTTTGATGAGTTTTGATAAAGATATCAACTCATGTAGCCACTGCCACAACCAAGATATAGAATATTTACATTATGCTCCCAAAGTTCCCTCTTGCCCATTTTTAGTCGGTCACTCTGCCCCCTACCAGTCCCAGATAACCACTGATCCAATTTTATCACTATAGAATTTTATAGAAATAGAATAATGCACTAGGCACTCTCATTGTCTGACTTTCACTCAGCATAATATTTGTGAAATTTATTCATGTTTTTGCAGGAGCTCATTCCTTTTAGTCTCTGAGTAGTATTTCATACTATGGGGTTATACCACAATCTTTCCTACTTTCATTGTCCTTAGTTTTTTATTTTGTTACTGAAGTTGCTATGAATATTTATGTCCAATACTTTTTTGGACATATATGCTTTTATTTATCTTGGATTAAATACCTAGAATTGATATTACTGGGTCATGAACCTGTATAGATAATTTTAAAAGAAACTGACAAAGTGAGTTAAGAAATTGAGAAGGAAACTAAAGTTTTTTTGAAACACATGAAAATGGAAATGCAATTTATCAAAACCTATGGAATACATTTAAAAAGTACTAAACTTAGTGAAATTAGCACTTTTTTTTTTTTTTTTTTTGAGACAGAATCTCTCTCTGTCGCCCAGGCTGGAGTGCAATGGCTCAATCTCGGCTCACTACAACCTTTGCCTTCTGGGTTCAAGGGATTCTCACGTCTCAGCCTCCCAAGTAATTGGGATTACAGGCACCTGCCACCACGCCCAACTAATTTGATTTTTTTTTTTTTTTTTTTTTGTATTTAGTAGAGACAGGGTTTCACCATGTTGGTCAGGCTGGTCTCTAACTCCTGACCTCAGGTGACCCACCCACCTCACCCTCCCAAAATGGTGGGATTACAGGTGTGAACCACTGTGCCCAGCCAAATTAGCACATTTTATATACTGTGTTGAAATTCACAGGAAAGCTTGTCTTCTGTAAATGACTTTTGAATACAGATTTGTTCAGACATCTCTAACATTACACATACTGTACTGGTCCACTGGATTGAAGGCAGAGAGAAGGAAGGGAGGAGAGAATGGTTCAAGGCCAAAATGGTCATATTTAGAAGATACCTCAGATTATAACCATTATTATATATGTGCAATTTTAACATAGCAGAAAAGTTATATGAAATTTCCAGTCTTTCTACATATTTAGAAGTGCTTGATGCATTTAAACGTAGAAGTAGTAGAATAACACTTCTTATAAATAGCTATTAAAAACTGATGGGAGGCCGGGCATGGTGGCTCATGCCTGTAATCCCAGCACTTTGGGAGGCCAAGGTGGGCGGATCACCTGAGGTCAGGCGGTTGAGAGTTTGAGACCAGCCTGATCAACATGGAGAAACCCTGTCTCTACTAAAAATACAAAATTAGCCCAGTGTGGTAGCGCATGCCTGTAATCCCAGCTACTCGGGAGGCTTAGGCAAGAGAATCTCTTGAACCCGGGAAGTGGAGGTTGCAGTGAGCCAAGATCGCGTCATTATACTCCAGCCTAGGCAACAAGAGTGAAATTCCATCAAAAAAAAAAAAAAAAACCAAAAAACTGACGAGAAATACTGTGCTTGGAAGTAGAATTGTTAATCCACCTCTGAACAGTGAACAGTGTACTTTCTATACTTGTTCATTGGGTTGAGGGAGATGGGAGGGAAGAAATTGCAAAAGGCATTTTGCTAGTGTGTACTAGAAAATGTCAGCTTATCCATTGTCCTTTATACCCAAATGCCCTTGACAGTGCATTTTATTTAACTTAACTATACTGTATATACTGTATATATTGGACAAATGAATCCTAATTTTATAATATCTAGTCACTAGATATTAGAGATTGTCAATGTATGACAAAAGGAGAGTTAGTAAACTAACACATTTTGTACATTTTATGTTAAGATGTATACAAAGATTGTATTTTGAAAAAGACTTCAGGAAGTGAAATGATAGCATCAGCTTTGACACATGTGCCCATATTTACCAGGTTGTTCGTAGAGAGGAGTTGAAAGAAATAAAGGATTCTAGACCAGAACGTTCCTATTTAGAAAACACTTTCAGATATAACAGTTGTTACATGTGTGTAGTTTATTCAACAATACTGTGTATATAGTAAACAAACTTAAGTCTTTATTTGAAACAGCTAGTCTTTCTAGATATTTAGAAGTACATAAATATGTTAAAAGTAGAGGTAGTAAATTTCCACATTTTATAGATAGCCTTTTGATATAAAATATTGTCCCTTGGAAAGTGATCAAACCACTCCTCTGAGCAGTACACATTATTTGTGCTGGTACAGGGAGGAAGGAGGAGAAGAAAGTGCAAAGGCCTTTACACCAGTGTGTTTATGGTGAGGCACAATTGACCACTGTTCCTTGTATCTACATTTTCTTTTACTTTGCTGTGTATATAGTATATATAAATGGGCAAACGTATCCTAATTTACAACATCTAGTCTTTCTAAATGTTAAAGAGTTTGACAGTGTATGACAAAAGCAGAGGTTAGTAAACTAATAAATTGAGAACATTTTGTTTTAAAATTCATAAGAAAGACTATTCTTAAAAACACTTAAAGAAGTGAAATTGTTAAATCTTGTCTAAGCATTACAAATGCTTATACCTGTCAACTGTGTTGATAGAGGTAGGAAGGGGAAGGGTTCTAGGCCAGAATGTTCTTATTTAGAAGACACTTTCAAATATAACCTGTGTTATGTGCACCACTTATTTAATGCTACTGTGTCTATGGTGGAAAACTTAAGTCCTATTTGAAATATCTAGTCTTTTCACATGCTTAAAATTGCACAACATAGTTTAAAACTAGAGGGCTAAAGTAACACCCTGAGGTAGTTTTTTGGTTAATTCCTAGGAGTGGTTGTGCTTGGGAATGCAATTGTTAAGCTTGATGTTTGGAGAGTATGCTGACTGTTTATTGGGTGGCAGCAAGTCAGGGGAGGAGAAAGTATGCATGCAGAAGTGTTCCGTGCCTGTAAGTTTGATTAGGTCGGATGTTCTAACCATTGTTGTATATGTGCCTTTTAGTTAGTACTGTTATGTATTAAAGGATAAATAAGTCCTAATCCCCAAAGTATGTTAAAAGTAGAGGTAGTAAAACAGTTCCTACATAAATGTCTTCTCACTGGTTTTTGGGAAGGCCTGTCTTCTGGGAGTGACTTTTGTTAATCCAACTCTTGGAACTAGATGTAGTCCTATATTTAGTCACTGGGATAGTGGAAAAGGGAAAAGAGGAAAAGTGAAGGGAAGGGCTGTTTGTTAGTATCTCTACATACAGAAGAGGGTTTTAGATGATGTATTAGTCGGTTCTCATGCTGCTAATAAAACCATACCGACGACTGTGTAATTTATAAAGGAAAGAGGTTTAATTGACTCACAGTTCAGCATGGCTGGGAATGCTTCAGGAAATTTACAATCATGGTGGAAGGTGAAGGGGAAGCAAGGCACTTACTTCACAGGGCAGCAGCAAGAAGTTTAAGGAGGGGGAATGCCAGACAATTATAAAACCATCAGATCTTGTGAGACTCATTCATTATCAGGAGAACAGCATGGGGGAAACAGCTCCCATGATTCAATTACCCCCACCTGGTCCTGCACTTGACATGTGGAGATTATGGGGATTACAATTCAAGGTAAGATTTTGGTGGGGCACAGAGCCAAACCATATCAGATAATAACCGTAGATCTATATGAGCATTGTTAGTAAAGCACCTAAGTGTATTGTGAACAAATTTAATTATTTTGCAACATCTAAGCTTTATAAATGTCTTGGGGTAACAATGTATGATAAAAAAGTAGAGCTAGTGAATTAACCAATTTGTAAATTTTTTTTGTTATAATTGATAGAAAAGATACGTGTTGGACATAGAATTATTAAACTGCCTCTGAGTAGTGTGTGTAAGGATTTGTTCATTAGGTTGGCATCAGAAGGGCAGAAGCAAATACAAAGGGAAAGATGTATGCAGATGTTTTCATATTTACATTTTGACAATAGCCATTGAGGTATGTGCATCTCTTGTGGTTGTACCATAGGAATACATTAATTAATTCAGTGGAAACATACATTCTTATTAATATTTTAATGGTATAGATCTGCTAATGAATTCTCTTAGAAACATACTTAGTATATTCTGTTGCATTATGTTTCATTTTAAATTGAGCATTAAGAGAATACAGTATTTTAATTTGAACTCTTTCAACGCTTTTATCTATAAGCATGTTGTCATTTTTGTCTTCTATGAAATTTTTACCCCAAGAAAGGCAGAATTATGTTTTTGTTTTCTTTTTTCCGACAGATTAAGTTGGTGTGATGTATTTTATTTTTGTTTGTTTGAGTTGGAGTCTCGCTCTGTCGCCCAGGCTGAAGCGCAGTGGCACAATCTCGGCTCACTGCGGCCTCTGCCTCCTGGATTCAAGCAATTCTCCTGCCTCAGTCTCCCAAGTAGCTGGGATTACAGGTGCCCAAAACCACACCAGGCTAATTTTGTATATTTAGGAGAGACGGGGTTTCTCCATGTTTACCAGGCTGCTCTCAAACTCCTGAGCTCAGGTGATCTGCCCAGCCTCCCAAAGTGCTGGGATTACAGGCGTGAGCCACTGAGCCTGGCAATGGTGTGGTGTATTCTTGATTATCAAAATACTCCTATAGCTTTGGGACTTTTTATTGGTAAATATTCATGATATTCATTGTAAGTATTTAGTATATATCGTGAAAAACCATGATACATACCGTACAATCTCAATCCCATAAAATCGGATGTTGTGTCTATACACACACAGGACCCAGAAGGACATATCAAGCTGTAAACTGCTTGTGATTGTGGATGGCTTTGTTCTTTGCTTCTTGTGTTTTTTAGTTTCCTATTATGCACATGTTAACTTTTAAAAAATAAAGATTATTTTTAAAGCCTGGGGAAAAAACTAGTGCTAAGAGGGAAGTTTATAGGAACAAACGCGTTCATCAGAAAAATAGAAAAATTTTGAATAAGCAACCTCATGAATGCACCTCAAGGAATTAGAAAAGCAAGAACAAACCAAACTAAAAATTATTAGCAGAGAAGGAATAATAAAAATCCAAACAGAAATAAATAAAATTGAAACTAAAATAATAGAAAAGGTCAACATAATAAAAAGTTCATTTTTTAAAAAGAAAAATCAACAAATCTTTAGCTAGACTACAAAAGACAAAAGAAGATACAAATAAATAAAATCAGAGATGATATGACTGAAATACAGAGGATCCTTAGTGACAATTGTGAACAACTATATGCCAACAAATTGAAAGAGCTAAATAAAATGGATACATTCCTGGGCACATAAAACCTACAAAGACTGAATAATGAAGAAATAAAAAATCTGAAAACACTAATAATCAGAAACAAGATTGAATCGGTACTAAAAATAATTTCCAACCAAGAAAAGTCCAGGACTGAAAGACTTCACTGCTAAACTTTATTAAACTTTTAAAGAAGAATTAATACTAATTCTTCTCAAACTCTTCTAAAAAACTGAAGGGAAGAGAATTCTTCCACACTTATTAGATGAAACCAGCATTATTCTGTTACAAACACTAGGCAAGAAGGCAACACAAAATAAAATTATATGCCTATATTTTTTATGAACACAGATGCAAAAATTCTCAACATAACACTAGCAAACCAACTCCACAGCACGTCAAGAAGATTATATGCCATGATCAAGTGGGATTGATTCCAGGGATACAAAGGTGATTCAACATATGCAAATCAATAAACATGATACATCACATCAACAGAATCAAGGACAAAAATCATATGGTCATTAATAGATGCAGAAAGAGCATTTGATGGAATTCAACATCTCTTCATAATAAAAACTCTCAACAATTAGGTACAGAAGGAATATACCTCAAAATATGTATTCTTTTGGCCATATGTGACAAACCCAGAGCTACCATACGGAATAAGAAAAAGTTGAAAGCCTTTACTCTAAGACAAGAATGCCCACTTTCACTACTTTTATTCACCAACATAGTACCAAAAGTCCTAACCAGAACAGTTAGTCAAGAGAAAGAAATAAAGAGCATCCAAACTGGAAAGGAAGAAGTCAAATTGTCCTTATTTGGAAATGTTATAATCTTATATTTAGAAAATTCTAAAGATGTTGCCAAGAAAATAGAACTGAAATAAATTCAATAAAGTTTCAAGTGACAAAATCAACATACAAAACTTAGTAGTATTTCTATACATTAATAGCAAACATTCTGAAAAAGAAATCAAGAAAACAATCCTATTTGCAATAGTTATAAAAAGCCCTAAGAATAAACTTAACCAAAAGAGATAAAAGATATCTACAGTAAAACACTGATGGAAGAAATTTAAGAGGACATGAATTGGAAGAATTAATATTGTTAAAATGTCTATACTTTCCAAAACAATCTACAGATTAAATGTAATCTCTACCAAAATAACATGGCAATCTTCCCCCAAAAAATAGAAAAAAAATCCTAAAATTCATATGAAACTGAAAAGACCCCTAATAGCCAAAGCAATCTTGAATAAAAAGAACAAAGCTGGAGGCATCACATTACCTGACTTGAAAATATAATACAAAGCTGTAGTAACCAAAGCAGCACGATACTGTCCTAAAAATAGACACATAAGGTCAATAGAGGACCCAGAAATCAGAGAACAGAATAGAGGAGCCAGAAATAAATCCACACATTTGTAGCCAACTAATTTTTGACAAAGGCACCAATAACATACATTGGAAAAAGGACGGTCTCTTCAATAAATGGTGCTGGGAAAACAATGTCTATATGAACACAGAAGAATGAATCTAAACCCCAATCTTTCACCATATATAAAAATCAGATCAAAATGGATTAAAACTTTAATGTAGTGCCCAGAACTATAAAACTACTAAAAGAAAATGAAGGGTAAACTCTTTAGAACATTGGTCTGGGCAAATATTTTTGGGTAAGATCTGAAAAATATAGATAGCAGAAGGAAAAATAGACAAATGAAATACATCAAACTGAAAAGCTTCTACACTGTAAAGGAAGCTCTGTTGATTGCAACAGAGCATAGTGACAGCCTTCAGAGTGGGAGAAAATATTTGCAAACTATCCATCAGACAAGGGATTAATATCTAGAAAATATGAGAAACTCAAACAACTCAATAGCGAAAACCAAATAATCTGATTAAAAAATGAACAAATGGGCTGGGCGCGGTGGCTCACGCCTGTAATCCCAGCACTTTGGGAGGCCGAGGCAGGCGGATCACGAGGTCAGAAGTTCAAGACCATCCTGGCTAACACAGTGAAACCCTGTCTCTACTAAAAATGCCAAAAAATTAGCTGGGCTTGGTGGCAGGTGCCTGTAGTCCCAGCTACTTGGGAGGCTGAGGCAGGAGAATGGTGTGAACCCAGGAGGCAGAGCTTGCAGTGAGCCGAGATCGCGCCACTGCACTCCAGCCTGGGAGACAGAGCGTGACTGCGTCTCAAAAAAAAAAAAAAAAAAAGAGCAAATGACCTGAGTTGCCATTTATCAAAAGAAGACATACAAATTGCCAAAAGCATATGAAAAAAATATTCAACATGACTAATTATGAGAAAAATGAAAATCAAAACCACAAGGTATCATCTTACCCCAGTTAAAATGGCTACTATAAAAAAGACCAAAGAAAAAAAAATACTGGTGAGGTTGGGTTGCAAAGAAAGGGGAACCCTTATACGCCCGTTGGTGGGAATGTAAATAAGTATAGCCATTATAGAAAACAGAATGGAGGTTCCTCAAAAACTAAGAAGTAGAAATGTTATATGATCCAGTAATCTCACTACTGGGTATGTATCCAAAGGAAAGAAAATCAGTGCGTCAAAGAGATATTTGCACTCCCATGTTTATTGCAACACTATTCACAATAGCCAAGATATGGAATCAACCTTAGTTTTGACCAATAGATGCATAGTTAAATAAAACGTAATATATATACACAATGGAATATTTTTCAGCATTGAAAATAATAGAATCCTTTAACTTGTGGCAACATAAGTGAGCCTGGAAAAAAGTATGTTAATTTAAATAAGCCAGACACAGTAAATCAAATACCACATATTCTCACTTATATGTGGAAGCTAAGAAAATTGATATCGTAGAAGTGGAGAGCAGAATAGTGGTTACCAGAGGCAGGGAAGAAGAATAGGGGAGGCAAAGATAGGGAGGGATTGGTTAATGGGTACAAAATTACAGTTAGATAGAAATAAGTTACAGTGTTCTGTAGCACAGTAAGGAGGCTAGGGTTAATAATAATTTTTTGTACATTTCAAAATAACTAGAAGAGAAAATTTTGAATAGTCCCAACATGAAAAAAGATAAATGTTTGAGATAATGGATATCCCAATTACCGTGATTTGATTATTACACACTGTATGTATGTATCAAAATATCACATGTATCTTATAAATATGTACAATTATTATGTATCAACTAAAAATTTAAAATACAAAAAAAGGACAAACTTTTCTGAAACATTTGTAAAATTTTACCCTCCCCCAATGATGAATGAGCATTCTATTGTTCTACATCCTCTCCAATGCTTGGTATTGTCCATATTTTAAATTTAGCTATTGTCCTGTGGTATCTCACTGAAGTTTCCATTTGCAGTTCCCTTAGAACTAAAGATGTTCAGCATATTTCCATGTACTGTTTGGCGATTTATTTTTTTCTTCAATAAAGAAAGCTGCTCAAAACTTTCCCCCATTTTTCAATTGATTTGCCTTCTAATTTATTGAGCTATATGAATTATCAAATATATTCATTATGAATTTTCTCAGAGAAATGTATTGCACATATTTTCTCCCAGTCTGTGGCTTGGTTTTTCATTTTCTTAACAGTATTGTTTGAAAAGTAGCAGATTTCAATTTTGATGAAATACAAATTTTCAATTTTTTAATTTATAGTTGGTGCTTCTACTATCTTATCTAAATATAACCTTTACCTATCCAAGTCACAACAATTTTTCTTCTCTATTTTCTTTTAGAATTTTGAGAATTTTAATTTTTATATTTAGGTGTATGATGCATTTTAAGTTAATTTTGTGGTTGGTATGAAGCAAAGATCAAGGTTCACTTTATTCCATGTGGATATTTGGTGGCTTCAGCACCATCTATGGAAAGGCTGTCTTTTTCACATAGAACTATTTTTGCACCTTCGTAAAAAGATCAATTGGCTATTTATGTCTGTACTAAAGGTTACTGGTTAAGAACTCAGCCACTGGAATTTGATTATCTGAGTTTAAATCCTGTTTCAACCATTTATAGGATGGCGACCCAACCTCAGTTTACTCATTTTGTTCCATGAAGAAATAAGCGGGGAGAGCTAATGTTCAAAGGCCCTCAGTAATATGACTACCCTAAATCTACAAATCTAGGTTTGTGGAAGAGCTGGGATTTGACCCCAAGTCATTTGACTTTCTGTTTATAACTAATTGGACTTTAGTACACTGCATTTTTTAAATGATTCTTTCAAATCCTTTTCACAACTTTGGAAAAATGCTTATGCTTCCTCAAGTTGACTTTTCATACACTTACACGTGAGAAAAGCAAGCTATTTACCTCTTCATGGGAATAAAATCTTACTCTTTGTAATTTCTGCAGAAGAATTTTAAGCCCAAAATATTCACTTGGGATTTCCAGAATATAATCCTTATTTTTGATTACTCATTTCATGTATCTCTTCTGTTTTTATTTGTGTGTGTGTGTGTTATCATTGTCTAGTAGCTTAAGATAACAAGCTCCAAGTAGATTCGGATATGCAAGTGTTCCAAACAGATAAATAAAATTGATTAATAATTGATACAAGTAGCTATTGTTACTTTTGAAGTAGTATGGCCTTTAAAATTCTTTGGATAAAGATAACTCATCTCTAACTCCAGGATTGTGAGCTTCTAAATAAAAGCTAAAAGCTTGGAGTGTCAAATAATCCCAGAGAATTTCATGGAAAAAAAGGAGGATGAGGAGGAGGAGGAGAAGGAGGAGGAGGAGGAAGGGGAGAAGGAGGAGGAGGAAGAGGAGAAGGAGGAGGAGAAGAAGGATGAGGAGAGGAGAAGGAGGAGGAGGAGGAAAAGGAGGAGGAGGAGGATGAGGAGAAGGAGGAGGATGAGAAAGAGGAGGATGAGGAGGATGAGAAGAAGGAGGATGAGAAGGAGGAGGAAGAAAAGGAGGATGAGGAGAAGGAGGAGGAGGAGAAGGAGGAGGATGAGAAGGAGGAGGATGAGGAGGAGGAGGAGAAGGAGAAGGAGGAGAAAAAGGAGGAGGAGAAGGAGGAGGAGGAGAAGGAGAAGGAGGAGGAAGAGGAGAAGGAGGAGGAAGAGGAGAAGGAGGAGGAGGAGAAGAAGAAGAGACAACAGAGTCAGAGTCCCTTTCACACTAGGATTTCTCTCTTTCATTCTGGAAGTTTTACTTCTAATATTACAAAGGACTTCATTGAAGCCAAGCGGAAAGTTGAACTTGTGACAAGAGTGTGTATGCTGTGAGAATGAAACTGTACTCTAAGCAAACTTGGTTTGGCAAAGTATGTAAGAGGGCACAGCATAACTTTTTTTTTGACATTTGAAGTATCTACTTTTTTCTTTGATAAACGTGGACTCAAAAATTTAAACAAGAGTCCAGTACATTTTGAAAACTTCTCTCTTGCAAAGAAAAAGTGTCATATAGGAGAACTTTGCTTCCCTTAGCACAGCAGAACACAGAACCTCTGTGGCCAATCTAGAGATTTGAGGAGGCAATATGAAAAGGTGGTTATCTAATTCTAAGTGTTTGATTCTGATCCGCCTGAGTTTCCTCTTCTCAGGTCTTTCTCACTGGGGCCCCGATTCATATTGTCATGCTGACTTCATTGGTTCTTGGAGTTCGTTTTAGTTTGGATTCAACGGAAATTAAAACCATAAAACACAAAAAAAATTCAGACGCATGCTACAACATGGATGATCCTTGAGGATCTAATGCTAAATGAAATAAGTCAGTCACAAAAGGACAAATATTGTATGATCTTCTTCATATTAAGTACCTAGTTAGTGAAATTTTTAGCAACAAAAGGTAAAGTGGTTGTTGCCAAAGGCTGGAAGAATAGAGAGCTATTGTTTAATGGGCACAGAGTTTTACTTTGGGAAGATAAAAAGTGCATGGAAAATCCCCTACCTCAGGTGCTTCTTAATGTAATTGAAACATCATGCGATATTTAAAAAAATTATCTAATAAAAAGAAGTGAATAGACATACCCAAGAAATAGTGTTACAGTAACAGCTTAGTTTGCAGTCTTAGAAAACTTTCTCTTTGCTTGAATCTTGTATTTCCTAAAATACGTTCACCTCTAGGCAAAGAGTATCACCTGTCACCTGACATCTGGGAGTTCCTTCTGAAGCACTTCAGCTTCATATAGTTAAAAGCAGAGACACAGTTTCCCAGTCTGTAGCTCGCAAAGTTATCTCTCACTCAGTTTGGGAAATGAGTGGAGACAATGGGTACCAACAGAGATTGTAGCTTTATATGGGCCCACCCCAGACAGCAATTAACCTCCACATAGCCACACATACAGCAACAACATAGTCATGTTAAAAACTTCCAACAATAGGTAGCCAAATCATAGAACTGTCATTTATGAAGCTCCTATTATGTGCCAAGCAGTATACTAGGTTCTTTACATGCTAAATTTTATTTAAGGCAAAAACTACATGATATTTAAAGTAATATTCTTTAAATACCTATGAATGGATTTCACTTCTTTTTTAGAACTCAAAGTTTAAAATTTTTCTTATTGTGGTAAAATATGTATAAAATAAAATTTACCAATCTAACAATTTTCACATATATAGTTCAGCACCATTAAGTACATTCACATTGTTGTATTATTATAACCATCACCGTCACTCACACTCAGAACATTTTTATCTTTCCAAAGTAAAACTTTGCGCCCATTAAACAATAACTCTCCATTCTTCCAGCCTTTGGCAACAACCATTTTACCTTTTGTTTCTAAAATTTTGACTAATTTAGGTACCTAATATGAGGGGGATCATACAATATTTATCTTTTTATGACTGACTTATTTCATTTGGCATAAGGTCCTCAAGGTTTATCCATGTTGTAGCATACATGTGAATTTCCTTGCATTTTATGGTTAAATAATATTTCATTGTATGTATATATTACATTTTGTTTATTTATTCATCTATTCATGGACATTTGTGTTGCTTCCACCTTTTGACTATTATGAATGATGCTGCTATGAACGTGGTTGTGCAGAAGTCAAAGTTTTAATAGTTCAGGAACTGTATTTATTTGAATGCTTGTTTATAGGAGACATAAGACCCAGTGTTTCTTAGACCAGTAGAATGATCATGATTAACATTAATTGATTGTACATTTCAAAATAGCTAGAAGAGAATAATTCAAATATTCCTATTGCAAAGAAAAATAAATGTTTAAAGTGATGGATATTCTAATTACTGAGTTGATTAAATGAATATATCAAATTATCACATGTACAGCAAAAATATGTACAGCTATTATGTATCAATACAATTAATTGATTGATTTTAAAAAATCTGGCAATAAACTTCTTTCACAGATTTTTAGTGATTCCTGCATTTCTTTAAACAGTTAAGTATAAAATTAGTGGTCTCCTTTATAGCTGACACTTAAACCACTTCAATACTTAGAAACAGATAATAGCATTCTTAGGGAAAGCAAAAAGGGAATATCTGTAAATACTTAAATTGAACTTGACATATAATTTATTTTTAATCAAAATATGTTAAAATGTTATTAATGTCATGAAAACACATTATTTAAAAAACTGAGACTAAAGAAGATCTTATAATAAAAGCGTATCACTTCTTTCCACACTCAGTCCCTCAATAACAAGTATTTTTAAATGTTTTAGCTATTTTGTTCTGGTAGAGAATGCCATGTCTCTAAATATTGTGTTTGAACCAAGTTTTTAAAAAATTACTTATACATATGAAATTAACCCCTGCGGAATTTCTCTATAATGACTGATAATCCAGTCCCCTTATACTTGTCTACCACTTCTGTTCTATAATCATAATTAAGTCATCTGGACTTGTTGATATGAAATATTTGTAAATAATTAACCGCATTTACCTAACCTATGAAAATACTGTTTACTGAAGACAGAAGTATTATATGATCATAATATTTCTTCTTTTACAGGTTTTGGCTTACTTAGAGTTTTGATTTAATTTTCCAATTAAAACTATTTTATCCTTCTTTTTTTAATTTAACTATTATATTTTCCCAAAGACCAGTGATCCAGGACCCCTCAACTCAGGTTTTTCTCTGTCTATTTTATTCCCTGGTTGAACTTTTTATTTGCTGGAACATGTGTCTTCCCTCATTATAGGCTTATTTACTTGTTTTGTTGACACATATCTTCAGAGAACTTCCTAAGGAAGATTGTAAAGGAGAATTTTCTGAGCTTTCACATATCTGAAAGTGGTTTTTTCTTCTACCCTAACACATGATTGGTAGTTTTTCTGGATATAGAATTCTAGGTTGAAAATTATATTACTTCAGAGCTTCCTCTGCCTTTTAAGTGTTGCTGATGACAAAGATGATCCCAGTCTGATGATTATTCTTCATAGTGATTTGGTTTTTCCAAAAGGAAACTTTTAACTAGACTTTCTAAATTTTCTAATGATGTACTCAGCTGTGTGGGGGTGTGTGTGTGTGATTTTACAGAACACTTGCAGAACTGCTTCAGATTGAAAATTCAACCTTCAAATCAGGAAAATTCTCTATTATTTCTTTGAGAATGTCTTGCTTTCTATTTTTCTCTATTCTTTTTTCTATAACATATTAGTAATTGGTGTCATTTTCCATGTTTATTTTCATTTTTCTTATATTATCCATCTGTTATACTTATTTCTACTTTCTTAGATATTTGTTTTATGTTTCAAACTTTGTATAAAATTCACTACTTCACTTACCATATTTAAAATTCCTAAGAACTTATTTTTGTCCCCTAATTGATCCTTCCTCACAGCATTCCTTTTTTTATTATAAAATATCTTCCTTAATCTCTTTAAGAATACTAGGTTTTTAAAGTTCTCTTCCTTTTGAAATATGTTATAAGCTTAATTTTAAAACAGTTTTAGGTTTACAGAAAATTGTGAAGATGGTACAGGGTATTTTCATATACCTACCTCTGATTTTCCCCTATTAAAAGAATATTTTACATTGGCAGGGTGTATTTTGTCACAATTAATAGGACAATATTGATAACTATGACTAACTGAAGTCCCTAAATCAATGTACTGGTCATGCATTTTGTAGCATGTATCTCAATTAAGATTTATCTGAGAAATTGCTTTATGAATCTGAGTGCTCCTGTATTGGGTGCATATACATTTAGGATAGTTAGCTTTTCTTGTTGCATTGATCCCTTTACCATTATGTAATGCCCTTCTTTGTCTTTTTTGATCTTTGTTGGTTTAAAGTCTGTTTTATCAGAGACTGGGATTGCAACCCCTGCTTTTTTTTTTTTTTTTTTTTTTGCTTTCCATTTGCTTGGTAAATATTCCTCCATCCCTTTATTTTAAGCCTGTGTGTGTCTTTGCACATGAGATGGGTCTCCTGAACACAGCACACCAATGGGTCTTGATTCTTTAACCAATTTGCCAGTCTGTGTCTCTTAATTGGGGCATTTAACCCATTTAAATTTAAGGTGAATATTGTTATGTATGAATTTGATCCTCTCCTTATGATGCTAGCTGATTATTTTGCCCCTTAGTTGATGCAGTTTCTTCATAATGTTGAATGTCTTTACAATTTGGTATGTTTTTGCAGTGGCTGGTACCGGTTTTCCCTTTCCATATTTAGTGCTTCTTTTAGGAGCTCTTCTAAGGCAGGCTTGGTGGTGATGAAATCTCTCAGCATTTGCTTGTCTGTAAAGGATTTTATTTCTCCTTCACTTATGAAGCTTAGTTTGGCTGGATATGAAATTCTGGGTTGAAAATAATTTTCTTTAAGAATGTTGAGATCTACAAAAAGACTTAGACTTCCACACCATAATAGTGGGAGATTTTAATACCCCATTGTCAGTATTAGACAGACCAGCAAGACAGAAAGTTAACAAGGATATTCAGGACTTGAACTCAGCTCTGGACCAAGCAGACCTAATAGACATCTACAGAACTCTCCACCCCAAATCAACAGAATATACATTCTTCTCAGTGCCACATCGCACTGATTCTAAAATTGACCACATGATTGGAAGCAAAACACTCCTCAGCAAATGCAAAAAAATGAAAATCATAACAAACAACAGTCTCTCAGACCACAGTGCAATCAAATTAGAACTCAGGATTAAGAAACTCACTCAACTACATGGAAACTAAACAACCTGCTCCTGAGTGACTATTGGGTAAATAACGAAATTAAGGCAGAAATAAAGAAGTTATTTGAAACCAATTAGAACAAAGACACAATGTACCAGACTCTCTGGGATACAGCTAAAGTAGTGTTAAGATGGAAATTTATAGCACTAAATGCCCACAAGAGAAAGCAGAAAAGATCTAAAATTGACACCCTAATATCACAAAAGAACTAATGAAGCAAGAGCAAACAAATTCAAAAGCTAGCAGAAGACAAGAAATAACTAAGATCAGAGCAGAACTGAAGGAGATAGAGACACAAAAAACCCTTCAAAAAATCAACGAATCCAAGAGCTGGTTTTTTGAAAAGATTAAAAAAATAGATAGATTGCTATCCAGACTAATAAAGAAGAAAATAGAGAAGAATCAAACAGACAATAAAAAATGATAAAGGGGATATCACCACTGATTCCACAGAAATACAAACTACCATCAGAGCTTACTATAAACACCTCTATGCAAATAGACTAGAAAATCTAGAAGAAATGGATAAATTCCTGGACAATTACACCCTCCGAAGACTAAACCAGGAAGAAGTCAAATCCCTGAATAGACCAATAACAAGTTCTGAAATTGAGGCAGTAATTAATAGCCTACCAACCAAAAAAAGCCCAGAACCAGAAAGATTCACAGCTGAATTCTTCCAAAAGTACAAAGAGGAGCTGGTACCATTCCTTCTGAAACATCCAAACAATAGAAATTGAAGGACTCCTCCCTAACTCATCTTATGAGGCCAGGATCATCCCGATACCAAAACTTGGCAGCGACACAATGACAACAAGAAAAGAAAATTTCAGGCCAACATTCTTGATGAACATTGATGCAAAAATCCTCAATAAAATCCTGGCAAAGTGAATCCAGCAGCACATTAAAAAACTTATCCACCATGATCAAGTCAGCTTCATTCCTGGGATGCAAGGCTGGTTCAACATACTCAAATCAATAAACATAATCCATCACATAAACAGAACCAATGACAAAAACCACATGATTATCTCAATAGATGCAGAAAAGGCCTTAGATAAAATTCTACACCACTACATGCTAAAATCTCTCAATAAACTAGGTATTGATGGAACATATCTCAAAATAATACGAGCTATAGATGACAAACCCACAGCTAATATAATTCTTAATGGGCAAAACCTGTAAGCATTCCCTTTGAAAACCACACAAGACAAGGATGCCCTCTCTTACCATTCCTATTCAACATAGTATTGGAAGTTCTGGCCAGGGCAATCAGGCAAGAGAAAGAAATAAATGGTATTCAAATAGGAAGAGAGGAAGTCAAATTGTCTCTGTTTGCAGATGACATGCTTGTACATTTAGAAAACCCCATCGTCTCTGCCCAAAATCTCCTTAATCTGATAAGCAACTTCAGCAAAGTATCAGGATACAAAATCAATGTGCAAAAATCACAGGCATTCCTACACACCAATAATAGAGAACAAAATCATGAGTGAAGGCCCATTCACAATTGCTAAAAAGAGAATAAAATATCTAAGTATACAACTTACAAGGGTTGTAAAAGACCTCTTCAAAAAGAATTACAAACCACTGCTCAAGGAAATAAGAGAGAAGACAAAAAAATGGAAAAACATTCCATGCTCATGGATGGGAAGAATCAATCTCATGAAAATGGCCATATTGCCCAAAGTAATTTATAGATTCAGTGCTATCCCCATCAAGCTGCCATTGACTTTCTGTACAGAATTAGAAAAAAAAAACTACTTTAAATTTCATATGGAACCAAAAATGCACCGGTATAGCCATGACAATCCTAAGCAAAAAGAACAAAGCTGGAGGCGTCACATTACCTGACTTCAAACTATATTACAAGGCTACAGTAACCAAAACAGCATGGTACTGGTACCAAAACATATATATAGACCAATAGAACAGAACAGAGGCCTCAGAAATAATGCCACACATCTACAACCATCTGATCTTTGACAAACCTGACAAAAACAAGAAATGGGGAAAGGATTCCCTATTTAATAAATGGTGTTGGGACAACAGGCTAGCCATAGGCAGAAAACTGAAACTGGACCCCTTCCTTACACCTTATACAAAAATTAATTCAAGATGGATTAAAGACTTAAATGCAAGACCTAAAACTATAAAAACCCTTGAAGAAAACCTAGGCAATACCATTCAGGACATAGGCGTGGGCAAAAACTTCATGACTAAAACAACAAAAGCAATGGCAACAAAAGCCAAAATTGACAAATGGGATCTAATTAAACTAAAGAGCTTCTGCACAGCAAAAAAAACTATCATCAGAGTGAATGGGCAACCTACAGTATGGGAGAAAAATTTTGCAATTTATCTATCTGATAAAGGGCTAATATCTAGAAGCTACAAAAACTTAAACAAACTTACAAGAAAAAAACAAACAGCCCATCAAAAAGTGAGTGAAGGATATGAACAGACACGTCTCAAAAGAAGACATTTATGCAGCCAACAAACATATGAAAAAAAAAGCTCATTATCAGTGGTCATTAGAGAAATACAAATTAAAACCACAATGAGATACCAACTCATGCCAGTTAGAATGGTGATTATTAAAAAGTCAGGAAACAACGAGTGCTGGATAGGATGTGGAGAAATAGGATTGCTTTTACAATGTTGGTGGAAGTGTAAATTAGTTCAACCATTGCAGAAGACAGTGTGGTGATTCCTCAAGGTCTAGAACCAGAAATACCATTTGACCCAGCAATTCCATTGCTGGGTATATAACCAAAGAATTATAAATCGTTCTACTATAAATACACACGCACCCATATGTTTATTGAAACACTATTCACAATAGCAAAGACTTGGAACCAACAAAAATGCCCATCAATTATAGACTGGATAGAGAAAATGTGGCACATATACACCATGGAATACTATTTAGCCATATAAAGGATGAGTTCATGTCCTTTGCAGGGACATAGACGAAGCTGGAAACCATAATTGTCAGCAAACTAACACAGGAACAGAATACCAAACACCGCATGCTCTCACTCATAAGGGGGAGTTGAACAACGAGAACAAATGGACACAGGGAGGAGAACATCACACACGAGGGCCTGCGAGGGGTTGGGGAGCTAGGGGAGGGCTAGCATTAGGAAAAATACCTAATGTGTATGACGGGTTGATGGGTGCAGCAAACCACCATGGCACGTATATACTTGTGTAACAAACCTGCACGTTCTGCACATGTATCTGAGAACTTAAAGTATAATTCAAAAAACTTGCATAACTTTTTTTTTTTTTTTTTTTTTTTTTGAGACGGAGTCTTGCTCTGTCGCCCAGGCTGGAGTGCAGTGGCGCGATCTTCGCTCACTGCAAGCTCCGCCTCCTGGGTTCAGGCCATTCTCCTACCTCAGCCTCCAGAGTAGCTGGGACTACAGGCGCCCGTCACCAGGCCCAGCTAATTTTTTGTATTTTTAGTAGAAACGGGGTTTCACTGTGTTAGCCAGGATGGTCTCGATCTCCTGACCTCGTGATCCGCCCGCCTCTGCCTCCCAAAGTGCTGGGATTATAGGCGTGAGCCACCGCTCCTGGCAAAACTTGCATAACTTTTATGCAAGTTTTAAAAATACAAAATTTTCTCCCTAAAGTTAAAAAAAAGATTTATCTGATATTTTTCTCATAATTAGGCTAGAATTTTTGGGTTTGGAGAAGAAACCCATAGAGATAAGAAGTCATATACTCGTTACATCACATCAAAGATATTATGTCATCTTTATCATGTCAATATGATTTATTACAATTGACGTTAACCTTGAACACCCACCCAGTGCTGTGGCTCATGGTTCCTGGAACTACAAGGTACTTCTGGCTTATGTAGTATGTTTTATGCTATAGTTTGAGAATCAACCATTTTCTCAAGGATCCCTGGTTCCTATTACTGGGGAGTGGTATTAGAAAACAAGTTCTGGATAGTAAATATATTCATTACTACTGGGGCACTGTTGCTTTTAGATATATTCAGCTGGCAATGCAAGGAAATATATGTGTGAATACTAACCAAAGTTTGTACATATATCTATAAATTATTCTGTATGTAACCACTCACTTGAACAGTGAGAAACCTAGCTCCCACTATCAGCTACCTTTTTACTTAATTGTTCAATTCTATATATAGTGGTTTTAGATTTGTTATCCTGTACCTCCATGGTAATCAACATTACCGACCAGAAAACAATCTTATGTACTGTTTCTTCTGCCTTTACACTATAAAATTCCACGAGTTAGTTTTTACAAATGCATAGTGTCCTGCATATACCAATACAATATCATATAGGATAGTTTTATTACCCTGAAAGATTCCTTGTGTTTCACCTATTCAAACCTCCCACAAAAGTCTTAGCAACCACTAATCACATAATTGAAATAATACAGTATGTAGCCTTTTCAGACTGGTTTCTTTCACTTAGCAATATGCATTTAAAATCCATCTATGTCATTTTATGCCTCAATTGTTCATTTCTTTTTATTGCTGAATACTAATTCATTTTATGAATAAACCAGCTGGTTTATCTATTCACCTATTGAGAGACATCATGTTTTGCTTCCATTTTTGCATTTAAGAATAAAGTATTATAAACATCCTTGTTCAGGTTTTTCTGTAGTTTTCAAATCAGTTTGGTAAATACCTCACAACATGATTGCTGGGTAGTATGATAAGACTATGTTTAACTTTCTAAGAAACTGCTTGAGTGCCTGTACCATTTTTGATTCCCAACCCCAATGAATGAGAGTTCTTTGTTCTTTTTTTTTTTTTTTTTTTTTTTTTTTTTTTGTGAGATGAAGTCTCTCTCTGTTGCCCAGGCTGGAGTGCAGCGGCGTGATCTCGGCTCACTGCAAGCTCCACCTCCTGGGTTCATGTCATTCTCCTGCCTCAGCCTCCCGAGTAGCTGGGACTACAGGCGCCCGCCACCATGCCTGGCTAAATTTTTTTTTGTATTTTTTAGTAGAGACAGGGTTTCACCATGTTAGCCAGGATGGTCTCGATCTCCTGACCTCGTGATCCACCTGCCTCGGCCTCCCAAAATGCTGGGATTACAGGGGTGAGCCACCACGCCCAGCCAAGAGTTCTTATTATTCCATATTCTCATCAGCATTGGGGATTGTCAATGTTTTGGATTTTTGCCATTTAGCCAGAGGTCCAAAAAATGATAATCCTAATAGATAGGTAGTGATATAGCATTATTGTTTTAATTTTTAATTACTTAATGAAAAATTATGTTAAGCATCTTTTCATATGCTTATTCTCCATTTGCATATTTCCTAGAGTGTCTATTCAGATTTTTAGCCCACTTCTTATTAATTTTTTACTAGTAAGTTTTAAGAGTTCTTGTATATTTTGGATACAAGTCTTTTATAAGATATATAACCTTGGTTGCTTTTTAACTCAAATTCAACAATGATACACTGGGCAACTGCAATTAAAACTTCAGGGTACAAGTTACTTAGACTACAGAGATGATCTATTGTTCTTTTTCAAAAGGAGCTTATAATAAAATGAGGCATAAGACAAATAAAATATAAACTAAATATGGCCCTTTGGTGAAGAATGCACAACCACCAAGTAAATGAGGTAACCCACAAATGATACCAAAGTTCAGGGGAAAACAAGGCAGTTGGATAATATACCATCATAGAAAGACAGAGAGAGGTACAGATACAGTAGAATAAAAATTAATTATTTTGGAGGTGGTAGTAAAGAAAAAGAGTAATTGTCAAATAATCCTACTTTAGAGCTGAGAATAGAAAGCCTGTTTGTAGTGGTAAGAAAAAATTGAGACATTAGAATTAAAACTTTACTCTGCTTTTCTATGAGAATGACAAAAAATATACCAGTTGGAAAGTAAAAGCATAAATTGACAAAATGACATCAGCAATATGGTGGAGCCCTCATCTCCTCATAGAAACACTAATATAAACAATCATCCATGCATGAAAAAATCCTTCACAAGAGCTCTTAATTTCAGGTAAGAGATTATAGCATCTGAGTGTTGGACATAAATGAGAAAGAATTAATTGAAGAAGGTGGAAAGGACAGTTTTATATTGCTTGTGACGCTCTCTCCTAAGCCTACGCAGCACAGAGCCAAGAGAAACATCCTCTATGTGGGGAAGGAGAGTGGGCTAAGTATCCTACTTCACCCTGGACACTAGTACCAGGTCTATCCCAGTGAACTCTGGTGCTATCCCAACAACCTATGGCCCCAAGCTCCAGACTCCCCTTAAAGACTTAAGCTTCAGACTTGCCCCAGCACCAGGCAAATTCTCATAGCTCAGATTCCAGATTGACCATGTGAATGAATCTAAGATGTTGTTCATTCTTATGGACCCAAACCCTAGCAAGCCAACCAATAGACTACAGCAGAATGCCTGCCTGTGAACTCCACCAACTGGCCTATCTAGAATATCTGGTGGGAGTGATTGGTGAAGAGCTGTTTCTTTTGGAGCCAATGTATAAAGGCTGGAAGCTGTATCTACTTCTTCAAATGTGCAACCACAAACACAAGCCCATAATGATCACAGATAATCAGGGAAACATGACACCAATAGGAATGAGGTAAAGCATAAGTAACTGAAGTTAAAAATCAAGATCTATGAATTGTCTAATAAAGAATTCAAAATAATAATCTTATGCAAGTTCAGTGATCTACAAGAGAACACAGATGCACAATTAAACATAATCAGGAAAACAATATTTGAACAACATTAGAAGCTCAACAAAGAGAAAGAAACACTAAAGTAGAACCAAACAGAAATTCAGGAGCTAAAGAATACAATAACTGAACTGAAAAATATCATACAGAGTTTTAACAGCGGATGTGATAAAGCAGAAGAAAGAATCAATTTGCTGGAAAACGGATCATTTTAAATTACAATCAGAAGAACAATAAATAAATAATAAGAAGAAAGCCTATAGGACTTTTGGTATGACATCAAGTAAACCAAAGAATTACAAAATAGACAAAAATAAGTTTAAAAAATTTGAGAAGACTGAAATCTTTTCTACCACAATGGAATGAAACTAGAAATCAATAACATAAAAAATTGAAAGCATGAACAAATATGTAAAAATTAAAGCCCTGGGCAACAAATGGGTCAAAAAATGAATCAAAAGGGAAAATATTTTGAAGTAAATGAATATTTACTTCAAAATATTTACTTAAATATTTTGTATTTTAAATACTTAAAAATATTTATTTACTTAAAATATTTTTAAGTATTTTACTTAAAGAATATTTACTTAAAAAATATTTTGAAGTAAATGAAAATGGAAACTTACAATATGCAGCAAAAACAGTTATAAGAAGGAAGTTTAGGCTGGGCGTAGTGGCTCACACCTGTAATCTCAGCACTTTGGGAGGCCAAGGCAGGTGGATCACCTGAGGTCAGGAGTTCGAGACCAGCATGGCCAACATGTGAAACCTCGTCTCTACTAAAAATACAAAAATTAGCTGGGTGCAGTCGCAGGCGTCTGTAATCCCAGCTACTTAGGAGGCTGAGGCAAGAGAATTGCTTGAACCTGGGAGGTGGAGGTTGTGGTGAGCCGAGATCACACCATCGCACTCCAGCCTGGGTGCCAGAGAGAGACACGGTCAAAAAAAAAAAAAAAAAAAAAAGGAAGTTTACAGTACAAACACCTGCATTACGGAAAAAGTTAAATAATAGGCTGGGTGCAGTGGCTCATCCCTATAATCCCAGCACTCTGGGAGGCCGAGGCAGGTGGATTACCTGAGGTCAGGAGTTTGAGACCAGCCTGGTCAACATGGTGAAAACCCATCTCTACTATAAATAAAAAAATTAGCTGGGCACGGTGGCAGGTGCTTGTAATTCCAGCTACTCAGGAGCCTGAGACAGGAGGATCACTTGAAACCTGGAGCTGGAGGTTGCAGTGAGCCGAGATCATGCCAATGCACTCCAGCCTGGGCTACAAGAGTGAAACTCCATCTCGAGAAAAAAAAATGAACAATCTAAATTTATACCTCAAGAAATTATAAAAAGAAAACAAACTAAGCTGAAGAAAAGCAGATAAAACGAATTAAAATTAGAGCAGAAATAAATATATTGGAGACTAGAAAAACAATAGGAAAATAAATAAAATTAAGAATTGAGTTTTGGAAAGATAAACAAAATTGACAAATTTTTAGCTAGACTAAGAAAAAAAGAGGGAGATTAAATAGAGTAGCCAGTAAACATTAGCTCTTCAATTGGATCACCCAGTAGGACATATTGGGATTCATCAAGGAAGCAACATGACCCATGGAGCTCAGAGAGGAATGAGACAGGACAGCCACCCACCTGGGATTGGCACAAAGCCAAAGGAGGCTCCTAACCATAGGGAAATGGTGAGTGAGCAAGAGGCCCCAGGGATTCACTTTTGGCAGAGATCTTTACAATACTGGGCACAGGAGATCCTCACTGACCCCCTATCCCCGCGGCCTCCAGATATGCAAAGCTGCATGGAGTCTGGGCAGAGCTGCCACAGAGGCCCACATGAAGCCCCAAGGGCCTTAGACCCCTGAGCACCCTGGCACCAGCTGATGTAGCTCCACCAACAAGGTAGGCCAGGATCTCTCACATACCTTGAGGAAGGGCTACATCCATAGTGCTAAGGAGTGGGCAGACTACAGGCCTTGCCTCCACTATACCTCATGAGGAAAAGCCCACTGGCCTGGGACCCTTGTGCAACCACCCCACTCCTGCCTTAGCATTTGGGCTGGTTGCAGCTCTGCAATTCTCTGGGACAGAGCTTCCAGAGGTAACCCACAGGCCTATAGCTTATACCATTGTTGCAGCCCCCAACCTTACTGCCTTCAGGCTGGGGAGAGAGTGAGGAGCCCAAGAACAATTGCGGTCTTCCAGCACACTGCAGCTCCCTTATGGAAAAGCAGCCAGACTGTTTTCCATGTAGGTTTCTGCCCCTGATACTCATCACTAGGCAGGGCTTCCTGACCTGGGCCCCCAGCATAGCTGTCCTACCGTTACCTGATTATGTCAGTCAGTGGTGGCTCTGGTTTCTCTGGGGTAAAGATCTCAGAGACAATTCACAGGCTCTCTGCCATTGCCGCTGCAATGGTACCACCTTTGTGGTCCTTAGTCTAAGGAACAAAGACCATGATTACTTTGCTGGCACCTCCAGCATGATGCAACACCATACAGAGTGGAGCCCTCTCTTCACTTTGAGCCTCTGATCCTCTGCTCTTCACTAGGCAAGGCCACTGGCTTGGGATGGCAGTGCAGCTGCCCTACCCCCTACTGAACATTTCCCTTTGCAGTAGCTTTATGTCTGTTGAGGTGGAGCTTGCAGAAGCAACTGACAACCCCTTTTCCACTGCTGCTACAGCAGTACCCACCCTTGCTGCCACAACACTGGGGAAAAAACAAAGAGTCTGAGTGCTTCACTTTCACCTCCAACATGCTACAGCCACCCTACAGAGAAAAGGGCAAACTGTCTTCCCTGTAAGAACCCCTGCTTATAACCAGAGAGGGCCCCCCCTGGCTTGGGCCCACAATGCAGCTCCCACACCCCTGGCTGATCGTTTTGATTGGCAGTGGCATTGTGTTTCTCTTGGGTGGATTCCTGAGAGACAAGTGAATGGCTATCTACCAATGCTATTGCCAAGGTCTCTGCTCCTCCCGTCCCCAAGATGAGAATAGAACAAAAAGTTTGAGCTGACCCCAGGGTTGTGGTGTGCAGCCTGGGAATGCCAACCCACGATCTGAGACCAGCACTTGAGTGGAAGAGGAGCTCACACTCTCAGAGTACTGAGAGGGAGCATAGCTGCAAATATAAGAAAATACATAACAGTGACGTGGCCAAGTAAGAGCTTATCCCAGTCATTACACTTAGGCACCATCTACTGGATCACAGCCCAAACTTCAACACCAAAAATACTTTGCTAATATATCCCCATGTTAAAGAAAGGACAACAATTCAGCCACAAATAAAGACCCTACACAAAGCCTCAGCCACCTAAAAAAATCCAAAAATGAAGCCAACTGACTATACTCAAATTATACCATAGTTAAATGAAAATCAGCACATACAGATGAGAAAGAACCAGCTCAAGAACTCTGGCACCTATAAAAGACAGAGTGTCTCCTTACCTTCAAATGACTGCACTAGCTCCCCAGCAATGGTTTTTAACCTGAATGAAATAGCTGAAATGACAGGCATAGAATTCAGAATCTGATGGCAACAAAGATCATAGAGATTCAAGAAAAAGTTGAAACCTATTCCAAGGAATCTAAGAAATCCAGAAAAATAATTCAAGAGATGAAAGACAAAATAGCCACCTAAAGAAATAGTCAAACTTGTCTGATAGAGGTGAAAAGCTCTTTACAAGAATTTCATAACACAATCGGAAGTACTAACAGCAAAATAGACCAAGCTAAGGAAAGAATCTCAGAGCTCAAAGACAAGTTATTTTAATTAATGCAGTAAAACAAAAATAAAGAAAAAATAATTTAAAAATTAAAAAAGAATCTCTGAGAAATATGGAATTATGTAAAGAGACCTAACCTATGACTCATTGGTATCCCTGAAAGAGAGGGAGAGAGAACAAGCAACTTGGGAAATATGTTTGAGACTATAATCCATGAACATTTTCCTAACTTCACTAGAAAGTTTGACATGCAAATTCAGAAAATTGAAAGCCTCTGCAAGATGCTATAAAAGAGTACCATCCTCAAGATGCATAGTCATCAGATTCCCCAAGATCAATGTGAAAGAAAAAATATTAAAGGCAACTAGAGAGAAGGGGCAGATAATCTACAAAGGGAACCTCATTAGGCCAAGAGTGGACCTTCAACATAAAACTTACAAGCCAGAAGAGATTGGGAGCATACATTCAGCATCCTCAAAAAAAAAAAAAAAAAAAATTTCAACTAAGAATTTCATATCCAGCCAAGCTAAACTTTATAAGTAAAGGTGAAATAAAATTATTTTCACATAAGCAAATGCTAAGGCAATTCATCACCACAGGACCTACCTTACAAGAGGTCCTTAAGGGAGTGCTAAACATGGAAAGGAAAGAATGTTAATGGCCACCGAAAAAACATGCTTAAGTAAATAGATCATTGATACTGTGAAGCAACTACACAATCAAGTCTACATAACAACCAGCTAAAAACAAAATTCACATATGTCACTATTAACCTTAATGTAAACTAGCTAAATGTCCCACTTAAAAGGCATAGAATAGTGAGTTGGATAAAAAAGCAAGACCTGGCTGGGTGCAGTGGCTCACACCTGTAATCCTAGCACTTTGGGAGGCCAAGGTGGGAAGATCATGAGGTCAACAGATTGAGACCATCCTGGACAACATGGTGAAACCTCGTCTCTACTGAAAATACAAGAATTAGCTGGGTGTGGTGGTGTGCGCCTGTAGTCCCAGCTGCTTGGGAGGCTGGGGCGGGAGAATCGCTTGAACCCTGGAGGCAGAGGTTGCAATGAGCTGAGATCGTGCCACTGCACTCCAGCTTGGCAACAGAGCAAGACTCCATCTCAGAAAAAAAAAAAAAAAGCAAGACCCAATAGTATGCTGTCTTCAAGGAACCCATCTCATGCAAGGACAGGCTTCAGCTCAAAGTAAAGGGATGGAGAAAGATCTACCAAGCAAAAATAAAACAAAAAAGAGCAGGGGTTGCTATTCTTATTTCAGACAAAACATACTTTAACCTAACAACTTTGAAAAAGGGCAAAGAAGGGCATTGCATAATGATATTCAATTCAAGAAGTAGATTTAAATGTACTAAGTATACGTACACCTAACACTGCAGCACCAAGATTTGTAAAACAAGTTCTTAGAGACTTATGAAGAGACTTAGGTAGCTATACAATAGTAGTGGGGGAGTTCAACACCCCACTGACAATATTAGATGGATCATTGAGGCAGAAAATTAAAAAAGATATTCAGGACCTGAACTCAATATTGATCAAGTGGACCTAACAGACATCTACAGAACTCTCCACCCCAAAACAACAAAATATACATTCTTATCCTCTTCATATGGCACATACTTTAAAATTGATCATATGTTTGACCATAAAGCAATTCTCAACAAATTCAAAAAAACTAAAATCATACCAACCACACTCTCAGTCCACAGCACAATAAAAATAGAAATCAATACCAAGAAGATCATTTGAAATCATAGAATTAAATGAAAATTAAGCAATCTGTTCCTGAATGACTTTTGGGTAAACAAAGAAATTAAGGTAGAAATCAAGAAATTATTTGAAACAAATGTAAACAAAAATACAACACATCAGAATCTCTGGGACACAGCTAAAGCAGTGATAAGAGAAAAGTTTATAGTGCTAAATGCCTACATCAAAAACATAGAAAGATATCAAATTACCAACTGAATATCATACCTAGAGAAACTAGAAAAACAAGAGTAAATCAGCACCAAAGTTAGCAAAAGAAAAGAAATAAACAGAATCAGAGCTGAACTGAATGAAATGGAGATTAGTAGAACTATGCAAAAGATCAACAAAACCAAAAGTTGTTCCACTGAAAGAATAAATGGGATTGATAGACCACTAGCTAGACTAACACAAAAACAGAGAGAAGATCTAAATAAACACAATCCAAAATGACCAACAGGACATTACCATGGACCAAGTAGAAATACAAAAATCCTCAAAGACTATTATGAACACATTTGTTCACATAAACTAGAAAAGCTAGAAGAAATGGATAAATTTCTGGAAACATACAACCTCCCAAGTTTGAGCCAGGAAGAAATTGGAACCTTGAAGGGACCAGTAATGCATTCCAAAATTGAATCAATAATTAGAAACCTACCAACCAGAAAAAGCCCTGGACCAGAAGGATTTAGAGCTGAATTCAATCAGATGTATAAAGAAGAGCTGGTACCAATGCTCCTGAAACTATTCCAAAAAATTGAGCAGGAGGGGCTCCTCCCCGTCTCATTCTATGAGGACAGCATCAGTCTGAAATGAAAACCTGATAGAGACACAAGCAAAATAAAAGAAAAAGAAAAAGAAAACACAAGAGAAAAAAAAAAAAAGAACTTTGGGTCAATATCCCTGGGGAACATAGATGCAAAAATCTTCACAAAATACTTTCAAATCAAATCCAGAAGTATATAAAAAGCTAATACATTATAATCAAGTAGGCTGTGTTTTCAGGATGCGAGTTTGGTTCTGCATACAAAAATCAATAAATGTGATTTATCACATAAACAGAACTAAAAACAAAAACCACATGATCACTCCAATAGACACAATAAAGACTTTCAACAAAATTCATCATCCCTTCACAATAAAATCATCAACAAATTAGATAGTGAAGAAACATACCTCAAAATAATAGGAGCCATCTAGGGTAAAACCACAGCCAACGTCAGACTGAACAGGCAAAGGCTGGAAGCATTCCCCTTGAGAAGTGAAACGAAACAAGAACCCCCACACTCACCACTCCTATTCAATATAATACTGGAAGCCCTAGACAGAGCAATCAGGCAAGAGAAAAAAAATAAAAGGCATTCAAATAAAGGAAAAAAAAAACTACTCTAAAATACCTTGGGACACAATACAGAACCCATATAGCCAAAGCAATTCCAAGAAAAAAAGAGCAAAGCCAGAAGCATCTACCCAACTTCAAACTATACTGCAAGGCTGGAACAATTACAGCAGCATGATTGTAGTACAAAAACAGACACATACACCAATGAAACAGGTTAGAGAACCCAGAAATAAGGCTGCACACCTACAACCATCTGATCTTTGACAAAGCTACCAATAACAATCAATGGGGAAAGAATACCCAATTCAGTAAGTGGTGGTGGGATAACTGGCTTAGTCATATGGATAAGACTGGAATTGCACCCCTTCCTTTTGCCATATACAAGAATCAACTCAAGATGGATTAAAGGCTTAAATCTAAAGCTGAAAATTATTTTTAAAAAACCCTAGAAGAAAACCTAAGGAATACTATTCTGGGTATCGGCCATAGCAAAGACTTCATGATGAAGACTCCAAAAGCAATTGCAACAAAAACAAAAAATTGACAAGTGGGACCTACTTAAACTAAGGAGCTTCTGCTCAACAAAAGAAACTATAAGCAGAGTAAACAGACAACTCACAGAATGGGAGAAAATATTTGCAACCTATGTATCCAAAAAAGGTCTAATATCCAGAATTTATGAGGAACTTAAACAAATCAACAAGCAATAAACAATGCCATTTAGAAAATGGGGGAAGGACATGAACAGACACCTCACAAAAGAAGACATTGATGTGGACAACAAGCATATTAGAAATGCTCAATATCATTAATCATTAGGGACATACAAATCAAAACCACAATGAGGACCATCTCACACCAGTCAGAATGGCTATTTTTAAAAATCCAAAAAATAATAGATGCTGATGAAGGTGTAGGGAAAAGGGAACACTCATTCCCTGCTAGGGGTATTTAAATTAGTTCAGCCACTGTGTAAAGCAGTCTGAAGATTTCTCAAAGAACTTAAAATAGACCTACTATTCTACCCAGCAATCCCATTACTGGGCATATGCCAAAAGAACTGCAAAGTATTCTACTATAAAAACTATAAAGACACATGCATGTGTATGTTCATCACAGTGCCATTCGCAATAATAAAAACATGGAATCAATCTAAATGTTCAAGAGTGGACTGAGTGAAGAAAATGTGGCACATATACACCATAGAATACTATGTAACCATAAGAAAGAACAAAATTATGTCTTTTGCAGCCACATAGATGGAGATGGAGGCCATTATCCTAAGCAAATTAACACAGAAACATAAAACTAAATACTGCATATTCTTCCTTACAAGTGGGAGATAAACATTGAGTATACATGGACACAAAGAAGGGAGCAATAGACATCAGAGCCTTCTTTAAGGTGGAGGGTGGGAAGAAGGTAAGGATTGAAAAACTACCTATCAGGTATTATGCTGAAATCTGGGTGACAAAGATATCTTTACATAAAACCCCCATAACACACAATTTACCCATGTGACAAACCATCTTATGTACCCCTTGAACCTAAAAGTTGGAAAGAAAAATGAAATAAAATAGAGAATCTAGAAAAAAAAGAGGAAAAAAGAGAGAGGGCTCAAATAAAATTGTAAGTGAAAGAGACAATACACTGATATCACAAAAAAAAGAATCACAAAAGACTACTATGAACAATTATACACAAACAAATTAAATAACCTAGAATAAATAAATAAATTCCTAGAAACATACAACCTACCCAGAGTGAATTATAAAGAAATAGAAAATCTCAAAGGGCAAATAACAAGTAAGGAGAATGAATCAATAAGCAAAAATCTCTCAACAGAGACAAGCCCAGGACCTCATGACTTCACTGTTGAATTGTACCAACATTTTGAGGAGGATAAAGCCAATTCTTCCCAAAACTTGCCAAAAAACTGAAAGGGAAGAACTAATTACAAATTTATTTTATAAGGACAGAGTTACCTTGATACTACAGCCAGAAAAGAACAGTATAAGAAAGGAAAATTATAAGCCAGTATCCCTGATAAACATAAGTGCAAAAACCTTAATAAGATACTAGCAAACCGAATTCAACAGCACATTAAAAGAATCATATACTGTGATCAAGTGGGATTTATCCATAAGATGCAAGGATAGTTCAACATGTGTAAATCAATAAATGTGTTTCCCCATGTTAACAGAATGAAACATAAAAGTCACATGATCATCTTAATAGATGCGTAAAAAGTGTTTAAGAAAAAATCAGCATTTCTTCATGATTAAAAACTCTCAGGTTAAGTACAGAAGAAATATACTACAACATAGAAAATTCTATGTATGGCAAGCTCACAGCTAACATATTCTCAACAGCAAAAAGCTGAAGCTCTAAGATCAGGACTAAGACAACATTGGCCATTCTTGCCACTACTATTCAACATAGTAATCAAAATCCTATCCAGAGCAAGCAGATAGGAGGTAGAAATAAAATGCATCCAAATCAGGAAAGATTTTACTTATCTCTGTTTGCAGAAGACAAGATCTTCTATACATAAAAACCTAAATACTCCACCAAAAATCATTAGAATTAATAGATGAATTCAATAAAGTTGCAAGATACAAAAATCAATATGCAGAAGTTAGTTGCATCTCTATATCTTATCAACAAAAAGTGGAAACAAACCCTTTTACAATAGCATCAAAAATAATAGGACACTTGGGAATAAATTTAATCAAAAAGGAGTAAGATTTGTTCCTGGAAAACTATAACACAGTGATGAAAGAAATTGAAGAAGAATGACTAAATGAAAAGATATCCTCATAGATTAGAAGAATTAATAAGAAAAGATCTTCATACTCCAGGATGCCAGACTTGCTAGAGAAACTTACATTTTTGCGTGTTCCCTTATTTATATTTCAGTCTATAGTATTCTATTGCTTAAAAACACTGGATTATTTTTTAACAAAATTAACAAAAATTGAACATTTGCACAATTTCAGGGCCAAATTTATTCCTCTGGGAAGACTATCAATGTGATACACAGAAGAGCTAGTTCTGCATTTACCATATTCCCAGAAGTACTGAAGACTTTTATTAGAATTTCCCAACTCAAAGTACATTTAATTGAACATCAGATTTAATATATTATATTATCAAATATAATAGATTTTTTATGCCCTAAATAGATTTTTTATGCTTTTGGAAATGGATTGTGAGAATGGAGGTTATAGGGGTGATTTTTGCAACTGAGCTGTGGCTATGGTTACCATAACCGCCAGCCATAACACAAAGGGTCTTTTATCTGCTGTCGAATCATTATAAGGCCCAGAGGAAATTCTCAACCTTATGAGAAAGTTAGGCAAGGCTTAAGCAGTAATAGAAAGAAGAATGGAAAGTACCAAGACAGAATGTTGATACTGCCTCAGATAGAGTGAGAACATAACTTTTTTTTCTATTAGAAACAGGTGCCAAAGTTTCTAAGCCATTAAATCACGACATACAAAGAATAGACTGATGTTATCTATGGATGCAATAGCAGGTGTCCTGGCCATGCAACTTAAAAATTACTGGAACTTCCACCCCTCTCCCTGATCTTGAATATTTTCTTCTATTCACCTGTTACTGATTCATCACACCTTCAGTTTGGAAGTTCCTGGAAAGTGGATGACACATTCAGAGGTATATTTTATTAATATAAATTGATTTGCTAGGTAGCCCACAGAATGTACGTGAAACATCTTCTTTAAAGTATCTGTTTATGGATTGAAAACCTTTAGCAATCCCCTAGTAATAGGCCACTCAATTGGCGAGGCATACAGTTTTAAAGTCAGCCTCCTAAGAGGACTCCACTCCTACTCTTTTCCACATCAACTGGCCCACTGCTGTTATACTTTCAATTTGGTTAATCCAAATTTTCTGTTTAATATTGCTTATGTCAAGCTTCTATAAAGTTAGATGTTAAGTTGCAGAGGATTGATAATTGCAAATTGTTTTTGTCCATTAGTAATGCAAATTGTTTCTGTCCCATAGATAAGACAACTTCAAATGTTACAATTATTTTCCTGTAGGATACTAATCAATTTTTATCTAGTATTGCAATTTTGTTCCAGTATTCTTTTTGTCCACGATTATATAAGTCTATCTTATGTGGGCATGAAAACACACACACACACACACACACACACACACACACACACACTCTCTCTCTCTCTCTCTCTCTCTCTCTCTGTCTCTTCCCTGGAGGTAGCTTTTATCATCCCTCTAGGTTATATATCAAAATCATGAATTTAAATTGTTTTGAAAATTATATTTTGATAATAACAGGAGCCTATAACTTGAGTTACTTATCTTTTCTGGGAATTTAAGATCTCCTTCCTCTTATTATTCTTACTACTTTATCCTTGCTTCCTCCTCTGGGGCTAAGTATTCTCCCTCTTCCCAGAAATACCTTTTGATCCCATGTTCAAGGCAACTACATTTTATTTAAAAACTAAAATACTGTACAACTCCCAAGAAAAGAGGTATAAAGTGGGTATTGAACAAAAGGTCTTATTCCAATACCAGTGAAATCAGAATTTCATCCCAGTTAGAAGTATAACTCAATTTATAACCTGTGCTCACTTAGAATATACTTGAGATGGCAGGTTACACACAAAACTTTTAGTAAAACCAGGTAATAAAAACTTAGTATGGAAAGTAGAATTTATATAGCTGTAAAAATATCCTAAATGGATGCAGGAACATAATTTAAGAAAGGTATAGCATATGAGAAGGTACTGTGGCTATTGTCTTTGATGCACTTTTCTTCTGCTGGCCATACCTGTGAGGAGGCATGTTGACCCCACTCTCAGTCCATGCACTTTCTGAAAAGTTGAGTTCACTCTAGGCACTTGACTTGGGTCTAGCCAATCAGACTATCACATTCCTCTGACGACAATGGCTGACTCAGGGACAGATTTGGACTTTCATGGAACAAAAGAAGAGTTTTGTTGGTAAATTACTGGCATGAACTCAAGAGCATATAGGGACTGAGATCACAGCCACTATCCTGCAGGCATATGGAACCTGAGAATGGAGCCAGTGTTAAGAGAGTGAGCCAAAAAAAAAACAGGGTTTGGTGATTGACAATGGTTGGGTCCTGGGTTCTCAGCTCCACTTGAAACAAATTTTAAAACTGCAATAATCAGTTAAATAGCCATTTAATTTCCTTTCTTACAATGTTACTTAAGGTTAGATTTTCTGACACTTGAAACAGAAAAATAATGACAGAGCAGAAAGGCTGAAAAGAGTAACTATAAGAATGAGTAAAAGAGTTTCATAGGGGGAGAAAAAAGTACACCCAAGTAAAGATGGAATGCCAATGTTTTAGTTCTAAAATTATTTCTAAAATTTTCATAAATTTCTGGGGGAAAAAAGTGTTCTTTCTACTGTGGTCTTCAGGAAGGCTTGGATTTCTGAAGCTCTTCTTATGAAATAATGCCATCTACAGTAATATCAGATTTCCTTAGCCTAGCATTTCACTTAAAATTTGTAAATAGTCATTTAATTGTTTATTTATAAATTTTTAAAAATAAATAAGCACCATGAGAAATCTAATTGTTTCAAATATGAGATTGACAAGCTCACAGAGTTTGTATTGGCAAAGCTAGTTATGGTCATGCTATATAATGTGATAGTACAGGAGTACCCTGCTCCAAATATTAATTCTTATAACTGTATTCTTTCTTTCCTCCTTTCCACAAACTATGCTTTGTGTGCTTAAATGAGAGTCAGCCATTTGATCAGGAACTATGGATCAAATGAAGAGCAAGCAGACACAGTCCTTTGTCCTCATGGGGCTTCCAGTCTAATGAGAGTCAGACAATAGCTAATAATCACACACACACATACACACACACACTCAATAGTGCACCTGTAAAAATATTACAAGATGAGTACATTGTCCTATTAGTCCACAAGGAAAGAAAAGTTTATGAGATAATGCTTATTCTTATTAGGCATAACCTATTCTGACATTTTTTCTTCCATTCTTTTTCCTTAAAAAATTCTGGTCATAAATTTCTAAATTTATTTCATAATCTATTACCATGGGAGGATTTGCCTTAGTCAGAGAGAAGACTTCTCTAAGGAAGTGATGATTGAGTTGAGGTAAAAAATGAGTAAGGGTTAATTAGGTGAAAGAAGGCAGAAAATGGACAAAGAGACATGAAAGTAGAGGATACAGCAAGTGCAAAACCCGGGAACAGGAGGAAGTAGATGTGTCCTTGGGACTGAAGGAAGGCCAGTGTGTGGAGGCAGTGCAGAGAACAAGGAGGAGCCTCATGCCTGATGAGGATGGAGAGACAGGATGGCTAAAGCCAGGCAGGGTCTGGATATGTTAAGGACAGTTGCCTTTGAAAACAATGGATTACATTGAAGATGATATGAGCCAATTATGCAAAAGATAGGGGTAAGGATAGATGTGGGTAGAACAGGTAGGAAACTGCTGAGTTAATCCAGGAAATGGAAAACCATACCCTAGTTTTGGGTATATGCCAGTGGATATGGAAAGAAGTGTTTTCTCAACGTTAAAAGTTAATTCCTATTATAACACAAAAGAATGGCTTATAATGTTGATTAGCAAATACATGTCAGTTTCTACACAAGTAATCACCTGAGGAAGCTGATTGAAATTGATTCCTGGGCCCTAATCTCAAAGATTTTGATACAATGGGTCTGTGGTGGAGCTCTGGTATATGTATGTATTTTAAAGCTCCATAGGGATTCTGATATGCAAGAGGAATAGGAAATTATTAAGAGGATGATTTTCTTCCTTTTTACTATTCTTATTTCCCAAGTGACATAATCCAATTCTTTCGTGTAAATTCTATCCATGTGATAGTGACTCTCAAATTTATATAATACAAGCCCAAAACTCTTTCTTGAATTACACATTCCTATATCTGTTTACATATTTACTTGGATGATCTAACAAAAATTTTTAACCTTAACATGAACAAAATTAAACTTAAATACCCAGCCATTTCCCATCTAATCTTCTTTTCCTTGAGTTTTCCTATCTCAATGATGGCAAATTAATGCTTCCACTTACTCAGGCTAATCTCAGAGCCATCCTTACTACACCATCTATGGCATGCTTTACATCCAGTTCCCCAGTGAGTCCTGACAGCTATACCTTTCAAAGATACCTTTAACCCTGCAACTTCTCACCAGTTCCATGGCTTTCCTTCTAGACTGAGGCATCATCATCTTGCACTTGAACTATTGTAACCGCCTTCACACTAAGTTCTCTTTATCATTCTTTGCCTCCCTTTATTCTATTTTTGACACAGCATATGAAAAGAGTTTTAAAAAGAAAAGTAGATTATTTTGCTCTTTTGTTAAAAATTCTCCAAATGGCTTTATAGGTCACCTAAAAGAAACCCAAGTTCTTATAGACAAAACCTTCCAATCTTACAACCCCTGACTACTTCTTGTTAATACTGCTCAGTCACACTCTCCTTCAATATAGCAACAAAACTCTTAACCTTGGAATATTGAAGCCTTACTTACTTACCTCGGAATATTTAAAGACAATAATTTTTTCCTGGAGTTGCATGATTATTCCTTCACTTATTTCAGATTTTTTCTCTGATATCATTGTAGGAGTCCTTCAATCACTCTGTATAAAATAAATATGTACACATACACAGGCACACCTATCTTTGTTTTCTTACCTGTCAACTGTAACCATAATAAAATGACTACTACTTGAGAGAGAAACTTGGCTTGGCTTATTGCTATATCCTCAATGCCTTTAGCATTGCTTGGTATTTAGTAGAAGCTCAATAAATATTTGAGGGATGAATAAATGAATGGCAGGTAGAGATGGTGAAACAGGGGAGGCAAAGAGAATGAGGTAGGTGGTATGATCCTGGAAAGTGCACAATGCGATCTCTGACATGCCTGCTTCCCATTGGAAAAAGACAAATTCCTCATTCCTCTTCTTGGTAGGCAAAGCTGTACATATGTGAAGTGGACCTTAGGAGAAGCAAGGAAGAATAGCGGGCCGTGGTAAACTGTATTGGCACTGCTGTCAGATGGCAGTTTTGAACTTCACCTCCCTCACTTATTTACAATAAGAGGTAAGTAGAATACCAACAGTCACAATCTTTCTAGTGTTGACCTAGTTATACCTTTATATTTTGTGAATAGAGGATCAAGTACCAGATAAAAAGAGGAAGACAGTTGAGAAAAACAAAAAGCCTGATTCAGCAGGGGATTTACTGTGTCATGTTACACCACATCCTGTTACCTTTTAAAGCCATCATCCAGTATTGTGTGTTCCAGCAGCATAAGGATGGTTCAGAACAACTATATTCAACATCAGCAATAATTGCCAGAGGTAATCAATTCCCACTTTAGTCGACATGGCCATTAAATGATGAAGAAAAGCACAAGTGAGAAATCTGTCTCTTTATAATCCAAGCATTTGGAGACACAATAGGTGAATTATAGCATTTTGTACATATACAATTATATTTTTACACCCAATCACAATATTTAGAGTGAAGAGATCAAAAACTGTGTTAGAAAATATTTTAATATATTTTGTTATTTATATTTTTCCTCACCTCCCCAATATATATACATAGATTAGTAAATCTCCTAAATATTAGCTCTCATCCAATCATATTATTTAGAGTTTCTATGACCTATAAGCATGTTTAAATAAATTGGGAGCCAATTTACAATTTTAATATTTACCAAGATGTTAAACATCAAAATTTATGTCACAGGTATCAACATGCTTAAAGCACCAGGTTGGTGAAACCTCTCTTAGAAATTATTGATCCAGTCACGAAAATGTGGTTTGGCATTAATATTGTTTTCACTAGAGATCTCTGATTTGGCACTCTGATATCTCATACTGCTAAATCAACATGCAGCCCATCCTTGCTTCCGTCATTACGTATCAGGGGATTTTTGTAAGCCTCAATTTTGGATAAGTTGACCAGTAACAAATTAATCTTTAAATCAGACACTGAAGCAAAAATGTCATGGTTGAACATGAAGCAAACATTTCTTTGTAAAATTCAAGTTTTAAATCACACCTGCTACCAGACTCTAGGGAAAAGTATCTGCTCAGAAAGAGAAAAAAAAAATGGGTAGAGTGAATATATTAGAAAGACCTCCTCTACGCTTTGTCCATCACAGAGAAAAAGCCCTAACCCAACTTCCTGTTATGGTGGGCAACTGTGGTGTACACAAAAGTCTGGGACCAGACAGTTTTCTGCTACAGCCCTAGCTGGTTGCTTATACCATTAACATGGTTTGGCTCTCAAATCTCATCTTGTAGCTCCCATAGTTCCCACGTGTTGTAGGAGGGACCCAGTGGAAGGTGATTGAATTATGGGGGTGGGTCTTTCCTGTGCTGTTCTCATGATAGTGAATGGGTCTCATGAGACCTGATGGTTTTAAAAATGGGAGTTGTTCTGCACAAGCTCTCTTTGCCTGCCACCATCCACATAAGACATGACTTGCTCCACTTTGCCTTCCGCCATGATTGTGAGGCCTCCCCAGCCATGTGAAACTGTGAGTCTAATTAAACCTCTTTCTTTTGCAAATTGCCCAGTCTCGGGTACGTCCTTATCAGCAGCATGAAAACGGACTAATACAAACATCAAGCAATCAGCTAGGCCTGTAGCAGGATGAGGTCCAGCCCCTGACTTGCAGCTGAGTGGATCCACTCCCCTGGTAGGTCTTTTGGTGATAAAAAGAGGAGAAAAAAATGAAATGAATGAAGAATAAATGAGGAGTACGAGTCTCTGGTGCTATTTAATATTAAACACAAGGCAGTGTTGACCTAGACACTGAGGCAAGGAATGGTGATGAAAGGGTGGGACGGAGGCAAACATGAAACACATTACTGGGTGATCTCCAGGCAGTGCAGCTGTGTGTTCTGATGAGTCAGACATAACTGGGGAAACTTGGTTTCAACCACCAGGAAATTAAAGCACTTAAAAATTGTTTAGGGGTGAGAGAATATAAATTCATGTGTCATTTCTAGGAAATAACTAACTTTTTAACTTAATAACATCTCACATACCAAATGTCCACCTAACTTCGTATAGCCTGGGGAAATGGTGCTATGTTTAGTGTTTTAAACATTGTGATCTCCAGGTCATATGATACTGATTTTTAAGACATTGAGGAGACAAGAAGAGTCAAACATTTATCCATTTCAGACATCACTATTTCTGGATAGAATCAGGAGGGGCACTTCTCCCATTGCCGCCAAACTGTGAGCTAAGGGGTTCTACAAACTACAAAGACTAAAGGATTTATATTGACCCCTCCTATATCAGCTGGTCTTCACAATAACACATAGAGATGATGGGGCAGCTGTTAAAACACCTTTCTTCCTGCACAGAGCACTCAGATGAGTACATAACACTTGAAAGAGAGTAAGGCCTAGAAGGTTGTGGGAACTGTCCAAGGTGACAGGGGAAGAAGATACCTGAGAACTAATAGATAAGTCAGCACCTATCACAACCAATTTTAAAGACAAACCAAAAAGAGGAATTTTTCTCTAGCAAGAAGTCTCAGGCTTTTCTTAGCTTCCAAGGAAGACTTCTCTGAAGGTCAGGCTGTACCTGTAGGACTGGTGATTGGATAGATCTCAATGTGTATAAAATGCCTGATGCGTCAAAAACCAGCTGTTGTTCAATGACTACATCTTTCTGGGAAGATTCTAGAGAAGTGGAGCAGAAATGATCAGTTGAAAGGAAAGGAGATTGATAAACATCTGTTGATACATTCTTGCTCAGGAGGTTGTTCAATGATCAAAGACTCTTAATACCTTAGAACTGTGATCTTACTATTAAAGTCTATTGAATGGCCATTTTAATGTAGAAAAGAGCAGAAAAGGAAAGAGAAGGGAAAGGAAATGAATAGGAAAAGGGATGCATATGTTAAATTCTTAAATATCCATGTAAATACAGGGGGAAATAAAAACTTATGTGTTGACTCTGAAAATGCTATTTCTGAGGACAGTGGAGAGAGGAATAATAGAGCAGATTCTGGCAGATGAGGTTCATTTAGAAAACGTGAGAACAGATGATAGCTGCAATCAAATGTTTCTATGAAGGACTATGTGAGTGCTAAGAGATCACCCCATCACCCTAATTTTTGGTGGTAGCAGTTGGAATTTTGTCAATGAAAAAAAGGGAAACTGTATTCAAGGCTTAAGGAGAAGAGAACACCACAAAGTCAGCCCTGGGACCTCAGCTCATGCCTTGTCTATAGGCATTGATGTGGCTGTAATACCATGGTGAGGTCATGGCTCCCACATTAAAAGCTTTGAGGGTTTTGTGTAGCCAGAGTTCTTTTCCTAAGTAGAGTCTACATATCCTTACCCCATATAAAACAAACATCCCAGTGACATACTTAGGTCTCTGTTACCACCATGAAACAATTTAGTTACTCACCAAAGGAACCACCATTTGGAACTAAGAAAATGGCCTCTAAAATGAAATCCTGCCATTTGCAGCAACATAGATGGAACTGGAGTACATTATGTTAACTGAAATAAACCAGACACAGAAAGGTAAATTTTGCATGTTCTCATTTATATTTTGGAGCTAAAAATTAAAACGATTGAACTCATGGTGATAGATAGTTGAATGATGGTTACTAGAAGGTGGGAAGGGTAGTGGGGGTTGGGGGAAATTGTGTAGTTTATGGGTAAAAATATATAGCTAGATAAAATGAATAAGATTTAGTGTTTAATAACAAAAATGTGACTATAAGCAACAATAATTTATTGTACCTTTAAAAATAATTAAAAGAGTAGAATTGGAATGTTCCTAACATAAAGAAATGAAAAATGCTTGAGGTGATGAATAGATTGATTATCCTGATGTGATTATTACACATTGTATGCCTGTGTCAAAACATCACAGGTACCCTATAAATCTTTACACCTATTATGGGCCCATAATAATTAAAAAATTAAAAAATTTTAAATGAGAATAAAGAGAAAAATGGCCTCTATGAACTGGAGAAGAAACATAGGAACACAAATGGTAGAGGACTTTAGTCTCTTAATGACAAACCAGACTCAGAAGTACCAAAGTTTATTTTTTAACAGACAAGCCTTTATTAGGAAATCAACTGAAGATAGAAGGAAGGACAATTTTGAAGATCTTTTCTGATTATTGCCTGTCTCTCCTGTCACTTAATGTTATGAGACAACAGCCTTGTTCCTCATACAGTCAGAGATCAATAATGTCTTTGTAACAAATGCATTAATAGATTAATTAACAGAAATAAACCTTTATGATTTGAGTTCTAGTGCCTTTCAACTGAGGGTATATTATGAAGAGATTGAAATTCTTTGCAGAAATTGTTACATTAAAGAAACAGATGGATATGGGTCTTCTATTTCATAGAGACCCAACATGAACTACAGCAGCAATAGCAGTGACAGGTCTAGTCCAAGGTCTTGGCACATTATTCTAAGAGTAAGCTAGGAAAAATTAATCAACTTGGCTACCAGAACGTAGAGGTGGGGACAAAAATAAAATAATAATCTCTTTTCGTCTTGCATATCCTCTTAGAAGACCTCATGAGTTGAATACAAATAGCTGTTAATTGAGGAAAGTTTCATTGCATATGTATTAGCAGGGTATATTGAAGGGTCATTCATGGATAGGATTATGGTACTTTCTCTACATAAAGTGAATGTTGGCTATTCACAAGACAAATTATTAAATTAATCAGTGATTCATGGAAGTGTTAGAATAAGTCTTGGGGATTGCTTTATTAGAGATTAGTGACATTAGGACATCTGTTGCATAATAGGACTATTGGTAAAGAGTGGGCAAGAGAGTTATTACAAGATCCCATTATCCAAATATATCACCAATTCAAAAAGAATTCTGAAAAACAGCATGTAAATGTCTATTGATTATAATACTCTTAATTGTCTATTTAAGGCCAGTTATAAAAGCAGTAATTTTGACCTCCATATCAATCAGGATGAATTTGTTTGCTTATTACAAAATTAGTGTTTTATAGTTAGGATGATATCACCAGATAGATGAAGAGGAATAGGAAAACCCCACCTTTGCTCAGTGCAGTTTCTCATGCCTTTAAATAATAAGTGTCTCAGGAGATGTATCAGAAGTCCCTGATAGGTTTCAACACAAAATGAAGAAGGTGGTTTATGGTGAGACCCACCTAGATGGGTAACTGTAGCAGCAGGTAGTGGCAGTGACAGCAGCTATAACTTGTTTTAGCAGTAGCTGCAGCAGCAGCTATAATAAAAGCATCCACTGCCCAGTGTTGCATGTTGAGTGTCAGCGATGCAAGCCATGGTGTCTCTGACCTGTGGGAAAAGCTTACTTTACCTTCACCAGTCTGGTTCTGCTACATGAATTTGGGCATCGTTCTCGATGTGCATCCTCTGAGACTTGCTCTCTGGCCCTCCTAAAATTTATGTGAGCTTCTGAGTGTCTTTTTAAAATATACTTCTTTTCTGTTTAAATTGTCATTTGTTATTTGTAACTGATTGTATCATTGTCTTTAGCAAGCTGTTAGGGTAAAAGAATCTGCATGAAGTCTCTTTCAATATCTCCCTGGAGAAAGCCAGTTCTGTGAGGCTTTTATGCACAAGGTGCTCCTCAGGAGGGAGTGAGCAGCAAAGTAACCAAAAGTTATTCCTGACATCCCACTGATAATCAGCAGTTTCTTTGGGAAGCAAAGTTACAGAGCAAAAAGATTATGGGCCTTGTAACCAGAAACTACCATTTACAGTGTCTATAACAAGTTGATTAATCTCTCTGGGACCTTTTTTTCCTTATATGTATACACAAATAATAACATTTATTTTGCAGGGCTGTTATAAGATTGTGGGAAAATTGATATGAAGGATTGAGCCAGGTGCTGTAGAAGATGAAAAATGAGTTGGGTAATGCAGGAAGAAGAAAATGAATTGAACATGAGGAAAAACAGTGAGACTGATGATCACTAAATATTGGGGTCCTCAATGCACCATTTGAGACCATGATGTGAGCTCTCTCTCTAGGTGGATTCCACAAGTCATTCCTTATGTGATGTCTCTCACACACATAGCTTCAGCACAAACTTCTTCCCTGAGTTCCAGAATCATAAACAACTTGTTCCATGATATTTTCACTTGGATATTTCACAGGAATTTACAATTTTAAACGTCTAAAAGAGGATTTTTTTTTTATTCCACTGCTGTGTAAACATGTATTTCCCCATTCTTTCATATCTCAATCAATGGCATCCCCATACAGAGTTGTTTCCATCAAACAACAAGGAAACATTCTTGAATCTTCCATTGCCAGTATCCAAACTCTTCAGAATGTCCTGGAGGTTGTAACTGTGAAATATATAGAGACTCTTTCATCATCTCTATGTCTCAATAGATATCATCCTAGCCCAATCCGTCATAATTTTTCATCCAGAACAAGGGTTGCCAAACTTTCCGTAAAGGACCAGAAAGTAATTTTGTTGTTGTTTTGCAGGATATACAGTTTCTTTCACAATTATTCAACACCGTCATTACAGTGTGAAAGTAGCCATATGTAAAATGTGTGCAAATCATTGCAGCCGTGTTTTGCTAAAGCTTTATTTACAGACATGTGGCAGACCAGACTTAGACCATCCTGATAGTTTGCTTAGCTTTCACCAAGATTGTTGGAGTTGCCCTCTAACTTGAGTTTCTTTTTCTTTCTTTTTCTTTTTTCTTTCTTGAGATGGAATCTTGCTCTGTCACCCAGGTTGGAGTGCAGTGGTGCTATCTCAGCTCACTGTAACCTCCGCCTCCTGGGTTCAAGTGATTCTCCCGTCTCAGCCTCTTGAGTAGCTGGGATTACAGGCACACATCACCATGCCCGGCTAATTTTTATATTTTTAGTAGAGACGGAGTTTCGCCATGTTGGCCAGGCTGGTCTTGAACTCCTGACGTCAGGTGATCAGCCCACCTCGGCCTCCTCAAGTGCTGGGATTACAGGCGTGAGCCACCATGCCCAGCCTAACTTGAGTTTCTTAATCCAAAGTTGACACTACGACATTTCCACACAGAAGTCAGATTAAAAAAAAACAAAAACAAAAACAAAAAAAAAAACAGATCATACCTTCTTGTAACATAACATCCTTGAATTGCTTTCTACTGCAAATAAAATAAGTTATAAACTCTGCATCTTGGCCTAGAAATTTCTGCATGACCATGTCCCTGATGACCTCTGTGATCTCACTCATGTCATTTTCCCCCTTTCTAAGTTCCAGCCATCAGCTGCTACTCTTAGTTATGAAAACATAGCAAACTCGTCCTGCTTCTGACTTTTGTCCTGCCGTGTGTTCTGCCTGGAACCCTCATTTCTATGCTCTTTGCAGGTGTGTATCATTTCTATTCTTCTGGTGTCAGCTTAAAATTTCACCTTCTTAGTGACCATTGTTCTAAGCTAAGCATTCCCAGCCCATGATCTTTTTGATCAAGTGGTGATGTTACTCTGACTCATAGATCTACCATAGTCTCTATATTGTTTCTTTGACTGTTTTATTTTTACTTCTCCCACTAGCAAATGAGGAGAGTCCCATGAGGACAAGGTCCTGTACTGCTCTGTTCATCATGTATCTTGAGCACTAACACAATGAAGATTCTCCGTAAATAGAAATTGGGTATTTGAATGAATAAAATGAAAATAGAGAAAGCTAGGTGCAAATGAAGAGTCATTCTGCAAGGCAGGGAGAAATTAATTGAGAAAGTTTCTACCAGACAATGATAAAGAGTGACATAGAGAGGGAGAAGAAGAGGGAGAAAGGGGAGGGAGGGAGGGAGGGAGAGAGAGAGATAGAGAGAGAGAGGAATTGAAAAGACTAAACCAGGGAAGGTTCAAATTTGTGCTGAAGGGAACAGAAGAGCTGACTAAGACAAAATAAAAGACTTTATGTGGCATTGAATCAGCAGAAAGAAATTGGGAAACATGAGGTGCTGTGATCTGGATGCTTGTATGACTTCTTAAAAATTTTCTTGACACATATATTAATCCATTTCCACACTGCTATAAAGGATTGCCCCAAACTGGGTAATTTATAAAGAAAAGAGGTCTAATTGATTCACAGTTCTCTATGGCTGGAAGCCCTTAGGAAACTTAAAATTGTGGCAGAAGGCCAAGGGGAAGCAAGACACATCTTACATAGCAGCAGTGGGGAGAGAGAAACAGAGAGAGAAGTGCCACACTTAAAGCCATCAGCTCTTGTGAGAACTTGCTCACTATCACAAGAGCAGCATGGGGGAAACCACCCCTGCCCTAGGAACCCTCCTCACCCCATTATTCAATCACCTCCCACCAGGTCCCTCCCTCCACATGTGGGGATTACTATTCAAGATGAGATTTGGGTGGGGACACAGGGACAAACCATAACAACAGATATGGTATACCTTATTATTGTTATCATTACTATTATTATATTATAGACTTATGAAGCACTGCAGAAGTATATTCTGAAGGCTTGATGAGAAAAACAGGCCAGTAAGAACATTCTAAGCATTTGTCAGACAGACTCTTTTTAATGCTTTAAAGAAATGCTTTTCAAACATTAGTGTGCAAAAGAAAAATCTCCTAGAGAGCTTGTTAAAATACAGATTCCTAACAACCTCACTCTCTCATCCTAATTTAGTAGTGGTCCTGGGACACCACCCAGGAATTATTTTTTCATTGAGATTACACTCACCTGCTGTAAAATTCACCCTTTTAAAGTGCTCACTTTAGTGGTTTTCAAAAAATGTTCACAAAGTTGTGTAATCATCACTATTATCTAATTCCAGAATATTATAAGCATCCCCCAAAGCCACACCCATTACCAGTCACTCCCCATTCCTCCCTTGTCAAGACCCTGGCAACCACTAGTTTTCCTGTCCAATTGATTTGCCTATTCTGAACATTTTATTTAAGTGGAATCATCCAAAACAGCTTTTTGTATCTAGCTTCTTTTACTTTGCATAATGTTTTCTTTGTGCTGAATGAAATTAGCATAAGGCCCATCCATGTTGTAACATAAATCAGTACTTTTATGCTGGATAATATTCCATTGTAATAATATAAAGAACTCTTATACCACATTCTGATTATCCATTTTTCAATTGTGGACATTTGGTTGTTCCTACTTTTCGGCTATTACAAATAATGTTGCTATGAGCTTTCATAAGTATGTTTTTGTATTGACATATATTTCCAATTCTTTTTGTTGTATTCCTTAAAGTGAGATTGCTGGGTCATATAGAAGCTCTATGTTTAACATTTTAAGTAATTGTTAACTGTTTCCCAAAACTGCTGCGTTATTTACATTTCCACCAGTAATGTATGAGGGTTCTAATTTTTCCACATCCTTGAAACACTTTATATTATCTCGTTGTGGTTTTGATTTATATTTCCCTAAGCACAATGAAGAATACATTAGTTAATATTGATGTTGAACATTTTTTCTCATACTTCCTGGTCATTTGTATATTTTCTTTGAAGAGATGTATATTTTAATACTTTTCCCAATTTTAATAGCGTTATTTGTCTTTGTGTCACTGCACTGTAAGACTTCTTTATACATTCTGGATACTAGGTGCTTACCATGTATATAATTTGAAAATATTATCTCCCATTTCATGGGCTGTCTTTTCACTTTCTTGTTAATGTCCTTTGATACACAACTTTTTAAAATTTTAATGAAGTCCAATTTGTTATTTGGTTGTTAGTGTCATATCTAAGAAATAATTATCTAATACAAGATCACAAAGATCAAAGCCTAACTTTTTTCCTAAGAGTTTTATAGTTTTAGCACTTATATTTAGGTTGCTGATGTATTTTGAGTCCAATTTTGTGTATGGTGTGAAGTAGTGGTCCAACTTCACTCTTTTGTATATTGATATATGATTGCCCAGCATTATTTATTTAAAAGACTATTCTTTCTCCCATTTATTTATCTTGGCACCCTTGTTGAACACCAACTGATCATAAACTTATGGTTTTATTTCTGGACTCAATTCTATTGCATTGGTATATATTGTCCACCGTAGGCCAGTACTACACAGCCTTGATTGTTGTAGCTATGTAGCAATTTTGAAATTGAGAAGTATGAGTCTTGCAAATTACTCCTTTTTAAAGATTGTTTTAGCTACTCTGGGTCTCTTATTTCAGAATTTGCTTTTCAATTAGATAGAGTCCTTTTAACTTCTCATACTTTGTAGGCAGGGTACAAGGAGGCTGTGATTTAAGGTTTTGGTACCTACTTGATTAAAGATCCTGGGCTGACCTTGGTTGATTCCACAGTTTTTTTTAGCTTACATCATAATATCAATTTTGAGGCTTAGAAAATTTCTTATATCAGGATAAGAAGAATGAGAGTTTACAGATTTAAAAAAAAATATAACATTTCGTATTTCAAAATGCCAGAATTCTTTGCTCTGAGGAAAGTAACCGCATATGTAATCTGAGAGAACATGTCCCCAGCACTTTGCAAGCATAAACTAATGACTTCCTCTCTTACCTGTGCCTTTACCAGAGTCTAGCTAAAGACAGTTGGAGGAACAGGGAGTTGGCAGTCCTACTCACGGTAACTTCATAGTGTACTATAAATCACATGATGGCAAAAAGTATGCAGAACTTTTTCATTAAAGAATGTTCTTACAGAAATTCACAGTGAAAGAATCTGAACCATAACAGAGGATAGGAGAGAACAATAGAAAACACTTCAGAAGGGTAAAAACTGAGTTATTCCAGAAAAAAAAAATTTTGTAGATAAACCAGAATTAATTTTGCCCCAGAAAACTAATGTGAGTCCAGGTTAGATTGACTGATTGATTAATTGATTGGCCCAAAATGGAAGAAGACATCAAATGCAAATGTGAGACTGCCAATTGAATATAAAACAAAAATGATTTAATTAAACTTTGTGAAACACGTTGTCAATACTGGAATCAAAGTCGATGGATTATTGGAGTCAGTTATTGTAATTTTGGGACAGGCTTACAGAACAGGATCATATTTTGAAATACTAACTAATGTGTTTTCCTCCTGCGTACCCACAGCAGCAGAGTCAGCATATTCTATCAACTTGTTACTCCCACAGTGCCACATAGCACCTAACCTAAAACTAGCAAATAATCCACTTCCATTTAAAGGAGCACTAAAATTATAATGCTTTCTTGTTGCCACCATTGAATATCTACCCTTAGCAGCATTCAGCATGTCACTCATTGAGGATGAAGAAGTAATCATAACTACCTATTTATTTAAATCTTGCTCAACTTTTTTTCCAAAATATGACACATGGACAATCCCTTTCTCGAGGCCCTACTTATTTACAGGAACATTGCAGATATATTGTGGGTTTGGTTCCAGACCACTGCAAGAAAATGAATATCAAAATAAAGTGAGTCGCAAAATTTTTTTGTTTCCCTGTGCATATAAAAGTTGTGTTTACATGATACTGTAGTCTATTAAGTGTGCTATGGCATTGTGTCTACAAAATAAGAATCCCTTAACTTTAAAATACTTTATTACTAAAAACTGCTAACAATTGTTTAAGCCTTCACCACGTCATAATACTTTTCCTGGTGGAGAGTCTTGCCTCAATGTTGATGGCTGCTCACTGATCAGGAAGTTGGCTGCTGATGGTTGAGGTGGCTGTGGCAATTTCTTAAAAGAAGTCAGCAATGAGATTTGTGGCATTGATTGACTCTTCCTTTCACAAAAGATTTCTCTATAGCACATTATGTTGTTTGGCAGCATTTTATCCACAGCAGAACCTCTTCCAAAATTGGAGTCAATCCTTTCAATTCCTGATGTTGCTTTATCAACAAAATTTATGATGTAATACTCCGTATCCTTTGTTATCATTTCAACAATCATCACAGCATTTTCACCAGGAGTAGATTCCATTTCAAGAAACCACTCTTTGTTCATCCATAAGAAGTAATTCTTCATTTATTCAAGTTTTGTGATGACATTGTAGCATTCAGTCACATCTTCGGGCTCCACTTCTAATTGTCTTACTATTTCTACCACATCTGCAGTTATTTCCTCCATTGAAGTATTGAACTTCTTAAAACTATCCATGAAGGTTGAAATCAACTTCTTCCAAACTCCTGTTAATGTTGACATTTTGACTTCCTTCTATGAATCACAAATGTTAACAGTACTTAGAATGATGAATCCTTACCCAAAATTTTTCAATTTATTTTTCCCAGATCCATCAAAAGAATCACTATCTCTGGCAGCTACAGCCTTACAAAACGTATGTCTTAAATAATACTATTTGAAAGTCAAAATTACTTTTTGATCCATGGGCTGCAGAATAGATTTTGTGTTCACAGGCATAAAGGCAACATTAATTTCTTTGTACATCTCCATCAGAATTCTTACATGACTATGTGCATTCTCAATGAGCAAAAGAATTGAAAATACACTTTACAAGGGAGATTTACAAATGGCAAGCAAGCATCCTTAAAGGTGTTCAACATCATTAGTAATCATGAAATAATAATTAAAAGCTTAATGGGATACTACTAAATGCCTACCAGTAGCTACAATTTTAAAAAGAATGATGATGATGATATGGAGTAGTCAGGGCACACTTCCTTTGTGGGTGGGAGTATGAAATGGTAAAACTCTTTTGACAACAGTTTACAGCATGGCTTATTGAATATTTTGAGCCCACTGTTGAGACCTACTGCTCGGGAAAAAAATAATTTTCTTTCAAAATATTACTGTTCATTGAATTTCCTAGGAACCATTATGAAAATTCAACAGATGGCATATCTGTATCTGTTCCTGTACTTTAATTGGTTTCATGGGTCTCTCTGTCTCTCCTTACTCCAACTGTCCTTGTTAATGTGTTTTATATTGTGCCTTGAAATCAGATAGTGTGGTTTCTCTTTGTTCTTCTTTTTCAAAATTGAGCTGTTATAAGTCTTTGCTTATTCATATAAATGGTATAAGTGATGTATCAATTTCTCAAAAACAGCTTAATGTGATTTTTATTTAACGTTGCATTGAATGTGCACACTGACTTGGGGAGAATTATCAGCTTAGCAATTTTGAGTTTTCTAATTTATAAACATGATATTGACACTTTGTTATTTGCTTCAGTCTTTTTATCTTTTTTTTTTGCAGCCTTGTGATATACAGCATAGAATTCTTGTTCATCTTTTGTTCAATTTATTCTTAAGTGTTTTATAATTCTGATGCTATGGTAAATGGTATTTTAAAAATTCTATTTTCAAATATTTTGCTGGTATAACACAGAAATAAAGTAGACTTTTACATATTGTCTTTTTATCTTCAAATTTTATTAAATTCACTTATTGGTTCAGTATATTTTATAATTTATTTTTAGTTTTCTGTATTAATGACAATTTTATCTGCAAATAAGGACAGTTTTATTTCTTCCTTTTTCATTTTTATGTCTTTATTTCTTTTTTAAAACTTACTTCACTGCCTATAACCATTAGCATAAAATAGAGTTGAAATACTGAGACTAGAAATAATTGTCTTGCTCTTTTTGAAGTAGATCAAGTGTTATTCAAATCATTTGTACATTAATTAATATTTTTGTCTACTTCTATTAGTTACTTAACGGTATTAAAATTTCTAACTGTGATTGAAGATAATACCTGTTGTAAGTTCTAATTGGTAGTTTTGTTTCATGTAATTTGAAGCTTATTTAGTAAGCATGTATAAATTTATAATTTTTTTTATTTATTGACCATTTATCATTATGAAATGTGCTTATGTATCTCTGATAATACTTGTTTTCTTGCAGTCTGTTTTGCTGAATATTTATAAGGCCACTCTAGACTTCATATGGTACTGGTTGCATGGTGTTTTTCTTTCCATTCTTTGATTTTCAATCTGTATATGCCTGAATTTAAGCAATTTTTTTTCAAACCATCACAGAAAGCTGGCTGGATATAGTTCAATACAAAACTTTCACAACTTCCATTTACTACAAAGAACGGTCTTGTGCACAGCAACATTGTGGTCTATTTCTAATACATGAGCCACCACATGTTTTCCTGTTCTATGACATAATCCCTCCCGGTCATAGCATTCATCAGTCTGGTCTCAAATTCAAGTTAGGGAAAAAAAGTCAAAACTGTTTCTAACGTCAGAAATATATTGTGTTCCAAAGAAAATAACTTCCTGTCTGATTTACTAATACTGCAATTTTTGGAAATCAAAATGATTCAAAGTAAAATATTTTGTTAAAGCAATTTGGTCAATTTACTCTTCAGAGGAAGTCACGCTTTAAAATCCCAAAATGCTAGTAAGAAACTTATAGTCCAACATTAGCCAGAATTTCTAGGATTTTGTGACTTTTGGCTTGGCATTGCAACACCTTTTATGTCAGTGTGAGCAATTTCCTAATTCCCAATTCTTATACTAAAAAATAACATTTAAAATATGCATGAAAATAGTTATTCACTGGAAATTCATAATGAGATTTAATGAATTAGTGGCAAAAAATCAACTCTAAGACATATTTTTTTCTTATTTTTTTCTTTTGATCTTTGTTTTGTCGATGTGGTGAGGGCACTGGTGGTAGTGGTGGTGTACTTGTGTGTTTGTCTTTTAAGTTCATGAACATTGCCTGGGATACTTGTCAAATGTTAGGTCTTCCCTATTTTTTCAAGCAGTGACAAGGAAGGAAAAAGACGGTTTTGAATGTCTAGGAAATACAAAAATCACACATATACAAATATATTACAATTATTCCTATTAAAACGGCAATCCTGAGGTTCTACTATATATTAAATGAGAATTAAATATATTATGAAGTAATACAGAAGACAGTATCTGCTGAAAAATACAAGTTATGAAGGTAATGTTGATCAGAAATTATATATCAAACAAGCATTATTTAGCACAGTATTAGAAATCTAACTTACATAAAAGACTTTTGTAGTATAGAAATGCCTTCTCAAAGTTATTTAAAATATCTAACATTAAAATATACATACATATATATATATATATATATATATATCTTTCCTTAGCCCAGAAGAAATTTTTGAAGAAAGCAATGAAGACTTCCTGTTTCTGAAAAACTTAAGGCTTTTAGAAACATTTAAAACTTTAATTCTTATCTTTTTTTATCCTATGTAGCAACTCTTGTTGTCAACAAAAACTTTTCTAACGTTTGCACAGTTGGACAACAGATAACTAGCTGCCCCATCCACACAAGAGGTGGGGAAGAGAAGCCCAGCTATGATTATTTGAAATCTAGCTCAGTACAGACTAAGTCAAGGTTCATTGATTTAGTCCTCAAACAGATATAATCTGAAATGAGCAGCAAGGAAAATTAGATAATTGGCAAAAGGAAGAAAAATATTCCTGGCATTTCAAAGCAAAGGTGAAGCAACCCTGGAGCAAAGTCATTCCCTGGATGATAGTACTTCTTCATTGGACTACCAGCTCAATTTAGGAGACAGACTGCATTCACATTGCAAAGTAAACTCAGCAGTTGCTGGTGTTTTTTCCTTTTTCTTTGCATACATGCAAGTTACTCTATCCTCCACTTAAACTCTTATTGCCTTCCTTATACTGAAACACTTGATATGCTTAACCTGATAATAATTATTGCAATTATATAGCATTTCTTAAAGGTAATACAAAGAATGGTGAATATAAAAAATAAAATCTTGGAAAAAACATTTGAAAAGGCCTAACCTAAGCCAAATACTAAATCATATAATTAAAGGCTTCTCTAGTTAGAAAAAATCAATTTAGAATGACATACACACACTGTTAACATTCAACGCAGTGTAATGTAATCAGATTTTTCCATTGTCATTTATCTCCAACAATCTCTATGTCACAAAAACTATGTAATTTGGTTAATACATTAGTTATATGTATTTTTTCTTTTAATATCAAGTGCCTTGCCGGATTCTGAACATTCTTTTGAACAGTTTGAATTCAAAGACAGAAAATATCGTTGATATCATTCTAACTTTCCCTAAGAATAACCCAGAAATAATTTCCCACATAGGAGGCAGCCAATTCAAAATTGTAAAGTTTAAAAAAATACAGGAGTTAATGACAATAAACAGCCCCATTCTTTTCTCTTTAAGATCTACTTGTAAGGTAAAGAACACCGTAAAATTAAAAAGTTGTTATCATTATCCATCACCAAGTGCTCATAGACTGTTCGCTGTTGAACTAAGAAATTATGTGAGGTTGTGTGAGAAATGTAAGATATCGTCACTGATTTTAAGGAGTTCGTAGTTGACTTGAGGGAGATAAAAGTAAAATTAAGGAGTAATTAAACTCTGCCTCATGCAGTGGTTATTGTAAGTACACTAGATGTTCGAAGAGCAAAGGTGGAAGGAATACTCTATTCTGGCTTTGTCAGAATAAGCTTTTTCAAAGACAGGACTTTGAATTTGCCTTGAAGAAAGTGAGGGATATAGAAAGTGGTTTCAAGTTGAATATGTTGGAAGTCTCTTTTACCCTTGATATTACTGTGGTCCCAAAGATAGGAGTGAATGGATTGAGGTTCTCAATAACTTAAAATGTGGTTTCTGGGAAATATAATAAAGTGGTTACCCAGATTGTGGAAAGCCACTGTGGGGTGTTTGCCAGCAACTGTGAAGAAAGTGGTTTGTAATCTGGAAACTATTAAAAATTACTGGGGCACGTTCTCTGGTGTTTAACTGCCAATTCTGGATTTTCTATTACTTAACTCATTCTCTGGGAGAGAGATTTTTTTTTTTTTAATCAGCCTCAAAGAATAAATGTGAAGCTCAAGAAATAATGAGCATAAAAGTGTTTTGAACGCCACAAACTCTTTGGAATGTTTTCATTCATATTATATTAATCTGTGGTACAATGACTAAAATAGGATTGATTTTGACAGGGAGTAAACTTTTCAGGCCATCAGGATGCAAATGGCATTGGAAGAATTTTTCCCTTATTGTTGGGAACAAAAATAACACAGAGCTTTTCTCTACCAGCTGGACACAGTGCAGGTAACACAAATGGTTTTCCTTTAAACTAGTGAAAAGGGAGCAATGACTTTTAAAGTCCTATGTCTGTCGTAGTTCTTCATGCTTTCCATCTTAACCTCAGGGGATCTTTGCATCATTCATGTTCCCTCCTGTATTTTTACAAGGCCAACATCAGAGAATGCCTAGATAGAAGCCAGACATGGACAATGACCCAGGCTGATTTTCATGGGAAGCCAGGAAAAGCGACACATTGCTTCCTGATTAGGTTGGGTAACCCAACAACTCACTTTTATTGGGGACTTTCTATTACTTGCTTATCAACTGCAGAAATATTTTTTCTTCTTACATTCTATAAATAATCCTTTGTGAATTGATTCAGAGTGCAAAGCAGGTAAGACATGTGTACTTATAAGACCATCAGGAGGAACTGGCAATCTTGTCTCATGATTCCTCTCTGATTTTACCATTTGGTGCCAAAAACAAATTCATATGTTCATTTATGTTTAAAATGGCTTATTCAGAACTAACCCACATACAGACAGGGAGAGAGAGTTTAAAAGTCAATAACCTATGTCATCTCTAAACTTTTTTTTAAACAAAGCCTTATACTGTGGTTTATTCCCTGTGGTTAAGTTGAATTAATTGCCTAGGAGCTGAGTCACATTTTTGAAGTTTTGTCTTAGCCATTTCAGCAAGGCTTATCTTTTGTCTTTAGACACATTCTAATCTTTAAAATGTCAATATGCTAAATCTGCAGGCTGTTTTCTACAGATTACCACTCCCCAAAAAGATGAAGGATTCCATTTGCTGAGTCAGGTATGATGTTGATGGTGTCAGGAAGCTGTGAGAACTTCTCATTTAGCTTCCCACAAACTGAAGGCCAAACCACCCAGCCTTCCTCAGCCAATGAATTTCTTGTTTCCTTCCAGAATCAAAATTGTAAAGGTCTGTGACACCTCTTTCTTGCTCACCAATGGAGGTGACAGGAGAGGAAGTTAATAAAATTCCCCAGTGTCACAAGGGACAAGGAAAAGAGTTGTGTTCCATAACTGGCTTCTCAATGCCGTCATGTTTACTGATGACCTTTGCTGGCCTGCACTGAGGACAAAGTTCTTCAGAACCAGCCAGAAGAGGATCTAGTTAGACTTCTGTGAAAGAAAGTCTATGTGCCATTCCAGTGCCGTACTCATGCCTGCCATGGAGCAAGACGGTGGAAGACACTTAAACCTTCAGTGCTTTAACTCCTCCACGGATAACAAAGAAGGAGAGAGGGAGAAGCTGGAAGCTACTTCACCCTTCAATTTCAGGAGGCAGTGCAGGGCTCACTGGGGACTAGAACAGGTCTGCAGAAACAGCCTTGGTCACCAGTAATCATGAAATTAGATGGTTCCAGAAGCCTATGGGGAGAATTCCTCCCCCCATGAGGTTGTTTGGGGGAAAACAGACTGGGTGCTATTATGCTGCCCAATTGATGCAAATCTCTAGAAGAAGCTTTCACATGAGCCCCTCAAATTCATCAACCTCCTACAGCATCTCCAAATGGTGTCAAAAACACACCTGGGGGTGGGACCAGAGCTGGGGCAGGCCCGGGCTCCCTGGCAAACTTCAGTCTATGCTCACCATACTACACTTCACTCCCAATAAGACCAAAACCTCTTCCAATTCAATAGCATAGCAACCGCCAAAAGTACATTTTATCTTCCATGGCAATTTGCTGGGTGATTTTTGTTTGAAGATATTTTTGTTTATTAAACTGCCTCAACACACATATGCTTGCTAAACTACAAGTATACAATTTCTAATAAACAGATTTCACTTTGGGGCCAATTCAGGCAACTTGTTGACTTCAGGTGGGGATAGAGCCTCTTTCATCACGTTATCTTGGCTTCTAAAGCTGTTTGAAATCCAGATAATCAAAAAGTCATTCAAGAAACCTAGAATGACCTGCCTGCAAGAAGAGGAAGGACTCTCAGTTTAGGGCAATAATCATGAATAACATTTCCTGAATAATAGTAATAATAATTAGAAAGGATTGACTTTCAGAAATTTTTCTCAAGTCAAAGCTTCCACTACTATGGTTCCAACTTTTCTCTCTTTTTTTTAATTTTATTATTATTATACTTTAAGTTTTAGGGTACATGTGCACAATGTGCAGGTTAGTTACATATCTATACATGTGCCATGCTGGTGTGCTGCACCCATTAACTCGTCATTTAGCATTAGGTACATCTCCTAATGCTATCCCTCCCCCCTCCCCCCAGCCCACAACAGTCCCCAGAGTGTGATGTTCCCCTTCCTGTGTCCATGTGTTCTCCTTGTTCAATTCCCACCTATGAGTGAGAACATGCGGTGTTTGGTTTTTTGTCCTTGCGATAGTTTACTGAGAATGATGATTTCCAATTTCATCCACGTCCCTACAAAGGACATGAACTCATCCTTTTTTATGGCTGCATAGTATTCCATGGTGTATATGTGCCACATTTTCTTAATCCAGTCTATCATTGTTGGACATTTGGGTTGGTTCCAAGTCTTTGCTATTGTGAATAGTGCTGCAATAAACATTCGTGTGCATGTGTCTTTATAGCAGCATGATTTATAGTCCTTTGGGTATATACCCAGTAATGGGACGGCTGGGTCAAATGGTATTTGTAGTTCTAGATCCCTGAGGAATCGCCACACTGACTTCCACACTGGTTGAACTAGTTTACAGTCCCACCAACAGTGTAAAAGTGTTCCCATTTCTCCACATCCTCTCCAGCACCTGTTGTTTCCTGACTTTTTAATGATTGCCATTCTAACTGGTGTGAGATGGTATCTCATTGTGGTTTTGATTTGCATTTCTCTGATGGCCAGTGATGGTGAGCATTGTTTCATGTGTTTTTTGGCTGCATAAATGTCTTGAGAAGTGTCTGTTCATGTCCTTCATCCACTTTTTGATGGGGTTGTTTGTTTTTTTGTTGTAAATTTGTTTGAGTTCATTGTAGGTTCTGGATATTAGCCCTTTGTCAGATGAGTAGGTCGCGAAAATTTTCTCCCATTTTGTAGGTTGCCTGTTCACTCTGATGGTAGTTTCTTTTGCTGTGCAGAAGCTCTTGAGTTTAATTAGATCCCATTTGTCAATTTTGGCTTTTGTTGCCATTGCTTTTGGTGTTTTATACATGAAGACCTTGCCCATGCCTATGTCCTGAATGGGTAATGCCTAGGTTTTCTTCTAGGGTTTTTATGGTTTCAGGTCTAACGTTTAAGTCTTTAATCCATCTTGAATTAATTTTTGTATAAGGTGTAAGGAAGGGATCCAGTTTCAGCTTTCTACATATGGCTAGCCAGTTTTCCCAGCACCATTTATTAAATAGGGAATCCTTTCCCTATTGCTTGTTTTTCTCAGGTTTGTCAAAGATCAGATAGTTGTAGATATGCGGCATTATTTCTGAGGGCTCTGTTCTGTTCCATTGATCTATATCTCTGTTTTGGTACCAGTACCATGCTGTTTTGGTTACTGTAGCCTTGTAGTATAGTTTGAAGTCAGGTAGCGTGATGCCTCCAGCTTGGTTCTTTTGGCTTAGGATTGACTTGGCCATGCGGGCTCTTTTTTGGTTCCATATGAACTTTCAAGTAGTTTTTTCCAATTCTGTGAAGAAAGTCATTGGTAGCTTGATGGGGATGGTATTGAATCTATAAGTTACCTTGGGCAGTATGGCCATATTCACGATATTGATTTTTCCTACCCATGAGCATGGAATATTCTTCCATTTGTTTGTATCCTCTTTTATTTCATTGAGCAGTGGTTTGTAGTTCTCCTTGAAGAGGTCCTTCATGTCCCTTGTAAGTTGGATTCCTAGGTATTTTATTCTCTTTGAAGCAATTGTGAATGGGAGTTCACTCATGATTTGGCTCTCTGTTTGTTTGTTATTGGTGTATAAGAATGCTTGTGATTTTTGTGCATTGATTTTGTATCCTGAGACTTTGCTGAAGTTGCTTATCAGCTTAAGGAGATTTTGGGCTGAGACCATGTCTCTGTTTGTTTGTTATTGGTGTATAAGAATGCTTGTGATTTTTGTGCATTGATTTTGTATCCTGAGACTTTGCTGAAGTTGCTTATCAGCTTAAGGAGATTTTGGGCTGAGACCATGGGGTTTTCTAGATATACAATTATGTAATTTGCAAATAGGGACAATTTGACTTCCTCTTTTCCTAATTGAATACCCTTTATTTCCTTCTCCTGCCTAATTGTCCTGGCCATTGGAGAGGAGGAGCATCTCCCAGACAGCTGCGTGCCTCAGAGAAGCCAGCCTCGCTAACCCCTCAAGCCCAGGGGATGAGACCCTGCTGAATCGCTGCTCTATTTTGGCTGGAGCCACAGCTCCCTCCACCGCGGGGCGGGGCTAAAATGTCCTCCCCCTTAAGGGAGCAGGCAGCTCCTCCCAGCCACCCACCCCACCAATTCCCATCCTCCCGCCCCCCTCCACCAACCCCTTCTTTCCACACTGCCCCCTGAGTTCAGGGAATTTCCCCAGCATCCCAAAGCTTGAGTTTCCTGCCAGTCGGGAGGGATGAATGCAGATAAAGGGAGTGCAGAAGGCACGAGGAAACCAAAGTGCTCTGTATCCTCCAGTCTCCGCGCCTCCACCCAGCTCAGGAACCCGCGAACCCTCTCTTGACCACTATGAGCCTCCCGTCCAGCCGCGCGGCCCGTGTCCCGGGTCCTTCGGGCTCCTTGTGCGCGCTGCTCGCGCTGCTGCTCCTGCTGACGCCGCCGGGGCCCCTCGCCAGCGGTGAGAGCTCCTGGCACTGGGGTGCATCCCAGCCTCTGCGGGGCCGCTGCGTTCCAGGGAACTCTCCCAGCAACCTGCCCTATAAAAATGTCTTTCTTCCCCAGCTGGTCCTGTCTCTGCTGTGCTGACAGAGCTGCGTTGCACTTGTTTACGCGTTACGCTGAGAGTAAACCCCAAAACGATTGGTAAACTGCAGGTGTTCCCCGCAGGCCCGCAGTGCTCCAAGGTGGAAGTGGTGTAAGTTCTCCTGTGTTGCTGTGTCCACTGTGACTTAGGCAAGTCCTCCAGCCTGGGTCGTCAACCTTTGTGGCTCATGGGTGCATCCTCTTTTTCTTTACTTCAGAGCCTCCCTGAAGAACGGGAAGCAAGTTTGTCTGGACCCGGAAGCCCCTTTTCTAAAGAAAGTCATCCAGAAAATTTTGGACAGGTATTTGTCCCTTTGATCTTTGTGGTGTTTTAATATCTTCTATGGAAAGCATATACTTCACAATGTCCTTATTCTCTCTGTAGGATTTAGACTATGCTTAGAATTATAAGGTTGTTAAGAAGAATAAGGAAACTTTTTTTCTGGAATGTTCTGGGTAAACCTTTATCACCAATCTTACATGCCTGAACAATTACACAGAGCTCATTACTGACATCTATTTTTTGTCTGCTCTTTGCTTTTATTGATTTTTTTCCCCCACCAAACGCTTTTGAAAACCAAATGTAGCATACAAGAGTGTGGGAATTGGTTATACTAATATAACTCTTTTCTCAACAGTGGAAACAAGAAAAACTGAGTAACAAAAAAGACCATGCATCATAAAATTGCCCAGTCTTCAGCGGAGCAGTTTTCTGGAGATCCCTGGACCCAGTAAGAATAAGAAGGAAGGGTTGGTTTTTTTCCATTTTCTACATGGATTCCCTACTTTGAAGAGTGTGGGGGAAAGCCTACGCTTCTCCCTGAAGTTTACAGCTCAGCTAATGAAGTACTAATATAGTATTTCCACTATTTACTGTTATTTTACCTGATAAGTTATTGAACCCTTTGGCAATTGACCATATTGTGAGCAAAGAATCACTGGTTATTAGTCTTTCAATGAATATTGAATTGAAGATAACTATTGTATTTCTATCATACATTCCTTAAAGTCTTACCGAAAAGGCTGTGGATTTCGTATGGAAATAATGTTTTATTAGTGTGCTGTTGAGGGAGGTATCCTGTTGTTCTTACTCACTCTTCTCATAAAATAGGAAATATTTTAGTTCTGTTTCTTGGGGAATATGTTACTCTTTACCCTAGGATGCTATTTAAGTTGTACTGTATTAGAACACTGGGTGTGTCATACCGTTATCTGTGCAGAATATATTTCCTTATTCAGAATTTCTAAAAATTTAAGTTCTGTAAGGGCTAATATATTCTCTTCCTATGGTTTTAGACGTTTGATGTCTTCTTAGTATGGCATAATGTCATGATTTACTCATTAAACTTTGATTTTGTATGCTATTTTTTCACTATAGGATGACTATAATTCTGGTCACTAAATATACACTTTAGATAGATGAAGAAGCCCAAAAACAGATAAATTCCTGATTGCTAATTTACATAGAAATGTATTCTCTTGGTTTTTTAAATAAAAGCAAAATTAACAATGATCTGTGCTCTGAAAGTTTTGAAAATATATTTGAACAATTTGAATATAAATTCATCATTTAGTCCTCAAAATATATATAGCATTGCTAAGATTTTCAGATATCTATTGTGGATCTTTTAAAGGTTTTGACCATTTTGTTATGAGGAATTATACATGTATCACATTCACTATATTAAAATTGCACTTTTATTTTTTCCTGTGTGTCATGTTGGTTTTTGGTACTTGTATTGTCATTTGGAGAAACAATAAAAGATTTCTAAACCACTGATGTTGTTTCTCCTTCTTATACAGTTACTATTTATCTTTAATTCTACATTATTCAAAATATTACCTCTGCTCTTCTCTGGCTGGCAGAGAGGGCCCTCATTCCCCAATACCATTGCATTGGTTCAACTTTTCTCCATGTTCAGCCCCCTTCCAGTTACTCCTTCACAGCACCAATAGCCTCTGGGGTCTTTAGAAAACACAAATAGGATAAGATTTTCCTATCTAAATTCTTAAATGGCTCCCTGTTTCCTAGACATGAAATAAAAGTTGCTAAACATGATGAATGAGGTTCTGTCTCATCTCACTCCTGATCATCAGTACTTCAACTTCCCTTGTGCCTCACATTCACTATAGTCAGGCGTTCAGTTCCCTAACTAGGCATGTTCTTTCCCCAGGCTCATGACTTTGTATTTGCTAGGGTCTCTACCTGGAAAGCATTTACGTTTTCCTGCGTATAAGAGGAGGCTTATTCATCCTTCAGAACTCAGTTCAAGCAATATCTCCTTCGTGAATTTTCCTTGGCACACTCAGCAAAGCTTGTGGTTTGCATCTTGGTGTTCTCATAGCATCTTCTAGACATCTGCACTACAACAAATATATTCCATTGCTTTTATTTGTTTATAGGTTTCTTCATCTAACTGTATTAAGAGCTCTCCTAGAACATCGACCATATTTCATCCAACTCTGCATTCCAAATGTGTGGCATGGAATGACTTAATGAATTAATAAGTTATCCTGACCCTCAGGTAGTCAGATGTTATACTAAAATCAATAATCTGGCTCATGGTAGATTTTGATTAAATTGTAATTTGTTCACCTTCTTTTCTCCTTCTTGTCTACAGGTAATCCAACAGGGCTTTAGCATGTGTAATCCACCCACCCCTCATTTTCACTTAGCTACCTCCCATCTTTCCTTCCTTTGGGGATAGCTTACATATCATTTTCTTGATACAATCTTTATAACTCTTACTCCTCCCAGATTAAGATCCCTTTTATATACTGTCATAGCACTCTGTACTTTTTATTCATAACATTTTCTCATGAAGGTGACTTTAGAGTTTATAGAGCATATAGACATGTGGTCATGTGTTTAGAGTCTATCTATTCTAGCTTCACTGTAAGTTCTATGAGAGCAGGGACAATGTTTATCATCTTTATCTCAGTTCCTGGTACAATGCCTAGCACATAGTGTATATTTAAACAAATGAGTGATCTGGTTAAACAAGTCTCTCTGTTTCTCTAGTATTAAAAGTGTCGTTTCATATAAAATACCTGTTCTTAGGAAAAGCAAGAAAATGAAACGAAGAAGACTAACCGAATTAGTATGTGTATACATACATTCACACTGCAGCTGGATTAATATATTATATATGTTTATATTGGCACGTACTTGTATACTTTAGTATATCTAACCTAGGCTTTCCTGTATGTTTTATCTCTCTCTTTATATATAAAATATAAATTGGATTAATATTTTTTAATTATTATATATTGATATATTTAAATAACAGAGAGAGAAAGAGACACAAAGATATGAAAAAACTTAAAAAGTAGCTTCAGAGATGGGTTTTCTAATCATTTTTTCAACAATAAAAAAGTACAAAATATCTCTAATTTTTTAAAATGCATTAAACTTCTGTGGTCTCTTTTTGCTCTCTCAAATGGTATTTTTTTTGAACTTATGGATGATACAGTAATTCTGGGGAAATACTAGAAAGCAAACCAAATTACAAAAATGAGCTCTAAATTTCAGTGTTTAAAACAATCCCTGCTATGTCACATTAACTCCAAAATACTTATTGAAAAATGCTTGATTATAAAAGATTAAAGAATATTAAATGCCCTTTGTACAGGTGAAATATAAGCTTCATAAGGAAATAAACATTGCTGGTTAGTTTTTTGTTTTTGTTTTTTTTTTTTGAGACCAAGTCTCACTGTCACCCAGGCTGGAGTTCAGTGACACAATCTCGGCTTACTGCAACCTCCGCCTCCCAGGTTCAAGTGATTCTCCTGCCTCAGCCTCCCATGTAGCTGGGACTACAGGCATGCACCACCACGCCTAGCTAATTTTTTGTATTTTTAGTAGAGATGTAGTTTCACCATGTCGGCCAGGCTTGTCTCAATGGTTTTTTGTTTGTTTGTTTTTTTGTTTGTTTGTTTGTTTTTATCATCAAGCTCTGTTTTTTTAAGAAGCAACACTTGTAAGTTTAGTTTGTTCATAGAAATAGAATGAAACATGATTTCTAATATTCTTGCAATTCTAGTTGTCAGGCCCATTCCGCAAATGGTCACTCTATAGAGAAAATAGATTACAGTATATTACTGAAGAGTAACCTATACAAGCAACTCAATGATAGCTACTGTTCACTCTTTCAACCATTCCTAGTTGATCTTTCTACTAGCAAACTCAAGGACTAACATATTTGGGGAAACTTAATCTAATGTAAATATCCTAGGGATAAGTCTTCTAGTTTCTTCATACTAACCCCTAAATACTATTTTCACTCTGTTATCCGTCTGAAACTCTATCTTATGTATAAAGTCACTAGATATTGAACAAATGCTCAGCTAAAATCTACTCTGTTACTGCTCCAATCCAGACAATTTTAAATGTATAATTAATGTCCTTCATTATACCAGAATTTCCTGTTTGCCTCTATGTGTGACGCATTCATATAATCCTTCAATTCCTGAAGGTATGACAAGATCTATGATAAAATATGACTAGTGGCTTTGTTTTTCTATCATGATTTTAATTCTTGCTTAAGGAAAATAATTGCTGTGGATAACTCTCATGTTGTATATAACTTCAAAATACCTTCCTGTATGTTACAAAATGAGAAATTTACCAGATGGAAGGAGCACTTGGGGATTTCTAGTTGCCTCCCTGACTAAATCAAGGAAGAGGAGGAGAAGGTACCATGATTTGGATTTTGGCTGACAGTCCTGGTTCATTCTTAGTCAGAAAAATTAATGTTATATTCCTAAGAAGGATTGTTCATACCTCAAATATGTGGAGTGAGATAAGAACATAGAAAGACCTAGAGTTTGGGTGTATAATTTTGTTTCTACAAATTTCAAAGTTCTGTTTCTGAAACATAGATAAGTTGCAAGGACGCTTCTCTGGAAAATCCACTTTTTTTTTTTTTTTTTTTTTGACGGAGTCTCGCTCTGTTGCCCAGGCTGGTGTGCAGTGGCGCAATCTCAGCTCACTGCAAGCTCCATCTCCTGGGTTCATGCCATTCTCTTGCCTCAGCCTCCTGAGTAGCTGGGACTACAGGTGCCTGCCACCACACCCAGCTAATTTTTTGTATTTTTAACAGAGACGTTTCTCTAACACATAAATTTATGTTTGTTTTTAATCTACCTCTAGGGTTAGATAAAGAGAAAACTAGTTGACTTACTTCCAGCAAGAGAAGCTAATTATACTTCTTTATATTTTGTGGTGCAGTACAGAATTAGAGCAATTGCATTTCAAATCTAGTTTTGTGTATTTCCAGCTATGTGAACTTGACAATTTGTTTCACATCTACCTTCCCCAGCTTCCTCACCTGTAAAATCAGTATAATAGCTATCTCACAGGCACTACCCTGGAACAAAGTAGATTCTTGGTAAATATTATTAATAATTTCTTTCCCAAGACTCCTAGTTCAAACTCCCCCTTACAAATGAGAAAACTGAGAACTTAGTAGTTTAAACATACTTATTTTTTCTTAATTTATTTATATTCTTTTTACATATGCATGACTAATTATTAGTACTCCTAAAATTTTTTCTATGAGTCTTTTTATAGAAGCTTTTGAAAGCTGTATATTCTATTTTTTTGTGAAGTACATGGTAACTATCAAAAATTATGATGTATTTTCCTTCATATAAACATTCTTCAATCAAATATCAATTTATTAACCTTTATTGATAATCTTGTTACATACCTGACCCTATGCAAGATCCTTATAAATCTGGAAATTATAAAAATGAAGAGCTTTCTGTCTGAGTTAAGATCTCTTTACAGCAAATATACTGTTTCCCACAGAACAAAGATTTTCTAATAAGGGGAGAGAAAGAAAGGGGAGGAGAGGTGAGGGGAGGGACTAGGAGAAAGGAAAAGGAGAAGTAAGAAAGAAGGAGGAGAGTGGAGGGGCTTGTGTTTTGTGTTGACTTTTTTTCTATTTTCTTTCTTCTTTCCCCTTCCCTCTTCTCCTCTTCTCTCCCCTTTCCTTCTCTCCCTCCCTTCATCCTTTCTGTTTATTCCTCAGAAGTAAAATAATGCTATTTAAAAGAGGAAGAGAAGGACCCAGGTACCCTAGCAGAAATCTCAGCCAGCAGCCAACACCAACCACCTCTCATAGGAATGAGGCCAGTTTTGATTTTCATCCATTTCAGTTTCTTCTGACTGCACCCACTTAATTGAGCTTAGCAGAAGAATCTCACATTAACGTGTAGAATTATCAAAATAATAAACTGTCATTTTAAGCCACTAAATTTAAGGTTGACTTCTTACACAGCAAAAGAGGATCAAACGGTACTTGCTAACAATTGAATGTGTTTGCAGACTCTGGAAAAACATCGTACTGGAATTTCCTCAAATGAATGAATATGTAATGAAAGTGGGTAACAGTCATACATTTGAGACTCAGCAAATTATACTGATTAACATAAATTGAAATGAAAATTCTCAGGCCTGCAAAACTTTGCAGCACTTCTATGTAACAGTACCCAGGAAGATATTTCCCCAGCCCCACTCTCCCCACTCTTTCCCCACCCACACCTCATGTTTCACTGGAAGACAGTAAAACCTCCATTAACCTGAGTGCCAGTGGTCTGAATGATTCATATCAACTGAGAGTCACACATAAAACACATTTGGTTTCAGCACTTAATAGAAACTCTTTTATTGACTAGTATTTCAATTTATTGATTAAAATACTTTAACAAACTGACCCAAAATTTTTACTAGCTCTAGGATATTCTGTTCAAATTATTTTTATGATTGATAGCTCATTGACTTTGTACTTAAAAGAAGGATTTGGGAAATGTCAGCTCAAAATGTTCTATGTAAGGCAGGGATAATATGTCTTAATTTCAAGGGATAGTAGTCCTCTGATGTCTCTAGATATTTTCTTTTAAAATAGCCAACAGGTAAGTTCTGTTTGGGGTCTTAGAAAACTTCTTTGTTTTCTGAATGACTGTTATTTATAGTATGACTTAAAGGAAAAAGACTTGATAAAATTTCTTAGCACATACACACATAAAAACCCATGTGACAATGTAAGCTTCTTTAAAAAGGCTGTCATTTTAATATTCAAGAACCTCTGACAATTGTTTTTACCCCTAGTATTCATTCAGATTTATAATTTTGTATAAGCTAACTGCTTTTAACTGAATAACTTATTTGAAAATATCTTTTAACCATTTGTGTATGCCTTGCCCTCTGTACTGTGCTTCTCATCTTGGAAATCAAAGGGAATAAGGCAAATGACAGTAACAACAATTAACAGTTACAGTCATTACAGTAGTAGTAATAATAGAGTATTATCCATATCCCATTGCTTTACACAAATATTTTAGATTGCTCTTAAAAAAGAAATAGTTAAATGACTAAGTTACACAAAAATGAGAACTTTATAATGCCTGGCACATAATAGATGTTTAATCAATATTTTTAAATAAATGAAAACAAGCAAAAAGCTATTTTATATCAACTGCTGACTAATAGGCTTATGAAATTGTGATGACTCAAGAAATGTTTTAAGACTTCCTCATGAACCTTGCTGACAATGTATTGTCTGTGACGAACCACATTTGTTGATTAAGACAATGACTTGATGATAGTGTGCCCCATGGCTACCTCCTTCCCGGTATCAACCAATTCAAACAGCATCATTACTTCAGAAGACGTTTCATATAGTTTCCTCAAAAGGATTAGTGACTTTTAAAAAATCTTTCTAATGAAACAGGAAAGAAATCTGAATAGTGTTAAGCATGGAAAGAAAAAATCGTCCAGTGAAGCTAGTAAATATTCTCAGCAATGTGTTTAAGGGGTTGAACAGAAAATGAAAGATACTATGAATAGTGTTAAAAACCTTTATCTCTTGCTCTGGAAATGGTTTTGATCTTATGTTTGAATGGAAACGTATCTGCTTGAGAATTCACAATATCTCAATGTCAATAATGAGGGAAGTCTATAAAGTCATCTCACAGGAGGAACTAGAAAGAAGCCTGCTCTCCTAATTCTGTGTCCTGCTGAGCTTATCTTTGCAATTGACTCCACATCTCAACTCTCAGAAGAACCCAAACTCTCAGCATATCCCCTTCCTTTACGCTTGCTTAAGACTAGAAACTTCTGTGTTGAGACAGGAGAAAAATCATTTTAGTTTATTATATTGTACTGCTAAACTCTAATTTATAAGAAAAAAATGAGGTGGAGAAAAATAAGGGATATATTAAAAAACAGGACCTAACAATTTAAGTAGGCATAGTCAGGAACTATTAAACAAGAAAATCTGACTTAAAAACTTAAGTCAGAAAAAATATTTACTACATTCATTTTTTGGCTAGAAAGCAATTTTGCATATTTAATATTTTGAGACTTCAAGTGATGGGGCTTGTGCTTTGTGTTGTCTTTTTTTTTTTTCTATTTTATTTCGTCTTTCTCCTTTTCTCTCCCTTTTCCTTCCCTCCCTCCTTACTTTCTGTTTATTCCTCAGAAGTAAAACAAAGCTACTAAAAAAAGGAGGAGAAAGATGAAGGTACCCTAGCAGAAATCTCAGCCAGCAGCCAACACCAACCACGTCCCATGTGAATGAGGCCATTTTTAATTTTCAGCTATTTCAGTTGTTTCTGATTGCACCCACTTAGGTGAGCTTAGCAGAAGAAGCTCACAATAACATGCAGAATTATCAGAAATAATAAATAATTGTTCATAAAATTCAGTTATTAAAAGTAAGAAAAGAATATGGGAAGTTTAAATAACATCCTAAGAGAGTTATACATAGTTGTAGCAGGAAGACTGCCTGTTGCCAGGACCACTTGTATCTGCCTCGTTCTTTATTGCCAGTCTTCCAAATGACACTTTCATACTACACGTGCTATGGGTCATGTGGAGTTTGTAGCTAATTAGAACAGAAAAGAGAAACCTTCCTTCATGGGATTTATGTTTGTTGATTTACTTATTAACACTGCTTAGGACTTACTTTATCCTGCATTATCCTACATGCAATAGGATACATGAGACATTCAGAGAAACCTAGGACATGCCTCTGCCTTCAAAATGTCTAATTCAATTGAACAAGCAAATCTTATAAATGGGACAGTGATCCAGACAATAATATACAAACCAACATGTGATGTATATAGGTATACTTCTGTATCTATGTGGGGCTTAGTTTATATGCAATATTTCACACCAAGCGCTTTAATCAGGACCTGAGAATTCAGAAACAAAGATTTGATTGCAGCTTCTTTTTTTTTTTTTTTTTTTTTTTTTTGAGACAGAGTCTCACTCTGTCATCAGGGCTGGAGTGCAATGGTGCGATCTCGGCTCACTGCAACCTCCGCCTCCCAGATTCAAGTGATTCTCCTGCCTCAGCCTCCAGAGTAGCTGGGATTGCAGGCATATGCCACCCCGCCCAGCTAATTTTTTGTATTTTTAGTAGAGACAGGGTTTCACCATGTTAGTCAGGATGGTCTCGATCTTCTGACTTCGTGATCTGCCCCCTTGGCCTCCCAAAGTGCTGGGATTACAGGTGTAAGCCTGATTGCAGCTTCTAGTAGTTCAAAACTTCCTTATGGTCATAAACAAGGCAGAGGCTGAGTAACTATTTTTCCTACCATAGAATGTCATGTAACCATTAAAAAGAATGGGGGAAGACTGCATCAAAGTAGCATAAAAGGATGCTGAACCCATATTTTTATTTATTTATTTATTTATTTATTTATTTATTTTGAGATGGGGTTTCACTCTTGTTGCCCAGGCTGGAGTGCAATGGCCCGGTTGAACCCATATTTTGAAAGACAAAAGTAAGTTGTATAATAATCTATATAAAGGGATCCCATTTATATAAAAAAGACCTTCATATACCTCTGTGAATAGTATACATGTATCTTTACATATTAAACATGTTTCTCTCTGTATATGCATAAATATGTGCATATAAATCTACATAGAATAGAAAACTAATCCCAAATTGTCACCAATGGTTACCACTGAAGAGCAGTAATATGGAGTAATGATAAGGAACTTGAATGTTTTATTTCAAATATATCTGTAGTGTATGAATTGTTTACAACAAATGATATCATCTATTTTTCTATTAGATTAAGAGGAAAGGAAAAAATCAATATGGTGGGTCTTGTTTTTTAAAGTATACTCAGGTGGTAGAAACAAGTAACTTCTTTTATAATACAAAGGAGGATGTGTTTTGTTTATAGATTCTGGGTGAAATTACAAAAGACAATTCATTTGGAAGACAGAAAGAAGCCCATAAGCTAAAATAAAAAGTAAATCTTTTACGGTAGTTGGCTCTTATTTTACTCACATACTCCAAACTAATCCAAATACTTATCAACAACCAGGAAAAGAATATCTACTTCCCATAGCTACTAGAAAGGAAAGATAACTCTCTCTTTCAAGGGCCACAAGTTTGTGCTTTTGGGTGCTCCTAAAGTCCATCAAGCCTGTACACTGCATTCTAGGAAAGTCAGGGCATATTGTTACATACTCATACAAAGAAAATGCATGTGGTATTTCAGGGTAGTTCTTACCTTCCTAAGTAGAGTTCTTACACATGTGTAAGAGAGATAGCTACTGAGAAAGGGAGAGTGGGAATGTGAAGAGATGCGTAACATGCAACTTAGTAGGAATTTTGATCTGTTTCGTGTTTCTCTGGGTTGGGCACAGCTTGACAGGCTTATATGTGGATCACCACATACCCTCACTTCCCCTTTCCCTATCTCTTCCTCCTTCCTGGCTTTGAGGGATAGGATATAAATGACATCTTCAAAGCATGAGAAGCCACTTGTCTGCAGACTTGTAGGCAGCAGCTCACCCTCATGTGCAAGTCTTCTGGCTCTGGAAACAACTCTAGCTCAGTCTTCTCCACCATGAGCCTCAGACTCAAAGCCACCCCTTCCTGTAACAGTGCCAGACCATTTCATGCCCTGCAGGTGTTGCTGCTTCTGTCACTGCTGCTGACCGCTCTGCCTTCCTGCACCAATGGGCAAAGCAAGAGAAACTTAGGGAAAAGCAAAGGTAGAGACCTGCTGCCTGCACCTGTTGCTGCTTCTGCTATACCTGTGTCTGGGAGAAAGACTAGCTGGTGCCCCTGGGTCTGGAGAGTGCCATTATACTAACAACTCCAATTGGAGGGGGCACACAGAGGGGGCACTTCACATGTGCTGAGCATTCTGCTGGGCACTTTACTAAAGCTTTACAGATCATATTCACAATGGCCTTATGAGAGAGGTACAATTACTGTCAATTTACAAATAAGGAATTGAGCTAAATAGTCATGGCCACTAATAAATCACATTTTCTACTCCACCTGAATGTGTAGACAGTGACTTGTACATTGAACTGTGCTGCGTGTGTGTGAAGTCAGCCTCTGGAATTCATCCCAGCAACATCATCCCAAACATCCACATTTATTTGCTGTTAATTATCATGGGCATGTCTAGTCTAACAGTAGAGTAGAGCAAGAAAAATCAATTAAAATGTATTTGGAAGTAGATTCTCAAATAAAGAGGGCAAAGCATTGTGCAATGGTCAGCCAGGAATTAGGGCTAACCTAGGATGGATCACCAGCACTCATCATTTGGAAGTGGTCAGGTCAGGAGCCCCTTGCAACAAAGTCCAAGTGATGTAAGTCCCTGCTTCTGTGTCATTGCTTCATCAGGAAAGCCCTACACCTTCACCTCCTTCCCCATCTGTATTGTTTTCTGTTTCTCAACAGATAATTCTGTTGTCTCTTACAGAGCCATGCTGAAAGATGGGAGGAAAATGTACCTGGACCCAGAAGCTCCCAGAATCAAGAAGATAGTCCAGAAAATGTTGGAAGGTGATGGGTCAGGTGCTTAATCTGTTCACTTTCTGCCAAACCTGTTTACCTCCCAGGAAGGGCAGGATTTTAAAGCCTTGACTTTTTTGAATTCTTATTTTATCCAAGATACCTACTCTTACTGTATTAAAATCCAGGTATGTTTCCATTCTCTCTCAAAAATCACATTTTATTCTGAGAAGGCTAGTTAAAAGATGACAGAAAGAAGATGAAAATAAGCAAGCCTAGTTTCAACATAGTACATGGTTTACTCTCTAATTCCTGGCTAACCATTGCACAGTGCTTTGCTCTCTTTATTTGAGAATCTCCTTCCAAACATATTTTTGTTGATTTTTCTTGCTCAGTTTTACTGTTAGACTAGACATGCCCATGATAATTAACAGATTTTATAATGGTCAATGATATAAGAACTCACACAGAGCCCAGCATAGAATATTTGGTCAATAAATTTTTGTTAAACTCTTTAGGGATATAATAGAGCTTTCCAATGTGCTAGGATGTCTTGTTTACAACATTCTCTGAAAGATTTTCTAATGTTTATTTTAGCCTTCCAATGCTGAAAATAGTAAAGTTGTTGAATGTTCAGTTTTGTAAGTTGTGATTATTTACTTTAAAGTGAACATATTTGTCACTAGCAGAGTAACAATATATAACAAAAACATATCCAGATATTCTATAAAGAAAACTATGGTATTTTCTGGAACAACAAAAAAAGAAAGTTGAAAGAAATTTAAAATCTTGCCCCAACATTAGATTACTTAGTAGGTGACAGAGTGGGGATTTGAAACTCTGCTCTTAATACTGCACCACACCACTTTTCTTAACTCTGCTTCCTCGAATGAGGAGATTACATTACATATAACATAGTATTATTGGCACACAAAATAGGATTTATTGCATAGATAACATACTGTATACTATAATGATTATAGGAGAAGAAATAATTTCACCTATTCCAACTTGTACGTGGACTTTGGGGAGGTACTCATGTACTAAGCATGTAGTTTACAACTTTTGTGCTATTAAGGAATGCTCTTATTATCTCCTCACCATCATAGGCTCAATACCTTAAAGTGTTTTGTCTATAAAATAAATGTATATATTAAATAATAGCCAAAACGATACATAAATAAACACGTAATAAAGCAGTAAATGCAAATTGCAATTCTTCTCCTTAGTTTTTTTTCTCAATTATTCAAAGTAGCTCAAGCATCTCACTCATATCTGTAGTGTTTTACCACTGAAACTTGTCAACGCCAGCTCCTGAGACATAACACAGTGTTGGCACTACATTTATTCTTCATGAGATGCAGGTATCTCTTATTTTTGTGTGAAGTTATTGAGTTATTCTATTTAGATGCAGAGAAAGGGTAGTTTAGTTGCCACTCGCTGCTGCCTGAATTCCTGTATGCTGCCAATATTGAAATCTCCGGGTAAGATTGTACAGACCTACTATGTTGCCCATTGAAATGTAAAACCATCCCTTTTATTTATTCTCTCCGCTGTTAACTTCAGTTTCAGTTCCATGGAAATGTATGAATTACAATATGTTCTGCCACAGCCATTGAGTTGTACACCAGATGTTTAAAAATACAGTCAAACATTGCTTAACGATGGGGATAAGCTCTGGGAAATGCATCACTAGGCAATTGTTTTCATTGTGTAAACATCATAGAGTGTACTTACAAAAACCTAGTATAGCCTACTACACACCTAGGCCATATGTTATGGCCTATTGCTCCTAAGCTACAAACCTGTACAGTATGCTACTGTATTGAATACTGTAGGCAAATGTAACACAATGATAAGTATTTGTGTGCCTAAATATATTTAAACATAGAAAAGGTACAGTAGAAGTATGCTCAAATAGAAAATGGTAAACCTGTAGAGAGCACTTGCCATGAATGGAGCTTGCAGGACTGGAAGTTGCTCTAGGTGAGTCAGTGAGTGAGTGATCAGCGAATGTGAAGGCCCAGGACATTACAGTCCGATCCTGCAGGCTGTATAAACACTGTACACTTAGGCTACACTAAGTTTCTAAAAAATATTTTTCTTTATTCAATATAAATTAACCTTAGCTTACTGTAACATTTTTATTTTATAAATGTGTTAATTTTCTAAACTTTTTCACTTTCATAATAATACTTCACATAGAATACAAACACACTGTACAGCTATATAAATATATTTTTTCTTTTCTATTCTCATTCTATAAGCTTTTTAATTTTTAATTTTTTCACCTTTTAAATTTTTTTATTGAAAACTAAGACTCCAACATAAAAATTTGCCTATACAAGGTCAGAATCATCAATCACTTTCTTCCACATTCATTTCTTATCTCATGGGCAATAAGACATATGGAGTGGTCATCTTCTAAAATAACAATGTCTTTTTCTGGAATATTTTCTGAAGGGCCTTCCAGAGGCTGATTCATAGTTAACTCTTCTTCCATTAGCAGGAGAAGGAGTTCACTCTAAAATAATGATTAAAGAGTATAATATAGTAAATACACAAACCAGAAACAGTGTTGTTTATTATAATTATCCATTTTTATGTACTGTACATACTTGTATGTCATATACTTTTATGCAACTGGAAGCACAGTAAGTTTGTTTACACCAGCATTACCACAAACACATGAATAATACATTGGCTTGCTATGATTTTACAACAGCTATGGTATCACAAGGCAATAGGAATTTTTTAGCTCCACTATAGTCTTATGGGATCATCATCACTTATACAGTCTATTACTGCCCAAAACGTTGTTATGTGGTGGGTGACTGCACATAAGTCACAGAGAATTGCTATTGAAGAGATCACTATCTTGTGGGAGAGGCAGACAAGTGGACAAATAATTTTGACCATATGTGACACGTGTCAATATAGATGTATGTTCCAATTATATGCTCTAATTGCTCCAATTGAATAGACATAGGAACACGTCAAAGCCTCATCATCATCATTTTCAACACATTATCTTCACTACTGTAGCTACTTTGCACTGAGTCCCTACCAGTACATTGAAATAGTGATAAACGTTATGATATCTAATGTCACAGTGTTTTCCATTTAAGAAACAAAACAATTTTAAACACTTTTAAATACACAGATACACATACACACACATATATATATATATATCTACAATATATGTGTGTGTATGTTTGTGTATTCTGTGAGAAATACGAAGAACAGAGTTCTGCAAGATAGAACAACAAGGGAACACAATTATATATAGCTGTCAGGGAAGGCACACCTGAGGAAGTGATATTTAAGCTGACACCAGAAATATGAATAGGTCTTAGCCAGCTGAATAGGCAGGTGTAGGGAGAGTAGGAGAAAGAATTGCATATTCCTACAAAAATGCAGGTTTGCTGAGCATTAGAATATCAGCTAGTTCCATCCAGTGGGTCCCTGACACCCTTCACCACTGTTAGTCAGAGTGACAGGGAACCTTGGGCTTTGGGTTGAGGGTGTACCTTGCCCTGATCAAGAGCCAAAGTCATTCTTTTTTAGAGAAGAGAAAACGGTCGATATGGATCTCTTCCCCTTTCCCGTGTGGGATTCTGTTGCATCCCCTTCACTGTCACCTCCCATCATTCTCACACCCAACTCCCAGATGCCCTGAATCCTCCCACAGAGAGCATCACTGCTCCCTGCCAACAGTGCAGCCCATCTCACCCTGTCACTGGCAGTGACTGAGGACACAGCAGGCTCTGGAAGACATGGCCTGGCAAACTCTCCTTGTCCTCTCTTCTGGACTATTATTCAGGATTGAAACAATGAAGAAACATCCAGGAGCTAAGTTTTTATAAAAATAATGCATTCAAATATTACTTCTGCAATTTTTCTAAGAGTAACGGGAAATAGATCTTGCATCCTACAGTATACTGGGTGATTGTTGGTGGAGCCTGGTAAATCTCATCCAGAGACTAGGGAAGTTTTCCACATTCAGGTGAAATTCAGAAGAGTCATCACCTAGAGACCAAATTAAACTTATTAGTATTAGAAAACAATTGCAAATAGCACACTCTTCAAACACACAGCCATCAAACTCAATGGTAATCAAGACTGAAGTTAGGAGCATATGGGCAGTTCTTGAGTTGAGAAGGAAACAAGAACTGTCTGGGTCCTGAAGCCACCTGCTGTGTAAGTTGCTTGGTGACTACAGAGAACTCTACTATGATACAACACAGAAAATATTTCTCTTCTAAGATGCAAGTAGTGTTTCTAACTCCACAAATGTAAGTGTATATAAACTGAGGTTGGAGGTATGCATCTTTGTACCACCTCCTAGCCAAGGCAGCTGCCCCCAGCCTTTTGTTTTGTAATCTTGGCTGGCCAGAGTCTGAGTCTTCATAGCAGTGTCTTAGCTCCTGCACCACAGTTCCTCGCTGTCCACCCCAGGCTTCCGGACTGGAAGGACAGTGGGACAGTGACGGGGGATAAAAGAAGCCTGGTGAGGCCAGGAGTCACTGCCTGCAGAACCCCAGCCCGACTTTCCCTGCGCACTGGGATCCTGCTGGAACCTCAGCTGCAACATGAGCTCCGCAGCCAGGTCCCGCCTCACCCGCGCCACCCGCCAGGAGATGCTGTTCTTGGCGTTGCTGCTCCTGCCAGTTGTGGTCGCCTTCGCCAGAGGTGAGAGCAGAAACCAGGCTGGGAGGGCCAGCAGCGGCGAGGGGGAGTCCGGGAAGCCCTGGGGCTGGGGAGGAATCCTCTAGGATCATGATCGCAGCTGCTCTTATTGCGCGCGTGCTGAGTCTGCGGGTACAGTGCCAGGCACTGCACGTGCACCTCGCCACCTGATCAGCACAACCTCTGTCTGAGAGAGGTCTGATTTACGGCTAAGGAAAAGAAAGCTGAAGGTAGTGGAAAAGGTCCCTAAAGTATCTCTGGCTACTCAGGGAGTCACAACTCCCACCCCTCCTCCTCTCTTACTCCCTCCCTTTCCCCCTCAGCTGAAGCTGAAGAAGATGGGGACCTGCAGTGCCTGTGTGTGAAGACCACCTCCCAGGTCCGTCCCAGGCACATCACCAGCCTGGAGGTGATCAAGGCCGGACCCCACTGCCCCACTGCCCAACTCATGTGAGTCCTCGCACTGCATCAGTTAGTGCTCCCGCTCCGTGCCTCCTCTGCCCATCCCTCCCCCTTCTAATGCCATTTGCAAACCCAAGGACTGAAAGTCACGTCTCTTCTCTTTTCCCTGCCAGAGCCACGCTGAAGAATGGGAGGAAAATTTGCTTGGATCTGCAAGCCCTGCTGTACAAGAAAATCATTAAGGAACATTTGGAGAGTTAGCTACTAGCTGCCTAAGTGTGCACTTTCAATCTAACTGTGAAAGAATCTTCTGATGTTTGTATTATCCTTCTTATATTATATTAACGAAATAAATCAAGTTGTGGTATAGTCAATCTATTTCTTAATAATACTGCAAAAATAATGCTGACACATCACAATTTCATATTTTAAAATTTCCAGAATTTTAAGCAAAAAGCATTATGAAGGAAGGCTTGGTTTAATAAAGACTGATTTTGTTCAGTGTTATATGTTAGCTGATACATATTTGTTCATTTATGTGATTGCAGTACTTTATAGCTACATATTTACCTTGAATGTTACAATTAGCTTGCCAATAAATATTAGTAGCTCTTAAGCATTACTCGACAGCTTTTTTTTTTTTCAATGAAGTAAATAAGCAACACTCTGCTTTTATCCCCACAAATTCCTTAACATTGGTGATATTAAGATTCTGGGAACTAAGAGAAGTGTGAGGTAATATTTTCATTCATCCTTTAGGAAGACATTGCTCTACACTGGGGAGAAATGAAGGTGTTATAATGTGGGCATATTAGTTTCCTGTTGCTTCTGTAAGAAATTACCACAAACTCAGTGGCTTAACCAACACAAATTTATCGTCTTGTAATTCTAGGGGTCTCAAGTCCAAAGTAAGTCTTAAAGGTTAAACTCAAGCTGTCCTCAGAGCTGTATTCCTTCTGAAGGCTCTAGAAGAGAATCTACTTCCTCTCCTTTTTCACCAGCATTCCTTGCCTCATAGCCCTTTCTCCAGTCTTCAACCTGCATCACACCAACCTCTACTTCTCCTCTGTCTCTGCTGACTCTTCTACCTTTTATATCCGGCTTACCTCTCATAAGGAGGCGTGTGAATACATTGGGCTCACTTGGATAATTCAGAAACGCTTTCCAACTCAAGTTCTCTAATACATCTGCAAAGATATATATATATATATATATATATATATATATATATATATATATATATATTTTTTTTTTTTTTTTGCCATGTTAAGCAACACATTCATAGTGTCCAGAGAGTAGAACACAAGGATCTCAGGGGTGGGGGGCATTATTCAGCCTACCACCATGGACCAGAAGGCAAGACCTACTTGAGGCAGGAGAAAGCTACAGACCCTTGTTCATGAGCTAGTGCAATTTTAACCTAATGTGACAATGTGTACAGATAGGATTAAGATCTATGATAAAATACAGATGGTACAGTTCAATCTCTGTGGTGGGCTGGAAGGGAGGGAGGTACCTAGGATGACAAATTGATTAAAATAAACAAAATTTACAGAGACTTGTGAATATCATCTAAAATTTCCACATCCACATTGCAAATTAGTATTATTCCTATTATAGAGATGAGGTGACAGTCTTGGGAAGGACGCAGCTTGTTCAGAGGCTGAGCAGATCATTCTGACTCCCTACTTCCTGCTCTTGCTTTCACATTGTGCTGTCTTTCACACAGGAAAGTGGCATGTTAGCGAATTCCATGAACTAGCTGTTGAAGGTGGAGTAGGAATTTGTTGGCGGGGGGGGGCAGGCGGGCAATGGGAAGACTGGAACTGCCTCAAGATAAATAACAAGTAGAAAGACACAAGATCATTTTAAGTCATTTGCATGTTTGTACAACAGTTCATAGCACTGCAGGGTTGGAGTATCTATGGGGAGAGAGAATGAACAAGGGTCTCCCAACCAGTTTTTGCCCACTTAGTGTTTTTTATCTTCAGTATAACTTAATGTACTACCACCCAAACTATCTTTCCAAAACCCAAATATTTCATTTCCCTGAATAAAATATTCAAGATCCGAAGTCCTTAACCTGGCATCCCAGGCTGCGCTACACTCACTTTCCCTCTGTGCCTTAGTTTTCATATGTGTGAAATGAGGACATTATGAGTGTCTAACTTTATGGATTGATTATCTTAAGGACTAAACAGAGGATGCATGCAAAACATTTGGCACAGTTCCTTATATACAGTCTGAGCTTAAAAATTAACAACGATTAATTGTATTATAGTATTATATTACCGGTATCAATATTTCTCTTAATGTACCATTCCAGTTAGTCTGGAGTGTTGAGTAAGAATTTTTTATTTTTTATTTTTTTGTAAGACAGTGTCTCACTCTGTTGTCCAGCAACCTCTGCCACCCAGGTTCAAGTGATTCTCATGCCTCAGCCTCCTGTGTAGCTGGGATTATAGGCAAGTGCCACCAAGCCCAGCTAATTTTTCTATTTTTAGTAGAGACAGGTTGGTCTCAAACTCCTGGCCTCAAGTGATCCACCGGCCTCAGCCTCCCAAAGTGCTTGGATTACAAGCATGAGCCACTGCGCCTGGCCTGAGTAAGGAATTTAACAGAGGGTTGTTTTTTTTTTTGTAATAGGTAGCAAAAAAAATTGCAATAGCAATGAAATTGCTCAAAACAAATGAACTTTGAAGGAGAAAATACTGGAAATCAGATGTGTGTGGTGTGATTTTGTTTTTGCTGCTTTCCTTTTTGTTGCCTGTCTCAAACAGCATACTTAGCTTTATTTAATAATTTGTTGATGTGACTTTTAAAGGGTCAAAAGAGCAAAACAAATTTTGCCAAGTCAAACAATCCTGGAATGCTGGTGCCTCATACATTCTTGCTTCAGAATGACTTTGGTCTAACTGTCCTGAGAACACTTTTGAGTCATGTATTAATCTGTTTTGCATTGCTATAATGGAATACCTGAGGTAATTTATTAAATTAAAAAAAAAGAAGCTTATTTGGCTCACAGTTCTGCAGTCTGTACAAGCATGACACCAATGTCTGCTCAGCTTCTGGTGAGGCCTCAGGAAGCTTTTACTCATGGTGGAAGGCAAAGGGGGAGCAGGCATTTGTGATGGTTAATACTGAGTGTCAACTTGATTGGATTGAAGGATACAAAGTATTGATTCTTCACATGTCTGTGAGGGTGTGGCCAAGGAAGATTAACATTTGAATCAGTGGGCTGGGAAAGGTAGACCCACTCTTAATCTTGGTGGGCACAATCTAATCAGCTGCCAGTGCGGCTAGTATATAAGCAGGCAAAAAAAATGTGAAAAGAGAAACTGGCCTAGCCTCCCAGCCCACATCTTCCTCCCATGCTGGATGCCTCCTGCCCTCAAATATTGGACCCCAAGTCCTTCAGTTTGGGGGCTCGGACTGCTTCTCCTTCCTCCTCAGCTTGCAGACAGCCTATTGTGGGACCTTGTGATCGTGTGAGTTAATACTTAATAAACTCCCCTGTGTATATATATGTATATATTTTTTCCAGCCCAGCTGGAAAGTTAAATCTTCTGGACTACAATGTTCCTTTAATCTCAGTCTCCATCCCTGACCTGGGGTTGGAGTCTCGAGGAAAACCATGAACAACAGCTTCTGTGGTAAAGATGCCACACCAAATCGGATGTTGTCTGGATTGTTGAATATATATGGAATACACACACACACACACACACACACACATGCACACACACACATATTCCATTAGTTCTATCCCTCTAGAGAGCCCTGACTAATACAGTGTGTCACATAGTGAGAGAAAGGGAGCAAGAGAGAAGGAAGTGCCCGATTCCTTTAAATAGCCAGTTTTGTGAAGTAACAGAGTGAGAACTCATTCATTACCGTGTGGAGGGCACCAAGCCATGCATGAGAAATCTTCTCCCATGACCCAAACACCTCCCACTAGGCTCCACTTCCAACACTGGGGGCCACGTTTCAACATGAGATCTGGAGGGAACGCACATCCAAACTGTATTAAGTTACTGCCTTTATCTGCATGGGCATGGGGAGAGGGCTTTGCTCCTTGGAAAATCCCAAGCGACACAGCAACTCCCTGTTGTTGTTTCAACATTCATGGAGTAATAAAGATTCAGTGCACTTAAACTCCCCTCTAGATGGAGGCAGTCAGCATAAAATGTCCACAAATTAGGGACTTACCACATAGTCATGGTGTCTATCAATGAAACAAAACCATCAAAGGACATTTTGACCTTGCAAGTTGTTCTGTATTTTTATTATTGCTTTTTTTCCTTCTAAGACCTTTGTGGTAAAATAAGTTCCTCTGTAATGCATAGGATATTGAAGACTTCTTTGTTTTTAAATACATATTCATATTTTTCTCATTGTAAAAGACAATGCATCTTCACTCTAAGTAACAGAAAACAGAGGCAAAAGAATAGAAACTATTTTTTAAAACTTGTAATTTTGCCACTCAATGTTCTTTTTCTTTTTGGACATATTATCATTTGACATGGTTATAAGTTGAACTGCTAATTTTCAATACAATATCAATTATTTGTACACAATCATAAAGAAAACACTTAGTAATTACTTAAGTGCATTGCAAGCACTTAGGGAGCATTCCTGTCCCAATTTTACAAATAGGAAACCAAGTCCAGGGTAATAGAATTAGTTTTCTTTGGCCAGAGAATGAATAGCTAACCTATGTGATCCAGCATTCACTTATACATATATGTAGATCCTATGATTCTTATATTCATTGTGTGTATATGTATGTGTGTATGAATGTATGTATATATTTCCACACATACAGATACATACACACTCACACAAACATAAAACAAGTTCATAATGCAATACTTATATTTGCTTTGTACTGTGTGTCCTCATATTTTGTGTTCTATTCTACTCTATCCTACCACATTCCATTTTTTAAAAGATGTTGGCCACACCACTATAAAGTGATTTCATAACCTACTGATGTACCATGATGTGTAGTTTAAAAACACTCCTCCAGTTCTTTGATTAAAGAGTTAAGTTGTGACGGTCTATATTGGATTCCACACTCCAGATAAAATGCTTGAAGAGCCATTAGGGGCAGGATACTAAGGCCTAGCTGAAAAGTTAAATCTCCTGGTCTATAGTGTTCCTTTAATCTCAGTCACCATCCCTCACCTGGGGTTGGAGTCTCGAGGAAACCCATGAAAAACAGCTTCTGTGGTAAAGATGTCACACCAAATAGGATGTTGTCGGGATTGTTGAGACTCTAGGTCCTTTTCAGCTTGGGCTACCATTTATATTTCCTGACCATCTGCTTCAGCCGTGTACTGCCTAGCTTGGTCCCAAATGTAAATTGGGTTAAGAACAGAAAACACATCGATTTCTAGGAGGGCTCAAATAAAAGCAGCATATTCACACTCAGTGGACTTAACTAGCTGTTATATAAAATTCTTCCCATATGGGTTTTTTCCTTATTATTCCTGTAGATGCTGGCATTAGCCCAGTGGGCTTTTGAGAAAGACAGTTTGGGTTGTATCTCAGCTTTGACTCTGTGTGACCCTGGGTCTCCTCAGTTCCCTTATTCCAAAACAAGGACAATAAAGCCCACCACACAGGGTACTGAAAAGGATTAAATCACACTTACAATAGGATCCAGTATGGGTTCTTACTCAGAATTGAAACCTAGTAAATAAATGTTTCCTTTCCTCTTCTTGGAGTTCTACTCTCAGGGAACATAACATTTCCAGCAGAAGCCACAATCCCTGAGCTAGCAACCAACTCTTTAAGAATACAGCCAATAAGCCAGTACTTCCCTTGCTCAGAACCACAACCCAAAGCTTGGGTGCAGACAGCTAGTTAAGAAAAAATTTAGCATGACAGACACAAGTAGTATTTTCCTGATAACAACTAAAAGAAAATTAAATAACAAAACCACAATGTTTGTCAGCCAGCATATCTGTAAGATTATAAAATATACAGGACATCTAGTGAACTGTATATTTATACAGGAGGCTGGCTTAGCTATTTTTCCAGGAAAGAAAACAAGAAAAAATAAACTTTAGACTTAAATTTGCCAAGTATTTACTTCTTCACTGAAGCAGGCACAACATGAGGATTATGTCACTATTCAGCATTTGTGGTGAGAGGCAATCCAACTTGAAACAGAGCAGTCAAAACAGAGTTGGAACAGCCAGCTCTTACTTATCAGCTGTGTTGGAGAATCAGTTTTCTTTTCTCAGTAATTCTAGGGATAGCTATAGGGAATGTTAGGAAATAAGCAATAAAGCAATTTACACACGCCTCCATCAGAATAACTATTAAGCTTCACTGTAATTATTCCTTTATCTATTTTCCTACTTTAAATCAGAGAATAAGGATTAAGCCTATTCCATCTCTTCATTCTGGATTTCAGAAAAATGCCTGATAGAGTAGGTGTTAAGTAAATGTGTGTCAAATATTAACTACTTGGAGAAGAATAAATCTGCAGTTAGTGCTGTGAAGTAATGGTGCAGTTGGGTGCTAAGGATAAGCTACTCAGCCAACAGAAAGTTAGTTGAAAATTAAAGAAAGACACCGTTTTCCCAGCTCTCGATCTTGTTAGGCTCACTGATCTCATCAAGTTATTCATAGACATTATAACACACCCATACTATCTGCCTCATCAGTGATTTGTTTGATGTTTTAATTAGAGTCGCATTCGTAACTATTAGGGACTCTGTTAAGAGTTCCCCTCGTCTGTCTATTCACGTGCTCTCATCATACACAGATGCTATGATATAGACATATTAAACATTATTTTATTATAGATGTTTGCTTCAATGTACAACATACAGATGGTAAATTACACACAACCAAGCCCTTGTTCCTCCTCTTTCACTATAATACCCACCATATCTAATTAGATCTTGTATTTCTTTAGTGTCCTTAATTAACTACTTACTTAATTAACTAGAAATGTCAATCAAGGAACTAGCTCAGTCACACACCAGTAGAGCAACCTCTTTGAAATCAGTATTGTTCAGGAAAATCTGTTTCAAAGATTACCTAAGTAAATGGACTGATCAAGAAGGTAAAAAGGAAAACACAAATATTTCTTACCAAAAAATTGAAGGATAATGAATGTTGGAAAATACTATGGACAAGATGTTAACATAAGTTCTCATGATGATTCAAACTTTTCTTTGCTGAAATCTGCGTTTTTATGCTATGTATGCTATTTTCATTTGTGGTTTATATGTTCATCCTTCAATTTCCTAAATTTTGTTTTCGGAATGACAAAGTCATAATAACGTTTTCTTCTCCAAAACAAATTTCTTGCATAATTATTTCCAAGAGAAACTTTTCATTTCCTTATCCTTTGCAATCCTGTAATTCTTTTTTTTTTTTTTTAAATATATGCTCATGATGTCATTACTTGGTGAATACCACTTCCAGATAGGTCAGAAAACAATCTTAAAGAAAACAGAGATGCAAAAAGATTTATAAAAACCTTTTTAAAAAACAATAACCAGCCGGGCATGGTGGCTCACGCCTATAATCCCAGAACTTTGGGAGGCTGCGGCGGGCGGATCACCTGAGGTTGGGAGTTCGAGAACAGCCTGACCACTATGGAGAAATCCCGTCTCTCCTAAAAATATAAAAAAATTAGCCATGTGTGGTGGTACATGCCTGTAATCCTAGCTACTCGGGAGGCTGAGGTAGGAGAATCACTTGAACCTGGGAGGCGGAGGTTGCAGTAGCCGAGATCATGCCATTGCATTCCAGCCTGGGCAACAAGAGTGAAACTCTGTCTCAAAACAAACAAACAAACAAACAAAAAAAAAAAAAAAAAAAAAAATATAAAAACAATAACCACCCCTCCAAAAAAAAATCTGGCAAAGCTAATATATCAAATGATTCTCAGTGTTACCTGAATGATTTTAAGTATCTGTAGACTAATCATAACATCAGATTATCATGCCAGGAACAGAAAAACAAATAATATAGCATTGCAAGAGAAAGTAGTCAGGCTAAACAAAGAATTTTACATTAGAATTCATATTTTATCCAACTTTTCCTCTTCTACTAAACTTATCACTGTGCCTTTTACACGCAGATGAATTTTAAAATGTGTGGGAAGAATAGCTATTATCTACTCACTTACTGCCTAGATCATGAACCTGTAATGACCTGGATTGTTCTATCAGCCCTAAGGCAAATGACCTATAAACCAAACACAGATATTCCAGCTCCATCTGTGACAAGGACCTCCCTGGCCTTATTCCTAACATTGTTCCCCTTCTGTTCCACACCTGGGAGAGCTCAAGCCCTCTGGCTTTGGATGCAGGTCCCATCTGTCTCTTTAAATGTATTGGCAGACCTGGGCATCAGAGCTTTCTAAGGACTTTGGTTCAGACTCATTACTCTGGCTTTCCCAGGTAGGGGATCCCCTTTTCTAGCTCTTACTATAGAATTCAAACTGTGGCTCTGACCCAACTGTCATATCTGGTTTCATTAAATGTCCACTGGCATCTTTTATTCTGGTCCTGAAAAGTCAAAATAGGCAAAAGAAACTAAGGAAATTCCACACTCCATCAAGGGAAGCTTCCACATATCCTGACTTAAGGATATTTTAGTTTTAAAACAGTGACCTGAAACCATTGACTCATGCATTATGTCAGCAAACATTTGTTGAGTGCTTAGCATGAACCAGACTCATTTTAGAGACTTTTTCTTCTAGCTCCTTCTAACTCCCTGTTTGAAAACTTATCTTCATGTTTACATCTTCTTTTTCCAGAGTCCTGGCACAAAGCTTCCCGTGAACTTTCAGGACCAGATATTCATAGTTTTTGATGGGTCCCTAGGAAAACCACTGGTGTGAGAGAATTTTAGAGTCTGGTGGATGCAAACAGGAATGAGATATATGATGGCTTTCCTTACAGAATACACAATCCAGTATGGGAGTATGTAAATCAATGCTCCCCACAATGTGATTTGTATCCAAAGGCCAAGATAACCCTTTGGAAGGAAAGATGGGATTTTAATGGAAGTGACATTTGAAATGGTCCTTGATTGATAAATAGGAGCCTTCAGTGACTGGGCCCTGCCTATCCTTCTGCTGGATCAATCTAAATGTTAAATTCTGTGTTAAAAAAATAAACGGCTGATTTTTGTTTTCAGGTCACACTACACTGTTGCCAGTTTCCATTCCTTTGCTTGTTTGGTCTGCCTCTTCTGAAGTGGGTCCCTTCCCAACTCACCTTAGGTAGCACCCTCTACCAGAAAGTTTTCTCTGGAAGCTCCCACCCTCCCAAGAAAAAGGGTCAGGTGTTCACCTCCTGTGAGTGCCCACAAAACTCTGCACACAGCTGAGTGTCTTGGACCTCCACACAATGCCATATCTTTCTGTGCCACTCTGTAGATGTGAGTTCAGTTGAAGCAAAGTCTTCTTTTCCCTCTTTGTAATCCGATTTAGAGCCAAATTTAGTTCCTGGATTATGAGTGGTAGATAAATTTTGAATGGATGAATGGACAGATGCATTAACAATAAAGTAACTAGAGCAACTATGTAGGAAAGTTGTCTGTAGCAGAAGTGTGGAAGATGGGTGGTATTAGGCAAGACTATTTCACTGGCAAGAGACAGACATCTAATTTATACCATCTCAAAAAAAAGAAAAGAAAGAAAATCTGCTGGCCTACATGACTGAGAAGTTCATAAATAAATCAGAGCCAGCTGGAGGACCTAGGTGTCCATACATATACTTAGATGGTCCCCTTCATGTCTTACCTTTGCTTTTCTCTGGGCCAAATTCGCTCTCAGGTAGGTTCTCTCCAAGCATTACAAAATTCCAGGCCCTCATTTTACCAGTTTTGCAATCCCAGTGAGAATTCAGAACCTCCTTTTCATTCGTTCCAGCAAAAATTCTAGGAACTATTTCTAATATAGCCAGGCTTTGGTCACTTGTCCACATCTGAATTAATCAGCAGGGTTAGGGCTGGGGGTGGCATACAGGAAGGAACTGAGAGATGGGTTATCTTACCTGAAATCTACAGACTAAGAGCTGGTAATCGAGGGGGTGTTCCGAGAAGGGGGTGCCAGACAAGCAGTCTTTGGAAGACTGAATAGAGAGGCTGAACCTAACTCTAGCACCCACTATGCCCTTGTACTTTGGGGGGTGAACTGATCCAGAAATCTAACATCATATTCACACATCTTTATTATTCTCTGCTCAGAGCCAGAGTCATTACATTGGAAGAGATGAGTATAGAGAAATAGGTACAGCAGGTGTGAGGGACAAGAGTTCCTAAGGCAAGTAGGGGCAGAGGAGAGCTGCCCCGCCGGTTCCTGCCTGCCTTGAGCATGGTCACTTCTCAGGATGGAGCAGTGCCTCTATTTAGGCTCCCCTAAAATACAGAGCTTGAGTCATGGGCTTGCCATGCATGTAATTGATTTGGGGAAATGTTCCCAACACAGAGGACTCAAGAACAGGAAAGAGTAAAATAGGAAAAGAGGACATGGGCAACTGGGGTTCAATCCTACTGGATATCCTCTGAGAAATGATGTAGAATGTCTGCCCAAAGCATGAAAAATGGGAAAACATGTATCTTTTGCCTCTGGTTTCTCCTGCGAAAGGGATGTTACATGGCAGCAACAGAGAAACTTTGGGCTAGTGAGTGAAAAATACCTGATGCAGCTGAGGCAGGGAGCTGCCAGGTGACATCTGCAGGCAGCAGAGTGCTACAGCAATGACAGATAAACAGGTCTAGAAAACATGAGCTCCCAGATTTGACTGCTAATTATGAAAGTTTCAATAGTGATTCCAGGCAAAATGGAATTTAGCTACCAAAGCTTCCATTTTTAAAGGTTCCTCCATTTCTTTAAGAATTGTTGCTTGCATACGTTTAAAGACTGCGTAAAATCCCGTCATTCAACTCTTGAAAAAAATTAGCTTGGAGGAACATTTGTTCCAACAAGACAATGAATTTGTTTATTTTTCCAGGCTACAGCATTCCTGTGCTTATAAATTTTGAATTTTGGTTTATGCGGATTTCATTGATACAAGTGGCATATTAAGGAGGAAATAACAACAAAAAATTCTTTCCATTCCAATTCATTTACACAAAATGTGATTTTGATGAAAATTTTCCTGAGTCAAGTTCTGTCTAATCTGCGGATGCCCACTGCTTCTTGACATGCTTAATTCGCTTCATTCTCTTGGCAGCTCCTGTGGAGCTCTGCTCCCCCTGAGCGCTCTCATTGCGTCAGTTTTGGGTTGGGTCCTGAGATGATTACAGCAGAAACACTTGTGTTTTTCTCCAGTTACCAGAACTAGATGAGAGATTTGGGCAGCGTGATTAATGATGAAGGCAAACTATTTAATCCTATGAAACATGATGAAGTGTCCAAACTCGGCAGTAGATATTTTGGATTTTCATATTTGAACAAACAGGCACTAAACGAAAATTCAGTTTCCTCTCTAAAAGCTAGCAGATGAAACACGCATGGCCATTTAATTTTGGTGGCATTCTAAATGAATTCAGAAAGAGAAACTTTTTAAAAAATAAACTATTTTAAAAAAAGAAACTAAAAAATAAAAAAATTATTTTGAAATAATTTTAAGTTTATAAAAGTTGCAAAGTCAATACAGTATCTGTGTATCTTTCACCCACTTTCCTTTAAAGTGAACATTTTACAATATCATGGTATAGTCGTCAAAGCTAAGAAACCACCGCTGACACATTACTTTTAACTGAACTGCAGATTTTATTTGGGTTTTGCCAGTTTTTCCGTTAACATCCTCTTTCTGTTTCAGAATGCAAACCAAAGTACCACACTGCAGTGGATTGTCATATCTCCATAATTTCCTCTGGACTGTGATGGTTCTTCAATCTGCCCTTATTTTTCATGACATTGACAATTTTGAAGAGTACCACTCAGCCATTTAAGATTCTTTGATTTAGGTTTGAAGCATGCTTTTCTCATGATTAGACTTGGGCTATTAATTTTTGAAAGAGCACCAAAGAGGTATGCTGTTCTTGTGACATCATATCAAGGGGGTACATGATATGCACATGACATCACACTGATGACGTAAATCTTCCTCATTTGGTATAGGGCGAGTTTACCAGGTTTTCTCATGGCAAAGTTACTATTTTATTTTTCAGAATTGTGTACTTCAGGAAAATATAACAAGCTATTTCAATGCCACAGGAAAGATATGCTGTTAGTGAAACAAAATTATAGAGATGTGTGACCATTTTGCTGTGTTTTCATTTAAGAATATGTAAATTTGAACCATTCAACTAGGGCAATAACAGATTTTTTAAAATCATTCTACTCTTGAAAGTATTAATTATATATCACAGAGTGTTTTTATCATAGTATAATAGTTAAATGCCATTTTATCTGACTTTGATTTCCAGGCTCAAGGATGTATGACCTTAGGCAAGTGACTTAACCTCTCTGCACCACAGTTTCTTTATTTGCAACTTAAAATCTCATAGACACAACAATATCTACTGATACTGTAGTTATCAGTACAAGCACAGGCTTGTTTGGAAGACTGAATGAGTTAATATTTGTAAACTGCTTAGAAGAGCAGAAAATAAATGCTCTGCCCTTTGCCTCGGGTGTAGAGGTTTAGCAATTTGCCCTTGGTATGCAGCAGCATAATCAAGGAAGCAGCATATTTTTTATTTACCAGAATTCTGTAAGCTCTTATAATTTAGCTCCTTTGTTGAAGAAAAAAAAGCAAATTTTCAGCGACCTGTGAATGTTTGTTTCATAGACAAAGTGAAGAGACATTAGAGAAGAAAAATCTCTTCTTGCCTTTTTGGTTTGTATAAACTTTATAAAATGAGCATATATTACAACTACAATTAGAAAACAAAACAATACATTTTTCAAGTTTTAAAGAATCATTTCCATGTTTCTGGAAATTTCAGTTTCCCATCAAATCCCAGAAAAAGAGTGATAATAAGAGGTGTAATCACTCAAACTTTCAATTATGCATGAGCTAGTCACACACTTAATAAACTTTAGATTATATGTCATTTCCTATTCCTTACTACTAATTTGAACCTTCCTCTAATTTTCTTGATTTTTCCCTTAGAGTCATATTGATAAATACTAGAGTTTTTTTAAAAAATAGTCATTCCTTTAGTACATCTTTTCAATAAATAAGATGAAGACTATTACATTCAAAGTCCCTTTTTATATACATGAAGTGATTGAAAGGTGGACTACAAAATAAACCAATGATCTGTCTGAACGGTAACAAATAAAATTTCATCTAAGTGTACCTCGTGGTAGAGTACATATTTGTCTTCCTTTCTGAAAGCCTGATACAGAAAATTTTATTTCAATTTTTGTAAATTCTCAGCTGAGTTTCTTTTTTAAAAAATTTAGATTTAGAAGTTTGCAGCATTGATTACAGCTTGAAACTGATGAAGATATTTGGGACACTGTATTTGGTCTCCATTGGGTCAATGCTTTTTCATTTATTCTTCCTGTTAAGAAATATAAGTAATCAGGAAGATGTGAAAAGAGAAATAATTGAAAAAGACTGGAGTACATATACTATCTACAGTGTCTGTTTTAAAGAAACAACATTCTAGCACACCTTTCTACCCTTGACTAAGATTACTGTAATGAGAGCACCAGTACCCCTGAGTAACCGAAAGGGCATTTTGGAAACTGAGCTTTTGGTGTTTATATGAACATTCTGTCTTCCAGGACCTGCCTTGATTTATTCAAGACTCATACTGCTGTATATGGTGTTGTATACATTAGGGGTAGTTGGGTAGCAGTAACTGATATAGAAAATTTTAAATGTAAAAAACACTGGGGAGTGAACCTTTCCATTATATATATATATATATATATATATATATATATATATATAAATATATAAATATATATATAAATTCACATCAGGATGAGTTTCTGTTTAGGCAATGTTGGAAAACGCTATTTCCATTTTTTTTTTAAACAAATATTTAACAAACATTTATAAGGCACTTAAATCCATGCTGGCTCTTACAAATGTTGACTCATTTCTCATAACCACCTTGGGGTAGAAACGGAGAGGCTAAACAATCTGCAGGCGATGCTTCACTACTAAATGCAGGTGGCAGCCTTGCCTGTGTTCTCTGCTTGGCTAGGAACACAGGTCTTACCTATTGAGCTGGGCTGTGTAGAACTCTGTTGTGGAGACATCTGCCCCTGGGGCAGAAGCCTCTGCTTTTTCCCCCTCCTCCCATCTTACTCCATGTCTCAGAGAGCTCTGAATCCCACTTGGAGAATCACACTTAAACCCTCTAAAAACCTAATGATGAATAAAAATAAGTTCTCTAGAACTTCTGGAGAAAAAAGTAATAAAGCTACCAGGTTAAATGACTGAAATTCCTGAGAGAAAACAACATGTGTGTGTTTCTCTAGAAAGGGGGCCCAATACTGAATACCAGGAAGTCCTATAGTAAATGGAATGTGACTCTATGTGGGATCCGGCGTTCCTATTTCATCCGAATGCATGTCTGCTGCTTCAGTGGGAAGGGTGCTTGCACACCAGGTACCCACTCCCTGGTGTCATGTGCTATGCAGTCCAAAGACAGAACCAGGAATGGTGAGCCCATGAGCCTGCTGGACCCAGCCCCTCCGAGGTCCGGAGTGACAACCAGTGCCGTATTTCTAGATCAAACCTGAACCCCTCCTACAGGGAAAAGATTTCCAGGGGATTTTGAAAGTTCCAACATTTTACAGGGAAGAAGGAAGATAAGCAGGATATGAAAGAAGAGTTCATGTTATACAGCCCTGGCTTCCACTGACGCTAACACTGGATTCAGCTTTTGACACTGATAATCTGTTGCCACCAAATGGAAAACGTAAACAAGATATTCTAAGTGTGGTTAGAGAATATGCAACACAAGGAACAAGCAGAACATTCTTCTCTGGAATCTGACATAATGGACTGTACTTTCACAGACAGCACTGATGTTAGATGTACGTGAAATAGGCTAAACTGAAAATAAGAAAGGCTGAGGCAGAGAGGATAATATAGCTCCAGCCTATCTCCCAGCACCTTGTTAATTTCTCTCAATCTCCAGCCACAAATCCGAGACACAACGCTCTTCCTCCAAAGAGGTCGCGCCTTCTCTGTGGTGGTTCTCAGGGATCCGCCCCAGCTCCTTCTCCGTTCCCAGCCCCACACACTGGGATCACCAGGCACCCAAGATCCCACCTCTCAGGTGGTATCTTCAGCGCAGGCTGCCACTCAGCCCCCCTCCAGGGATCTGGGGCAGAAGGCGAATATCCCAGAGTCTCAGAGTCCACAGGAGTTACTCTGAAGGGCGAGGCGCGGGCTGCATCAGTGGACCCCCACACCCCACCCGCACCCCAAGCGCTCCACCCTGGGGGCGGGGCCGTCGCCTTCCTTCCGGACTCGGGATCGATCTGGAACTCCGGGAATTTCCCTGGCCCGGGGGCTCCGGGCTTTCCAGCCCCAACCATGCATAAAAGGGGTTCGCGGATCTCGGAGAGCCACAGAGCCCGGGCCGCAGGCACCTCCTCGCCAGCTCTTCCGCTCCTCTCACAGCCGCCAGACCCGCCTGCTGAGCCCCATGGCCCGCGCTGCTCTCTCCGCCGCCCCCAGCAATCCCCGGCTCCTGCGAGTGGCACTGCTGCTCCTGCTCCTGGTAGCCGCTGGCCGGCGCGCAGCAGGTGGGTACCGGCGCCCTGGGGTCCCCGGGCCGGACGCGGCTGGGGTAGGCACCCAGCGCCGACAGCCTCGCTCAGTCAGTGAGTCTCTTCTTCCCTAGGAGCGTCCGTGGCCACTGAACTGCGCTGCCAGTGCTTGCAGACCCTGCAGGGAATTCACCCCAAGAACATCCAAAGTGTGAACGTGAAGTCCCCCGGACCCCACTGCGCCCAAACCGAAGTCATGTAAGTCCCGCCCCGCGCTGCCTCTGCCACCGCCGGGGTCCCAGACCCTCCTGCTGCCCCAACCCTGTCCCCAGCCCGACCTCCTGCCTCACGAGATTCCCTTCCCTCTGCAGAGCCACACTCAAGAATGGGCGGAAAGCTTGCCTCAATCCTGCATCCCCCATAGTTAAGAAAATCATCGAAAAGATGCTGAACAGGTGAGTTATGGTTTCCATGTACACAGGCGACTGGAGCCGTTGGTCAGAAATACTGGCATGTGCCCCCTAAAAATAAAATCAGGAAAACCCAGGGGTTAGTTGAAGGACTAGAAATTGGGATTATTGTTTTCACAATTAAGGTTTCCTTTACGATAATTACTGCTCTGGTGCCAGAGGATATTCCCAATGCCTGGCGTCCCCACCCTGGTTCTTCCTTCGTTCCAATGAATGTAGGTAAAACTGCCTTCATTTGAGGCCCAGTAGGACAAACAGCAACAGGTTCTGGCTGTTTTTAATCCAATAGTACAGTGGAGACCACCGCCCCACCCCACCCCCATTCCTAAAAGAGCATCCCAAGCTTAGAGGTCCCTGCCACACAGCACAGCTGTCATAGGCAGTAGCCACTTGGTTGCCAGGCTGGGGAAACTGCATTCGGAAAACTCTAGAGGCTGGAGGAGCAGGGCAGGAGAAGAGTGTTGTGCAATCAGCTTTCCCGAGCACCTACTCAGGGCACCCATTTTCTCATTGCAGTGACAAATCCAACTGACCAGAAGGGAGGAGGAAGCTCACTGGTGGCTGTTCCTGAAGGAGGCCCTGCCCTTATAGGAACAGAAGAGGAAAGAGAGACACAGCTGCAGAGGCCACCTGGATTGTGCCTAATGTGTTTGAGCATCGCTTAGGAGAAGTCTTCTATTTATTTATTTATTCATTAGTTTTGAAGATTCTATGTTAATATTTTAGGTGTAAAATAATTAAGGGTATGATTAACTCTACCTGCACACTGTCCTATTATATTCATTCTTTTTGAAATGTCAACCCCAAGTTAGTTCAATCTGGATTCATATTTAATTTGAAGGTAGAATGTTTTCAAATGTTCTCCAGTCATTATGTTAATATTTCTGAGGAGCCTGCAACATGCCAGCCACTGTGATAGAGGCTGGCGGATCCAAGCAAATGGCCAATGAGATCATTGTGAAGGCAGGGGAATGTATGTGCACATCTGTTTTGTAACTGTTTAGATGAATGTCAGTTGTTATTTATTGAAATGATTTCACAGTGTGTGGTCAACATTTCTCATGTTGAAACTTTAAGAACTAAAATGTTCTAAATATCCCTTGGACATTTTATGTCTTTCTTGTAAGGCATACTGCCTTGTTTAATGGTAGTTTTACAGTGTTTCTGGCTTAGAACAAAGGGGCTTAATTATTGATGTTTTCATAGAGAATATAAAAATAAAGCACTTATAGAAAAAACTCGTTTGATTTTTGGGGGGAAACAAGGGCTACCTTTACTGGAAAATCTGGTGATTTATATCAATATTTCTCAATTTTTTAATTGTGTTTATTTTTCTGGGTGTTCAATTTGCTATACAGATAAATCAAACTATGAGTTATGCTTCATTTCATGCGGTGATTGCTGCCAATACCCTTGGCTCTCACCTAGTGAAGAATGCGCTTTACTAAACTATGGGCTGGCCCCTAATGGGAGAGTCACTGATATAAATTGCCCTTTTTATAAGAAGTTTCTTTCTGTCTTGCTACTCAAATTTACCTCCTTAAAAATATTTATATTATCTTAACAAGGGCTCTCATTTCATTGCTTTTGTTGAACAATATTTCTCATAATTGTTGACAATTTAATGAAGCTGGCAGTGAAATGGTGGCTAAAATATTTCGTTTTTCAAAACTCAAATCATTTGTGTCGTCAATAGAAGCAAAAGTGAGTGGCTGAATGCTTCACCTGTGAAAAGATCTGATTGAAATTTGGGCTCAGCTTTCTAGCCTTCACATATAAGTAATTAGCACTAAGATTTGCGGTGTTTCAATCCTTTATAGCAATATACCAACTATAATGGTTTTAAGATTGGACTGCATTCATTTGCATCGTTCCTAGTGGAATTTTGATGGGACCTCATAGAGCGGTTGCCTTCTGGGGAACTCTGTATTCAATGCTGTCCCAGAACAGCAGCAGCACTACAGGTTTTTAGGACAGAAGCAAAATTGGCATGTCTAAGGAAGAAATACCCCAATAATATAAAAGAAACCACACTCCAAACCTGAAAAGGAAGGATGTTCGTGCATGCATGAGGTGTGTGCTTGTTTCTGATTCAGAACTCATTCAGAAATCCTGAGCCCTGGGTAACTGCCTCTAACAGAGGCAAGAAGGTGAGACTGGCAGCCTCAATACTTCAAATCAAATTCTGGATCATCCCAAGAAGCTGGGCAAATAGAGGTCATAAGCAACAAGAAACAAACTCTGTGAGCTTTTCTCACAACTAAAAAAGTTAAAAACAAGAATCTCTTCATAATTCCAACATTATTAGTTAATTATGAATGAGATGAGGAAGAAGAATATTTGTAAACTATACATAAGCAAATAAATGCAAACCATTTGAGAAACTCCATAAATGGTAGCATTCACTCCCTAACCCCAAGTTAGAGGACACTGGAAAATGTTTACAAGTAGCATCCAAGGGTTCAATAAAACCACTCCTTACACCTAAGACAAGTCCTTACCCTCAAACATTGGAGCTTGCTGTACTGGCTACCTAGCTCTGGCTAATATGGAACAGGGAACATAAAAAGGACAAAAGAGATGCTTTTATTCACATGGTGGTTAAAGACAGATTTCAAAGGATCAGATTGACTTTGGTGTAAATTCCAGCTCTGTCACTGTGATCTTGGGCAAGTTTCTTTACTTCACTCAACCTCATTTTCCTTTCTATAGGATGAGGATAATAAAATTAGCCTTCTGAAGTGTTGTAAGAATTAAATGTTATGGAGGCTCTGGAAACCTGGTTCTTGCCATTGGTCCTCAGGCCAACTCCATGGACATGGTCTCAGTCTCAGTCTTAGATCAAGCAGATATGTAAATTGTGTTTTCACACCAAATTGCTCTGAAAACTTGCAAGTACAAGGCAGTCTCCTGTTGGGAGTGTTATAGCAGGAAGTAGGATACAGCGTTTTTGGCGTGGTAGTCACAGGGTGAAGGAAGTAGGAAAAGGATATTACATAACACATCACAGTTTTGAGAAGCCATCAGCAGGAAACAGCAATGATCACAGTGACTGAGGTTTCTTGAGCAATGTTACCATGGGGTCTAGAGAAGGAAAGAAGGAGACGTGGCTAACGCTATTCTATCATTGTGAGTCCTCCTGAGACACCCTCTCAGGTGTTCCAGAAGTAACTGGAGAGACGTTAAGGGATGGTGGAGGTGGCAGACCCACAATAGCACAGTGAGGGAAATCCAGAAAAACAGATCACACAGTTTGTCTTTTCTGGCTACCCAATCACATAATTTAAAAAAGGACCTGCCTGTCTTCACCAATGATGTCCCACTCCCCTCACAATGAGTACAACAGCTGCAATGTATAACAGCTTCCCAACTTAAGGCACTTGTTCTTCTGCATCTCTTCCTGGGGGCTTCCTCCATTGAGGTGTGGGAAAGGGGGCTTGGCAGAGAGAGATTTCTCAGCCCACAGCTAGGATGGCCTGTGATTTGATGCCCTGAGAGGAGAGATAGGAGTTAAAGGATGAATATTCAATTTTCCCAGTCTCTTGTTAGATAATTCTAGAATTTCCTATCTCTCTCTCCATATATATGTGTGTGTTTAAATTTTATAGATAGTGTATTAAAATAAATAAATATTAAAAAGACATATGAATAGATGAAATGTTCCACTTCCCTCTTCATTATGTTTACACCTTCTTTACACACCTGAGCATAATTAAGATAGTTATTTTAAAATCTTGGTATGCTAAGTCTATCATTCTGTCACTTCTGAATCTATATTTACTTGATTTTTTTTCTCTTATATAACTCATGCTGTTCTACTTCTTAGCATGTATAATCATTTTCATTTGACTGCAGGAAATTTTGAATCTTATGTTGCTGAGTGTCAAGATTTGTTCTCTTTCTTTAGAGTCTTGGGCTCCATTTTGACAAGCAGGTAAGTTCTAGGGCATCAGCTTTGTCTCTTTGGGGCTTGTTGTTGAGCTTTGTTAGGGTGGTCTAGGAATGTTCTTCACTCTAGGGTTTGTTTAGCTGTACTACTAAGTCATGTCCTTCTTGTGCCGTTAGTGAATGCCCTGAGTGCTCACAGGTTCTCTCTACTACGACAGGGTAGACCTTAACTATCTCCTCATTCCATGCTAGGTCTGAGGTTTTCTCAGCTTACAAATCTCTAGTTACTCTTTGCTTGACTTATGGAGTTTCCCCCACCGTGCGTGTGTGACTTAGTACTGATCAAAGAGACCCAGTGGGACCTCAGTGCAGATTTATGGAGTTCTGGTTTCTTGCATAGATCTCCCCTTTCTACAACTCTTTTTTCCTAAACTTCTAGCCACCCCAGCTCCCTTGAATTCAAACCTGTGCCCCCTCAACTCAGTAAGACTACCATGGTCTACTTTGGATCTCTCCCCTTGCACGGTGGTCCAGAGTTGCTCCAGAAAAAAACCAAGATCACCATACACCTCACCTTGTTTATTTCCTTTTCTGAGGAATTCTAGCCTTTTGCTGCTTGTTGTCCAATGTCTGATAACAATTGCTTCATATATTGTGTTGCATTTTCTAGTTGCTTAAGACAGGAAGTTATGACTTCTGTTTTACTTCAACGTGACTGGAAATTGAAGTCTTATTGGGACAATTCTGAGGAACATTTTACAAGGTTTCCTTGAGACTCCATGGCAAGATGAAGCCCTGGTTGCACAAATGATAGCTCATTCATTACATACACTTTATTAGATTTTCTCTCTTCCCTATCCCACATTCCCCCACTCCTTCACTTGTTCTTTCCATGATCACCTGTAAGATAAACTACTGCGCATAAGTCTTTTATCAGACTCTGTTTTGGGGGAGCCCAAACTTAGACAGTTGGGCCCCCCAGAAATTAGACCTCATAGCAGAGGCTTATGACTACTATTTTATTGAGGAGTATAATGCCAGAAAACCAAGAGGAAGAAAAATGGGAAGTGAGGCAGAAACAAGTGAAAGCTCATGATAGAAGAGAGCAGAACCACACTGGCCATTGCTGCACACAACTGAGTTCTTGACCTCACAAAGGGGCTGTTGTGAGTGTTTGCTTTCCTCATCTGCAGAAACTATGAAACCTGCTCAAACCAAGAAATTGTAGTTGTTGTGTTTATAGCAGAGTCATAAATCTTCCTAACAGCAGGGCATCAGCCTCTGATTTCTATTCCTTGGCTATGCTTAAAATAAAAATGTGGAATCTGGATCCACAAGGTACTAAAGCAGGGAGAAAGAGTCTACTAAACCATAGTCAGGACCTCATTTTCACCTTTGAAAAGGTGAGGACTCCAACTGACATTTTTGTTCTCCACATTAAAAGTAATAAATCTTTCTTTTTTTAAGTGAAAAGTAGTTAGAAATGCTACTGTTGCTTTCAAGAATCTCCTAAAAAAGAAGCCAGATCATATGGTGAGAAATAAATAAATAAAATGTTGAGACTAGGGACTGATCCCTTGACAGCCAGACAGGAGTTTGGTTCAAAACTTGAGAGATCACAAGAAAAAGAAAATCAGCCTTCTCATTTTATAGATGGAACTACAAAGGCTCAGAAACCACCAAGGAGTTACCAAATGCCATGGAATTATTTTATTACAAAAGTGGGTCAGAGTTTGGTTTTCTGATGACTAATACACAGTGATTTTTATTAAACTAGATTATTTTCATGACTGCTCAAGAAGACAGTTATCCTAAATTTTGGCTACAGGATTGGCTTTCTAAAATTTGTAGAACCATTCTCAGAGTACTAATTAATAGCTAATAGCCATTCACGCCATGTGCCACTTTAAGAAAGTTTAAAGAAAACATTGTGCATATTGTAGCCAAATAATTCAAAGTATAAAATGAGTTCAGCCAATTTACTGGCTAAATTACTCTATTAATCATCTATTGTCTCCCGAAAATGCAGTGGGTTTAAACAGTCACCATTTTATTTTGACACATGACCATCAATTTGGGCTAGGCAATACAACAACCTGGGCTTGGCTCAGGTAGTTCTTCTGATGGTGTCTCCTGGAGTCACCAGGTGACACTTGGTGACCGAGTGCAGCTGCCTCACTCACATGTCTGGTTTTTTGCACTAGTCATTGCCTGGGCCTCATGAGCTTGGCTATCCTCATATGGTGGCAGCTGCATTTTAACAGAGCAGGGGTAGAAACTCCTAGGCTTCTTACCTTGTTGGCCTGGAACATCTACATCATCACTTTTAACACTTCCTATTGGCCAAAGCAAGTCATGAGGTGAGCATAGAGTCAAGGGGGTTGGGATACAGATTCTGTCTCTTAAAGTGAGGAGCTGCTAAGAATGTAAGGCTATTTTTAATCTTTCACTGCTGTATTACTTCCTAATATTTGATTTTCTTGTTTATGACATAGAAATACCCCTTGTAAAGTTTCCAGAAAACTTACAAAAATTCATAGAGGAATGTTAGCACAAATGTTTATTGGAGTACAATAAACAATTATTATTATTATATTACATTGCATTTCAGTGTAGATAAATATTTTAAAAAATAAAACATAGGATTACAGTTAAAATTGGATGTTTTGGTAACTTGCATATTTGTATAAGCCTCAGGCCTATGTGAAAATTCAACTAACAAAATAACTGTTTATAAGATCAGGGAAGTTGTCAAGTTGTCAGTCTCAGCACTCTAAATCTAACTGTAATAAGTTCTGCTGCAGATCTGGCATAAATTTTAGTAGCTGTAGAATGAGAGAACCATCTTTGATAAGAAAAATTACCATCTCTTTAACAAACTCCTTAGTAAACTATTGTGATGTCTTAAGTCTGTCTTTGAAGTTTTATGAAAAACTAAATTACTTCGAATCTTTCAATACTTGGTTATCTTATCTGTATATACTTTCTTATTAGCATCATAACACCTGTACAGATTGATAGCACATTTTTTTATTTTTTTTTAAATTTTATTATTATTATACTTTAAGTTTTAGGGTACATGTGCACAATGTGCAGGTTTGTTACATATGTATACATGTGCCATGCTGGTGTGTGATAGCACATTTTATTACCTTTACTTGGTACAGAAGAAAAATGAGATTTGAAGAAATCCAAGGTTGTTTCTGAATAACAGTTTGAAGTTACTTGCAGCTTTTCATTTCTACAAAGGACAAGATGTGATCAGTCAATTGAATGTTGTCAGGTTGTTAAAACATCTCATTTAAAGACTGAAATAGCTTTTTCCTCCTTCCTTAACATGCCCATGTCTTGTTTGTGCTTCTTTGTGCATTTCTCTGTCTCAAACGCTTATCAGCCTTCAAAAAAGAAATGATGACTTTCTTTTTGTCTTTTCACCAGTCCAGTGTTACCTTCCCTGTAAAGTCTTTCCTGACGGCCCTGGGGAAGTCCTCCCTCCCCTCTGCTTCCACTATGCCTCAGATATACAACTGTTATAACACAGACCACCTTTTAGTTTAATCTGTTTACTCATCTGTCTCTCAAAACAGACTGTGAACCTCTTAAGAGCAGAAATTCAACTTTCATTATCTTCAAATGCCTAGCATCAAGCAAAGGCCCTCGCAAATAATAAATGCTCAATTATAATCCGTAAAAGAAAATAACTTACTATTTAGGCTAGTTTTAGCTTTAAACTGTATCAACCTTTCAGTAATCACTAGTTCTTCAGTTAAATGTTGTTATAGGTTGAATTATATCCCCCTCAAATTTATATATTGAGGTCCTAATCCCCAGTACTTCAGAATGTGACCTTATTTGGAAGTAGGGTTCTTAAAGAGGTAATTCAGTTAAAGTGAAGTAATTAGAGTGAACCCCTAATTCAGTATGATTGGTGCCCTAATAAAAAGGGGAAATTTTTAGATAGACATGCAGACAAAGAGAACACCATGTAAACATAAAGATGAACACCCGCTAAGCAAGTAAAGATGTCTGGAACAACTCCTTCTCTCACAGTCCTGAGAAAGAAACAACCCCATTAAACCTACATTTTGGGCTTCCAGGGTCCAGAATTGAAATATGAAAACATTTCTGTTGTTTAAGCAACCCAGTCTGTGGTACTTTGGTATGATAGCCCTAGGAAACTAATACAAATGTTTTGGTCTTTGATTTGTTAATACAAAAAAAAATGTGGTCACTATGATATAATCAAAGTCACTTATAAAACTGCTTAAGAAATAAAATTAAAGCTCATAGTTCACTATTAGATAATTAACCTTGAAGCCAATGGAAACTGCTGCCTTCAAACAATAAGTAAAGTGTTGTTTGCAGTTCTTTTTAAAAATTATGTATTTATTACTTTTCTTTAATGCCATGAAAAAGATAACAGACCAGATTATCTTTATACTTTAAATAATTAAAACACAAAATATATGAAGTGATGGACATTAGACAATAGGAATAATGGGATAGTAATCCCTGCAAGAAAAAAAAAAATCAGAGGCAAGCCCTTCCATGGCCCCAGAGTACCACATAGAGAGCATTTCCAGAAATCATCATTGAAAGACAAAGTTCAGAGTTCTATGTTGTTGTTGTTTGTTTTGTTTTGCTTTGAATTATTTTTTTAAATTTTTACTTTAAGTTCAAGTGTACAAGTGTACATTTGGTACATGGCTAAACTTTTGTCATACAGATTATTTCATCACCCAGGTATTAAGCCTAGTACCTATTAATTAATTTTCCTGATCCTCTCCCTCCTCTCACCCTCCATCCTCCAACAGGACCCAGTGTGTGTTGTTCCCCTCTGTGTGTCCATAAGTTCTTATCATTTAGCTCTACTTATAAGTGAGAACATGCAGTATTGGGTTTTCAGTTCCTGTGTTAGTTTGCTGAGGATAATGGCCTCCAAGCTCCAACCATGTCCCTGCAAAGGACATGATCTCATTGTTTTTTATGGCTGCCTAGTATTCCATGGTGTTTATATACCACATTTTCTTTATCCAGTCTATCTTTGATGGGTATTTAGGTTGATTCTATGTCTTTGCTATTGTAAATAGTGCTGCAACAAATATACATTTGCCTGTGCCTTTATAATAGAATAATTTGTATTTCTTCTGGTATATACCCTGTAATGAGATTGCTGGGTCTTTAGGGCTTTGAGGAATTGCTGCACTGTCTTCCACAATGGTTGAACAAATTTACACTCCCATCGACAGTGTATAAGCATTCCTCTTTCTCCATGACATCGCCAGCATCTGTTATTTTTTTTCTTTTCAATAATAGTCATTCTGACTGGTGTGAGATGGTATCTCATTGTGGTTTTGATTTGATTTTCTCTAATGATCAGTGATGTTGAGCTTTTTCCATGATTGTTGGCTGCATATATGTCTTCTTTTGAAAAATGTCTGTTCATCTCCTTTGCCCTTTTTAATGGGGTTGTTTCCTTCTTGTAAATTTGTCTAAGTTCCTTATAGATGGTGGATATTAGAGCTTTGTTGGATGTATAGTTTGAAAAAAATTTCTTCCATTCCATAGGCTGTCTGTTTACTCTGTTGATAGTTTCTTTCACTGTGCAGAAGCTCTTAAGTTTAATTAAATCCCATTTGTCAATTTTTGCTTTGGGTGCAATTGCTTTCAGCATCTTTGTCATGACATCTTTGCCAGTGTCTACGTCCTGAATGGCATTGCCTAGGTTGTCTTCCCCAGGATGTTTATATTTTGGGATTTTACATTCAAGTCTTTAATCCATCTTGAGTTAATTTTTGTATATGGTGTAAAGAAGGGGTCCAGGGTTAATCTTCTGCATATGACCAGCAAGTTATCCTAGCACCATTTATTAAATAGGAAGTCCTTTTCCCATTGCTTGTTCTTGTCAAGTTGGCTGAAGATCAGATAGTGGTAGGTGTGTGGTCTTATTTCTGGGTTCTGTATTCTGTTCCATTGGTCTATATGTCTGTTTTTGTACCAGCACCATGTTGTTTTGGTTTCTGCAGCCTTGTAACATGGATAACAGTTGGATAGTGTGATGTCTCCAGCTTTAATCTTTTTGCTTAGGATTGCCTTGGCAATTCGGGTTCTTTTTTCGTTCCATATAAATTTTAAAATAGTTTTTTCTTTCTCTGTCAAGAATGCCAATGGTAGTTTAATAGCAATATCATTGAACCTATAAATTGCTTTGGGCAGTATGACCATTTTAACATTATTGATTATTCTTATACATGACCATAGAATGTTTGTCCATTTGTTTGTGTCATCTCTCATTTCTTTGAGCCATGTTCAGTAGTTAGTTATCCTTGTAGAAATTTTTCACCTCCCTAGTTAGCTGTATTCTCAGGTATTTTATTCTTTTGTGGCAGTTGTGAATGGGTGTTTGTTCCTGATTTGGTTCTCAGCTTGACCGATGTCGTTGTATGGGAATGCTAGTGATTTTTGCACATTGATTTTGTACTGAGACTTTGCATAAGTTGTTTATCCACTTAAGAACCTATTGGACTGAGACTATGTCATTATCTAGATATAGGATCATGTTGCCAGTTTACATTTCTTGACAGCAACATGGTTGTAATCTGAACTCCATTTTTCTGCAGGATATTAAGCTGTATGTGTACTTCAGGTTTGACCGACTTTATTAAGACCTTAAATGGGATTATGCAAATACAAAAGCCAACAGCAAATACTTCCTGAGGAAATGCATCTTAATTCCCTACTTTGTACAAACATGTTCTTTGTAAACATGCATAGACATTCTCATGACTCCATTCTACCAGTCACCATTAACTGCAACCGACATCGATCCCTTCACAATTATGCAGTTTCACCCCCAGAAAATAATACATTCATTTCTCTATTTAACAAGTTCATCTTAGCGTGCCCCCAAAGCCCCAATTAAAACAATACTTGAAAAACAAACTCAGTTTCCTTGCTGGCTTGTGAGTGACAACATGAGGCTCAATAAACTGTACCTTTTATTCTTTAACCAAGAGAGTGCAATGAGAGTAATAAAAAAGTTCTCAGCGTTGCAGAGAGCACATAAAAGTGGGCTGCAGTATTGATTCCACCAGAATCAATCTGGATCTTGATCCAGACCAGGATCAAGATCAAGGATAGACCTGGGTACTCAGGACTCCTCCAGCACTCCTCCTGCTAGCTGTCATTGTTCTGGGCACATTTGGTAAGCCAACTGTGGCTTTTATCTTTTCCTTCTAGGCATTAGAAAATCTCAGAAAATATTCCAGATGTAATGAGATTGTATTTGGCATTAAGAAAAATGTAAAAACTGTGAAATTGAAACTTAAGCTGACATATACAGTATTTAGACTATGGAGTGTCAAAGACTTCTTGTTGAGTCAAATAAAAACATCTGTTTAACTTCCTAGAAATATCTGAGTGTAAGAGTCTGTGCTTTTCTTATTATAGATGATAGCAGGAACGTTACCAAAAATTGGTTTACGATGTTCATTTTAATGATGGTAAGCAGAGAGAAAATGCTAATTTCAATTAATAAAATTCACATATAATCTTTATGTTTACAACTTTTGGTAGGAAGGATCAAGTTGATTTTTGCCATTGAAAAAGTTATCTTATTGACCATACATACTTGAAAGCAATAAATTATCGGTCTAGTATATCTACCAGTTTTTCAAGCATAATAGATGCTCAATAATTGTTTGTTGATCAGGATAATAATATGTTATTAATAATTATGTTTGTGTAACTGTCTTCATAAACATTTCTATCAGTACTGAATTTGTGAATACAGTTGAGTGTCCTTCTATATTGATTTCTACTTTAAAGTAAAGAAGTAAGCATCATGGCTATGTTTGTTCTCAATAAGGATTTTTCTAATTTTTTTCTCACACAGCTGATTCCTCTGAGGATTAAGAGTTGGATGTCAGTGTATTCAGACACATTCTGACTTTATTCCTCACCAATTCATTAAAAATGATCAGTTGATACATAAGGATCCTTTCTGCAGAAGAAAAGAAGTCAGTAAGTAGTGAAGATGTGGTGGAGTTTGGAAGCCTCTAGGACAGCAGTTTTCAAAGCTGGCATTTCCTTACAAAGTATGCTAGGTTGGAAGTATAGGAGATCTAACCTCTAGGTGTTATTCCTATGCAATGTGGGAAGATAACTGCCCAATCTTTATGCTTTCATTCCTGAAAACATTATCTACTTTCCCCAATAAAAAGGGCTCTCAAATGGGAACATAGGGTATGAATTCATCTGAGTGGAGTTAACCCTATAGTCAGTGAACATGTACCATAAGCAAAGATACACATTCCTCAGTAAGGATACATGGATAATTAGTTGATCATCAGGAAATCTATTACAAACTTAGTTATATGATAAATTCAGTATGGCCAGATGGCCATGGAGACAACTGAGGCATAAGCCTACAAATAAAGAGCTTAGAGACTGTGGAAAACAATTCTGCATTTTATTAAAAAAAATTTTACTATAAACTATGTTTGCCAGATTGTTTCAGGTGTTCATTGCCAGGTAATGAATTACCACAATTTAGTGGCTTAAAATTAACCCACTTATTAATTTTCACAGTTTCATAGCTCAGTAATCTAGGTGGCTTCACCAGTTTCTCTGCTTGGGGTTTCATAAAGTCAAAATCAAGGTGTCAGCTAAAGTCTCATGCGAAGACTCTAAGGATGCAATCCACTGCCAATCCAGGTTGTTGGTAGAATTCAGTTCTTTGCAGTATAAGACTGAGCTCTTCATATTCATTTTATCTCTCAAAAATTCTAATGAATTAATTTAAAGCATTGTTAAATTAAGCATAGTTATTATTTAGCCAGAACATTCTTTTCTTTTCAGAACCACACTGAAAGATGGGAAAATAATTTCTTCGGATCCCTGCATATGTGCATCTGAACATGGGAGAGAGAAAAATAAAGAGGGGCAGACAGAAAATAAAACACATCTCCTCAGAAGAAACAAACTGTTAGTCTTTAGAGTGGTGATATGTATATATTGAAAGAGAACTAGACAAAAAGTTCAGACGTTTGGGCTCTATGATTCTGAGCAAGCATCTGAGCTTCTTTATACTCAGTTGTAAATGTTAAAACATGGGAAAATGAAACAAAACATCTCCTCCTTGACAAAACTGTCAAGAGGAGATAATAAAATTGAAAGTGCTTTGAACATAAACATGAAAAATCAGAGTGTTGTTCTTATTAAAACTATGAGATCACTTCTTAATTAGTACTTAGAAAAGCAAGTTTTGTGGAACCTGTTCACATTGCCCTATCCATAACTACATATGCACCAAACCACTAAATTATCTGTAGCAGGTGCCAAGTTTTACTGCTGTAGATCATAGCAAAAATGATAATAGTTATTAAGCTGTATACTAACAAGTACCTCTGAGATTGAGCTCTGTGAAAAAAAAAAATCCATCTCAGGACAACAAGTTCAAGACCAAGTACTTTAGCACATAAAATTCCAAATTTCTGGGGAAAGGGATCCAGTTAGCACAGTTTGAGTCATGCACTCACTCATGGTCTACCCCTCTGTGGGCAGGAAATGAGAAACACACCACAGAGACATGGCTGCCAGAAGTCCTCCCAGGGTGAGGCAGGCGATTCTTGGAGTAACAGACAGACATCTCAGTGGGACCTCCCTACCACTCAGAGAGCATTCTTCTTAAATCTGAGGGAAGAGTAAATAACTGTGGGTACTTTTGGTTTCAGAAGGATTTTTTTCAGGGGTAAAGGGGGAGTGATAAAAATAACCTGAAAACCTTTAAATTACAAGTCACCTAAAACACTGACTATGGAAACAATTCTTTTAAATGAATAGCTTAGCTCTCTAGAAAGTAGTAAAAACCCCCAGGACCTCAAAAAAGAGCAATCAGAAAATAGGACAAGAAATTTCATAGGTTAGTGCCATGGATTGTGCAGAGTAAGGCTTGAAGATGGTTGCTCCATCAGTAACCTAGATGTTGACATTTTTATCTCACGTTAGAACAGAAGACATGGCTGTGGATCCTTGTAAGACAGAGAGTTGTAACAAAGGTCCTTGTATAAAATCAGAACCCTCAATAGAAATAAATCTACTAAAAACACTGATTTACAATAAGGAGGCATGTTTGTCTTAACATGAACAACAGGTTGAAGAAAAAACAATTTCTTGAGAAATTATTTGGGATTCTGTTATAACACCTGTTTGGGCTTGGAACCCCTTGGTACCATAGAAGGAGGCCCAGATCAATACCTGGCAGAAATGAAACTAAAACTGCGCTAATCAGATATATCTTCAATAGGCACCACACAGAAGTCTGAAAGATAAAGCCACACTGAAGATGGGTTAATAGTCCAAATTCATAAAACTCTGGAGAAACCATCCACCCTAAACAGGAGTTAAAACTTGGAATGAACAGCACTCCTAAATTGAAAGCGTTAAAATCAACAAAGAAGACCATTATAAACATGTTTCAAATCATTAGACATCAAAGAAGGACTTGAAATATAAGAATAAAATAAGATACTAGGAAGTTAAACAGATTTGGAAGGCGGATGGGGAAAATCTAAAACAGATAATAGAAAAAAAAAAGAATAGCAAATTTGAAAAAAAAAGGCGCTTCTAGAAATAGAAACACAACGATACAATGTGAAATTTCATAGGGTGGCTTAAGCAGTATATTTGACTCATCTAAAGACAAAATTATTTTGGAAGATCTGAGGAAATTACTATGCAGCAGAGATAAAAATATAGAATATATTATACAATAGGAGGTTAAGAAGCTTTAAAAATAGTATGAGAATATCTAACTTATTTCTGAAAGAAATTCTAGACCACAGGGAGAGGGAGAATAGGTAAAAAGTAATATTTGAAAGGATAATGATTGAGAATTTTGTAGGATAGATGAAACCCCCATGTTCAAGAAGCCAAATACATTTTAAGCAGAACAGAAAAATAAAACATTCAGCTGCAATGTACTGAAAGTACAAGATCCAAAAGATAAAGACCTGATAATGAATAATCATGTTCTAGAAGGACAATTAAAGAAAAGATCAAACCAGAGCCAAGTCTCTGGAAATAATGTATTTTCTCTAAAATGGAACTGCTTTGGTTGAATTAGTTTTAAAACAATATTAAATTGCTGTGGTTTTTTAATGCAACTCTGTAATGAAGAATCAAGGACACTAAGTTTGGCTTATGTTAGTTATGATTAAATGTCATATGGTTTCTAAGAGATGCAGTGAACTACTAATAAAAACATCAGGATTAATGATGTATTTATTGATCAACTAATTTTCATAGTAATTTTTTGCTTCCATATGTTTGTGGTTCAAATCCTATATACCCAATGATTCATACATTTTACATATTTTCTATGATTTTTTTTCTTCAGGTTCAAAGTTTTTTTCAAAAAGTAAGCTGCTGGACACATTGAGAAAAGTGGATCATTTGTATTGCTCTCCACCCATCCATCTTAATGTGATAATGTGGAGAAGTGCTAAAAATTAAAAGTTAAAACAGGGTTTGGGGCAGACAGACCCTAGATCTAGCATTTACAAGTTATGTGTTTTCAGGCAAATAACATTTCTGAATCTGTTTTCTCCTATAAAATGTTAACATTAATGTCTACTTTATTTGAAGTTTGTTGAGAATATTAAAAAAGCAAATGCCTTCTACTGATTTATGCCCTACAAGTCATAGCAAATTACTTACAGTGTTTCTGAAAATACTGTTCAACTTCTTGGCTTAAAGTTTTTGTTCATACAGTTCCCTCTGTACAGATCAATTCCCTTTGCTCTGCCTCCTTACCCTTCACCTGACCTAACATTTAAAGGATCTGAGGTCTGAAGAATGACTTTAGTTTGTGTGTCATCAACTCCAGCTTCCCACACCCCTTAAGTGCGGGTTATCTGTTCCTCTTCATCTACATAAGCTGCCAAAATTTCAGTTGTTTCACATTTAACTTCATTTCATGGAGGAAGCTTTTGAATCAAATCAAATGTAAATGACTTTCCAAAGATTATAAAACTAGTTAGTGACAGAGCCAAGGCATGAAGCCAGGAATCCTCATTTTTATCTTAAATTACCTCTGCTGCTTATACTTCAGTTAGCAGGGCTAGCCCCACCCTGGTTACGCCCAAGCTCTGTGGGGTGCTGAAACATAAAATCTTCAGAAGGATACCCTCTGTGTATTTCTGCGTGAGGTGCATTTCTTCCCCATGACACAGTGATTAATTCATCAGGCCTTCTAAGACATCCTGACTGCTGCTCCTTGCCAGCTCTGCTATCCTTTCACTGGATTATCAGGTGCTATCATCTTGATCTGGACCAATGCGTCTTCTGAATTTTCTTTTTAGTGCCAACAGAGATATGGTTTTTTTAAATATAGCTAAATCTCCTTCTAGAACTCATCATTTTCAATGGAAATTTTTCTCCTTTCTTGAGCCTCATTTATTGTCTGTCACTGCTGAAAAGAATTGTCCTCCCACCTCTAACCATGACCACCACTACCACCATCACCAATCCCCACTGAAACACACATTTCCTTACAACTATGCCCAACTCTGTGGGCCACGGAGTCCAAGGAAGAAAAGGTGACAAAGTAAGAAAGACTATTAGTCAGATCCTTTTTGTCATGTATTTGTAAGAAACAGTTATACTTCAAGAAAATAAGCATTTTCTGCTTAAGAGATTGCAAATATTCGTTGTGTTCTTTCCACTTGTATTTTTATTTCATTTCAATTTTCCTCTAAAAATATTATTAGTGTAATTAATTTATTAATTTTTTTCTTTATGGCATCTGGAGTTTGCGTTTTGCTTTCATAGCACTTCTCCCTTTCAAAACTCATTTCTTTTTCTTTTCAAATTTAGATATTTGATCCATCTGGAATTTATTTTGGTATAAGGAGAGATATAAGATTTAGCTTGCATCTATCCTCAGATGGTTAACCATATGTTTCAACTTCATTTATTTGCTCATCCCTTTCCCCCAGTGATTTTAAATACCTCCTCTAGTATGTGTTTAATGTCATGTGAATTTGATTCCGAACTCTCTATTCTATTCTACTAGTATCTCTGTTTCTTTGTCAGCCACCATCAGAATTTAAAGATTACTAGGCCCTTAAGAATGATACAACGGATTCTAGGGACTCAGGGGAAAAGGGTGGGAGGGGGATAACATAAAAGAATACACACTGGGTACAGGGCACACTGCTTAGGTGATGGATGCACCAAAATCTCAGAAATCATCACTAAAGAAATTTATCCGTATAACCAAACACCACCTGTTCCCCCAAATCCTACTGAAATAGAAAAATAATAATAATAAAAATTAAAGAATTACTGTGCCTTTATGTGCATTAGTATCTGTGTTGCTAATCCTTCTCTTGTAGCTCTTCAATTTCAAAGATTTTACGGCTCTTCCCAGATGTTTGTTTTGTCATGTAAACCTTAGAATCAACTTGCCTAATTCCAAAGAAAATGAACCTATTGGTATTTCATTGGAATTCTCTATTTGTGGATTAATTTAGAAAAAAATGATATCTTTATAAATATTGTCTACTTAAGAATCAAATACATCTTTTGCTTAATTCAAGGATGTGTATGTGTACCTGTGTGTGGACACATATGTACCTTAAAGGCATTTTAAACTTTTCCTCATTAAATCTTGTTCATTTCCTGTTTAGTTTATTCCTAGACAATTTTTGTTGCAGCTGTGTTTGCTATGATTAAAAATGAGACTTTTTATTCCATTACATTTTAAACATGCTGTTCCTTTTTTATGGGAAAGCTCTTGATGTCTGCATATTAACTCCATAACAATCAAGAGGCTGAACTTTTCAATTGCGTCAAATTAAGTTTAACTTGATTAATTGAGCTTCTGTTTGTGTAATCATGGCATCTGCAACTCATAACAATTTTTTTGCTCTTTTGTTTTTATATCTTTTTTGTTTCCTTCTTTCTCTGATTAAATTGGTAGTATTTAGGACAAGGTCATGATATAAATGGCTGTTAAGCATTCTTAAACTTATCCATCCCTTTAATGGGACTAAATGTTTTGCTATTAGGCATGATGCTGGCTTGGGCTGAAGGTAATATTTTCAAAATAAGATTACAACTCATGTGAAAGGAAAAATACTTCTCTACCTCTAAGTAGGGTGCACCTTTGCCTCTACTCTACTCAGGGGACTTACTTTGTTTGTAAGAATAAATCAGGCATGTTCGACACAACTCTTTTTTCCTCCCTTTTAGGATCAAGATACTGGGAGAATGAAGTCTTCTCTTTGCCAAAACTCTGACCTGGGCATCTCTTCCAACTTTCCTACTCGATGTGGACCAGAACATTCTTGTCCAGCATTACTAAACCCTTGCTGGATATGATTGTCTAGTCTGATGTTAAATTCACAAGTCTATTTGGCTTTCTCACCAAGCCATATCTTCTGTGGTGTTCCTTAAAAGCAATAAACATACATTGGTGTAGATATGCTCTTCCTTTGCTTTTTTCTTAATTTTTCAGGATAATAGAGTAGGTGTCCATTCATACTTTTAGCAGGAATTGTGAAATTTTTAATGAAAGTTGGACCTTATCAAATACTTTTGCAACATCGACTAGAGATAATTTAATTATCTCTCTTTTTTTGTTTTGTTACTCTTTTCACAAATAGACACCAATGTGGGGCTTAATAAATCATTTTTGCATTAAATTATAATTAAATGTTTAAATGTTTATGAGTAAATGGAGTTATCATAAAAAGTAATAGTAGTGTTTACTCTTCTTACTATATATTTTCAGATACGATTGTTAAAAGTAAGTCCTTTTTAAATCATATTAATTAAAGCTACCAGTGAGGAACATCAGTGGGGGTGTGGCTCCTATTCAGGTTTTAGCTGTTAAAAATATTTTCCATTACCACCAAATATAGAATCAGAAAATGTCTTGAGAAAGCAATCAACATATCGTAGATCACTGTATAGAAAACATAAGTTATAGTTTCCAGGGTGTATAAGAACATCATGGAGCATGAAGATGTTACCAACTAAATGTATATGAATATACAATTTTAAATATTTATATTTGATGAAAGAGTAGATTCAGATTAATGCCCTAATGTTTTTATGTACTAAACATAACCTTACGGATTTATTTTCCAAAGACTAACATAAAAATTAAATATGCATTTAAAATGATTTTTAATGCAGCATCATAAGGCAATGACCTGAAAGTGGGAGCAAGAAGACATAGCTTTGAAGAGTTATACAAATGTGACAATTCTGAAAATAAGTTGAGGTGTTTAAAAGTATAGATGCTAGAGATGGATAAATCTATATATGAATGTCAGCTTTAGAACATATTAGCTGTGTGACTTTGGAAATATTACTTAACCTCTGTGAGCCTCAGTTTCCTTGTCTGCAAAAGGAAAAGAAAAATAGAAAGCACCATACCACCATCAAGTTTGCTGTAAGAGATACATGTAAAGTGTTAACATAGATACCTGGAATATAACAAATTTTCAGTAAATGACAATAATTATTTTTTCAATAAATGATAGTAATTAATGTAATTATTGTTTACAAGGTTATATTATTGTTAATTATCATTATTTTACTCCTTTCAGTTAAGATCAACATATCACTTATTTTTTCTATACATCTAAGGTACAAGGCTTCCTAAACAAGTTTCAAAACTGTATTTTCTATAATAATTATTGCCCTTACCACCTAAATATTAACACCTTATAGTTGTTTGGAAAGTTTGTGCTGGAAAGTAGAGTTTTCCTTTCCCAGGAGATCCACATTAAACCTGATAACTCAATTGCAACTCAGTTTTTTGAAAGATTTTCTCATAGTAATCTTTTTAGCATTTTAAAATTTCTCTGCGATTCTCTTTCCTTAAAATTTTTCTCAGTAGAAATTTATTGAAATAAAACAAAAGGATGCTGACTCTCACCATTCATCCTTCTCCAAAATATATACTCTAAATTAGGACTGCTAGAAAACAGGCTTCTTAATATATAATCTATATATGAGTGGATCATATGTGTCATATCTAAGAGTAATGAACCTGTATTTAAAATACTTTTTCAATGTGGAAATGCTTTAAAGTAGTTCACTTGCCCTCCCAGCTTTATTGCAAAATAATTACCAAAATTTGTATATATTTGAGGTGTAAAACATGATGATTTTATATACATTACCACAATTAAGTTAATCAACACATTCATTGCCACCCAGTTACCTTTTGTGTGTGTGTTTGCGTGTGTGATTTCAAGTAAGCAATACAGTACTATTAACTATAGTCACTGTTCCATACATTTTATTCCCAGAACCTATTCATCTTATTACTCAAATTTTGCATCCTTTGACCAACATCTCCCCATTCCCCACCCTTCACCCCTTTCTCCTGGCAGCCATTAATCCACTCTTTCCTTCCATAAGTTTGACTTTTAGATTCCACATAAAAGAGAGATTACACCGTATTTGTCTTTCTATGTCTGACATTTCACTCAGCATAATGTCCTCCAGGTTCATTTATGCTGTTGCAAGTGGCAGGATTTCCTTTTTATATGGCTGAATAAAATACTAGTTTGTGTGTGTGTGTGTGTGTGTGTGCGGGCATGTGCATTTATGAGATCTACATATGTTATATATAAAATATTTTTAGAATTATTCGTCTGTCAAAAGACATTTAAGTTGTTTCTACATTTTGGCTATTGTGACTAATGCTACAATAAACATGGGAGTGCAGATATCTCTTCAAGATACTGATTTCATTTCCTTTGGATATGTGTCCTGAGGTAGAATTGTTAGATCATATGGCAGCTCTATTTTTATTTTTTTATAAACCTCTATGCTGATTTTCATAATAGCTATACCAATTTACATTCCCACTAACAGTGTACAAGGTTTCTTTTTGTTTCACATCCTCAACACTTGTTACCTACACTATATGCAAAGACCTGAGATGTTTCTTATGCACAGTAAAGTTTGAGAATTTCCATACTTCATTTATTTATCTAAGTTCCTGATATTCTTCAAATCTTGATATAATAATTTTTTACTTGTTCAGCTCTTTGACTTTTAAAATATTTCCAGAAAATATTTTATCTACCATTTTTAGTTGTATTCTATGGGAGTGTGACTCCAAATAACCTAGTTTGCTATTATTGGAAACCAGAAGTCTCAATCCCATCTCCACTTGAGAAAATTATACTCAAGCTTTCAAAGCTCTGCCATGATTCTGCTCTTGATTGCTTTACACATATGTGATTTCTTCTTTGTTCAAGACATCGTATAACCTCTCTTTCTCTTATTGTCTTAGTCTGTTATAATAAAGACACTGCTAATAAAGACATACTCAAGACTAGATAATTTATAAAGGAAAGAAGTTTAGTTGACTAACAGTTCCACATGGCTGGAAAGGCCTCACAAACATGGCAGAAGGTAAATGAGGAGCAAAGTTATGTCTTCATGGTGGCAGGCAAGAGAGGGTGTGCAGGGGAACTTCTCTTTATAAAACCATCAGATCCTTTGAGACTTACTATCACAGCAACAGCACAGAAAAGACCTGCCCCTTTGATTCAATTATCTACCACCAGGTCTCTCCCATAACACGTGGGAATTACGGGAGCTACAATTCAAGATAAGATTTGGGTAGGAACACAGCCAAACCATATCACTTATTTTTCAGTCATGAGTAAACTCGGTGGTTTCCTATTTATTTATTTATTTATTTAGAGACAAAGTCTCGTTATGTTGCCCAGGCTGGAGTGCAGTGGGACTATCCTGGCTCACTGCAACCTCTGCCTCCTGGGTACAAGAGATTCTCCTGCCTCAGCCTCCCAAGTAACTGGGACCACAGGCACGCACCACCTTGTCTGGCTAATGTTTGTATTTTCAGTAGAAATGGGGTTTCACCATGTTGGCCAGCTTGTCTCAAACTCCAGACCTCAGGTGATCTGCCCACTTTGGCCTCCCAAAGTGTTAGGACTACAGTGTTAGGTGTGAGCCATGGCACCTGGCCTGGTTCCCTTTATATATCATGTTAGACACTTAATGCCAGGCAGTATATTTTGTTCCCTGAAGCAACTAGTTTGTGCTTTGCACAAAACAGTCACTCAAGATTTATTGCATTAAAAAAAATTTCAAAAAGTATTGGTTGAGAAATTATTAACCAAAATATCACTTCAGCTATTTCCCACATTTCTCAATTGCAACAAGCAATAGTCTTGAGCAATAAAAAACTTCCCAGGACTCTTCCTCTCACATTCCACTTGAGTTTACATAAAATAATGTGAATAGGCCCAGTTTGTTTTTCTTCTAAAATGGTGCAGCTGCTGAAACATTCAACTGACACTTGTTTGAATTGTGATAATAAATGTGTTTCATCAGTCCAATTCACAGAACTCCCTAAGTGGCCTCAGTTCACAGGCAAAGAAGGAATGTGACTCCCAAGGAGCATAATTCTATACAGATGTGGTCAAGTGAGACACAAAATCCCAAACTGCAGGCAAATACATGAAAAGATGTGAGGAAGGAAATCATTTGCATAGAACATAAGGTATGTGTTGCCTTAATTGCTTGTATAGTTGAGGTAAAAATTGTTGGCCAGAAAATAGTCTGGAATCATTTTAGAAGTTGTCATAACCCAGGTAACAAACGCTAATTTCATCATTTGCTACTTATCTAGCCTAAGATACTATGGATCATAATACAAATCATTACCTTACATACCATTCAGAAAGGGAAAAATCAGCCCAAGTAATCTGTGTTCTCCATCAGTGATAAGCCATGCCACAATTATAGAGATTTTAAAATGTGATAAAATGTGCCTTTTAGACTCACTGAAATACAGCATGTGTCTTATCATCTTCAACACTCTATTTTCAGGCAGTTGTGCATTGAGTTGTAGATTGTACTGCTGAGGAAAAGCAAGTCTTTTACCTGTAATCTTGCATCTATCACCCATGATATATCTACCTACAGAGAAAAAGAGGTGTATTGTAAAGTTGACTCATCTAGTCTCTCTGCTTCTGAGGGAAACATTGACTTATTTAGATGGGTGAGTTTGAAACAATCAACTTTGCATAACATCTCCTGCTTACCTTTTTCACAGAACCACTCACCCTCCTGTAAAGTAAATGATCTGTTCTGCTCTCTGCCAAGAATAAAAGTAGCTTATCGCATAGGGCATACCTAAGATTTTCCAACCCAGCTTGTGACTACATAGATAGGTCTGCCTAATTCTGGGGGTCAGTGTTAGGAAGTACACCTGTCCACAGAAACAAACCACTGGCTCTAGTACCAGCTTCATTATTAGTAAGCAGGATATTTTTATATCTTATCTAAGTTACTTTCTTTTTCATCTCAATTGAATCAAAAGTCATAACTCAAGAAGGGATAAACGATGCTACCTGTAGGCTTCCTAGAAAAACAACTAGCATACATGCACGCCCTTGGCTCTGATGAGCAGGAAGCCCTCTATACTAGAACGGAAAAACTACAATAAGATGGTCCATTAAAGGTGGCATTGTGAAGTTCAATCCATCATGTAATCATCCCTTTCTCATCCTGCCTGACACAGTCATAATCACAACCCCAGTCTGCTTCTGAGTGTGTTGAGTGTGTTATTTCTTATCTGCCCAGGGGGACCTATTCTTTCTTCTCATTCTCCTTTGGCTTCTCTTAGCCTCCTCCCAACAAAAATGCAGTGCAAAGCTTTATTTATAACCTGTGATAGGTTTGGCTGCCTTTGTTCTGCCATCAACCGTCAGAGAAGCAACCCAGGCACTAATTCAAACCAAAGAGCAGGCAGCCATATTCTATTGGAGCGGATGTGGCATGGTGTAAAGATCTCATAAGGACCATGTGTTGACTCCCTGAAAGCCATCACATTAGAATAAATAATTATACCAATGCAACCACAATCTACTTTGCTTGTCCACATTCTCAAAGACCAACAAACTGAGACCAAAAGCAGCTATGACTTCCAGAAGTGAAGTTTGAAGATAGAACGACTTCGGCCCAGCTCCACGTTTATCCTATTTCTTTGTATGCATTTTATATTGAAAAAAATACGGTACATTTTCTTCATAAAAATTCTGCTGGGATGCTTATTTTTATTTTCTTCACCTAGGAAAATCATTCCCATACACTGCACTGACTTTTAGATTATGTAATATAACTTGTAATTATTTTATTTTATTTTTTTTTTGCAGCTTGCCTCACATCCTCTCAGTCCTCCTGCTACTCAGCAATTCCTGCAGCAAACAAACTGCTCTGTGTGAGTTTAACCAAACAGCATGTGGTGTTAGCTACATTCCATGCCCTCGTTTCATGTCCTGGAGCTTTTCTAACATGGGAGCACCCAGGAGTGACAGGCAGTTGACCTCCTTTGTGCCACTGATGGATATTATGGGATGGGAGCTGTCAGTTAAATTCTCCCCACTTCTACCCCTAGGACACATTATTCTGAGGCACAACTACGATAAGCATTATCATTCTCTTCACCTGGAAGAAGTTGTAGAGGTTCCATCTCAGAAGACCAGAAACAGCATGATAAAGCATGGACTTCCTCAAGAAGAAGAAATCACATTTAGAGCTGTTGAATTTAGAACAAGGCAGAAGGAGATGGTCAAACTAGTTTGTTCTACACCTTGTTCCAACATCTTTTCAAGAGAAAAATCACTGGCCCTAATGGAAGGATGTTTATGTAACTAACATAAAGAGATGTCATAATCACCAATTAGAAAGAGAGAATGCAGATGAGAATCAGAGCAATGCTCAGTGCTCACTGAATCTATATTATAGCAGGCTAATGTTAGTCTAAGGCTGACTCTATGTGCAATGACTTAAAAAATATTATTTTAGAGTTCTTCAGAAGACTTAACAGTGCTTTTGGCATTTATTCCATTACAATGTGCTAGACAGACATGATAATTTGTAGTGATACAATTGTTCAATACAGGTAACTTATTTTACCAAGCTTTTCTTCTTTTTTTCAAATCAAGATGGTTAAACTGTTATAGTAGGTAGCTAGTCAGACATGAACAGGGCAAGAGAAGGCTCCCCTCACACATACACAGCGGGAACACCAGGCGACCAGCAGATGATGGTCAGGCAGTTGTTAACTGAGTCTCTAAAACAATAATTGGTCACAGCCAGTACCAGGGGAGGGCAGTCTCCCCATAGATAGAAAACACCTGAAACTAGTGATCAGCAGCTTCCCAATAAGATCTCAGAAGTTGGGTGAGCGGGCTCAAGCATGCACATTAAAATGGCAGAATTTAATCAGCAAATGACCTTCCAGGAACATTTGACTGGTAAAAGAAGAACGCCTCAAGTGAGCATGTGTGCAACTCCAGTAAACACACTGTACATGCTCAACTCCCAAGTGCTAGCAGGCCACTGTGCATGCAGACAGCCCATCCCAAGGGAAGAATCGGGAGAAGTAAGGCAAGACCCTGGAAGTACGCCAATGTATAAAACCGCTAGTCAGAAGGTCAAACCTCACACTGAATCTCTCAAGTCACCCACTTGGCCCTCTTCCAAGTGTACTTTACTTTCTTTCACTCTTGTCCTAAAGCTTTCAAATAAGCTTTCACCCCTGCTCAAATACTTGCCTCAGTCTCTCCTTCTGCCTTATGCCCCTCCGTCAAATTATTTCTTCTGAGGAGGCAAGAATTGAGATGGCTGCAGAATCATACAGGTAAGGATTTGCTGCCGGAGCAAAACTACCAGACAATGTCAAGCACAGTGTGTTCCCAGCGCAATAACAGATTACACATTTATGAGGTTTTATGAGTGACACATTTCCAGAGCAAAGCTGGAGAAGGAACCACATAGATATAGATCAATAATAGAATAATTGTGACCATTGCTTGTTCTTTCTGAGGCTGGACAATTAAAAAGAAGTCAGGCTGTTATGAACCTCCAGAGGTGACTTATTTCTCCTAAGGTCACAAGTGAGGAAGACCACTGCCTTAAGTCATTGCCCAGGCTCAAACACTGAGAGGAGATAGAGTTGAAAATGGATCCAGATCAGTCCCCCAACCAGGCAAACAGCCTCACTCAGGAAACTTGTTTGGTGGCCTCAAAGGTCACTTTTTTTTCATGATACACCTTGACACACCTAGGAAAAAAATATTTGAAAGGTTTGAAGGGTGAACCGATATCATCCAGAAAGAAGAGAAGAAAACAGGGCTTGGTCACATACAATGTGAAGAGATTATTCGAGAGTGACTTCTCTTGCCAATGACTAGCAGAGAAACTTCAAAAAAGAGGCAACAACTTCCCTTGGTTATGTGTTTTACCAAATGAGGTCTACCTTTACCACTGCAGCAGAAATGCTGCCTTTCTTAACTCGTTCACTTATGTATCTCAAACAGCATGCGCTTACCTAAAAAAGCACTGTAGAAAAAGGTAATACGAATCACGGACATTAATAAAATCTGTGGAATCTTCCTTTAGTTATCATTAAATTCATCCAAATCCAGATCATTACCATAACGGACATTGTAAAATTCTCAGGAAAAAAAGCCATTTTTACTGAACATATCTTAGCAAAGTCTATTACGGTTAAACTATTGTAATGTGCTTTCTCAGTAACTCAATTTTATTTAATTATTGCTATTTTTTAGGAATAGAGCAAAAGTATTTGCTCTGAGCGTCCTACATGTGGTTTAACATTGTGGAATAGTTCATATTTTCAGAGTGAATTGGAAGAATTTGTTCTACTTAGTCTAAAACCCAACATTCTGAAATAATTTTGATTGTGTTTAAGTCAGATCCAGGACTTACCAATATTTTGGAAACTTATTTTTTGTACTGCACAATGACCTTTTAAGAGGTCCTTTGTAATATGCTGACACCATGGTGAACACAAAGTTTATAGGAAGAATTCTTTATTTTATTTTTTTTCTTTGAGACAGGGTCTGGCTCTGTCACCCTGGCTATAAGTGCAGTGACACAATCACAGCTCACTGCAGCCTTGGCCTCAAGTGATTCTCCCACCTCAGCCTCCCTAGTAGCTAGTACTACAGGCCCATGACACTTTGCCCGGCTAATTTTTGTATTTTTTATAGAGACAGGGTTTAATCATATTGCCCAGGCTGGTCTCGAACTCCTGGGCTCAAGCCTCCTGCCTTGGCCTCCTAAAGTGTTGGGATTACAGGTATGGGCCACCACAACTGGCCAGTTTTAATTTCTAATACAGTAAATATCAATGGTTATAATCCATATTTCTAACAAAAAAAAAGCTCTTTTTGGGTCCTGAATAATTTTTAAGAGTTTCAAATTATCTTGAGACCAAAAAGTTTGAGAATCACTTTCTAGAGCAATGCTTTCCAAAAGAATTTATCATAATGTTGAAAATGCCCTATAAATCTGCACTGTCTGATACAAAAGCCACTAGATACATGTAGCTGTTGAGCAGTGGCTAGTGCGACTAAAGATCTGAGGCTTTTACTTTTATTAAATTTAAATTTAAATAGCAACTGTGGGTAGTAGCTAGCATATTGGGCAGTGTGGTCATAGACCTTCAGTGTGCTGGCTCCTGATATAATATTTTTTCCAATATTCCACGCAAGTTAATAGTTAGCTCATTTTTTCTTCTGCTAACCATTAAGCTCTTGGCTTGGTTTGTATGGGGTGTAAGGGAGGTGTTTAACCACAAAATACGTAATAAGAGAATTATCATGCATAGTTTTGAAATATGAATGAATTCCAGATTAAATCCTTGACTCAAGATGAAAAAAACCATTGTAGTTGCCCCACTGGGAATTAAACAGAGTTCAAGAGAATGTTTCTTCATGCCTCATCTTGAATTAACTACACAGACTATAGGCAACTGTTTTAAAATTATAAACAATGTTTTAGGCTTTGTTTCTGTTGTAGACAAAAATGTAATTGTTCCAGTTACAAAAAAAAAAAAAAAAAAAAAAAACTTGATTGAGTTTCCAAACATGGTACGGGCTTGACTTGGTATTAACATCATTCATTAGAATCTGAATCTTAGTTGGAATTCCTGGATTTCATTTTGTGGAACTATCTGGCTATCGTGCAGTTTTTACCCTTGCTAACCAAGCACAGAGCACAGAGGAAACTCTCAACTTGAAAATATAAACCTTGAATTGTGTGATCCTGTGTGAGTTACAGAACCTCTCTAAACCTATTTTTTCTCATAAAATAGGATAATAATATTATTAGGGACTTCTCTACATATTGAGAGGATTAAATGAGATAATGCACATGAAACATTTAGTATAACTCCTGAAACATTGTATATATTTAGGGGGTGGTGGTTATTACCCTAATAACTGCTATTAATTACATTATTTATAATTAATATAATGTCTACACTACATATACTATATTATTTATAATTAATATTATATCAATTATATTTCTAATCAGTAGGCATAATAATATATCAATCATGATTGTTATGATTAATGTAATTAATAATATAATAATACAATTTATAATAAATAATTAGTAATATTATTAACTGTGCTTACTGGACTTTTTTTTATGAGTCAGCTATGTGCCAGGCAATGTGTTAGTGCTAGTGGATAAGTGGCCTCTGTCCATGTGTGCATGGAGCTTCCAATCTAGAGAGGGAGAGAGACACTCCCTAGAGAGTATTGTGAGGATTAAACTTTAAAAGAGAAAAGAGCTGGGTCCTAAGATAGGATGTATCAAGGAAAATTGTTTTGATCTAGAGGGTAGGAGGATGGAATGTTTAAGCTGAGTCCTGAAATACAGTTCTAGCAAGATTTACTACTGGTAGAAATGTTTCAGGGTATATTGGTTGGGATGATGGTTAACAAATAGACTCTAAAGTTCAGTGACTAAACAAGACATAAGTTTATTTCTCTTTCACTTAACAGTCCAGAGTAGGTAGTCAGGTTTTGCTCTGTAAAGTCATCCAGAGTCCCAGGCTACAATGGTGGTTCTGCCATTCTTCACTGCGGCTTCTACAGTAGCTCCATCGCCACTATGTCCAACCAGCAGGAAGGAAAGGAAGATGGACAACTAGGAAGAACTTATTTAAACAGAAGACCTGAAAGTTACACTTACCCAGGAAGGTCAGCTGGGTGTTTAGACATGCCATTGTTGAACTAGCCTGACTTGGTGTTGTCGTCATTCACTAGGATCTGAATTTTGTATTGCTGCACTCTTGTCTGAAACATGTAGGTAATACAGAAATTATGTTCATATATATAAATTTTATATACCCTAAAAGTTAGTTTAGTTCAATAAACACTTAGAACTTGTACTTTTTTCCCCCTTAGAGATAAAAACATGGTTAATACTTTCATTCACTTACTTGTATTCTCATTCATTCAGCAATGTTCATCGAATATCAACAACCTGCACTAAATTTCAGGCACTTTGAGGATGTTCATGAAACACAGCCCTTGATCTCAAGAGATTCAGAGTCTATTGTGGATCGGAGGGGAGCAAACATCACAGTTTAGTGCAAAATAGAGAGAAAGATGTGATATTATCTGCATATAAATAAGTGCTGAAGAAGGTGGGGACTGTTCTCTGCCAAGAGAATGGGGAAAGGTTGTGGGAACAGAGCCATCTGAGAGAACTTGAATATTGATTTTATAAACAAAGAAGAACCTTCCGGTCTGATATGGTTTGGCTGTGTCTCCACCCAAATCTCATCTTGAATCGTAGCTCCCATATTCCTGTGTATCATGGGAGGGACCCAATGAGAGGTAATTGAATCATGGGGGTGGATCTTTCCTGTGCTATTCTCATGATAGTGAATAAGTCTCATGAGATCTGATGGTTTTATAAATGGGAGTTCCCTTGCACACACTCTCTTGCCTGCTGCTATGTAAGATGTGCCTCACTCTTTGCCTTCTGCCATGATTGTGAGGCCTCCACAGTCATGTGGCACTGTAGGTTCATTAAACCTCTTTCCTTTATAAATTATCCAGTCTCAGGTATGTCTTTATTAGCAGCATGAGAATGAACTAATACACAGTCTATGAGAAAAGTCATAAATAGCTCAGTGTGATTGGCTAGTTTAGGGGTGGCAAATAGTCCAGAGTGGGTGAAGTAGCTAATCAATAGATAAATGAAAATAGAATGTTAAAAGAGAGACAAATTGTGAAGAACCTCAAATGTCAAGCAACATATATTTGAATTTGTTTAATAAATAATGGGAAACTAGTGCAGATCCTTAAGAGGGGATAGATGTGACTGGATCTGAGTTTCAGAAAGAGTGCCCTGGAGGCAGCATACACAGTTAAGTGGCAGCTGAACTTATAAGCATAGATGCAGGGTTTCCAGAGTAAATCCTGCCCCTGATGCCTGTGTGATGTTGAGCAATTGGTTTACCCACCCTGTGCCTTAACTTTCTCATCATTAAATAGGAATGATAATGATAGCTATTTCATAGAACTGTTGTGAGCATTAAATTGAGTAATTCATGTCAAGAGTTTAAAATAATGTTTGACATTTAATAGGGATACATAAACGTTTACACACACACACACACACACACACACACACACATATATATATATATATATACCTTGGAGAGAAATGGAAACAAATTAAGAAAACAGAAACATCTAGTTTGAGCTAGGCTAAAAAGGGCAGTGTAGATACAGGAACAAGGGACCTGGAAACAGATTATCTCGTGCCCAATCGCAGATAAATTGTTTCTTAATTGTTCTAACCCTTTTTTTTCTCTGTAAATTAGAAATAATAACAGTGCCTATTTTATAGAATTGTGAGGAATTAAATTACACAATACATGCAAAGTGCTCAGCAAAGAGCCTAGCATCTACTGATCACTCACAAGATGAGAATTTTCATTATCAAAAAGGATTTATTCTAAAAGCTTGAAATTCTATAATTTTTTACCTCTGAATTAGTTTTGTCCTTTATCGCAACATTGATGTAGTACAAAAAACACAGACATTATAACCAGGTAAAACTGATATAAATTTTTATTCTGTCACTTCAAAGCAGTGTAAATTTGGGCATATTTTTTCTAAAATTTAGGAGCACCTGTTTCCTCTTGAGACAATTATAATGCTTCCCACAGTAAAATGTTGCTGTGAAGATTACCTGAAATAATTTGCATAAAGAACCTAGACTGGAACACAGTAAACACGTAATAGAAGTTGAATGCCCCCCTCCTCACACATGCCTTTTTTTTTCTCTAACTCTCTCTCACATCTGCTCTGAGAGATTAAAAAGTCACATGCAACCTCAACCTGGGCATATCTAGTCTAACCAAGACTGATGAGAATCCCATTTTAGTTGCAAGCAGAAGATTGAAAACAGAGAAGCACTGTTGTGAATCATGAGTTGTGGGTTCAGGCCGAGAAGGACAAAACCAAACTAACCCAATCCCTTCACTTGCCAAACCTCTTGCTGTTTGACCCCCGACTAACAGCTAACCAAAATTAGCCACAGACCGCTGATGAGCGTGTGAGCCATTGTGCAACTTTTCCAACTGGATAGAACATGAAAAATTAAGGAGAGAAGGACCATCCAACAGAGAGGCAGTGAGGGCTGAAAATACAAGGGATGATTATAGTAGGCTTGGCAGGGGACAGGATATGCATTAATGTGGAGAGAGGGATTTTCTTTTTTCACATCAAAACACACAGAATTTGACCACCTAAGTGAACAAGCTTTCTTCATATCTGGGAGTCTTGATGACATAGTTTTTAAGAAAACTGGTTTAGGAATAGTGATTGCTGAGTTCAAACCCTGGCTCCACCATTTGTGAGCTGTTATAGCCTTGAGTAAGTCATTTAAAAGTTCCAGCTGGGCGCAGTGGCTCATGCCTGTAATCCCAGCACTTTGGGAGGCCGAGGCGGGTGGATCACCTGTGGTCAGAATTTCAAGACCAGCCTGGTCAACATGGTGAAACCCCATCTCTACTAAAAAATACAAAATTTAGCCGTGCATGATGGAGGGTGCCTGTACTCCCAGCTACTCAGGAGGCTGAGACAGGATAATCGTTTGAACCTGGGAATCGGAGGTTGCAGTGAGCTGAGATTGTGCCACTGCACTCTAGCCCCTGGGCGACAGAGCTAGACTCTCTCAAAAAAAAAGAAAAAATTCTGAGCCACCTTTTCCTTGATAGTTCCCAAATCATTACACTAATGCAATGATTAAGTATTATCATAACCTTTACAAAGCAGATGAAATAGAATCTTGGGACATATTAAATATTTAAAGATATTAGCTATTACAATTGTGATTTAAGTTTTTAGCTGGTCAGCACACTTTAAGGAGAGTTGAGGCAATTGTCTATTACAGATGGTACAGATGACAAATAAGATGAGTCAGGCAAGTAAGATGAGTCTGCTTGACTGATCTCATTTCTTAGATTTATTTAGTGTAGAATTAACCTAAAATTACTTTCTTTAAAATAATTTTTCTACTAGATTTCATTGTCATCCCAAGTTTTTAAAATTCTATTTTCCTGAACTTCTGATACATGACACTTTTCCGTTTCTGGAGAAACTTATCCTATTCACAACTTCTATCAAGTGACTTGCTTCTTAAGTATCTTCAGGCTTGGCTATTGCTCATAGATCTTTTATCTAGCCCTTACCACTCCTCAATGTGGTTTGAATCTTACTGCCTTCCCTTCTGACTCTAATCTAAATAATAACCCTTGAAAAGAAAAGCTCAGTTTCACCTTCTAGCTATACAAGAGCATTCTCTTTACCTAAGTTAGAGGAAGTGCTCTCTTGTTCACTATTTAGCATTTTGTGGCTAGAGACAAACTGGGTTCTCTGAGCCTGCAGAGGTAAAATAACAACTCTCACCTTCACCCATGTTAGAATTAATGAAAGAAACAAATCTCATATCGACAAAGATTCTTTGCTTGACTAAACTTTAGTCAGCTCCTCTACCATCTCCTAAGCCCATCTGTGAATAGCCTTGTAAAATCTAGTATTAGCAAAGAAGCCTGCTAAATCAGGTTAGCAAGAACTACCCCATCCTTTTCCAGACCCCAGGTAGTGTCTAATCACTCTGGTCTGTCTTCAGCAACAATTCTATCAGGTCAGTCTAGGCCAGAATCCCCCTGGTGCCTGACGTTTCCTCTCAGTAATTTTCCATCCACTGACCCCCACCTTGCACCTTGGCTATAAATTCTCACTTGCTCCTGCTGTATTTGAAGTTGAGCTCAATCTCTTTCCCCTCTGAAAAATCACACTGCCATGGTCTCTATGGTGACCAAACCTATTGTGATGGTCTCGAATAATGTTTGCCATACGGTGCTTTAACAGGTATCACTAAATACATTTTTTTATTTAACAATGTGCATGAAACAACCAGAGAATAGAGTCCAGGTAATTATGAAAATAAGGAAGATAATATGGTATACATGATATATGGATCCACCAGAGGCATGAGACTAGACATATTGCTTTCTGGGAAACAGCAGTTACTACAGCTGGGAAAGGGAGGGGAGGTAGTAAAGAAATATTTCTGTTGTCCAAATGGCTGGCTGGCAACACCACAGATGGGGGCATTCTTCTTGATCAACTGCAGTCCCTTCTTGCTACACAATGCATCTTCCTCTATTGAGACTTGACAAGTAACACTTAGTTTCCCACATAGTTTACATAGGGCAATTTAATCCCAAAATAGCAGAAACACCAAGTGCTAGAGTACACTAATAACTAACATTTTTATATAGCATGTTGCAGTATAAAGATAACTTTTCCTTACATTGCGCTAATGTTCACAACCACCCTATGAGGGAATTATTATTATTTCCATTTTCAAATGAGTAAAATGAAGTTAAAAGAAATTAAGCAAATTTCTTAAGGCCACTAATTTAGTCCCTAACCATTTCTGATTGGTTATTACCATGTCCTGTCACCAAAGCCTGTACTGCTATGTTGCCTCACCTTTGGAATTAGAAAGAGTGTGGTTTTTTTGGTTTGTTGTGTGTGTGTGTGTGTGTGTGGACAGGGCTTATTTTATGAAGTAATCCCATCATCTAGATCATTATTTTTATGGGGAAATCATTCCAAATACCAACTTGGCAATAAAATTTTATAATATAGCCCACTTATAAGTTGGAAACCTGTGTTATAAAATGCAAAATCTGGACCTGCAGTGGTATGTTTTATTACCTTAATTCTTTGTGAAGCAAAAATGTGTGGGTTTCTTTTCCAGTGTATTTTTTTCATGCACTGATTTAATTAGGCCTTTGAAAATCTATTTTTCTCTTTCATATCAGAATAAAAATTAGGTTAGAAGTGAAAAGATTCTATCAATAATAACATGTTTCTTTGGTAAGCTGTATAATGTGTTAATTTCCAAAGAACTTTCTGCTGCAATATCTCATTACAAAATTGTGCTTATAATATATTTTGCTACATTATATTTGGTTTTAAAGTAAATATATATTTCATACTTTATTTCATTTTACATTCCTGTCTTTCTTATAAAAGGTCAAGTTTTTGGTTATAGACAATCAAACCACATTTGATTCAGTGAATTCTTAAGTCTTTCAACCTCTTGGCTGTCTTTAGAATACCCCATCACCTTTTCCATCCAAGTACTATCCAGTCCCGACCTTGCTCAGCTTCCTAGATCAAACAAAAACAGCCACGTTCATGGTGGTATAGCCATAGACTCTAATCACATTTCCACGGCGTTCCCTAACCACTTGTGCCCCAGCCAGGTTGCTTTCTTTGCTAAGAAATTTCACTAAAGATTAGAGATAAGTTTTTTAAAGTGTTTTGCAAAAGAGTCTTTACTCCCTTTCCAATGGTTCCAAAAATCTGTCAACATGTGGTTGACAGAATGAGTTTGCGTTTTCCTTTTTGTGGGAAGTGAATAATCTGGAAGATGCAATGTCACCAATTAATATTTCACAAGACTTTGATCTCAGCAAACATTTTCACCAGTTGGCCAACATTTTAGAATGTTTTCAGCTGTTATATGACAGACTATAAAAACTATTTTTTCATTTTTTATTTTATTATTATTATACTTTAAGTTTTAGGGTACATGTGCACATTGTGCAGTTTAGTTACATATGTATACATGTGCCATGCTGGTGTGCTGCACCCATTAACTCGTCATTTAGCATTAGGTATATCTCCGAATGCTATCCCTCCCCCCTTCCCCCACCCCACAACAGTCCCCAGAGTGTGATGTTCCCCTTCCTGTGTCCATGTGTTCTCATTGTTCAATTCCCACCTGTGAGTGAGAACATTCGGTGTTTGGTTTTTTGTCCTTGTGATAGTTTACTGAGAATGATGATTTCCAATTTCATCCATGTCCCTACAAAGGACATGAACTCATCATTTTTTATGGCTGCATAGTATTCCATGGTGTATATGTGCCACATTTTCTTAATCCAGCCTATCATTGTTGGACATTTGGGTTGGTTCCAAGTCTTTGCTATTGTGAATAGTGCCGCAATAAACATACGTGTGCATGTGTCTTTACAGCAGCATGATTTATAGTCCTTTGGGTATATACCCAGTAATGGGATGGCTGGGTTAGATGACATTTCTAGTTCTAGATCCCTGAGGAATTGCCACACAGACTTCCACAGTGGTTGAACTAGTTTACAGTCCCACCAACAGTGTAAAAGTGTTCCTGTTTCTCCACATCCTCTCCAGCACCTGTTGTTTCCTGACTTTTTAATGATTGCCATTCTAACTGGTGTGAGATGGTATCTCATTGTGGTTTTGATTTGCTTTTCTCTGATGGCCAGTGATGGTGAGCATTTTTTCATGTGTTTTTTTGGCTGCATAAATGTCTTCTTTTGAGAAGTGTCTGTTCATGTCCTTCATCCACTTTTTGATGGGGTTGTTTGTTTTTTTCTGGTAAATTTGTTTGACTTCATTGTAGATCCTGGATATTAGCCCTTTGTCAGATGAGTAGGTTGCGAAAATTTTCTCCCATTTTGTAGGTTGCCTGTTCACTCTGATGGCAGTTTCTTTTGCTGTGCAGAAGCTCTTTAGTTTAATTAGATCCCATTGGTCAATTCTGGCTTTTGTTGCCATTGCTTTTGGTGTTTCAGACATGAAGTCCTTGCCCATGCCTATGTCCTGAATGGTACTGCCTAGGTTTTCTTCTAGGGTTTTTATGGTTTTAGGTCTAATGTTTAAGTCTTTAATCCATCTTGAATTAATTTTTGTATAAGGTGTAAGGAAAGGATCCAGTTTCAGCTTTCTACATATGGCTAGCCAGTTTTCCCAGCACCATTTATTAAATAGGGAATCCTTTCCCCATTGCTTGTTTTTCTCAGGTTTGTCAAAGATCAGATAGTTGTAGATATGCGGCATTATTTCTGAGGGCTCTGTTCTGTTCCATTGATCTATATCTCTGTTTTGGTACCAGTACCATGCTGTTTTGGTTACCATAGCCTTGTAGTATAGTTTGAAGTCAGGTAGTGTGATGCCTCCAGCTTTGTTCTTTTGGCTTAGGATTGACTTGGTGATGCAGGCTCTTTTTTGGTTCCATATGAACTTTAAAGTAGCTTTTTCCAATTCTGTGAAGAAAGTCATTTGTAGCTTGGTGGGGATGGCATTGAATCTATAAATTACCTTGAGCAGTATGGCCATTTTCATGATATTGATTCTTCCTACCCATGAGCATGGAATATTCTTCCATTTGTTTGTATCCTCTTTTATTTCACTGAGCAGTGGTTTGTAGTTCTCCTTGAGGTCCTTCACGTCCCTTGTAAGTTGGATTCCTAGGTATTTTATTCTCTTTGAAGCAATTGTGAATGGGAGTTCACTCATGATTTGGCTCTCTGTTTGTCTGTTATTGGTGTATAAGAATGCTTGTGATTTTTGTACATTGATTTTGTATCTTGAGACTTTGCTGAAGTTGCTTATCAGCTTAAGGAGATTTTGGGCTGAGACAATGGGGTTTTCTAGATATACAATCATGTCATCTGCAAACAGGGACAATTTGACTTCCTCTTTTCCTAATTGAATACCCTTTATTTCCTTCTCCTGCCTAAACTTGTAAATATAAATATTAAAGCACACACACTCTCTTAAAAAATGACATGGGCTGCAAGCTCAACAATGACTTACTTCTATTTTCCCCTCTTCTCCAGAAGAAGAACTCAGCCTGGATAGATTGCTTTGTAATTTGTATACTTTTCTTGTAGTTAGCACTTGATGTTGAGAAATAAAAAAGTAACTTGTCCAAATTTATAAAGTCACTGTCAAGATTAGGATTAGATCCCAGGTTTTCTGTTTTATTTTTTCTTCTAGTTCTGAGCTTGATATACAAGATTTTATTCCCCCAATTCATAATTCCATAAGGCCCCAATGTTGTAGTAATTATTTAGCTTTTTGCGTTTGCATCTAACTAAACCACTGTCTCACCTAGATGGGCAGCTGTCATAAACAATATAGTTGGTATTTAGTGGGTTTCTGAATGCTCCCATAGCCATCTTCTTTGCAACTTACTGAGTTCTTCCTAGTCTTTGCTTAAAAAGTAAGATTTATTTGCCAGCTATTAACCTTCTATGAATATCTTTCTTTGTGTTATGCTATCTTCCTTTGCAATGTGAATTTAGCACAAAGTGAGCAATTGAATAGTAGAGTTTATCTCTTCACAATGAGCTAATTAAGGGTTGAGTTACAGTAGGGCTGAGAAGAATCACAATCTCATTTATCCCTAGGATCTTAGATTCTTCTCAGGTCATGTCTTTGAAACATATTGTAGGTTGCAAGATGTTCCCTCTCTCTTGTGTCTAGGTGTAAAGTGTTACATAATGATTCCAAGTAAAAGCCTGACCTCAGAGTCAGAGCCCAGAGCCAAGAAGAAGGCAAGGACTGGAAATTCAGGTGATGTGAAAGAACACATAACTGAACTTAAATGCAGGGTCTGTTTGGGCCGGGGGAAAAAAAAAAAGCTTTTCAGTGACCAGAGAAGCCAAAACAAACAAACAAACCCAAAAGATCTAGCATGAACCAGGAGTTAGAAGCCATATTTGAATAATATTATGGGGCAAAGAAGATGCAAGAAGCTCAAAGAGACAGGCAGGCAAGAAAGAATGTACAAAAGGCCAGACTTTCTGGCTAAGGTAAGTGGCAGCTCAGTCTAAACTGCATACAGAAAGCACTAAAGAATCCAAACCCTGCACTTAAGGCATAAAATGGTTGACTTGGGAGAAAACACAGTGCAGAAATTGGAAGCATTACATTGGCTTGTTAAACCAATTCCCGCTGGCCTCTGTTTGGAAATTAAATAGTCCTCTAAAGCATTAGAAATGTGGGATTCTTTTGGGAGTAAAAGTAACTACAAAAGCAGTAATAAGGGGCCAACAGGAAGAAAGAATAGACATAAAGTCCCATGGAACATTCTAAATAAATTTTTATTTTAAAAAAGCAGAAGCTTTAAAATAAAATCATGTTTATAGCATAGGAATTATAGTTCTATAACTACATCCTAACAGATAATCTTAAATAATTGCATAAAAGGCTTTGAACACAATGATGTCAGTGAGTATTTTCATGATAACAAATGAGGGCAACTTAAATTCTTAAAAACCAGGGCAAAGCTAAATAAATGATAACGTACTACAGAAAAAAAGTCATAATATAAAAACAATTTTAAATATTTTAAATCATACTGATATAGCAAGTGAAAAACATGAAAACTTTATGGTGGCATAATATTCTATATATGCACAGAGCTTAAAAAATATAGACAATGATTTTATCTTAGCCATGCAATTATGGATGACATTTATTTTCTCAATTATTTTCTAAATTCTCTAAAGAGCATAGTAGCAGTATACATAATGCTTAAAAGTTTAAGATCTATATTTGGCTGTCTGGTTTCTCATTTTTAGTAACTTTTTAAAATGTTGACTATTTTACTATCTTTGTGACCTTGGACATTTTGCTTATATTCTTTAGACCTCAGTTTCCTCATCTATGAAAATGGGATAGTAATAATATCTATCTCATACAGCTGCTCTAAAGATTAAATGAAATAATGTAAAATGTTTAGAACAGTGCTGGCATATAATTAACCATTTGATACATTTTAGGCATTCACTATTTTTATAAAAAGAATTATAATTATTTTATTCATTTTTTATAATAATTTATTATCTAAATATTTAAATTCTAAAACAATGGAAACAGATACACTTATCTGTTCAATAAGACAGTTGGGTATGGTTAAAAGTCCAATTTAATCACACTTGGTTTGCTTTGAGAAAGATATGAGAGAAATCTGATAAAAGGCACATTGGTCAAAGAGATAAGTGTAGTCCTTGCCCAAGCAAAGCATGCCTCTTCACTGTGGCTTTATTCATATCTGTTTCTTATGGATTGCACTAAACTAGTTCTCTCCTGATTGCTTAGTACTCTGAAAAGAACTGAGCTGATTAATAATGTGTTATAAGTGTGACATAATATGCTTAGAAATATAGATTCTTCCATTCAGGACATAGGCATGAGCAAGGACTTCATGTCTAAAACACCAAAAGCAATGGCAACAAAAGCCAAAATTGACAAATTGTGTCTAATTAAACTCAAGAGCTTCTGCACAGCAAAAGAAACTACCATCAGAGTGAACAGGCAACCTACAGAATGGGAGAAAATTTTTGCAATCTACTCATCTGACAAAGGGCTAATATCCAGAATCTACAATGAACTCAAACAAATTTACAAGAAAAAAACAAACAACCCCATCAAAAAGTGGGTGAAGGATATGAACAGACACTTCTCAAAAGAAGACATTTATGCAGCCGAAAGACACATGAAAAAATGCTCATCATCACTGGCCATCAGAGAAATGCAAATCAAAACCACAATGAGATACCATCTCACACCAGTTAGAATGGCGATCATTAAAAAGTCAAGAAACAACAGGTGCTGGAGAGGATGTGGAGAAATGGGAACACTTTTACACTGTTGGTGGGACTGTAAACTAGTTCAACCACTGTGGAAGTCCGTGTGGCGATTCCTCAGGGATCTAGAGCTAGAAATACCATTTGATCCAGCAATCTCATTACTGGGTACATACCCAAAGGATTAGAAATCATGCTGCTATAAAGACACATGCCCACGTATGTTTATTGCAGCACTATTCACAATAGCAAAGACTTGGAACCAACCCAAATGTCCAACAATGATAGACTGGATTAAGAAAATGTGGCACATATACACCATGGAATACTATGCAGCCATAAAAAAGGATGAGTTCGTGTCCTTGTAGGGACATGGATGGAGCTGGAAACCATCGTTCTCAGCAAACTATCACAAGGACAAAAAACCAAACCTATGTTCTCACTCATAGGTGGGAATTGAACAATGAGAACACATGGACACAGGAAGGGGAACATCACACACTGGGGCCGGTTGTGGGGTGGGGGTAGGGGGGAGGGATAGCATTAGGAGATATATCTAATGTTAAATGATGAGTTAATGGGTGCAGCACACCAACATGGCACATGTATACATATGTAACTAACCTGCACATTGTGCACATGTACCCTAAAACTTAAAGTATAATAAAAAAAAGAAATTCTTCTGAAAAACATTGAATTCACAATATGTAATGCTTAAATACTTTTTCCCCTTTTGCTGAGGACCACAATCTTCTCTTCTCTACAAGCCAGTGGGAATAAAAGGAGAAAATGTTTAAAACGTGCACTGAATTGACTCTGTCTGTTTCCAATGCCCTACATGTTGCAGCAGATCTCTGTCTCAGTGTCTTCCTTTTCTCCTAAAGGGAGCAAAGAGTGGATTGAAATAGCTAGTTCCCCCAGGGAATAGATCTGGAGAGCTAAGCGATTTAATCCCAATGTGTCTATAGTGCTCTCTATCCCTGGGGCTGTATGTTTAATAGAAAAACTAGTCTGAATGTTAGCTCTGGATTTACTAGAGCTAAAATTGGACAAATTATCAAATTTCTGAGCATTAAGTTTCTCATGTGTAAGTCAAGATCAATGGGACTTATTTCTAAGAGTTAGTGGAAGGAGAAAATGAAATATTAACGTGGGGTAAAACGTGTGGCATACCGTAGGCATCCATTAAATGGTAGCTTCTCCTGTCTAACAAGTAGGGAACAAAGGGAACGGTGGAGTTCCCTTTGTTATAATTGCCAACCGTGAGCTAATAACTGCCAACAGTGAGCATGTGTCAAGTACTATTTTCAACACTTCATGTGTAATAATGCAGCTAATCCTCACAACAGTCTTAACAGTTGGATAAAGTTATTTCCTCTGTTTAATAGACAAGGAGGAGAATATAAGGGAATTTTAGTTTGGAGTAACTTTGGAGCTCCTTGCAACTTTATTTATATATACATATTGTAAAATCTTCTTCACTTTTTCTAGACTGTGAACTCTTCAATGACAAAAAACCATATTTGTGTATTCCCAAGTTTGCTTGGATTATAGAAAATGGACAAAAAAACTATAGTTAACCATAATATATTGTATGTTACAAAATAGCTAGAAGAGAGGACTTTGAATATTCTTGCCACAAAGACATGATAAATATCTAAGGTGATGGATATGCTAATTATCCAAATTTTATTATTACACATTACATACATGTAATGAAACATCGCACTGTACCCCATAAATATTTACAATGATTATGTGTCAACTAATTTTTTTAAAAAAAGAAAGCATATGATAAATACACTCTAAAGAGAACCTATCTGCCTCAGTGGATGTGGAAATCAGTACTGCATTAAATACAGAAATTCATTTCACTTAAATTTCAGTGGCTACCAACAAATGGCTTATTTATATTTCCTTCATTTGTAATATATATTTTCACACTTGTAGGTCAAAATTTTATAGTAATTATCAAAATCATTCAACCTTTGTACATTGAGTAACAATACAGATTTTATACTGAGTGTGATGAATTATGTTGTAACTTTAGGAAGTCTGCTGTTAATTTAGTGTCTCATCACTTTCTGCTGTTTCCCTGTACCCCCTGAATCAACAACACAGTTCACTGCTTTCTTCTGGTTTTGCTCAAAGCCTGTGTCCATGTAATTAATCAAACCAAATGTATAAAACTTTGAACCAACTGTTAGGCAATGGAAGTAATCAGGGACTGGCCAGCCTGAGGATGGTTAAGTGGCCACAAACATGGCTGGAGTCAGACACATTAGGATTTACACTCTATAAAGCAACTGTGAGCAATGGAATAAAATACAGCTAGCAAAAAGTCCCTGTATTAAATCATTTTCTGCATTAGGGAACCAAAGAAAGCAAATGCCAAAGAATGTTTCAAGTCATTATTATACATCTATTTGAACCAGTTTAAAATTTGCTTTTAAACAACATTCCTTGAACTCAGTGAGTTGTTTTGAGACATTTCAGAGAAGAGTCAGGGACCAAACAATTTTGCCTGATATATTTATTTGCCAATTATATAAATATTTTAGAAAATAGCACTTTGACAGAACTTTAAAACATTCATCTGTAAGTAGTTTGTGACCTAGGGTCTTTAACCTTTTGAATCATCCTTTTATTGGTTTATGGAAATGCTGTAGTTGTTCAAGAACATGTTTTGATGTTGCAACAGAAGCCTAAAATAATCAGAAAAGTCCATACTTTAGACTTTTACTCTACAGTAACACAAGATGACTTTCATTTAAAGACGCAACTGCCTATGGTAATAATTGCCAATAAGCATCTCATTTGCAATAAGTATGCAACCTTTTAGAAGCAATAATTTTATGTCTATTTGCAAGAACTATCAACATTTATATCTCTCTCTTTGCAGGACTCTTTTAAGGGTCTCATGTAACTGTGAAATAAATGTTAGTTAGATATTGATTTCTACACTATAATAGAAAGATTGATGGCAGGGACAGTGAGAATCTATAAAACATTTTGTACATTTCATGTTAGAATATTCCACAATTAATGCATCAGTCTCCTGGAGATATCAAAAGAAGCTATTTTGGTAGGAATATTATTCATTGTAGAGCATCAATTTCACATTCTAAATTGAATGCTCAGAGAGAGAGGAATTTATACAGTCTTTCTTGACCAAGACAATAATAAAGTATGTCAAAGTGTAATCAAGATAGGCTACACACTGCATTTGTGTGTGTGTGTGTGTATGTGTGTGTGTTTGTACAATTATTATGATGTATAGATGATGGCTGGAGGTGATTAAAGTTGACCAGTAAAGATATAATTACATAATTAAAGACAATATCCATTTAAATATGAAAACGAATTTCCTGACAATCTAAAGATACATGTCAATCTACTAATAAATAAGAAGGAAAAATAAAATACTGCTGAAAGGTAAGACAAAGATAGGTAAATGACCTACTTTTGGAGGGAGGAGCCTACATGTACTCTGTAGGGGGTGGGGAGAGATCATGTAGGGTCTTAGCCAGACAGAAGTTTGAAAATAGGTGATATATTCTCCAAAGATTTCCTTCGGCAAAATATTCATCAAGAACTTGAGGAACAAATTTGAGCTTACTAAAAACAGGGTGATCTATGGCTTCCTAGGATTTTTCAAAACATGATCTCACCTATAGTCTGGAGATAAGCAGATCAACATGTCTGGATTTCGGGCAGGTCAACATGGATTGTATAAAGACAGTATTCACTGGCACCATGGTAGATGAAATCAGGTAATAAAATCATAATACTGGAGTGAAGGAAAAGAGAATTTCCTCATAGAAGGACTTCGTGTTAAAACATACCTACTGGTAGTTGGGGAAACCTCCCTCTCTTTGCTTGTTATCTGAAATGTGAACATCCCTCTACACAAGCAGAGAATGGTAAGAACTGGGGTCTGTGGAACATCTTAAAAGATACAGGTAATGTTTGAATTAATGCCCATCATTTATTAGCTTTGGTTTAATTTTCAATTAAAATATCAATTCAGTAACATAATTTATGATGAAGTGTTTTAAAATTTTAGCCCATAGGCTCAGGTATGTACAAAATATACCTCTCTTTATTTTTCTGTAATGCAGAACAATTATGCTAAACCCTATTCTACCAGGGTGGTACATATAAAATCTTACTTGAGATTTGGTCTTGCTTATTCTAAGGATTGTTTTTAATTCACACAAAAATGAGATTGTAGGGGTTATCCCCCTGGCCAACACTGTCATTATTTGTCTACTTGGCAGCCACAAACATGTACACATTTCCTAAATGCCTGAATTCCTTAGGTACATTGACTGTCTCCACAACAGTTGCAACAGGATAAAATGATGTATATTATTATATTTCTTCCATGGTATTGCTGGGGCATAGAAATGTTCAGAGAGGCCATCTGAAGCCTTCTCTGCCCAGACTTTTCAGGAAGCTGCTTTTATCAGATCCCACATGTCTAGCTCAAGTTTCATTACTTCAACTCTCTTCGGGAAGTCTCTCTCCCTAGGTCCAGCAATAGCTATTATGTTATGATCCTCTCTTTCAATCCACACCACCCCCAGTCCAGCAAAAACTTTCCTGTAACAGTGTTTCTCAACCTCAGAACTATTGATATTTTGAAGCAGAGACTTCTTTCTTGTGAAGGGCTCTTCTATTTATGGTAAAATATTTATCAGTATCCCTGGCCTCTACCCAATAGTTCCAGTAGCATCCCCCTTCCCTAAATTATGGTAATGAAAAATGTCTCTGGATTTTACCAAATGTCCCTTTGGGGGCAAAATCACCCCAGCTGAGAACTATTCTAGAAGCCCCCATTCAAACCTTACTTTTTTCAAATCTTTTGTCCTCACAATGCCATATGGGTTTATTCTATTATTTCAGGTCTCAGAGCAAAGGAAACAATATATGAAACGAGAGAAAAGGTATATTAAAAAATTATCCTTCCATAATAGCGATACTTCTTCTTGGCATGTAATAATTCCTCCCTGTTAAGTAAATGAATAATAGCTTGCATGAAAACCCTGCAAGAACTATCATATTATTTTACTAATTATCATTTCTAAGTGGGTGTAGAACTAATAAGACATCCTTAGCATTGACAGGTAAACAATTATAAAAGAGTGTATAATCCTTTCTTCGTTAACCAAGTAGTTTAAAATTGTTATAAAATTTTCAGAAATTTAAAATGGTATAAAACTAATCCGACAAATAGCTGCATGTTTATCATCCGCCTTAAGACCTAAAATGTCGCTGCCACTGTTGAAGCCCCTATTACCCCTCCTGATTGCATTCCAAGAGTAGCCACTATTTCTCCCTTGATAATGAGACATACACAATCACTTTGAAGTTCTCACTGCTGAGCAACTGTAGTGACTTATATAACTACACCAATATTCAACAGTTTGGATCTGGCTATCAGCAGTAGAAAATTTCAAATTCAACAAGATTCAGAGAGATGTAGGTTAATGAGCTTTGGCTTATTCAAAGTGAAAAATCTGCTAATGCTATGATAAAACAGAGAACAAAAACTCAAAATAACCAATCAAAATAGCTAGACGTTTCTTTGAGGCACAAGTAAATCTCTGTCCCATTGTCGAGATTTTGTTTATAAACTCTTTCCCCCATGATTCCAGCTGCCTAAAGGAGTAACAAAACAGCTTAAATTGAGAGCTGTGGGTAACATGGCATTAAATTCTCTCTGTACTTTTTTCTTTTCCCATTGCTTTCTTACAGTATCTGTCACTTTGTTCTTTGTAATAAAGTACAAAAATTTCACATTGGGTCTTTAAATCAAGCTCTCATTAATGAAGAAAAATGTGATATTGCAGAATAATCACTACTAGTTGCCAATTTTATATATATATATATATATATATATATATATATATATATATATATATATGAAATACCATCAAAGATAATTATATGTTTTTATTTGGTGTCAGTAAGGTAATACAATTTCTGGGGAACAAAAATGCCTGGAATTTGCAATAGCGTAACCCATAGAGTATTAGTCATGAAAAGATCAAGTAGGAACAATCCTAATTGCCATTTTGAAGGGATGTTTAATGGTGACCCATGGAGAGAAGAATATTGGTACCAGGGCATACAGAAAGTGTTCCATTGAACTTAAAGCCACAGCTGCCACCTGGTCACTTTGGGTTCCTCATGCTTGTGGGCCAGAAGATAAATAAAAAAGTTATACTGTTTGATATAATTGACTCAGATTGTCAGGAATAGTTCAGATCATTGACACTTATGGGGACTTGTGATGTTTCCATGCCATGGAAAAATGGTAAATAAGCGATTTCAGCAACTGTGGTTAGACAAGGGCAAGACAACCAAGAGCTCAAACCCCTCAGGGATGAAAATTTAGGTGACCCTACCAGGTAAGCATATTGAATTATTTCAATTTCTGACAAAACACAGTGAAAATCTAGAATGGATTGAAGGAGGGAGATGATGAATATTGATGATGGCCTAAGGACCAGGTGCAGTAGTGATGAGGGTAGCTTGTTTCTCTAAAACTAAATGACCAAGAAAATTCAATATGAGCTCCTGTAAATTGGAGTAATGCAAGACTATGAGTGATGCAATTCTGAGTGAAGCAGACCATGACATTCATTTATTTTCCTCCCCATCACATACCCCAAACTTACCTTTCATCTCAGTCACAACTGTAGTGAAGAGCTCCAGAAAACCTCAGATTCATCCTGCACTGATAGCAGTCCACTGTAAGAGCAAGCATATTTTTGCATTCTGCTTCAAAGCCTTCCCCAAGGTAGTGGGAGTCTGCTTGACTAGTATGGAAAAAGAGTCCCAAGTAGAGGAAGAGAGTTTATGTCCCTGGGAGTAATCCTCAACCACTAGGCAAGGAGAACTGATGGTTACCTGCACCAGACTCCAGGCCTTCAAGGCAAGCAATTCCAGAAAGCATTCTATGTGCTCCCCACAAATTCCAGAGGAATGGAGGCCCTGTTTCTCATAGCAGCAACTCAGTGAGGCATACATTTATACTGGCTTCCCACTCCTCCAGGTTTCACTCCTCTTACCTCTTATGTTTGTGTCTTGGATACCCTCGCAAATCAACTACAAGGACCCAAGTCCTTGTCTGAGGTTCTGATTTTAGGAGAGTAAAAATTATGGCAATTCCAAAAGAATAAAAAATAAAAATAAAAAATCTCCTGCCTACAAAAACACATTTTTTTCTGGGTGTTCTATAGATTATAAAAACATTTATTTTTCTATTTTGCAATTGGCCATTTTAAAGCTCTTTGGTTTTTATTTCTTTGGTCCTGTGTTGCATTCTCATTTCAGAAGTAGCCAGTTAGCCCAAAGCGTTTATTTACTTTAGTCTTAGTGTGGTAATGGTACCGTCCCCAATGTTCTGCCTGTCACTTTTCTTAGTTTAATGTTGTAGTAAACAAAGTTAAGACACCACCATAATTCTGAGGTATGTTTAACACTTGCTCAAGAGGTTAACTTCTTGTGTTTTTTTCCCAAATGACCTGATTCCCTCATAGTCTCTGTGGTTAGTTGTATTTGGAGGTATTTGGCTCTGAATTTAAACATTTAAATGTGGTTGGCCTTTGGAAAACACCAGACAGTGAGTCAGAGGCTTTTCATTCCTTTCTATGATTCTGAGCATTATGTTGAGAAACCTCCTACCCTCTCTAGGCAATTTCTCCATCTGTAATGGAGCCACCCAGCACTTTTCTGTATCCTGGATTAGAGTCAGTGTTAATAGCACTGGGAGACTCTTTGATACTTTAATCAGAAATGGGCCTAATTCCATTAAATTTTCTTGTGTTTATAATCTAAGCAGGGGTGCCCAATCCCCGGGCTATCAGTCTGTCCCCTGTTAGGAACTGGGCCACACAGCAGGAGGTGAGCAGCAGGCAAGACAGCATTACTGCTTGAGCTCCATCTCTGATAAAATTAGATTCTCATAGGAGCATGAACCCTATTGTGAACTGCATGCGAGGTTTATAGGTTGCGAGCTCCTTGTGAGAATTTAACTAATGCCTGATGATCTGAGGTGGGGCAGTTTCATTCCCGAAACTACTCCCCCACCCTCACCATCCTTGGAAAAATTGTCTTCCACAAAACAGGTCCCTGGTGCCAAAAAAAAGGTTGAGGACCGCTGATTTAAAGTACTTCTATTAGTTGTTATATTTTGTCGTGTCTGGAAAAATGTGTTAACTATAAGAGAAGAGAGAATGATCTTTTGTACTTTGATAGAATAATTGCATTCTGATACAGGAAAATAAAACTATTTCTAAGTGGGGGAAACAAAATCATTTCTTAAAACACTGAATAGACTATTAGCCCTTTACATGGCTTTCTGAGTCTCATTCTGGCCAAGTCAATACTATGTTGCCTCCTAGTTTTACAAGGGTACATTCCTTCCAATAAAACAATGTGTGAATCCACAGGACACTCCAAGAAAATGAGGAATGGCATTTATTGGTACCTTGTTAGAACACAAGCATAAACCTCTACTGCACTAAAGCTGTGTGTGAAAAGAGTCTGGGAGAGAAGGAAGGGGCGGTATGGCAGCAAATGATTCTATAGGGATGCGTGGGAGTGTGTGTGTGTGTGTGTTTTCTCAGTCTGTGTATGTGTGTTTTCTGGGTGTTGTTAAGAGGTAGTCTGTAATAAGAATATAACTCCACTTACTTTTCTATTAGAGATAGCATTTTGTTGTACAAATTCTCTTTGAAGTTCTTTGATAAATCTTTGGCTCATTCATTAGTATCTTAGGGTCAAGTGCTATAAACAGATTAATAACTTATTTTGTTTTCAGCACTGATATGGAAGGGGATTGGGCATGGGGCGTGAGGAATAATTTTCATTTTGAAGATGACGTGGATCTGCATGACAGTCTCTGGTCTTCCAGAGAGAAGTGACAAAGCTCTAGGTTCCAGAGATACAAGAATGAGGAGGAGGCAAAACAGCTTGGGAATGAAGGTGAAAGCTGACAAAAAGAAAAACTGTTTGACAGTTGTTGACTTTGCAATTTTTCCTGATAAACTCTTACAAAAGTATCTCCAGGTTAGTATGAAGATAAGAGAACATCCCTATCGATTTATCCCAGTTTTCCCAGTCAAGTCTGTGTCCCAAATGGAAAAAGAGAAAAAGAGACCAATTAAAAGGAACTAGAAAAGAAAAAAACTATATATTACTAAACACACATGCACTCGCACACACACACCAAGGAGTTCTTGAGCTCATTTTCCCTGTCTTTCATACTTACCAACAAAAATATTTAAAACATTAGGATTTATATCCTCTAATACTTATCTTTTATAAGTACTATGTAAGACATTAATAAATGCACAGAAGAAATTGATGATTCAGAGCGAGAGAAATGAGACAGCTACTTCAAGTTTACTTGCAGGAGGCGATTGATTTTGGGAGGCTTTAAAAATAAAGGTAGAATGTTTTATAAGGTTTTTCCTAAACTGGTAAATACCTGAACTTAAATTTAAGATAAAAATTTTATCTCCAATTCTAATAAATTTCATTTCTCAATTTCTTTTGGATCCAACCTGACCACTCCAGCTCTGTTTTCTCTATCTATGTATCTGTTGCCTAAAATATTATTATAGGCCAACTTAAAAGTCATCCTCAACTCTTCTCTTTCTCCCACACTCTACATCCAATCCAACAAAAAATCTTGTTGGTTCTACCTTCATAACCACTTTCACTGCTACCCCCCTGGGTTGAGCCACCATCTTCAGTCACCTGAATCATTGCAAAAGGCTCCTAACTGGTATCTTTAAGCTCTTCTATGTCTATTCTTAACACACTTGCCAGTGCAATCTTTACAAAATGTAAGTCAAACTATGATTCTGCTCTGTTCAAAATCCCCCATTGGTTCTCCTCTCACTCTGAGTTAACATCCAAATCCTTAGAGATGGGTCACAGGCCTTACCTCCCGAGGCTCCCTATTCCCTCCTTGATAGCATTTTCAACAGTGTTGTTTCCCTTGCTCACTCACCCCAGCCACCATGGGCTCTTTACTGTTCCTTAAACCCACAGCAGCTGTGCTTCTATTTTGTGGCTATTTATTTTGCCTGGAATCCCCTTCCACCAGATATCTACTTGGCTAACTTCCTCAGTCTCCTAACCTATTCACTCACATCTCCTCTTCCCCAAGAGGAGCATTCCTTCAAGCTGACTCCTGTTTCTGAGTTTCTGAGCACTCCCTTACCTTCTGGAATAAAAAGCTATTCCAGGCTCGCCTCACATTTTCCCTTCAGTTGCTCTCAAGCCTTCATCGAAGGACTGTATACTTGTATAAATCAGCATATGGACATTCTCGGCTATAAGGGATGACATGGGAAAGAGTAACATGCAGGTGCCCAGCATTCACTACTCTACTGACACCTGCTCAATGCAGTAGCTTCCTGATACAAAGAATCATGATCCAGAATCCCAGACAATCACAATGCCTACAAAAACTCCTTTAAGACTTCATTATGTCCTGAATTCCATTTGTTTTTGTAAGTGCTTTATTAAATTAATTTTAAAATGGGCAGATTCATGTATGTCTTTTTAATTTTGTGTCCTGACTTCCTGGAGTTTTTCTTTTCATATTAGAAGATCCAACTTTGAGTATTTTCTAGCACTTAGTAGATGTTCAATAAATGTTTGATCCGGGATTGATAAGGGCCATCTTTTCAATTTTATCAACAATTCAAATGGAAAATATTGAATCATATAATATGCCAGTGCCTGCAAATAGCAGGCATATTGCAAGAGTAACCAAAGTAAAAGCTGAAAGAGATTTCTACAATCTGCTGGTTCTGAGATATAAATAGCAGAAAAAGTTTTTTGGGTTTACTGGTTTTCAACATTCCCATTGACAACATAATAAAGTGGCAAAAATTTATGGAAAAACATATTTGATGTTACCCTTGTTCAATCCAAGCTTTTGGAAAATTGTAGGAAAACTAAAATATTTCGATATTTATCTGAACTTTTGGTCAATTTTAGGAAAACTAAAATGTTTCAATAATGCCAAATTCAATATTTTTTTATGATTCAGTACTAAGTAAATGAATGTTATAAAATCGTGATTAACTACTAAATTAAAACCACCATGCCAGCTGCTAAATTCTAAGAGAAAGTATAAAATCCAGGAATTATGTTAACAGTATTTGTATTAAATCTATGACTGCCAAAACATCCATGTAGTTTTATGAATGCTAAATAAGTGCCACAAATAAATCAATAATTAGGATGGTTTTAGAAAATAGCTACACTTCTTACTCAAAGAATATATCAAAATTTAGGATTGTAATTAACTCTGGTTGGAGGCAGAGGGACAGAATAGTGGAAAAGCACATAAGATTCAATAATATTGGTAAAAGTCTAGTTCCAATGTTCACGATATGCATGGGTGTTTGTTTTTATTATGCCTTTTATTAAGCTTTATTCTTTACATCTTTGGTAAGTTTCTTTTGCATATATCAATTATTTCATAATCAAATAGTATATTGGCAAATATTTCAGACAAGACTAATCTAGCATATCAAGTCTTGATTTCCTCATCTAAGATAATAGGGATAATAATAGTACTTGTACTATAAAATCAATGTTAAAATTA